>NC_000017.11:31935980-33185980 GCF_000001405.40 Homo sapiens | reverse complement strand
GTTTGCTGACCTCTGCTTCAGACCCTTGCTTTTATGCTTTATTAGATGGGGCCAGGACAGCCCTTGCCTATGGTGAATTTGTCCCCACTTCTGAAGCAATACCCTCTGAGCACTCTACCCGAAGCCTGGAGTGTTTATTACAAAGCTGTTCCACTCTGGCTGATAGAACACATGGTATTCCCAGTCTTGTGGGATCTGGAGGAGATTGTTCCACCTACAGTGGCTCTTCCCTCGGCCTTAGTGGTTTCCTCACATACACAGTGATCAGTACTCCATGAAGAATGAAGGGAGACCTTCTGCAGATCTCTGGTGCTTTCCTCTTGTGTACTCTTATCTTGTGAATTCTAGCTTTTTGGCCTTCCTGAATTTTTTACTCTGTCACCTCAACTCAGGAAGACTGCCAGCTCAGCTAGGGTTCTCCCTCCCTCCACCACAACCTAGAACCTCTCCTGGCAGTAAGGCAGGGCGATCACAGGGCTCACCTACGATTTGTTTGTTTCTCTTCTCTCGGGGAGCATTGCCCCGTACTGCCTGTTGTCCATGTCTGGAAAACATGTTAGGTTTCTTATGTGAGCTAAGAATTCTTTACCGTGTGCACCAAGTCACTTTTTCCATTATGTGTAGCCAGAAACTTCTTAACAAAAATAGTCACCCAAGAGGCTGGAGTGCTGGTTTTGAGGAGAATATATCATTCTCCTGAACCCTGAATAGCATGTCATAAAGGAAATAGTAGGACAAACAAACAAAGCCCAATCAAAAACTGAAAAACAACATATTGCTCTAAGAAAGGGATATTTTAAAATAGATGAGTCTAATTCTTATGAATGCCAGTGGGCAGCATCACAGACCAGGCATAGTCAGTCTGAGTTCCATTGACGCTTCTGTTATTATTGTAGTTTTGTTTCATTTAAATAAGAGATTCCAGAGAAGGTTTCAGAGGACTAGAATTGAGTAGATCTTTCAGGCAAATTTCTCTCTTTCATTAATGCTCTCAAAGGAGTGATAGGGTTGATTACTCTTGAGATATATAGAGGATGTTTTAGGTCTGATGATGAATGTCTAATGAATTTAATGCATTTGCTTGTATTAAGCTGATGCCAAATTCCATATAAATCTATACTACTTACTGGGGTGATAAGTTCTGGAAGTTTAGTAATATAGGACTGTCTTTTACTGCCCTAAATTTACTGTTGAATTGGAGCAAACCCAGTGAGGCCACAGGTTTCCAGGCCACTTACTTTGGATTGGTAGGTGCTTACCCCTGAAAGGCAGGTATCCAACGGGATGCAGGGAGATGTGTAAATAGGGCAGCAAAGGATGGAAGTGGAGTTGAGGGGCTGGACCTCTAGAGAAGTTTCAGGCTTCAGATGAAACCAGGTCAAAGCAGGCAACGTGGCACTGCTCTGACCAGATGATCCCCAGCAGGTTCAGTAGTCACATTTGCAAAGTTTATCATGAAGGACACAGAGGACCCAGAGTCTGGTACATTTGGGAGCTGACCACATGTCATGGAGAAAGTTCCGTTTTAAATGCATAAGGCTGGGGGCTGGGTCCTTCCCTCCCTAAGTCTCAGGTGGCGGTGTTTTCAGGGAACTCCAGGCATTCATGACTTTGTCCATTTCAGCATGTCCTCTCACAGGCAGTGCCTTTCTTGACTGATATGTTCCAGATGGTGAGTTTTTATAGCGGCTATGTAGGAAGAGATGTTCTTCAGTGTTAACATAATGGTTGATGAGGTATTGAGCTTGCAGGCTGGACACCTTCATTCTGCTTTTATACTATACCATCTGAGTCCCTAAATAGCCAGGTGAATTTGGGCAAGTCGCTTTAACCTCCTGAAACATTAGTTCCTCTTCTCTAAAGTAAAGGGGTTGGGTTGTGTAGCTCAATTGTAGTAATAGCCTCCATTAACTCAGTACTATTTAATGTACCAGTTGCTATAATAGACATTTCGTATACAATGCCCAAATCCTCAAAATAGTCCTGTGATATAAGTATTTTTGTTATCTTAATTTGTCTGAAGAGGAAACCGAAGCCCAGAGACGTTAAGGGATGTGCCCAGATTTGCACAGCTAGGAGGTAACAGAGCCAGGACTCTGTGGCATGTCTTGACTCAAAACCAGAGGCTGACTTCTACCGCTAACCAATTATTATGGTGCAAAGTATGATTGAGCATATACAGTTGGAATGCAGATCTTGAAATCTCATATAAACCACAGGAAAATAGACCAAGAGGGTGTGGATGGTGATCCATTTCTGCTTAGTTGAAAACTGCTGATGAAAGATACAATAAATGCATCATGAATACAATAAGTGCTTTTTAATTTGGGTTCTGCTCACCCAGATTTTGATAGAAAAGCAGATACAGTGTCTGTGTTTTTTGAGTAAACAGTTTGAAATAACCTCTGCTACTGAGAACTTTGAGTCTCAGCGAGTAAGGTAAATCCTTTTAAAACCAGTATCCTTTTTCTAAACTTTAGGGCTCTCAAATTAAGCATTCTTTTCATGCATCAGCAACTTCTGAGTCCAGCAATTAATTACTGTAATGTTAAAGGTCTTTTATGTTTATGATACACGCTTGCATTCTGCAGGCTTATTATGTATTGTAATTTTTTCATTAACTCCCCTCATATTCATTATTTGCACTCTTTTATATCTTAGTTGGTAATTTATATAACATTTGAAAGTAATAAAACTGTTTCATCAAAGTCACTCTATGATTCCAGCTCCTCACTGAAGTTAATAAAAACTGTTTTGGCAAAAATAAAGGTTAGTTTCTGTGAGACCAATACTTTTAGAACTTACTTTCGAGTATGAGGGATTACACTTAGGAGTGGGGCAGATGGGCTTCAAATCTTAGCTTTGCTTCTTAGTGGCTGTGTGGCCTTGAACACATCAGTTTCACCTCTCCAAACCTCATTTTCTTTACCTGTAAAATGGGGAAGATGAAAACAATAGCGACCTCCTGTTAATGAAAGCTGTGCACTGTTTGAATAAATGAACCAAAGAAGTAATGAAAATTCACCAGTGCACTCATGAATCCAATATGGAACATTATTCTCTTTTTTTAAGAAAAATCAACAGGCAACTGTCACAGTGATAAGGATTTTGTTGGAAACCTGGGCGAGTTTGGGCGGGAACGAATTTACTTCTTTAGGAACAGCAGTCTACCATTGTGTACCTAACTCACACTGTGCAGAGTGAAGAGCCTGCAACTGCCCCATTTAAATACAATGGCTCTGAAAAATACAATGACAAGGATCTCAAGGAGATAATTTCAAAATTGCCACTGTTTTCTCCGTTGCTGTCTATATTGGTGTTGCCTTGTCCATTATGATAGAGAGAGAGGCTTCTTGAATCTCAAATATGTACTCAACACAGGCAGGGAAGAGAGCAAGGTACTAAAAAAGAACAAATCAAAATTACAATGAACTAATTATATTCTCCTGTAATTGAGACACTGATTTTCTTGATGGTGGTTCAACCCAGTCTGACATCTTCTGGCAACCTAGAGCTGGAAAGTTTCAGATCACAAAACAATAATAATGATAACAACAACAAATAGCATTTTGGTAGACCTTTGGGGTTCATACAAGCTTTCCATTTATTATCTTACTGGTTCTTTATAAGAACCCTGGGAGGTAAGTAAGAGTCAGTAGCAACCCCAGCTTTCCAGGTGCTCAGGTCAAAAATTTTGACATCGTCCCTGATTCTTGTTTTTTACAAAGTCCATATCCAACTTGTCAGCAAATCCTATTGGCTGTTCCTTCCAAATGTTCACTGACCACTTCTCCTCCACCCCTGCCTCCCTGCTCCAGGCTGTCACCGTATCATCCCTAGATTATTGCAATAACCTTCAGACTGTCTCCCTGTTTATGCCTTCAACCCACAATAGTTCTCAACCTACTTGTCACACTGCAGCCTTTTTAAAACAAAGCAGATCCTGTCAATCTGCACTCAAAGTCCCATATCCCTTTCCCATCTCACTTGAATTAAACATCAAAGTCACTGCAGGGTTCTACACGATCTGGCCCTGGCCACTATTACCTTCTGACTCCAGCTCCTGCCACACACTCCCTCACTCTGCTTCAAGCACACTGACCTCCTTGCCCTTCGTCAAGCAGGCTGGGGGTGTGGTTTTTGTTCGTTTGTTTCTTGGGATTCAAATTGGGTGCCCCCCAAAAGATATCTCCAAGTCCTTGCCCCTGGTACCTGTGTGTGAATAGGGCCTTATTTGGAACTAAGTGCAAACGGAACATACCGCTGGAATTGAGTTCAGGATCTCAGCATGAGATCATCCTGGATTGAGGGTGATGCCCAGGTCCAATGACTGGTGTCCCTAAGAGAAAGGAAAGGGAGATTTGAGATGCAAGGCAGAAGGCCACAGAAGCAAAGATCAGAGTCACACTGCCACAAGCCAAAGAATGTCAGGGGCCACCAGAAGTCAGAAGAGGTAAAGATGGACTCTCCCTAGATCCCTCAGGAGTGGGGCCCTGCTGACACCCCAATTTCTGACTTCTGTGCTCAAGAACTGTGACAGAATAAACTTCTGTTGTTCTAAGCCACCACATTTGCCATAATTTATTACTAGGGTTGCTGAAAGGATTTAATGATTTTGTCTGTATAAAGAGTTTTATTGTGTTTAATAAAAGTGTTATTAAAAGTGTTTATTATTATAAACACTTTTGTGTTTTTCTATAAGTGTTTGCTATTAGTTTTATCCTTATTTTACACACAACAAAACAAAGTGCTGAGAGGGTAAAGGACTCCTCCAAGAGCTCACAGCTGCTAAGTGGAGGGTTGAACTCAGAACTCTAATATTATGGCTCCAGGTCCTGCCCAGCTGCCTGACATTTTGACTAGACATGACCCCTGGTGGATGGTAATCTCGGTCACCAAGTCTCTTCCAGCTCCTAGTATCCTATGAACTGGCCAAGTGCTTTTCAACAAAGAGGTTTTTATTTTTCCTCAGCCAACCGAAACTCCCCAAAGGTTCTCTGAATTGCCGAAGGAGATGATCAAAATGTGAAGCAGAGCACAGCCGCGTGGCCCTTCTGCCTGCCACAGAGACCAGAAGGAGCAGAGCATTGAACCAACCAGACTTGCTTGGTAGGGCCACCACCTTTCCAGTGAAACATAGGTCTGAGCTGAACATGCCACAGAACTCCAAACACACAGGCTCCGGATATGGGGGATGTACCTTAATGTCATCAGGAGTTAGGAGTCTGGTCAATAGGAAGCATCAGGAAGCACGATCTCTAGATGTCAGAGGGTCCCCAAATAGATGACAGTTCTCACAGCCCAGGTTCCCAGTAGAAATTTTTTCAGTAAGTCAGCATCCCCAAGTCCCTGCCAAGGCCTGGTGGTGATTCCTGGACTCCCAGCAGTTGGGGGATGGTGGAAAGGTGGTGATGATGGTGGTGGTGGAATGTAGAGTAAGGAGGGAGTTCAGTGAAGCTATTCCCTCCACCCACCTCACCAGCAAGGGACGTCAGATGCTCCTCCATGTGGGGCTGGCTTCAAAGCATGCTAGGAACAGAGGGACCCAGCTGAGGGGACAGAAGCAGCAGAAGTACAAGGCGCTCCTCCTGCTTCCATGATGCCTCCTAAAGGCACTGTCTGGTTACCCTAATTCAGACCATGCTCCTTCCCCTCATTGTGAGGCCTGGGATAGTTCTGGTCACTAACAACATAGCTAACAAATTACCTCCTTTAACTGAATGCAACTGGAATGCTCAGGGATTTCTAGTTTGAACAGGTACATTTCTAAAAGGTGGACGTAAATAGAACCATTGTTGGCCAAGTCCTGTTTTCAATGAGTTAAGAGTGTAGGTCAAGATCCTATAGTAAATGTTTCAATAGTTTCCTGGCCATTCCTTTCCAGTTGTTTTTATCCTTGGATGATTTGAGGGGAGGTTAGGTTTCTTAAAGTGGGAATGGCTCTGCTGTTTATGTAGAGAGCCCTAAGAGACAATCAAAGAATCTAAGAAGGAATTACAGATAGATTGAAACTGCAAATGAAATGTATCTGACGGAATCTGTAATCTATTTCTACTTTCATTCCACAAACATTTCTGCACCCCTGCATCAAGGAGGACCACCAAATGGAAGGGAAGAGCCTGTCAACAAACGATTACAAATTGGTGTGACCCACAATGATACGTTAGAACGAAAGGGCCATTTGAGCAGAGGAGCTAACTCTGCAGCCATTTGTAAGAGCTCCATTCAACTTCTGGCCTCATCACCTGTGAGCTGCAGAACCTGGTACAAGTCTCTTAACTTTGTAATCTCAGACTCTTCATCTGTAAAATGGCACTAATACCTACCTGTGGGGTTGTAAGGAGGGTGGTTTGAGATAATGTAGGATATAGCCCAGTCTCTAGCACATGGTAGAGATGCAATAAAAGTCTGTTCCTTTATACTAGAAAGAGTCCCAAAACGGCTTTATATAAAGCAGGGGACATTTTAACAGGTTCTGAGGATGAACAAAAGCCTGCCAGGTAAAGTGGGATCTGTTTCAGGGATCCTTTTGACAACATTGTGATTTCTGCCCAACTTTTCAGGAATCCATATGCCGGCTGACTGACAGTAATTTTACAAAGCCAGACGTGTCTGCATGCTTTTTCTGGATCTCTTTTTATTTATTTATTTTAATTTAACAGTTATTTTGTGGTAGTTGCAAAACGTCCTCTAACTGCCAGCCACAAATCTGCCAGAAATCTCACAGGGGGTATTAAGTATGCCAAGAAACTGGAAGGATGGAAGGAGCTGGTTTCCTTCCATTAAAATGGAGTGAAGTCTTCCAGGTGGGCTACATAGTGTTTGAGCCTAAAGAAGAGGAAGCTGAGTTCAAAGCTACATGCATGCTCTCCTCCACCAATCCCCATTAATGGCTGTGCGTAAAGGCACCAAATTTGTGCCAGGTTGCCTTGGGCCCCAGAGAACCTTCAGTATCCGAGCCACCAGTGAGCTTCCATTTCTCATGCACTTGGAATTCTGGCCAGTGTGAGGAAAGACAGCTCTCCCTCTGATGAGTTCTGGGCTGCAATGAGGGAGGAAACTTCAGCAGTGCTTTGGCTGTGCCAACCCTGGTGATGGCTCTGGGCACTGCTACAGGGAGGCTGTCGGGGATGCAGGATCCTATTTGGCAGTAAGCCAGCTCATTCATACTTATGTATGAGTGCACACACAGAGCTTCCCCTGCCTGCATGGGGCCCTCCTCTGTTGGGCTGTCCTCTTCAAAAAGGAACATTGGAAACTGATCCTCTAGGTTGGTGGAGGGACGCAGTGTAGAGATGACGCCTATCAGCTCATGCACCTAGAACTCAGATAGCACGCCCACTGCACACTGTTTTCTCTGCCTGGGTGCCCACCCCCATCTTCTTTCCTGACCTCAAGACTCAGTTCAAATGCCACCATCCCTGTCAACTGGACTATAAGATCCAAAGCATAGGGACTTTATGGTTTTATTTATGATTTTGTCCCTGGTGCCTAGCACTGTGCATGACAAATAGCAGGTGCTAAATAAATATTTGTTGACTGAATAACAAGCCAAGACTTTACATTATCCCTAAAGAGCATGACTTCACTCCAAATTTCACAGCTCCACATTTCATACCACACAGTTGTTTACATGTCTGTCTCTCTATCTAAACCAGGGATTTTTTTTTGTATGACAGTCATATTTTAAAATTTTTAATTGACAGATACAAGTTATATATATTTATTATGTACAATATGTTGTTTTGAATTATATACACATCATGGAGTGGCTAAATCAAGCTAATGAACATATGCATTACCTTGCAAACTTTTTTATGGTGAGAACACCTAAAATCTATTCTCTTAGCAATTATCAGGAATATAATACAATGCAACTAATGGTAACCTAGGGATTCTTAACCCAGGGTCCATGGATAACCTTCAGGGGAAGCTAGGAACCCCCTTGAATTGTACACAGAACACAAGCATGTGTGTTTGTGTGTATGTATGTGCACGCACACTAGGTTATTTTTTTCCTGGAGAAAAGGCCCTCAGTTTTGATCAGGTCTCACAGAGACCATGACCAGAGTAAGGTCAGGAACTAGACTGGTCTCCAGACGACTAGACCAGCCCCCTTTGAGACTAGGGCTCTGACTGGCACAACACCTGGCCCACAGTAGGTGTTCAAGACATGTTATTTCAGCAAGCAAGTAAGAGAATGATTCTAGGCCCTGGACTGGGTCTCCACCGTTACCAGATTCCCAGGCATTGATTCCTCCAGGAGCAGCCTCCACCCCCTAAGACTGAGGGGTTTGAGGGTTCAGAAATAAGCACGTGAGCAGACAGTCTCCTTGTGCTCATCTCATACCGGGCTGTCAGCTGATGGGTGTCAGCTGCATCCTAGCGAGCCAGAAGCAGAATGTGGGTCATATATCCCGACTTCCTCTTCCTGAATGAAGCTGGGGCACCCACCTCCAGCTCACCCTTTCCTCTCCCAGCTTTGTCCACCAATTGTGACTTGTGTTTGGTGTCCCCTTTATCTGATGGCAAGCCCTCCTCTCTAAGACCATTTTTCTGCCTTCCTTTGTCCAAGGCCAAGTCCATGATTCTCAGCATCATACTTCTTCTTTCTTGTTTCCTTTGCTCATTGTAACTGCTATCTTTACTCAGTAATATAGGAGCTCCTCTTTAATGGTGGATCTCGGGCTCCTGGAGGACCATCAGCTCTAACATGCAACATAAACTCTTCCTTGGTTTTCAATGAGTTGGATTCATTAAGCAGATCAGAGGCCAGTGGAACACAGGGGATCCCTCTGCAAGGATTGGGGACTTCCCTTCCCCCAAGACTTGGGCAGCCATTGAAGAGCTTCCCCACCCCTGAATTAGCCCCATTATTACTCTAGAGGAATTGCAGGGAAAAACAAGGTGATTATCACTGGAAATCTTATTCCACTTATGGACACAAGTTGTCCCCAGCCACCCATGCCTTGGATATGGAACAAAGCCATCCAAATTCAGCATTGACCAGGTCAGATACACGGGTGCAGGTCTTGCTGCAAATCCATCTACTATCTTCTCTTCTCCCTGCCCCTGTACCTTCTGGAAGAGCCTGGCTGAGGCACATGCTCACCCTTCCCTTGGTGGCCATTCTACAGTGCTCAGGGATGAGACATCCAGACCCAGGGTTCTGGGGACAGCATTAGGTCTTTGAAAGATAGTTTGGGCTGTGTGTCCCTGAGCCTCAGTTTCCTCACCTGTGAAATTAGGGATAATTCTTCCTCTGCATACTTCCCTGAATTGTCATCAAAATCAAATGAAAGAATGGTTTTAGTCCCTCATATTCAACAATTATTAGGCCAGGCATTGTGGCTCATGCCTGTAATCCCTGCACTTTGGGAGGCCAAGGCAGGAAGAATCACTTGAGCCCAGAAATTCAAGACCCCAGCCTGGGCAACGTGGTGAGACCCCATCTCTACAAAAAATGTTTAAAACTTAGCTGGGCATGGTGGTGTATGCCTCCCAGCTACTCAAGAGGCTGAGATGGGAGAATTACTTGAGCCCAGGAGGTCAAGGCTGCAGTGAGCCATGATTGTGCCACTGTACTCCAGCCTGGTCAACAAAGCAGGTGAGACCCTATCTCAAAAAAGAAAAAACAATTCTTTAAGCCCCTACGATGTGCCAGGCTCTGGAGGTATCAAGGGAAATGACATACACTCCTGGCCTTCAAAAAGCTTGCAGTCCAATGCGGGAGACAGACAAGCAATAGATTTCAAGGCAGCTTGGACAGTGTTACAGCACTGTAGGGAAGCCCACAGGATGCTGTCTGCCCAGCCCTGAAGGGTTAGAGAGTGGAGATTCTCCAAGGAGGAGTGGGGCTCTGAAGGATGAAGAAATGTTCACTAGAGAAGGGGAAATGAAGGACATTCCAGTAAGGGGAAACAGCCTGTGCAGAGAGGCCAGGGGATAAGAATATGGCATCTTTGTGGGGATCATTGCTTGCTGGGTGTACAGCACAAGGCACAGAGACAAAAGCAGGCACTGGACTGTAGAGGGATGTCCAGATTAGGCTTTTCACAGAGAACAGTGGGGAGGGATGTCAAACAGAGGCATGGCAAATTCAGATTTATATTTTAGAAAGGTTGATCTTGGCCGCAAGGTGGAGAATACACTGGAAAAGCAAGAAGAGAGCGCCGAGATTGGTCAGGAGCCAAGTGGAGCCTCCCGGGGAAGAGATGGGAAGGTCTGAGTGGAGGGGGGAGAAGCAAGGAGGGAGAGGAGTGAGCGGATTGCACAGACAGGGGAGGCAGCAGCCGCTGGACTTGATGAATGAATGAGAAAGCTTTTACAAACTGAGAAATGTTGCCTCTTTAATAGTAGAGAGGTTCATCGCTGTAAATGTGGGAACTACATTAAGTCATTTCAATCTGCCACAAGCGCCGCAATACTACACATTCTGGTTGGAAAAAAAAAGTAGGGTATTTTTCTTATTTGTGAATCCTTTTTTTCTCTCTAGTCCTACACAGGAAAAAAAAAACAATAAAATAACAATAAATGGGAATGAAGAGCTTTTAAAAATAAAGTGATGTAAACTCAGAACTATCTTTGGACATTGGGAGACACAAGCTACCCACGGGATTTGCTTTTTGGAAACAGCTACTTGGAAGAAGTGCCCAGAATGCGCCCTAAAGAGATAAGAAGGAGAAAAGCATCTCAGGCCAGATCAAACTTGGGGTTGAAAACTGTGCAAAGAATCAATGTCGGAGAAAGAAGTTTTGCAAAAGAAAAATGCCTAATCAGTACTAATTTAATAGGTCACATTAGCAGTGGAAGAAGAAATGTTGATATTTTATGTCAGCTATTTTATAATCACCAGAGTGCTTAGCTTCATGTAAGCCATCTCGTATTCATTAGAAATAAGAACAATTTTATTCGTCGGAAAGAACTTTTCAATTTATAGCATCTTAATTGCTCAGGGTTTTAAATTTTGATAAAGAAAGCTCCACTTTTGGCAGGAGTAGGGGGCAGGGAGAGAGGAGGGTCCATCCACAAGGACAGAGACACCAGGGCCAGTAGGGTAGCTGGTGGCTGGATCAGTCACAACGGACTGACTTATGCCATGAGAAGAAACAACCTCCAAATCTCAGTGGCTTAATACAACACAAGCTCATTTCTTGCTCACGTTACATGTCCTATGTAGATCAACAGCAGGTGACTCAGGGACCCAGGCTCCATCTCCATATGAGCTTCCATAGTCACCAGGACACGGGCTCTGAAAGTGTCCTCCATGCAGGGACACATGCCTCTTCCTTTCATTGGGCAGAGCAAGTCACTTATGGCCAGAAGTCACACTGCAGGGCAGTGCCATCCTGCTGTATGCCTGGGAGGAGGAGCAGATCTGTGGTTTGCAAGCCCATCGCGCCCCCACTAAGATGTGCATGTGAGCTCCGCAAAGGCCAAAACCAAGTCTTATTAATTGGTATCTCTAGCATGTACACAGCATCTCTCACAGAGTAAGTGATGGTGAATTTTTGATGAATGAATGAATGGATGGATACACGGAATCTTTTTTTTTTTTTTTTTGATGGAGTCTTGCTGCATCACCCAGGCTGGAGTGCAGGGGTGTGATCTCAGCTCACTGCAACCTCCACCACCCAGGTTCAAGCGATTCTCCCACTTCAGCCTCCTGAGTAGCTGGGATTACAGGCACGCACCACCACACCTGGCTAATTTTGTATTTTTAGTAGAGACAGGGTTTTACCATGTTGGTCAAGCTAGTCTCAAACTCCTGACCTCAAGTAATCCACTCGCCTTGGCCTCGCAAAGTGCTGGGATTACAGGCGTGAACCACCGTGCCTGGCCCCATGGATTTGATTTTCAGAACTGGTTGAACTTTCCTAAATGAGTGGTTCCAGGGAAGTCTGCCTCTATTCTTTCACCTGGTTGTCTTCAAGGCTTTCTGGACTACCAGAAGCAAATGTACTTGGCTTCAGAGCAGACCTCTGAGGCAGCAGAGGCACTTGTGGGGCCTCTATGGCACCAGGTTAATGGAGCAGCTCAACACTTCAAAGGCTACTCTCATCTGATTGCCTGGAACACAGGAATTAGCCAACAGAGGCTGAGGTTGGGGAAAGGGAATCACTTCGATTGTGTCCTTACTTTGTGTTAGGCACAGTGCCTGTAGCTTCATCCAAGTTTGCTAATGTGATTCTCATGGCAGTCCCATGAGGAAGGTACTGTTTCTTCTGCCTTTTACCAATGAGAAAACTTATGCTTAAGGAGCTTAAGACACTTACCCAAGATCTCACAGCTGTTAAATGGCTTAGAACCCAGACCTGTCTGGTCAAAGCCGGTGCTTCTAACCATCAGACTGGCTGTCTCTTCTACAAACAAGTCACACTCACTGCTTCAGAGCATTCTGTTTTCCTTATGAACTTTCAGCCATGGGTGGCACTTTCTTTATTCACCCTCCAGGAGGCAGGAAGGGGGCCAGGACAAATGCATCCTCCAGTCTCCCACTCAGCTCCTCCTGCCTTCACCGATCCCCAAGGTCTCACTTTCTGTTTGCGCCTTCAGCCTCTTCAGCAGTGTGGAGGATCAGGCCCCGCAAGCTTGGTACCGAGGTACCTGGGGTCTGTGGTGGCCATGTTTTCTGCTGCCTCAAGTCAGTCAGGCTGTGCTGTTCCATACACATTCAGGCTGCCACCCCAGATAGCCTGCTTCTGACTATCTCCCTCTCAGGGGTGGTCTAAGGAAAAAGGAATAAGGAGTCAGATGGATGTGCCCCAAACCTGGATCCCCCTCACTCTCTATACGATCAGACTCGGGAGTCTGCCTCATCTTCTATAGAGCAGTATGGGGTTGTAGAAAGAAGGAAGGAAAATGAAATATATGGAGCACGTACTGTATGCCAGACATCTTCCATGCTGAGTCTCAGAGTATCTCCATGGGGAAGGGAGTAATGAGTAATGTCCCCTCTGGCAGATAAGAAAACTGTGACCAAACTGATTAAGGAATGGGATCATGGGCCCACAGCCAGGCACAGGAGCAGCCAGGATTCTAGCTCTGGTTTGCCTCTCTCCAAAGCTGACATTCCTTCCACTACATCCATAGATCTCAAACTTTTGCATGAAGTGAAGTGACAGCTGGAAGGCTTGTTGAAACGACCCAACCTCACAGTTTCTGATTCAGGAGGACCAGAGTAAGCCCTGAGAATCCTCATCTTTACCTAGTTCCCAGGTGATGCTGAGGCTACCAGTCTGGGGGCCACACTTTGAGAACCACTGCATTCCATCATACTACTGAGTTCTCTGAACTGTAAGAGCTCATGGCTGAGAAGTTCTCGTGAACTCTGAAGTTCCGTGCATGGGAGAAAATATTGCTCCCACAGACTTCCCTCTTGATGGGTAACTAGCCTCTCTGCTAGTGGCAAGGTGGCTGTCCAGAGGGCCTGTGCTGTGTTTGTGCTTGTTCTTGTCTCCTAGGGGGTAAGGACAGGCATGTGGGGCTAAGGCCTGCACCCTACACCTAGGATATTTGCAGAGCGAACACCACTGCCATTCCCACCATGTTTTGTGAGCTGCCCATCTGCCAAGGCAGAACTGGGCTTTAATTTTGGCATAGCCATCTGCTACCTGTGGCAGGGGTGGGGACTGTGGATTTTCATGGCTCCCTAGGCCACTCCATACGTGGAAAATATTGCACCCACTCACCCATTGCCCCCAGAAGCCTGAATTTTAAATGCAGGCTTTACCTTCACAAGCTGAACTTTAGGACATGATCATTTGGGAGTATAGGATACATTACTCATCCAATCCACTACTAGTTATTGGAAAAGTTTCATGCAGCAAGTACTATACTATCAGGGGGCATGATGCAATCATGAGCAAAAACAGATTCACTGCTCCTTCCTATCATTCAGTTTCAAACTTGGTGGAGGACACAGACATTAATCAAATAATTAGACAAGAGTGAAAATAAGCATCGCAGTTCTGACCAGTGTGAAAAGGGAGAGGGCCACAGTAATATGAAAGTGTGTGAGGAGAGAAATTGGCCAGGAAGCTGAAATTTGAAGGATGAGAATTTAACTGGGCTAGCAGGGCAGAGAAGGGCTTTCCAGGCAGACGGAACAAGGTTTGCAAAGGCCTTGTGGTGAGAGGGAGTGGAGCAAGCACAAGTTACTAAAAGGGGGCCCAAGGGAATAGAGCCCAGAGTGAGATGAGGTTGGAGATGGCTAAAAACAAACACAGGCCATGTTGCAGGGTTATGACCCCAGGTTAAAGGATTCTATTTCTAGTCTGAGGACAATGGAAAGCCCTTGAGCACTTGATCAGATTTGTGTTTTGAAGGAACCACTCTGATTTGGAGAACACATTGGAGGTAGGCCAGAGGAGCTGCAGGGAGACCTGTCAGGAGGCTGGTGCCTGAGTTGAGTAATGGATAACAGACATGATAACAATGGTGATGGAGAAAAGCAGGTGGAATTGAGCTATATTGAGGTGAAATCAATGGGACTTGGTAATGTGTTGGATGGGGGAGTGTTGACAGAGAAGGTTGAAAGACAACACTTGTGCAACTGGATGTGTGATGGCTCCATTCTGTAGGATTGGTCCCCAGAAGACCAAGTGTGGACATGTTGAGTTTGAGGAGCCTCTGAGACTACTAAAACATATTAAGTAAGCAATGGGATTTACAAGTCTAGAATTCTGAGAAGTTTGGGCTAGGGATAGGAATTTGCTAGTCAACTGAAACCAATGGCTTTGATAAAATTTCCTGGGTAGAAGAAAATATTAATATGTACTGGCTGTTAGAGAAAGCTAGGGGCAGAGTAAGATTGAGAACTCAGGTCTTCTAATTCCCGGTACCATCTTGCTACCCCTCCAACTCACAGAGGTGATGCATCAAATCACCAGTCCATTGAGGGGTTTGATATCTTCTTGAACATGCAGATGTTGGAGGCTGAGGAGCCAATTCCAGCCTTCACATCAGTTTACCTTTGTTGAGGCCCACAACATCACACATCTGAAGGCCTGTAGAGGGGAAGAGGGCAGATCTAAGTCAAGTGAAAGGGGTGCCATATGTTGGGTTCAACAAGAACAAATTCCAATTGATCAGGGCTGTGCAAACTGAAGTATGTTGCTATAGGAAGTAGAGAGCTCCTGATCTCCAGCAAAAGTAGAGTGAATATTTGATGGGAATATTGTAGAATGTTGTAGAAATGTGTCTGATGAGGGCTTGGGCAACCTGGTCTTTAGTCTTTTATGACCTGTAAGATCTTTGAAGCCCTTGATGAAAGAAGTTCTCATGCTCTGTCCTGCTGGGTTTCTAGCCCTTCTTGCCCTTCCTTTTGTTTTTGAAGTCTGGGAAGCACAGGGCTTCTTGGTATTTACGTGAGAGAGCTGCACAAACATCTGGGCAAATGTCTCAGTGAAGCCTACATGAAAGGGACGGGCAATGCTGCAGATACAGGGCCATAAGGATGAAATCCCTTCCTCTCCTGGATATTTTTCCAGAGCTCTCCTAAAGCACCATCAGTGGTAGATTTTTTTCCTACTTGTGCCTTTATCTTTGTCTGACCTCCCACTCTCACATCTCCTAGTCAAATAGTTAATGATCTGTTTTAAAAACAACAATGGGAGATCATTTCCTATTTGAAGGGAATTTAGAGGTGAATCTTTTTGTAATATAAGTAATCACTGATGATTTTCTTATATCTAAACTTCTCAGTGTTGAGTCTTTGTGAATCAGGGTCCTGCCACTTAGATCATGAATCTCCCTGCAACATGTTTAACTTGCCCTGCCAGACATTTCCGTGAAAATAATTTTCAGGTGAGTAAAACTTGAGAAAAATTTACCAAAAGGATGGCTTGGCTACACTTGATTCCCTTGGAAGGACTCCCACATTCCCACATAATGACTGTGCGTGTTTCCAGGGCAGTTGGTTCCACATCATTAGCTTCCAGAAAGCTCTCTCTCCTCTGCTGCCTTCCTAGCAAGGACACAGTTGGCTCTGATATAAATGGACTCATCTTGGGGGGCCACAGCACTTTAAAGTACAAAAGGGCATCACCCGAGAGGCCCACCCAAGGCTACAAAGAATATCATTCCTAAAGGTGTTATTACAGTGGAATCTGGAGGAGAATTGGAGCTACCAGAGGTAGCCGTGAGGGCTAGGAATGTACTGAGACCAGAAGGTGGGTGAGAGGCACATTCATAGACGTCTTCTCCAGAAACCCCCTCTGCTATATATGGCAGAGAAGGATGTGAGACTCAGCAGGGGTTTCATTGACTCTGGAGCTTCATAGAGTCACCTCCATGAGCTCAAACACTGCAAGAGACGCTAGGGATCTTCAATGTACCTCTGGGTGGCATTTTGAGAAAAGGAGAGATTTGAAAGCAAATAGACTTGAGTTCAAAGCCAAATTCCTTTGTTTACTAGCTGTTTTATTTGGGTACATTGTACAGCCTTTCTGAGCTTCTGTTTTCTCATTTGTAACCAAAATTGCTAACTTTTAGTGAAGGCTTGCTGTCTGTAAGGCACTGAGCCGAGTGGTTTACCAGTCTCATCTAAATGAATTTTCACAGCGAATCTCTGAGTGAGGTAGTGCCTTTCCCCATTTTATTGTTTTGTTCAAATGCTGTCTAAGCACCATGGACAATGGGAGAGCAGTTGGAAGGAAAGAGACACAGCAGAGGTTGAACCACTCCCCTGAGTGGGGCAGGAAATCTAGGTGGAGGAAGCCATGCCTCCACAGCTCTTATATTCTTTGTTCCTATAGAATTCACACCGTATGGACACTACCAAGGCTTATTGCTTCTACCGTCCAGCAGGTCAAGCCACACCTGGGCCCACTTGAGCCATAGCTGGGGCAGCAGAAAAATGCTGTGCTAGAATGTGGGGTGCAGGTTCCCAAGGCAGCTCTGGGCAGTGAACCCATGGACAGCGCCCCTGGCCCATCCCCTGAAACCATTCTGCTCTCCTAGAGCTCTGGGCCTGTGATGGGACAGGCATCCTTGAAGATTTCTGAAATGCCTTTGGGGTCTTTTTCCCATTGTCTTGATGAATAGCACCTATCTTTTTTCTATCAGTATTAGTCTCTTTAGCAAACTGTTGCTTGGCCACTCCTTTGGTTTGCTCTCCTAAAAATGCTTTTTTGTTCTTTATATGACCAGACTGAGAGTTTTTCAAATCTTTTCACTTTGCTTTCCTTTTATTTGTAAATTTTGTCTTTAAGTATTAATAATTTCTTTCCTATTTTGTCTTACTATTTGTGGTTAAAAGTAGCCACACAGCAGCCTGAATGCTTTGCTGCTTAGATATTTCTTCTGCCAGATAGCCTAATTCATTGCCCTTAAGTTCTGCCTTCCACAAAGTCCTAGGACACAAGTACAATTCCACCAAGTTCTTTGCAACTGTATAACAAGATTGGTCTTTCCTCCAGTTTCCAGTACCTTGTTCCTCATTTTTGTCTGAGATCTCATCATAATGCCTTTTATCATCCATATTTCTACCAGCATTCTTATCATGACCATTTAAGTAATTTCTAAGAGTTCCAAACTTTCCCTACAGCTCCTCTCTTCTGGGGCCTCACCAGAATCTTCCTTACTGCTCCTTTTATAGCAATACAGGCTTTTTCTGCCTGCTTTTCCAAATTATTTCAGCCTCTACCCATTACTCAGTTCCAAAGCCACGTCCATATTTTCATGTATTTGTTATAGCAACAGTGCCACTCTTTGGCACCAATTTTCTGTCTTACCAGAATGCCACAGACTGCATAATTTATAAAGAACTAAAGTTTATTTCGCTCCCAGTTCTGAGGCTGGTAAGTCCAAGATCATGGCACCAGCATCTGGGAAGTGTAGGTGCCCATGGTGAAGGGCAGAAGGTGGAAGTGGGCATGTGAGACAGAGAAAGAAAGTAGGACAAGCTTCATCATTTTATCCAGAGCCCACTCCCTGAATAACTTAACCCAATTCTGCAATATTGGCATTATTGCATTTAATGAGGGCAGAGCCCTCATAGTGTAATTACCTCTTAAATGCTCCACATCTTAATATTGTTCCAAAGGCAATTAAATTTCAACAGGAGCTTTGGAGGGAACATTCAGACAATAGCATCTGGTTAGAAATGGGAAGGATGACTTCCTATAGGAAATGGTATTTGAAAGGCCCCAAAGGATGGGTTGGCCTTAAGCAAATAGAGGCAGAGGAAGGCACGTCTTGGGATTGGGATTGTCAAATGGGGTAGATAGTCCATGTTTGGGAAATAGCAGATCATCTAGTTTTGCTGAGCATGGCTCATAGAGTCAGCCTGTCGCACTATTGGGTTAAGACCTTGAATGCCAGAATGAGGAGTTTGTGCTTAATACAGTAGGCAGTGGGGAGCCATTAAAGATTTTTAAATAGAGGGGTAGCAGCAGAGCTCCCTTTGGAAAAATATATTTAGCATCACAGGTAACATTATTTGGAGAGAAGAGACACAAAAACTGGAGAAGGGAACCGGGTGGGGGGTAGTGGGGGCAGGGCAGAAACAATTCAAAGGCTGCGACAATGATCCAGGTGAGAAATGACAAGGAACTCAACTAGTGTGACGGTGGCAGTACTAAGAAGCTAGAAGCAGAACTGGAAGTCACTGTAGGGGCAGGACCTCTGTGACTTAGCAAGTGACTGAACAGAGGTCAAGAGAGGAGTCCCAACTGCCTCAGGGGCTTTGGTCATGGCTGGCTCACAACTTGGGAGGGTGGTGCCACCAAGAGAAGTGGCAAGTAGGAGGAAGCAGTGCTATTTGATGGGACCAGGGGCTGGTGATGGTGGAAGTGCAGAGGGCAAAGGTGGCTTGGGACATGTTGAGTGTCATGTGTTGGTCTGGGGCTTCATCTTTAAAACATGGGGTTTGGAACATATGATCAGTCAGTGTGTACCTACTGTGTGCCAAGCTCTGTAGGGGGCACTTTATGTACACTGACTCACATAATTGTTACAATCTGTCAATGAGACAGACATTGCTGGCTCTTCCAGTCATAAGATATTGTGATTCTGTGATTCTATGATTCCAGTCTGTTACCAAATGATGCTCTTTTCTTTGGAACAAGTTAAAATCCTGCCTCTTTTTTGAGCTCTTCAGTGGAAACAAACAAATCATTGTCTTGCTAAAGCTTTAGCTGAATTTGACATTCTCTGATGAGTTGTCGAGATGCATTCGGCAAAGCCAGCCTTTATGCAATACCGTTCGGTTCCTGCAGTGCAGTGGGAGCGGGATTCTGTTTGCCCAGGTTCTGGGCTCTGCCTGTGGTCTGGACTCTCACTGTACTTCCCTGCAACCCACCTCCTTCCAGTCACTGCAAGGATGAGGCCAGGAGGGGAGGGCCTTATTTGAGGCCCTAGGGGAGGGAGTCTTGCCTTCACCCAGGGGTCCTGTGGTATGAGGCATGCTAGGACCTCAATAACACCTGCAGTTAGGGAGGGGGCAGAGTTCAGGGACTCCAGAAACAAGGTGGGACCAAACATTTCTTAATTTTCCCAGATAATGGGAACTCCTCACTGCCCTGGACACTTTCCCTGCCAGTACTTGGTCCCAACTGTCCTTTGGAACTTGGCTGTCAACTTTATGCTTATTGTCTCTGTTCATAGACTTTTTCTCCCCCCAACAATGAGCTTTTTGACAGCAGAGAAGACAGCAAAGGAAGTAACATTTAATAAGCACCTATTATGGGTCAAGCAATATGTTGGTAACTTTATAACCATTAATTTACCTATTTAATCCTTACAACCACCAGTGAGGAAGGAATTCTCATCTCCATTCCCCAGATGAAGAAATAAAAGATTAGAGCAATTGTGTAAATTCAGGAAAGTACTTAGACAAGTGCCTGACAGAAGTACTTTATAAATTATAGCACAAGGTCTCACAGCCTGGAATTCAGTCCAGGTTGGAATGAGTGCAGTGTCCATACATGCGTAATGTCTCTGGATATTACAGTGTCCACTACATTGAGACAGAAGGTGCTCACCAAATTGTGGTGTAAGTCTTTTATTCTTTAATGTATATCTTTTACCCTCCCATGCCTCCACACACTGCTTGGAATATGTCAATTGGTCTCCAATAAATAATTACTGAGTGAATGATTGGTTGAATGAATGAATAAGTGAAAGTGAAGTCTAAAATTAGTCTACAGGGAATGCCTCAGTAAGTCCTTACATTAAAAGGCAAATCCTCCATTACCATTTACCTTTTTCCTTGTTCCTCTCCTCAAAAGGTAGCTGAAGATGTTAGCAGGGGAACCAAATTAGCTATGTCCTTGTTACTATCTCTGGAACTGGGCTTCTTAAATGAGTGAGAAAGTGCTTGGTCAGAGTGACATCAGGAATCCAAGAACCCAGAAATAAAGGCTTTTTTGGCTTATTTGTGGGCTGAGCCCATTTAGAGAATAATCAGATTCCCCTATCCTTAACAAACCCCCTCTCAACAAATCTTTGAAACAACTACAGCCTGTATATTCACAAATATATGCATACACACACACACACGCATGCACGCACACACACACACACCCTTAGAAGACAGCCCAGTGCTTAGAAAACCCGACCCAAGACTGAGCCATTCTGTGACTACCCAGCTCAGGCCTTGGTTTTCTCTTATAAGCATTGAGGCACTTAGACTATACCAAGTCAGAGTCTCCCATAAAGTTCAATATTCTGCAAATCTCAGCATGGCACAGCATGACTATTAGCCCCTCCCTGCTCCTACCTAGATGCCTGAGTCCACAAAGGGGAAAGCCCAGCTCTTGGGCCAGACATGACCAGGATTGGTAGACAAACATCTGGCACAGACCTCCTGGCACAGGGGGTGCCCATCCAGAAACTCGGGGTCCAGAATAGGATCCCAGGGCCATGTGGGGCCTCCTGAGCCAGTGTCCAGGTTCTATGCTAGGGATTTACTTAGTCTCTGTTGTCCTTACACCTCAAACAGCTTTTAATACATTGAAGATGATAGAAATAGCAAGAAGAACCAAGATGTACACGCTAAGCAGAGAGGAAGGGAGGCACGTGAATCAAAAGGAAGGGTGGAGAGAGCTGGCCAAAGAGAGAGAGTGGGGCCCAGATTGTCATGTTGGAGGTTAGGAGTGTGTCAGAGAGAAGGTATGGCCAAGTGACCAGCTCCTAATGATAATGGGATACTAGGGAAATTTAGACATGGGCAAGGCAAGGGGCATTCTGAAGTCCTTTGCCTTGGAAGATCACCCACGGGCAGTTCCAGGACAGGGCCTGACTCCAAGGAATTCTTGACAAGTGGGTTATGATTCCAAAGGGCTCAATTACAGGACATAGCTGCTGGCAAGCAAGCCTTGAGCAAGCCCCTGCAACAGTCGTGTTTGCATGCGTGCATAACCATGTGTGTATAAGTGTGTGTGTGTGTGTGTGTGTGTGTGCGTGCATGTGCTTTTGGGACAGCTGTTTCCAGAGAGCCTGGTGAGCTCTCTACCCCTCCAATGCCGCCTCCATTCCTGCCTGAGGTTTGAGCCAAGAGGAATTGGGTCAGTGGCTGGAGGAAACTCTGCATCCAATTACCCGCCAGCAATAACTCCTGCAGGAAAGACCTTGGGGAGCATTAATGTTTGAATCACAGGGAAGAGCAACTCCAGCCAGAGCTCAGGAAAACAGCAATTCATCAGAATCCCAGAAAGATTCATGAGTCGCCTAAATATAGAAACTGTCATTCTGCCAAAGGTGAGGTGAGCTCTGTATCAGCTGTCAGCACAGAGCATGGGGCAGGCCAGGAAGAGAAGGGAGGGGATCCATTGACCAGACGCACCCTTGGGGCTTGGACAGGCCTGGGCCAGCCCCAGGTAGGGCAAGAAGACTTGCCAGGAATTTGGAACCCAGGACCAGGCGAAGCAGCAAAGTGTGTCAGCATGGGCTTTATGGCAGGACATGTGTGCTTTGGGATCATAATTGTGGGACATTGAGCAAGATGCTCAGCCTCTCAGAGCTCTCATTTTCCCGCCTATGAATTGAGGTCATCCGCAGTAGTTGTCCCTGCAGTGAAGACTCAAGGATCCTCCCACCTCTACCTGGGCTTTCCTCAAAAATGTTTGAACAGATGCTCCTTCACCCCCTTTAGATCTTTACTCAAATGCCGGCTTCTCAGTGAGACCTCCCCAACCACCTACTGAACACTGCAACAGGTCCTGCCATTTCCTGGTCCCCATCCTTGTCTTGGTACTTTTCCCCACAGCACTTAACATCATCGGATATATTACATGTCATATTGGACTTGTTTCCTTGTTGGTTGTCTACCTCGCTAGGATGTGAGATCCACATTCTTACATCTGTTTTATTCAATCCTGTATCTCCTAGAGCTAGAATAGTACCCAGGATCTAATAAATGTACAACGAACACTTGTTGAATGGATGAGTGAATGTGACAGCGTGTCTGGAAATCACTTGGCATCGTATGCCTGGCACACACGAGTGCCTAATGAAGGTCAGGTCCCTTCCCCTCCCCCATCAGCAGTGGCAGGAGGTGGGTAGATGACATTGGGTAAGGGGTCAGCCTCATGAGAGGCAAGCAGAGGTAGCATAG
Source organism: Homo sapiens (assembly GCF_000001405.40). Classification (NCBI taxonomy): domain Eukaryota; kingdom Metazoa; phylum Chordata; class Mammalia; order Primates; family Hominidae; genus Homo; species Homo sapiens. The sequence continues at coordinate 33,163,422 of NC_000017.11, read as the reverse complement.
AAGGGTCTCAGAGTGCAGGCAGGGGCTGGTGCAGATGCTGAGATGTCAGTGCGGGGCACTCCAGGCCCACAGAGAGGCAGGTCAGAGAGTCACTCTGCAGGAAGTGAGGCCACCTCTAGGACAGAAGCTAACAGGAGAACTTATATGATTCCTCTCCACCTAGAAGGTCATGCTGCTGTTTCTTTGCCTTGAAAACTGCTCCTTGTCTTGGAGACGGCCTAGGAGAGCCCTTTCTAACACTCAGATTCCCTCTCCATGATCTGCAGAGTTGGGGCTTTCCCCCACCAAGTCTATCCAGTGGTCCCCTTCAAGTTCTCAGACCACCCCCTACTCCCACCCCACCAGAATGAGCACCCTGGGGACAGGACTGTGTCTGACTTGCTTCTTTGTCCCAAAAGCTTAGCCCAAGAACAGGCCAGTAGACTCTCAGTCAGAGTTCAGTGCAGGAAAGAGAAACAGCCATGATCACTTTAGGTATAAAAGGGATTCATAAAAGGAAATTGAATGCTTACAAAATTGCCAGAAAAGACGAAGGAGTGTGCTTCAGGTTGTGTCTTCAGATGAACCACAGAGTGACCTACAGAAGCTGCCCTCCAGGGGAGCTGCTACCAGGAAGGAAGAGAAACAGGAGCCACGGCCCCCTACCTACTCCACTCACCTTTAGACACCCACAAAAATAGCAATTAATTTGTGAAATGCATTCCCAGTCACTGGAATTGACATTCAATAGTGAGCCAAGTCCGAGTGTGAGACAGTTTACCCAATAACTAGAGCTGGAGCATCAGGTCTGAGCTGGCCCTGAGGAGAAGTGGCTGGAGGAGGGCAGACACATTCCAGAGTGGGGATCAGGGCTCAGCCTACAGCTGGGAGTGGGGTGAAGCCAGGGATTCAGTTGTAGACAGGAGGGGGCTGTGAGGAGCATGAACCCAGGCAAGCCATTTCAACAGCTGACTTCCAGACAACATCCATATTTGTTGCTTGTTTAGGAATTTTGCCCTGTCTGATATCACTTGAAAGAAATGGGCCACCTTTCTGGGGTGGGGCAGATGTTCCGTGCGAGGAGATTTATGTGGCGATGCTTTTTGGCCCAAAACGCTGAAACAAGTGTCATCTGAGCATCCCTTATTCACCTTCACAGGGTGGCCGCAGGATTTGCTTCTCAGTTGTGCCTAATCAGGAGCTCATTGTATCTGTATCCCCAGGAGTTACAGCCTCCAAGGGGCAGGCATGGGGTGGAGGCTCATATTAACCAAGCTCTCACAAAAGACTGGAGGATAAATAGAATGCCCAGTGATTAGCTTTCCTTGGAAGAGATGACTGCTAGGCAACATGAAAGAGTCACGTCAGGTGGTCAGCACCTTCTTCTTTCAGCAAGATGTCCTTAGAAAGCCAGCCTAAGACCAGATGGTTGCTTGATGGAAGCTGAAGGGATCTTGGTTATGAGAACGGCTAGTGTCTTTACCTTATGCTGATCTCAGGTCCCTGTCTCTCCCCTGGTGAAGCAGTGTGGTGTACTTAAAAGCACAGTTTTGAAGCAAAAAAAAAAAAAAAAAAAAAAAAAAAAACCTAGGAATTCTGGCTTTATTACTTATTCACTGAGAAAGTCCCTCATGCTCCCTGATCCTGTGTGCAGAATGAAACCATTATACCACCTCCTGGGATCCTAGTGAGGTTTGCATAAAATGCCGTGGGGAAAGACCCCAGCCATCAGATGGTAAAAGATATTTGTTGAACACATACTATGTGCCAGGCACTGTTCTAGACTTCAAGTATATTTTTGTGAACAAAGCTGAAAGAATCCCAGCCCTCAAAGAGCTTACATTATATTGGTGGGAAGCAGAAAATAAGCAAGGAAATAAATAAAATATTTGAGAATGGATAAGTGCATTAAAGAAGATAAAATACAGTGATGTGGAAGAGTGTGATGGTGGGACAAGGTGGAGATATGGCTTTAACTAGGGTTGGAGAAGGCCTTTCAGAGAAGACAAACTTTGAGCTAAAGCTTGAATAGTATTAAGCAGACATGCATGCAAAGGGCAGGGAGAAGAAGCAGGAAGAGCAGCACGTGCAAAGGCTCTGTAGTGGGAACAAATTAGGTTTGAGAGGAAAAGAAGGTTAGTGTGGCTGGAGCATATAAAGGAAGACAAGATCCTTAGCACACTGCCTGGCATACAGTAGGTGCTCTATAAACCTTAGTCCTCTTACTCACTCCAGCAGGAAAGACTAAGGTATGCATGTTAGCCATCTCCCCCACCCTTTCTCAGCACAGGAGACAGCCAATTCCTGATTCTTTCACCCTGGAGCAGGCCTTTATCTTCTATTATAACAATAGATGCTGCTACTTCTCTAATGGTGATTGTATTCTAAGCTTGTGTTGAGATTTAGGAAACCCCTTCAATGCTGCAACAGCCCAGCTCCAAGCTGTTTCAGGTCTCTGCTGCTGATGGCTTAATCTCACCTCCTTTATGTTGAATTTACTAGCTTCAGTTTCAAAGGAAGGTGTTTTCTGTCTTTGCCCCAGTTGTCCACCCTAAGCACACTTGCTGAACAACTCAGAGGTGCAAGAGCTGAGGTGGAGGACCAGGGCATGAATTGTCCCAGGGCCTCTCCCCCCGCCATGAACAGCACTCCACAGGCCACAGAGAAGCTTGCAGTCTGTTTGGAACCTGTCAGTGCCTCCCCATCCAAACCCCATCCCAGCCATCTTCCCATCAACCAGGCAGGTGGAACCTATCAGAGGGGCATTCCTGCTCTGTCCCACCTCTCTCAGATGTGTTTTAAAGAAATAGCAGTCTCTGCTGCCAAGCCACTTGCAATGGAATGGGAGAGAGGCTCTGCCCATGCAGAACAAAGACAGAATGATCTCCAAGTAGCCTAGAAATGTGTAAAAAGCTGCTTTGGACTGCCCCACTACACAGTGGAGCACCAATGAAGAGGAAGAGACTGTCAAGGCAGAACGTAAGCACAGAGACACTGAGGTTAGCCCTGAAGGTGGTGTTGGGAATAGAAGGACTCTGCCTGTATGCCCACAAGTCTTGAGTTCAGAGTTTCTACAACTCTGAGACTCCATTTTCTTATCTATTAAATGGGCATAATAATGCCCTGAGAGGTTCCAGGTGGGAGTGGGACATCAGCTCTGGAACCTAAAAATATTAACAATAATCATTATTCACTGAGCATTTTCTTTTCTTTTCTTTTCTTTTCTTTTTTTTTTTTAACAGGGTCTCTCTCTGTCACCCAGGCTGGAGAGCAGTGGTGCGATCTTGGCTCACTGCAGCCTCCACCTCCTAGGCTCAAGCAATCCTCCCACCTTAGCCTCCCAACTGGCTGGGATTACAGGTGTGCACCACCATGCCTGGCTAATTTGTTTATTTTTTGCAGAGACGAAGTTTCGCCATGTTGCCCAGGCTGGTCTCAAACTTCTGAGCTCACGCGATCCTCCCACCTTAGTCTCCCAAAGTGCTGGGATTACAGGCATGAGTCACTGCACCCAGCCTTTCACTGAGCATTTTCTATGTGCCAGGCATTGTGCATGCTATGTGAACTGTCTTACCAAATTTTCCCAGATATAGGAGGTCGGTGCTATCATTATCCTCATTTTATAGCTGGGGAAATTGAGGCACAAGAAGATTAAGTAACTCATCCAAGTCACACAGTTCAATATAGTAGTCTGACTATAGAGCCACAACTCTTATGCACTACATAAATCTACTTCAAACCAGCCCCATATTGGAAGATCCAGGAGGAAACTCTAACCCAAGAGTGGGCAATTTCAAGGCACTTTCGTTAGGACCCAAAGTCCTCCATTGAGAAAGGGAACTGGCCTAGGCAGGTCATGTGGCGTGGAAGAAGCCCAGGCCAGGTAACTAGGAGGACTAGATTTTAGCGACCGTGTATGAACTCTGATCCTTTACTTCTCGGAGCCTCAGTTTTCCCATCAATAAAACGGGAGGGAGAGGGGAGACTGATCTAGAACAGTGTCTCCCATCCTCTTTGACCACAGCCCGCTTCACCAGAGTAAAATCACTCACAGCCTCCTGCTCATCTGTCCCAGTATTTTAGCAAAAAAAAGAACTCAGAGATAACATGAAAGTGTTACAGGCAGACGATTTTGGGGAAAGACTAGAGAAAGATTTGCCTTAGGAAGGGAGATAGATGATGCATCGTTGAAGTGCAATGCATACATGCCTTAAAACCCAGCCATTGAAAAATCATAAGCCCAAATTACTGTTGTTAAGCAAACAACCCACAACAAACTAAATGGGTAATGATGAAACTAAACTAATGGTAATTTATCATTACAAAGCAAGAAAGGTGGCAGCTGGAAAGCAGCAGCAACTCAAGACAACACTGCCAATGCTCTCGCTGGTAACCACGCACATCCCCAGTCACTAACTCAAACTCTCAGCTGGGCTCAGGTGTGGTGGGGGTGTGGCAGTACCGCCCAATTGCTTGGCATGCAGACTTTTGTGCTAGAATGCCAAATTAAAGTCTTCAGTAAACTCCAGCAACACATGAATTCCATTTGTGAGTATCGATGTTTAGTAAATTTCTACACCTCACTTAATTACAAGAGTTGACCTTTATTGAATGCTAACGCATGCCTGTCCCTATATTAAGCTCTCTGCAGGCATCTGGAATCTTCATGATGCCATAAATAGGTATAAGGATTGTCTTCATTTTACAAAGGTGGAACAGAGAGACTGAACGGCTTGCCCGAAGTCACTCATGGGTGACAAGTAGTAATATCGGGTTTTGAACTCAGACAGTTTGGCTCCACAGCCTGCGTTTTATAGGTTGCTGAGAAGTAGGCTTGGTAACAGGTAAAAATTATTTGGCCATGCCAATCACTCTCCTAAAAGGACAGAGGATTTGCATTATTGGATTAGTTCAGAGCCCACCTGGAGATCTTTGGCATTCACAGCGATCCACAGACCAGGGCCCAGCAGTTAATACTCCAGGGACCTCCTGAGCCATCCCTTCATTCACCCCCTAGACCAGTAGGGGAAATCCAGCAGCCCACTGGGAACACCTCTCCCCAACCTTGTCTCCCAAGTTTTTTCACTAGCCGCTGCTCAGAAGTCATCTCACCTTTCCCTTGAGGGGGTGGCAGGATTCACTCATTCATTCATTCATTCATTCATTCAAGTATTGCTGAGCACCTCCTATGCGCTAGGCATTGTACAAGGCACCTGGGATGGAGCAGTGAGCCAAAGAGATGAAGATCTAATCACAGAAGACAGACAATAAACAAATCAGTAGGGTTATACTGGTAGGATACCAGATGGTGATGAGCACTACGGAGAAAAAATAAAACAGGAGAGGAGGACAGGGTGTGCTGGTGGGTTCATTTCCATTTTAAACAGGTGACATTAGAGTCACCCTGAAAACCACGAGGATGGGAGAGCAGAAAGCCATGTCAATGCTGGGGGAGGAACATTCCAGGAGGAGGGAACAGCAAGGGCAGAAGCCTGTACTTGGAGAGCTTTCAGGAAAGCAGTGTGAGCCCCTGGGGAGAAGTGGTAGGTGATGAGCTCAGAGAGTCTACCTTTTGCAGGGCAGTACAGGCCATGGTGAGGATGTGGCTTTGACTTAGAGTGGGATGGAAGCCATGGGAGGGCAGTGTCGGGGAAACGTTATTAGCACTCCAGCTGCTGTGCTGCAAGTACACAACATGGGTAAGTGCAGAGGTGGTGAGACCCACCATTATTTCAGGTGAGATATGGAGGTGCTCAGACCAAGGTGGGAGCAGGGAGGTGGCAACCTGCTTGCATTCTTGATATGTCATAAAGACAGATTCAGTGGGATTTCCCAATGGGTTAGATGTGGGGTGTGAGGGAAAGAGAGGAGTCAAAGGTGACTCCAGGATGTCTGACCCAAGAAACTATAAGGATGTAGTTTACTTATAATAAGCTATTTACTGATGTAAGGAAGGCCACATGTACAGGAGGCAGATGAAGAGTTTTGGAATTGGACAGACTGGGCTTGGCTTGTGGCTCTAGTACTTAAAGGATACATAGTTACTTAACCTCAAAGAGCCTCGGTTTATTCATCTGTAAAATGGGCATCACGGTGCCTATCCTACAGGGTTGTGATGAGATCAAAGAGATAAGAGATGTAAGGCTGGCCTGAAATAAAACTTAGCATCATTTCCTTTATGACATCATTCTTGGCCTTCATTTTGTCAGAAGCCCTGATTGGTTGGTTTCCCTGGGGGTGTCTAGAGTTGGACAAGCAAGGTAATGAACTCTCATTTCACTGACCAGGGAGAGGGACACTGAGGAGGGGAGTGCTGGGGGTTTTTTTGCCTTGACCACGTGCCATCTCATGAGTTAGTTGCAGTCCCTGAGTCCCCATCCTGACCTCTTGGATCTCAGCCTCAGTAACCTGCCTGGGACCCCCGCTGCTCCCAGAACCACTATAGCCAGGCTATATTTCCCAAGGCAAGGGAAGGAAAGGGTTGAACCAGCATTGTCTGAGCATGTCAAGAGGCTCAGGCAGTGGTTCCCAGCCCTGACTACCTAACAGAATCACCCAGACAGCTTTTTAAAATCATGATATCCAATATTCCCTTCCTCCCGTCTCCCCAGTCTGATTTAATCAGTTCTGGCTGCAGCCTAACCCAAGCACTGATTTGTTTGTTTGTTTGTTTGTTTTTGTTTTTTTTGAAATGGAGTCTCGCTCTGTCGCCCAGGCTGGAGTGCAGTGTCACAATCTCGGCTCACTGCAACCTCCGCCTCCTGGATTCAAGCAATTCTCCTGCCTCAGCCTCCTGAGTAGCTGGGATTACAGGCCCATGCCACCACACCTGGCTAATTTTTGTATTTTTATTAGAGACAGAGTTTCAACATGTTGGTCAGGCTGGTCTCAAACTCCTGACCTCGTGATCCACCCACTTCAGCCTCCCAAAGTGCTGGGATTACAGGTGTGAGCCACCACACCGAGCCAGCATTTACTGATGATTATTTTTAAAAGCTGATCATTTTTAAAAGCTCCCTAAGCCAGGCATGGTGACTCATGCCTAATCCTAGCACTTTGGGAGGCCAAGGTGGGTGGATTACAGGGTCAGGAGTTCAAGACCAGCCTGGCCAAAATGGAGAAACCCTGTCTCTACTAAAAATACAAAAATTAGCCAGGTGCAGTGGCAGGTGCCTGTAATCCCAGCTACTAGGGAGGCTGAGGCAGGAGAATCACTTTAACTGGCAGGGCGGAGGTTGCAGTGAGCCAAGATCATGCCACTGCACTCCAGCCTGGGCAACGGAGTGAGACTCGGTTAAAAAAAAAAAAACAAGCTCCCTAGGTGATTTTGATGTGTATCTAAGTTTGAGAAATTCAGAACCAAGTTATGATTTTGTCCATCTGACAGATTTTAAAAGCTGTGTGAGGCCCAGAGAGGTTAAATGATTTCTCCAGTCTCTCAGCTGCTAAGTGGTAGAGCCAGAATTCAAACCATGGTAGGTCTGACCTCAAAGCCTGTAATCCTTCCACCACATTAAATTGGGGCCTTAAGTAAAAAGTGCTTACAATGCACTCAAGTAGTACTCTGCGGCTCATTAACTCCTTTACAGAAAGGCTGTGGAGGACCGGGTGCAGTGGCTCACACCTGTAACTAGCACTTTGAGATCACTGGAAGTCAGGAGTTGGAGACCAGCCTGGCCAACACAGTGAAACCCCATCTCTACTAAAAATACAAAAATTAGCTGGGTGTGGTAGCAGGCGCCTGTAATCCCAGCTACTCGAGAGGCTGAGGCAGGAGAATTGCTTGAACCCGGGAGGCTGAGGTTGCAGTGATCCGAGATCCTGCCAGTGCACTCCAGCCTGGCGACAGAGCTAGACATCGTCTCAAAAAAAAAAAAAAGAAAGAAAGAAAGAAGAGAAAAAAGAAAAAAAAAAAGTAAGGCTTGTGGAGGCAGAAATGGCCAAAGAAGCCTCAATCATCAATGTTAGGATGTTCCTGGTAAATGACAGCATACATCTAAAGGGGTTCAGAAGTCAGAAGTATCTAAAGCTATTCAGAAGTTAGAAGAGGAAATGGATTCCCTGCACAGATGCTCAGTTTCCAGATGGATGCGCAGACACCTGTGGAGCAAATCCAAGAGTCCTGGCATCAGGAACCCTTGCTGCCAGCCCACAGTGCGCCCACCCGGCGCTTGAATCAGATAAGCGAGATAAGGATTCGTTCAGGAACAGCCGTGGTCAGCCAGCATTTATTGAGCACCCAGCCAATGCCAGGTGTGGGGTTGGGCGCTGGGCTCCTCGATGCGTTACAGGCTCCTTACAGCAAACCCACGCAGGCACAGGCCCTGTGGCTCTCTATGTTGATTGGAAGTCTTGGGACTCCAGCTGGAGCTGCTGCTCTCACAGGTGCTGCTTGGAGAAAAGACGCTGCCGCCGCCGCCAACAACTCAGCACCGCGGCGCAGGTGAAAGACAGCCCAGAGACTGGAAGCTTGGCCTTCAGTGTCCCTCAGCGCAATTAGAAATGCAAATACACCACACAATAATTACAAACAAGTTTCAACTCCTCTTCCAGCCTCACAAACCACCTGTTAGGAAATTAAAAAGGATTTATTTTTTAATTAATGTGACAGTAATTAGCAGAAAGTTCAGAAGCTTAAAACTAGGCCTGCATGGGAAGGTAGGCATTGAATAAAAAGTGCGATTTTATTTTGCAAAAAGCTCCAAGCATGTTTGGGATTCAGCAACTGCTCTTCTCTGCCTCCTTAGTTACCTACAGCTGTGTTTGGAACACACGGCCAAGGTGCGTGTCTTAAAACCAAAGAGGCCTGGTGGATAGAGGGCAGGCATTGGACTCAGTAGGCCTAGGTTTCATTCCGGCATGGCTACTGTGCTGTGTGGCCTGGGAAAAGTTTCTTAACTTCTCTGAGTCCTAATTTCCTAGGGCTAATACCTGCTTCACCAAGATTGGGGAGATAATAACCATAATACCCATCTCCCCAAGATTCCCATGATATTGTTGGGGAAGCATTAAGGGGGATATGGCAAATGCCCTGCTACCAACTTTTTAAAGAATGAAATAATTTGTTGCCATGAAAGTATTAGAATATATAGACACAGCATAACATGGTGGCACATGTCTATAGTTCCAGCTACTCAAGAAGCTGAGGCAGGAGGATTCTTGAGTACAGGAGTTTGAGGTTGCAGTAAGCTATGATCACACCTGTGAATAGCCACTGCACCCAAGCCTGGGCAACATAGTGAGACCCTGCCTCTCAAAAAGATAACAATAATAAACAGAAGTACATTGTCTGAGGTTGGGTTTGCTGTAGGATCCTAGTTGCCCAGGACTGTCTTGGTCCTACATCTCAGGCAAACTGGGATGCCTGGTCACCCTAGTTCCCAGGAAGCAGACCCTGAGGTAGAGTTCAGTCTGCAGGATGTTCATGAAGGAGCACCCTTGGGACCAGAGGGGAAGGAAACAGGATAAGCAGAGTGGGGAGAAGTCAAACTGTGATTTGCCAGACCCAACAGGAAACCTTGCCAAACCCGCAGGAGCTCGGATCTCAGTGGCCCTTCAGAGCTAACCCAAGTTGGGCCAAGGTGGCCAGGCCCCCCAAATTCACATGGATCAAGAGTGGACGTGGGCTGTCTCTGGAAGGAACAAGATCTTAGGTGGAGCTCCTCTCTCTAGCCTAATGCAGTCCCTAAGGGAGCTGATGTCACAGACCTCTGCTGATAGCAGAGGGCAATAGGTCTGTCTTTCCTTGAAGGGAAATGGGATGAGACATCAGTGTTCACCATAGACATGAAATCAGCCGCATACCTGGGAAACATATATCACTTAAATTGTGAAAGCATAAACCCTGCAAAACTGTCGTCAAAATAGTAGACGAAAGCCCACCATTACTGCACCCAAGAAACCAGACACCATGCCTCCCTCCCACTTTCCAAAGACTGGAATGTGTTCATGAGTGTAGAGACCATAGTAAGCACTCAAAAAATAAGTAAAGCACTTCCCTAGATTTCCCCCACTTCCTCATGTAACTCTTGAGTTATTAGCCTGTGATCATATTGCCCCCAAATCATGGAACCAGATCTTCCTTCCCAAGTGCACTCTCACCCCTGCAAATAAAGCCAATCTACATCCATCGCTCCTTAAAGTGGAGTGGAAGCCTGGTCACCCCAGAAAGGACAGGGGAGGAGTTAGCTGGCAGAGCATCGGGGAGAACCCCACACTGGGGGCCCTGGGTGCCCATGCTGGCTCTACCCCCACCTGGCTATGGGATCTTGGGAGGGTGCTTCAATTCTGAGACTGTTTCCTCATCTCTGCAATGGGGATGACCATCCCATCTGAGTGCTACATGAGTTACGCATAATAAAGAGCTTTACGAGCCTCAAACTCTGGAAACTGAGAGGAAAAAGAAAGCCAGGAAGGGGCCTCCTGGGAGGAAGTAGCTGCAGCCATCCAAGCCACAGGCACAAGATTTCTTCTCAGGAAGAGAAACCCCAGGGGTGACTGAATTACCTTCCGGCCTCGGAGGGGAGGGTTTCTATTGCTCCTCTGCTGGGTTCGATTTTTCAACCTTATTTAATTGGAAATTTCCCAGTGGAAAGTTAAAAAAATAAATACCTTGTATGCCTTTCTTTTCCGTAGTACTGCCCAGACCACGTAACATGCTAATGTGCATTGTAACTCACCAGGAAAGGGATGATGTACAGGGAATTCTGTTTTATTCTTTCCTCTGAGGCTCTCCCCAGTAGCAGAACTCCCTTTGGGAAACCCAGGTCTCAGGAACAAGTCCAAAGCCCTGAACATGACACTGAAAACCCTCCATGTTCCATGTGCCAGCCTCCCTTCCTAGCACTCTCTCTCCCACCTCCCTGTGCACACCTTCTGTCCCAGGGACTGCTCATTCAGTCTCCCTTGCTCACTCCTACATCTCTGCCTTTGTTGTTATCTCTCCCTTCCTGTTGCTTTGTTTTGCTGTTTATCTGAATCATTTCATCCTTTGAGGCCAGACTCAGACCGGCCTCCACCTTGAAGCTTTTCCTGGTGCCTCATCTGTAGGGATCTCCTCCACCTCTGAAACACTAGAGCACTTGGCATTCACGACCTTGCAGCATGAGGCATCTTTGTGAAGGCATCTCGACTCTTTGTAGAAGTGTGGGCTCCTCATGCTTCCTGATACTCCCTCCCATAGACCAACCACATTGTGTCTAGTATGATCGAGTAGCGCTTCACTGGGCAGTGGGAAGAGCAAGTGCACCACCAAATCTGTAAGACGTTGAACCTCCTTGAACTTTGGTTCCTCATCTGTAAAATAAAGATAATAATATTATCTACTCCACAGGATTGTTTTCAGTACTAATTAAGATGGTAGAGGGAAAGTCTCCAGAGGAGATGACATTAAATGGTAGACCCTTAATCAGTGTTAGCTCCCTCCTATCCCTTTTTTGCAACAAAAGGCATTTCACAAAGGGGAAACAACATTTATTAAGCAACTCTCATATATGAAGCACTTTACTTACATCTTGGGCTTTAGAATTATGACTTAACACAGGGTGATTACTCCAGAAGTGTCTTAGCCCATTTTGTGCTGCTATAACAGAATACCTGGTAATTAATAAAGAACAGAGATTTATTTCTTACAGTTCCGCGGCTGGGAAGTCCAAGGTCGAAGAGCCTGCATCTGGCAAGGCCTTTCTTGGTGCGTCATCCCATGGCAGAAGGAGGACAGGCAAGAGAGCACACATGAGAGGGAGCAGGGAAGTGGGGTGAACCCATCCTTTTATCAGGAACCCACCTCCGTGATAACTGACCCACTCCCACAATAGCTTCATTAATTTATTCATGAGAGCAGAGCCCTTGTGACCTAAACACCCCTTAAAAGTCCCACCTCTCAACACTGTTGCATTGGGGATTAAGTTTCCAACGAATGAACTTCTGGGTACACATTCAAACCGTCACAAGGACCATCATTCTAGAAATGAGGAAACCACAAGAGAACTTTCTAAGGTCACGTAGGAGTCAGTGGCAGAAATTAAAGCAGGAATGACTTCACTCTTTTTTTAACCTTTTTTTTTTTCTTGAGACAAAGTATCTCTCTGTCGCCCAGGCTGGAGTGCAGTGGCGCTATCTCGGCTCACTGTAACCTCAGCCTCCCAGGTTCAAGCGATTTTTCTGCCTCAGCCTCCAGAGTAGCTGAGACTAGAGGTGTAGGCCACCAAACCTGGCTAATTGTGTGTGTGTGTGTGTGCGCGCGTGTGTGTGTGTGTGTGTGCGTGTGTGTGTGTGTTTTAGTAGAGATGGGGTTTCACCATGTTGGCAGGCTGGTCTCAAACTCCTGACCTCAAGTGATCCATCCGTCAGCCTCCCAAAGTGCTGGGATTATATGTGTGAGCCACTACACCCAGCATTCTTTATTTTTTCCTCCAGATGGAGTCTCGCTCTGTCACCCAGGCTAGAGTGCAGTGGTGCTATCTCAGCTCACTGCAACCTCCACCTCCTGGGTTCAAGCAATTCTCCTACCTCAGCCTCCCGAATAGCTGGGATTACAAGTGCCTGACACCACACCCAGCTAATTTTTGTATTTTTTTTTTTTTTTTTTTTTTTGAGACGGAGTCTCGCTCTGTCGCCCAGGCTGGAGTGCAGTGGCGGGATCTCGGCTCACTGCAAGCTCCGCCTCCCGGGTTCACGCCATTCTCCCGCCTCAGCCTCCCAAGTAGCTGGGACTACAGGCGCCCGCCACTACGCCCGGCTAATTTTTTGTATTTTTAGTAGAGACAGGGTTTCTCCATGTTAGCCAGGCTAGTCTCAAACTCCTGACCTCAAGTGATCCACCCCCTCAGCCTCCCAAAGTGCTGGGATTACAGGCATGAACCCCCACACCCCCAAGAAAGACTTCACTATGATTTAAAAAAGAACTTATTGCTTATCAATAATAAGACCTTGGAATAAGTGATTATTAGTAGAAGCTAGCCTTTGGTTTCCAAAGCTGTTCCAAGAAGAGAATGGACAACATCTTTCCAGGAGGATTTGAGCATTCCTTTGGAGGCAAAAAATCAAATATTCTGACTCCTGTAGTTCTAGAATGTTCTGTGATTCCCTGAACAGCAAGTAGGGCATCCGTGCCAAAGAAATGTGCACCTGTACTGGGCAGGTGGTGGGAGGGAATCTGGTGTCATGATAGGAAATGAAATCCATTTGTCTTCAATTGTCATCACTTCTCAGTAATTAACTGGATGCTAATGCCTTAGATGAAGGTTCCTCCAAGCCATAATTGAACTTTAATAAGGTGTGCATGGAATTACAGGAAAACAAAATGGCAATCTGAAGCTGAAATGTCAGGAAAGCTGTGTGTCAACTGCCAACTCCCTAAACTTGAGTAAGAAATTCATTAATACCTGAGAGCTGTCACAGCTTTCAGAATTAATGAGCATCTGAACTTATTCATGCAATTATCTTAAAATAATTAGCAAGCACCCAATTCATTGTTATGAACCTCATGAATTATCTGGAAATGTGAGGGTATCCAAGGAAATGTATCAGGACTGTTAGTCTGGTGCCTGTTCCTTCAAGAATGGTACTTTCAAAAGAAGGTGGGAAAGACAAAAATAAGAAAGGAAGAAAAGGAAAAGGGAAAAATACAATACAGATGGCTAATTAAAATATGAATAAACTTTCAACCTCACTATTGATCAAATAAATTAAAAATTAAAATAATAGTGATGTCCCATATTTTACTTAACAAATTGGCAAATTTTTTTTTCAATTTTTAAGTCAAATGCTGCTGAGATTACTATGTGAAAGACACTCATGCAATAAATGCAGGAATATAAATTGGTATGAACTTTCTGGAAACACCTATCAAAACATGAGTTTTCAGTCACCTGAATGTTTATTAAGCATCTACTATATACAAGTCACTGTGTTAGTGTCAGAGAGGCAGCTGCAAATCTGACGTAGCCTCTTCACTCAATGATGAAAGAATAGTCAACTTCACTCAAACATTATGTAATGAGTACATAAATTATGGTCCACCTACAGAAGAACATAGTTTTATAATGGCTGAAAGTTATACTTTAAAAAACTATTCAGGGGCATAGGAAAATACCCATGTTTTAATGCCAAATAAAAAACACATAGAAACAAAGTTTGTAGTTCATATGTTAGAAAAAAAGACAGCTGGAAAAACACCAAAACATTATGATTATTGCTATGTGTTGGGATTACAATAATTTTTTGTTTTCTTTATGTTTCTATATTTCCCATTTTTCTACAAAACAAAAATCTGAAACTGAAATGTCAGAAAAGATATATGTCAAGTTTGTTTTTTGTTTTTTTGTTTTTGTTTTTGTTTCTTTTTTTTAAGACAGACTCTTGCTCTGTCACCCACGCTGGAGTGCAGCAGCATGATCTCAGCTCACTGCAACCTCCACCTCCTGAATTCAATCAATTCTCCTGCCTCAGTCTCCTGAGTAACTGGGACTACACGTGCCTGCCATCATGCCCAGCTAATTTTTGTATTTTTAGTAGAGATGGGGTTTCACCACGTTGGCCAGGCTGGTCTTGAACTCCTGACCTCAGATGATCCGCCTGCCTTGGCCTCCCAAACTACTGGGATTACAGGTGTGAGCCAGCGCACCTGGCCTCAAGTTTTTATTTTTTATAACAACTTTTTATTTCTTATTACTTTGATACAACTGTTTTATTATGACTTTTATAATTAAAAAATACTGTGAGCTAATATTTTTTGAGGTCTGAGCAGGACATCCATCTAAATGCTTTCTCACATCATCTTTTAATTTTCATAATAAAGAAGTATGGAATTTATTATCATTCTTTCCATTTTACAGGTAAGAAAACTGAAACACAGTAAGGTTAAGTAAATGGCACAGCCATGGTAATGGCAGAACTGAGGTTGAAACCCAGGCAGTTTGACCTCCGGCCCTAGGATCTTAGTCACTGTGCACTTTGGAAATGATGCATTGATACCCAAGTGTGCTTCTTCTCGCACATCCTAATGTTTAGGTGAAAGGAATCATGGTAGGATTGAACAAACCTTAAATGTGAAGTTGGGTGACCTTGATTGAGTCCTGGCTTTGCCACTTCCTGTGTGACCTTGGGCAGTTCATTTCTCCTTCCTGAACCCCAATTCAGTTACCTGTGGAATGAGTTTAATCACTGCTGGCTTATGTGGGTAGCATATGGTATGTGTCAATGTTTCTTTGTGCAGTATGGCATTCACTAAAAGCATAAAGTCTGCTTATCTCCCTGTCAACCTGTGGGACAGATGAAACGGCACAGAAGGTGTGAAGCACCTTGCTAACTGTGCTCCTATTATATACTGACAAGGCGTTGTTATTATTACTTTACATTTTAGGGATGCTTGATTTGTTGTCTTAAATGAAAAGCCTGGTTCTACTCTGGTCTTTGCCCCTCTCCAGGCCTCACTTCCTGCATCTGTTCAGTAGCGTGAAGTGTCCTTGTCTCCAAAGTTCACCTGCTTGGATATTGCAGGATTCCAAGTGAACATACAGAGCTATGCATCCCGGTCCTCCAGTCTGTGATGAAAACCAGCGCCCACAGCACGCAGCTCCAACTTGGAGAGGGAAGCCCCTGAGTAGGAGCTAAATTGGGGTCCACAGGCTTGTTGCAAGCATTTAAAAGTGATGGATGTGCCACGGTCAATAAATGTTAGTCTCCTTGCTTCCCCTGCATGCCAGCTGAGTCTAAGTTGGCACTGGCCCGGGATTTCACTGTAGTGTGGGGTCATTTTTGCTCATTAGAAAAATTATTAGCAGATCCTCCTATGGCACAAACACAGAAAGATTATTTTACCTCCTCTGTGCTGCTGCACCGTAGTCCCTCTAGGACAATCCTGCTGTGTCCAATTAAATGTAAGAAAAAAAAAAGATACTGAATTGAAACTTGTTAGAGAGAACAACACTTCCTCTGGCCCAAACACTGGTGTATATTAATGTTATCAAAGTTGCAGTTGTTTCTATTGAGTAAGACAACATCAGCCCACCTGTCTTTCTAGACTTAAGTACCAGCTGAACTTGTATGATGTCTTTTATCAAACAATGAAAATTGTTTCTCTTTTTTGGACATTGGCTATCAGGATATTTGGATCTGAATCCACAATGCACATACTGTTACTAGCTCATCTCAAATGTTTGCTTCAACTGGTTTCTCTCTTCTCTTATTTACTTTTTAAGTCTGCTTTTTTTGCAGTTTTTACCATCCACTTTATGTGTTCTAAAATATTTAAATTTTCACAGGTTTCTACAATGATAAAAATAATAGCACTCCTGCCATCTACCCTATTCTTGTCATATTGTCCAGTTTACCTAGCCTTACCCAGACTTGATAGTTATTAAGTTCTTACTTCAGATGTGGAATAAAAATAAGCAAGCACATTTTCCAAGTAGGGGAGTATAGTTCTTTAGAAGATATCAAGGAGCAAAATGGAAACAGCAGCAGTGAAAAATAGAATTACTCAGTTTGACCCGTTGATTGACATTAGCACAGGAAAGTGGCTCAGGTTGGGTTTGCTATGAGCTGATTTCCCCCCTGAGAATGACTGAAGTAATAAGAGCTCCCAAGCAGATAGCCCCAGGCCTCTGGCATTTATCATGTAACTTCTAGGTCCTTCCAAATGCATCCTCCTCCTTCTCTCCTTCTGGCCTAGGCCTCGGCTGTTCTTTGCAAACCAGCCAGCTGAAAGCCAAGGTCGAGCAGATGAGGACACAGGTGTGATGCTGTCTTCTGCCGGCACAGAGGTCTCCGAGCTCCAGAGGCATGAGCTGGGCACAGATCTTTCTGCCTGATCTCCACAGGATGCTCTTGTCTTAGCTCAGTTCAGGCTGTTTGGCTGTGAGCAAACTAGGAGTTTGGTTTCTAAGAAATATGATCTGAGTGTTACCTATTCAGATTCCAGAGCCAACCTGTTTCCTAGTTTTTGATAGTAGGAAGTTGAGTCAGAGCCAGGTGCCCTCTGGGAGGACCTAGAGAATAGGTCCGCAGCCAGCCAAGTGGGCTTCAAACCCCACTCTGCCACCTTGATTCTGGGATGTGGGCTACCTTCCTAACCCCTCCGAGGGTCAATTTCCTCATCTGTAACATGGACAGGTAAGTTGCTGTGAAGACTGAATGAGAGAAGATGCTTTCCAAGCCCCAAAGCTAGAGCCTAGTACCCAGTGGTATTCATTTAGTTGCTCATTCATTCAACTGTCCTGTGGGTGGTAGCTTTTCCCCCTTTCCTCATTCTGCTGACTTCCAGGGATTCGTCATTGACTCTGAGGAGGCGGGAAGTTGAGCTTCCTGTTCTCATCTCTGTCATGAAATATAGCACCTGCCTGGGGCCATTGAAGAATATTTCTGAGACTAAATTAGAATCTGCTCAAGTGACTAAGATAGCGGGTGCTAAGAGCAGGAAATGTTTTGAAGACACTATTCATTCTGAACACTTTTGCCTCCACCTGGCCATGGATCTCCACTGGCCATGTCTCTGGGTCGGCTGTGGCGGGAGGGTGAGGGAGCTCCACTAAGCATGGCTTCTTGCTGCTCAGGGCACAATTCCTGTGCCCTGTGCCCTTGCCACCAATTCTTTCAGCAAGTCATCAAGAGGAGAAAGCCTCCTGCATAGACAGGTTGACTATTTGGTCATGGGGCGAAAGGAGTAACCAGCATTTTTAAGCACCTATTCTTCCAGGTACTTGATTATCATGTCATTGAATTCTCCCAACATCTTCAAGAGTTAAGGATTATTCCCTCATTTTCATAGATGAAGAAATTGAGATTCAAAAAAAGTTAAAATAAATCACGTATTGTCAGAAATACGGAAATAGGTAAGGAATTTGAAACAAAGGCTATTTAATGTTGGAAATATCTTATGCATGTGTTAGAAGTCTGAAAAAGCCAAAAGAGAGCAGTGAGGTAACCTGGAGATTAATCTCTGCAGGAAGCCATTGCCACCCTCTAGGGCTGGGCAAGGAAAGGGAAGAAATGGTGTTACTACGATCTAGTCGGGAGGTGATGCCAGGCAGTTGCTAAAGAGATTATGGCATGTAGCCCAATAGTTGCTCAGACCGCAGGCAGGGATGGCAGCCCAGAGGACGAGGTGCATGGCAACGCTGGTGCTGCAGTGGTGCCAAGAATGCCAAAAGAAACTGGAGTCTAGGACCATCAATGTCCCCTGATGCCAGAAGGGTGCAGACCTGAGCTGGAAGCTGGTAGAGGCTGCCTTCCCCAGTCCACCCAGGCCTGCCAGTCTCCTGGGAAGAGGGAACCAGAAAATATAGTTTGCAGAGTCCTGGCCCCACCATCAAAGAAGAACATAGAAGGGTTTGAAGCTGAGAGACTATGTATAAATAGCAACCCCATATATTGAGTAAGAAGGGAACTGAAATGCAACTCCAGTCTACCTCCTGGAGGAGAGTAAGCACTCACGTGGCACCTGCTCTGCACCAGGCCTTGTACTAGCTCTAGGAATGCAGAGCTGAATAGGAGACAACCTTGATTGTCATGGAGCTTCCAGGCCAATGAAAATGAAGGAGCAATGACTCAGATCGGATTCATCCACTACTTGTCTGATTTCCATAGTATCTTCAGGAGAGTGAGTTTTCTGGAAGGGTAGGGGTCTAGGTACATGTCCTAAAGTCATGATAGATACCCATATAGTGGGTGTCCCAGCTCCCCAACCCTCATGAGCTCTGGGCTCAGTGCACACCACACCTTCTCCTCTGGTTATGTCAAGTTTCTCCCCCAGGCTGCTTCTTGTGGGCCCAGAGGTTTTCCACCTTGGAATTATGCATCGGTCACCCTAGGCAGCCCTACATTTTCTTCCTAAAAACACAGGGTATTAAACCCCTACTATTTAAATTAGGACTCTCTCACTTACACATAAGAGAAATCTAATTCTAACTGGCTTGGGTAAAGGGAGGAGTTTATTGGAAGAATGCTAGGGTATCTCACAGGGTTCAAGTGCTGTTGAGCTCTTGGAAGACTTGGAAGCAGGATGGAGTGCTGTAGGGACTCCACTTTTGCTTTTACTGCTCACAAGCACCCAACTCCTTCCCATCCCCTTCTCTTCCCTATCCCACCCGCTCTCTCTCTTTCTCCCCCACTCTTGTTCTTTCCCTCTCTCACCATGGGCCCCCTCTTCTGCCCTCATTGCACAGGGACAAGACAGGGCCAGCCATATTCCTGATATTACTGTACATTCCATGTTCCCAAAAAGAAACTGAGCAGTCTCTAAACCTGTTTTTTTGTTTTTGTTTTTGTTTTTCGTTTTTTTTTTTGTTTGTTTGTTTTTTAATTCCAGAAAAGTAACTGATTGGCCCAGCTTGGATGAGGTGCCCACCCCGGACCAATCACATGGCTCAGGAAAGTAGGGTCTTATAATATGACTATTGCCCAGGGGGAGTTGGTTCCCAGAAAATGGAAGCCTTTCCTAGAAAGAGAAGGGTTGGGCATCAAGTGGGACCATATTATACCAGACCATGTTTACTACACTGAATGATGCACCACACTGCATTTAATCTTTCTCCTATTGTTGGACATTTCTTATTGCAACTTTTTTAAAGATTGTAGATAATGCTTCAGTACATTCCTTTATGCATACATCTTTTCCATGGCTAAGATTGTTTTCTTCAATTACATTTCCAGATGTGGAATACTAGCTTAGGGTTGGATTTTTTGTTTTATGGGGGTTTTTTTGGAAAAATTGGATTATCCAAATGCCAATACTGATTTTACTATCGTTGCTATGGAAACTATTTTTTCTGTTGCTAGGCAGTTGGTAAAAGATTCGGTAGTATAGACTAGTAAAAAGACATAGACTGTCTGTAGAGACCAACAGTCAGGAGTTAACTCAGTTGTTAACTGGCTCTGTGACCTTGGGCTGCTTGTTTGGCCATTCTGACAATTTTCTATTCTTCCCAAAATGGGGTTAATAATAGCTTTTCTAACTGGGTTATTTGAAGGATTAGGGATAATATATGAGAAACAAAAGCAACTCTCATGGTACCTGGCACATAGTAGGTGTTCAATAAATTGCACTTTTAAAACTACATGTGAAATGCTTTAAAGGGTGTAATAATTACTTTTCATCATGAGATTAATACTATTGAAAATGAGCAATTCCTAGCTCCCTAGAATGCAAAAGACTTTAGCACACCTCAAGTCCAACCTATATTTGTCCCTAAATGTGGTCCACCTGAGATATCTACATGTCAAGATATCTACATTTCACCTGAAGCTAGCATCCATGATCTAAGAAAGACTCAGCGGTCTAAGCAACCTACCTACACTGCTATCTCAATTATTGACTAGCATCAGGTAGCATGCTGGCAGGCTTTGGAGTCACATGCAACAGGTAGAACCAATCACATCCTTCTTTGGGTCACCCTGGGACCCATGTTTTCTTCTCGCAGCTCATCACTAAGCCCTTATTGAGCTTTTTGGTTTATATGTGGAAGAAGGTAGGGAAACATCCATGATTCAGTGTTCTGGAAGACACTCAGCCCTAGCCTTCAGGACCATGGACAGTGACCAACCCTTTCATCTGGCCACACCAACCACTCAAGGAAATTTACCATCTACGGGATACATATAGAGGGTGGTCACCACATCTAGAAACATTGACAAATACATAATAAATAGCTTATTGCTGGTATGTTCAGACACATGATAAAATAATACCTATATTTCCAGTGAGGCCCAAAGGAGAAGGCAGTCAGTTCTACCTGAGTAGAGGGTGTGGTCATGGAACTGAGTCTGAAAAGTTAAGTGGACTAGTGAGGGACTTAACATTCCAGCCAAGAGAACCATATGCCCCAGAGCCCCATACCAGCCTCACTTGTTCTTTGTGCTTTCTGTGCTCTGTCTTCTTCAGAGAGAGAGAACCTGCTCTGCATTGCTGAGGACCCCTGGCTGGGTGTGCATTGACCTGCTATGAGTTCAAATTCTCAGAGCAAGAGTCTAATCCTTTATAAAAGAATACAGCTATCCTTTGAAGACAGAGAAGGGATCTATAAATGTTCAGAAGCAGCTGGGTGATAAGAGTGGATTCGCCTCTGCATGGTGAATCTTACCTCTCTACTACCTCTTTTATCACAACCAAATACTCTGGGCAGAAATGCTACTTCTCAACACCATAAAGAGTCCAGTTAATGAGCTGGGTGTCTCAAACATCTGAGCACATCCTCTCAAAGCTCACTTTTGAGTCCTTACTTTATTTCATTACCTTCCCCATTCCCAAGATAAACCTTGCCATTCGTTTATTTATTAATTCATTTAATTACTATGTATGGAGCTCTCAGAATGTGCCAAGCACTGTGCAGAGTGCTGAAAAAGCAACAGAGAACAAACTCCTGGTCTTTGCTCTTGAGGGGTTTGTAGTCTAATGGAGAAGACAGATATTTATAAAATAATCTTACACACATAAATATATGCCAATAGGGTCTGCAAACATAGATACGATTTCATTTTGTAACAAATTGAAGATGTCCTTATTGCTATTTTGTACATTCACCTAAGTTTTCAGACTTCATGGACACCCTGTATAGTTACAGATGGTGTTTTTAAGAAAGCACAAGTCACTAATGACTGAGGTTTCATGAGGGTAAGAGGTTCACGCATGGAAACATGATGAGTTAACAGCAGAGCTGGGAGAAGCTCAGGTCAACCTCCTACTCAAGCTCTTGACCTAGAGCTCAGAGTATAAATTAATGGACAAGAGTTGAAGCCCATGTAATGGGAATTATATCTGCTGGGAGCTACCGCCATCCCTCTAGGAACCCCTTCTTCTCACCCTGGAATCAGCTCTTCCCTCTCTGTCCTTTGTCTTCTGGGAAGCCTTACAACACCAAAGTGTTTGGGTCAAACCCACAGTCACAGTTCTGATACTAACCTGTCACCGGGTGTAGCTTAAATCACAAGTGTTTGCTCTGTGCTTGAAGGAATGGAGGCCACTGAGTGAGCATTTAGTGGGACATTTTATGCCGCTTTTCCTTGCCAGGAAAACCTACTCCTCCTTCCTCTCCCCAGTTTTCCCCCTGAGCAGAATATAAATCATTTTAACTATCTTTATTTAAAACCCAACAACCTGTAAAAGAAAGCTGGTTGCCTTCTGCTTTTTTACTGCTTACAAAGCAAGGGGCAGAGCCCTCAGGGCTGCAGGAGCCTAGAGGCTGGGAGAAAGGGATGCTCTAGATACTTTCTGGGACAAAGATCACAAGCAGCCTTCACCCTTGGGGAGGAGTCCTTCAATCTGGTGATGGAGATATGGCCCTGCCCAAGAAACCTAATCTGATGGCTGCCATAAGAGGACTCACTCTCTGATGCGAGAGACACAGCTCTGTCCTTGGAAAGCCCCTAGTCCAATGAGGGAGACAGGCGACTCTCTTTCTTTGCAAATGAAAAGCTGCAACTCAGAGCCCCCAGAGCTCTGCAGGAGCCCACTGTGTTGCTCTGCTCAGGCTTAGCTGCCCCATCCAGGGCAAAGGCTGTGCTCATGCTGTGTCCATGTCTTGTGGTTCTGTCTTGTGGTTCTGCCTTGTGGCCCGGATGGAATGTGCCCCAGGGGAGCCCCATTCACTGAGGCAGCCCTGGCTGGGCTTAACAGCTAGTCCAGCATGCTTTTAATAATGCATGTCTCACAGAGCAGCTTATTTAACTTTAATAGTCCTGCACAGGGAGCCGTGGGTCTCTTTCAGGACAAGGCTTGGGCTCTGGGGAATTCAGCAAAAGTCTTACACTTGCTGCCAGGCTTCCCAAATCAGGTCCCCTGTGGGTTTCAGTCCAAACACACCATGTGACGTGACACCCACCTTAAACAAACACAGCAGGTCTCTGGCCCCTTGGGTGGAGGAAATAGCTTTTCATGGGCTTGTACAATGTGGCAGCTACTTTATGTATATATATTTCCTGCAATGCTAACCACAGCCTTGAGATAATTGCTGTAATTCCCATCATAGAAAGGAGAACAATGAAGACTCAGGGAGTCAGGCAATTTACCCAAAGTCACATGGATAATCAGTAGCAGAGCTGGGGTTCAAATACTGGTCTAATTCCAAAGCTCCTGCTTTTTCCACTACACCATGTTGCTTCTCCGATGTACTCAAAAATTATCCCAGCACTGGGGAGTGGAGAGAAGCTGCCCATACACTAGGCACAAATCAAGTCTTCAGAGCATGTGCAGTGGGTCCAAGCAGCCAAAGGGAGAGGTGGGAACACAATCTGGGAGTGCCAGCTACCATCACAATAACCAGAGAGCCTTAGACTTCGGGACTCACCTGAGAAGCTTATTTAAAGCCCAGATTCCTGGGCCTTATTATCAGAGAGTCTGGTTCAGTAGCTCTGGGCCAGGCCCAGGAATCTGTATCTTCTTACTATCCCCAGGTAGTGCTGATGCAGCTGGCCCCCAGAAGACATTTGAAAAAACACCCAAATAATCCCTTCTGTATAGCACATTCTCCTTTACGAATCCATGTACAACCCCGGCAGGTAGATGGGGCAAAACGTGTTAGTCCCATTTTAGGGAAGACTGAGTTTCTGTACCGTGAAGGGACTAGCATTAGAACACAATAGCTAATGGCAGGACCCAGGCTGACACTCATTTCTTCCTGCCTCCTAGTTCTGCACTTATCCAAGCTTGCAATCTTGTCTCTCCGGGGAAAGAAGGGAGGGGAAGTATACAGGTACTCTTCAAGGCATGGCCCATGATAGGGGTGTCTGGGAGTGAGTCTTTGAAACCAGGGGCCCAGTCTGAGAGACCAGCAGGAGGGGACATGCTGCTGCAGGGAATGAAGGGGACTTTGGCAGCATCAGCAACAAACCAGCAGAGAGCAAGGCTGAGAGCCAGGGGAACCCCAGTAGCCCAGATAAGAGATGTTGGGGGCCTGGCCAAGGTGGTCACTGAAGTGTGGGACAACATCAAGGAAAGGGTTGTGGGGGGCTGTGCCCAAAACAGTGTTGCCCACAACAGTCACCAATTATTGGATAAGCAAAAAGGGGATCATATTTAGCAAATTCTGGACACAGAATGGACTGAAAGATTTTTCCAAGAAAATTTACTTTGGGCTTCAGAGAAAGAATAGATCTGGGGAAGGGACTGGAAACAGCTCCATCCTCACCATGTTTCACTCCAGTCAGAAGAGGGGGCTGGCCTCAGGTTGAGAGTTTAGGGAGGTAAGTCCAAGAGAGATAACAGGTAGGCAGGAAAGAGTCTGTCCCCAGCATATAAACTAACAGTCCCAAGGTCAGGGAGAGGTGACATTGCTGGCAGCCCTGGAATCCAGGGCAAAGATGATGGAAGAAGGCAAGAGCTTTGAGGAGACTCTGACAGTCAAAAGCCATGGATGGTGAGAGCTGGAAGGAGGTTTAGGGATTGTCCAGCCCTGCCCTCCCACTTTACAATTGAGGAAAATGAGGCCCAGACATGAGAAGTGCCCCACCTAAGGCCACATGCCAGGGTACTGAATTCCAGGACTTCTGATCCCCAGGCTGGCACTACTTCCAACCCAACCCAGGGCCTTTCTCTAACCACTTCTACCATCCCACTAAATACTATGTGATCCTGGACTTGGAGACAGAAAAGGCAGCCAGTTAAAATATGCATTTTTTTAAAATGTCAATTCAAGATAGTATATTAACATAATCCCCAGATGGAGGCATTAGCATTTGTGCTCCTCACATTGCCTGGAAAAACTTGCTGGCATGTCTAAAAATCAAAAATATTATTACTACCTGAGGTGGCAGGGAGCCCTCCGAGGAATATGAAGAAGTAAGAGGAAAGGTGAAGGGAGGGCTTCGGTGCCACCGCTGATGGCAGGAAGGTGGGGCAGGAAGGGGCTGGAGCAAAGGGATGTTGCTTGGATTATTTCCTCATCAAAAAATCCACGGGCAATGGTCAAATTCTTGGCAGGAAGAAGTGTACTAGTCAAGGACTTCCGAGTGAAGGTCTCAATAGTGAGCAAGGGATGTGTGTTCTGATTCATGCCCTGCTCTTAAATTGCTGGGTGTAATCTCTGGGGAAGTCCTTTCACCTCTCTAGTCCTCAATTTTCCTTGTACTTAAATGTTAGATAATTTAAAGGTTAAATAATCCTCAGGGTTCCTGTGCTTCTAGCTCTGATGTTCTCTGTGCAGCCTGACATGGCTCCCTTGAGACACCATGACAACTCCTGAAGCAGTGGCTCATGGAAGGGACATTTGACATAGGCTCTCCCACCTTAGCCCATCCATTGCTTGTTGCTGGCACTTTGTATCTAAAGCTTAACTCTGACTTTCCAGTCTCAATCTTGGCTTTTCCAGCAAGAATTCTGGCTTTCCTGGTGCCAGACCTCTTGAATAACCACCTCCCAGGACCCTCTGTCCCCCAAACTGCTGGATTCCTCTGCCCTACTGTGAGCCACAGACCCTATTCCATAAGGTACATCAAGTGACAGATGTTTTAAAGGTCACCGGAAATCCAAGTTAGAAGAGAGATGGTTTGTGTTCACCCCTCCCACTGCAGCAATCCACTCCCACTGTAGCAATCCACACAGCCTGTCTTTTAGGCTAAAAGGCAGTGGGAAAGATTACAATTTGAAAAATAGATTAGGGCTCATCTGTGGAGGGATTTTGTACATTTGGAGAACAAGTCAGGTGAGGAACTTGCAGCAGATGCTTTCAGTGCTCTGTCCCATATCACCTCCATGTACTCTATTCCTGCTGTCAGGCACTTCCTGAGAATAGTGACTTTCTGCCCAAGAACATCTGCCAGCCATGGAAACACTCTGGGTGTAAGCACTGAGCAGGCCAAAACTCCTGGGATGGCAACACTCCAAGAGTAGCTCTCAACCAACAATAAATAGGAATGAGCCCAGCTTCCTCCCCAACCCTGCAGTGTGGTTTTCACCATCTCTCAGAGGTCCCCTGCAGGGCTAAGCCCCAGTCATCCATAGCAGGAACTGGCTCCAAATATATGCTATATTGGTTGTCTTCCCTTCCCCACCTCATTTCTGCACTCCTTTCCTAGGTCTTCCTGAAGTCACCTTCAAATGTACCATTGCCCTTAAATTCTAGCCCCTGGAGGGATCCAATCTCAGACAGAAGTGGTGTATGCTCTGCCACCCACTTGGAGATTCACAATGCACATTGGCATAATAAAGCCTCTGATAAGTTCTGTAAGAAATAAACATCTTTAACCCTAGCTAGCCCAGCGTTTTCTAACCTATTAGACCACAGCATCTTGTTTTCTTCCTTTAAGCATCTCATAGAAGTAGTATTTTGGGGACAATACTTAGCAAAATGCTATGCAAGGAATCAGATGTGAGTGGAGTCAAAGCTTCCTTTAGAAAGGCCCAGCAGCAGGCGGCTGTCCCGTGTAGGAACAATAACTGTTAGAAATGTTAGCTACGTTCCACTTCTGTATGGGTGCTTTAGAACAGGACTGTCATAGCAGTCCTGTGATGGTAGATAGAGACAGGATTATTACACTTTCTTTACAAATGAGGAAACTGAGGCTCAGAGAGATTAAGAAACTTGCCCAAGGTTGTACAGCTGGTAAAGGCAGGTTTGGGACTCCTAACTCCACATCCCTTTTTGCAATGAATTTCCTATTTAGCAGCAGGACTGGGAATAGAATCCATGTGCTGTTACCCTAGTCCAGACTTTCTCCATCTATCCCAACAATGAGGGTCAGCCCTAGCCTCCTGAGGGTTCCGTGGGTGAGCAATGGTCATATGAGCTCAAGGGGAAATGAAAGGAAAGTGGAGAAGCCATGGGTTATGCATACTCTTTAAGTATTTTGCCCCTTCTTCAGACTCAGATACCACTGACAACTTTAATTCTTTCTTCTCATCTTTCCCCAACTCACACACACACAAATCACATCACTTTAGCTATCACTGGTTTGCAAGGGCTTCCAGAAGAAGTTTTCCACGACATGGGTCAGCTGGGTTCAGCTTACACAAAACACATGCACACAGAAGAGACTTGATTCATGCACATACATTCATAGATATCCAAGCATGTATGCACTCAGATATTCAAGCATGCATGTGCATACCTGTGTTCATATAACATTCTATACACTTTATTGTCATTACTTGTTTTATTGTGTGTATTTTTCTAGACCTCTGGACCGTATAACCCATAAGTGTAAGAGCTGAAACCTTCTCTATCTTGAGAACACCAGAGGCAAGCACAGTGTCTGGTGCTCAGTAAATATGTGTGGAATAAATGGATGAATCAACACACAAATGTGCAAATTGCACTTTTATATATAGCAAACAATAGTGCACACAGACACATCCACACCCCCAGTACATGTATGCAAACACACGTGCACACGGGAACACATGCACAAGCACACAGATTCCCTATGCTCTATCAGAGCCCAAGGTCAGGACATGAACATTACGCCCACTGACATGAATCTCTTGGATGGGATCCAGAGAGCCCCCAGCAGCCATTACTTTGCTACCCGTCTATCTGCCCCATTTATAGTTGAAATAAAATGTGTCACGGCTGCCTCACTGGAGACCAATGTAGACATGGAGGGAAATGGAGAAATATTGGCCCAGCTTGCATTCCAGCTCACTGGCTTGGAGGAGCTTAAGGCATAAATGAGTTTGGACTTAATTGACTTTTTTATTGGGCTTTAATTCACTAGTACTTTTCCAAAGGCTGACTCCAACAGGCAGAGGCAGGGTTGAGCAGTCTCTAGGATTGCCAGCCCCCCTTGCCTCTCCCCCTGCTCCCTTAGACCCGTTCTAAACCCCTTCTCTACACAGGGCCTCCCTTGTCAACATGGTGACATGAGGAAGTCAGTGTCGGAGCCTGTCTCCTCCTGCCTGGCTCCATCTTTGCCCCTTCCCAACCTCTTGTCATACCTCTCATTCCATTCAATACAGTAACATTGATTGAGAGTTCGCTACATGCCCTCACAGGGCAGTGGGATACAGAGATGAACAAGAGCAAATTTTTGCCCTCTGGGAGCCTGGAGTCAAATGGAGAGATGGACACATAAATTCCACCCTATAATAGATACCAAAAATTAATCCGGGAACAAGACCCAGAGAGGCAGAGTAAGGCACAGTGATTCAAGTAAGGCTGCCCAGATGGGATGCTTCCACTTCCTCTTGAAGAGGGGAAAGTATTTTCTAGGCAGGGTATTCCTGGAAAGGGTATTCCAGGCAGGCAGAAGAGCAGTGGCAAAGGCATGGAGGGATGAGACAGCGGGGCATGTTCCGGGCACTTTCCTGAGGTCCTGGGCAGCTGGGGTGGAAGAAGGATGAGCAGGACGTTCATGAGGGCAGCAGGGCTAAGCGGAATGAACTTCATCCTGGAAGTCAGAAAACCCACATTCCAGTCCCATTTTACCACTTATTAGCATATGACTGGGCAAGTCACCTTTCTTCTCCGAGTCACAGTGTCTTCATCTATAATGTGAAGAGTTTGAACTCACTGAGCTCAAAGACCCCCTCTCACCTCCAGGGCCTTCTCATCTTTCTTGTGGTAATATTTCTCTGCTATCCTAAGTCTCTGACTTAGTTGATGCTGGTTTGAGTTTCTCTGAAGGAAGCCAGCCACAGAAAGCCCAGTACAGAACTTATTAGAGTCTGAGAATGCCAGTCTTGTGGAGCAACCTTTGGGGCAGGGGCTATGATGGAGTTCCCCTTCTCAGAGCTCTGCTCCTGACACCACAAGCCATGGGAGCCCTCCCCAGCCAAGTGGGAGAGCAAGGCCAGCCCGGGGACAACCCAGGTTGAGGGCTCTCTACTCAGGCAGGACAACCAGTGCTGCGTTTCAATGCTTACCATCCAGAATTATCCAGGCTCTGGAAGTGTTTGAAAGGATGAGCTTCAGCAAGCTGGGAAACTTTCTTGTTTTGCCATATAAATGAAACATGACTGAAAGTAAGAACAGGCTCTGAGGAACTTTAAATCCTCACACAAATATAAATAACTCCTTTTTAGTATAAGGGGACTACATCCCAGTTTGCCCGGGACAGTGTCAGGTTTTGCCTCCCATCTGGCATAATACTGAGTGGGCTCCTTGCTTTCACTCTCCAAAGTGTCCTCCTTGGGGCAATCAATGTTGCCATCCCTCTGCTCTGTAAGCTTTTGGAGGGCAGGTATTACAGCAGGGGAGCAGAGAGCACTGGTGAAAAGGAACGGGCTTTGGTAGCACACTGACCTCGGTGTGAATCCCAGCTCTACCTTGGACAACTGACTTAACCTTTCTGAGCTTGGCTTTCTTATATGTAAAATGGGGATGGTAACATCTGCCACACCAAGTCACTTAGAGAAATAAACAAGGTTTTGCACTTGCATATGTAATATTACTTGCTCAATATCTTCCCCCTCACCTTCTGTGTCTTTGGCCTCTCCATAACCCTCAGTGCTGGGCATGTAGGAGATTGGATGTTGAGTGCATGAGTGAAGGAGTCCCTCAATCAAGCACAGAGGCAGAAGCTGCGGTCCTTTCTCTGCACCTCAGACTCTGTTCTGTCAAGTGAGCTGAGGCATAATTCCCAGACTGTCTTTTGTGGGTTGACGATTTGATCCCTTTTCCTGTGCCCTCCACCGCTAAGCCTTCACAAAGTCCTTGCATTGATGTCTCTCTGCCCTTCTTCTCTTTTACTTTTAACCTCCATTCAGCTTGTCATTTCCTCTATCCTTTTGATGGTAGTGATGGGGCAGGGTAGAAGGAGGAGGGACAGTGTTCATCATCACTCCAATGCCTCACCCGGGAGATCACCACGGACCTACCTTGCCGCTGCATTTCATAACTTCCCTATTTCTTGAACTGCCTCATGGCAGCAGTGTCATAAGTTTGGAGTCACACAGACTTAAAGTTTACAGATCTAAGATCGAATCCTTTGGGATAATCATTTGTTTATGGTAGAATATCTTGTAACTTCTGAGAGTCTAAGTTTCCCATCCCTAAAATAGGCATAATAACATGTAAGGCAACTCTGGGGATTACATACATAACTGCATAAGCTGTCTGGCCTAACATCTGGCCTTTACCCAGCCTTCAGTTCCCCATAATCTGGCTCAATCCACCTTTACCATCTTCAGTCCACCTTTCCCATCCCATCCAGTACTTCCTCCACAGCCTCCCCTGCAATTCCGCCAGCACGCTCACTGCTCCCAGAGCACCCCTCGCATTCACTCAAGCCCTGCCTCTGCGCCTCTGCCAACGCTGTGCCCTCTGCTCATGCTGTGCCCTCTTCCCTTCCCCACCTTTGGTGTCCTGAAATGCTCCTTCTCCATCAAACCTCACTGAAAATCTCACCTCTTCCATGAGCCTTTTCTGATCGCTCAGGTGAGAGCTGATCGCTCAGCCCAACTCTGTCTCTCCCCGTGTTTAACTGATTCCTCCATTTACCATGCATTTCTTTCTGCTGTTGTTTATTGTAGCCGTTTGCTTACACACTTTACCCTCAGAAGAGACTATACAATCCTTGAGGGTAGAAACCATTTATTGTTCATCTGTCTATATAAACGACCTCAAAAACTTTGAGAAACAAGGTAGGACATGAGCAAGTAAAATTAAAATTCAGCTCATGATTTCTAGTTCCATCCCCAGAATGGACTGAGCCAACACAAAGTTATCTCCCACTCCATGCACATAGAAAAGCAGGACGTAACAATTTTTAAAATTTTGAAGGCAGAGCCAAGCTCTACAAAAAGGGAAACTCCAAGGGCCAGACATGAGACAGCCCTGGAACCAAGATGCCTGCATAAAGCCAGGACCCAGGAATAGCTGCCTTTTCATTAAACTGGTCTGGAAAACTTCACCTACCTACCCAGGAAATTGGACTCTACCAGAGGCTCTAGGTCGCAAGTGTGCATGAGCGCACATGCATCTGTATGTACGTGCATGCATGTGTGTGAGTCTGTGTGTGTGTGCTCTGTGCTTGGTTCACATAAAATGCCCTGAATGCCTACTGTGTGCAGACCTTGAACTGGACACGGGGGACCTGAAAACAACTGGCCCCCAGCCACCTCACTCTGCTTGAATGTTAGAATGTGTGTTCCAGGAGGACAGGGACCCTTGGGGACCTACTCACTGCCATTCTAAACACTTAACCGGTTTTATTTCTTAACATCATGACAGCCTTTGTAAGATGGAGGGTAATACCAGGAAGAACTGAAGCAAGGGAAATTCACTAACTACCCAGTTTGGGGGCAGAACCATCATTCAAAGACAGGCGATTTGGCTCACATTGCATAAGTTTAAATGTTACAGTACATAACCTTGAGCCACATAGTATGTGTGCCAAAATATTTGTTGAATGAAAACCTGAATAGGTGGCTGGAAGGAGGTCACAGAGCATTTCAGAAAGCTGTGGCCCAGGTCAGGCTAGGCAGACCCAGTGCAGGTAGCATTGATGGTGCCCAGCATCCAGGCCAGCTCTCCATAAAGGGAACCCATTTTAAATAAAATGAACTCCCCTGGCCTCTTGATGCTTGGGAGATGGTTTTCTCCTGTCTCAGGATGATTGTATCTGGCCCCATTTCCTCTGAGGCTACTCTTGATTTTTTTTCCCCTCCCCACTGTGTGTCTGGCTCTAATTCCCTTCTCGGGTCCCATTTGGTGGTTACCACTTATGTTCTAAAACGCACCATTAGGCGTGTGATGTATGGCGTGTTCAGCGGGGCAGCCACACTGGTAGCCTGAGCCGGCCAGGGAAATGAAGAGGCCTCTGCCTGCCAACAATGGCCACTCATGGTCCTCTTGGAGAGGACAGGCCGCCCCAGAGAGAATGACCTCCTCCAGCCTCACAGGACTCCCAGGAGCATGAAGCACCTGTCCTCACACATAGCTCATGCATCTGTCTGTTTACCCTGCACGCAGCTGTTAGACACCCTTGGTGTGACAGGAGCTGCAGAGAGAGGGATGAAAAAGATGCCTTGCCTGTCCTTGTGGGATTCACTGTGTGGACTGGCTCAGGGGCTAGGATAGGGTCACAAGCCAAGGCCTCCAAGGCTGTAGCTGAGTGATTCTGGGGGTCGTGGGGGTAGCTGTGGCAGACTGTCCTAGCAATATGAACACACAGCTTTCCAGCATCATGCAGTTTTATGAGAGAGGGGAGGGATCCAGGGCATGGAGAGCCCCAGCAATTACTCCTAAAAATTGCTTGGGATTCCTCTAGAAACCTAAAATTTTATCAATAGAAGGGTCTATGTAGATTTTTTTCCTCCTGCTTAAGCCATGCAGACACTCATCCCTTAGCCATCCCAGAAATATGAGCCTCCAGTGGTAGCTGGCGTTTGAAGCAGGTCTTCAAGTCCTATCCCGTTCTGCCCATTGGATCCTGTCTTTGCATGGGCTCGTCTCCCCTTTGTAAATAATAATAACCACAATAAGCATAGTAGGCTCTATGCCAGGTGCCCACATTCATTTAATTCTCCAACAACCCTGTAAGGTAATCCTATCTTCCACTTTACAGATGAAAACACTGAGGCTCATAGAGTTTGAGTCCCTTGCTCAGGTTCACACACACAGCTGATAAGCAGTGGCATGTGGATCTGAACCCCAAATCTCATGTTGTCACTGGCTCAGACTGTGTTCCAAATCTGTGATTCCTCATTCTGACTTGGATTCCCATCTCGCTCCACTCCCCTCTCCGCAGGCTTAGGGCCCTTAGATGTCTGCCCTGACTCCACCTTCAGCACCTCCTGTGATCTGGAATGAGGAGCTCGGGCTCCAGTTCATGGCTCTGGAGAATCCAGGTCTCTTCTAGACTCCAGCCAAGTCCCCCCCTCCAGGAGGAAAAAGTGAGGATCCAGGCCAAGGTTATCCGCTTAGTCCCCTGCTCTTGACAATATCCTCCAATATCCCAGACTCTTGGGGGGTTGGGGAGTTGAGGAGCATGCAGATAGCATTTGCATAAATACTTCTAGTGACAGGGAGCTCACTACCTTCCAATGTAGCCCATTCAACTGACAATCAAAATTGTTTGTGGTTGCTTCATCTTCATTTAATAATTAGCGTGTATGTGTTTTGGTATGAAAAATATTTAAACATATACAAGCTAGATCGAATAGTTTAATGAACCCCTTGTACCTATCACCCAAGTCCTACAATATTAACATTTTGCCATTCTTGTTTCCTCTGTACCTATGCCCACTTCTATCCTTTACCTGAAGATGAGGAGGGGGAGGAAGGGGAGCAGGAAAAGAAGGAGGAGAAAAAGAGGAGAATTTAACGTCGCTTTTTTGTTGTTGCAAAAATTCATGTACATTGACCTGCACAAACCTTACCTGTATTGTTTTGGGAAATTTTTGTGCTGAACCCCTATTAACCTCAGTAGAGAAGGCACCAGGTTCAAGAGGCTAAAGAAGACACCCAGAGCCCACAGATGAGACACGGGGTTTTACTAGGGGCTTACATACGGAGAGAGTTCAGTGTGTGACGGGCTATACAGGAAAACTGCCTTACATACAGAAACAGCCCAGTGGTGGGAGGCTGGGCAACTGATCTGCCTTATGAACAGCCCAGTGGCCGCCGCTGTTCAGCCGCCCAGTGGCGGGCTGGGCAGGAAAACCACGACCATTTGCAAACAGCATGCAGTTTACATAGCATTTTCACTTAACACCCTCCCACTAATGACCTCCACCTAACAACCTCCATCTAACCCAAAGCTCAGGTCCCCAATCCCCTGTATGGCCCATGTCCCACAGGACAGGACAGGGGCTCAGGTGTTCCTCATAGACAAGGAATGAGTCTCCAGGTTGGCCATTCCTGAATTCTCTAGCTCAGAACACACATTCAGATGCATCTGCCATACAGGGTCATCCTCAGGGCATGCCTAAGTTATTGTTCCCAGGTATGTTTACCCTACACAAAGGGATACACCTTTGTAACCCACACCATTATTATGACAGAATATGTGCATCTCCCAAGAAAGGTTATTGTTGGACACTTTAGTTGTTATTTTATTTCTCTATGTCCAACCCAAATCCTAGAACTATTCTCCATGGCAGTACAAGAAAGAATATGTCTGTTCTTTTTTCCAAATGATATTCCTTCAAATATTTGCAGATAGCAGGCGTGATTCTCTCTAAATCGGCTATTTTCTATTCTAAATACCCCTAGTTCCTGCAGCCATTTCTTTTTTTGTTTTCAGAAGACAGAGAATTGACTGTCAACATTAATAGAAGGAGACCTGATTTCCTCTTTACCAAACCTCTTCCCAGCTACATCCCACTTGGGCCTTGAGGACAGGAAGGGGTTTGCCGTGAGAGGTGTTGCCCACCTGCCAAATTTTCTACTTTCTGGGATGCTGGCTCTATAGGGCAGGGCCACACAGGTGTACTCACTTTACATAGCCTCTGAACAGCTGAGCTGTGTCCAGATTTATCTTTCTTTATAAACCAAATTGCAGCATTATCTCTTTCATGCATTCTTTTTTAATTCAATCATTCAACAAATTTCTACTGAGTGCCTATGCTAAGCTAAGCTGTGTCTAGAGTACTTGGATAAATAAGAAACAGTCCCACTCTTTAGGGATGGAGCAAAGAGAGAAAAATATATGGACGTATTCACTGATTCAGCATTTGTTGCACACTCACTGTGTCCCTGGAATAAGGGCAGATACTGGAATTATGGAAGTATGGTGACTACTATGGCCACCTTTGAAAAACTAAGGCACTCATGCATTCACCGACTGTGAGTGTTGGTAGCTGACATTGCTTCACTCTGGAAATTCCAAGCCTGGGAATTGCCCTCTAAATTAGAGAGGCACCTCACCCACAGTTCCGTCCTTTCCCCAGGGGTACCCCAAATCCAATGGGGATACAAATTCTGGCACCTTGCCTCAATCCAGGACAGCTCTGAAGGGCCACCCCCACTCCAAAACTCCCCACAGGTCAGCTGAGGCCTCTGTTACAACTACATGGAAATTCAACTTCTCCTGCCAACTTCCCTCCTGCATGGGTGTGATCGGTGGGTGTGGAGCCCAAGGACACTGCCCAGTAAACCTCTTGCATGCAAGTCTCCATCCCCATTCTGCTTCCCAGTGAGCCCAGGAAGTGAGCAAAAGCAAGATAGCCTAGAGCTTATAGTCTAGTGTGGAGAGACAAGCATCAATCAGCTGAACACACAAATATGCAGCAATTGGGGCTTGAAGGAAAAGTATGTGGTACCAAGAAAAGGGCTCCCTTCATCAGACTTGACCTTGGTTTGGAAGAGCCAGCTGAGATTTGAAGTTCAAGTAGGAGTGAGCAGACTGTCCAGTGTGACAGGATGGAGGGGAGCACAGGGTGCTGGCAAAGCCCCAGGAGGGCATGTCAGCCATTCCGAGCAGTGGGTAGGTTGTCAGGGAAGGCTTTCTGGAGGAAGTATTCCCTAGCTGGAGTATGAAGTATGAGTAAGAGTTAACTCAATGAAGGCAGGGACATGTTCTGAGCATAGATGTCAGCATGTCTGAAAGCACAGAGTTATGAAGTAGGATGGTGTCTTTGGAGAAAGGCAGGGCTGGGCAGAGCTGACTCATGTAGTGCAGGAGAGAAGAGGCTAGAAGGAATTGGGTGGGGCCCAGGTCTTGTGATTTCTCAACAATATGCCAGCCCAAAACCAAGAAGTTTGCAGCCTTGCAGAGGTTTAAGCAGGGGCGTTTGCTTTTGAAAAACATCTCCCTGACTGCCATGTGGAAAATGAATGGAGGAGGAAGGGAGTGGGGTGGGAGACTCTGTAGGAGGCTGTGGCAGTTAACCAGGTAAGAGATGAGCAGCTCACTCGGTTGCAGGCTGAAGGTAGGCAGGACTGAGAGGAGGAAACTAACTAGAGCGACATTTTCAAAACAGAACCAAGACTTAAACCTGTAGAAAGCCACAACGCTGTCTCCCTCAATTCTCTGGCTTTGAGAAAAAGAGTTGTGAAACTTCAGTTGAATTTGGGGGTAGAGCAAAGACTCATATCATTAATTGGCAGCACCACCAGACCACCCTGAAGAGTCTCAAGGCGTCCCTCTGCCATGTCTAGGACGGAATTGGTACTCAAGAGGTTTCACATGCTGGTTTGCACTTTGTCTAATTTATATTCAGGCACAATGGAACATGCTCAAGTGCAAATCTTAGGTATTGTTCCATTGCTGAGAAATATTTTTTCTTGCTGTCCCCCATTCTGCATCCTGGGAGGCAGAGTTCCCAGGGCTTCTTAATCAGACAGACCAGGGTCGAGATCCCACGTCTGCCCCTGACTTGCTGCATGACGTTGAGAGAGTTGTTTAGCCTCTCATGGATTCTGCCACCGCTTCTCTAGCAACAAGAGTAATGGTAGGGTTGCGGCCGGGAGCGGTGGCTCACGCCTGTAATCCCAGCACTTTGGGAGGCCGAGGCGGGTGGATCATGAGGTCAGGAGATCGAGACCATCCTGGCTAACAAGGTGAAACCCCGTCTCTACTAAAAATACAAAAAAAATTAGCCGGGCGCGGTGGCGGGCGCCTGTAGTCCCAGCTACTCGGGAGGCTGAGGCAGGAGAATGGCGTGAACCCGGGAAGCAGAGCTTGCAGTGAGCCGAGATTGCGCCACTGCAGTCCGCAGTCCCGCCTGGGCGACAGAGCGAGACTCCGTCTCAAAAAAAAAAAAAAAAAAAAAAGAGTAATGGTAGGGTTGCTGGGAGGTTCGCCTGACATGTGGCATAAGTCTCAATTATCCTTCTGGAAAAGATTTGCAGCAGTCTTGCTCTGTCACCAGGCTGGAGTGCAGTGGTGCAATCTTGGCTCACGGCAACCTCCATCTCCCCGGTTCAAGCGATTCTCCTGCCTCAGCCTCCTAAGTAGCTGGGACTACTGGTGCACACCACCACATCCAGCTAATTTTTTGTATTTTTAGTGGAGATGGGATCTCGCCATCTTGTCCAGGCTGGTCTTGAACTCCTGACCCTAAGTGATCTCCCCACCTCAGCCTCCCAAAGTGCTGGGATTATAGGCGTGAGCCATGCCTGGCTAGAACTGACATTTGATCCTTCAGACAACCCCTCAGAACTCATGGTCTCCCTGGCAACTCTGTGAGGCAGGTGTGGCCAGGCCATTCGACACATGAAAAAGTAGAGTCACAGAGACCAAAGTGGAGGAGACTGGACTTCGTTTCCATGTAACCCTGAGAAGGATTATTATCCACATTCTTCAGATGAGGAAACAGGTCAGAGAAAACAAGTAACTGACCCAAGGTCACATGACTCAGGCCCCATAGAACTGGGCTTCACACTTGGATCCATCTCAGTAAAAAAGCCTGTGCTCTTTCTCTCTTCCTGCTTGCACTTCACGAGTCCGTGATGCCTCTGCAAGTAACTCACCTTCCCTGAACCCCAATTTCCTCATCTGTAAATGGGACAATAGTGTCTATTTTGCAAGTTTGTTGTGAGAACAAGTTGTCACTCCCTTTCATCACATCTGTCTCTCCTCCTGTTTTCATCTGACTTTGTCCTGAGCAGGAGCTGGACTAAGACGCAAAATTTAAGGAGGCACCCACACTCAGGTTAATGCAAGTGCAACCCCCGAAATAATTGCTTCCTTAAATTTCATGCCCTAGGTCTTCATTTGCCCCATCCTAGTCCTGGTCCTGTTCCAGGGATCTAGAGGGGAGGTAGGGGTGTGAAGAGGACAGGAAAGATAAGGCTGTAGGGTGAACTGATGTGAAAGCAGTAGCAGAAAACAGGCCCTTGAATGCCCACAGCTCGACAAGAACAATAGGCTGGAACAGGTGGACCTTGCTTTATGCAATTACGCTGAAGAGTTGCATTCTGTAAGTTAATGTGCATGAATCCATGATGATATTACAGCTGCTTTATCTCCCTGATGATCTTAAGCTATTTTATCTTCATTTCTTATAGCTCATGAACTACCTGAGGTTGGTGTCCATGTCTTATTTATCTTTGTATTCCCAGGACCTAGCACGGTGTTTGACATGTAATAGTTGCTCATTAGATGTTGAATGAACTAAAAATGTTTTGTCTTTCATTGTGAAAGCCTCTAATCATCTTAGGTCCTTTGATATTTAGTTCATAATTCAAGGAACTGTGGCACAATGAAAACCACACTCCCCTGGGATTCTAGTCTCCCAGGATGAGACAGTAAGGCATGAGGATACTGAATAAATATTAGCCCAACTTAAAAAGCTAGTAAGTGGCAAACTCATGCTTTGATTCCAAAGCCTATGCTCTCTCTTCTATGGTACAGGGGCCAAGTCTAAGAAATATTTGTCAAATATGCAAGATACCACCTCTGCCTCTGTCACTCATGAGTCCCTTCTACCCAAGCCCTCAAGTTGTGACCCTCATATTGCCCTGTGGCAAGGGTCCCCAACCC
Organism: Homo sapiens; assembly: GCF_000001405.40. Lineage (NCBI taxonomy): Eukaryota > Metazoa > Chordata > Mammalia > Primates > Hominidae > Homo > Homo sapiens. The sequence goes on along the minus strand of NC_000017.11, from coordinate 33,125,145 downwards.
CCAGGCCACAGACTGTTACCAACCCAGCTTGTTGGGAACTGGGCCACAGAGCAGGAGGTCAGCGGCGGGCAAGCCAGCCAAGCTTCATCTGTGTTTACAGCCACTCCCCATTGCTTGCATTACTGCCTGACTCAGCCTCCTCTCAGATCAGTAGCAGCATTAGATTCTCACAGGAGCGTGAACCCTATTGTGAACTGTGCATGTGAGGGATCTAGGTTGTGCCCCCCTTAAGAGAATCTAATACCTGATGATCTGTCACTGTCTCCCATCACCCCCAGATAGGACTGTCTAGTTGCAGGAAAACAAACTCAGGGCTCCCACTGATTCTACATTATGGTGAGTTACCTAATTATTTCTTTATATTTTAAAATGTAATAATAATAGAAATAAAGTGCACAACAAATGTCATGTGCTTGAATCATCCCGAAACCATCGCCCCCTTCTCCCCAGTCCATGTAAAAATTGTCTCCCATGAAACCAGTCCCTGGTGCCAAAAAGGTTGGGGACCACTGCCCTGTGGCACCTGCTCAAACCCTTCCCCACTTTCAGGCATTGCTTTTTACTACAGAGACACTGGCACCACCAGTAGCACTCATATGCTTCTGGTGCAAAAATGGCAAATAGTGTTTATCTAACTTGCCAACTCCAAAGGACCCATAGTGGCAGCCAAAATTATTGGGCTGAAAACAATTGTGAGTCCCAGAGGGAAAGAGCATTGTGATCAATCAATTATGTCTGTTACAGATCTAGAAAGGAGAGTGGCATCATGCATGCTGTGTATCTCCCAGCCAGGCCCTAATTTCACATGTCAGGAAAGCAATCTGATTAAACTATAGAAAACTCTCTGCATTTGTGAATCTGTGATGGCTTTGAACACTCATAATGTAAGCTTTGCTACTAAAATTCCATGATACTCAATCTCCAAGACCAGCTGTGGGGAAAACTAGCAGACAATGACATTCTCCGAGCAGTTCCTGGAAAAGCTGAAATATGACTTTAATAAGAAAACATGAACTCAGTAAGAATGTGGTATGAGGATTTTAGTGCCATATGGGTCGTTACCTATTTGACCTTTTCTTGATCAGCTTTTAGAATCAGCCTGCCTTGGGATTGTTTTCTGCCCTGCCATTAATGGAAACATGTGCTTTTCTTCTGTAAACATCATAAACTATCATTTGGTTTCCACTGGTGCATCGCTTTCAATGCAGCCCTGTAGAATAACGCAAAATTAACCAGGAACACAACACAACACACTTCTGATCCCCTCTTCTTCCTTCTCCCATTCCACACCTGCACGAAAGAAGGGATATTCCCAGCAGGTGTGTAATGAGGCAGGTGCAAGGAGTGACATGTGTCTGATCTCAGGGTTGTTCATCCAGGCATAAAGCACACTCACAGCAGTAGGAATTAGCCCACCCAAGCCCATGGGATAGGAGCTGGGAAGGCGCGGGGAAAGCGAAGTTCACCTGAGCAGAAATAGCCAGTCAGAGTAATGCAGAGTTTTGCAAGAATGCCCAAGAAACGTTCCAGAAGGGATCTGGGCACAGCCACAGGAAAACCAAGCAGGCAGGTATTCCCGTAAATTCAGCATGCAGCAGTTAGAAGCAAGAATAGGGTTGTAATCACAAGATTAGGCAAGCAACTGTTTAAAAAAAAAGCTTTTAATGGCAACCACCATTCTACTATCTCTGAGTTCAATTTTTTTAGATTCCACATATATAAGTGAGATCATGTGGTATTTCTCTTTCTGTGCCTGGCGTATTTCACTTAGCATAATGTCTTATTTATCTAGATTTATCTATGTTGTTGCAAATGACAGAACTGCCTTCTTTTTAAAGGCTGAATAGTATTTCATTGCGTATCTATACCACCTTTTAAAGTTCATGTACCCATTGATGGGTGCTCTGGTTGTTTCAGAATCTTGGCTATTGTAAATAGTGCTTCAAGGAAAGTGGGAGTGCAGACATCTCTTCAGCATATTGATTTTAATTCCTTTAGCTATAAACCCAAAAGTGGGATTACTGGATCATATGGTAATTCTATTTTTGGTTTTTTGAGGACATGCCATACTGTTTTCTGAAATGAGTGTACTAATTTACATTCCCACCAACAGTGTACACATGTTCCCTTTTCTCTACGTCTTCACCAATACTTGTTATCTTTCATCTTTTCGGTAGTGGCCACTGTAACAGATGAGAGGTGATATCTCCTTGTGGCTTTAATTTGCATGTCTCCGATGATTTGTGATGTTGGGCATTTTTTATATATCTGTTGGTCATTTGTACTGCTGGTTACCAGAGGCTGGGGCAGTGCAGGGGGATGGACAGGGAATGGGGAGATGTTGATCAAAGGGTGCAAAGTTTCAGTTAGACAGGAGGAACGAGTCCTGGTATTCTGTTGCACAGCATGGTGACTATAGTTAATAAGAGTGTATATTTCAAACTTGCTAAAAGAGGGGATTTCAAATGTTCTCCATTTAGAATATTTAAACTACAAAGACATGATAAGTATGTGAGGTAGTAGAAATGTTAATTAGCCTGATTTGATCATTGCACAATGTATACATGTATTGAAACATCATGTTATACCTCATAAATGCGTCAATTAAAAAACAAAACCAAAAAACATCAAATATTAAAAAGAAACTTCTAACAGGAACCATGAGCCCAGAAATCACATCCTATAGGAGCTCAGATATCAGAGTTCAGGTGCAGAATCCCTATTAATAATAATATTATTAGCTAGTTTTATCAAGTGAGTACCCTCTGCTAGGCACTTCAAATCCATCATGTCATGGGTGATCGAACGTAGACTAAGATGTGCTCCACCGAACGTGGCAGCCTCGGAGCCACATCCCAGAGTGTCTGGGCTGCTGTACCGTGAGCACCCCTGACTCCAGTCTGCTGTGCCTGGGAACTGGAACAGGAAGGGCTGCAGGAAGCATGCCAGTAGGGTTGGAAATAGGCAGTAGGGACAACAGAGATGGGAATGGGAGCAGACTGTGGATGGTTTGTGGCCACACATTCTCCCTCACTCTTTCCTGGGTTCTTGCCCTCCTAAAAGCAGGGAACTCCTCCTGGGTTCTGCTTCCTACATCTGGTGGCAGCCAAGTGGGTGCTCATCACAGTCAGCCTTGGCTCACTACAAATGTGCTTCCTCTTATTTAATCTACTTGTCTTGGCCGTATGCTCCTAGGTGTGGTCTGGTGATGTGTTGGCAGTGGGCAGATCAGAGAGCCAGCCTTGGGGAGATCTCTGAGGCTGACAGGTTCTCTTGGGGAGAATCAAATGCTAACTCCTCTCAGTCACTGCATCTCTGTCTTAATAATTATCCACTCTGTGAAAGCTAAGCTCCATTATTCATTGTGCACAGTGCCTGGCATGTAGTAGGTATGCAGCCAGCATAATCTGACTCCACGGTCAGTGTTCTTCTACAGTTCTGCCCGCCTCTTAGTAGAGCCCATAGTTGTCTACCTGAGGGTGTGAGGTTCCAGTGTGGAAGACAGCTGGAATGATGAGCAGATAGGCAGGGCTCAGCAGGTAGCCAGAAGCATGGACTGGCACCACTGGCCTTTCTGAAAGCATTAGCATGGCCCTGCTAAGACAAGGAGCCAGTCTAGGGGATCTGTCTCAACCTGCTAAATACCACTGCTGTCGCCACCACTGTCCCTAGGGGAAATTTCACAACACTTCTCCATGCCCCGAAAACCACCATCCCCCCATCACTGCCCACCAGGCAGCTTCCTTCTGTGCACTCCCACAGTGCCTGGCACCACCCAGTACCTGTCTGCAGGCCACCCTCCCCACTGGGTGATTCCTAAAGGGTGGCTCATGTCTGTATCCCCAAGGCCTGATGTGGTTCCTGGAATACAAGAGGTGTTCTAGAGATGCTCACTAAGTAAATGAACAAGAGATCCACAGGCATGGTCCCGGATGGAACAACATCTGAGATTCAACATCCACAGCCAAATAGCAACTCTCTTCCTCCCTAGCTCCTGCAGGGCTTATGCACGATCCAAGCCATAAGCAGGAATACTCCCTGCCTGGGCGGAGCCTTTTTGTTTTTCTACAGAGAACTTTCAGGCCCATTATACCCCTTTTGATCTTTACAACAGCTCCACTGGAAGGTATTCTTACCAGCATTGCTGAGATGCACGTTCAAGAACCAAAAAGATGAAGAACCAAAAAGATACCCAAATCAGTGGCAGAGCCAGGATTTGAAACCAGGGCTGCCTGGTCCCCAATTCCATATTAGCTTTTTTTCCTTCACCCAAACCTCCCATTAAGTGCCTTCTGTACACCAGCTACCAGGCCAGGCCCTGGGAACACAGAGATGAAAATGACACAACCCCTACTATCTACAGGAGACAGACAGTAGAGACCTCAGAAGAAAGAGCAAGCAACCTGTCATTGTGTCCCATTTGAAATTTCCATCAAACCCAGAAATGCCTGTCAACCTTCTTCCCCCAACCAGCCAAGCTGTGGTCCAACATGAAAGGCTCTGGTTTCCCCACCTTCCACTTCATCATCTCAAGTCAGACCAAATTTGGGATTCTCAGATGAGTTGTCAGGAGGGATGCAGCAGCAGAGGCCCAGCATCTTGAATGCCTTTCCAGGTGAACGACTGCAGTGCCTTCAGCCTTCCCCTCTGCCTCTGTGTCATCTGCCAGGAGAACACATTTGTCCACACAATTGAAGGAGAACACTAAGATTTGCCTGTTGTTCCCCTTCGTGTTGTTTTCCCAACCAACAGACAGATTTGCAGGCGCTTGATGCTCTTTTTCCTGCATAGCATTCACACATCTCTTCCTGCACGGTCTGAAGCTCTCTGGACAGCTGCCCAGCAGAAAAGGCCCCGGCTGTGCTTCAGTCTTGGAAGCAGGAGACTAGAAGGTCTCTGCCAGTTAGTGAAAGCAGCACAGGAAATGTCACATCACAGCAGATGGGCCCCAGGGCATGGAGAAGGGGGTCACGTTACCATATCATACATTCAAATAATGCTAAACCTTATTCCAGCAACCCCTACATAAGAAGGGAAAAATCAGGCAAACTACTCTTTAGCTGTAGGACCTTGGGCTAGGTATGCAGCCTCTCAGAGCCTCAGTCTTCTCGCTGTAAGCTGGGAAGAATAACATCTACTTCCAAGAGCTTTGTGAGCCTTAACAGACGGAGCGTTCAAAGCAATCAGCACAGTGCCCACTCATGCTCCACATGATTGCTTATCCTTCCCTTTCTCCCCAGAAAAAGTAGCCTCTAAGGAGAATGACATTAATGATGTCCTGAAAAACATGTGGCCTCCTGATTGGGAAGGGCAAAGGGGCTGCATTGCGGTCACATTCGCCTCATCTCCTTTATTTTCAGAAACAGCACCTGCCACATGGAGATGCTTACATGAGTGTTTATTGAAATCACTTTTTTAAACTCATTGTGAGAAAAAGCACAGCCATGCAGCACTTCTTAGAACATGATAGGTGGTCAAAAAATTCCTGTTTCAGGAACAGGTGAATGAGCAAGCAGGTTTTTTAATAAGATCCAGTCTTTACCTTCAAAGAGCTAACCATCTACAGCAGCTTCCTTGCTAATAAATCCCTCTGGCTTCATTTAATTGACAAGCTCCTTAATTGCAACTTCAGAAAACAAGAGCCAGGTTCATTTTGTTTACTGGAAGCCTGGTAACCCATTTGACAGACTTTCTCACTTCCCAATTGTGTGAAATGTATTTGAGGAGTTTGAAAGAGAAAAACAAAACAAAACTAAATGGCTAGCTTTAACAAGCATATTATTTTGAAAACAGTCTAATGAGAAATTTCAGTAGCTCACTGAGAAGAAAGCGGAATTGACTCAGGGAAGAGAAAAAACAGCTAAGTTTTAGAGGCATTTTGGAGCAGTGCAATTTCATTTCCTTCACGTGTAATAAGCAAGAAGAGATGAGAAACCCATCACCCAGAAGAAGCCCTAAAGGTCAGGATTAATGAATAGGTTAGAAGGTTTGATGCTTGCAGGACCAGCTGTGTGCTGGTAAGTGGATGTTTCAACAGTCCTTAAGGGGGCTTATACATAATTTATTTTCTTAAGTAGGTACACAGCGTAGAAATGTTGTTTGCACTATTAATTGGACCAGAAAACCGTGTCTTCATGGGTATTAGCTACTCCTAACTCCTCTCAGTAAGGGCTCCACTTTGCATTTCCCAAACTCTGTAAGGCGGAATACCCCAGCAGATCACACCAAGCCCAGAGGCTGGCATCTAGGCTTGGCAGCAGCTGCCAATCTTACTCTTATGCCTGGATGCAATGCTCCAGGAAAAGGATCCTAGCCATTATTTCCAAGCCCTGGCATGTGCAAACAGAAGGCTTCGAGGAAAAGCAGAGGTTCAAGACATGAAGCCCAGGTCAGATCTCTACTCTCCCTCCAGATTAGCTGCGTGACCTGGGACAAGTCATTTCACCCCTCTGAACCTTAGACTCCCCAGGTGCAAAATAAGAAGTTTGGAGGCGAAGATTTTTGGTGTCTGGCACTTTGCTCGGGTTCCTCTGACTCTGAGATGTGCCTCCCCCACTACCAGGTGGGAGAGCTCTAATGTCAGCAAAGCACCAGCCTCACTAGTCTGCCAGGAACAAAGTAGGCTGGGAGAGGGGTAAGGATATGAGCCGTGGCTATGAGGGATGGGGTCAAAGAGTATAGACTTTGGAATTAGGCCAAGAGTGATTTCACCCTGGCTCCTCCAGCTCTGTGACCTGGCTCAGCCTTTCTGTGCCTCAGTTTCCTTATCTGTAAAATGGGGATGATAATATTATCTTCACAGAGCTGTTGCAAAAGTTAACGATAGCAGATATAAAGTGGCTAGCACTGAAGGCACTCCAGGGAGGGCAGCAAAGCCAGCCTGTGATTTCAGAGCTACTTGAAGAGTTACTGGAGGACCAATGAGACTCTCTCCTTATTCTACACTTTATTCTATGTTTATCTGATTTAGAATGTGTCAACTTCAGATTGGTGGTATCCACTGTATCAATAGCTAGTTACAATTCAGCTGCTGGAACTCATATGTAGATTTTCAAAGTGGGCTGTGTGCATGGAAGCATCTCCCTTTCTACAGAACTCCTTGGCCCCCAGGAATCCCATTGGCTACCCTGGGCTTCCAGCAGCAGGCTTAACATCATCAGAGAATAGACAAGCAGGGGCATGTGGCTGTTTTCTTCCCCTCTAACTACTTTAAGATGAGCTTGGTATTGTGTGGACATAAGCAGAGAGCACAGGAACCCCCAAACCCCCATTTTTCAATTAATCTCTGACCCCGTCTTCATAACTTAAATAACTCATCTCTCTTCTGCCGAAAAGCAGACACATAGTACTTCCTTCGAGTATAGAAGTAAAGATGTCCATTATGTAACCTCCCAAACAAATCTACTACATGGCATGATTACCTTGCCCAGTTTGCAAAAGAGAACACTGGAATTGAGAATGACCACAGACTTGACTAGCTGTCAGTGAGCTGCCTTTAGCCTACTGTCCCTTCCTTTCAATGTCTCTGATGGGAAGGTCTCACCCATGAGTCTCAGCTCTGCTACCCCTTGGCACTGTGGCCTTAAGCAGCCTCAGATTCTCCATTTCTGGATGTGAATATAAAATGCCTCTACTTCCGGGTGGTTGGGACAATAATCAAGAATGAGGAGGGCCAGGTGCAGTGGCTCATGCCTGTAATCCCAGCACTTTGGGAGGCTGAGGCAGATGGATCCCTTGAGGTCAGGAGTTTGAGACCAGCCTGGCCAACATGGTGAAACCTTGTCTCTACTAAAAATACAAACATTAGGCGGGCATGGTGGTGCATGCCCGTAATCCCAGCTACTACTCAGGAGGCTCAGGCAAGAGAATCGCTCGACCCCAGGAGGCAGAGGTTGTAGTGAGCCGAGATCATGCCACTGAACTCCAGCCTGGGTGACAAAGTGAGACTCTGTCTCAAAAAAAAAGAAGAAGAGGAAGAAGAATGAGGAATGAGGTCAGGCACTGTGGCTCATGCCTGTAATCCCACTGCTTTAGGAAGCCAAGGTGGGATGATTGCTTGAGCCCAGGAGTTCAAGACCATCCTGGGCAACATAGTGAAACCCTCATCTCCACAAAGAAAATGTTTAAAATTAGCCAGACATGGTGGTGAGCACCTGTAGTCCTAGCTACTCAAGAGGCTGAGGTGAGAGGATTGCTTGAGCCCAGGAGTTTGAGATTACAGTGAGTTGTGATCGTGCCACTGCATTCCAGCCTGGGTGACAAAGCAAGGCCCTGTCTCAAAAAAAAAAAAATTATATAAAACTATGACTGTGCCAATCTGGGGTCAGCACAAAGTAGAAGCTAAGGAATTGTTAGTTTCCTTTCCTCCATCTTCAAAGGGCCATTGAGAAAGTTGAAGTTCTATGTATATGCAATCTCAATCTCTAAACAGTAACACACTGTGCAAGCATTAGGAATGAAAATGATAGTTGTGGGACTTATTTTTATCTCAGGAGCCCCCACCCCCCACCATTCCTGGAGATCCAGGTTTGAAACATGCATCTTTCTTAATTCATAATTAATTCTTACAGACCAATCCAACTAAGTGCAATTCTAGACTCTCAGCAACCCGGCAAATGCAGCCCTGCCATCCACAGTGGGCCTGTCAGCACTTACCAGGAAAGCAGAGAAATGCCTGGCAGAATAGCAGGTCTGAAGAAGCAGTGAGCTCAACCTGACAGTCTGGACTTAAATAAATTATATTTTCTGGCTGGGGGCGATAAGGCATAAATTTGAAGCGTGTGTTCTTACACGTCATGGTGCCCCAAAATGCAGAAAGAGCTGCATCTTGTTCCAAGTTTGTAGCAAAATTGCGCTGTGTGTAAATAGCTCTCTGGCTTTTGATGTTTAGCAGAGAGGAAAATAATCCTCTGAAAAAAGCCAGGCAGGAGCGGGAGGCTCAGCAGCCCAGGCGGAGAGACCAGCAAAGGCATGCAGCCAGGGAGCGGGCGTTTCGCTTTCCGTGAGCCTCTCCGCCAGCACCTAGGAAGGTAAACTGTCCCCAGTCATCTTAGTTCCTAAAAGGATTATTTCCTCTAATGCCTTCATGGAGATGCAAGCAAAAACGCTTAGGTCCAATTAGGTGGGAAGTGAGAAGGCTCCAGCAGAGAATGGGAGGGAAGGGGAGCTGGGCAAGATGTCAGCATGAGCTCCAGCCAGAACGAAGTGAGGCCAGCCAACACAGAAAGGGCATTTCCTGGAGGTGCACAAGGAAATGTGTGGCAGCAGCACCTTGACTCTCATTCATTCATTCATTCACTCATTCATTCAATAAAACAGACACAGTTCCTGCCCTCTCGAAGGTGACAGTCTGGTAGAAAACACATCCAACAAATAATCATGTAAATAACCATCCAGTTACACACTTTGATAGACACTATAATGGAAAAATATAAGGGATGTGAGGTTGTAAAACAAGAAGTCCCGATATGAATGAAGGCTGAGAGCCTGGAGAAGCCAAGCACCTCTCTGAGAAAGTGGCTTTCAAGCTGAGGCCTGATCAGGAGGAGCTGGCCAGGCAAAGCGCGCCAGAACATTCTAGGCAGAGAACACTCTAGGCATGCGGAAATGCCTGGCGGGGAAGAGCTTGCTGCACATCCTGGGGACTGAAGAGGCCAGTATGTTTGAAGCCTGTGAGAGCAGGGAGAAAGTGTGTCAGGGGCTCAACCATACAGGGCCCCAGTGGGGACTGGGGGCTTCATCCTAAATGCAACAGGAAGTCACACAAGGATTTTAGGCCTCTGCTGGTGGTCTTGACTTGATAAAAAATTTAGCTGTCATAGATTGTCACTTGGCCACCTCTCTGATTTGGCTTCAGTCTCCCTCTGGCTCCCCACCCCTGCTACTCTGGTGACCGCCACCCTTGACCAAGCTCTAAGCTATGTCAGCTCACACCTGGCACGTTTGTGAACTTGCCCCAGCACACTGCCCCCAGAAGAAGGAGCAGGAAAGATTACATTGACACCAAGGGCAGCTGCAGGAGCTGCTACCTGGGCTAGGATGGGTACCAGCCCTAGCAAGGAGGCAGTCAAGGATGGGGAACAAGTCTCTACTCACTCCCACTATAAAGACCTCTCTGCTCCCTCTTTGACAGGGAAAGCCTTCAATTCATGAGGCTTCCATTCCCACTGTATCTGCTCAAAGCAGACACTCAGTCAATGATCAATTGAAGTTCAGAGATGGGGGGATCTTAGCACCCCGCTAGACCCTCCACCTCTTTTTGTAAGTGGAAAAACTGAGAGAGGCTGGTATAAAGGAAGGAAAGGGTCCCAGTTGGACACTTTCTTGCTGTGTAACCTTTAGCAAGTCATTTCCTCTCTCCTGGGACTCTGTTTCCTAATATGTAAAGTAAGGTGGATTAACAAGATGATCTCTAAGACCCTTTTCAATTCTTACACCTTGTCATCATCTTCAGTTGCTTAGGGAGGGTCAACACCTTCACCAATGGCACTGGGCATGCTTTGGCAGGGCCAAGATCACAGCTGATTTCAGGAGTCCACACTACTCTCTAACCCCAGCCCAGTATTCTGAAGTTCAGGGACTAAAAGGTGAAGGAGTTGGAATTTGCAATAATCTGATGCTAAGCTGAAATTTACTTTTGCTTGCAAATCCCTTCATACAGATAGGCAAATTAATATTTTAAGCAATTTTGAAGAGACAGAGAGGATATTTAGAGTGTCTACAAAGAAAAGCTCTATTGGAGCACCCCAGAATTCACTCCAGGTGTGTTCAATGCCTTGCAATGGATGTGCTTATGAAATGCTCTTATCTGTTCATTACAGTGATCCCCAAGAACACGTCTCCATGGGATAAGTTCATTTGCCAAGTTCAATTGCTATATGCAATAGTTATGAAAAAACTTGGTTCTTTGAAAAAGCATATTTGCTTTGGACTTTGCATTAATTCCAGCTGTTCTCCTCTGCCATGAAGCTGAAAGAATAGGAATTGGCTGTCCTGAAATAGTGCAGCTGGCCAGGGACTCAGAGCTGTTTCGTATAGTGAGGAAAAACATAGATGTTTCACTACCCCTTCCTACAGGTCTTCAAGGCGAGCAGTAGAGCTTGTACTTTTTTGCAGTCCCCATAATCCTTGCACATAGTAGGAATATATGCATATGAATATTGATGGACTGATGAGAAAAGCAAGGCAGAAAGGAGCAGTATGTGGCTAGGAAGTGTCCCAATGACGAAAACCCTCATGTCCCTCCCAGGACAGCACAGCAGAAAGGGCACATGTGTTAGAATCAGACAGATGTAGATTTGAATCTCAGTTTTTCTGCTACTAGCTGTGTGACCTTAGGCAAGTCACTTAACCTCTCTGGGCCTTGGTTTCCTCCTCCGCACAATAGGTAAAGCAATAACTGCCAACGGTCACAGTTGTAAGAGTTAAATGAGATAACAGATAAGCATCTAGCACAGTTCCTGGCACAGGGTAGAAGCCCCTCTTCCTTTCTTCTAACTAGCCGTAAAGATTTACATAAGAAAGGCAGCCTGCAACAGTCACCTCTGTTATTTACTTGCCTGTGCACTGAAAGCTGGGAAGCCAAAGAGCCTCCCTGTGGCCTCCATGCTGTAGGATGGGACAGTGCAGTGGAGCATGCTCAGGAAAGTGGCCCAGACCCAAATCTCTGTGGCTGCAGGAATCCAATACAGTCAGCCTGGCTCTCTTCCAGCCAATTTTGCCAGATGTAATTTGGCTTCAGCTCGAGGTTTGAAAGCAGTTATATAATCATCATAACCCGTAGCATTTGTAGAAAGCTTTTGCAGTTTTAAAGCACTTTTGCATGCATTACCTCATTTGATCCTCTCAATAACCTTGAGAGGTAGCAAAGCCAAAGACCAGAACCCCCATTTTATAGATGGAGACATTGAGGCTGCGAGGTTTTATTTGGTTCACTTAAAGTCACACTACTAAGAAGTGGCAATGTCAAAACTTGGACAAAGATCTCTGCATTCCTTTCCCTGGGCTTTTTCTACACCATCACGGGGCCTCTTTGTAATCATACTTTCATCAAGCAAAAGTTGACTGAGCCCTATTGTGTGCCAGCAATGTACTAAGCATGAGTAAGCAGACGTAGTCACTGAGCCCCTGGAGTCTACCTTCCAGTGGATGCTGCTGGACTCAGGCGGGAAGCAGCACAGTGAAAGGCAGGAGGAATAGGTGGAGGGCATTGCAAAAGACTGGGTGTGGCAGGTCTGAATTCTAGCCTAAAGAGCGTAGGGATCTCTAATGGGTTTTCAGCACAGGATTAATGTGATAGGGTTTGCATTCCAGAATGACTCACAGTTACCTTAGAGGATGGGCTGGAGAAGGTCATCTGGAATCCTGAAGTCCAGCTAGGAAACCAGAGTGATGCAGTCAAAAAACGCTTGGGTCCTAAATTTCAGCAGTAAGGAAGACAAAAGGCTAAATTCAGGACAGATGTAGAGAGGTTATTGATAGGCTCTGCTGCCTGATTGGTCCTCTGGGTCAGGAGTGGGCAGCAACTCTGAGGGCCTGACTTGAACCCCTTGGCAGATGGCGATGCTGTTCCCTGGGACAGAAGTGCAAGAGAATTGTCCAATGGGGTGGGGAAGCTAAGGAAGATCAGTTCCCTCTGGACAAGCTGAGTGCCCAGGGTCTGCTTGAAGCACATCTCAAAGGTATGCTTATAAGACAATGAGTGAAACTAGTGTGTCTGGAGGCCAGAAGAGAGCCCAGGGCTGGAGGTGTGGACTGAAGGGTCAGGAGTTTACAGATGACATTTAATGCCTGGAAGTGAACAGGACCTCCCAGAGGTAGTGCTCAGAGGAAGAAGAGACCAGATCCTACTGCAACAAACCCCAAAGGGCATCCAGATTTGCTCTTTGATGCCAAAATTTCACTTGGTACAAGTCAGGCCCACAGCCAGGATGAAAAACCACTGGTTCCTGAGAGCGGTGATGGTGATGGGCTGTGGGGACTCTGACCTGCTGTCAGATTTCTGGGGTCTCGCCAATCTCTGGACCCCCGTCTGAAGTTACCCATGTGCTTCTCTCTCTCTCTCTCTTCTCTCCTTCAGGTGTTTACAAAATATGGGAAGTGTTACATGTTTAACTCAGGCGAGGATGGCAAACCTCTGCTCACCACGGTCAAGGGGGGGACAGGCAACGGGCTGGAGATCATGCTGGACATTCAGCAGGATGAGTACCTGCCCATCTGGGGAGAGACAGGTGAGCTGGGCACAGGGACCGGGCATTGGGTGATGGTGGAGGGTTGCAGGCCTGACTCTGAAAGGCTGGTGAGCTGTCTTGGCCCACCCTGTGAGGGACTGCTCTCCAGCAAGGGGTTTGTGACATGCTGCTAGATCATAAAGATGTCCCTGGCTTGGGCTGGGATGCCCTGGGTTTCCTCACCTTTTACTATGTGAGAGAGGGACAGAGGATGGGAATACTGGAGAGGTAAGGTAGGTAGGGGGAAGGAAGGCATGGGGGAAGGTTTGAAGTAACAGGTGTGGTTGGTCAGGTGAGTGGCTTGATTTCAGGAGAGGCGGGAAGGATGGATCAGCCTCTTTCTCTCTCAGTCATCCTGAATATCCCGACCCAATTAGAAGATCTGAAAGGAAAGCAGGCTGCCGCCCACTGGGGGAAGCTGGAGGGGCTGGGAAGTGTTGGAATACCAAAGGATGTGGGTTCAGGGACCTGGCACCTTGCCTGTGCCTATGTAAGCCCCTGGGAGACCCATGTGTATAGACCCTAAAGCTTATTTCATGCATTCATTTATTCATTTATTTCTTCAGCAAACTATTCGTAAACCATGTATACTATCTCAGGCTTTGCACCCAAGTAAGGACATTATGGTGAAAAAGATCAAGTCCTTGATCACGGCCCAGAGGAAGAGACACAATCACAGGGAACAGGGTCAGGGAAAGCACCAAGGGTATTTGAGCAGGGTCTTGAGATGGTCTTGGATCATCCAGATGGGCCTGATGTAATCACAGAAGTCTTCATAAGAGGGGCTCAGGAAGGTCAGACAGAAGAGAAGGCAGTGTGATGACGGAGGCAAAGACTGGAGTGATACAGCCACAAGCCAAGGAGTGATGGTAGCCTCTAGAATTTCACCAGGAAGAGAAGGTAAAGAGGTGCCCAAGACTGGGAACCATGGATTTAAGGGGGACCCAAAGTAAGATTAATGCTGCGTTCAGGGCATAACAGGAAGGACTGCAGAGGTGGGTCAAGAGAGGAGCGTGGGGAGCAGCCTGCAGGGGAGTGGGAGGGGAGGGAAGATTCCAGCAGGAGGGAGGCCCTGGGCCCTCAGGTTGGGGCTGAGGAAAGGGTGGAGCCCCAGTAGCCCAGCCCCTACCTGTTGCCACCCCTGTGCCTTGAGTCCATTGACTTTGGACTCTAGAGTCTGGCACTCACCATACCCAGGCTTACCAGGCTGCTGAGACAGCGAGGGCTTCCACCCCAGGAGGACTGACTGCAAACTCCAGGATCTCTCCCACCACCCCTCTCTCACGAACACCCCGTTGCAGGGACGGGAGTGTGGCCATTTACCTCCCATCACAGCCAGTCCTCTGCTCCTCCAACTGAAAGATAAAATGGCCACACACATGTCACTGCGCCAGTGCCATCTGGAAGCTCACCTCAGGCGCCAGGGCACCCCGAGCCCCATCAGCCACTCTCTGAGGAGACACTTTGTTGATCCTGTGTACTTTTCTCAACTCAATGCCCTTCCAGATGCAGAGGGACGAAGGTTTGTGTCCGTTCTGATCTCTGGCATCCCTGAGGGCTGGTGGACAGGGCATCCTGAGGCCAACCAGGCCCTGGGACCGTGGGGGCCTGTAGACAACCCGGAGTCCAGGGGGTGGAGTCTTGGTCCCCAAAGAGAGGCCCTTCTTGCAGACACCAGAACTTATATGATTAATCTAATCTGTGTGGTAGAAGAGAGAAATAAGGAAATAAAATGAGTCATGGAGACCCCACACTCAAAGCCTAAACAGAAGTTAGTTATGTCCCTCCATGACAATGGTAGCTTTCCTAGCCTGTTATCTTGATTCAGGAGCAAAAGCACATGTACACACACACACACACACACACAGACACACACATGCACTCTCAGTACCAGACCCCCATCACAGACATCCTCACACAGCACAGTTCCCTGTGGGATATGGCCTTGGTCTGAGCACTGGCTGCAGTCTACAAGGCTACCCAAAAAGTCTGTGTTCTGCCTCAAAGCCACAGATGGTCAGAGCAGGAAAGAACCTCTGAGGTCATCTCTTCCAGGCCAACCTTCTCTTTCCCCTGAGGCCTGGCTTGAAGTAATGATGTCTTTGAAGTCATGCAGTGAGTTCATAGCTGAACCAAGACTGTTCTGACCCAAGTTTTTGGACCCTCAGTCAACCTGACTGGATGATGAGCTATACCAATTCAGAGAAAATTCATAATCTTGATTAAGGACTTGTCACATGCTAACACTGCGCAGGTCATCATCAGGGGTGCAGGAGGCATGAGAAAAGACCCCATCTTTCAGGATCTTATTATCTCACTCGGGGTGCCAGATGTGCACACAGTTTCTGCAAGAGAACTCCAGTCTCGTTGCTGCTGAGAGTTTGAGTCATCCCTGGGAGATGGACCAGCACACTCACTTAGACGATTTCCTTTGAGACTGGGGAGTTGGGGAAGCAGGCTGTATGAAGAACGGGTTTAAAGCAGGGGCAGGGGATGGATGGGGCAGAAGAAACAGGTTAGAGAAAAATCTGATCAGTGCTGTCCTATAGACCCTTCTGGGCTGATGAAAATGTTGTCTGTCTGCTCTGTCCAATACATTAGTCACTAACCCCTTGTGGCAATCAAGTGTTTGCAAGGTGGCTAGGAGAATGAGGAATTGAACTTTTTTATAATTTCAATAGATTTTGGGGGAACAGGTGGTGTTTGCTTACATGAATAAGTTCTTTAGTGGTGATTTCTGAGATTTTATTGCACCCATCACCCAAGCAGTGTACACTGTACCCAATGTGTAGTCTTTTATGCCTCACCCACACCCACCCTTTTCCCCAAATCCCCAAAGTCCATTGTATCATCCTTATGTCTTTGCAGAGGAATTGAATTTTTAATACAGTTTCATTTTTATTCATTTAAATTAGCTAGCTGCAGGGGGCTAGTGGCTACCATATTGGAGAGCAGTTAGTATATTTGAAAACAGCTTCTGACAACTCTGGTTGACTTCATGGATTTTGGCTTTTGCAGCCACCTCCCATATTCCTCGGGTCATACTATTCCATATTCCTGGCAATCCCCTCACCATGACCTTGAGTGTCAGGCAGAACTCCTTGTCCCCATTTTCCAGAAAAGGAGGCTGAGGTTTTGTCACTTCCCCCAGACCCCTCAGCCAGACCCTTGAATTCCTGCATTAGGGCTCCCTCCATCGTACCTTTCTTCAGGCTGAGAAGGCCCTGAGCAATGTGCTGCCTCTTGCAGATGCTGGTCACCTCAAAGCTGCTTATTTCCTAGGCCAGTGGGAGGTGAGTCCCATGCGGGTGAGAGAGAAGCCAACACATCTGTTGAAGGATGGGAGGTGGGCTCTCGCAGGTGAGAGATGCTTGTCTGTAAAGCCACCTGAGGAGGCGCAGACACACGTGGCTGCTTGGTCATTGATCCCGAGGATGATGGACACAGCCAGGCCTATCCCTGCCACAGTCATCAGGAGGCAGCCTTCCTGCCCTGCCAAACCATGCGGCCCCACAGATGCCATCTCCCTTCCTTAACATTCCCACCTCTCAATCCCCAGAGGAAGGAGGCCAGGCCCAGGAGTCCAGGAGATATTTGGGTGGTGATGGAGAGGAAAGGAATTGAAATGTGCCCGTGGCAGTTTGATGTGTGCCCAGGCAGTTTAATGATGGAGGCAGTGTAGGAAGACAGAGAAAATGGCATGACCAGGTCAAGCAGACCCAAGACCCCATCCCAGCTCTTCCTTTCCTAACTGCGTGACTCAGGCCAAGTGAGTGAGCCTCTGTTTCCTCGTTTGTAAAATAGAGACAAATAAAACCCACTGGCTTTACAGGAGGGCTGAAGGGCTCAAACGAGAGTTCTCTGCAAACTGTAAGCAATGAGAGGGTGATCATGCCCACCAGCAGGTGGGAAGATGGTCAAAAAAAACACTCCAGAAGCAGAGATTATTCCAAATATCCCACACCTAAGACAGAGCTCTGCAGCACCTCAACATCTGGAACTCCCATTCTGCTCAAAGCAGAGCCTCTGGAACACTTTTGCCTTGCCTTGTGGATGGCTCCACTTCTCAGGAATGTCAGGAAGCAGGGAGGGAACCACTCTTCTGGGGATAATTCTAACTAACAGGAAGGACCTTTTGGGGAGGTGGTGATGGTGTTGACCACCATCAACACAGAGGACACCAAGGAGTAAGTTAACAAAAGACACCCTCTTTGGGTAGACCCAGCCCTATGGGCTCATGGTTAGTGAGTAGACAATGACTCTATGAAAATTATCAAAAATGTCCCTTCCTCCAGGCAGACAATGCCCCACACCAAGGTGCTCCCCTTGGTCACACATCTTCATGTGGGGCACCGTGATAATATGCCATTTTAAAGGAAGAGGTTCAGTTGCATGTGGTCCTAGAGAGTATGCCCCAAAACGAGCCCTATGGAACATCAGGAGTTTGGGATATAACATGTTTATGAACAAAAAGGATGCAGGGCCCAAAAAGAATTTAGGGAATTCTGGTTAAAAAATATTAAACACATTTATTCATTGCAGGAATTCTTTAATATAATACATCATGAATCTCCAAGATAGGAATAGCCAAGGCAGCATTTATTTCCCAAATGCCTTTGACCACAGAAACCTTCGTTTTCATGGAAAAGCTCACAGAATATAGTTTTGAAAAAGCTGTCCTAGACTGTAGAAGTGCAGATTTCATGGCCAGGGTTTTCCAACGGAAATTAAATTGAAGGCAGAAAGGGAGGTTGTTAAAAATGAAATTCTGTGTAGATACCTCTAAGTAACTTCAAAGATAAAAGGAATAGGCGGTGGGTTATCTAGGTTGCACATGAGAAACCTGAATCAAACAAGCTTAGGCATAAAAGAAATTATATTGTTCTCAGAATCCAAGGCAAGCTTCGACAACCAGCCAGCAGGAGGGGCAGGGATACAGCCTCAGGAATGAGTGGAACCCAAGGCTCCTAAATCCTCAGATCTCTCACTCCTCCTCCCTCTGAATTCTTTTCATTCTGTCACTAGAAACAGGCTTATTTTTCCCACACACATATTTTTTCACACATGGCTCCTAACAGAGCCTAAGTTTTATATTTTACAGATCCTGCCCCCAGCAAAAGACTGTTTTGACTCTCACAGACGTCCTGTTTAGGGGAAAAAAAAAATACAGGGAAGGGAATCATTGGCTCAGCTCCAGTCAGGTGCCCGCCCCTGGACCAATCAGCAGTGGGCAGGGGAATTAGTTCACCTGAGACCCTGTAATAGTCCTAAAGAAGTTGGGCCGATGGTGGTTGCAGAAGGCACTCCCAAGAGAACTGCTAGACAGACAGCCCTGTGGATGGCCACACTGAGTGAGTGGGGGTGAGGGTGAGAATTGAGGGTGGGTTACGTCTGAGGAAACCGGAATCCGTGTACAGGGAGTTTTCTAACAAATTCTAAAAGGGTTCGAGTGTCAGAAAGACCACAAATAGGCACCTCCCTTTCACATCTCCTTCTATCCTTCATGCACTCCAATGAAAAACACTTTTTTATCAAATACAATCTGCCCTGATTTCCCCAAATCCTAGTGTTAATTAGTGTTAACATGATAATATGTCAAGTATGCTTTTGAGCAAAGGAATGATTTTTTAAAGCTATGCTGTTCTCGGGGTAAAGATTTGGACCCCAGTATCCCTCCAGCTTCCTCAGCTCCTATTGCCCTCCCCTCACCTTGTTAACCTGGCTCTAGTCACACAGGCTTCCCTGCTGCTTCTTGAATATTCCAGGAACACCCTCACTTTGGGGCATCTGCATTTGCTATTAACCGCTATGAGAATTCTCCTTGCTCACATATCCACATGACTCACTGCCTCCCTGCATCAACTCTTCACTCAGATATTACCTTCTCAATGAGGTCTCCCCTGACTACCCTGTTTAAAATTGCCACCCTCACCCCTACTCTTCATCCCTCATCTTTGAATGCTTTGCTGCTTAGAAATTTCTTCCACCAGATACTCTAAATCGTCTCTCTCAAGTTCAAAGTTCCACAGATCTCTAGGGTGGGGACAAAATACCACCAGTCTCTTTGCTAAAGCCTAGCAAGAGTGACCTTTGCTCCAGCTTTCAACAAGTTCCTCATCTCCATCTGAGACCACCTCAGCCTGGACTTCATTGTCCATGTCACTGTCAGCATTTTGGTCAAAGCCATTTGATGAGTCTCTAGGAATTTCCAAACTTCCCCCATCTTCCTGTCTTCTGAGCCCTTCAAGTCTCTAGAAAGTTCCATACTTTCCCACATTTTCGTGTCTTCTTCTGAGCCCTCCAAACTTGTCCAACTGCTGCCTGTTACCCAGTTCCAAAGTGTTTTCCACATTTTCAAGTATCTTCATAGCAATATCCCACTTTACTGGTACCTATTTACTGTATTAGTCCATTTTCATACTGCTATGAAGAAATAACCAAGACTGGGTAATTCATAAATAAAAAGAAGGTTAATGGACTCACAGTTCCACATAGCTGGAGAGGCCTCACAATCATGGCAGAAGGTGAAGGAGGAGCAAAGGCACATCTTACATGGCAGCAGGCAAGAGAGTGTGTGCAGGGGAACTCCCCTTCATGAAACCGTCAGATCTCATGAGACTTATTCACTATCACAACAACAGCACAGTAAAACCTACCCCCATGATTCAGTTGCCTCCCACTGGGTCTCTTCCTTGACACGTGGGGATTATGGGAGCTACAGTTCAATATGAGATTTGGGTGGGGACAAAGCCAAACTATATCACCTTCATTTCCTTATTGTTTTTTATTGTCTGCCCCTTCCACTAAACACAAGTCCCAGGAAGTCAGAGACCTTGGACTGTCTGGCTCACAGATGTATATCAGGACACTACATATTTGTTGAGAGGAAACACAATGCTGAAATTGTGTACACTGCCAGGGCCAGGGTGAGGGAGAAGCCTGCATTAGTGAGTAGCTACTCTGTGCCATGAACCTTCCCAATCACTTGCTAACAAGGTATTAGAATCCTCATTGTAGGATGAGGACACAGAGCCCAGAGAGGTTGTAAGCTTCCCAAGGGTACATACCTAGTTAAGCAGTTGAACCAAGCTTAAAACCCACATCCACACCCAAAAGGGATGCTCCCTCCACTAAATTCCTTTAATGTTCACAATGTGGTCATAAAAGCCCTGCCATGAAAATAGCACAGGGAAAGAGGTTTAGGCAGCATCTCTGAAGAGAGAATGGCATATAATGATAGGTCTGCTGCCATCCTCCTTGTCTATTTTTTCCTCTTTTCTTCTTCAGGAGCAGAATCATTATACTGAATGAAAGCTTTAGCGCAGTCCCACGTAGAAAACAGACAAAAGCAACATGGCTCTGATCCCACTGGAGATGGAAACCCCCGTTTGCTTTCTCCCTTGGTCCCTGTGACCAACCCTGAGGCACCACTGAGGATGCCCTGTTTGAAAACCACTGGATGGGAGGCAGATGTCATTGGGATTAAAAGTGCTGGTTGGTTCCATGGCTGTGTCCATCCCAGAGACCAACTTGAAGCATCCCTCTCCCTTTTCCTGGGGTGGTGAAAGAAGCTCATGACCTTTCTGCAGCACACCAGAACTGCAGGGAAGCTGACATTCTAGGCTTCTGATTAAACATGGTAGGTTGAACATATGTGTTTATGGGAGGCCCCCTTCCTAGACCCCACCTAAATGGCAATCGAAGGGTTTTTTTTATATATGTAAGTATAAACCCAAAGGACAAAGAGGATGGGAGAAAAGACAACCGTAAATAGATGCCAGCCAATTTTTGGAAGATGTAAAGTAGATGGACGAGTGGCAATCGACTTGGCAGATTACACGAGGCTGAGAACTGAGGGCCTGCACTGAGGAAGCCAGCAAAGGCCAATAGACATCATTTGAGAACCCCCAGACAGGATCGGGAATTAGAGGCATAAGATACTGCTGAAGACAGGTTTGAGAGGTGGAGGTAAAACCAGGAGGAAGAGTTAAAAGTCTACAAAAGGAACTATTAGGCCCCCCACACATCCTCCCATGGCCAGAAGCAGCCATACAAATATCCCTCTTACAAACTCGGGACTTGGAGAGATCAGGCACAGCTGAGGGCATGGGTGAGGTGCTATGCAGAAAAACAGGGAGGTGAGGGAAATTCTACTTCCTGAGTAGTGGGACCCTCAGCCAGACTAATTTACCCCACCCACACCTGAGCAGAAGTTTGAGGGGATCCCTTCCTGGAGACTACAAGCTCAAGATAAAAGATCCACAGATAATGACAGTCAGGAAGCCTTAAAAGGCCTAGTTAGGTCACCCTAGAATGAAGTCCCTTGAGGAGTGCCCCCTCAACACAAGGAAGCCTTTAAGGACCTTTTACCCCTGAATGAGCCACCAAAGAGCCAAGCATTTGAGGGGACCCACTAAAAGGCAATGAACACAAATCAAACCAAAAAGAAACATTGAGGAAATAGACACATTGGCTAACAGCACAAGATATAGAGCCAGGCTGCTTGGGTTCAAATCCCAGCTGTAACACCATCTGTGTGACCTGTGTTACCTCTAAAATGAAAATAATAATATTATCTACATTTATAGGGTTGTTGGGAGGATTGAAGTGCGTTAATATTTATGAAGTGCTTAGAAAAGTGCCTGGATAATATTAGACACCATATACGCCTTTTGATAAATAAAAAATAAATGAAGGAAGCAGGAGAAAACATCAAAACACGTTAATTAAAATTCTCAAGAGAGATAAGAGATGATACTGCCTCCATAACCACAAGCATAGGATGCTATTAAAAAGGAAATTTCAGAGAAGAATAAATTAAACTTAAAATATGTGGCCGGGTGCTGTGGCTCAGGCCTGTAATACCAGCACTTTGGGAGGCCAAGGCGGGCGGATCACGAGGTCAGGAGATCAAGACCATCCTGGCGAACATGGTGAAACCCTGTCTCTACTGAAAATACAAAAAATTAGCCGGGCGTGGTGGTGGGCGCCTGTAGCCCCAGCTACTCGGGAGGCTGAGGCAGGAGAATGGCGTGAACCTGGAAGGCGGAGCTTGCAGTGAGCCGAGATCATGCCATTGCACTCCAGCCTGGGCGACAGAGCGAGACTCCATCTCAAATAAATAAATAAATAAACAAACAAACAAACAAATAAATTTAAAATGTGATTGCAAACTTTTTTTAATCCATAGAAGGATTGGAACTGAGAACATCTCCCGAAAAGGTTAAACAAAAAGACAAACAGGTAGAAAGTGAGAGAAAAATAAGAAAATCAGAGGGTCCATCCAGGAAGCTATTCTAGAACATCCTATTACTAGGAGTTTTAGAGTAATAAAACCAAGAGGATGGAGAAGAGGACACTGTCAAAGGACTAATATAACAAAAATCCTCAACTGAACTACATGATTGTCCAGATGGAAAAAGCTCACCAACTCCTGTCTGCAATAGCGTCAAAAACAAAAAACCAGACCAAGACACATCCTGGTGAAATTCAGGCTAACAGAAATAAAGAAAAAAATCTTTAAAGTTTCTGGAGAGAAAAATAGTCACATACCTGGGATCCGGAATGAGAACGACCTAGGACTTCTCAACAGAAGCAGCCAAAGCAAAGTGACAATGGCAAAATGTTTTCCAGTTTCTGGAGGGGGACGCTTTCTTTTCTGAATAGAATTCTATATCCAGCAAACTACAAATGAAGTGTGAGAGTAGAATTTGGTTTCCCAAAAAATGTAGACTTTTTCAGGAAGTTATTGGAGAATGAGAAGGTAAATCAAGGATTGCATAAGATTCCAGAGACAAGGATCTGGCCTAAGAGAATTTCCTGATGAGGATGAAGAGAAGAACCAGGACAACAGTTGCACAGGAGGCCTGGAGAGCATTCCATCCAAACTGGAGCAGGAAGATGTTGGATCCACAAGGGATGGCCCTTGTGGGTCTGTCTGGCTGTCCTGAGAGGCATTTTACAGCTCTGCCATAGAGTCTGGGATTTCTAGTGATGGGTACTAGCAAGCCATACAAACCAACAAGGAAAAAGCAAGGTAAAACAAAACAAAATGGAAAAAAAAACAGGAAAAACAAAATATTTATTTCGCAAGAGAGAGATCAAAAACATTATATACTGCAAGGCTGGGCTGTGCACAATATTTACAGAGTCATGGTTATGTAAAAGCTGGATACTGATTTAACCAAAATATCATATCACTATATTTGGAGGGTGAAAGGAAAGGCAGCATCGTGGAACACATCATCTAAGAAGCCTACATCCTCATCTTCTGTGATTAGGTAGGAATTGTGCAGATAATATAATATGATTGTAGATGATTCCTACATGGTAGAAATTGGGTAGACAGGATCTAAAATTTTTTAAAACCAAGAAATAAATCTCAAGCAGTTGACATTCATGGAAATATGAAAGTAAATACCAGAAGAAACAGCTAAAACAGTTGAAAGTTGTTGCTTCTGAGAAGTAGGACTCGGGGGTAGGAAGAGGTGGAGCAGGAAACTGCTGGTTTTCATTAGAAGCCTTGCAATACCACTTGATTTTTAAATTATGTACATATATTGCTTTGATAAAAATAATAATTAAATTTAAAATCATCATAAATTTTTAGCATAGCTGGAAGGCCTGAGCAGCTATCACGGGTAGCACGTTTCTTATCCCCCTTTACAAATGGGGCAGAACAAGCGTGGGTGATGATGGTTGCTATGGTTTCTCCGACATCTCTGCTCCCAGGAAAACCTCTTGTCATGGTGCCAGGTCCTAAGGAGCTCCCCAGAATGAGAGGAGCAGGCTCTGGCCTGAGTTCCGAGTGTCCAGGGCACAGGAACCTACAGCAGCCAGCTGGGATGTTAGGCTCACTCTCAGAGTGGGCCTCTGTGCTGGACACAGGGACTCCACAGGTGTCCGAGGACTCTAAAGAAATGATGCCATAAATCAGAAACACCACTGGAGGCAGGTATCCATTTAGCATGAGAAGCAGCCTGACTTTTTTCATTCTGGAAAGATGTGCGTAATGCACATGCTAAGTGTGATGCAGAAAATACGTGTGTTCTAGTTAAAACTCCCAGCTGGTGCAAGGGTCTGAGGAGAACAGCTAGGAAGCAGATGAGACAGCCCCAACCTCAGACCTCATGTCCCCAATTTAGTGAATCTCAACTGCATACCTACTGTGTGCCAGGCACCTCAGTGATACAGATGAAGGGCCCAGTCCAGGTTTTCGAAGTTTATAATCTAGGGAATATCTGAAGGGCTCTTTTTAGATGGTAGATGGAAATGTATTCACCCAACAACTTTCATATAAAGTGTCCAAGGAGTGCCAAGCATTTGCAGTCTGTTTGGGGAACGTGTCAACTATTAAGTGTCACCAAGTGCTGTGATAGAAGATAGATTGAGAATCTAGAAGGAGATAGTCAGTTCCAGAAGGGAGGGGACAAGCGTATCTAAAGGAAGGCTTTAGAGAGAAGTTGACCTTTGGTTTTAGTCTCAGGCCTGTTTGCCAGGTTGCTGGGCAGCGTGTGGGAGTTAGAGGAAAATCTGAGGACCTGGAAAGCTGAGGTCCTGAGCAGAGGGAAGGGAATGAGGACCAGAGGCCAAGAACAGCCCAGAGTGTGCAAGGGCATCTGTATCTAAGGATGAGACCTGGGGTTGGAAAGATAGGTAGAGGCCAGATCACCAGGGGCCTATGTGTTCTGCAAAAATGTAGATATTCTCTTGGGAGTCCTGCTAAAGTGTAATCCTCTGACCAGCAGTATCAGCATCACCTGGGAGCTGGTTAGACGCATAGAGTCTCTGCCTTCCCCCACCCCCAAGTCTGTGTTGCAACAGGATCCTCCAGGAGATTCGTGTGCACATCCAACTGTAAGAAGCTCTGATCCAGACCACTGTTCCCCACCATTTGGAAGAATGGGGATGTCTTCTTAACATCAAAATATTTCTCAGCCAGTATCCCACATGAAAGCTCTTGTGCTTTTTTAATTCATTGAGAGAATATTGTATAACAAAAAATTGCTATGAATCCAGTAATGCTTTGGATGATTTTGAATTCTATAATCACATCACAATCTATATACATGAGCCACTCAGCAGTCTGGTTGTACCTAACTTCCACCATCGGTGTGTGTAAACAGAATTTTTACAAATGGAATCTTAATCATCCACCAACTTTCCCTATAATTTTAGACACTTTCTGATGGCATTTCAAGGGTGATAATCTGAACACCAGTTACCCACCCAGAATCATCAGCCTTCTTATCAAGTAATTTATAATCTCTGAGACTGAATGCACTAGGAAAACTCATTATTTAAAGAATGCTTGAGATAAATCTTTTGGTAATGAGACTACCCCCAACTCCACACACGGTGCTTTCACAAATACATATTTTGCAAATATGCTGTTTAGCAGGAATGAAAGTGTAGCCACATTTCTCAGTTGCATAACCAAGACCTAACATTAACTATCTCCTTCCCCAACATGGACGCATCACCCCACAGTGTATAAGGTGCTTTCCCACATTCCAGCCACTGATCCTCATACACTCCTATGATGTAGACAGGGCAGTTCTAGTCATTTAACAGATTAACTCATTTTAAAATGCGGTAAGCGGCTGGGTGCGGTGGCTCATGACTATAATCCCAGCACTTTGGGAGGCTGAGGCAGGTGGATCGCCTGAGGTCAGGAGTTCGAGACCAGCCTGGCCAACATGGAGAAACCCCGTCTCCACTAAAAATAACAAAAATAACAACAACAACAAAAAAAAACCTAGCCGGGCATGGTGGTGCATGCCTGTAATCCCAGCTACTCGGGCAGTTGATGCAGGAGAGTCGCTTGAACCTGAGAGGCAGAGGTTGCAGTGAGCCAAGATCACGCCATTGCACTCCAGCCTGGGCAACAGAGTGAGACTGCATCTAAATATATATATATTTTGTTTTTATATATATATTTTTTGTTTATATATTTTTGTTTATATATATATTTTGTGTATATATATATTTTGTGTGTGTGTATATACATATATATATATACTGTAAGCAGAGACATTGAGTGACTTTCCCACAGCCTCATGGCTAAGAAGTAGTAGAATAGGATTTGAATCCACATCTTCCGATTTGGTCCTCCTTGGTTTTTTCCACACAGAGCTAGTGTTCCTTAAAAATGAAAAATGAAAAAGAAAAAAGATTGCTTTGGGTAACACTCGGATCAACAAAGTATAACATGTTTTTGCTGCAGGACGTCATAGCGTCTTTAAAATACTAGTGTGCTCCATGGCTTTGCAGGAGGGGCTGAAGTTTGCAGCCTTCGCCAAACTCTTGTGGACACTTGGTAGCATCTCCTGGATCACCAGCCATTGGTAAGAACGCTGCTGCATCACGCTGCCACCCAGAACAGGCATAATTGCAGCCCATCCCGCATGGGGACACAATGTTGATTTTTTTTCTTCCTCCAGAAGCTTGCCTAGCTTCAAAATATCACCTGTGAGCAATCAAGCCTGAGCTTGCCCATCTTTGTGCTGATTTCGGATCTCCTTAGCTAGAGATGCTGCCCTACAGTGCCTATCTGTCAGGGAAGGGTTGGAGAGGAAGGACAAGATACACACTGCCCAATTTTAGATAGGCAGCAATTTGTGGATTCTTTGTGCTGTCTTTAGAGAAATCAGCCTCTTCTGACTTGATGTGAGCTATGAACAGCCACATCTATTTTTTTTCATCTATTTTGCAGGAGATTAAAATGAGATGCAGTGAGGTAAAGACATTTGCACATGGCCCTCAGCTCATAGAATTTTAGAGCTAAAAGTAACCTGAGAGATCAGCCCCTGCTTCATTTGAACAGAGGAAACTAAAGCTCAGAGGGGCAATTTAACGTGCCTGAGGTCACCCGGCAATTAGGTAGTGGGACTAAGAGTCAAACGCAGGTCTCAGTAGTGGGACTAAGAGTCAAAAGCAGGTCTCTGTGATTTCAGAGCCCGTGTTTTCCTTGATGCACTTCTCTGCCTCTCTTCCCTGGCCTTGGGCTTTCCCTGGATTTCTCTGGTGTGAGCAGGGGAGCAGGGTCTAAAATGACACCTCTGGTTGACTTCAAACACCATCAGCATGCCCTTTCCACCAGGATCTCAAGGCTGGGGCTGCGACTCTGGTCCGTGTTACTGTCGCTGTCCCACACTCACTGAGCTTCTAAGATGAAAGAACAAAGGCTGCTGAGCCTACTGCAAATAAACTCTTCTTCCCCATCCTTCCCTGTCCAGCTTGGAACTTTATCAGCTTGTCATCTGGCACCAATGTGGCTTCTAGCCCACTAACAAAAGGCAGGGGAGGGTGAGGAATCTAGAGACCTGGATCCCAGCCACTGCCCACCTGCCACGTGCCATGTGGCCCTTGGCCACTGTCTTCTCTGTGAGCTTCCATTTTTTCATCTGAAAGGTGAAAAGTTAGCTAAATCGTCAAGGGGTCTCCTGGCTCCAAAATTCTACGCAGCCGTGAGTCAATGGCCCCGGGTCTGTTCTTTACTTTCTGTGAGCTTTGGTTTCTTCATCTGAAAAATGAGCATGATGTAAAAAAATAAAATGAAATGTAATGAAATGGAGATATTGACACCTGCCTCAGGACAGCTGGGAGGAGCCAGCAGGATCAAGTCTGTGAAAACCCCGAAGCTTACCGTACATGTGCCAAGATTGTCTTTCGCCATGACCCAGAGGGGATGCAAAGCTCAGCAGCTCAGGGTCCCAGCCTGCAAAGCCCCAAAGGACCCAAACCAATGAAGAATGTGGTCAGTGATGCTAGAAAGGCACAAAGTATTTGAGCGAGGCCACATGGCAGGGGGCAAAAAGCACAGGCCTCAGAGCCCAGCAGACAAGGGTTGGATTCTGGATCTGCTTTGTGTGGCTAGGGCCAGCTGACCTCTCCGAGCCTGTTTCCCTGTCTGTAAAATGGGGGCACCTACCTCTAAGGGTAACTGTGAGGTGTTAACGAAATGGTTAGCTGGCCTCTGACCTTGTCCCTGCCACTCTGGCCTTGTCCCTGCCACTCTGGCCTCCTTGCTGTTCTTGAAGCGCCCCAGTGTGCACCTGTCCCAGAGCCTTGGCACTTGCTGTTCCCTCCACCTGGAACACTTTCTCCCGGATCATCCCATGGCTCATTGCTCACTTCATTCTGGTTACTACACAAACACCCTCACCTTGAACAGGCCTTTCCTGACTCCCAACCAAGCGAGCCACACCTGCTCTGCCCTTCCTCTGCATCACTTCTCCTAGCACTTTCCATCGCCAGCCTGATGTTACACGTGTACCTGTTTGTTATCGTCCACCTCCCCCATCAGAACATGAGCTCCAGGAGGACAGAGACTTCACCATGCTGTTGGCTTCACTGTGCTGGATAGGGGTCTCCACAGGTGTCCGAGGACTCTGGAGAAATGATGCCATAAATCAGAAACACGCTTGGAGGCAGGTATCCATTTAGCAGCCAGAAGCAGCCTGACTTTTTTCATTCTGGGAAGATGTGCTTCATGCACATGCTAAGTGTGATGCAGAAAATAGACATGATTTAGTTAAAACTCCAAGCCAGCCAGGCAAAGGTCCAAGGCCGGTGGCACATGCTCATGGTAGGCATTCGATGCATAACTCCAGGGAGTGAGGGAAAAAATGTGGACTGCTGTGAGGCTCCAGCTCTGGGTCTTGTCCTTAAGAGGGTCAGTTGTTCCTTTCTGCTTCTATGAACTCCAAAGCAGCATCTCAGGAAATGCTTTAGGGAAATAAGAAGAAATAAGAAAAATGTTCCTGTATTTCAGAGAGAGTTTCTCTCTTTCTTGCTTTCTCTCTCTGGCACACCCGTACACTAGTACACGTCTGCATGCACACCCACACAGGCACACACACACTTTATAGTCTCCTAGGGAATGCAGAGCAGTGCCACAGCAGGTGCTTGACAGTGGTAGCCAGAGATGCCACTGCCGGGTATAAGTGGCCCAGCTGCTGATGGGCCAAGCCCCTCCCCATGCCTGGGTGACACAGGGACACTCCAGGCCCATTTGTCTGATCATAGGTAGCAGTGAGGCCCAAAGGATGGGCCTTAATGAACAGGTCCCCAGGGATTAAGCCACATGATTAAATGAGCAGCAGAGACCAGAAAGATATCAGCCACCCAAGACAAGAATGCCAACCACGGCCCTTCAGGGGATGGTCCAGGCAGACTTTGCTGCCCCTGCCCAGCCCCCATGCACTTGTCAGCCTCTGGCCTGAAGTCCCTACACAGCTGCCCACTCACTGGGCTGCAGCAGGGGTTCTGAGCTGGCTCAGCAGGTTTCATGTGAACCCAGCTTGGCCACAAACTCCCTGTGAGATCCACACAGATCCACCTGCCTTTCAGCACCTCGGTGGCACATCTGTAAAACAAGGAGGGTGGGATCCTCTGTCTCAGAGGTGAGTTGTGCACATTTGTTCACTTCACCAAGCATTTTTGAGTTCCTACTGCATGCCAGGCACTGTGATTATAAACATAAATGAACATTGACCCTGTCCCCAAGAGATCTCTCAGTCTTAACAGAGAGGGAGTTGGGATCAAGTGTGAACATGGTAAGTACTAGACATTGGGGCACCGAATGGAGGGAAAATGTCGAGGAGGTGGTGAGTGCAAAGGTGGGCAGAGGGTAACCAAATGGAAGATGAGAGGAGGGGCCAGTCTACATGGAGGGACTAGCATGAGCAAAGAGGAACATAAAACAGCAACTGATCCCCTTGGATCTTGTAAAAAGCCAGAAATACTGAATTCATGGTGATGATGGTGATGATGACACTGCAAATTGTTGAGTTATTAAGCTAAACTCTGTGCTAAGAACTTTCCATGCAATGGCTCATTTAAGCCTCACAACAGCTCTATGAAGAACAATCCATTTTTATGTTCATACCCATTTTAAAAATGAGAAAAATTAGGCTCCAAGAGATTAAATAACTTGCTATAGTTCACAGAACTGAACTAGACTTCAACTTGCCTGATCCCACAGCCCCAAGTATTTAATCAATTTGTCTAGGCTCTCTCTGGTTCTGATGCTCCAGGTACAAGAGGTCTGCATTTCTGCCTCTCTCAGAAAGTCCGACTCACTTGTCTGGGAAACAGGCACTCTATCTCTGGGGAGATCCTTAAAGAGGTGTGGAGTAGAAGGGGCGGAGCTAGGACTAGGGGACAAAATCTATAAGCAGGCAGTTTTCAACCAAAATAAGGGTGAACTTCCAAAACCATGGGCTGCCCCTGCAGGGAGTGAGGTCTCCATCCCTATGCACTTGCTCAAACCCAATGTCCGTCCTTCCCTTTGTGGTACCACAGAGGGGACTCCTGCTGTCTATCAGAAGTTAAGTGAGAGCCCATGGGAGATCCACCAGTCAGGACCCAAGCAGAGAAATCAACAGCACCCTCAAATTGAATACTAAAAGGAGAAATTAATCAAAGACTGTTAACAAAGGCATGGGCAAGGCTTGGAAAAGCAATACAGGAGAGTGCAGCATCCTGGTACTTGTAGCAGGGAGAGCCGTTACCACCCCCTCGGAAAGAAGGAAAGAAGCTGGTGTCAAAACCCAGAGAGAGACACTATGAAGAGCTCTCCCTCCAGCCCCCAACCCGGAGCTGTGGCCTTCCAAAGTGACATGCAGCTAACCCACAGTGACCCAGCAAATGGAGTTGAGAGACTGGACACCCCAGCTTGACTCTCCTCTCTCCCTCCAGTTTCCTACCTGGCCCACCATTAACTGATCCCAAGCCAGAGGGCAACAGAGTCCATCAAGACAGTCTCTGCAAGTCAAACCCGTAGCACAGAGAGCAGGGTGGAGAAGCACTGGGAAGGGGGTGCAAACAGAAGCTATCCCATACCCACACAAGGCCCTTGCTGCACTGTGAGATGCCCCTTATATGGCTGGCCATTGTCCCACCCTCTCCTCTGAAGCTATCTGGGGAGCTAGGGTTCCCCCACTCAGCCACTGTTATAAAGTCATTTTTGTCCAAAGCAAGATTGCTTTGTATCAGCACGTTCACTCTCTGAGCTCTGAAAACTCCCCCTAGCTATTCAGATAAACTTTTCTTCCTACTTCTCTCCAGTGTTTATTTCCTTGGCATGTTTTCCGTAATTTGCCAAGATGAAAGATTTTAGCTTCTTTTATCGTGATGCACTTTCCCTGCCCCGTTATGCATTCTGCCTATTGCTCCTGCCTCCTCCTACAGGGCTCCCATGTCCTTTCTGCATATTCAGAAAATGCACTTCCCTCCCTGGCCAGGTAGATCTCACCTTGTGCCACCTATGGCCAAGCTCTTGGAAAATGCTGGGAGACTGTGGCTTCTGCAGGCTGAACTCCATCTTACCACACTCCTCTTGGTTCAGCATTATCTTTCATGTTACGCTGTCTGCGTTTCAGCTTGGTACCAATTAACAAGAACTCCCATGTACATACTGTCTACATAGTATGTATGTAGTAGCTTTCCCTTTCTCTCTGCACTCTCTCTCTCTCTCTCTCTCTTTCTGTCCTTGAATCCTGGTGTTCATGATGTGTAAACAAATCATTCACTGTCCAGAGACCTACACTCTTTGAAGGAGCTTAGCATTGAATCAGTTGCCAATAAGACAAATATGAGGATGTGAACAATTCTGTCCAGCACCAGTTTGAGATGCTACTATCAGGGCGGTCACACAGGGCCCACAATCAGAAGGGCCACTCACTTGGTTTAATGCTCTTGAGATTGCTGTCTTGAAATTCTTTTATTTTTTAATAACAATGCTTACTTTTATAAATTTTTAACAACATTTTTTAACAAGGGGTCCTGCATTTTCATTTGGCACTGGGACCCACAAACTATGAGTGCAGTCATATTGTTACTGTTATTGTTGCCGTGTTGTTGTTGTGTGTGCAGCCCCACCTGCATGCCAGCAGGTGAGCCCTCCTGAATTATGCGGTGCTGGTGTTTACCAGTGTCCTCCAGAACCTAGGCAGGCTCACAGCTGACCAGATACAGCAGGGAACAGCAGACATAAGCAAGGGATACTTCCTCACTCATTTGTTCCATTCAACAAACATTTATTGAGCCCTGCTTTGTGCCAGCTACTGTGCTAGGGACATTAGGGGTGATTACAAAGAAAAAGATATCCCATGCCCTCAGCCCCCATTCAGAACTCCAGAGCTATGAATTAAGGCATCTGCTCACACTAAATAAACCACACTCCTGGTGGAGTAGAAAGAGTGCCACATTAGAACTCAGGAGACCTGGCTTCTAGCCCCTGCTCTGCTCTTGACTTGCTGTCTGACCTTGGGCAAGTCACTTCCCTTCCCTGGACTAGATCACTGCCCAAATGTAGATGACCTCAGACCTATATCAGAATTTCTGGAAATGCAGATTCCTGCTCTCCACTCCAGAGTGACTGAATCAGAATTTCTGGGAGTGGATCCCAGGAAGCATCACCCAAGCCATCTAGGAGATTTTAACTTGCATTCTAGCTTGGGAACCTCCAAAGTGGATGGTGTGAAGTTGCCTTGGCTCTAACAGTCTACATTTGTTACTTCAGCTCTCAAGTTGGGTCTTCAACTCAATACTGTGCCATGCCCAGGAAAGGGAAGAGAGTGAGGGCAGGGACTGCAGGGAGCTGCTCTTCACTACCAACCTGGAAAGCAATCTTTAAAAGGAAGCCAAGGGCAATTCTGGTAAGAAATAGAAAGAAATGCATCTGTAGATGTACAAGTAGGGCTTTGGGGAAAGCAGGGTAGAGGATCTGGAACTATGGTCGTGGTTTGACCATGAAGACACACTGATCTGCTGCTCGGAACCCTGCCCAAACTACCCAGGACTCCAGACAAGGGCATCTCCAGAGCACCTGCTTAGGAAGGCAAGATGGCGGAGTTCTCGTCACCCCCTCAGCTCTGGGAGGGCTGTAGTCTGCTCATAGCTGGATATTCTAGAACTGTGCTATCCAGCAATGTTTCCACTAGCCACATGGGGCTATTTAAACTTAAGTTTTAATTAATTAACATTAAATAAAATGAAAAATTCAGTTCCTCAGTCACACAAGCCACCTTTCATAACTGGCACCTACCATGTTGGGCAGCACAGGGAATAGCACGTTCCCATCTTTGCAGAAAGTTCCACTGGTCCGCAGTGCTCTAAAGAGAGCAGAAACCTTACCTATCACCTGCTCCCACTCATGTCCATCCAGCCACTGGATGTTTTTAAAAACTGAGGCTACTTTAGGATTTTACTCTCAGCTGCAGCTACTGCTGCTTTCAGAATAAGCTAGCACCTCTTCCAAATCCGAACCCAGTTCAATTAGCCTTGGGCGGTTCTCACTAAGAGAGGCACACCAGGCCTGTATGTTTTGCCCATTACTCATGGCATTTCTGACAGGAAGCCTTCATTTCTCATTTCTCCTGTAAACCACAGGTCCTCTCTTTTGAGCCTGTCTTACTGGCTGTAAGATTTCTTAAGCTTGGTTGTATAGCAGGCACACACGGCTTCAGCTAGCTCTCGAAAACAAGTTCTGGCATCTCTCCTGTTCCCTCCCACGGCTCACTGAAGGAGCCTTCAGTTCCTCCCAGCAGGGGCATCCCTGTCATCCCAACAGCCCTCCACACTCACCCTTCTTCCCCATCTGAGTCTGTTTTTCAGGCTCCACACTCTCTCCTCAACCCCCGTCTTGGACAGACTTTTGAAAACACAGCCACTGAAAGATGACTATTCAACCCCCTCATTCCATCCAGTCCTCCCTTTCCTGAAGTCCTCCTCCCAGATCTAAAAACCTTCCTTGAGGTTCCACCTGAGGGCCAGGCCCTGGGTTAGGTGATGGAGCCCTGGACTGAATAAAATATGGTCTCTCTTGAGGAATTCACCATCAATAGGAGAGATTGACACAAAGCCACAGGCTTCCAGGAGCATATGGATAGGAGTTTGGACAGGGTGATGCTGTACAGAAACCACAGAACAATGACTGTACTGGAGGGAAGTGGGATGTGTTTGTAGATTGCCTGGATTCTCTCCCACTCCATGAACCATATCCAAAAGGATTCCTGGCTGAGGGTCTCCTTGTCTAAATGATGAAAGCCCTGCCTACCCTTCCCTGGGGTCCTGTCTGCCTGCTAGCCCTTTCTTTCCACGTAGCCCCTGGCCTTGGAATTCTTGCCCTGCTCCAGACCCCTGCACCTACCTCAGTCAATAGCCCCCACACTTTCCATGGGTCATGCCTTTCCCGTGGCTGGACCCAGCCCTTCCTTCCCAGTGACTCTCTTCTGTGCCAGCTTTAGTTTGTCCCCAAACCCTCCCCAAGCCACAGCCTGAGTGCTGACATGTCCTCCCCCTCTCCATCCCTGACCCCCAACCCCATCATTATCTTCTCTCCTTCCTGCATTTATCCATTCTCTCTCCATTTTTTTCTTTGAGAACATTCCTTGATTTGGCCTCCAGGTTGGCCTTGTCCATTCATAAATGATTGAGGCTTGACCCATAAATCTCCCATTTATTCATTCATTAGGCATCTCCTGAGTGCCTGGTGTATGCCTAGCCATGTGCAGGACCTTTGAGGTCCAGAGAGACAGCCCAGAACTTGGCCTCAGGATACTCCAGCCTGCTGGAGGAAACAGTTAAAGCCTCATCACGATGTGCTATGGCAGGGGCTCCAGCAGGCAGATGTGGAAGATACAACAGAGCAAGAGAAAGAGTTGCTTTGGGTGGGGATGGAGAGCTGAATCTTCAGTGACAAGTGGGAAGATGGTCAGGTGGACAAGGTAGAAAGACATTCTGGGCAGAAGGAGATGCATTTGTGCAGAGTGGGTACCAGTGATGCCCAATCCAGGCAGCCCCGCATGGTGCCTCGAGGCAGAGGCTACTCAGAACAAGGCTAGGGAAGGGGTGGGTAAGGAGCCTGGGGTCCTTGGAAACATGGGAGGGAGTTATACAGTTTACATTTGGAGAGCTCATTCTGTAGACTGTTTGGAGAAGACAAGACAGAGAGGGGGATCTGGTAAAGGCTTATACAGTCCCATAAGTTCATTTTCCACTGATTGTGAGCACTAAACATTTAGGATGATGGCTCTGTACCGCCCCCAACCTCCCACTGCCAAGGGCCATTTCTTCTGCCAAAGGAAAAAATGAGGGAAGTTTCTCTTCTACTTGGCCATTGCAGCCCCAAGGGGCAAACACCTTGGCATACAAGAAAGCCCTGCATTTTTATTTCTACTGCTGCATCATGTTTTCCTCCTCCTGATATCCCCACCTTCAGTTCATGACCCAGAAGAAAAGTTAATCAATAAAATAAAGGAGTTTGACTTATGTTATAATCTCATTCTATAGATTTGGCAACTGAGGCAAGGAGTTGACCTGGCAAACTGACCTGAATTTGTTTCCCATTGCTGCTGCAAGAGATTACCACAAATTTAGTGGCTGAAAACAACACAAATTCGTTATCTTAAAATTCTGGAGGTCAGAAGTCCAAAATGGATTTCCCTAGGCTCAATAAAATCAAGGTTGTTGGCAGGGCTGTGTTCCTTTTGGCAGCTCTAGGGGAAAATTCATTCCCCTGCCTTTTCCTGCTTCTAGAAGCTACCTGCATCCCTGGGCTCATGGCTCCTTCCTCTGTCTTCAAAGCTAGAAGCATAGCATTTTTCCATTCTCTCTCTGACCTTGATCCTCCTGCCTCCCTTTCATAGGAACCTCTGTGATTACATTGGGTCCTACTTGCATAATTTAGGGTAGTCTCTCCGTCTCAAGAACTTTAACTCAATCACACCTGCAATGTCCCTTTTGCCATGTAAGGCAACCTAGTCACAGTTTCTGGAGGTGGGGATGTGGACACCTTTGGGGGCCATTATTCTGCTTATCACAGGGTCTTTTCAGCATCCCTTTGAGCTTTTCAATCCCAGGACTCCATGAGCATCTGTTGTTACTGACCCGTGGCTCTGTCCATCTTTGTTCTTTCAGAGGAAACGACATTTGAAGCAGGAGTGAAAGTTCAGATCCACAGTCAGTCTGAGCCACCTTTCATCCAAGAGCTGGGCTTTGGGGTGGCTCCAGGGTTCCAGACCTTTGTGGCCACACAGGAGCAGAGGGTAAGTTCCCTGGGCTCCCAGGATTGATGGTCCTCAGCCTCCCCCGACCCCCTGCAGAGGCACAAGGAGGAGAAATGGAATTCCCACTCGGTCAAGGGCTTTACTGTGAAACTAGAGAAAGATGTTGGCTAACCTTCGTCACCAGTTCTCCTGTACCACCTGTTGTTCCCTAAAATTGGGCATGAAGGAAACCCAGCTCATTTTTCTTTTCACCAAACTGGTTGGGTTTTTTCTTTTCCAGAACATTCTGTTACAGTTGACTTTTTGTACAAGTTAATTTAAAAAAAATTTTTTTTTTTTGGCCAGGGGATGCTAAGGAAAACTGCTAACCAGGGCTTGATATGTTTCATCACTTGCGTTAATACAATTCAAAGCAGCCTACAAAAAGAAAAGGGGTGGAGGCGTCCCTCTCCCATCACAGAGTTTAAGTGGAGCGAGCCCTTGTTACATGGGATCCTGCCTGCTCTCTTTGATATAGCGCTGGGGAGGGGACCTCAGCTGGCCAGCTGGGACTGCTGCATCAATTCTGTCTGTGGGTGGAGGGAGGACAGGCACAGCCTCACGTCTGAAGCGAGTCTTACATCTCAAAAGGGAGACCTTCGCAAACTCTCAGTAAGGAGGCAGTCTCAAAGCAGGACTGCGGAGAGACACGGACTCCGTTTCTTTCTTTTATCTCCTGAATACTTGTTGCCTGGTTTTCCTAGAATAAAAACTGGAGAGACAGTGACTGGGAGGGAATCCTAAACCAGATCATCTAAGACAAGTTTCTGGGGAAGACCTTAGGCATAGCTAAGTCAGTGAGTAGTGAAGGCACCTGCTCTGGGGTGTGGGAAAGGGAGACTCAGGGAGAACCATGACGGAGGAGCAAGGAAGGATACATGCACGTAATGGATGAGCTCAGCTTGCTTTTAAAATTTGGCTCAAATGTCATCTTTCATCTGGTACTGATCACAGCTGTTTAGCCATTTTATAAAATGATATTCTGCATTAAAAACTTGTTGTAGGGCCGGGCACGGTGGTTCACGCCTGTAATCCCAGCACTTTGGGAGGCCAAGGCAGGAGAATTCCTTGAGCCCAGAAATTCAAGACCAGCCTGGGCAACATTATGAGACCTTATCTCTACCAAAAAAAAAAAAATTAGGCATGGTAGTGCATGCCTGTGATCCCAGCTACTTGGGCGGTTGGAGGTGGGAGGATCACTTGAGCTGACTGAGCTGAGATTGCACCACTGCCCTCAAGCCTAGGAGACAGAGCTAGACCCTGTCTCAAAAAAAAAAAAAAAAAAAACACTGGTTGTAAATCTATACGTGAGCTATATTGTTTTTTACTCTCTGGGAAAGTGTTGATGGCATAGGCCTCACAAACTGTGCCCTGTACCCAATGCCTGGGCAGTTAATGAAGTCCAAGGTCAACCTTCACTGAAGCACATAGGGAATGGGATTGCAGCTTTGATGCAGGAGCAGGAGGTGCTGGAAGGTTAGCCTGGCCTCTATGGGATCCCAGAAACTGAGACAAGTGATGCAAGCAGAAAAGGGAATATCCAAGGGTATGCAAGGTAGAAACCAAATGGTGCAACCAGGAAAATATATCCTTGAGGACAAAGGAGGGCATGAGGATGGCAGGGGCAAAGTTCAAGGCTAAGGATTTGAGAGTCAAGAAGAGTGAGAACAAGGATTATCCAGTAAAGACATGCAGATGGACAGGCAGCCTGGGTGAGCTGAGAGCCTGAGCTACTAGCCTAGGTGAGCTCCTCAGTACTGTCAAAAGTAAACAAAGCTGGACATGGGTTGACATGGTGAGGGCAGATTTTAATCAATTATTTACTTTTGCAGTAGGGAAGAGGGTGCAGCATGAACTGAACTCAACCCCAATTCATAGAGAGGGCCTGGGTGTTTCAAAGAGAGAATGAGGGAGTGGGCAGAGGCAACAGCAAGGGCTTGAGCAGCAGAGTCAGAGAAGTAAAAAAATCATAAAAAACAGGAAGGGGCTTGGGTGCTGGTCCCTGTGAAAAGCATCTGGGTTTGCTAACTGGTGCTTATTGAAGTTAGTTAGGCTCCTACCCTCCCACAGAGACGGGGAGACAGGGGCCCTATATTCAGGTGTTGGCTGGAGCAAAGAGTAAATTCTCTTGGCAGCCTCGAGTTTTCTCAGGCAGGCACTTTAAGAGGGGATAGAGGTATTCTAGGGATATGACCTTGGGCTGTTAGAAACTATGATAGTGTTTGTTCAAGTCTTCATAGGCCAACTAAGGGTGAGGCTTAGAAGAGAAGAGGGCTCAGAAGAGCCTGGCTAGAGTCTGGTCAAGGAGAGAAAATCGGTCAGCACTCCCTTCTGTTGTATGAGTAAACCCACATCCCTTCAAAGAACCAGGAACAGGTTAGACTCATCAATATGTGTATAAATTCTGTGACTTTCTAAAAGTAAATTGTTAATTAGTTGTCCATGGCAAATCTGACTTTGTGGCTTGTTGAATGTACCTACCCCTACTATGATGAATTACTTACTTGTGTTGACATCTCTTTGCTATCTACATTGTTATTAGCAGCAGAATAAGTGAACAACATTCCTTGGAATCCAGTGTGTAACTTCTCCCCACCACTAGTAAGGGGTGGAGAGGAGGAAGTTCTCTGTAGGCTGCTATTTTTCATCAGCCTGAGAGATGTGCTTTTTCCTCCCCTAGCCCTGGCTGATCTTCCATTAGTAAGATGGAAGAAATTTCTGGGCTGGGTGGGAAGTCGGAGCTATGACTTCTAGGAATCCTTAAGTTTCTCTTTCCCTTCCCAATATGAAACAGAAGGACTCCCTATGGTGAGTAGGATGAGGAAATAGAACATATTCCCAGCTTCGGAGGGCAAATTTGCTGTTAGCTTTGAAGTGTATTCTCAGAAAATCAGCCCCATTCATGTCTGTATTTTCATGATTATTATAACTAATAAGATATTTGTTAAACATTTTACAGTCTTCAAAGCATTTCCGCATCATCTCATTTCATCATTTCATTTATATTAATAGAGAAATACAAAAACACATCCCAGAGCTAAATCTAATAATACATTATATTTACATGTATATAAAAGAGCATATTCATAGGAAATAAGACTTGAAGGAAATCAGCCAAAATACCCACACTGGGGGAATTATGAATAATTTATTTTCTTCTGTGGGCTTTCCATCTCTTTCATGTTGTGGCTTTGTTCTATTTATTCATACAGCAAATATTTGCTGAATACCTACTATGAGTGAAGTGGTAGAGATACAGTGGTAAACAAAAGAGACGCAGTCTCTGCCCTCACAGAGCCTGTAGATTAGCGGTTTCTTTAACAAAGGCAAAAATAATGTTAAGCCAAGTATATTTTGAGGATTTAGCCCCAGCTGTATGCTCTCATTCTGTGAGTATGCAAATCTATCCAGTTGATCCTGGTCCTCAAACACTTCATTTCATTGATTGTTAAGAGGCATATTTGTGTTCACATTTTAACATTTCTGAAATAAGGATTCGTTTTACAATCAATTAAGTCTTAAAATTACAATAAGCAGTGTTTGTTATTCTTTCTTGGTGATACATAAAATCATGGTGCATCTTATAGTATATGGTATATCCATAAAATGTGGCAGCTACGTTGCTATCAATCCAAGATTCTGCTGCTTTGGCTCAAAGTTTAAGGAAACTTTGCAGGAAGGCCATGGGGACAAGTCGTAGGAAGTAGAAAGCCCTTTCCTGGAAAGTTGGTGTGAATCATGCTAGGAAAATTGACTCCAGAGTAAGAGCCCTAAGAGGAACTAGTGACTTAAAGAAGTCCTACCATGAATCTTTGTATAAATGGGAAAGTCTTTCTGCATGGTGAAAATTATCTCACCCATGCATAATTACACACACACCACGCCTTTCCAAATGTTTTAAATTTTATTTTATTGTCCTAAAGAATATACTCTTGGGCTACAACCCAGTCCAAAGATTGCTTTCTTAACCTGCATTTGCCCTAAAAACAAATAAGTCAAGGTATGCCTTGGCTGCCTTCCTAGACAACCTTAAGAAGTGCCCTGGTTAACTCAGTTGCTGTAAAATCCTCTGCACAATCCCAGGACCACCAGAGACAGGCAGCGGGATAATATGCTGGAAGGAGAAATAGAACCCTGGGAAGGGTAGAAGAATAACAACAGTTCCTATCAATGGAGCACATGCTACCTGCCAGGCATTATGCTGTAGGGACACTTGAGGCACATTATCTCATTTAATCTCCCACAACAACCCTGCAGGGGGGGTTCTGATATCTCCACTTTGCAGATGACAAAACTGCGTGGTTGAATAACTTGTTCAAGGTTGCGTAGCTAGGGGAGCAGCAGGGTTGGGCTTCAAGCCCGAATCTACCAGGTTCCCGCACCCATGCTCTTTCTGCTCTGCCACACTGCACAGTTGTAACTCAGGAAGACTCTCTGGAGAGAGCGCACAGGGAGCTAATCCAGGGAGGGACTGGCTGGCAGGCTGGTCTTTTCCTACCATGAGCCCAAAGAAATAAGGCTACTCAGTACTGTGGAGAACAAATCAGCCTAGGAGTCCAGAGGCCTGGATTCTAGTCCTGCTGTGTCATGGGACTTTGGATAGGTCACTGCCCTCTCTGGGCCTCAGTTTTTCCATCTGTAAAATGAGAAGATTCCATGAGATGACTTCAAATGACCTCTAGCATTCACCACCTGGGAGTCCCTGCCCCTGCTCACTCAAGGACATAAGGATCACCAGGAAGTTTGGCTGACAGCAGTTCTGCACCCACTCCCGGCTCTGCCAGCTGGCATGGGATGCTTATAAGGTAAATTATGACAAGGATGTGAGATAAACCCTCTCCCCAGCTCTGGGAGGCAGAATCTGGGCTCCTGCTAGTGAGAAGCAGGAGCTGGGGTGGAGTAGCCTAAAACTCTAGGAGAGAGGCTCTGGCCACCCTCCTTGGTAGTACCCCTTCCTCAACCCACATCCTCAGTGGTCACAGCACTACCCAACATAACACCCTTACATTCCAGGGCTTTCTGTAACTTACAAAAATCTAAACCCCTTAGAATGGCTCTGGAGTCCCTGCCTAGCCTGGCCACAGCTCACCTCTCCAACCTCCTCATCTGCCTGTGGTTGACTAGGATGGACCCTACATCCCAATGATGCAGAACCATCCACCAAACACCCCATGTTCTTTGATGGCAGCCTCTGTGCATCTGCTCCCTCTGTTCCATCTGCCCTTCCTTGTTTCATCTACCTGGCAAAGGCCTATTCACACCTCCAGATACCACCCAAAGGTCATGGCCTTTAAGAAGACTTTGCTGTCTTATCCTGCCACCTTCCTAGGAATAGTTAGCTGCTCCATACAATATTTTGTACATTCATTTATTCCCTCAGCAAATATTCCCTGAGCACTGAATGTGCTGGAAAAATTAAGATAAGCGAGACCTGGCCCCTGTCTTGGAGCACTCACAGAATGAAGTGGGGGATTTGGCATTTTTTGTCACACTTCCAAGGGTACAACAGTCCCATGTAGG
The DNA here is from genome assembly GCF_000001405.40 of Homo sapiens. Lineage (NCBI taxonomy): Eukaryota > Metazoa > Chordata > Mammalia > Primates > Hominidae > Homo > Homo sapiens. The sequence goes on along the minus strand of NC_000017.11, from coordinate 33,083,342 downwards.
CTTACTTCATGTGGATCACTGCTCCTGACACCTACCTCTCCAGAACTGCCTTCTTTTGCCTCTCTCAGCCCTTGTCTCTTATAGTCTCAGAGCCCTCTGAGAGCAAGGATTGTGTCTTTTGGATTCTGTGGCCCCAGTGCCTTGCTTATAGATAAGATCCATAAATGTGAGTTGTTGGAAGTACAACTGGATAATCAATCCAATGTTATACTCTAATGCTCCCTGCTGCCTCCTTAACTCACCTCTGCCAACTGTCCCATTAAAAATCTGCCCTGAAAGCCCGTCTCCCTGAGGTTATGAAGCTGGGCTGTGATGGATGATATATTCATATCGTTTCTGGCTTAGACAAGCTAATCAAAGCAAAAGCTCATGAAAGGGGTCAGGGCTAGGGATATAGATCTGGAAGCCATCTGTGTAGATAAGAGTGGATGAACAGATAAGAGAGCCAGCACAGAATTCTGGAATTCGGGGAAAATTAAATGAGTGAGTAAATATATGTGAAACTGCAAAGCTGGGATATTCATGCGGTATGGGGACAGCACCAAGCTGTCTTCAACGTTGACATCACCAATCAGACTCTTTGCTCAAACCATGATTATTTATTTATTTATTTATTTATTTATTTATTTATTTATTTATTTTTGGAGACAGAGTCTCACTCTGTCGCCCAGGGTGGAGTGCAGTGGTGCAATCTCTGCTCACTGCAACCTCCACCTCCTGAGTTCAAGCAAATCTCGTGCCTCAGCCTCTGGAATAGCTGGAATTACAGGCTTGTGCCACCATGCCTGGCTAATTTTTGTATTTTTAGTAGAGACGTGGTTTCACCACTTTGACCAGACTGGTCTCGAACTCCTGGCCTCAAGTGATCCACCCACCTCTGCCTTCCAAAGTGCTAGGATTATAGGTGTAAGCCACCATGCCTGGACTTCCAAGTCATGATTTGATATCAGAAGCCTTTCATCATCTCCCACCCTCTCTTCAAAGAGCCTGGTGGTGATTCTTGTTTTCTAAGTGTTGATCCATGTATTCATCAAATATTTATTCAACCACTTTGCTTATACTTCTTGGTGGTCCTGGGAATGAATCTAGAGATTCTGGGCAATTAGTTGGCCCACCAACGTTATTGTTCGGGAAATTTCCTGGAAATCTTGGCCCTGGGTTTATATTTGACAGCCTCAGAAACACCTTGGGGAGCCAGGGTTGAATGTCCCTTCCCAGAGACTTCCCACTGTCACCAAGAACCTCTTTCACTACCAGCTGGAAACCATCAGGAATGAGAAGGGTTTCCATTCCACAACCTAGACTTTATATCACTTGAGCTGTATCTAAAGTGCCCTGAGAATGCCTACCATCACACAACACCTTGCATCTAACCACTGCCTCTCTAGCCTGTTTAGACTACAATAAAGGCAAATAAGAATACTTAGGTCTTGCCAGCTCTAGTTAGGTCTTTGGCAGGACCAGTTGGCTCCTACAGAAGCCTAAGCCTCTGCCTCTGGTATAAGTTGGCCACATTTCCACCATTTGAAGGGAATCCCACCATGGCTCACAAGAAGAAACAGTATCCCTCACCCCACCCCTAAATAAAAAGGCCCAGCAGCTTGGTGGGATGCCCACTGCCTGCTTTTGACAACTCCTCTCAAGCTTCCAATTATAACTTCCTAAGTGCCTTTCAAAAGGGAAGACTCATTTGTCAATCTGACAGCCAGATCCATGGTCCTTAATATCCATGTTTCATGGACCCCATTAGAAATGGAAGCTTGCCCAGTTGGTTTTTTTCAAGGCAGAAGAGAGAATTTATTACACATGACTTTAGTGACTTCCAAATGGCCAAAGATGGAGCCGCATAAATATGGAAGCATCTATTTCCACCCCATCAAAGCACTGGAGAGGTGCCACAAGGTGAGATGGCCCGCTGTGTAGACATTGCCTTCACCATCAACAGGGTACACTGTTTCCCATGAATAGCCCAAGAATAAGAATCAATTAAGCATATGCTAGTTTAGCTACTTAATCACTTGTTGCCACTCAGCATCTAAAGTAGTAATATCTTCAGATCCCCAGACGATTTTGCCAAGAGTCAAGTTTTCACCATTTTTTCCTGCACAATATAAGCTTGATTTTCTCAAGGTGGACTTGACAGCAGAGGATGAGGGAGGAATTAGAAGGATTCTTCAAAGAATTGCTGATTGGCTAGGATGAGCTAGGTATTGTGCTTAGCACTGTTGGGGAATCAAAAACTGAATCCCATAAAAATATACTCCAGTCTTAGGAGGAGATAAAATTATTCTTTATTTTACCTCCCCACTACCTTGCAGCCTCTTCCTCTCCTTGCCTTCCTGACAAAGAGTCACCAAAAAGTTCTCGGTCCCTGATGTCAGTTACACACAGTCAACTGCAGCCTGAAAACATTAAATGGAAAATTCCAGAAATAATCAGTTTTCAGTTGTGCACCATTCTGAACAGCGTGATGAAATCTCGCACCATCCCACTTCATCCCACCCAGGACGTGAATCAGCCCTTTGTCCAGCATATCCACGCTGCATACATACACTGCCCGCCTGCTGGTCACTTAGCAGCCGTGTCTGTGATCAGATTTACCATCAAGGTATGGCAGTGCTTGTGTTCAAGTCACCCTTATTTTACTTAATCATGGCCCCAAGGAGCAAGAGTCATGATGCTGGCATATTGTTATAATTGTTCTGTTTTGTTATTAGTTATTTTTGTTTATCTCTTACTGTGCCTAATTTATAAATTAAACTTTATCAGAGGTATGTATGTATGTATGTATATATAGGAAAAAAAAACATGATACATATGGGGTGGGTACTATCTGCAGTTTCAGGCATCCACTGGTGGTCTTGGAACGTATCCCCGTGGATAAGGGGGGCCTGCAGTACTCGCTTATCCCTGATTCTTCATTTCCCTTTTTCTTGCCAGTCCACCTCCAGCACACCACTGAAACTTTTCTTTGTCAAGGTTGCTCATGAGATCTCTTTGGCTAAACCCAGCCTCTGTTGACAGGGACACTCCTCAGTCTTTATGCCACCTGGTTTCTGAACAGCATGTGGACTGTGGACCACACCCTCCCTGAGACACTCCTCTTCACTCCTGCCTGGCTTCCTTTCACCTCCCTGCCCACTCTGCCTTGGCCCCCTTCATAAGCAATTCTTCCCCTGCCACCCCTTACCTAGTGGTACTCCAGGTTGCTGTATTGTCCTCTCCCAGGTTACAGCATCCTTTCCCATAATTCCCAGACTGCCACCCCAGCCTGGACCTCTTTCCTGAGCTCCAGACCCAACATTCCAGGGGCTGCTGAACTCCTCGCTTAGAGTCCCATGGACATCCCAAATCAACAGGCAAAACTAAATTCATCTTCTCCCTGTCCCCACACCTGCACCCCATAATTGATGCTCCCCTAGATTCAAAACTCTGTAAATGGCCGGAGTGCAAATCCCCATTTGCTAGTTGTGGAACCTTGTTCCTCATTCTCTTCATCTGCAAAATGGGGATAATGCTGGTTCCTACCTCACAGGGGGACCGGAAAACTAAGTGGGTTCATACATGTAATACCCATAGAACAGTTGGCATACCGTAAGTGCCCAAATGATGCTAGCTGTTATTATCCCCCACCCCAGACACTACTTTAGTTCAGTTCCTTATGTTTTTTTCACCCAGATAAGAACAACAACTGCCTCACTGGCCTCCCCAGTGCTCACTCTGTCCCTCCCCAACCCATTCTCTGCAACAACATGACCGTTCTAAAATACAGCCCTGCTCATCTCCCTCCCTCATGAACCACAGGATGAAGTCCAAGAATCTCTTCACAGACCTCTCCAGTCTGGCTCCTGCCTCTCTTTCAGTGGCCTCTCACTCTACTCCCCCAGCCTCCCACACAACACCCCAGCCACATTAAACAGAGCCCTCCTCCCAGCATCGCACACTCTCTCCTTTCTCCCTCTGCCAGCAACACCCTTCCCACCCTTTCATCACCTCACTTGTATGTGTCCTTCCTCCAAGATTCAGTGCAAACATGGCCATACCAGAGTATTATGTGGAAATCTCCAGCATAAAATGTACACATTATAACCGTCTGTTTACTTATCTATCTCCCCTGCCAAACTGGGAATTCTTTGGGGATATGATTCTATCATACTTCTATTCTTCATATTTTACATGGTGCCTTACATATACAAGATGTTCAATAAATTGCATTGGATGAAATGAACGAATAAATAAATGTGAGAGAGAGGACTTTATCATGTCACAGCCTGCTTGAGACCCATTAATGTCTTTCCCAACCCATAAAATAAAGCCCAAATTCTACCTCCGGGCTCCCACCATCACTTTTCCCAGTGATTATATCTCACTGCCCTCCAGCACACAGCCCCCTCTCATCTACACACTGCCCCACTTAGGCCTTGAGCCTTCTTCCTGTCCTACTCTCTCATCATCTCATATTGACATTTATTGATCACCTACTATGTGCCAGGCACTGTGTTAGGTGTTAGGTTACCAGTGGACAAGACTAGCCTGGTTCTTCTTAGAGCTTACAGGCCAGCAGGAGAGGTAGCCAATCAATCAACCAATCAATCATGGAGTAAGGGCTATAGCTGGCTGGGTGTGGTGGCTCATACTTATAATCCTAGCACTTTGGGAAGCTGAAGAGGGAGAATCAGGAGTTGGAGACCAGCCTGGGCAACATAGCAAGACACCATTTCTACAATCAATCAATCAACTAAAAGAGCTATTATTTGTCTGGTAGCATGCCCCCAGTATACTGTAAACTCTTACGGGAAAAGATTAGGTCTTACAGTTCTTAGATGGAATGAAGGATGGATCGAATATTGTGCAATGATCTCTGAGGGCTAACTTAAATAATTTACTGTCCATTTAAATTCTTAGCCTTCAGATATGGTGTAACTTAAATACTCTTTGAACACTAGGAACTAAAAAATAAGTCTTTTTATTGAGACCTGGAAGAAAGGATAAGCTAGAAATGGTGCTGACATGGCAGCCCCAGCCTGGGTCCATGGTGCAGACCCTTGGTGGTGCCCACCCTCACTAGCATCTCCAGGGAGAACTGGCTGCTCCTGCACCCACTCAGCACTGGATCTGACATCAAAAGCTGGCTGCTTATCTCTCGGTGGCTTATTTCCTCCTTGGACCCAGGCAGAAGAAAGGAGCCCTAATGTCTATGGACTCACCTACTTTATCTTACTCAGGGGACAAGTTAATAAATCAGACCATGCTTTGGTTGGTCCTGCTGCCCAGTGTCACGTTATCTTTTGATTCATGGGCAGTTCACTGTCTGAACTCCAAATGGTGTGGCCTTGGTTTCTGACTTTTTTTTAAAGGGGGAAAAAGGGCCTATAGAGGACACTTCCATGCATAGGCCAAAAGCTGTTGCATCTTTTTCTTGGCAACTGAGAAGTTTAAAGAATCACCAACACGTCTTTTAGAAATATCAACTATAATGAATGACTGAATATGAACAGTCTTGCTGACTGTCACACTCCCTTGACAAGGGTAAGGGAAGGAGGGGTCTGAAAAAGACACCTCTTTCCTGTTCTCCCCTCCTCCTTCAGGCTTGAAAACAACTATTGCCCAGCCATCACAACTGGAGAAGTCCCTGCATTTGTTTATGTTGTGACAAACGGGCTGGACAGCCCCCAGTAATCATTCTCTGTGGGCTAGTAAATCATACTGCTTATCTGTTAGACTGCTCCATCCCCAAAATACCTCTGGTCCCTCACCTACTGAGATCTTTCACTCTCTGTCTCTCTCCCTCTCTCTCTCCCTCTTTGAGTAATTAAAATGTTTTAATAGCAGTCAATTGTCTATTAATATAACTTTACCTAATAACGTAAGTTATTTGCATGTCTTGCTCCATCCAATGAGAGAATACCCTTTGAAGGCAAGGGTTCTGCAGCAGCTAGCACAAGCCTAACACTGTAAATCAATGAATGAATAAATGGCAGGCATAATCAATATTGGTTCATCAATTGCTCCAAACCCTGAAGCAGATCCTCTTGTGGAAGAAGAAATCATTCTGAAATGAGAGTCATCACTCCCGATTTATGTGCTGTGTGTTTTGAAATAGTACTCAGAGTTCTTAAAATAGGGCCTTTGATGCATTTGGGTGACAAAGGACAGGAAGATGGCCTTGGGCCAAGGTCTGCAGGAGAGCCAAGGGGACCACAGAAGGGACAAGCAGAAGGGGAGCTGCATCTCAGCAAAGAAGCCACCCATCTCTTAGAGAGGGCAGCTGGGACAGCTGTTGAGGGGAATATAAACTGGTAGAGCCTCTGGGCTGGGGAGATGGGTGGGGATGTGGCACAACACATCCATAAAATAAAAAAGCATGCATTCCCTTCAACCTGGCAGTTTTACTTCTTAGAATCTGCCCTAAAGAAATACATACTCATGTACACCAAACAACATAGATAAAGATCTTTCCTGCAGCACTGTTTGTATGAGCAGAAATTTAGACACAACTTAAATGTTCATCAATAGAAGGATGATTATACTGAGGAGGGAAGATGCCTATGCATTTCCCCCACCCCCTGCAACAGTTAAACTGGGTAAGGAAGATTTGGAGATCCCTTGGGGAAAATTTCTAAGACATATTGGTAGGTGAAAAATCAAATTGCGGAACAATACATACAAGGTGGTCCCGTTTGTATTAAAAATACCCACACCCTAAACTATATGATTATAAATGTGCATGTATGCATATCAGCACACAGAAAAAGTCTAGAGTGGTGCCTACCATACTGAGAGCTGCTCAGAGGAAGAGAACACAATTGAGTGTGCAGGAAGATTCTTCATTTTTACTGGATCCCTGGCATATTTATAAGTGTGAATTTATGTATTCATATATTAATTGTGCAGTTTTTAAGGATGTGCATAATGCAGCTATTTACAAATATGTTTTATGGTTTGGACCCGACTCCTAATAGACAGACAGGCTCACATAAAGGAGGAGGGGTCCAGCCTGCTCCGTGTAGCCAGGCACAGCCTCCTACCCGGACTGCCCCTGTAATACCTTCCTTAGTGGACAGCCTCCATCAGACCCTACTTCTGCTCCTAGCACTTGCAAGGACATAGCAAGAGGCCTATGGCTCAGAAGTTTCCCTTTTTGGAAAAGCAACGTTTGAAAGATTTTTGTCTGTTTTTGAAGTTAGAATTTTTTTTTTAAATTACCTGGGATTAGAGACCACAGTTCCCCCAAATCATTGAAGAGGGCAGGGCATAGGTTCTAGCAGTGCCAGTCACCATGCTATTCTTCCATCCATGTAGGATGGATTTAATTAGCTCAGGGGATTAGATGAGATTCAATTAATTTGAATTGGATTGATTAGTTGCATTAGATTGACAGCCGTTTTTAACTGTTCCTTAGCTCCTAAAATCACATTCTCCTCTTCCCTACTCAATGCCCTCAGTTTCTGGGCTGTACCACTGGGATGTCCTGCTCTCAGTTTTAGGAAGTCACTTCTCCCTTCTCCACTGTAAAGACAATGGGTCCTTCACTTCCATGCCTTTTGCTTGTTCTGTGTCTGACACTGGGAAGGAGACTTAACTCCTATCCATGCCCAGCACCTGTCCCAGTGCTCAGGACATAGTAGGGGCTCAGCTGGTGTTTGTGGAATTGAAGTGAGCCCCCAAGTTTCCCCCAGAAGGCCTGGTGGGAACCAGCAGAAGGAGCAGACCAGCAGGGGAGGGGATTTTACCTGGGGTGTCAGGCTGCCCTGATGTCAAGCATCAAAACAGCCTCATCACTGAGGCAGCTGCTTCTGTGACCTGAAAGGGTGATAATGAAGACTGTCTCGCCCCTTTCCTGAACACATTTCTGGTGCTTACTGATGGCAGAGCAGGGAGAGGAATCTGGGCTTAGCTATATTCAGAACCTCAGTGAGGAGAAGGACAAGCAGGGCTTCCCACCTGTATTAGTCCATTTCTCACTGCTGATAAAGACATACCCGAGAGTGGGTACTTTATAAAGAAAAAGGTTTAAGGGACTCACATTTCCATGTGTCTAGGGAGGCCTCACAATCATGACAGAAGGTAAAAGGCATGTCTTACGTGGCGGCAGACAAGAGAGAATGAGAGCCAAGCAAAAGGGGAAACCCCTTATAAAACCATCAGATCTCATGAGCCTTATTCACTACCATGAGAACAGTATGGAGGAAACCGCTCCCATGATTCAATTACCTCCCACCTAGTCCCTCCCACAACACATGGGAATTGTGGGAGTTACAATTCAAGATGAAATTTGGGTGGGGACACAGCCAAACCATATTACCACCTCTCAGAGGGGACATGGCAGTGGAGGTGACCTCACTCTGCGGAAGACTTTCAAGGAATCATAACTGATATCAGACCTGTCATGAGGAGGCCTCTGTAACATCCATCTTTGCATGCCATCATAGTTCATTGAGTGGAGCCACCACGCTCACCATCATAACTGGTACAATTCCTTGAAAGTCTTATCTATAAAGTCCAGAACCTTTCTAAATGCAGCATACCCAGTATCTCAGGTGTACCTCCCAAATCTAATTAGGTAGCAATGACTGGAGATCATCTTACAGAAAATACAACTGGAGCACTGAGAGGTTAAGAAACCTGCTAAAGGACACACAGCTAGAAAGTGATACAGCCTAGAATTGGAATCAGCTTGCACCAACGCCTGGCTCTAACCATTGAGCAATACTGCCTGCAGTTGCCCTCAGGTGTTCTGCTTTTATTCTGCCCAGGAGAACAAGGCAAGCTCTGAGGAACTCAGAGATAGAGGAACCTAGACATGGAACCCAAAGGCCTTCTCCTGGGCAGATGCCGTGAGGAACCCCAGGTGCTCGGGAAGGAAGGTCAGCTCAGCAAATCGAAGTGGAAATTACCAGGCCTGGGGAAAGGGGAGGAGGACCACTCAGACCTGCAACCAGCAAAGGCACACAGCACCTCCAAAAAAGGCATGGAGAGGGTATGACAAGGGGCAGGGCCAACACAGAAGGGAGGGTGGGCAACAGCAGCCCCAGAGGCCTGTGGACCATGCTTTTGTTTTATTTTTCCTTGAAGATTTTACTATATGGCTACTGTAGAAAATGCCAGGGAGGAAACAAAAATAGAAAAACATAACCCATAGCACCTCCATCTATTGAAAGTAATGGTTATGCTTTTGGTATCTTTCCTTGCAATTTTCTCTCTATATAACTCTCTGTTTCTGCCTCAGTTAGGGCTCCTGGGGATACAAGGAGCAGAGAGCCTCGGAGGCTAGAGCCAAAGGCAGTGGTTACTGAAGGCTGGGAAGAGCTCACTGGAAAGCAAACACACACACCTGCTGGTACTAAGACTGAGAGCTAAGGAGCTATTCTCTCTGTTGTTCTCTCTCCTCAGATCCCTCTCCCTTGTCCTCTCTCCCCTCTCCCTCTTCTGTCCCTCTGTTGGCAGGACTCCTAACCCTGCTTACACAAGGTTCCACTTCCTCAAAACCTCCCCTTACCCACAGCCCATAGCGGCTGGGCCCCTTCAGTAGGGTTCTGGGTAAAGCAGCTTCCGATGATCATCTCTAGCCCAGTTTGTCCATTGGATTTTGATATTGTTTTCTCCATTTGTCCCTCAACATTGTTTCCCATAAACATCTTCTCCTGCCATGAGGACGTCTCTGTAAATGAGTCTTAGCATTCCATCACGGTTCACTGAGTGGAGCTGCCATTATCAACCCCATTGTTCCCTGTTCTTAGTCTCTCGGGATCCCCATTGTGATGGTCGCAATGAGTGAGCACCGTGCACCAGCTCCTTTATCCAGGCTGCCTCATCACAGCCACCTTGCAAGATAGGCTTCCCTGTGCCCATCTTATACATGGGGAAACTAAGGCTTGGTAAGGGAGAGATACAATTCAAACCCCGACCTTTCAGATTCCAAAGCCTGTGCTCTTTTCACCACCCCATGCTGCTTCTGAGCTCGCAGGCCAGCAAAGGGACCAGAGCCTTCTGACCACTCCATGTGGACAGAACTTTTGGTAACCAAGAGAAAATGAGATCCTTGATTAAAGAGAATTCATTTCAGAGCTACACATCGTTTTCTAATGCTAACTTCTCTTTGAATGTAATGGCTGTTGTTTTTATTTTCCAAGCTTTTAAGAAACCACTTTGCATTAGCAACCCACTTGCTGACAGGTAGCAAACATTGCTGTTATCTGTGTCCTGATTTTGCTCCCGGCTATTCCCTCCCCCCAACTACCAGCTTGCCCATTCTTCAACTGATCCCGGTAGAAATGAGGGTGAGTCACTGTTGAAGTTTTCCAAGGAAACGTGCTCATATTTTGTCCACACACCATGGCAATGGTCAGAAAAATACAGCATTGTGCCCTGCGTGCCGTGAATCCAGGCAGCACAGAGGCTCGCCTGGGATGGCGTTGATTGCTGCATCACTTCCCCTTGTGTTTTCTAGCAGGGGGAGTGGATTACTCATCCTCCTTCTTCCCAGTGGGGAAATGAATGTCTCATTATTGATCAGGAGTGAAAGCTAAGGCCCCTGCCTGGTGCCTTGATGTGCAGGAGAGAGGAAGCAGCAAATCCATCCCTAGAGTCTAGGACAGAGGTCCTGGTTATAGTTCTGACTCCCATTTGCTGTCTAGGTAGCCATGAGCAGATCACTATACCTCTTTGGACCTCAAACTCTCTCCCCGTCAAATGGCCGAATGCCTGCCTACGTACGTCACCTGGCTGTTGAGAGGATCAGATTTGGCAATAGCTATGAAAGTACTTCAGTTGTGAAGCAGCTATGTCACTCTTTTCTGAATGGAGAAGCAATGACACGTAGTAGAGATGGGCCACCTGATACAAGTCTACTCTTTACTTTGGAATGGCATTTAGTGTTATTGTTATTGGTATTAAAATTAGCCTGTTATTGAGATGGCCTGGACGAATGATGGCAGTGGAGGCTTCTGCTTCCACTTCAGAGACTTCTGCTTCCAGCCAAGATGTAGGTACAGCTTGTGGACTTACCCTCAACAGTAACACCAAAAACAAAATATATGAAAAACAATTATTCAAGACATTGAATATTAGGCAACAAGGGATGGTGACCCCAAAGAGATGAGAAATAAGCAAAGGTGAGCACTATGATTGCCCCAGCTTATGCCCTTGAAAGACTTTCCAGCCCTGCACAGGGAGGGGGACCCAGGTTGAGCCCAGTGACTCCCTGAGTCAAGGACACAGAGCTATGAGTCCAGAAAGACCGAGACAACCAGAGTTCACAGGACAGAGCACCAGAGAGGAGAGGACTTCACAGAGACAGAACTCCAGAGATCTGAAAAATCCTCCTTGAAAATTCAGCATATTCCTCATTGGGGTAGGCATGTGAGAAAACTACCCAAAACCAGAGAAAGAATGATTTGAGAAGATGAGAGGAAACAGTGCCTGGCAGCACTCACACAGAGCTGGGAATAGTGCCTATTCCTACTAGTCAAACTGGAAACCCTCATAATTCATGGAACACTTGGTAAAGTATCCACAAGGGTCTTGCATCAGTAACAGGAAATAATTAGCCCTAAACTAAAAGCTGCTTTGTTTCTGCCTAACAAATCTTCAAGCAAAACCCAAATGGGTCAAACTCTTTCTAAGTAACTTAAATGTGTTCCAGAACAAAGCTCAAGAATATTTATAGGGATATAAAAAATTCAATACCCAACATGTTAAAATTCATGACATCTGGCATCCAATCATGATGTCTGGCATCCATGATTGGCATGCAAAGAAGCAGGAAAATATGACCTATGATGAGAATAATTAATCAATTAAAATAACCCAGAATGAACACATATTAGAAATTGCCAGCAAGGACATTAAAACATTTATAGCTAAATCTCATAAGTTCAAAGGATGGACATGGAATACATTTGTTAAAAAGCCAAGTTGAACTTCTAGAGATTAAAAACTACAATGGCTTTGATTTTAAAAATACACTGGATAAGATGAACAGCAAATTAAACATTGCAGAGGAAAAGATTAGTTAACTTGAGGAGATTGAAATGAAATAGAAAAACAAGGATTTTTAAAATGAAGAATGTAGCAATGAGACAACTTCCAGTGGCCTAACATACTGGTATTTAGAGTGTTTCAAGAAGTATGGGGCAGGTGGGAGGGCAGAAACAAAAATTTTATAAAATGATGGCCAAATCCTTTCCAAATTTTATGAAAATTATAAATCCACATAAAAAAGTTCAAAGAACCCCAAGCACAAGAAACATGAAGAAAACTACAGCAAAGTCATACCGAAATTGCTCAAAGCCAGTTATAAAAGAAAATGTTAAAAGCGTCCAGAGAAAAATAACTCATTACCTACAGAGGAATAAAGATAAGGAAGACAGTAGATTCCTCACCAGAAACAATGCAACAGAGAAGACAGTGGAGCAATATCTGTCAAGTATTGGAAGAAAAAAAAAAGCTGTCAATCTAAAAATCTATATCTAGTAAAAATGCCTCCAAAAATTAAGCAAAATAAGTCTTCTCAGACATATAAAAGCAGAAGAGCCAGCAGATCCTTACTCCAGCATATCTATCACCAGCAGATCTGTATTCCAAGAGATTTTTCTTCAAGGAAAAGGAAATTGACATCAGATGGAAATATGGGTTCACACAAAAGGAATGAGGAGCACCAGAAATTGTATTAATTGTGGTTTTTGTCATTCAAAGTAGTGGCAAAAGGCTGGGCGTGGTGGCTCACACCTGTAATCCCAGCACTTTGGGAGGCTGAGGTGGGCGGATCACAAGGTCAAGAGATCGAGACCATACTGGCCAACATGGTGAAACCCTGTCTCTACTAAAAATGTAAAAATTAGCTGGACATGGTGATGCACACCTGTAGTCCCAGCTACTCGGGAGGCTAAGGCAGGAGAATTGCTTGAACCCGGGAGGCAGAAGTTGCAGTGAGCTGACATCACACCACTGACTCCAGCCTGGGTGACAGAGCGAGACTCTGTCTCAAAAAAAAAAAAAAAGTAATGGCGAAAACTGTGGTTACTTTTGCACCAACCTATAACTACAATGGTAAATATATTTTCCTTGTTATTTACATTTACTTAAAAGATAGTTGAATGCTTAAATAATAACAACATATTATGAACTTTATAACATATGTATAAGTAAAATAAATGACAGCAATATCGTAAAGGACAAGATGGAAAAAATGGGAGAATACCATTGGAAAATTCTTCTACTCTGCCTGAAGTGCTATACTTGAAGGTAGACTATGATGACTTAAAGATTTATATATAAACTCTACAACAGCCACTAAAAGAGCAAACTGAAAAGTTTTAGCTTATAATCCAACAAAGGGTATAAATGAAATCACAAAAATGTCCAATTTTAGTCCAAAATATTTTATCTTCATTTACTGCAGTTGGAGGCAGAAAATGAGGGAAGGGAGAAAAGAGAAAAAAATGGGACTAGTAGAACACATATAACAAAATAATAGGCTTAAATCTAACACATCAATAATCACATTTAATGCAAATGGTTTAACCACAACAATTTAAGGAATTGCCAAACTGGATTAAAAAAAGAAAGTTTCAACTATATGCTGGTTACCCAGAAAAAATGTATTTTAAATATAAAGGTAAAAATAGTTTTTTTTAAAGGATGGAAACATATATACCATACTTACACTGATCAAAAACAAAGTTGAAATGGCTATGCTAATATCAGACAAAATATGATTCAGAACAAATAATATCACCAGGGACAAAGAAGGTCATTTCATAATCATAAAAAGGTCAAGTCACCAAGAGGACAGAGCAAACCTAAATATTTATGCACCTAATAGCAGAGTTTCAAAATACAGAAAGCAAAAACTGATAGAACTGCAAAAAAAAATCAACAAATCCACAATTATGCCTGGAGACTTCAAAACCCCTCTCTCAATAATTGATAGGACAAGTAGACAGAAAACCAGCAAGGATATAGAAGATTTGAACAACACTCTCAACCAAGTTGACCCAATGATGGCTTATACAGCACTCCACAGAACAATAGCAAAATACACATTCTTTACGAGTACACACAGCACGCTTACCAAGATAGACCATATTCTGGGCCATAAAACAAGCCTCAATACATTCAAAAGGATTCAAGTCATAGAAAGTATGTCCTGTGATCATAATGAAATTAAGTTAAAACAATAACAGAAAGATAGCTGGAAAATCTCCAAATATTCAGAAGCAAAATAACACACTTCTAAATAATCCATGGATGAAAGAAGAAATCAAAAGTGAAATTAAAAAGAATTTTGAAGAGGTTAAAATGAAAACCTATCATATAAAAATTTATGTGCTGCCAGTAGCACAATACCAACAGGTAAATTTACAGAATTAAATACCTATATTAGGAAAAGAAGAAAAGTCTTAAATCATGACCTCAGCTTCTGCATTAAAAAACTAAAAAAAAAGAAGAGCAAATTGAGCCAACACTAAGCATGGCAAGGAAAATGATGATGATTGCAGCCGAAATCAATGAAATAGAAAAACAATAGAGAAAAACAAGGAGGCCAAAAGATTTTTTTTGATATTAATAAAATTGATAAACCTCTAACCAGAATGATCAGAAAAAGAAAAAGCACAAGTTATCATTAAAAGTGAGAGAGGCAACACAGCACAGACTCCATGTGTACAAAGGGTGATATAAGAAAACTGTAAATAATTGTATGCCAATATATTTACCAATTTAGGGCTTGGCACTGAGTTGCAACTGCTTAAATTCACAATCACTTATTTTGGGTTTGTTTTGTTTTGTTTTGTTTTGTTTTGTTTTGTTTTGAGATGGAGTTTCGCTCTTGTTGCCCAGGCAATAGCACAGTCTCAGCTTTCTTACTGCAACCTCTGCCTCCCAGGTTCAAGCAATTCTCCTGCCTCAGCCTCCTGAGTAGCTGAGATTACAGGCATGCACCACCATGCCCAGCTAATTTTGTATTTTTAGTAGAAACGGGGTTTCTCCATGTTGGTCAGGATGATCTCGAACTCCTGACCTCAGGCACAATCACTTATTTTCTATTGCCTCTGGGTGTTGCCTCTACAGTGACCAACCATCCTGGCTTGCTCATGACTGAGGGTCTTTGGGGAAGTGAGACTTTCAATTCTAAAACTGAAATTATTGGTCAACCTAGGCCTGCATCCCTCTGATAATTCCACCCTTCCACCCCCCCAGGTCCAGTCACCTAGAAGCCCACAAAGGGATCTCACTTACCAGGTTTTCCCCTGCCGTTGCACTCTCTGGGTTGTCTGAGTGGGCAAGCATCTTTATTTGACCTCCTCTCGGTACTGGCTCTCCCAGGTCAGAGACAAGGTCTTGCCCGGAGCCCTCTCTCTCCAGAGCCCCATGCAGCAAATACATTTAGTTAATCCTCCCCTTGCTTTGGGCCCAGGCTGCTCTGCAGGGGTTGTGGACTACTCAGAAAAGGTTGATGATGCATTAAAGAAGTCATTCCCAACAGCCAAGGCAAAGTGGCTTTGAAGGAACAATTCGCCTCGTCCTGGCCCACCTCCATCCTCTCATTAGCCATGAGGATTCACTTCTCTTCTTTTTTAACTTTGCAAAGTTGCTGTTTCTCTCTACCCTGATGAGAGTTCAGTTATATTTCAGGCAATTGAGACATTCTGGAAAGTCAGACTTTACAGGCATCCCTAAACCTGCTCCACCCTCACTTAGACACCCTTGGTGGCTCCCTACTGAAGTGGTTGAACTGCACTCTAAAGAATAAAGTGTGGTTTCTTGAAGCCAAAGTTCAAGGCCTCCTGTGATCCAGTTTCATACTTGTTGTGATGCTCTGTCAAAAAGAGCTACTCAGTGTGCCCTGCAGATTCCCATCTCTGAACCTTGCCTGCCCTTTTATCTTTCTCAGAATTCCATCTCCTCTAGCTCCTCATATACAAATCCAACACTTTCTTCCATGCTACCATCTCCTCTAGCTACTCATATACAAATCCAACACTTCCTTCCATGCCACCTCCTCCAGGAAGCCTTCTCAGATGCCCACAGAGGTCTTTTCCTCTGAATCAACTTTGTCTGTGGCCCTTGGTACACGAGTTATTAATCCACAGATGTCTCTTGACTCAGATTCCAATCCTTCCTTGAAAGTAGAATCCCCATCTTTCAACCCTTGCCTAGGCTTGGCCATTTCATGAGTTGGCCCCATTATTTATCTGCAAGAACTCTATTTTGGCCATTAGAATTGTCTTGTCAGTGCCCCGGAGAGCCATGCTCGCCAAAGATTCTGGTCTTTTGCCTGCGATGTTCCCACTGCCAGTGATGCCCTTCCTTCAGGCCTGCTTGGTAACTAACTCATCCATCATTTTACAATCCCAGGTTTACCTTCCAGACTCCCCAGGCTCCTGCCTGTTGCCAAGAGTACTACTTACTGCCCTGTAATCACCCATATTTTTGTATCTCTGTCCCCTGAGTATTCTGGGGCACCTTGAGGGAATCCTTCATTTTCCTCACCTTTATATCCCCAGAGTCCAACAGAGGACCTGGCCCCAGGAAGCATCTAGGAAATGTTTGTTGAATGAATTATTTTGCTTCAAAGCTCTAAGCCGTGGTTTCCAGGTATAGCAGGTAGCTCACCTCCAAAAGCCTGCCCTGATTTACTTTATCCTGAACCAACAGTGGATTAACATGGTTGTGTGGCCTTGGTAAAGTCACTTTTCCTCTATAGGTCTTCAAATTGTCCATCTGTAAAGTGAAGGCACTGGATCTGATGGAAAGGGAGGGCCCTGCCAAGTTTCCCCTTTCCTGATCCTGGTTCCATGACGCTGAGTTTTTAGCCGAAAATCTTCAATATGTACGTGTCTTGTCTCTTTAAATGGCCCATGAGGACATCCTTTACCCTCCAGCCTAAGCCTAGCACCAGGCTGGGTGGCCTCCAAAGCTCTACTAAACATCTGCTGAATAAGTATTAGATGGGTCATGGGGTCCAGGACCTCGCCAACTGCTAGCAGGGTGAGAATCCACACACCATGCACGCCAGAGTTTGTGTTCATTATCAGAGACAGCCATTCTTCTCCCAGGTATCACAGTTTTTAAAAGTCTTCACCCAGATGTGTTCCAAGTTGTTCTCTCTCAGCCCTCACTACCAAGTCCCCAATTCTGGAAGTTCTTCACTGCCCCTGAGCAATGAAGCCCTTGCCTTCCCCCAAATAAAAAGACATCAGCTGCCACGGGGAAAGGACTCGCTGGAGATGGGTTCATACTCCCCGAGAGGAAATCCTGATAGGAAATGGGGCCCAGGTGTCCCGCCATGGTGGGAAGCACATGGTCAAAGAGAGCCTTTCTGTTGTAGGTTGGGAGGGGGCTTGATGTGTCGCCTTAACATCCCACTGGTCTGAGACAGAAGCCCAGCCCTACCTTTATCACTGTAGGATCTCATACAAAGGCCTTGACTTTTCGGGCCTCATCCGTCAAAGTGGATTGAAAATCATTCCAATTTCAAAGGGCTCCTATGAAGGATAAATGAATAAAAACTTTAAAAATCGGACATATAGTTTTTCATTTTACTCCACTTTTTATTCTGTCAATTACATAGCCTGATTTTTCTCCCTCAGTTTGTTATGTCTCATGAGGCTAATGTTAATGACACATTCCCTTACCTCTACTTCTTGCACATGGTAGACACTTAACAAATACACACTAGATGAGTGAGTGGAAGTTGAGAATGGAAGTTGCCTCCCCTATCCTCCTCCAGATATTATTTGACTAATAAGAATTCAATCATTTGGGAGGCCAAGGCAGGAGGATGGCTTCAGGCCAGGAGTTTGAGGCCAGCCTGGGCGACAAAGCAAGACCCCCAACTCTACAACAAAATAAAAAATAAAAATTAGCCAGATGTGGTGGTGTGCACCTGTAGTCCTAGCTATTTGAGAGGCTGAGGTGGGAAAACTGCTTGAGCTCAGGATTCTGAGGACTGCCTGGGCATCATAGTGAGACCCCAATTCTCAAAAAAAAAAAAATAGCAGGAAGTGGTGACTGAGCAGCTGTAGTCCCAGCTACTCAGGGGGCTGAGATGGGATGATCACTTGTGCCCAGGAGTTCGAGGCCACAGTTAGCTATGACTGTGCCACTGCACTCCAGCCTGGGTGACAAACCAAGACTTTGTCTCAAAAAATATATATGTTCAATCATTTTCAATAAATACAGAGCCCCTATTATGTGCCATTAATTTCAGTAAATTAAACACACTCTCAAAAAAAAAACCTGCCTATTAAGTGTGATATGTCCCCATTTCCCAGCTGGGGAACCTGACAATAAGAGAATTTAATGACCTTCCCCAAGCCACAAACCTTCTACGTGACTGGGCTCTAATTCAAGCCCAAGCCTCTCTGTAACTCCATGTTCTCAATCATTCCCCACAGTACTGTGCAAAGGACATATCATCTTTCCATTTCAGAAGCTCTGCATGTGCATGACTGTAAACTTGGAAAACACAGAAAAGTAGAAAGAATAAAATGTGGACCACCAAAAGACATACTGAGTTTGAATTGGGGGTTCCAAGATGGCCGAATAGGAACAACTCCAGTCTAAAGCTCCCAGCGTGAGTGACGCAGAAGATGGGTGATTTCTGCGTTTCCAACTGAGCTTTGAAGAGAGTAGTGGTTCTCCCAGCACGGAGTTTGAGATCTGAGAACAGACAGACTGCCTCCTCAAGTGGGTCCCTGACCCCCGAGTAGCCTAACTGGGATGCACCCCCCAGTAGGGGCAGACTGACACCTCACACGGCCAGGTACCCCTCTGAGATGAAACATCCAGAGGAATGATCAGACAGCAACATTTGCTGTTCAGCAATATTCGCTGTTCTGCAGCCTCCGCTGCTGAACCCACAAACCCAGGCAAACAGGTATTGAAGATTACCCAGGCAAACAGGGTCTGGAGTGGACCTCCAGAAAACTCCAACAGACCTGCAGCTGAGGGTTCTGACAGTTAGAAGGAAAACTAACAAACAGAAAGGACAGCCACACCAAAACCCCATCTGTACGTCACCATCATCAAACACCAAAGGTAGATAAAACCACAAAGATGGGGAAAAAACAGAGCAGAAAAACTGAAAATTCTAAAAATCAGAGCGCCTCTCCTCCTCCAAAGGAACGCAGCTCCTCACCATCAACGGAACAAAGCTCGATGGAGAATGACTTTGACGAGCTGAGAGAAGAAGGCTTCAGACGATCAAACTTCTCCGAGCTAAAGGAGGAAGTGTGAACCCATCGCAAAGAAGTTAAAAACCTTGAAAAAAGACTAGACAACTGGCTAACTAGAATAACCAATGCAGAGAAGTCCTTAAAGGACCTGATGGAGCTGAAAACCATGGCACGAGAACTACGTGACAAATGCACAAGCTTCAGTAACCGATTCGATCAACTGGAAGAAAAGGTATCAATGATTGAAGATCGAATGAATGAAATGAAGCGAGAAGAGAAGTTTAGAGAAAAAAGAATAAAAAGAAACGAACAAAGCCTCCAAGAAATATGGGACTATGTGAAAAGACCAAATCTACGTCTGATTGGTGTACCTGAAAGTGACGGGGAGAATGGAACCAAATTGGAAAACACTCTGCAGGATATTATCCAGGATATTCCCCAACCTAGCAAGGCAGGCCAACATTCAAATTCAGGAAATACAGAGAATGCCACAAAGATACTCCTTGAGAAGAGCAACTCCAAGACACATAATTGTCAGACTCACCAAAGTTGAAATGAAGGAAAAAATGTTAAGGGCAGCCAGAGAGAAAGGTTGGGTTACCCACAAAGGGAAGCCCATCAGACTAACAGCTGATCTCTCAGCAGAAACTCTACAAGCCAGAAGAGAGGGGGGGCCAATATTCAACATTCTTAAAGGAAAGAATTTTCAACCCATAATTTCATATCCAGCCAAACTAAGCTTCATAAGTGAAGGAGAAATAAAATACTTTACAGACAAGCAAATGCTGAGAGATTTTGTCACCGCCAGGCCTGCCCTACAAGAGCTCCTGAAGGAAGCACTAAACATGGAAAGGAACAGCTGGTACCAGCCACTGCAAAAACATGACAAATTGTAAAGACCATCGATGCTAGGAAGAAACTGCATCAACTAATGAGCAAAATAAGCAGCTAACATCATAATGACAGGATCAAATTCACACATAACAATATTAACCTTAAATGTAAATGTGCTAAATGCTCCAATTAAAAGACACAGACTGGCAAATTGGATAACGAGTCAAGACCCATCAGTGTGCTGTATTCAGGAAACCCATCTCACGTGAGGGACACATATGGGCTCAAAATAAAGGGATGGAGAAAGATCTGCCAAGCAAATCGAAAACAAAAAAAGGCAGGGGTTGCAATCCTAGTCACTGATAAAACAGACTTTAAACCAACAAAGATCAAAAGAGACAAAGAAGGCCATTACATAATGGTAAAGGGATCAATTCAACAAGAAGAGTTAACTGTCCTAAATATATATGCACCCAATACAGGAGCACCCAGATTCATAAAGCAAGTCCTTAGAGACCTACAAAGAGACTTAGACTCCCATACAATAATAATGGGAGACTTTAACACCCCACTGTCCACATTAGACACATCAACGAGACAGAAAGTTAACAAGGATATCCAGGAATTGAATTCAGCTCTGCACCAAGCAGACCTAATAGACATCTACAGAACTCTCCACCCCAAATCAACAGAATATACATTCTTCTCAGCACCCCACCACACCTCTTCCAAAATTGACCACATAGTTGGAAGTAAAGCACTCCTCAGCAAGTGTAAAAGAACAGAAATTATAACAAACTGTCTCTCAGACCACAGTGCAATCAGACTAGAACTCAGGATTAAGAAACTCACTCAAAACCGCTCAACTACCTGGAAACTGAACAAGCTGCTCCTGAATGACTACTGTGTACATAACGAAATGAAGGCAGAAATAAAGATGTTCTTTGAAACCAACAAGAACAAAGACACAACATACCAGAATCTCTGGGACACATTTAAAGCAGTGTGTAGAGGGAAATTTATAGCACTAAATGCCCACAAGAGAAAGCAGGAAAGATCTAAAATTGACACCCTAACATCACAATTAAAAGAACTAGAGAAGCAAGAGCAAACACATTCAAAAGCTAGCAGAAGGCAAGAAACAACCAAGATCAGAGCAGAACTGAAGGAGATAGAGACACAAAAAACCCTTCAAAAAATCAGTGAATCCAGGAGCTGGTTTTTTGAAAAGATCAACAAAACTGGTAGACTGCTAGCAAGACTAATAAAGAAGAAAAGAGAGAAGAATCAAATAGACGCAATAAAAAATGATAAAGGGGATATCACCACCGATCCCACAGAAATACAAACTACCATCAGAGAATATTATAAACACCTCTACGCAAATAAACTAGAAAATCTAGAAGAAATGGATAAATTCCTTGACACATACACCCTTCTGAGACTAAACCAGGAAGAAGTTGAATCTCTGAATAGACCAATAACAGGCTCTGAAATTGAGGCAATAATTAATAGCTTACCAACCAAAAAAAGTCCAAGACCAGATGGATTCACAGCCAAAATCTACCAGAGTACAAGGAGGAGCTGGTACCATTCCTTCCGAAACTATTCCAATCAATAGAAAAAGAGGGAATCCTCCCTAACTCGTTTTATGAGGCCAGCATCATCCTGATACCAAAGCCTGGCAGAGACACAACAAAAAAAGAGAATTTTAGACCAATATCCCTGATGAACATCGATGCAAAAATCCTCAGTAAAATACTGGCAAACCAAATCCAGCAGCACATCAAAAAGCTTATCCACCATGATCAAGTTGTCTTCATCCCTGGGATGCAAGGCTGGTTCAACATACGCAAATCAATAAACGTAATCCAGCATATAAACAGAACCAAAGACAAAAACCACATGATTATCTCAATAGATGCAGGAAAGGCCTTTGACAAAATTCAACAGCCCTTCATGCCAAAAACTCTCAATAAATTAGGTATTGATGCAACATATCTAAAAATAATAAGAGCTATCTATGACAAACCCACAGCCAATATCATACTGAATGGGCAAAAACTGGAAGCATTCCCTTTGAAAATTGGCACAAGACAGGAGTGCCCTCTCTCACCACTCCTATTCAACATAGTGTTGGAAGTTCTGGCCAGGGCAATCAGGCAAGATAAAGAAATAAAGGGTATTCAATTAGGAAAAGAGGAAGTCAAATTGTCCCTGTTTGCAGATGACATGATTGTATATCTAGAAAACCCCATCGTCTCAGCCCAAAATCTCCTTAAGCTGATAAGCAACTTCAGCAAAGTCTCAGGATACAAAATCAATATGCAAAAATTACAAGCATTCTTATACACCAATAACAGACAAACAGAGAGCCAAATCATGAATGAACTCCCATTCACAGTTGCTTCAAAGACAATAAAATACCTAGGAATCCAACTTACAAGGGATGAGAAGGACCTTTTCAAGGAGAACTACAAACCACTGCTCAATGAAATAAAAGAGGACAAAAACAAATGGAAGAACATTCCATGCTCATGGATAGGAAGAATCAATATCGTGAAAATGGCCATACTGCCCAAGGTAATTTATAGATTCAATGGCACCCCCATCAAGCTACCAATGACTTTCTTCACAGAATTGGAAAAAACTACTTTAAAGTTCATATGGAACCAAAAAAGAGCCCGCATTTCCAAGTCAATCCTAAACCAAAAGAACAAAGCTGAAGGCATCATGCTACCCAACTGCAAACTATACTACAAGGCTACAGTAACCAAAACAGCATGGTACTTGTACCAAAACAGAGATATAGACCAACGGAACAGAACAGAGCCCTCAGAAATAATACCACACATCTACACTATTTCATCTTTGACAAACCTTACAAAAACAAAAAATGGGGAAAGGATTCCCTATTCAACAAACGGTGCTGGGAAAACTGGCTAGCCATACGTAGAAAGCTGAAACTGGATCCCTTCCTTACACCTTATACAAAAATTAATTCAAGATGGATTAAAGACTTAAATGTTAGACCTAAAACCATAAAAACCCTAGAAGAAAACCTAGGCAATACCATTCAGGACATAGGCATGGGCAAGGACGTCATGTCTAAAACACCAAAAGCAATGGCTACAAAAGCCAAAATTGACAAGTGGGATCTAATTAAACTACAGAGCTTCTGCACAGCAAAAGAAACTACCATCAGAGTGAACAGGCAACCTACAGAATGGGAAAAAATTTTTGCAATCTACTCATCTGACAAAAGGCTAATATCCAAAATCTATAAAGAACTCAAACAAATTTACAAGAAAAAAAACAAACAACCCCATCAAAAAGTGGGCAAAGGATATGAACAGACACTTCTCAGAAGAAGACATTGATGCTGCCAACAGACACATGAAAAAATGCTCATCATCACTGGCCATTAGAGAAATGCAAATCAAAACCACAACGAGATATCATCTCACACCAGTTAGAATGGTGATCATTAAAAAGTCAGGAAACAACAGGTGCTGGAGAGGATGTGGAGAAATAGGAACACTTTTACACTGTTGATGGGACTGTAAACTAGTTCAACCATTGTGGAAGACAGTGTGGTGATTCCTCAGGGATCTAGAACTAGAAATACCATTTGACCCAGCCATCCCATTACTGGGTATATACCCAAAGGACTATAAATCATGCTGCTATAAAGACACATGCACACGTATGTTTATTGTGGCACTACTCACAATAGCAAAGACTTGGAACCATTCCAAATGTCCATCAATGATAGACTGGATTAAGAAAATGTGGCATATATACACCATGGAATACCATGCAGCCATAAAAAAGGATGAGTTCATGTCTTTTGTGGGGACATGGATGAAGCTGGAAACCATCATTCTCAGGAAACTATTGCAAGGACAAAAAAACCAAACACCACATGTTCTCACTCATAGGTGGGAATTGAATAATGAGAACACTTGGACACAGGAAGGGGAACATCACACACTGGGGCCTGTTGTGGGGTTGGGGGAGTGGGGAGGGATAGCATTAGGAGAGATACCTAATGTAAATGACGAGTTAATGGGTGCAGCACACCAACATGGCACATGTATACATATGTAACAAACCTGCACGTTGTGCACATGTACCCTAGAACCTAAAGTATAATAAAATATATATATATATAAAGACATCCTGAGTTTAATACTTCAAAACAGTTTTTCAGTTATCTTTTTCCGCATATAGTTTTGTGGGTTTGGTTTTTGGTTTTTGGTTTTTTTAGAGCCATAACCATACAGTATAAGCAGGTGCTGCTCCTCTCTGTTCAACATTATGTTGGAAGTGTCATTTCCTTGATCCAACGTACTCTCCATATCCATCATTTTAACGATTGCATAATATTTCCATCAAACAGACATATAATTTACTTATCATCTCTCTATTGTTGAACACTTGAATTGCTTTATCTGTTTTTGCTATTATAAATAATATTCTGCTGAACATCTTTGTACATAGAGCTTTGAGATTATTTTATTAGGCTAATTTTAATTCTTTCCTTACGCTGGTTTCTGGAAAGGTGAGATGACTGCATCAGGGGTAATGAGCATTTGCAAGTCTCTTGAAAAAAAATATTGCCAAATGTATTTTCCCAAAGATTTTCATGTAAAAAAGAGAAGAGAGAGTAGGGGCCGAAAGGAAGATAGATGGTTACTGGACAGCTGACAGTCATAGACAAGAAAAACCAGGGCCTGCCAGCAGTAGAATTGTATTATGAGCTGAGCTCCGTCAAAGTGAAGTGATAAGAAGCAAAAAGATGTTTGGTGTTTTTTGTTGTTGTTTTGGGTTTTGTTTTTTTTTTTTTTTTTTTTTGACTTCTCAGAAGGGAGAAAAAACAGTGGTAGAAAATTGCATGTAGATTAATGAAGTAAAGGTATTTTCAATCACTCTAAGAGTTGGCTTGCTAAAAAATAACAATCCGTGGAAATCTACTCTTACCAAACAAATCTCCCATCCTTTTCCAGTCGGCCTCACCTCTGAGCATTGACAAAGGAGGCCCAAGTTCCAACTTCAGGTCTGTCATTGAACAGCTGTGCCTCGGTTTACCAGCCTGCCTTACCTACCTCCCAGGGGTTATTATCAGGATAAATAAGCTTGTGTATATGAAAATACTCTGTAAAAGTTCAATCACTTATATTATCTCCTGGTCAAAATTAATTTCCTCGTTAATTGCCATTCCATGGTACAGGGACTTTCATGGCTATACAGAGGGCATCTGGCATACATACCTTTTTTTTTAATATGTAGTTCCCTGAAAATAGACTTTCATCAATGTATTAAAAAGATGTATGCTTAACTTTTACTGGGAAACTCGAATTTGTAAAGGGAGGCACACCCAACTTCATCCAGAATCTGTGCAGGTTCAGCCTCAGTCCTCTGTGCCCTTCCAAATGCCCCACCTCTAATGCCAGTAGAAGTGTGCTGACTCTGATGGCCTCTGGAGTTGGGCTGGCCTATGACTCTATGACTGTTCTATGTGACTGGGCTGACTTAACCACTGAGGATCTCAGCCATAGCTCCTCCCCAGAACTTCCTGCCCTGGAGGTCAGCCCTGGAGGCAAAGCCTCAACCAGAACCATTCCACGGGGTTTCCAGGCGGTTCAACCCAGAATCACTGGGCTTCTGCTTAGAAATGTTCTTTCCTCCATTCTCTGGAGGGTTGTTCCAGAAAGGGCAGTTCCTCTGCCCAGAAAAACCTTGGAAGACTCTGGGGTTTGGTAGTCAGTCGTCACAACAAAGCCAGCCCTGCAAAGATGTTATCCAGCATCTTAAAACTCTTGCATTGGCTTCCAGCCATCATGTTCAGGTCCACCTCCCTGGACAGTTAGGAAAATGACAAGCACATAGAGACAGAAGAGACCTAAAGATCATCAAGTCCTTCCCCTTGATTTATAGCTCAGGTATGGAGGTTCAGAGGGGGTGATTTCACACTGCTCCTTACCACAATAATATTTGAAGTATAGAATGAAGTTTTCCTAAGCTAGTATAGAATTTGAAGTATAGAATGAAGTACTCCAACTCCAGTGTGTGTTAGAGGCAGCCGGGAAGCAGGTTAAATGCATTCCTGGACCTCACCCCACACCAACTGCATGGGACTCTCTCAAGGTGAGGCCCAGGAATCTGCATTTCTAACAAGCCTCCCTGTAATGCAGATCCTCTTGCCATTCAGTGCCCAGGGCCCTAATATTACAGCAGACAGCCCTAATTTAGCTCATCTCTGCTGTGGCTTCCATTCCCTTCCCACCTCCTTAAACACACACACTCACACACATACATACACACACCATTCACACTGGGCCTGTTGATGTTGTGGAAGTAAATAAATAGGCAAGTTCAAAATCTAGAGAGACCAAAGTACAATGTGGCCTGGGCTTCTCAACAGATGGTCAGTAGCTTTGAGAGATAATGCAAGTGACAGCATATGTGAACCCCTCTCTGGCTTCAGAAGGAAACCCTGGGTGGCTGGAGAAGAGCTGAAAACGTGCTCAGCTCCTTCTGATGACAGCAGCTCACTGGCTTGAAGACACCAGTTCAATGGGGTATTACATTCCTACATAATTTAATAGCCTATTCTGCTCATTAATTTCTTTCTAAGAGCAATCCCAGATGGGAACTGTATCGATTCCTGGTGAGTCATTCATTCGCTGGCCAGTAAACTTTATAGAGCGTCCTAGGCTACCAGCCCTGAACACCCAGCACATTACAGTGGGGATGTCAGGCTCTCTGACAGCAGGGTATAAGGAGCTTGGAAAAGGTTCACAGAGAGTCCCAACATGGCTCAACCTGTGTCTATTCCCTAAAGAAGGCTGAATCCTACTGGGCCAGGGAGGGGGGTGGCTGGGAAGGGGCTATCTTCCCCCAACCCCAAACTGTCAGGGGTTATGGTCAAGCAAACAACATTAAGCATGTCCATTTTTAACTTGGACACTTTCACTTCGATTCATTTCCAAGTTCTATTGTTAATTTCTGCCTGGATTTTCCAATACAGAGTGAATTTCATACACTCAGCTGTGTATCTTTGGGTGTGTTGGTGTGTCCACCTGTGGCTACAGCAAAATCTCAGTGGAGTGGGCTGATTGGGTCTTTGAATGAGGAATCCAAAGATACCCCAGAAAACTGAAGCCTAGCCCCACCTCTGCAGCCAACTGCATGACCAGAGGCAAATCACTTGGCCTTTCTGGATCTCAGTTTTCCCTTCTGTCAAATAGGTTGGACTAGATGAACGGTTCTCAACCTAGCTCCAGCATGAGAATCCTCTAGGGAGTTTTCGAAAAATACTAGTACTTGGAGTCCATGCCAGAAACAACTGAATTCTAATCTTAGGGCTGAGTCCAGGGCTTCTGTGATTTATAAAAGTATTCCCAGGTGATTCTGACGCAGAGTGCGGTTGACAACCACTGCCCTGGGTGATCCAGCTCTGCTATTCAATTAATTCCACCATTTATCACGGAGGAGACAAGACCGAGAGAACATGGCGCAGTCGCTTTTCTTATGATTCCCGTGAAGAGAGGCCAAGGGCAGAAAGGCTCAAACAGTGCCATCTGGGATTCAATTTAACTTGCGAATTTCCTGAATTAAAAAAAGAAAGGGCGTCCTGAATATAAAAATCAGACACCAAGCCCTGGACTTGAGGTTTCTTAGTAGAAATACACTGCCAAAGGAAAGATCGCTTAAGCCCTGGAGTTTGAGCTTACAGTGAGCTATGATCATGCCACTACACTCCAGCCTGACTGACAGAGCAGGACAAGCGGAAGGACGAGTCAGAAAAGCTTTCGGGAAGAGGCAGGGCATGAGAGGCTCATCAGAAAATTCAGCCATAACATAGGAATGTGAAGCAGACGGGGGAGCAGGAAGTTCTCGGAAGGCTGGCTGACCCCAGAGGCCCTTGGTAACCAGAAGCGACAGTTGAGGAACGAGGAGTCCTGGAGCAGGAGAGGAAAAGGTGGCAACTGAGCTAAGAGGTGAAGGGCTTCCCTGGAGTCAGAGTGAGTTGGGTGGCCAGCACTGAGTGGGGGACACCCAAGGAATTCCTGCACATGCAGCCATCAGGGCCAAATCGGACATATCCCAGGCCAGGCATTTGGCAAGGAGGGGTTGCCCGAATCATAACAACCATGAATTCTCACTGTTTTGAGCTTGTAAAACCTATGAATGTAACTCCATTAGATACAACAGACTGTCCTGCATTGTATTCCTGGAGTGCTGGGAAAGGGGTAAACCACCCCAATGTCAACCCTGGGAAATGCATGTAGGAGAGCTGTGACCCAGGAGCTGACATGGGCTGAGTGGAGGGGAGGGAACTGACCCAAGGCCATGTGGCCAATGGTGATGGAGCTCCTTGAACCTGCTAATGGCGTGGCATGAAATGTGTTGAGAATTCCCCCTGCCCGCCCTACATCACGCCCTAAAATAAAAGCAACCGTGTAACAAGTTGCAAGCCTGCAAAAGGCTTTTCTTCCCATGCCGTGGCATAATTGATCACACCCATTTCTCATCAGGGTCAATAAATAGGACATCTTACCCCAGTTTTTATATCTGAGTGATGGTTTATGAGCCAAGTGACTGAAGTCTAAATAACGAAGCTGTGTTTACTTGATAAATGAAGTGCTGGAACGCCCGAGACGCCACATTTGCTAAACCTGCACCATAAGCTTTTCTCTAATGATAAATTCTCTCTGGTGTCAGGCAAAGCTGAGAGCCACATGCACCCCCAAGGACAGTCTTCTGAAGAATTGTGGCTCACACACAGGAAAAACTCTGAGTATTGATTTCCCTCACATGACTGCACAATGTTAGTGGTAAAATCATAGAATCCTGGGATGCTGAAACCGGAAAAGCCCTTAGAGGCAGGCCATCAAGGACTATCACTTGCTAAGCAAGCTCCCAATTTTACCTATGGGGAAACTGAGGCCCAGGGAGGGAAAGCTACCTTGGTAACTGGTTTGGCAGCGACAGAGTCCAGAAGTCTAGTCATTTGAGCCCCAGATTTGGGCCAGCCCTGGGAAAGAGTAATCAGTCACCTACCTACCTCCCCAAAAAGCTTAAAGGCTGGCAGGAGATGGGCATGTCAGGCAATAAATACAATGTGGTGTTGCAGGTGCTGGGATAAAACTCAGGCTGAACACCAAGATCCAAAAGCAGAGGGAATGGGTGGAGAAGGCATCTTGGCAGAAGGGCACAAACTGAGCCTTGAAAGCTGGGTAGATGGTTGCAGGCTGACAAGCAGAAAGAACAATCCTGGCAGGGATACAGGAGAGCAAAGGTAGGTGCGGCATTGTGGTGAAAGGGAAGGAGATGATGCATTTATTCTGGATTATGTTTGAAGTGTTAGATGGCTAAGTATTAAAAGCATCCAGATTAAATCCTTAGCAATCAGAAACGCTTGCTTCACTAGATTTTGCTAACTGCCAGTCATGTTGAACTGAATTAATATGTCCCTTTTTGTGAAACTATTAAGGTAAATAATTAACAATAAAGCTTCCTCTTATAAAGGAAAAAAAAGAGTAAAGGCAGAGTGGCTACAAGAGCCTGATGGTTTGCAGGAAGATGAGACTGGAGGTAGGAAGGCCCATCAGAGAGGGTCTTCTGAAGAAAAGGATTTTGGATTTTACCAGAGAGGATGATGATATAATTGAGTCTGCATTTTAGTAAGATCAGGTGGGGGTCAGATTGGAGGAGGGTATACACGAGACAAAGGCCAGTTAAGAAGCTCTTGCAACAGTCCTGGAGAGAAATGATTAGCCTCAACTTAGAGAAGAAGGGATGCTTACATTGACTTGGGAAAATGGAATCTGTAGGTCCTTTTCACACCTCCAGTGGAGGCTAAGGGAGAAGGAAAAGGGGCCAAGGTCCTTTTTAAAAGAGACTGTGTTCTTCCCTCCAACTCCCAAAAAGAATAATTTTTCAGGTCTAAAAATTAAGAATCCATGCAGTTAGTGCTCTTCAAGTTATAAGCTAAATTCCCATACAACAGATATCAGAGGTGAATTGCAATGTGCTATGTAGTTAATAGAAGCCATCATGCTAACTCAGAACAGACGGCCGCCTGGGATTTTCTTGAGTTGGATAATTTGAGTTCTGTTAAATAAAGTATTGTTTACTAATAAAACTAATAAAAAATTGCCTGTATTAGGCAGGGGAGGCTAACTGTTGTGACAATCAACCCTTAAATCTGAGTGGTTTAACACTAATACAATAAGAATGTGTTTCTCACTCACATTGCAATCCAATGCAGTTGGCATTTGGGCGGTTCTCCATGCTGCCATTCAGGGACCCAGCCTTCTCTCAACTGGTGTCTCTGTCCTCCTGTAGGTTTTCAGGCTCATCTCTCTTTAGCTATCAACTGGTAAAAGAGAGAGCACATCTACTCAGTCAGGGGATCCCACATCACTTCTATTTTACCGCATCTCAATGGTGAGAACTAGTCACGTGCCTCTCCTAGATTCAAGGAGAGCTGGGAAAAGCAGTCAGCCTAGGAAGAAGGTGAGAATTCCAATACTGGAGAACTGCCCTAGTTTATCTGTGCAGTGAACTCACTGTTAGCACATGGCATTTTCTTACTGAAGATGTTCTGGATACCCGCTAGAGCTCAGTGGGCACGATTTGCCTAGCCACCCCCGACCCAAAGACCCCAACAAGCAGGGACCTCATACCCTGGAGGTCACTGGGTAGAGGCTGTATCCATCATCCTGTCCTCTGCCCTATCTATCCTGAAGAGAGAGTTTTATCCTCCACCTGCCAAGCTCCTCAATGCCAGGAGCTTCCTGTTCTCCACATGCTCCTCCTAATAGATGGCTCTTCCCTCTCGCATCGACAGGAGACAGAGGCTCTAAGGCAGTTGTCAAGAATTACTGCAGCCCAGAGAAAGGACGGGGAGAATGACAGTGATTCATCAAGAAGACTTATAAGCTGATTGGGCAACTCATGATCAAAGCTGTTTAGCTACCCAAAGGGATAGCAGGATAAATTACAGCCAGAAGAATTAACAATTTTGTAATTGGCATCTTACATTGTGAAGGCTCATTCCAGTCACCTGTCACTGAGCTTTTAAAGTTTAGGGGAAAGCATTTGGCGGTGCCTGACTCTGTGTGTTCATATCTTGCTTTCAACAACTGAAGGATGGGTTTCTGAGAACAAGGGTGAGATACGTATTTATAAATGAAATCTTTTCCATGGGTTCCTCTTTCAGACCTATTTTTTCTGCAGTCCCATTTGGTTTCTAGCAGTCAGTGGCTCCCAGCACTGGCTTTCCATAATGTGGGCTTTGCTCTTTTTCTCTTCCCGCTACCATCACCGTCAAGTAGCTAATGATTCGTAAACAGGCATGGCAGCTTGCACATGTAGCTGCCACTTAAAGGGCCCTGGATAAACCCTTTGTGAAAATCATGGATCCTTGAATAATTGAAATAATGTCTGCCCTGACCCAAGGTTGGGTGAATTTCACAGACTGGATTTTCTTAAGGCAGACAAAATTTTTCTGTCCTCTTTTGCCAATGAGGATCTCTGCTATATTGACTGCCTTCTATATGTCATATAGGCAGTGCGCTAGATTCTGTTCTTATATCTCATAAAACCCCTCCAAGATGAAGAATGGTATTCCTATTTCACACAGAGGTAACTGATACTCAAAGAAGTTCACTAACTTGCCCGAGGTCACCAAGCTAGCAGGTGGCAAGGATGAATTTCAAGCTTAGGACATCTGACTCCAACCTCAACTCAGTCCCCAGATGAGGTGCTTGCCTACAGGAGTCTCAAGAAGATGCCAGGGAGTAAATCAGCTTATTAATATTTTGTAAAGCTTCCAGGAAATGACAAAACTTGAATTCACAGGGCTGTGAATATTGTGATAGTCAATTCAGGGGTCTAGCTTGCAGTGTATGGGATCATATTCTTCCTCACACAGTAACCCAGAAAGAGAGCTGGGCAGGGCACAGGATTGGGAGACAGCTGGTTCAGTGTGCGGTAGGACCAGGATTCAAAAGACTTGGGTTCTCATTCAAACTGTACCTCTGACCTGCTAAATTATTTCTAGAAAATCACTTTGCCTTTGCGAGTCTGTCTTCAATCTGTAAAATGGTGATGATATGCCTGTCCTCCACTGAAAGGGAAAGAGACCCTTGGCAAAGCATCCTGAGACATACAGAAATCTCTCAATGGGTCTCTGAAAAGAAGGTCTATCCAGGGGCAATGGGCACCATCTGGTATTAGACAAGGAGGGGTACCTTGGTATGGGACTATAGGATAGTAGTGCAGGGCTTCAACATTAGACTGTTGAAATCTAAATTCTGACTCCATGACTAGCCAACAATGAGACCATGAGCAAGTTTCTTCATGTCTCCATCTTAATTTCTTCATCTGCATAGCAGGGATAACAATAGTACCTACCTCATACCTAATCTATGCAAAGCACCAGGACCAGAGGGTGTCAGTCCAACCTTCCCTGCACCCCTACCCTCCCACACTTTCTCATGGTGTTTCCACATGCCAGTCTCCCCACCACCAAGCAGGAGGGCCATGGTCCATGGAACAATCTCAAGTAGCCAGGCTTGAATGAAGGTTATTTGTTCCTCTTTGAAAAGTGAGCACCCGGGATTTCCTCATGGTCTAACAGTTTGCATCTGCTCATCTATGATGTTACAGACTTGCAGGGGATGTTTCACTTCAAAGACCACTTCATCAGAGCAGCAGGAAAGACATCTGAGCATTTTGTAGTTAAAGTCAATATTGCTTACGATTTCTTCCAGTGCTCTTTCCAATGCCCCTGAGTTAGGGAAGAGGGAAGTGGGATAGGCAACCTAATATTTTTGAGCACAGACTATATGGCAGACCCTATACATGCAATAAAGACACTGAGGCCTATAGAGAGGATGTCACAGGCCATGGTCATCCAGAGCCAGGATTTGATACTGAGGCTGACTGATCCCAATCCAGACCATGGTCTCTTGAGCATACAAGAGAAGGGATGCCGCCAATACGTTTTGTCAACCAAACTTGCCCTCTGTTACTACGTCTCCAGCATAGAGGTGTGTTTTGAGAGGCGAGTGGGAGCTGAGGAATGGCCTCTCAGTTTAGATCTGAGATCTGAAAAAATTTCCCAGCGGCCACGTTCAGGTATAAAGAAAACCTCAGCAGAAGGCTCAGCAGGTTACATCGTCTCAGTTGAAGTTCCTGAGGTGGGGCTCAGGTCTTCCGTTGAGGTCTTCCTCAGGCTGAGCAGGCTTACCCGATAGCATTTTCTTTCCTAACATTCCCATCTGGTTCAAAAAGCCTTGCCCTGATCCTTGGGACCACTAGGAGGCAACAGTGAGCAGGAGACAGATAGTCCAGTGGCACAAAAGAGCACAGGCATGAGGAGTCTCTTTCCCCTTCCTCCCTTCCCTGTCCCACCCACCTTGCCATAATTCCAAAATGGTGAGGGGCATGGGGGATTTCTCTTGGTGCAGTCCTGGGGAAGAGGAGCACACTTTGGAGCGCCTGTTTTATGCAAAATGCTGCGGTAGATGCTTCAGTCTATATGTTAATCTCATTTAAAACTCCCTGTAACCCTGTAATGTAAAGCTAAGTATTCCCATTATACAGATGAGGAAACCGAGGCTCAACAGCATTTGTAAAACTTACCCATGGTCTACAGGCAATAATAACAACAGCTGCCATTGACTGAGCACCAGCTGTGTTCCAGGCACTGTACTGAGCCGTTTGCAATCATGAGTCCATTTGCTGTGTATCTCATCAAATCTAAGGTAACAACTCCAACTGTAAGGGTCAATATTATTTCATGTGACAGTAGGAAAGAAAAACACTACTAATTAAACTAAACACAATGCTAAGAGGCCATTAATGGTAAGATGTTATAGACATGTTAGGATATAGAAAATTATGCATCTTAAAATGATGAAACATAGAAATTCTCAAACAGTGAGATATGAGCTGTTATTCCCAGCTTATAGACAGGGAAACTGGGCCAATAAATGAGACAGCCAGCCCCAAACTGTCTACCTTTGGCACACAGCTAAGTCTTTTAGCCACACCATGCTACTCCCAAATATTGACAAAGAAGTCACTGTGTTCCATTGTGCCGACACTCTCCTAGGACATTCCATTCAGTCTGAACAGCAAATCTGTGGGGCCGTACTGCTGTCTCCCTTCTACAGACAAAGGGACAGCTGAGAATTAGAATCCAGACCTGCCTAATACCAAAGTCCACGCTCTTTTCACAACATGGTACACCATCTGCCCCTTCCTGCCTCTGTGATCCCCAAATGATCTCTTCTGGAAGCCCACATGGCATCCTGTGTGGACACTGATGTCACTTGGTTGAGCCCCTGATGAAAAGGTAAGAGTGCATGTCCTTCTTGGGGACCAGCAAGGAGGTCAGGGAAACCTGGAAGAAAATAATACGTAGGACCAGACCCTCTCTATCAGGTGAAATTGACAGGGAATCCACTCTCTGCAGCCACACCCCAAAGTCCAGGCAGACAGGGAGACCCCCGTACCAGGGACAAAGATCCAAACCCAACCTGGAACTCCAGGCCCTGGGATGGGCCCACAGGACCCAGGGAGAACTCCCATCCAGGGAGTGCTAGGGAAACTAGTCAGGTTTTTAAGGCCCAGGGCTCCAGACCTGGAGCAGATTTCAAGGACTCAACTGCACCACCTGTGTAATCTGTAGCAGATGACGTGGTCTCTCTTGACTGAATTTCCTCTTCTGGAAAATGAGAGTAATAACCATAACATGCATTAGGACATACAAGGCCCATCCAGAAATTAAGCCCCTTACCTGGATTTTACTATCAAAATTCTTCCTAGCTGTAGGTTGATCTTGAGAGATACGTTCAAGTGTGAGCTCGCTGGCCATCCCCAGTTTCCTAAGGCATGATCCTCAGAGACGAGAGGCCCTAGTGAGCAGTGATCAAGAAGCTATGGGGCTTTACTGGTTCACAAACTGAAGTGTGCCTGTCCATGAGAGAGATGAGAGATTCTTAGTCAGCTCGAGGTGCCATAGCAAAATGCCACAGGTTGAGTGCCTTAAAAAACAGACACTTACCTTCTCTTATTTCTGGAGGCTGAAAGTCTGAGATCAGGGTGCCAGAGTTAGTTTCTGGTGAGGACTCTCTTCCAGGCTTGCAAACAGCCACCTTCTTGCTGTGTCCTCAAATGGCCTTTCCTCAGTGCTCACGTGGAGAGAGAAAGAGCTCTGCTATGTCTTCCTCTTCAACAGACACCAGGGACTCCAACCTTATCATCTTGCTTAACCTTAATTACCTCCTTAAAGGATCTGTCTCCAAAAATTGTCACACTGGGGGTAAGGGCTTCAATATATGAATTTTGGGGAGGAGAGACAGACAATTCAGTCCATCACAAATAAAAATGACTTTGAACTCCTGAGGTAGATGGTATATTTATCTTTCCATCGCAGTCCTTCCTAATTGTCAAAGCATTCAAGATTACATCTAGGAAGGGCAGCATCTGCCCAATTCCCATTCAAAGTTTTCATGATGTACCCCAGAGACTTTAAAACCAATGCTGGCTAGAGCACTGGCTCAATCATATACAACTGAAATCATTTAGTGGAAAAGAAAGCCTCAGCCATATACAACTGAAATCATTTAGTGGAAATGAAAGTACTTTACTTGCTGTAAAGTAAGGCCAGGCATAGTGGCTCATGCCTGTAATCCCAGCACTTTGGGAGGCTGAGGTGGGAGAATTGCTTGAGCCCAGGAATTCGAGACCAGCCTGAGCAACATAGTGAGACCCTGTCTCTACAAAAAATAACAAAATTAGACAGGCATGGGTGACATGTGCCTGTAGTCCTAGCTACCTCAGAGGCTGAGGTGGGAGGGTTGCTTGAGCCTAGGAGACAGAGGGTACAGTGAGCTATGATGGTGCTGCTGCACTACAGCCTGGGTGACAGAGAGACCCTGTCTCTAAAAAAAAACAAAAAGTGGGGGGAGGGATCTGTAAAGTAGCTCCGCCCCATGTGAGACATGTGCCCCAGTATGCCAAGGATTGCAGCATTTCTAGGGATGAGGACAGGGAATTCACCCTCAACTCTGAGAGGGAAGGGGGTCAAGAACATAAAGTTTGGATCCCAGATTTCACCCTGGCAGAATCCCATAAAAGCCACACATGTTTTATGCCTGTAAGCATCCACTATTCCCCCACTGAAAAGATCCAGGAAGAGGACAATAAAAGATGAATTTTATGGCAACTGCTTGGTGTGCACAGAGCTTCCTGCGAGGCCATCTCAGGCGCTGAGGGATGCAGCAGAGCCTTAATCATGCGGCATCACGAGTGCAGGGAAGAAACTCATCCAGCTCTTGAGCCTGGGCTCCGGGGTTGGTTCTGCCCTGTGGGCCCCCTGCCCCTGCAGTAGTGTCCCAAAGGAAGAAGGTGACTGGGGCTCATTCTGACGACTCTGCCCGGCCTCCAGCGGCCTCCCTGGTGGAGTGTTGGGCGTGGAGTTGTCAATCTGCTGCAGCTGCCACTCAAGGGAGAATTATCAGTGAGGATTAACTGAGGCTGCACACACACAGACCCTGACATGTTGCCACCCATGCAGGGGCTCAACAGACATCCCCTTCCTTTTTTATTCAGGGCTAAGCCCTGAAGCTTGGTGCTGGGTCAGCTGAAAACAAATCTGTTCTGAGGCTATGGAGGGCTAAGGTTGTGGTGGGGGAGCATGGCTGGAGGGGAGGACAGGCGGGCTGCAGAGGCCAGAGCTGGGCAGGCTTCCCCTGTATTCAGCTCCCCACACACACACACCCAGCACCCACTCCCTCACACTCCCAGCCTGGGCAAAAGCCACCCTGGGACAAGAGACACTCCTTCATTTCCCACTCAGGTGGGGGAAAGTGGATTTTGAATAGAGCAAAAGCCAAAATTGCAGCAAATGCATTGAGATGTGCTCTACTTTAAGAAAACCCATTAAGCAAATATTCCAACCTGGACCCAACTTCCATTTCAAATACACCCATTGAAAAAAGCAAGGAAATAAAAGGCCGCTATTCCAAAAGAGATAGTGAATGGAAGCCAATTTATACCCCAACAAACGCACTCCTGACCCCACCCCAATCCCCTGCCCTTGTCACTCATCCAGGAATGTCTCCATTGCCATGTAAATGTCATATGTGTAATCTATGTTAAGGGGAAGAGTAGAATGATGGGAATTGAAGATGGATGACTAGCTAAGGAGCAGAGTCAAGCCCCAGATGACACCACAGTACAGGGAAACAAACAATTCACGGCTGCGCCTGTGCACTCTCTGGAGGCTTCATTCACACCTTAGTCCATATGAGTAGACCCTCTTGCAGTTGCGCAGTGCATGCTCTGCATAGCTGTACCCGGCAGCTCTGAGATAGTCCAATTCACATAGAGAAAGGTCACTTCTCCTGACCTCTTCAGATTCTTCAGCTGAGGGTGGAAGTTGGACTCAGGAATTTTCTTAGAAAGATGGAAATGCAACCATAAAAAGAAAAAGAGGAAACGGAGGAGGAGAAGGCGTGTGGGGAGAAAATGCAGGACAGAGATGCAATCTGGAATGAAAATTGCCCCTTTCCAGCTTACAGAGGAGTCAGGACTCTCCCTCTCAGTACTATGTCTTGAGGATCCCAACAGCACTGGCAGGTCAGATGGTGGCCCCCGCCATGACCCTGGCCCAGAAAAGACAAAGCTGATATCCTAGCCTGTGGCTGGAGGGGCTGAAGAAAAGCTGAGCTCTGAGAGGTAAAGTGCCTGGCCAGCCCCCCATTAGCCAAGCCACACCTGCGTAACTCCAAAGCCCAGGCTCCTTCCTGTGGGTGAGTCCACCTCCCCACCTGCATCCCTGGAACACTTCTCCTCCCCCTGTTTCAATCAACAAATCATACACGGAGGCAATTTGCTGGGAACATGCTTCCGGCGCCGCTGACAGCACTCGCCCAAGAAATTGTGTCCCGATGAAGATGTGATTATAATGGTGCGTCGGCATGCACAGGCACACTGAAAACACTCTTCTTGCTGAGGCGGCTCTTATGTTGGGGAGAGGAAGGGAGGGCACAGATTTAACAGGGGCGAGACCTGCTAGTGATACCTAGGATTCACAGTATCATTTAACAAGGGTGATACCTACTAGTGCGTGGGTAGGATTCACATTAACAATTATGGAGAACTGTTCAGGCCCTCAGCTGGTACAGTGTTGGGGCTGCTCCATAGGCACCGGGCATTGTACCCCAGCCCAACACTCACCCACATGCCAGCCTTGCTGTATTGCTTGAGGCTTCCCCACCTCTTTATACCTCTTTATACCTCTGTATCTCTGCACATGCAGTATCCTCTACCCAGAACACATTTCCCACTCCTGATCTGCCTAAAAAAACATAGTCTTTCTAAACTCAGCTCAAAGGTGACCACCCCCTCCATAAAGTCTTTTCCGGATGGCACCCCCAATTAGTTGGACCATGCCCTCCTCAGTGCCCCCACTACGCCTGGACATTATGACCCCACTATAGCATTTGCTTGGTTATGTGCATGTCTGTTCTTTTAGACTAAACCCCATGGGTGTAGGAATCATATCTTATTCATCTTCATAGCCTCAATTCCTAGCAGTGTTTCTGGAACAGATTAGTGCTTAATAAATGTTTATTGGGGCCAGGCGTGGTGGCTCATGCCTGTAATCCCAACCTTTGGGAGGCCAAAGCAGACAGATCATTTGAGGTCAGGAGTTTGAGGCCAGCCTGACCAACATGGTGAAACCCCATCTCTACAAAAATACAAAAATTAGTTTCGGGTGCCTGTAATCTCAGCTACTTGGGAGGCTGAGGCAGGAGAATCGCTTGAAGCCAGGAGGCGGAGGTTGCAGTGAGCCAAGATCTTACCATTGCATTCCAGCCTGGGTGACAGAGCAAGGCTCACTCTCAAAAAAAATAAAAAAATAAAAAATATTTATTGGACACATAGAAGGTGGATGGGTGGGGGGCATGGGAAGATGGATGGATGGATGGTTGGATGGATGGATGGATGGATGGATGGATGGATGGATGG
The DNA here is from genome assembly GCF_000001405.40 of Homo sapiens. Lineage (NCBI taxonomy): Eukaryota > Metazoa > Chordata > Mammalia > Primates > Hominidae > Homo > Homo sapiens. Next base: position 33,044,265 of record NC_000017.11, on the reverse strand, counting down.
ATGGGTAGATGGATGAACAGATGGACAGATAATGGGTGGGTGGGTGGATGGATGGACAGATGGAAACAAAACTGCAGAGGCTCTTATGACATCAAAGCTTAAAGGATTCTCGCAGAGCTCCAGAGGCATATCTAGAGCCAGCAAGGCCCAAGATAAAAGTCGTGTTAGAATGAGTCAAGTTATAGTCTTTCAAAAAAAAATCCTGTTGCTTTTTTGCATAACCAATTCACATTTTCTGCTCTTATCACATTCTCTCCCACTCATAGACATTTTTGCAATGGATATGAGCTTATTATTTTATTCATCACAAACCATGGGTAGTTCACTTTTTAAATTGATTTTTGTTGCTCATCAAAGTGCTATATCAGCTACTACTGCAACTTCGCTTCCAACCAGCACAACAATCAGCTGTGTGTGATTCCAGGGCAGGAGGAGGGCATCCCCAGATTCTGATGGGGTGATTCCCTGTGTGGTCTGATTGTCCAAACGCCAGTCAGGGACACTCCTTCACAAGCAGGCAGGTTGTGGTTACTGTTCTTGTGGGGAAGTCATGCTGAGCACATTCTGTATTTTATATAATACATAATAAGTTTTGTCTGTTCTCTGTGAATATTTAGCAATGTGTGGTTTGATGGTTTCTACATATGAAGCCTCCCAAAATGGAACATTTCCTCTCAGTTCCAATTTCAATCAAATGGCAGTGTTTAGATAAGTTCTAAGACAGTGTCTGTGATTGATTGGTGATGTTTGCCATATGCCCAGGATTGGAGGGAATGGGGAGCAGTCCCCTGGTTTGCCTTATAGAGCACCCACCACCTGTACTACACAACAGGTTATCTATTCTGAACCTACATGCTGCAGATGAAAATGCTAAGTCTCCTAGAGACGAGAGCTGGTTAATAGCAGAGCCAAGATTAGGATGTCCCCTGACCCCCAGCCAGTAGCCTTGTGGTCAGACCAACTTGCTTTTGAATCCTGCCTCTGCCACTTCTTAGCAGTGTGGCAAGTGACTGAAGTTTGCTCATCAGTAAAACGGGGATGTGCCGAGTGTGGTGGCTCACGCCTGTAATCCCAGCACTTTAGGAGGCCGAGGAAGGCAGATCACAAGGTCAGGAGATCGAGGCCATTCTGGCTAACACGGTGAAACCCTGTCTCTACTAAAAATACAAAAATTAGCCGGGCGTGGTGGCAGGCGCCTGTAGTCCCAGCTGCTTGGGAGGCTGAGGCAGGAGAATGGCATGAACCTGGGAGGCGGAGCTTGAGGTGAGCCGAGATTGCACCACTGCACTCCAGCCTGGGCGATGGAAGAGACTCCGTCTCAAAAAAAAAAAACAAAACAGGGATAATGTTTAATCGGCAAGGTTGTTGTGAGAACTAAGCTGTTTGATGCATCTATGCAATGTTTCCCATATTGGGGTCTGAAGAACTCATATCCCTATCTCAAAAATCTCTGCAATGGCCTCCAGCCACTCACTCAGTAATTACCTCTGCTTCCTGTGGACTCCACCCTGCTGTGGTATATTCTTTCTTTAGACAAAGCAGTCTCAGGTGGTTGCAAAAAGTATGATCTGCTGGGTTCCAATCCCAGCTAGGCCACCTACTGTCCAATGTGACCAGAGTCATTTAACCTCTCTGGGCTCCAGTCTCACCAGGTATCCAACAGAGACAATCAAAGTTTCAATTCCATAAGGCTGTTATGAGGATTCAATGAGACGGTTCTAGTAAAATGCTTAGAACAGTGCCTGGCACATAGTAAAGGTTCAACAAATATCAGCTATATTTATACCATCAGTTAATCTACAGTGAGTCTTTTGGGCAAGTAGTACCCAGTCTCACAGGGTTATTGTGGGGATTAAAAGAGATAATATTCTTAAATCCCTTTTAATCCACAGACACCAACTGGCAGGTGTTATTGCTCCATCTCTTAACAGTGACTTTTGCTTATTCTTGATCTCATCCTTTCTGCTTTGACCTTCTGGGTTGAACCCTTACTGAAGCCAGGCAGAGGCAGGAGGAGGGTGTCTCACTGCTTCTGTGCTGCCTACAAGGACATGTCTCCCCTGAGACCCCTTTGATGCCTCTGTTACCTGCTGATTGGTGGATTTGATTTTAGTATGTGATTTGATTTCCAAATTGTTTAAAAGGAGCACAATAATAATCATATACAAACACACTTAAATCATGCAGCAGGATGCAATAAAAACATCAAACTGAACATTATGGCTCAAAAAGCAGGCTCTGATTTGCCCTCCAACTGGGTGGGGCAAGACAGAAATTTGCACTTATAGTGGGAGGCAGGAAAAAGAGGGGAGCTGACAAGGCACAAGGTTAGAAACAGGGGGACCTCACAGGGCCACCTGATCCTAGAACCTAGGGCCTCTCGGAGTATAGTGCCCCTTACAGATGGGGCACAAAGGCCCAGAAAGGTTGAGTGTCATGCCCAAGATCACACTGGAAATCCTGACCATCGGCTAGTCCTGAACTCAGATGTGATTTGGTGCTAAGCCCACCTCATTGTAGAGCCCATGAGGACCAGCATGGACATTCTGCTCCTGCCTGGCTTCAGCCTGGTTCAGCAGAGTGCAGAACTCAGCTGACACCCACAGAAGGAGCATTTAAGCCAGCCCTAGCCAAAGGGGAATTGTCAATTCCAGTGGTTAGAACCCGAGTTCTGGCTTAGAGGAGGCAGTCTCTTGTACTTATCCTCTGGTCTGGGGCTGGGAGAAAGTAGGATAGGGAAATTCATTCATTTGCTCGCTCATTCATTCATTCAACAAGCAAGCATCAAGCACCCACTATGTGTCAAAGTCTGAGATCCAGTGAGCAAGAAGAGATGTGGGGATGTTCTGAGAGGAGGATGGCAATTAGGACAGGCAAAGAGACCAGCCACCATACTGCCATCTTGAATGAAGGACTTTCATAAGTGCTTTCCTAACCTAAAGACTCAGACTCAACAAACGCATGTAAACACTGTGCAAGGTGCATCCATGTCTATTGTCTAATTTAACTCTCAGGAAGTCCTAGGAGTTGCAAATTATTATCTCTGTTTTACAGATAAGGAAACTGAGGCCCAGAGTAGTTAGGTAACTTGACCAAGACCACACAGCTCATCAGTTCTTCCCACCACCCCTCAGCTGTGTGGGCAGGAGGAGGAGGGAGAGAACAGGCTCCAGGGCTCTGGAGATGTGCCTCAAGATGGTAGCGGGAGGGGCTCAGGCAAACAGGGGCCCCTTGAGAGCAAGTACCCTGTTTTACTCATCTCTATAGCCCCAGTGTCTGGCCCTGTGCCTGACGCATCCTAGGAATTAATGAAGTCTTTATATGATTAGGTTGGACCACTCAGCTGGTTGGGCTAACAAAAGCCTTTCTGAGGCCCCCAACAAGGTAACAGCCCAGGGCGCACCCCCACTCCTGTCTCTCACACTTTCAAAGGACACGTCCATCAGGTTGAGCACTATCTTGTCAATGATAGAGCCTTGCTGAGCAAGCTGAACACTCCTTTTGACTATGCTGTCTGAAAAACAGACTGCAAAGGAGACTTTTTGCCTCCGTTCCCAAGGCAGTTTTTCTCAGAGAGAAGGCTTTCTGCTGGCTCTAAGCCAGGGTCATGCTGGCCTCGTCTTGATCGGTTTCTCCAGACAAAGAAAAGGAAGAAAGCATGTTCTGACCTAAACATTTAGACCACCCTAATCATCTGAGAGTAGCCCATCCACCTACCACCATCTGTCCTGGATGGCAGTAAGTGAGATATGTAGACTCAAAGACTTTGAAGACCCTGGAGCTTAGAAACTATCTGGTCCAGACCCCTGATTTAGTGGAGCAGATACATTAGGCTGAGAGGTTACAATTCCTGCCCCAATAGTGCTCTTCTCACACCACCAGCCACTACATTGCATTGCTGACACCATTGTGAAGAAGTGGTCAAACTGTTGGATGCTAGCTTCCCAGCCAATAATACACAGACAGAGATCCCAGAGAGGAGACTTCATTGGAACCATAGGTCATTGGAGTGTGTCTCTTCATGACTGATGCAAAGGCATGGCCAGGTGGGCTCCAGCCATCACTCACTGCACTCCCTGAGCCAACCTCCTAACTAGGGAGATAGAAGGGCAATACTGACTCACAGTGAAACCATGGCTGCCGTTTATTCACCATCTGTATACATCAGGCACTCTTGGAGATGTTCCATCTTGTTACACAACAAGGCAGAAAAATATCTTAACATCTAGCCTCGGAATTCCTCTTAGGGAGGGAACTTCCTTTCCTTGGGAAAATACTATGATATAGTGAGACTCTGTGGGAAAGGATGTTGCCATGTGCCAAGACTTCAGAATAGGATGAAACTGCTTAGGAACATGTTGATTCTGCTCCTGGAAAAGGGTAAGAGCACATGAGTGAGAGAGAAAGGAGGAGGGAGAAGAAAGAGAGAAAAAGATGGGGAGGGAGCAGGATCAGGCAGGTGAAGGAGGAGTAGAATCCTCTCTTCCAGTGGAAGGTTTTGCTTTGCTCTGAGGTAGCCCCCTCCTCCAACTCCCTCTGACATCTTCTGTGTGTTCTAATGCTTTGGGTGAGTGGGCCTTCTGTACAACTTAACAAGGGGCTGCATTTTATGTCAGGTCCTATTATGCAGAACAGAGAGCAAATGTCAGCCAAGGGTAATATCTGGGTTACACATACTTTAACATGTTCAAAAATCACAGCATCCTCTGAAGCAGCCAATATCTCAGGATTGATCTCATGCAGAAGGAAAGGTCAGAGAGGCTCAACCATTTGTCCAATGTCCCCCAGCTAAGGTGGTGTCAGGGCCAAGATTCAAAGCCAGCTTAATCTTGACCACGGAGCACAGGCTCTTAAATAGTCATTCCCAGCGGAAGACGAGCCAGGATCTCAGACACACGGGTCAGTGAGGAAAGGGAGGAGGCCAGGCCAGGCAAGGCTGAGGATCCTGACCTCCACCTGGGCAGGAACCCTCAGGGATACCCCCAAGCCTAATGGAATTTGGTCCATGTGAGCAAATGTCCAATCCCTGTGGCACCATGGAACAGCCCTGTGAGCACCGTGTCCTATCCCTGTGGCAGAAGGCCTAGTGACTGACATAACAGAAGAGCCAGGTGGGTATCAGGTGAGCCAGGTGGATATCTCTCCCTGTCTCCCTCCTTTTTCCTCTCTCCTCATATATGCTTTCCTGCCCATTCCAGAAGCAGAAACCACATACTCTTAGGCAGTTTCATCATCTTCTCAGCATCCACTCACAGCAGCATCTAAGTCAAAGCCTCAGAGTGTGGGATGCAGACACAAAGGAGGGAAGGGCCCAGGGAGCTTGGCAAGGTCCTAGGAGATTGGCTGGACTCCCCTTAGGGCTGCGAGGGCTGCGGAGGCCTTGGGCAGCTGTGCTTGCTGCAGCGCCACCTACTGGTGTGCCTTAGGATCTTTGGTCTGGGAGAGGCTGGAAAAATCAATGATTGAAGAACAACATAAGGATGTCCCCAGGCAGGTTAAGGGCAAACATCAGCTTCTCTCTACAAAATGAAGGCGACTGTTGAGAGAAGCTCCAGACAGTGGAGCAATGAAAGACATGCACCAGGGTATTTAATCACAAAAGTTCTGCATTCCTTGCTCTGTTCATAAATTTAAGCAATTATCAAAGCCTCCAGTTCCATAGCACAGTGGAGAAAGAGTGGGGGAGGATGAGTTGTCAAGTACATGCAGGAGCATCTCAATCCTGGGTGTCTCTCCTCGATCTCCGGGCTAGCTCATCCACCCTACATGTTCATTATACACTAATGACTCCCACATTCATGTCTGTAGCCCAGATCTCTCTCCCAGCTCCACTCCCATAGATTCATCTTCCTGGTAACATCTTGACTTGGATGTCTGAACCGGGCAGGAGTCATTATCACAAGAAACTCAACTCAAAATAACTTAAGCCAAAAAGGCAGAGATTTGCTGGCCTGTTTAGCCAAATTGTAAAGAGAGCCAAGGTGGAGCTAGAATATTTGTTGAATAAATGAAAGGATAGAAAAACATGAAGGAGTTTATTAAGAGAAGGTGATGAGAACTAAGTCTTGGCAAGTACCTACTAGCATCTGGGCACTGAACTTATTTAATCAGATAAGGAAACTAAAAGCTGGGGCTGAGGGATGGGGCTGTGTAGCTTACCCAAAGTCACACAGCTGTCTCATGAAAGAGAGGAGTTCGAGGTTCTGCATGGGTCATTCTGCTATCTCTCATTCTCAAATTAGAATAGTAGATTTAAGGTCTATGATTAGACACAAAGGCTTAAGAGATCATGGAAGTCATCTCATCTAACTGTACACCCAATGCTTGAATCTCTCTCTCTTCCCATCCCAGCCAAATAGTTGTATAGTTTCTACTTGAACAGCCCTGGTGATGGAGAAGTCACTCCCAAGACAGTGATTTTATTATTGAATTATACCAGTGGATTAGAAAGTTCTTCCTTATGTTGAGCCAGAATGTATCCAATGCTTATAATGTGCCTACCTACCACAGTGCCTGCAACAAAAATAAACGTTATTATCATCCCACGTTCCGTATTACAACTATTCTTGTGTCTATCTTTCCCTTGGGATGCCAGAAAACAAATCTAATTCTTCCCTGAGACAGTTCTTCAGATATTTGAAGATGGTGCTTCAGGGTCCTCCTGAGTCTTTGCTTACCCGGATAAACAAATACTCCAACCCACTTTCAGACACTCATTGGTAAGCAAGAGTCGGTGCTGTGCACACAGTAATTTTCCAGCTGCTGTTGTGTGTGAGGCTTCAGAGACGCTGATGGAGCAAATGATGAACCAGCCACAGCAGGGCTGGAGGGGTATCTGAATCATGACCTCTGCAAAAAAAAAAAAAAAAAAAAAAAGAGGGGGAAGTGGCTGACCCTGAACAAACCTTGGCCCATCTCCAGAGCTTCACCAGCTACATTCATTGTCCACCCATTGTAAGAACCCATTTTAGTAGAAGAGAAACGAGTTTCCCCCAAAGTTAACCTGCATCATTTTAGACCCCCAGTCCCTGCCCAAAAGGCATGATTAGTCCTTCCAAAATCCAGATTGTGTGTTCATGGATCCAATATTGAGCAATGTAGGGGATCCAACCAATTCTTTTTTTTTTTTTTTTTTGCTACCACACCTGGCTAATTTTTTTTAATTTGGGGTTTGAGGGTACATGTGAAGGTTTGTTACATAGATAAACATGTCACAGGGGTTTGTTGTACATGTTATTACATCACCTAGTTATTAAGCTCAATACCAAATAGTTATCTTTTCTGCTCCTCTCCCTCCTCCCACCCTTCTCCCTCCGATTCTAAATCATAGAATATCAACACTTGAATGGGACTTGGTGGTGTCTAGCCCCCAATTCCTTCTTATTTACAGATGAGAAACTAAGGTCCAGAGGGGAGCAGTGACTTATTCAAGGTCATACAGGAAATCTCTGTGAAAGCCTGTTTAGCTCACAAACTGAAAAGAAAGAGGAACATGACAAAGTAGAGCAAGGCTTCATGGGAAAGGAAGAACAGGGCAGTTAGAGAAAAACAAAAGAAAGGCTGGGCATGATGACTCACACCTGTAACCCTAGTGCTTTAGGAGGCAGAGGCAGGAGGATTGAGACCCTAACAACACTCCATCTCTACCAAAAAAAAAAGTTCAAAAAATTAGCTGGCTGTGGTGGCACATCCCTGTAGTCCTAACTCCTTGGGAGGCTGAGGCGGGAAGATCGCTTGAGTCCAGGAGTTCAAGGTTGCAGTGAGCTATGATCATGGCACTGCACTCCAGCCTGGGTGATAAAGCAAGACTCTGTCTCTAAAACTAACTAATTAAATAAATAATGTCTGAAAAGTGCTCCATGGAGGGTTTCTCCATCCCTCCCATCGATTTCCTTGACCTATGGGGCATTGTGGCACTGGGTCACTAGCAAGCACAAGTTTAGGATCTGAAATCTGCTGACTCTGCCCCTCACAAGATCACTATGTGATCTTGCACAGGCTACTTAACCTTCCTGAAACTCAGTTTCCTCATCAATAACATGATAATAGGAACATCTACCTAAAAAAAGAGCCCTGCAAATATTCAAGTAAGTATAAAGCCTTTTGGTTTTCAGTAATGGTGGAGAAGCTAATATCAGACTAACTCTCCTGGAAATAGCAATCATAAACTGTGGACAAAATATTTTAAAACTACTATTTGACAGCACCGGAGAGAGACCAAAACCAGGCACAAACTGGACAGCACAGGTTTATTTACCTGAGTTCTCCCTTGAGGGCATTTCAAAGTTCTAAGGGAATACTGGGGATGGAGCTCAACCACAAATCAGCAGGCATTAAGTTAAGAAACCAGAAATCAGTATTCAGGGTTGCCAGAAAGGCTGAAAATTGGAAGGGAAAATCCTAGAAAAGAGGAACCCACAGAGGAGGAGCCCTCAAATTTTTACACAAATCTAGGTTGAACTTTGAACTGTATGTGGATAGGGAGAGAGTCTAAAAAGCCCAGGGGGATGACAACAGTTGAAAGAGCTGAGCAGTAATTTCAGTTGCTGCCATTGCATGGGGAGATAGGCTACAATATAAGTCTCACCAAATTAGAAAATCTTGATGAACAACTCAGGCTTTCCATTAAACCCAGAAGTGTTGTTCCTTAGGAGTTAAGATCGCTTCCCAAGACCAGGGGCTAAACCCCAGGACTAAAGACAAAACTAAAATATACCTATCTCTAAACAAAGCCTTAAATAATGTCTCCATGAAATCAAAGTAGTTCACCATTAATTTAACCACCTACTAGAACAAAACTCAACAGTATTCAGAGAAAGATAATCTACCCAGAGTCACCAAAAATAGTTATCTGAAATGTTCAGTATCTAATAAAAATGACTCTCTCCTAGTATACAATCAAAAACTCCTAGACACATGAAGAGGGAAAACAGGAAAAGAAAAATAAACCACCAATAGAAATAGATCTACATATAACCCCAATGTTAGAATTAGAAAACAGCAACTTTACAATAACAATCATAAACATGTTAAATAATTGCAGAAAAAGATGTAAATAATGAGAAACTTTTAGTCAAGATATGGAAACCTTTAAAAAAATGAAAGCCCTAGAACTGAAAATCACACCATCTGAAATTTACAAATTGTTGCATGGAATCAATAGAAGATTGGTTACAAAATAATAAATGAATGCCAAACTTGAGCACAGGTTAATAAAAATTATTAAAATAATACATAAAGAGAAAAAAGACTAATGGAAGGGAATAGAACGCCAATGACTTGTGAACAGTGTCAAGTACTCCAACATGCATATAAGTGGTATCCCTGAAAGGAGAGACAGAATAAGGCAGAAAAACAGTTGAAGAAATACTGGCTAATATTTTTTCAAATTTGTTCAAAAGCATCATTTCATAGATCCAGGATTCTCAAGAATCCCCAAGCAGGATAACTACAAAGAAAGCCACAGTTAAGCATAATGTAGTTTAAATCCTGAGAAGCAAAGACCGAGAGAAAAGCACAAAGGCAGCCAGAGGGAGAAAAGGGGGCATAATACCTGCAGGGAACAATAAAAAGAATATGACTGATTCTCATCAGAAACAATGGAGGCCAGAAGACAGAGGAATAACACCTTTGAAATTCTGGAAGAAAACACTTATCAACCTAGAATTCTATCTACAGCCAAAATGTTTCAAAAATAACAAAAAAAAACTAAGACATTATAGGTTTTTTAAGTTGGTTTTGGGTGTTTGTTTATTTGTTTGTTTGTTTTAGAGGAGTCTCATGCTCTGTCACCCAGGCTGGAGTGCAGTGGCACAATCATAGCTCACTGTAGCCTTGAACTCCTGGGCTCAAGCGATCCTCCCACCTCAGCCTCATGAGTAGCTGATACTACAGGGGTGCACTACCACTCCTGACTATATTTTTTACTTGCTAGAGACAGGGTATTGTTACAGGATCTCTAGGGTGCCGATTTTTCTGGCTGGAAACCTCTGTGGCCACGGTGCCTTTGCCTGAGTTCTTATCCTGCATCCAGGAAGAATGAAGGATGCAGACAAGTGAAGGGAGAAGAAGAAAAAGAAGAAGGAGGAGAAGGAGAGGAGTTTTATTTAGTGTTAGAAGAGCTCAGAGAAGTGGGTAGCTCCTCTCTGCAGGCAGCTCACCCCATCGAGTGCTCAGCTCTCAGCAGCGAGGAGGCCCTGGAGGGTAGCTCCTCTCTGCTGGCAGGCCATCTCTGCAGCTCTCAGTGGAGAGGGTACACCTCTCTGCAGCTGATCATCTCATCGTCTCCGCTATCAGCAGAGAGAGTACTCCTCTCTGCAGCTGGTCGTCCTGTCCCCTTGTCTCTCTGACCTCTTGGTCCTCTGGCCATTCTCTGTTCTGCTCTGGCTGAGCCCAGGGCTTTTATGGACCTCAGAGGGGAGGAAGTGTGTGCCGATTCATGCATGGGCACCCATGGGTGGGCCTGGAAGGGGCACCCTGAGTCCCAACTCCAGTGAGCAAGACTGGCAGTCCCTCCCACAGCCTTCAGGCCTTCTCTGGTCTGAAGGTGGGGCCTTACTGGGGACCCATCCCCTTCCTGCCAGGAATCAATCTGCCTCCTGCTGTCATTCATGGCCCCAACCCTGCTCCAAGTTCAGAGGAGGCTCCAAGAGCATAGAGAGGCCAGGCAGTGGGAGGAGTCACCCACCAGCCTGCAGGGATGGGTTGGGGTGGTCCCTTCTGGGGCCACTGAGGGTGCAGGCTGCAGAGATGCCCAGATCCTGCACCTGGGAGGGCAGCTGCAGCTGTACCTGGGAGCTCCCACCTGCCAACTTGGAAGGGGCAGGGCTCCCACTTGTCCCCTGCTCCTGCCTGCTTGCTGGAGTGAGAGGCCCAGGTCTGCAGCCGTGGGTGCCGCAGTTGCAGCTGCACCCCCAGGAAGGCAGATCCTGCCTGTTGCCAGCTCCCAGAAGAGCACAGGGAGGCTCAGATACACAGCTGCAGTTTGGGCGGCTGTAGCCCCGCCCAGGAGCTACAGGAGGCCTGGGTCTGCAGCTGTGGGTGCAGTGGCATGGGGAGCTCCAGTCTTAACTCAGAAGGGTCAGGGTTCCCACTGGCTCTACGGAGTGTGCAGCCCCAGCTACACAGCTGCACAGCTGCAGCCGGCATAATGTAAGCAGCCACTGCCATCGGTATCACTATGTTGCCTAGGCTGGTCTTGAACTCCTCACCTTAAGGAATCCTTCGGCCTTGCCTCCCAAAGTGTTGGGATTACAGGCATGAGCCACCATGCTCAGCCCAACATTGTATATTTAAATGAAAACTGAGAAATTTTGCCATAAGTAAACCCATTCTAAAAAAAAAAAGTTAAAAGAGATTCTTCAGCATGATGGGAAATGATATCAAATGGAAAATTCAGATCTGTAAGAAGCATGATGAACAATGAAAATGGTATATATGTGGATAAATATAAAACGTAACTTTCTTTCTTCCTTAAAAGTCAACTGGCTGCTTAAGGCAAAAATAATATTAACAGTGTGACCAGTCACAGTGGCTCATGCCTCTAATCCCAGCACCTGGGAGGCTGAGGCAGGTAGGTCATTTGAGGTCAGGAGTTTGAGACAAGCCTGGCCAACATGGTGAAAGTCTGGCTCTACTAAAAATACAAAAATTAGCTGGGCATGGTGGTGCATCCCTGTAGTCCCAGCTACTTAGGAGGCTGAGGCTGGAGAATTGCTTAAACCCAGGAGACAGAGATTGCAGAGAGCAGAGATCGCACCACTGCACTCCAGCCTGGGTAAGAGAGTGAGACTTTGTCTCAAAAAAAAAAAAAAAAAAAAAAAAAACAGTGTATTATAGTGCTTATAACAGATGTAGAAGTAAAATATATGACACAGAAGCAATATAAATAGAATTATATGTGAACTGGCATAATATTAATTCAAGGTATATTGTGATGTTAAGTATGAATATTGTAAATCCTGGAGCAACAACTAAGAATAATAATACAGAGCTATAAATTGAAACTCAATGGAGAAAACAGAATGAACTACTAAAACAATATTCAATTAACCCAAAAAGAGTCAGAAGAGAGAGAACAAAAGGAGAACTAGAAATCGGTACAAATAGGAAACAAAGAACAACATGATAACTTCAACCGAACTATATCAAAAATTGCATTAAGTGTAAATAGATCAAACCTTCCAATTAAAAGGCAGAGAGGTTGTCAGACAGGATAAGATACAACACTCAAATAGATGTACCTTAAAAACACATTCAAAAAGAGATGTACCTTAAATATATAAAGATTCTGACAGTTAAAAGTAGAAGGATGAAAACAAAATAGTAGATGGAAAAAGATAAATAGTAGGAGAATAAAGCTGCCATGTCTGTTATCATGCAAAGTAAACTTCAAAACAAGGACATTGTATGAGATGATTATTCACAATGATGACAGGGTCAAGTCATCCAGAAGATGTAGCAATCCTAAATATGTATATGCCTAATAAGTTTCAGAAATACCCAAAGCAAAAATTGAGAAAACTAAAGGGAGAAACAGACAAGTCCATAGTCATAGTTAGATGTTTTGATACTCCTCTCTCATAACTGATTAGTAAGCAGATGAAAAAATTAGTAAAGATATAGAAGATCCGAGCAACAATATTAAACAACTAAACCTAATTGCCTTTTGTAAAACAGTACGCCAACAGTTACAGAATGCATATACTTTTCAGGTGCACGTGGAACATTCAACAAAATCGAACATTGATTTATTTTTCTTGTCCAGTATCATAAAAACATCTCAATAAATGTTTAAGAAATGAAACCATGGGGAGGATGTTTTCTGACCAAAACATAATGAAATTAGAAATTATTAACAATAAGGAAAAATAGAATACAAATTACCAGTAATCAGACATGAAAAGACATAACTGTAAATCCTACAGACATTAAAAAATGATAAGAATATTACATACAACTTTATGCCCACAAATTCAAAAATCTAGATGAAATGAACAAATTCCTTGGGGAAAAAACACAACTTACCAAAACTAGCACAAGAACAAAAATAGAAAATCTGAATGTCTCTGTATCTATTAAAAGAGTTGAATTCATAATTAAAAATCTTCACACGCATACACACAATCACCAGGTCCAGATGGCTTCACTGGCAAATTCTATCAAACATTTAAGTTAGAAATGGTACCAAGTCCGTACAAATTCAAAAAATTGAGAAAGAGGAAACACTTGATAACTAATTTTATGAGGTCAGCACACTCCCAATACCCAAACTTGACAAGGAGGTTATAAGAAAAGTAAATTAAATACAATATGCCTCATAAACATAGATGCAAAAAACCTCCACAAGATATTAGCAAATTGAATAGAGCAACATATAAGGCGGATAATAAATTATGACTAAGTGGAGTTTATCCCAGGAGTGTAAGTTGGGTTCAGCTTCTTCAGATCAATCAATACCATTCACTGTGTTAATAGAATGAAGGAGAAAAATCATGTGATCATCTCAATAGAAGTAGAAAGTATATTTGCCAAAATATATATCACTGATGATAAAAACTCTCAGCAAATGAGAAATAAGACAGAACTTTCTCAATGTGACAAGCACATCTAAGAAAAATATATTCCTAATATATTATGGTGTAATAATGAACCCTCCTTCCTAAGATGGAAAAAGGGAAGATATCCTCTCTCTCCAGTTTTATTCCAACATGATACTGGAGTTTCTAGCTAATACAGCAAGGTAAGAAAAAGAAATAAAAATAATAATAAAGACTAGAAAGGAAGAAGTAAAACTCGGCAATAAAAGAGAATGAACTACTGATACGTGCAAAAGCATGAATGAATCTCAAAAACATTACGCTGAGAGAAAGAAGCCAAACACAAAAGAATGCATACTGTCTGATTCTATTTATATACAACACTAACACAGGCAAATCTAGTTTATAACAACAGAAAGCATATTGGGGGTTGCCTGAGGGTTGGCAGGGAGGCAGTGACTGCAAATAGGAAATTCTGGGGATTCATGGAAATGTTCTATATCTGATTAGGGTAGTTGTTACAAGGGTGTATACACTTCTAAAGATTTATTAAATTGAACATTAAAATGGATGCATTTTATTGTATATAAATTATATCTTCTGAAGTTGATTTTAAAAAATAGATACCATTAAGAAAATGAAAAGGTAAGCCACAGACTATAGGTGGTATGGACAAAATATTTACAATACATGTGTCTGACAAAGGACTTGAATCCAGAATATATGAACAACTCTTACAACCCAAAAGTAAAAGTTAAAAAATAATAATTTTTAATGGACAAAAAACTCAGACATTTCACAAAAGATTATATATGAATGACCAACAAACACATAAAATTGTGCTCAAAATCATCCGTCAGGGAACCACAAATACAAATGAGATGCAACCATACACCTACAAAAATGGCTAAAATCAAAAAGGTGGACGAAGTCCAGATTTGGCATGGATGTAGAGTAATGAGAATTCTCAGACACTACTGGTGGAAATATAAAATAGAAGAACCACTTTGGATAACAGTTGGGCAGTTTCTTATAAAGTTGTGCCTATACCTATCTTACAAACCAGCTGTTCCACTGCTAGCCATTTACTCAAGAGAAATTAAAACATATGTCCACAAAATGACTTATGTATAAATATTCATAGGAGTTTTTTCATGATTACCAAAAACTGGAAACCATCCAAATGCCCATCATCAAGTGAGTGGATAAGCAAATTTTAGTGTAGTCATACATAATGCTGGAAAACTATTCAGTAATTAAAAGGAAAGAACTCCTGGTGCAAACAACCATGTAGATGAACCTCAGAGACACTATGTTGAGTGAAAGAAGCTAGATGCAAAAGAGCACATAGTGTAAGCTTTCATTTATATGAAGTTTGAGAACAGGCAAAGCCAACCTATGGTGAGAGAATTCATAACCGTGATTACCCAGGTAGGTTGGGGACTGATTGGACAGGGACAGAAACGAACTTTCTAGGGTGTTTTAAAATGTCCTCTATCTTGGTTGGTGTGCTGGTTACATGGGCAAACACCTTTGTTAGAATATATTGAATAGTGCACTTAATATTTGTACATTGTATTGTGTTTTTATTCTTTAATCTTGAAAAATGGATATAAAGGACTCAACACCTAGAAAATGCTCAACAACCATTAGTTCCCTCATCCTTCACCCTTCCCACTAGGCAAGTACCATAGATGCTATGAGAGCATTTATGATCACTGGACCTCTGAAAATAGGAATGTAATTTTCTCCAAAGGGAAAAGGTGCCATCTACAGCATGACTTGGAAAGTCTCTCTAGTCCAGGCCCAGGACTATAAATAAGAAGGATAGTGCCTAGAGCCATTTCATTCTGAATCTTCCTCTGGGTTTCGTCCTCCAGGTCTAGGTCTGGGATTCCAATGTCTCAAACCAAGAGGGTGGAATTTAGTTGGGTCTTTCCAAGAGATGCAAGATGGCAAAATGTGGAAGTGGGAAGACATGGTGGGGGTAAGAGACTCTGAGGAGAACCGCATTTATGGGAAGATTATAAAAGATAAGTTAGGGTGGGGCTTGATGGTGCCCACCTGTAGTCCCAGCTACTAGAGAGGCCGAGACAGGAGGATCGCTTGAGCCAGGAGTTCAAAACCAGCCTGGGCAACATAGTGAAACTTTGTCTCTAAGAAAAAAGAAAAAATTAAAGTAAGGTAAGAAAACTAGTATTGGAGCCAGATGTTGAAGGTCTATAAAGTTAATGGTATTTAAATGCTCAATAATTGTTTGTTGATTGAGTAAGTAAATGAATGAGTTACTGAGTCTGTTGAGGCTGACTGCCGCCCCCTCCTTCCTGTCTTGCAGCTCACATACCTGCCCCCACCGTGGGGTGAGTGCCGATCCTCAGAGATGGGCCTCGACTTTTTTCCTGTTTACAGCATCACCGCCTGTAGGATTGACTGTGAGACCCGCTACATTGTGGAAAACTGCAACTGCCGCATGGTTCACATGCCAGGTCAGTGCCAGGGCAGGGTGGCCACAGGGCCCTGGGATCTGCCTGGGACCCACCTTGCATTTCTCATCCTAATGGGAAACACTTCACCCACTTCGCTGGGATCCAAAAGGATGATGTTCTGGGAAGACTCTGTTATTTGGTGCCTATTAAGAGGGCAGGTGGAAACTTCTGGTCCAGCAACCAAGGCAGCATCCTGGTATCCAGAAGCATCCAGTGTTTGGGGAATGTTCATCCCAGTGTTCAATGTTTGCCAGTTGTCTGCTGTTCTTACCTCTGAGAGTTTAGCTTCCAGATAACTGGATGCTTGCAATTCTTGCAGCTCGTGTAGTACATGTTTGAGCATCCAGATGTTTCTTTCATCCAGATGTTTCACTTTTTGTGTCCAAATGTCTAGCACTCCTTCAAATGAGGCAAAAGTCTATTGGCCAGCAAATAAATGTGCACATAATGACACCTCTGTTGTCAGACTAACAATGCATGTGGCCATCTCACACAGTTGGCTTATCAGAGGCTGAAGTGCAGAGTGGAAAGCTGATCTGGGGAGGAAGAGCGCAGTGTTGCAGCAAGGACACATGAGTGGGGCCTTGGTTTCTAATTCAGGCTCTTCCACTCATTTACTGTATGACCTGGTTACTAAACCTCTCTGTTCTCACGTTTATGAACTTTAAAACACAATCAGCAGCTGTTATAAGGTGAAAATTAGGCTAGGATATAAAAATATTTTGTAAACTATAAAAGTCAGTGGTTGTTATTTAGCATATTGAAAGAGGGAACCAAAAGTCATGCTGACTAAAGACCTACTATGTGCCGGGAATGTTGTTATTATATTTAGTAGCTGTTATTTCATGGTTATATCATACTTTATTCAATTTTACTTAACTAAATCCTTATACTGGACATTTGGTTCATTACCAATTGTTTTCTGTGATAATCTGTGCTGAAAGGTGGGCCCAAATCTAATCAGAGTCCTCAAAATCAACCCCCCTTTTCCAGCCAGGGTCAGAGGGAGATATGACTATGAAAGAAGGGTCAGGGAGATGCAAACTTGTTCACTTTGAAGATGGAAGAATGTGGGTAGTCGATGCATGTGGGTTGCCAGTGAATGTGGGGGTGACCTCTGGAAGCTGGGAAAGGCGAGGAAATGAATTCTCCCCTACAGCCTTCAAAAAGAACATTGGCCTCCCACCCAACACCTTGATTCTGGACCAATGAGACCTATATCTGACTTCTGACCTGCTAAACTGTAACATAATAATAAATTTGTATGTTTTAAATACGAATAATAATAAAATGGCCTCTGAGCTTCCTAGAAAACAGAGCAAACAGGGAAACATGTCATTTAATCTGTTGTTTTTGGAAAGGAGAAAGCATATTGACTCTTCGGCTCCGAAAAAGGATTTGGGGAAAATGATAAGGAAAAAAACATGGTGGACTTTAACTTTAGAGCTTGGTAAAGGAAAAGAAAAGATCCTGGGTTTCTACAAAGAGATCCCAGCAAGGAGAATCCAGTACTGGGGAATATTACTCACCTGATGCTCAGACTAGGCCACCAGCCAGTGAGGTTTTCCCCACCAACCCTTAGCCAAAGGCAAGCAGTAGAGGTGTCAATCACACCCATGACACTAATACTGACATCTCAGTTACTAATGTGGAATTATGAACAAAGCAATGAAGAAACACAAAACAACCCTTGTTCCCATACAGCAGTGTGGTTGTGCTGAGAAGAGCTCCAGGCTCTGGATCAGACTGACCTCTGTTCAAAGCCCACTTCCATCACTACTAGCCTTGGTGTCCTGGGAAGGCAGGATGCTTAAGCCTCAAAATTATCATGGGTAAAACAGACACAGTACTTCTGACTTCAAAGGGTGCCTGTATGGGTTAAAGAAGATGATGTATAGCCAGGCTTACAAGGTGCTTACCACCACCTCCCTAGTCTCAATCCTCAAGGTGAGCCCACCTGTCACCCACGGGAGCTGGCTGGACCTACACAGAAACATGGGAGAAGTTAGCCATACAGATCCTACTGTCTCCTGCTCAACGAGGTGAACAGCCTGCCCAAGCTTACATAGCAGATCAGAAGCCAGCCTTCCAGCTCTGGGGTGCACTGTGATCCAAGGCTCCCTTCGAACTGCCCACTGGCAGGCCGCTGCCCCTTCAACTGCCAGGAGGCACCCCTTTCCCTAAGCCCAAAGCAGAGGAGGTGTTGCTGACATGAATGTTCCTGCCTGAGTAACTCTGTCTGGTGTTTCTTCTTTGCAGGGGATGCCCCTTTTTGTACCCCTGAGCAGCACAAGGAGTGTGCAGAGCCTGCCCTAGGTCAGTACTCAGGGGACAGATGGAATCATGGGGGCCGGGGGCCTGAGACTGAGATCATGGAAATCATCTGGGTTTGGGGAAAGATCAAGTGGAAGAAGGAATGGAGAGAGGATGAGAAGAAAGGGGCTGGTCGGGTGGAGTTGCTGCAGGGATGGGAGAGGGAGATGGAGAGGAGGAAGAAGAGAAGGTTGGGAAGGGAACTGGTGCAAGAGGATGAGGGCTGGAAATGGGACTGGGGAGAGAAAGAGATATGGAAGGTGGAGATGGAGAAGGAGTGGGTTTCAGGGGAAACAGAGGGTGCTAAGGAATGCAGGGGAGAGGACAGAGGTGGAGAGAGGATAGACAGTGGGCAGCCAGGTAGGCATCAGAGGAGCTTGGCAATACCTCCCCTCACACACTCTGATGGTGTCTACATGGGGAGGCCAAGGTGATTCTGAAGTACCATCTTTCTTCTGCTCCATTGAGCCTAGGGGAGGTGGAGGAGGGCTGGAGAGGTAAAGTCAGGTTTGCATTCCATGCATGCAAATGGAAAACACAAAGCACACTTCTTCCTCCTGCCTGAGGGGCCTGCGGGGGGTCTGCCAGTTAGAAGACCTCTGCTGGTTCCCCAGCTGGAAAACTAGGAGGGAGGGAGAGTGCACAAACAAGCTGCAGCCCCAAAGCTAGGCCCACTCTGCATGCTTGCCTCTCTCTGGACCCAGGAAATGGCTTATAATCAAGACAAGCAGACTTTTTAAACAATGTGCCCTCAAGTTCGTTCAGCATCTGCACTTGCTGGAGCTAAGTGAGGCAGTGCTGGCCTCAGGTCCAGATACCTCCAGGAGGACTAGAGAGGGAGGGCAGGCTGAGAGGAGAGGGAGTGACTTCTGATGTGTGCAAAGACTCAGCAAAACCCAGGGTAGCTGGAAACACTGAGGTGGCTAGAGGAAAAAGGGAGGGAGGTGTTAAAGAAAAAATCACTCTGACACTAGTTAAAATGGTAAGGAAGTCTTTATTCAGGGCAATTGCAACAGGTGTCAAGAGTATCACAACAGGGGAAACAGATGGGACTCAACTGAGAATTCAGCCAAGACAGCTGGAGATTCATAGCCATCAAGCAGAGCGAGGACTCAGTAGATGGAAAATTACCCAGAGAAAACATCAAAGTTAGGGGGAAATCTGCAAAGGCAGGCCAGGGTGATCAGATATCAAGGGTGGGGGATTCTCTCTAAACTGACTTTAGCAGGATTCTTGCTAAAACTGGGCTAGGCCCGCCCAGCATGGATGGGGGCCAAGGTCAAGGCCTAGTTGAGAACAGGGTTCTGAAGAGCCTGGCTAAGTTTGATCAGGGAGAAAGTCTTTGTCAGAGGGAAATGATGCCTTAAACTTTATGTCTAATTGGAAGAAGAGAGGAGAGGGCAGGAAGGGTTCCAGATGCAGGGAGTTGCCTCCAGGGAAAGAAATGAAGGAACTTTGCCTGCATCCTAACCCACCAGGCAGAGAAGGTGGGGCACTGGCTATGAGGGAGCCCCAGCAGGAAGAGCACAGAGCCCTGGGTTTCAGATAAAATGGTCTCCTACATTTGCTTTGATGGTGGATCATTCTCTGTGGATGAGAATACTGAGGCTGGGAGCAGGGAAGAAAGCCATGAGAAGCTGAGGACACCAGGACTCTCTTGGAGACCTCTGCAAAAGTGGTCCCATTTCAACAATTTTTAAAGAGTGACATGACAGTTAAAAGAAGCAGAAGGAAAACAAGATCAACCTACAGCAAAAGCCCAGTTCCCCTCTCTCCACAATCCCTGCCCCTCACTTTCCCCAGACCAGTGCCCCTTCCCAGCTCATTTCTCAGCTGCTACAATCCAGCTACTCTGGACCCTTAGAAATCCCAGTGCCCACACCTGACTAAGCCCCACCTCACTCTCCCCTCCAGGTCTGTTGGCGGAAAAGGACAGCAATTACTGTCTCTGCAGGACACCCTGCAACCTAACCCGCTACAACAAAGAGCTCTCCATGGTGAAGATCCCCAGCAAGACATCAGCCAAGTACCTTGAGAAGAAATTTAACAAATCAGAAAAATATATCTCGTAAGTTTAGTGGGCATGGTAGGCAGGGGGAAGGGGGAACTGGATAAGGAGGAAATTGGAGGCAATCAAGGAGGAAAGCAAAGATAAGCATTTGGTTCAAGTTAGCAAACATTAGTTGAACACCCTCTGTGTGTCACGCTCTGCGCTCCATGTTCAGAATACAAAGACAAAGATGAGTAAGACACAGCCCCTGCCCTTAAGGAGCTTGCAGTCTTATGGAGAGACAAGCACACACTGAATGGTATATAGGGTGACTTTGGCTATCATAGGGGGATGCATAGGGAAGGAGAGAATGATGGGTTAGCTGCAGCTTGCAATGAGGTGACATCAGGGAAAGCTTCAGAGAATTTTTTTTTCTTTTTTTTTTTTTTGAGATGGAGCCTCGCCCTGTTGCCCAGGCTGGAGTGCAGTGGCATGATCTCGGCTCACTGCAAGGTCCATCTCCTGGGTTCAAACCATTCTCCTGCCTCAGCTTCACGAGCAGCTGGAACTACAGGCGCCCGCCACCATGCCCAGCTAATTTTTTTGTATTTTTAGTAGAGACAGGGTTTCACCGTGTGTTAGCCAGAATGGTCTCGATCTCCTGACCTCATGATCCACCCACCTCGGCCTCCTAAAGTGCTGGGATTACAGGTGTGAGCCACCGCGCCTGGCCCAGAGATTTTTTTAAAGGATGTATAGTTTTCCAGGCAGACCTTGCACGTTCTATTCCCTCTGCCTAGAATTCTTTTCCTCCCAGCCTCCACCTAACTGGTTCCTCCTTAAGCAGGTCTCCATTTAAATGTCATCTCCAGCCAGACATGGTGGCTCATGCCTGTAATCCCAATGCTTTGGGAGGCCAAGGCAGGAGGATTGCTTCAGGCCAGGAGTTCAAGCTCAGCCTGGGTAACGTAGTTAGACCCTGTCTCTAAAACAAATAAAAAATAAAAATAAAAATAAAATTGAGGTTATCCCAGGCATCTAGATGAGGTGCTCTCCTGTTATTTTTCTCTCAAAGTCCTCTGGTGTTTTCCTTTATAACACCACAGTGTGTAATTACATATTCATGTTGTGTTTCCTTGTTTGTTACCTGTCTGCCCCACTAGACTGAAAGCCCCTGAGGGCAGGAAACTATCTTTTTTGTTCTCTGTTGTCTGCCAAGTTCTAGTGGAGCATATGGCACAGAGTTGGTACTCAAAAAAATGTGTTTTAACAGAATAAATGAATGGAAGCATGGGAGAAGTGGGTGTCCTAGGCAGAAGCTCAGCAGAGACCATCAGCACAGGGCAGAAGAGAAAACTTCAAAGGGGAACATGGATATGTCAGAGCAAGAGGGTCTTGTAGGCTGAGCCGAGTGGGTGCAGGGGGTGGGCTTTATCCTAACAGACTAGGGATCCCCTGAAGAGCTTTCAGAGGTGAGTGACAGACTCAAATTTGCATTTTTGCCCACTGCTCCCCAATAGGACGAATGCTGTGTGATGATGGAAATGTTCTGTGTCCGCAATGCCCAGCGGGGTAGCTGCTAGCCACATGTGGCCAACGAGCATTTGAAATGCAGCCTGTGACTGGGGAGTGGAACTGTAATTTTATTTAATTTGAATCAAGTTAGCAGTTTTAGAAAGATCCTTCAGGCGGCGATAGAGAAGACGGGGGAAAGGCAGATGGGAAGAAGGGAACTGTTAGGAAACAGCTGTGGCAAGCCAAGCAAGAGAAGGTGATACTTTGAACAGCTGCCCTGCGAGCCCTGCTCACAGAAAGAAGAATCTGCTCCTCTCTTCGCCAGCCCCTCCTTCTTGCCAACACTGTCCCCAGACCCCATCCTGGGCCAGCTTCTGCTCAGTGGGTTGAGAACAAGGGGCACTGGAGGAATTGTGGGCACATTGGAGGAGACAGGAATTGTAGGGGATGCCAGTCCCTGCTGCTTGGCAGACAGTCTGCAGGCAGTAACGACTTTTACTGCCGAGATGTGTCTCACTCACACACCTGCCCAAAGGAGCAAAGCAAGCCGCGGTGCTTCTGCCAGAACACCCCCCAGCCAGATGTAAGTTTGCTCCCTACAAACTTTCTTTGACTTCTGGCAATTGACTTGATAATGCCAGAGCAGGGCCTCCCAACAGGAGGAGCTTGTTATAAATACCAGTGGGAATTTAGGGGGCCTCAGGAGTGGGCAGGGGCTGCCCATGAGGTCAGCTGGAGCAGGCACCCTAGCCAAGACAAGCCTTGTCAGAAGATTAATGAAACTCACCTTCATGTTGAGGACGAGGCAGGCCCTTTGGAGGCGCAGAGGCCTGGAAGCCAGGCAGGACTCCTGCATAGGGTGCAAAGAGAAAGCAGGGAGACAGAAATAAGCAACAAAAGGAGGCAACTGATGTAGGCCTCCAGACCCGGGCTGGGAGTCAGGCTTCTTGGCTTGAAGCCGCAGCTCTGCCACTAACCAGCTCTAACTTTGGGCAAGCTGCCTCACTTCCTGGGCCTCCTTTTCTCCATCTTTCCATGGGAAAGCTGTATTAGATGCTCCCTGTGAATGCTGATAGCTCTAACCATGTATGGTACTGACTATTCTCTCTGCAGAGAGAACATCCTTGTTCTGGATATATTTTTTGAAGCTCTCAATTATGAGACAATTGAACAGAAGAAGGCGTATGAAGTTGCTGCCTTACTTGGTAAGTCAGTGTCTATTGCACAAATTTCCACATCTCATAGAGGGTGGGAGGGAGGGAGGATGCACAGGTGGATGGGAGGCAAGCAGACAGACACATAGCCTCGGAGGAGTCTAACCTTTTGATTTACTAATAATTACTCCCTGTTTCCTTGCACTGCTCCTCTCCCAGAATGGAAAGAACCCCAGCAGTGGGGTGGAATTTCAGGCCCAATTTATTCCCCAATCTTGGCTTCATTTTCCCCATCTATGCAATGAGGACGGTCAGCCTAAAGGTCTCTCTGGGCCTTTCTAACCCTGCACTCTTGGAATTCATGGTCTTCTGCCCCAGCTTGCAGTCAGGATCCTGGGGCCATGGAGAGGGGGCAGAGGTATCAGAAGGAGAGAAGGAGGGAAGGCTGAACTGTGGGTGGTCAAAGGTGGGACCTGGGAGGTGAGGGCCCTGATGGAACTTCACCCCAAAAGCAACATTGCTGCATCCAGAAGGCCAGGTGTTGCCCCCTGGACTGAGAGTCATTTGTCAAACACAAATGAAGGGCCACTCTCCCCAGGTATCTACAAACCTGCTGCCACCCCACAAAAGTTCGCATGAGCTCCCCGGCTCCAGTGGCATCTGATGGATACAGGCAGCTAATTTCCATCCTAACCCAGCCCAACCCAAAACTCACAAGACCCCTGAGAGTGCACAGTTAAAGGACTTGACTCTAGAGCCCTTCTCTCAGCTCCCACTCACTCTCAAGAAAGGATCTGATGCCTGTAAACCAGAAAGAGAAATAGCTGTTGTCTCCCTGAGCTGAACCAGGTGACGTTAGCATTTTGGAAGGGGCAGGTGCCTCCTACCTGGCTTCTCACACCAGCTATGAGAATATGGGCAAGTAGCTTTACCTTGCTGAACCTCAGGTTCTTCATCTGCAAGATGGGTTTAATAAAACCCACTTTATGAGCTTGTTGTGATGGTTAAACATGATAACCCCCTAGCCCAGAAAAGGTCCATAAATAGTAGTTTCTGGCACCTGGACAATCACTATGCCAGGGACCCAGGGCTCAGCTGGTGTGTCCAGGGGCTGGCTAAGCATTTCTACACTTTCTCCAGGAGGCTGGGGACTCCCCACCATAGCTCGGTCCCAGCTGGGTTAAAGTGGCTGTCACTCAGCCTCAGAAGTCATTGTGGCCAAAGGTACTGAGCCAAGAGACTCATTCCCTTGGCCCCAGCAGAGACATAGACCCCTCACTCACCCCTATGCTGGCCTTGCCCTTTATTTCCATAAAGAGGACCCAGGACAGGCCTCTTCCTACCCCCTGCCCTCCCCCAGCATAGGCTCACAGTCTTTCTCTGTCTCTCTGCTCTATGTGCGTCTCTTTCTTTCTCTCTCTCTCTCTCTCACACAGATCCCTCTCTTTCACAGAGAGAGAGAGAGAGAGAGAGACATACAGAGCAAGAAGGGCCTGAGCTCTGAATTTGTCATGTCTGCGTCAGATATGAGGATGAGTTTGTTCAGCATCGATCGTGTTCCCATCCAGAATAGCCGGCTGAGGAGCTCATGCTGCCATCTGGACCTCCTGTGATGAGAGCGTGTGCCGCTTGCAAACCCTCAGCCATCAGGTCCCATCAGGCCCTTCTCTCAGCACCGCACGGCCCTTTCTCACCTCCTGGTGTCCATGCACGTGCACGCTACACACACTACCCACAGCATACCCCACCCCAGTCTGCACGCACATGCACCAAACCTACAGGTTCATGCACCCACGGTGGTCCAGGACCACACACACAAATGCACACCTCTACAGCCCCACGTTCCAATCACACAGCTAGAGACACATCCATGCACACAGCCCCCACACACCCCCATATACACACACAAGCACACCCACACTACACACGCTCGACACACTCTGCTCACCTCCACAGACCCACACTCACACACACTTAGACACACTCAGGGTGCCTAGACAGGGAGAGCCACCTACATAAAACCATAGACAGCCAGACCTCCTGCCTGCTTTTATACAAATACGTGCACACACCCCAGACCCTGGCATATACCCCACACTATACCACTACAGACTCACACTGCACACGTACATCACACACCTCCCCCGACATACATATCCATTAGAACACAGTCCCCAAGAAGCCTCCATTAAAGACATGAGAGGGAGCGGTGATGGGAAAGGAATGAGGGAGAGCCAGTT
Organism: Homo sapiens; assembly: GCF_000001405.40. Taxonomy (NCBI): domain Eukaryota; kingdom Metazoa; phylum Chordata; class Mammalia; order Primates; family Hominidae; genus Homo; species Homo sapiens. The sequence continues at coordinate 33,019,029 of NC_000017.11, read as the reverse complement.
TGAGGCCAGCACCGCGTTCCACTGGGAAGAGCCTTCTCCCCACCATCTCTGTTGTTCACCCGGGCATGTGGGTGCTGGACCCCACCCAGCCATAAGCTGAGAAGGAGTGGGGCAGATCTGCCTACCAGAGAGTTCTCAGGCCAAGAGGTCAAGCTGGCATCTCCAAGAGAACTGTCCTGCCACCCCCAACTGTGCCCCCCAAACCCAATTCCCAAACCTCTTTCCAGAGACTGAGAGTCTTAGAGATTAGGGCTGGAAAGAACTTCATAGTTCATCTCATCCAACCCCCTCCATCCTGCCACCACCACCAAATATCCTTTGGAGACAAAGCTCCTGAGAAGGTCAGGGCTTATGAAAGCCACACAACCAGCTGGTGGCCACTCTCTGGACTCAGAGCCTCAGAGCCCTCGGCTCTGCCACACTGCCTCTGCAGCAAAGCATCTTAAGCTTTTGAGGACTCAGAACCCCTGTTAAAAACTGATAATAGCTATGGACTCTCCTGCTACAAATGCCCAGGCACACATACATTTTGCATTCAATTTCAGGAGAGTCTCCAGCCATCTGAAGTCCTCCCAGGAGAGTGGTTCTCAAACTCTGGTGGGCCCGAGAATGCACCTTACCCCCAGCGGGAACTTAAAAATCCCGACATCCAGACCCCAACCGCAGAGGCTCTGATTCTATTGGCCTAGGTGTATCCAGGCAGCAACACTGATTACAATTCTTCCAGGAGAGTTGGATGCAGGGGTATCTGAAGACAAATCCAGAAAACTTTGAATAATGGGGGCCTATAAACCCCAGAGTAAGAACCTCAGCTCTAGAAAGAGTCAAAATTGCACACTAACTTTTGGATGGGGGAGAGAGGAGACACCTATGGCCTTATCCCAAGGGTGGGAGGTGCCCTAAGGTGGCCCTGAAGCCCATGCCGTGATTGGGTTAGGGGAGCATCTCCTCCCGAGACTCCCACCCAGGGCACCTGTCACCAGTCCACACACATCCTAGCTCTCTATTCTCCCTACTCCCAGCCCAGAGTCAAAACAGGACCCAATCGGTGTGGTTTTGAGTGTAACCAAACAACCCCGTTAGCCCTGTGGGTCATGAGATCTAGTCTAAGCCCTTCCAATAAGCCATCAGCTTAGTCCCCGACCCCACTGAATGCTGAAAAATGGTAGCTCTCAGAGCTGTGCCGTGAGGGAAGGAACTGCCAAAGGCCTGGACCTCCCACAACAAGGCCCAGGCTCCCCATGGAGGGGGCGCCATTCAGAAGGTCTGGGTTGCATCTCAGTCTGTTCACCCTTCCTGGAAGCTGCATAAAAGCAAAGCTTTGGTCTTTTCCCTCTCTCTCCAGGTGATATTGGTGGTCAGATGGGATTGTTCATTGGTGCTAGTATCCTTACAATACTAGAGCTCTTTGATTATATTTATGAGGTAAGATTTGGGATTCCCCACAGGGAAATGACCGCATGCTGGTGCCCTCATCGTGCCCCAGGTTCAGAATCATAGTAGAGGGAAGGCGGTGCCTCTCTCCATGCAGAGCCTGCTTCCCCTCCTGTCCACCAATAGAGTCGATCACTGAAGCCCAGGCTCTGTGGGGCAAGGGGATGGGAGGTTTTTGGGGGGCGGTGGATGTAAGAGAAACACAGGCCTATCCTCTGGGAGCTGGAACAGCACTGGGCCATCTACACTGGCAGGGAAGGATGGGGAGGGATGAGGGGAAGGGGGCCAGACTGTGCTGAGGCCAGCTCCAAGCCCCTCCTGCAGCTGGGCTGGAGGTGGTGGCTTCATCCATGAGCATGTCCACACCTGCACACACACTCCCTCCACCCACACACACCTGCCCTCTAGGTGGCCCATCACCTGAGTCATGTCCTCTGTGGCCCAGCCAGTCTTAGGGAAGGGGCACTTCCCAGCAGTCCTCACCAATCCTCAGCGAGAAGACAGCAGGGCACGCCAGCCGCCCCGGCTGCTGACAGTCTGGGGAAATGTCTCCCTCAAGAGGCAGCTGGAACGAGGCCTCTGAAAGCTTTCTCTGACAATGAGGGTTCCCAGAGCTGGGGTCAGCCTTCTCACCTGCATCTCTCTCTGACAGCGAGCCTGTGGATGCCACTATCCCAGGCTCTGTTTTGACGGGTGTTCCCTTGGAGGCCTCCATCCCCCTGGCTGTGAGATGGGCAATGCACTTCACCTCCAATGTGTGCCCCTGAAAATGGCAATGGCTCCAGAACTTCCAAAGAATGCCTGGACCTATGAAGTCCCCCAAACAGGAGCAGTAGACGGGAGCCTGCAGAACCATGTTCTGTCTCTCGGAGGGGGCTGTTCATGACCAAAGGCTGCTCGGAACCACAGTAGGGACCTGTCGTGCCCCAGTAACCAGGCTCCTCTGGAGAATCTCATGCGTCTCAGCACAGTGACCCCAAAACCACATCAGTTCCCATGGCCAGATTTTATTCTGCTTTGTTTATTGACTTTTGTGGAAAACTGTACACAGTTATGGCAATTGAATCACACCAGGTAACAGATTTAAGAACTACCCTCTATTGCTAGGAGTAAAATGTTATGAACTCAGGCATGTCCTGGTCTTCTGAATTGTGTGCAGTGTCAGGCCTAGCAAGTGAATAATAATCTTGTCCCCCAGCCCCAGCCACAGAAAGGGGGTCCCAAGGCTGCTCCTGAGGACAGACAGGGAGCCAGCATACCAGCACACACCACTTACTAACACTCGCCAGCCACAAAGACAGCAGTTCACCCTGTGAAGCAGGGCCTTCCATTACCTATTCCTAGCTCCATCTCCTGCAACAAAATCCCATTTCAGCCAAAAGGCTGGGTTGAGACAGACAGGCACCTGGAGCTGGCTGCCAGGCTGGGCTTGTGCTACGGTATGTTCAGCCACAGCCCAAGCAGCTGCCACCCCAGTGGGGCCCAATGGAGGGAGGTCCCTTCTGCCTCTGCACCCTCTTCCCGGCCTGACCAACCCCTTCCTGCTTTTCTTGCAGCTGATCAAAGAGAAGCTATTAGACCTGCTTGGCAAAGAGGAGGACGAAGGGAGCCACGATGAGAATGTGGTAAGAGCAGCTCACTGATTGGAAGTTGTTCTGCTGCTCTGGCTTGTACCGGCAGTACAAAACCAGATGCTGGGGCCGGGCAGGAAAGATGTGACTCACTGCACACCTTTCCATGGCTTGGGACATGCTGTCAGTTCCCAAATCCAAGGACACTCCAGCTGAGCCTCGAGCCTCTCTCTGAGAGTCATGCCAGAAGCCAGTACGGATGCAGCAGACACCAGGAGGTGCTTCCAAACATAGGAACTGCCTGGCCCAATCCAGCTTCTCCCAGGCAGACAGCTGCTTCCCCCATCTCACAGCAGGGGGAGAACTGGACAGGCTCTGTACATCTACTCCCTTATTCCCCAGTGGTGGCAAAGTACAAGCAAAGCATCATTGGCCCTCCATCCCATTCGAAAGGGATAGAGTATGGAGCCCCATGAAGTTGGTAGTAGCAATAGTGCCCATTATAGCTACTGACTATTGTATGCCTGGTACGTGTCAGGCACTGTCAGGCACTTTGTATTTGAGGCAGTTGAGGCCCAGAGACCAAAGTCCCACAGCTGCTGAGTGTCAGAGCTGCCCTCCAAGCACTTCTAACCACTGCCCTACTCTGCCTCTCTTTCCTATAGCCCGAGGGCAGCCCCTCTGTGGCTGTTGGTCATTCTGCTTCCAAAACTCAGTCTACTCCTGGGCTCAGGCCTTCGCTGATGGGTGCAGGTGTCGCCAGCTTTCCCCATCCAGCCTTGGGCCCCAAATCAGCACCTCCAGCCCTGGAAAACGGTGCCCATTGAGTGACCACCACCCACTTAATATCAACAAATCCAAAATGGATCCCAGCCCCTTCTCCCTATATGGATTCCATTTCTGTTCCACACACTGTCTACAAATCTTGCTTTGATTCTCCGGTCCCCTGCAGCCTCTGTGGAACGGAAGTGGGGAAGGGGAGGGCAGTGTGGAAGGGGCCCACGGTCTGGCATCAGCTGGCCTGGCTGGATCCTAAGGCTCCGGCTTCCTGGCTGTGTGCCTGGGGGCAAGTTACATATTAAACCTGTCTAAGCATCTGCATCAGATCAGACTGCAGGGGGCTGTCATCCGAGTTCAGTGAGATCCTGCCGGCAAAGCAGTCAGCACAGCACCTAGTTTATAGTAAGTGCTCAGCAAGTGGTTCCCTTTGCACCCCCAGAGCCCTCCTTGCTTCAGAAGGTCTCAGCGTCACAGCCTCTTCTCCACCCTGTTTCTCCTCCCCTAGTTGTGGCCCTATCAAATCTTCCCCAAATTCCTGGCACAGCCTCCTGGCTAGCGGTGCCCTGCTCCCATCCCTCCCAGCCTCCCACCCACCACAGCCTGGGAACCACCCTGAAGATTCATGTGCGGCCAGCTCAGCCCCTCCCCGCTTAGGGACCCACAACTACATTGCCCTGGGTCCAGCTTAACCCTAAAAGTCCTTGGGGCAGCTCTGACCAGCTCTGGCTCTGAGCTCTAAGGCCTTCTACCGTTTCTGCTTGGCCTCAGCCATGGGTCCTCCCTGCCCCAGGCTTAGCCATGGGCTGCACTTCCTGCACCATAGCCCCGAGGGAGGCCCCCAAGAGAGAGGTCAGGACTCAGACCATCCAGCCCCAAAGCTACAGACCACTCAGATATAGGTCCAGTTACATGAGGGGCACCTCTAAGAGGGATCAAACCAGCAGCCAATCAAACCAGGGAGCCTTCTCACTGCCATAGGGGGCACCCAGGTGTGCAATGGTAAGGATTCCATTCAGCCTCATGCCCCCAAGATGGTAAACTAGCCTATCAGATGTCTGGAGCAGAAGCAGCCCACAAGTGGGGAGCACCTTCCCCAGGGCCTAGGCTGGGCCGCTGGTGGCATCATGAAGAATTTTTGCTGAGCGAATAATAAACTCCCACCAACCCTTCCCTTCCAGAGTACTTGTGACACAATGCCAAACCACTCTGAAACCATCAGTCACACTGTGAACGTGCCCCTGCAGACGACCCTGGGGACCTTGGAGGAGATTGCCTGCTGACACCCCTCGAGTCACCCAGCACTCCCTCCAAACAGACCTTGAGGCCCAAGACCCAGGACAAGGAACAGCAAGCTCAGGTGGGATGGCCCCAGTGCTGGAAAGAAGCAAGAGCCCCCTATGCACACATTGCAGACTAGCTGCCTAGACCTCGCTCCGGCCACGTCCAACACGACGCATCCTTGGGCCCCGCCGTGCGTCCCTCTTAGGAGAGATGAGTCACACTCTGGAACTGTCCAAGAACGAACCTGCCATCACATCTCACTGCCAGATGTATAAAGCACCTGCATGCTCAGACTTCTTGTGGCGCCACCTCCACGTCTGTCTTGTACATGACACTCCTCCACGCGGTTTCCAGTGTCCACACTGCTGCCCGTGCAGTGGGACCAGATTCCAGGTCCAAAGTCACCATGAGGCCACCCTGGAATCAGAACTGCACAATCAAGAGGGAACCCATGGGACTCTCTGCTACATTCAGTTCTTGTGTCGTTTGTGAAAGTTCTTAACCTGCCCAAAAACCCCCTTTTCCCCAAGCTGCCCATGGGGCTTCGGCGCCAAAGGTGACCCGCGCCAACCTCCCTCCCCCCCAGTGCCTATGACGGCGGCACAGCAGCCAGCGGGTGGGGGACGCCTGTGTTCACCCATGGTGCCCATGTCGTTCTTCTCTCCCTGTGACACAGCTTGTACAGTCTGATTCTTTTTATCTGGGGTAGGGGGGCTTTTATGTTTGTCCGATGGAGATTTGTTTTGTTTTGCTTCATTTTATGCTTTTTTATTTTAGTTTTGATGTTCTGAGGTTTGCTTTGGTTTTTCCATTTTCTTTGGCATTTATTTATTCGTGCTTCAAATCACAGTCATATTAAAAGCTGGTCTTGTGGAAATGGCTGAGTTATTTCTGCCTTTTCTCCACATCCGAGTCTCTCTCCCTCCGGGGCCTAGGAAAGGGTCGGACCTGCCAGGTCAAAACTGCAGACTGTGTATATGTAAAGTTTTACGCAACAACACTTACTTTTACAAAATGTGCATACTCTATATGTTTATTCTAAAATTTTTTAAAGATTGCTCACAACTTTGTAAATGTCTTCAAGTCCCACTGATGAGTCACAGCCCGCGTTCTGAAGGAGGCTGCCCTGGACCCACAGGCACGTGGCCTGGAGAATGCTGCTCAGACATGGAAACTATCAAGAAGGCCTTTGTGTCCCCCTGTGATCTGTCTGCTACCCTGACCCCTCCTGACCCCATCGGTGAATTTGGGCTGGACACAGGCCCCAGCATGGCCTCCCTCCCACACACGAGCCTTCCTGGCCTCCCCACCCCCAGCAAACTGACCTGCCTTGTCCCCCCAGAAGCCACACTGGCACTCTGCCTTGCTCCCCATGAGTTCTTAGAGGTGGAATGAGAGGTTGGGAGGTGCCTTTTGGTGTTACGGACACAGGGCATGCCCTTTTCAGCCTCCAGGTGTGAGAGAGAACTTCCTGATCAGGCAGAATCCTCATCCTTAGCACCATGCTGGTTCCATAGCAGCAGTTCCTTTAGCCTAATCTTTCACTTTCCCTCCCGGCCCCCACCACTCCCCCCTCAAAGTCTCTCCTCAAGCAGTGAAGAAAGGCCTAATGTGGCTGTACCTTTCCCCTCAAGCACAGGTGCTCAGAAAGCACTGGCTAGACCAGGGGTTCAGGGTTCCAGTCCTGTTCTGCCATCCAACCTCCCTATCTGTCTGTCTCTCCTTCATGACCCGCTAACACAAGGAAAAGTTACTTGCCCAGTGTGACAAATGGAAGAGTCTCCCACCAGGAGTTATGAGCCCTGGCCCCACAGCGTTCTTCTCTCAGTAGCTGTGTGACAGTGGGTGAGACCATGCACATCTCTGGGCACAGCTCCCTCAATTTTTGGATGAAGATAATACCTTACCTGTGTGAAGGGAAGATGCAGGACCAGATGATCTCCTGAGACTCAAAGTGCCATAACAGCACTGCCTCCCCTGCCCAGTGGGATGCTCACGCCCAAGCATGGCCAGGAGCTGGCAGTCCTGGGGACTGTAGAAGGCAGCTGGGACAGAGCACCCCTGTGATGCCTCCTCCCAAGCATTCTCCCAGATGGGGCTGCCAGCTGTTAGCTAAGCTAGCTTTTATTCTTAGAGAGTGTAAAGTTGCCAGAAAGGGTCTTGTATGGTTTTCTATCACTGCCACTGCAAATAACTACTACCCTCGTGGCTTAAAACAGCACAAATGTATTATCTTACAGTTCTATAGGTCAAAAGTCTGACACAGGTCTCGCTGGGCTAAAACCCAGTGTCAGCAGGGCTGCATTTCTTTCTGGAAGCTCTACAGGAGGCTGTGTTTCCTTGCTTTTTCCAGCTTCTAGAGGCTGCCCACGTTCCTTGGCTTGCAACCACTTCCTCAGTCTTCAAAGCCAGCCATAACGGGTTAAGTCCTTCTCCTGTCACAAATCCACACAGGCACATCTCCCTCTAACTGTGACTTCTCTCATGCTTCCCTCTTCCATTTTTGAAGAATTTTTTTTTTTAGACAGAGTTTTGCTCTGTCACCCAGGCTGGGGTGCAGTGGCATGATCTCGGCTCACTGCAACCTCTACCTCCCATGTTCAAGCGATTCTCCTGCCTCAGCCTCCCGAGTAGCTGGGATTACAGTCATCCACCACCATGCCCGGCTAGCTTTTGTATTTTTAGCAGACTTGGGATTTCACCATGTTGGCCAGGCTGGTCTCAAACTCCTGACTTCAAGTGACCTGCCCACTTCAGCCTCCCAAAGTGCTGGGATTACAGGTGTGAGCCCCCATGCCCAGCCTTTAAAGAACCCTTTTGATGACACTGGGCCTACTGCATAATCCAGAATAACCTTCCCATCTCAGGATTACTAAATTAATCACCTATTCAAAGCCTCTTTTACGATGTAAGGTCACATATTCACTGGTTCCAGGGATTAGAATGGGGACATCTTTGGAGGCCATTACCACAGGCCCACAGGCCTGCTGGATCAGGTAGCTTAATGTCCTCATTTTCCAATTGAGCAGACTCTCAAGAGGAGAGGAGGGCCTGGCCTAGGGTCACACAGTGAGTTAATGGCAGTGCCGAAGCTATACCCCTAAACTCCCAGGTTCACAATTCCATTTGTAGACCCACCAAGGTGACTCACTTTAAACAAGAAGGACTGACAGTGATCAGTTTTCCAGACTTGGCCAGAGTGTGAAAGTCCCTCCACTGAGACAAACTCACCCACGACTACATCAGGCTGGAAAATGCCCTGCTGGTATCTACACTGTCAGATACAGAAGAACAGGGATCCAGAGGTTAGCCTTGGACCGCTCCTACCAGGGACAGGAACCAAATGAAATGACTGTTCAATTAGTCGGGAGTCTCTCTGATGCTTCTGCCTCGTTCCAGTTTAGCAGCTTCTTAAATTTTTTAAAAATCTATAGCTTAAATTACAATTTGAACTGCTTCGTTGGATTTCTGGCTTCCTTTTCAGAAAAAAAAATTAGATCCATTTGTGATAGAGCAAAGAATATTTAGATGCATTTGGATTGCTTCAGGGCTCACAGATGTCTGCACCCATATGGATTTGAGGATTCTGGCTTTGTCCGGCTTAAACCAGGTCTACATTCTTTACCTGTTTAAAGAAAAAAAAAAGGAAATTCAAGAGAGCAAATCAATAGGCAGCTACTGATTATTATTAATTGGCTGTTAACAAAAGACACAGTCTAAATTCCAGTGGGTAGGGGAGTGTTTTTATGATCCTCCCATCAAACAAGTAGCTATTTGTGCAATCATTTCCTTAGTGTGGACCTGGGGAAGTCTGGTGGAGAAGGGAGACTCAGGGAGTTGTCCCATTTTCAGGAGTGACCCAAAAGATGACACCAAGGCTAGGAGTTTGGAGCAATCACAAGTCCAAACCACAAGGTTGAATTCTCAGTGACTTCAGAGGATTGGATCAATCAATTAATTAGTTAATTAATTAATGGCACATGACCCCAGACACGGGATCTTGGGGATGTACAGCAGCTGAAGAGAGTGAAATGATTGAGCCTCGCTGTGAGCATCCATTGCCAGAGGACTGGGCTAGTTGCTCGCACACTGTTTTCTTGTTTTTGGCAGGGACAGGCCGGAGTTATTTTATTTTCCTCGTTCCAGCTTGAAGCTATTTTTGTGAGAGTTTTCACCATGAACGCTGCTAGTGAGAAGCTTGCGGAGCCACAAGCACTGATGAGGGGGAGACAGAGGGTCTCTGGAGAATGGCTCTTGGTGAGCTGGGAAGGAGGACGTCGCAGGCAGGCCCTGCCCACAGGTGTGATCCTGGTGGGTAATGTGTTCCCTCAGGTAAAGCTCAGCACAGCCCACCTGAGCCCACAGGCCCAAAGGAAACCTCTTCCTCCACAAGCTCAGAGATTTTTATTCAATTTTGAGAACCAAACCCTGAACGGGGCTGAAGGCCTCCATAAGATCCCAATGAATCAACTCCCATGTGACAAAGAAAAGCGGGCTCAGAGAGGGCAAGGAACTGCTAAAGCAGCGGGAGAGAATGCAGCCAACCCTGACCCGCACACAGCCAGGGCAGACCCTCCGCTGCACAGAACAAGCTCTCTGGCATAATAGGGAAGGCAGCAGGGGAAGAAAGAAGGGGCAAATGCAGGAAGGGCCCAGGTGCATCTGCCATGCCCTTGTATGATTGACTGCTACCTTGCTGGGCACTTGCAGTGAGGCAAGGAATTTCTAATCTGAGCAAGGAATACTGACAAGTAAACAGAAGACTGCAAAAGATGAATCTGGGTTTTCCAGTTGAAGGGAAGTGAGAGAGCAGCGTATGGGAAGCCCAGGAGGCTGGAGGAGGCACAGCCCAGGGGATTGCACACAGGTCCGGGAGAACCCAAGCAAAGACATGAAGGGGCATGAGAGGTAGGCAGGTGCTGAAGGATGAAGGGCCTGGCCACCATGCTGAGAGGAGTGTCACGGCTAAAGTCCTTCAAGCTCTTTCCTTTGCTCCCCAAGAGGCTATGAAGACATTTCCCAAACCAAGGGTTGATTTCTTGAGCTAATGCCTTTCTCCCCACTCATTGGAGATTCTTAGCCTCTTAGCACATGGGATCTTTTTGTGCAGCATTTATGTATTCCTAAGGCTAACAGGTTATTCTAGGGGGCATGAGGTTCATGGGGACATGAAACAGGACTATAGGACCCAACCCTGCTTGAGGACAGGTGGAAGGAGGAGAATCTCTTACTAATTCAATTTAACATTTGATGAAACCAGTACTCACTTGTTTTTCAAGAATAAAGCAGTGGGTTGGAAAAGGCTTTGGTCAAAGTCAGAAGACTGAGTTTTGTTTTTGTTTTTGTTTTTGTTTTTATTGAGATGGAGTCTGGCTCTGTCGCACCTAGGCTGGAGTGCAGTGGCGTGATCTCGGCTCACTGCAACCTCTGCCTCCTGGGTTCAAGCGATTCTCCTACCTCAGCCACCCGAGTAGCTGGGATTACAGGTGCCAGCCACCACACCTGGCTAATTTTTTGTATTTTCAGTAGAGACGGGTTTCACCATGTTGGTCAGGGTGGTCTCAAACTCCTGACCTCAGGTGATCCGCATACCTCGGCCTCCCAAAGTGCTGGGATTACAGGCGTGAGCCACCACGCCCAGCCAGAAGACTGAGTTTCTAATCTGTTTCTGCTGCAAACTGACCACATGACTTTAGGCCCAGTTCACTTCACTTCTATGGGTCTCAGTTTCCTCCTCTACAAAAGGGAAGGAGATGAAAATGGACAGATAATCCCTTTGGTGCCTCCCGACTCTAACAGTCTATGAGTTGAAGTTGTAAGTGAATGTCAGGCATCTAAGCAAATATTTAATTGACTGCTCAGAGCCCCCATTTCTCCATCTATAAAACAGAAATGCTGATGCTTAGTTTTCAGGCTTATTATGAGGATTAAATAAGTTTAAGTGTATAAAACACTTTCTATCTTTTCTTCTTTTCTCTTTTCTTCCCGTAGAACATTGATGTTTAATCTTGTTTGGATCACTGACTCTTAAAAATAAGATGAAGCTGTAAATTCTCTCCCCCCAAAATTGCACATGGTCACATAGATATACGTAAAATTTTGCCTACAAGCTGGGTGCAGTGGCTCACACCTATAATCCCAGCACTTTGGGAGGCTGAGGTGGGAGGATCACTTGACTTCAGGAGTTCGAGACCAGCCTGAGCAACACGGCAAAACCCCATCTCTGAAAAATACAAAAAATTAGCCAGGCGTGGCAGTGCATGCCTGTAGTGCCAGCTACTTGACAAAACAAAACAAAATTTTTGCATATAATTTCAGGAGGGTTATGGATCCCCAGAGCCCATCTGTGATCCTCTAGGGGTCCACCCATGCTAGGCAAAGTCACCCTGATCGAGAAAGTGCTAAACAATCCTCCAAAAGAACGCCACAGTACCACAAAATGCAACCAACATTTCTTCTCCTAAAATCACATAATGACTGTCATTTTTCAATTTACAGAAAGAAGAAAAAATAAAAGGATAGATAGCATTTGATCAGTGTTGTTTTCTCCCATAATTTTTTTAAACCTTTGGCACCTGCTGCAGCTTGTGCGTTCTCACAGATGGCAAAATGAATGAACGAGCAGAAAATGAATATGAACAGAAAAACTTGGAAACGTGATTTCATAAAATTATTTTATGCATGTGGAGATTTCGAGGGCTGAAGGAAAAGACCTGTGTACATAAGAAGCAACCATAACGTCCACTTTGCAGACACCCCCATGGCCTGGTTCTTCAAGAACATGCCCCCTGCATGCCCTGCACCCGGGAATGCATGCATAATGTTCGCTGGCTGCCACTGAGCCTCCAAACATGCCCCACTGCTGACATCTCATTTGTTTCTGAGCAAGGCCACAATGGTGTTTTGCTTTTTGTTGAAAAGAAAATCCGCCCCCTGATAATGACTGTGAGTGATGCTTTGGGTTGGAGAATTTGGATTTTTTGCCTCCTTGAAGCTGTTCTCTCCCCCATGCCTCTGAAGGAAGTGGCAAACTTATCACCATTATAGGCCATTTGTCTTTAGTGTAATTCTGCCTTTTGTGGCTTCTTTACAAAAGCAGTTCTATCTGAGTTAAAATAGGCCCAATACAAAGTGATTGGTGGGCACCAAAGCACACCCAGCTCAACCAGCCTCCCGGAGGGAAACTTCCCAGTACCATGCTGGAGTCTCTGCCCTGACCCCATCACTCCACAAGCATTTTCTGTGTGCTCACTATGTGCCAGGCACTGAGTTAGGTACTGGGAATTCATATATCAAGAAGACACAGTCTAGGTGGGCAGAGGTGGGCAACAGGCATGTACAGAAACACCTGAACGGTATGGTGGCTCACGCCTGTAATCCCAGCACTTTGGGAGGCTGAGGTGGGCAGATCACGAGGTCAAGAGAGCAAGACCATCCTGGCCAATATGGTGAAACCCCGTCTCTACTAAAGATACAAAAGTTAGCTGGGCGTGGTGGCACACGCCTGTAGTCCCAGGTACTCAGGAGGCTGAGGTAGGAGAATCGCTTGAACCTGGGAGGCGGAGGTTGCAGTGAGCCAAGATTGCGCCACTGCACTCCAGCCTGGAGACAGAGAGAGACTCCGTCGAAAGAAAGAAAAGAAAAAGAAAGAAAAGAAAGAAAGAGAAAGAAAGAAAGAGAGAGAGAGAGAGAGGGAGGGAGGGAGGGAGGGAAGAAAGAAAGAAAAGAAAGAAAGAGAAAGAAAGAAAGAAAGAGAGAGAGAGAGGGAGGGAGGGAGGGAGGGAAGAAAGAAAGAAAAGAAAGAAAGAAAGAAAAAGAAAAAGAAGGAAAGAAGAAAAGAAAGAAAGAAAGAAGGAAAGAAAGAAAGAGAGAGAGAAAGAGAGAGGGAGGGAGGGAGGGAGGGAAGAAAGAAAAGAAAGAAAGAAGGAAGGAAAGAAAGAAAGAAAGAAGTAAGGAAGGAAAGAAAGAAAGAAAGAAAAAGAAAAAGAAAGAAGGAAAGAAAGAAGAAAAGAAAGAAAGAAGGAAAGAAAGAAAGAAAGAAAGAAGAAAGAAAGAAAGAAAGAAAGAAAGAAAGAAAGAAAGAAAGAAAGAAAGAAAGAAAGAAAGAAATAAGAGAGAGAGAAAGAAAGAAAGACTTGAGCAGCAAGAGCTACAAAGGTACCCAGGGCACAGTGTGCTCATTGCGGCAGAAACACCTGGGTCTGGTTGGCTGAGTCGGAGCAGGTTTTGACTGAAGCCTTGAGAGATGGGTAGAAGTTGCCAGGCAAGCAAGTTTGCAGAACAGATACCTGGGCAGAGACTTGGAGGCAGAAGAGAAGCTGGAGGGCTTGGAGAATGATGGATCCCCTGTGGATAGGTGGGCTATCTCTCCACTGCCCCCCACCCCTCAACTGTGCCTTCCCACTCCAGGGGGCAGCCTGCTGAGAGTCCAAGTGCTAGTGCAGCTATGGCAGCTGGGACAGCTGAGGATGAAGCATGGCCTTGGCAACCTGGCAGCCCCATCCAAGTCCCAGCTCCGGCCAACTGTGCTTCCTTGGGCAAGCTCTAGAACTTCTCTGAGGTTCAGTTTCCTCCTAAAAATGGGGATGACCATCTCAATCTCCTCCGGATGCTGTGCTGCTGTGATGGCCAACATAGGGTAGGTCAGAGATGATAAAGAGGTCCCATTCTACATGCCAACTCCATCGAGAGTGACTACCATTGAACTGTCAAGAAAGATTCCTTGGCTGGGCGTGGTGGCTCACACCTGTAATTCCAGCACTTTGGGAGGGTAAGGTAGACAGATCACTTGAGTTCAAGACCAACCTGGCCAACATGATGAAACCGTCTCTACTAAGGATACAAAAATTAGCCAGGCATGGTGGTGCGCACCTGTAGTCCCAGCTACTTGGGAGGCTGATGTGGGAGAATCACTTGAACCCGGGAGGCAGAGGTTGCAGTGAGCCAAGATCACACCACTGCACTACAGCCTGGTCGACAGAGGGAGACTCTGTCTCAAAAAAAAAAAAAGAAAGATTCCTGGACACATGCCAGCTCAGTAAAGACAAAGGCTTGTACTCAGTTTGCAATGTCTGCCATAGGCACAGAGGTGATGGGGTCCAGGAAATTCTGGGTGCCCTCTGACTGGCCCACCTCCCACAGTTTCCCTACCCTAGAAGCTTCAGGCCAGTGCTCAGAGTGGAGAAAAACCACCATACCCAGCTGAGGGCATGGACCACACAGAAAGAGCACCCCGCAAAGCCTCCTTCAGCTGCCAGGGGCCTCTGCCACCCTCACCTGTACCTACAGGTAGAGAAGGGACAGCACCTTAGCAAGCCAATCATCCCCAGGAACATTCAATCCACCCTTAGCACAAAAGATATAGAAAAGCCCATTTTAAATCTGTCTCCTGCAGCCAAACTAATCCAAGAAGGGGGAGACTTACGAAAAGTAACAAAAATTCATTGAATTCTCCCCTACTTTCCATAGGACTGTCTACTACTTTTCCCAAACCATTCCCCTTCTCCTCCTTCTCCTCCTCACACCTTCCCCTTTCTCTTTCTCTTCTTAGCAAACAATGAGAAGGACACAGTACAGGTCTCCTAAGGAAGCCCTGGTCACTGGGGCAGGCATGTCCTGTTCCCACCCATTCCTCCCCAGGTAGGTTGGAACTTGCTACCCCCAGAGCTCAGGAAAACCAGATGAGCCAGCATTTCTGAAGCCCCACTCTGTGCCAGGCACTATGCTGGGCGCGTCGCTGCTCTATATTATGGATTACGATGATAGATTACAGGTGCAATTGATACAATATTCCAAGGTGGCCTTCATTTGCTCCTCTTGCCCATGAGGAACACTGAGCTCTGAGAGGTGGAGTGACTTTCCCAAGGTCAGGTGGCTAGGAAAAAGGAGAAAACCCCATTGCTCCACCTCTGCCAAACTGCCCAAACCATGCTGAGCTCCCTCTACACCACATATGGGCAAGAAGGAGGCAGGCAGGACTTGTATGAAAAGCAGCCAGGGTGGTTACCTGGCTGAGGGATAGAGAGTCTCCCCAAGAGAGGGATCCCCGGGGGCATGGGGCAGGGGGTGGCAGTGGGTCCATCTGGAGAGATGCCTAGGGTCTGGCACATAGGTAGTGATTAAGTAATATCATTGAATCAATTGTTGCATATTAGATGGTATCAAGCCCCATTCACTCACTGATTCTGCAAACATTAGCTGAGTGCCTACCATTCATTCATTCATGCATCAATCATGCATTCAACAGGTTCTTTTTTTTTTATTGAGTATAATGTGCCAGGTACTATTCTAGGTGGTAGACATATAAGGAACGAACAAATTTTCTGCCCCCATGGTGCTTACAATCTAGCATAGGCAAGTGAAAAGGGGATATACATAAATTCAGAGGTGCATGGAATAATTTCAGATAATGGAGCATGCTGTAGTGCCAAGATAGTGACAAAGAGGGGAAAGACTCCTTCAGCTACAGCAATCAGAGAAGTCACTTTGAGGAGGTGAAACTGAGACAAGACCTGACTGAAGAAAAAGGGAGCGTCACCCAAAGGTCTGAGGAAATGCATTTCCACAAAAATATCAAAGTATTAGTTGGGTGTGGTGGCGTCCACCTGTAGTCCCAGCTACTCAGGAGGCTGCAGTGAGCTATGATCGCACCACTGTACTCCAGCCTGGGCAACAGAGTGAGACCCTATCTCAAAAAACCAAAACACATGTATACATGCATACATATGTAAGAAACCTGCACGTTGTGCACATGTACCCTAGAACTTAAAGTATAATTAAAAAAAAAAGAATACTATGTGAGAGGCACAGTTCAAACTTGACTGGAAGCAACAAGATCTGAAAGGGCGGTGGAAGTTGAAGATATTACAGAGACCTTATAGGATGGCTGTGGCAAATGGAGAGGAAAAAGTCAAAGATGACAGTATTTTCAAATTTGAGTGACTGGAAGAAGAATACTAAAATTAACATAAGTAAGGTAAGGATATTGTTTCAGGAGGATGGAGTGTGGCTTTAGACATGTTTGGTTTTAATTATGTATCAAGCAATCAAACAGCTAGGATAGGAGTCTAACGCCAAAAATTAAATCTATTTAAGAAACTGGAAATTTAAAGTGTGAACAAGTGAGCCCTGGGTTAACACTGGTTACCTTTGGTTATCTTTGTATTCTACTCACTCGATACCACAAACACATGGCACCAAAATTTTTTCTGTAATAAAAAAACTTACAGCTTGAAATTCAAAAAAACAAAACAAAACAAAGATCTGAAGAAATAAAATTCCAGGAAGACAAGAGAGAGGTACAGAGACCCTGTGGTGCAAACAGCTTGTTGCATTCAAGGGACAGAGTGTAATGAATGGGAGAAGAATGATCGGTGATAATGAAAGGCGTGAAGCAGCATGCTACCCTCAGGAAACTAACCGCCAAGGACACAAACTAGCTAGAGCAAAAGTTTCCGAACAGGTGAGAGTTGAATCTGTAGCAGTCAGCTGAGTCTTGGTCATGAAAGACCTTGTATACCAACCCAAGGAACTTGAACTTTAACCCTATAAGATAAGAAAAGCTATTGGGCCTAGGATGCAAGGCAGAAACAAGATAGAAAGCTCACTCTGAGGGAGGAGGTGGAGTTGCAAGGACCAAGGTTAGAGACACGAACACTCTTAGGAAGCCATTGCAATCGTCCTTGGGAAGAGGTGATGAGGACTTGATTTAAAGCAGCTGCATGTGGATAGAAAGGAGGGAGAGTTTCTAGAGATATAAAGAAAGTAAAAGAGGTAAGACTTAATGGCCCATGGTAAGTGGGGTGAGCGACGTGGAAGGAGAGAGATACCAGGACATGGCCTGGTTACTCTCACCAACCTGAGCATGTCCTTCAGGAGCTGAGCTCTGAACATAGAGGCTCCCCTGGCCTCTACATTCAGATGGGCCTGCACACTCTGTAGCCCTCATAACAAGGGAGGCCTCCCTGGCTTTGATCAGGGCCCTCTTCCCTAAATACTCCTTCTCCAGCTCCGTCTTCACCTGCTCCTGGTCAACCACCCAGCCCAGGCCTTCAGGGTCCCTTGTCCAGGCCTGATCCCAGTCCAGCCCCATCTTGAAGAGACTGTGGCCATCATCACTGCTCACAGCCCCCAAATCCTTTAACAATGTTCTCTTTGGTTCCAAGAGCTTCACTACACCTATTCCTGGGCTCCTCTCCCAGACAAGCTGAATGGGACCCAGTGAAGCAACCAGGCCAGGCAGGCAACAGAAGTCTGAAGTTGAAGTAGAAGGCACGAATCCTTCAAAGATGGATGGTTGGACCATGGACTGGAAGAATTAATATCATTAAAACGACCATACTTCCCAAAGCAATCTACAGATTCAATGCAATCCCTATCAAAATACCAACATCATTTTCCAGAGAATTAGAAAAAAAATCCTAAAATTTATATGAAACTAAAAAAGGGCCCAAATAGCCAAAGCAATCCTAAGCAAAAAGAACAAAGCCAGAGGCATCACATTATCTGATTTCAAATTATATTACAAGGCTATAGTAGCCGAAACAACATGGTACTGGTATAAAAAACAGACTCACAGATCAGTGGAACAGGGTGGAGAACTCAGAAATAAGGCCACATATTTACAGCCAACCGATTTTTGACAAAACTGACAAGAACATACGTTGGGGAAAAGACGCTTTTTTCAACAAATGGTGCTGGGAAAACTTCTGCCATGTGCAGAAGAATGAAACGACCCCTGTCTCTCATCATATACAAAAATCAATTCAAGATGGATTAAAGACTTAAATGTAAGACTCACAACTATAAAAATACTAGAAGGAAACCTAGAGAAAACTCTCCTGAACATTAGTCTAGGTAAATAATTTATGACTAAGACCTCAAAAACACAGGCAACAAAATGAAAAATAGACAAATGGGACTTAAACTAAAAAGATCCTGCACGGGAAAAGAAATAATCAACAGAATAAACAACTTGTAGAATGGGAGAAAATATTTGCAAACTATTCATTCAACAGGGGACTCATATGTAGCATATACAAAGAACTCAAACAACTCAACGACAGAAACAATCCCATTAAAAAGTGGGCAAGCCAGGCATGGTGGCTCATGCCTAAAATCCCAGCACTTTGAGAGGTCAAGGCAGGAGGATTGCTTAAGTTCCAGGGTTCGAGACCAACCTGGGCAAAAGAGTGAAACCTTGTCTCTATAAAAAAACAAAAATTAGCCAGGTGTGGTGGCATATGCCTGTAGTCTCAGCTACTCAGGAGGCTGAGGTGGGAGAATTGCTTGAGCCCAGGAGGTCAAGGCTACCATGAGCCATGATCAAACCACTGCACTCCAGCGTGGGCAACAAAGCAAGACCCTTTCTCAAAAAAAAAAAAAAAGTGGGCAAAGGACATAAATAGTCATTTTTAAAGAAGATATATAAATGGTCAACAGTTACATGAAAAATGTTCAACATCACTGATTATAGAGAAATGCAAATTTAAACCACAATGAAATATCATCTCACCCCAATCAGAATATCTGTTATTAAAAAGGCAATAAACAACAAATGTTGGTGATGATGCAGAAAAAAGGGAACTCTTATACACTGTTAGTGGGAGTGTAAATTAACATATCTGTGGAAAATAGTATGGCGATTTATCAAAGAACTAAAAGTAGAACTACCATTCAATTTAGCAATCCTTCTACTGGGTATCTACCCAGAGGAAAAGAAACCATTATGTCAAAAAGACACCTGCATTCATGTTTATCAAAGCACTATTCACAATAGCAAAGATATGGAACCAACCTAAGTGTAATGGATGAATGGAAAAAGAGAATTTGATGTATATACACAATGGCATACTATTCAGCCCTAAAAAAAGAATGAAATCATGTCTTTTGCAGCAACATGGTTGGAATTGGAGGTCATTATCTTAAGTCAAAAATGCCAGGGACAGAAAGTCAAATGTCACATGTTCTCACTCCTAAGTGGGTGTGAAAAAATGTGTACACATGGACATAAAGATTGGAATAATAGGGGCCGGGCACAGTAGCTCATGCCTGTAATCTCAGCACTTTGGGAGGCCAAGGTGGGCAAATTACACAAGGTCAGGAGTTCAAGACCCGCCTGGTCAACATGGTGAAACCCCATCTCTACTAAAAATACAAAAATTAGCCAGGTGCGGTGGTGGGCACCTATACTCAGGAAGCTGAGGCACGAGAATCTCTTGAGCCTCGGAGGCAGAAGTTGCAGTGAGCTGAAATCGCACCACTGCACTCCAGCTTGGGTGACAGAGTGAGACTCCATCTCAAAAAAAAAGGACTGGAATAATAGACAATGGAGATTCAGAACAATGCAGGGTATGAGGGGGGTGGACAATGAAAAATTACTTAATGGGGACAGTGTACATTACTCAGATGAGGGATACTTTAAAAGCCCTGTCTTGACCACTATACAATCTATATGTGTAACAGAATCACACAGGTACCCCATTAGTTGTACAAATAAAAATAAATAAAATTTTTAATTTGTCTTACAAAAAATAAATTTAAAAAAAAGAAAGATGGATGGGTCATGGGTCCCAGGCCAGATGACCATAACAACAACCCCTTGGCAAAGTACAGTGAGTAAGCGTACATGTGGAGTCACACTGAGCTGGGTGCAAATTTATCTCATCTGAGCCTCTGTTTCCCCTTGTCTGTGGAATGGTGGTCATAATGGTAGCTGCATCATAGCTATTGTTCTAGGGTCTAGATTAGATAATGCATGGCACATGGTAGGCACACCGTGTTTGCCTTGATGTTAAAAAGACAGCAGCTTCTCCCTACTTATGATTTAATAGCTCCATTAGTCATTGATGCCCCTACTGCCAGCAGGGTTCTTCACCACTCTGTCCCCTTGCATGAGTCGCTCTCAAGTTTCATCATCATCTTGACCAGACCAGCAGGGGAAGGAAACTGGCCTGACTCGCTAATTGTGGACATTCCACGCCCCTCTGGTGTATGCTGACCCGGAGGCATTCAGGGTGGCTGAATTAGGTGGAGGAGGATGGTGGGGGGCGACAGTGTCGTCCCCTCCTCTCCCTAAGAGTCACCAGCCATGCCTCAACCAACAGTTCAGTGCTTACAGGTTTCTTTGGAACCTTTTCAGAAGAATCTACAGTCTGAACTCAGGGCTCAGGCTTCTCACACATCATCCTATCTCTGCAACTGCTGCTGCTGCCACCACATCCACTGCGATCCTGAGACCCACCCACCTTCCTCCTTTAGAGGCAGTCGTCCCAGATTAGCAGGGGACCGCGCTATCTTTTTCTGGGCTTCTCGTGTGCTGACTAAGGCAGAAGGCTGCACTGGCTGTGCGGATTGAAAGCCACGGTCACTCCCGTCCCATCCTCCAAACTCCTAGCAGTAGTGGGCAAAGTGAGCGCACCGTCTCTATCAGCGGCACTTGAATCTTCCGCCACGAGAGGGCACCAGAGAGCAAGGTGAAAGCAGAAGCTCCGGGTGGTCATTCTTCTCCCGCGACCAAGCAGCACCCCCGGCTTGGCAGGGGTGTGTGTTAGTAGTCACAGCTGGAGGGCCAAAGCACAGTGACCACCATCTGCAACCAAAGCTGCAGAAAAAAAGTGTCCCAAGAACCTTCCCAATCAAGCCAGAGGTGCACAGCCCTAGATCCAGCTAGGGTTGCCAGGTAAAACATAGGACACCCAGTTAAGTTTAAATTTTAGATAAACGTCAAATAGTTTTAATATAAATATGTTCCTATGCAATATTTTGGACATGCTTAAAATTATCTGTTGTATATCCAAAGTTCAAATTAAACTGGGGCATCCTGTTTTTGTTGTTTCTTATGTATTTGTTTTGTTAAATCTGGCCACCCTAGACCCAAATTTTGCCAGGTGTGGTAGACAAAAAATGCACTGGTGCCCCCCCCAAACACCTGCCCACAGGCCACCAGAAATGGAGGTAAGCCTCTGGTGCTGGGCTTTCTGGAGTCCACTGGAAACCCAGCCCAAGCGGACAGGTGAGGTGAGGGAAAACGGAGGTGCTCTGGCTCTGACATGGCACCTGCAGACACACTGAGAGCTGAGAGCCATATTCACGTTCAACCATCCTTTATTCGCTGGCTTGTCTTCCCAAGCCTAGGTCAGGAACCAAACCACATTTCCCAGCCTGCTGTGCATGGTTCCGTCCATCCTAGAAGTCACAGCCATCCACCCATTCAGTGAGGTCTTTTCCCTGGCAGTGATGCCTCCAGGCCTCCCTGAGGATGGAGAACAGGGAAGAGGAGAGATAATATCAGCTGCAGTTGCCAGTCACCGCCCAGAGAAGAACAAGAAGGAGAGTGTGGTCTCTAAACCAGAAGTGAGGAAGGAAAGGGGTTTGTTCCCTGCTGCTGCCCACCAGTCCTAACCATACCACCGCTGCGGGGCTCCAGCCCAAGTTACTTACCAGTAACCCAGACCCTGAGGCTCTTGGGTTATCTTCATGGCACAGATAACGGTATCCTTGAGATTAGGATTCAACAAATCTGGGGTGATAGGCAGAGAAACACAATGAGAGAACAGGAGACATCCAGGTGTGTGTGTGTGTGTGTGAGTGTGTATCTGTCTGTCTCTCTCTCTCTCTCTACACACACACACACACACACACACACACACACTCCACTCGCCTAAATCCAATCCTGTCTCAACCACTCCGGAAGCACAGGTACAACCCTATCCCTCTCCCCCTCCATCAGAAACAATCCTCCCTCCATTCCTATAGCCCTAAGGCAGTCTCCTATCTGGGACCCCAATTCAGACTGATGGAAGACCTACCCTCATCCCTTGTCCCATCTCCCTCTCCTCCGTGGGCCCAGCCTGATGTGGGGGAACCCTCACTCAGAGATGGGGGTAGCAAACTAAACTGGGAATGGAACAAAAGCTAATGCAGGGCCTGACTCCTGCCAGCCCTGGGCCCAGGCCCAGCTACCTGAGCAGTACATCCGGCACACGTTGGGGACGTTCGGGGTGAGGTTGCTGCACCACCTCCGGCTGTTGATCTGGAAGATCCCGTTGTTGGTGCTCCCATCAGCCTCGTAGTCCAAAGCAGCTGCGTTGAAACCGCTTGTGAAATAAGCAAGGCAGACCCCTGCATAGGGCAGAGCATAGGCCTGGGGGTCAGATGGTTACAGCCACCCCAGACCAGGGTGCTCACTGCACAGGTCCCACGCTGGCTCCACCGAGCCTCTCCTGCCTGATCAAGGTGATTGGGGCAGGTGCCTCCCACCTGCTTTGCAAACCAATCAATCGAGGCTTAGAGGTGCACAGCGACTCACCCAGGGTCCCATCCAGCTACCAAATAGCATGGGTTGGGGCTGGCCTCAGGCCTCTTGACTTTTAGCCCAGCAGTCTTCCCATTATCTCATTGTTCAGCACATAGTAGGGCCCAATAAATTTGTTGAATGAATCTACAAGTGCTAAATCTTTTTTTTTTTTTTTTTTTGAGACGGAGTCTCACTCTGTTGCCCAGGCTGCAGTGTAGTGGCGTGATCTCAGCTCACTGCAACCTCTGCCTCCCGGGTTCAAGCAATTCTCCTGTCTCAGCCTCCCAAGCAGCTGGGATTATAGGTAGCTGCCACCATGCCCAGCTAATTTTTGTATTTTTAGTAGAGACGGGGTTTCGCCATATTGGCCTGGCTGGTCTCGAACTCCTGACCTCAGAGTGATCCACCTGCCTTGGCCTCCCAAAGTGCTGGGATTACAGGCCTGAGCCACTGCACCCAGCCTACAAGTGCTAAATCTTCAGTAACAAGATTAGGAAGACCCAGGTGGAATCTATAGAGGGTGCTCGACCTGTTAGAAAGATGAGCCCCGGTATGACTGCCCTTCCCACATGGCCATCTAAAACTGCCACCAGCTTGAAAAGTTTGGCATGACTGCTCTGTTCAGTTTGTCTTTTCTAATTTCAGAAGGAATGTCTGATCCTTGTGGCCATAGTTAAGTTTAGGGGACTGAGCTGTTTGTTTCCT
This sequence comes from Homo sapiens, assembly GCF_000001405.40. Lineage (NCBI taxonomy): Eukaryota > Metazoa > Chordata > Mammalia > Primates > Hominidae > Homo > Homo sapiens. Next base: position 32,995,962 of record NC_000017.11, on the reverse strand, counting down.
TTGACCCCGACTTTAGCAGCAGGGGGAAATGAAGGGGTGACTCCAATTTGGTTGCCTGCTGCCTGCCTACTGCGTGTTTTACTCCGTGCTGGCTGTTCTCTACCTGCCATCTCAAATCATCTTCAGTTTACAGAAGGGCTCTAAAAGCTCCCGAAGCCACAGCCCTTGAATGAGAAGGAGAGAGGGAGGGAAAGAGGGAGGGAGGTGTGGGGAAGTCAGGGCCCGCCAGGGAGAGGGGTTCTCACAGTCAGCCAGGCTGTATCCCCGGTATCCGTCCAGCCCGAAGTCATGTAGCACTCTGGCCAGTTCACAACGACCGTAGAGCTTGGCCTCACTGGAGGGTAGCAGGCAGCTGAGCAGACAGACCAGGGCCAACAACATGATCCCAGCTGGGCACCACCGCCTTCTGAGAGCCCTGCTCCTGGCTTCTATGCCGGCGGCAGAGGTGGAGCCACCACCACTCTGGCTCAGAGCTGAGCTTTGGGATGACAGGCAGCTCACCAGCCTCCGTGGTCCACTCACAGAAGGAGAAGAAACAGGGCTTGAGTGCACCCCTGGGAAAGGGGAGAGGAGAGAAGGGGTGGGCAGAAGGCCAGGCTCCAGCAGCACGTATCAGCCCCCTTGCATTCCTGATCAGCATCACCCTGACCCCGAGACCAGCCCCTCTCCTTCCCCATCCTGCTTCACACCACCCAGGCCAGAGACAGGAAGAAAACTAACCTATTGTAAGCTCCATATTACACGTTACGGATTATTTAGTCCTGAGGCCCAAGATTTTATAACTAGGAAGGGGCGAAGTTTGGATGGAGACAAAGTTCTATAAATCCAAAGCCCCACTGAGCAGATGCTCCCGGAGGGGATGGCCAGGCGGTGTGTTCATGGGTCTCTCAGCCCAACTGTCAAGGGACAGCCCTTCTGGCATTGACCCTCCATCTCCAGATCTTAACTGAAACAAGGTCTCCCCCAGAACACTGCTCCCCTATAGCCCGCTCAAGGGGAAGCTGCTCTTTCTCCACACACAAGACCCCAAGATGTCCCGAGAGTCTCCTCCACCCCCACCACCACTTCTAAACCATAACCTGCAAAAAGCCCTTCTCCCTGGAAGCCCAGCCTGCCCGTCTGGTTTGACCTCCCTGCCCTGTCATCATTGGCTGTGTGTGGCCAGTCCCCCAAATCACAGAGGACATTAGCACCTGGGTGTCACAGCATCAGGGCTCCTTCATCTCCCCAGACCTAGTCCCCTCCAGTTCCTCTGTGTCTCAGCCAGTCCCTCCCCTGCCCTGGTCATCCCTGCTTCTTGTCCTCACCCGCATTTCCCCACCTCTGTGAGCTCCTATCCCACTGCCCACCACCTCTGACAAGCCTTCCCATGCTTCTCTTGACCTCTGCGCCTCCACACCTGCTCTCCACCTTCACAGAGTCAAAAAGTGAAAGAGTTGTACAAACTCTTGTTTGTGCCAATTGGTGTCCCTGGTCTCCAACCTCCACGGGACCTTGAATGCCCCCGAGGATGACAAAGTGGTTGAGGTCATGGCTTTGCAGCAAGGTTCGGGTTGGAAGCCCCCCTCTGCTCCTTGCTCCATCTCTGATTTTGGGCCCTCCCTGAGGCTTGTTTCTTCCTCTATAAAATGAGGACGTGAGTAACACCTGCCTCATATGATTGTTGGAAGAATAAATGAGAAAAGGCGTGGGCACAGCGTAGCTCTTGGCACTAAAAATAAGTGAGTTGTTGTTTCTGTTATGAACTACAACTAACACTGGTACTCGCGCTTGTCTCTGCTCAGACTTCTCTCTCCCATTTCCCTCACAGGAAATGAAAACCCTCAGTATTGTCCTTTAGCACGCCACGCTGTCCCACCCCTTGGCTCTCAGAACATGATCTCGTCTCCTGCTGCACTAAGAAAAGCAAGGTGCTCACTTGTGGAATTTCTTCCTCTTTCTGCCTTAGCCCTGCTCACTTGCAAACTCATCAGTAGCCTCCTCGCCCTCATCTCCACCCCGTCATTGTTTGGGTACGGGGCCTCCAATCTCATGCAGGCCCATCTTCCCTCTAAGCTCTAGATTTGTCCTTCCCATCACCAAGCCTTGCTCCATCCGTTGTCCCTCCTCTCCCGGCGCGCTAGCACCGTTCCCCTCCTGCTCCTCCTTCCCCTGCTCGTAGAGACTTTCTCAGTCTCCATCTTCTAAATGCCTTCCCTCAAGTCTCATGCTGACTGCTACTCCCTTGTCTCTTTCCCCCTCTTCTCGCCCAAACTCCTGGGGAAAATCGCCACTTTCTCCCTCCCGCTTGTTTTCCAACCTGGTGAATTGGCCTCCCTGCCATCACCGCGCGCTGAAACTGCTCTGCGGGTCCAAGGAGGCCCCCTTCGACTCTGTCTCATGGGAGCTCTCAGCTGTACTCATGCCGTCCGCCACCCGCTGTTGAAAGGCTTGCCTCTCCTGGTTTCCACGATGCTCCCTTCTCCCAGGTTTCCTCCTCCCTCTCTGGCTGACTCTCCTCCTTATCCTCCGTGGAATTCACTTCTGCCCAGGCCATAAACGCTGATATGCTTTCTAAGGCCTTCCTGCCTTGAGCCCTCTTCTCTTCCACTTTGAGGAAACCCCCTGGGCAGCCCTGCTGTTAGCCACCGCCTGAAGGCTGGCAACCCCTGTGGCATCTTCCCCAAGACCTCAGAGGCAGCTACTGGCAGGACACTTCCACTTGAATGCCCTGCAGGCACCTCAAACCCAGCACATCTAAACAGAACCACTGTTTCCATCAATGCCTTCTTCTGCCTTGTGACTTTCCTTATGTGCTTTAAAACATGATGGGCCACACATTTACCCAAACTGGAAATATGAATGTCATTCTTCACTCCTTCCCCATGACATCTTTCACCCAGTTCCAACCAATCAGTCCCAATGTCCTGTGGATTCCACCTTCCCTCCGAGAGCACCGTCCTTTCCTAGGTTCACACCTCCATCCTGGCTTCCTTCATGGTCTTCTTGTATCATGTCTCAACCACTCTTCCAAGCTATTCTATACACATCCATCAGAACAAATTTGTTAAATGAAAAGCCCAGCCCTGTGACACCTTGGATGGCTCCCACCATAACTGCCCCTTCGAGGTCCACACGGCCCTTCACGACCCTTCACAGCCCAGCCCTGCGGCCCACTCCCTCATTCACACGTTATGTTTCAGCAGTGCCACCTTGTTCTCTCACAATGACCTTGCTTTCTAGAACATTCACCCTCTCCTTTCCTCTACATGGTTAACTCTGACTCATACTTGAAGGGTCTTATCAGAGGTGTGTTCCCCAGTGAGAGTCTCCTGGCATGCCACCACCCCCCACACTCTCACACACCCGATCTTCCACATCCTCTGTCACACGAGGCTGGAATAGATGTCAGTCTTTCCCACCACAAAGTTAACTTCTGAAGAACGGCGGCTGGTCTTATTTATCTGCATGTCTTATTTATCTGCAGAGTTGCTGGCATGGAGTAGCTGCTCTGTGGCTGCTTCTGAAACTCAAGTCCACAAAAGGCGTGGCCACAGGGACATGAGACCTTCTTCTCACCGCGAGGGGAGTGAGAAGGAGGAGGCAGCCAACCTGGTGGAGTTTGTCAAGTCTTTGAACACTGTGCCAGGCCTTTCCCAGAGCTTTTCCAACTTAATCTCATCCAATCCTCTCAGCAATTGAAAGGTGTGGGGTTAATATCCCTAAGTTGTAGAGGAGGAAACTAAATTGACTGCTACACATGGACTGTTTTTGATTTTTTTTTTTTTTTTTTTTTTGTAGAAAAGTGACTTAAAAGGAATTCCATCCTGAGCATTTCACAACAGCTCCAGAGTTTCTCTCTCTCTCTCTCTCTCCTCTCTCAGCTGGTCACTCTTCCAGGCCAGGATAACCCCACCCTAACCACCACCTTGTTTTTCTCCACCTGGTCTCTGGCCAGACCAACCCAGCGCCCCTGTTAACAGCCCCAGGAAGAAGGGAAAGGGGGCTCACTGATCAGGGGTGCTCCCCGCAGAGCTGAGACCATGGTGACAATGGCAGCAGCAGCAGTGGCTCAAAACCCTGCTTCAGCTCAAGATGTCCCCCACAACCTTGCCAGGGCCCCAGGCACCCAGTGTTAAGAGAACAATGGGGAAGGCAGGCTCCAGGCCAACGGAGGGCCTTCTAGAACTCCAGCTCTGTGAGCTCATCTTCCACAAACAGCGCCACCACAGAGCTTTGACTAGCCCACCTGAGCCCTTCCACTCAGGGTCCAGAGGCAGAGCAGGATATCTAATCCCAGCCCCCTTGCACATCTCTGCCCCACACACACACACACATACACACATGCGCGCGCGCACACACACACACACACACACACACACACACACACTACACTGAGGGATGACACTTCCTCTCCCAACAGATCTTTCAGATGATTATCCAGGGATAATGGTAGACACCTAGGGATGGTGATGGATGTACAGAGATGGTGATGGGTACCCAGGGATGTTAACAGGTGTGCAAGGACAGTGGTGCGTGTGCAAGGATGGTAGTGGGTGCCCAGAGATGGTGGTGTGTGTGCAGGGATGGTAGTGGGTGCACGGGGATGATGGTGGGTGCCCAGGGATGGTGATAGATGTGCAGGGATGGTGGTTGGTGCCCAGAAATAGTGGTGGATATGCAGGCATTGTGGTGGGTGCCCAGGGACAGTGGTGGGTGTGCAAGAACAGTGGTGGATGTGCAAGGATGGTAGTGGGTGCCCAGGGATGGTGGCAGATATGCAGTGATGGTGGTAGGTGCCCAGGCACAGTGGTGGGTGTGCAGGGACAGTAGTGGGTGCCCAGGGATGGCAGTGGGTGCCCCAGGATGGTGGTGGGTGTGCAGGGATGTTGGTGGGTGCCCAGGCACAGTGATGGGTGTGCATGGATGGAAGTGGGTGCCCAAGGATGGTAGCAGGTGCCCCAGGATGGTGGTGCATGTGCAGGGATGGTGGTGGGTGTTCAGAGACAGTGGTGGATGTGCAGGGATGGTAGTGTTGGGTGCCCAGGGATGGTGGTGGATGTTCAGGAATGGCGGTGGGTGCGCAGAGGCAGAGGTGAGTGTGTAGGATGGTGGTCAGTGTGCAGGTACGGTGGTAAGTGTGCAAGGATAGTGGTAGATTCCCAGAGATGGTGATGTGTGCCCAAGGATTGTGAGGGATGTGCAGGGATGGGGGTAGGTGCCCAGGGATGGTGGTGGGTTCCTAGGGATGGTGGTGGTTGCCCTCTGCTTTTCCAGGCTGCCCATCTCACCATGAAGCTCCTTTGAGTGCCAGAAAGTTCTTCCTTAATGCTGAGCCACAAGCCACTCCCTTCTCCACCTGGATGATGGCCATTCAGTGTGGACAGGTGCAGGGCAAAGGTTACCCTATTGACCCTAAAACTTAAAGGACAGAGAATTGGAAGGAAAGGGCATGTGGTGCCCACGTCTGTGTCCCACAGGAGCCTGAGTCCCACAGCACAGCAGCTAGAGCATAGGCTTTGGGGTCAGGCTGACCAGGGCTGAACACAGGCGCTAGTGACTTCCAGGTGGATGACCTAGAGAAAACAGCCTCACTTTCTGATTCCTTGATTCTCAAGCGGGGATGACAACACCAACCTCACAGGGTACTAGGAAGGCTCAATGAAACAGCAACAAAGTGCTTAGTACCCCAGGTGCTCAATAAATAATAGTAATTACTACTAAGTGCAGAGCACAGCCATAAAAGTGTCTGGTTGCACCATGTCCACCCTATCTGTCTGGGCCCCACCCCAGGACAACCAAGTTAAAATTGAGGGATGGCCCAGCATCAGCACCAGTATTTTTTTCTTTCATTTTTTTATTGAGGTAAGAACACTTAGTAGGAGATCTACCCTCTTAACATATATTTAATATGCAATCCATTATTGTTGACTGTAGAGGACACTGCTGTACAGCAGCTCTCTTGAGCTCATTCATCTTGCCTGACTGGATTTTCTTTTTTTTCTTTTTTTCTTTTCTTTTTTTTTTTTTGTTTTTTGTTTTTTGTTTTTTGAGATGGAGTTTCACTCTTTTGCCAGGGCTAGAGTGAAGTGGCATGATCTCGGCTCACTACAACCTCTGCCCCCTGCGTTCAAGCTATTCTCCTGCCTCAGCCTCCCAAGTAGCTGGGATTACAGGCATGCACCACCACGCCTGGCTAATCTTTGTATTTTTAGTAGAGACAGGGTTTCACCATGTTGGCCAGGCTGGTCTCGAACTCCTGACCTCAGGTGATCCACCTGCCTTGGCCTCCCAAAGTGCTGGGGTTACAGGCGTGAGCCACCACACCCAGCCACCTGACTGGATCTTTATGCTCATTGATTAGTAACTCCCTGTTTTCTCCTCCTGCCAGCCCCTGGTGACCACCATTCCTCTCTTTGATTCCATGAATTTGACTATTCTAGGTACCTGATAAAAGTAGAATTATTTCCTTTTCTGTAACTGGCATATTTCACTTTGCATATTGTCCTTAAATCTCATCCATATTGTTGCATATGTCAGAAATTTCTTCTTTTTTAAGCCTGAATAGTATTCCACTTTGTGTGTATACCACATTTTCTTTATCCATTCATCTGTGTGTGTTAGCTCATTTTGCATTGCCATAAAGGAACATCTGAGGCTGGGGAACTTAATAAAGAAAAGAAGTTTATTTGGCTCACAGTTCTGTAGGCTGTACAGGAAATATGGTGCCAGCATCTGCTGGGCTTCTGCGAGGCCTCAAGAAGGTTTTACTCATGGTGGAAGGTGAAGGGGGAGCAAGCATGTCACATGGCAGGAGAGGGAGCAAGAGAGATGGAAGGAGATGCCAGGTTCTTTTAAACAACCAGCTCTTGCATGAACTAATAGGATGAGAGCTCACTCATTGCCACAAGGCCAGCACAAAGCCATTTATGAGGGATCCACCACCATGACCCAAACACCTCCCAATAGGACCCACCTCCAACACTGGAGATCACATTTCAACATGAGATTTGGAGGAGACACATGTCCAAACCATATCACAGTGGATGGACACATGTTTCCACCTCTTGGCTTTTGTGAACAATGCTGCAATGAACATGTGATATTGTTTGGCTCTGTGTCCCCACCCAAATCTCAACTTGAATTGCAATCCCCATGTGTCAAAGGAGGAAGTTTTAATTCCCACGTGTCAAGGGAGGGAGGGGATTGGACCATGGGAGGGTTTCCCCCATGCTGGTTTCATGATAGTGAGTGAGTTCTCATGAGATCTAATGGTTTTCTAAGCATCTGACATTTCTACCGCTTGCACTTCTCTCATTTGCCACCTTGTAAAACGTGCCTGCTTCCCCTTCAGCCATGATTGTAAGTTTCCTGAGCCACCTCCACCAGCCATGTGGAACTGTGAGTTAATTAAATCTCTTTCCTTTATAAATTACCCAGTTTTGGGTATTTCTTTATAGCAGTGTGAAAATGGACTAATACAGTAAATTGGTACCAATGTAGTGGGGCACTGCTATAAAGATAACTTGAAAATGTGAAAGCAATTTTGGAACTGAGTAACAGGCAGAGGTTGGAACAGGTTGGAGGGCTCAGAAGAAGACAGGAAGATGTGGGAAAGTTTGGAACTTCCTAAAGATTTGTTGAATGGTTTTGGCCAAAATGCTGATAGTGATATGGACAATGAAGCCCAGGCTCAGGCGGTCACAGATAGAGATGAGGAGCTTATTGGGAACTGGAGCAAAGGTCACTATTGCTATGCTTTAGCAAAGAGACTGGTGCCATTTTGACCATGCCCTGGAGATCTGTGGAACTTTGAACTTGAGAGAGATGATTTAGGGTATCTGGCAGAAGAAATTTCTAAGCAGCAAAGCATTCAAGAAGTGACCTGGGTGCTCTCAAAAGCATTTAGTTATACGCATTCACAAAGACATGGTTTGGAATTTTAACTTATGTTTAAAAGGGAAGCAGAGCATAAAGGTTTGGAAAATTTGCAGCCTGACCACGTGGTAGAAAAGAAAAACCCAGTTTCTGAGGAAGAATTCAAATGAGCTGCAGAAATTTGCATAAGTAACCAGGAACCAAATGTTAGTAGCCAAGACAATGGGAAAAATGTCTCCAAGGCATGTTAGAGATCTTCAAGCCAGCTCCTCTCATCATAGGCCTGGAGTCCTAGGAGGAAAAAATAATTTTATGGGCAAGGCCCAGCACCCTGCTGCTTTGTGCAGCCTTGGCACTTGGTGCCCTGCATCCCAGCCACTCCAGCTCCAGCCAGAGCTAAAAGGGGCCATGGCTTCAGAGGGTACAAACTCCAAGCCTTGGTGGCTTCCACGTGGTGTTGGGCCTGCAGGTGCACAGAAGTCAAGAATTGAGGTTTGGAAACCTCCACTACATTTCAGAGGATGTATGAAAACACCTGGATGTGCAGGCAGAAACCTGCTGCAGGGGTGGAGCCCTCATGGAGAACCTCTGCTAGGGCAGTGTGGAAGGGAAATGTGGGGTTAGAGCCCCCACACAGAGTCCCCACTGGGGCACTGCCTAGTGGAGCTATGAGAAGAGGGTCACTGTTCTCCAGACCCCAGAATGGTAGATCCACTGAAAGCTTGCACTGTGCAACTAGAAAAGCCACAGACACTCAATGCCAGCTGGTGAAAGCAGCCGAGAGGGAGGCTCCACCCTGCAAAACCACAGGGGCAGAGCTGCCCAAGACCATGGGAACCCACCTCTTGCATCAGCATGACCTTGATGTGACACATAAAGTCAAAGGAGATTTTGGAGCTTTGAGATTTAATGACTGACCAGCTGGGTTTTGGACTTGCATAGGGCCTGTAGCCCATGTGTTTTGGCCAATTTCTCCCATTTGGAATGGAAACATTTACCCAATGCCTGTACCCCCATTGTATTTACTGTTTTAGCCCATTTTCACACTGCTATAAAGAAATACCTGAGACTGGGTAATTTATAAAAGAACAAGGTTTAATTGACTCACAGTTCCGCATGGCTGGGGAGGCCTCAGGAAACTTGCCACCATGGTGAAACGGGAAGTAGGCAAATCTTATATGGTGGCAGGCAAGAGAAGTGCAAGCAGGGGAAATGCCAGATGCTTAGAAAACCGTTAGATCTCATGAGAACTCTGACTGGGCACAGTGGCTCATGCTTGTAATCCCAGCACTTTGGGAGGCCAAGGCAGGTGGATTGCTTGAGACCAGGAGTTTGAGACCAGCCTGGCCAACATGGCAAAACCCCATCTCTACTAAAAATACAAAAAAAATTAGGTGTGGTGGCATGCACCTCTAATCCCAGCTACTCAGTAGGCTGAGGCAGGAGAATCGCTGGAACCGGGAGGCAGAGGTTACAGAGAGCTGAGATCATGCCACTGCACTCCAGCCTGACTCAGTCTCAAAAAAAAAAGAAAAATCTCATGAGAACTCACTCACTATCAAGAGAACAGCCTGGGGGAAACTGCCCCCACCCCATGATCCAATCACTTCCCTCCCTACTTCAACACATGGGGATTACAGGTCCCTCCCTCAACACGTAGGGATTAAAATTCTAGATCAGATTTGAGTGGGGACACAGAGTTAAACCATATCAACATGGGAGTGCCAATATCTCTTGGAGATCATGATTCCAATTATTTTGGATAAATACCAAAAAACAGGATTGCCGGATCGTATGGTATTTTTAATTTTTTGAGGAATCTCCACACTATTTTTGTTTTTTTGAGATGGAGTCTTACTCTGTTGCCCAGGCTGGTGTGCAGTGGTACGATCTTGGCTCACTGCAACCTCCATCTCCTGCATTCAAGCAATTCTCTGCCTTAGCCTCCTGAGTAGCTGGGATTACAGACACCTACCACCAAGCCCAGATAATTTTTGTGTTTTTAGCAGGGACAGGGTTTCACCATCTTGGCCAAGCTGGTCTTGAACTCCTGACCTTGTGACCCACCCGCCTCAGGCTCCCAAAGTGCTAGGATTACAGGTGTGAGCCACCATGCCCAGGCTCCATACTGTTTTTCATAACAGCAGCACCATTTTCTGTTCACACCCATAGTGCATAAGGGTTCCAATTCTTTCACACCCTCACCACCAGCACTTGTCTTAGTTTTTTTTTTTAAATAATAGCCATCCTGACAGGTATGAGGTGATATTTCATTGTGGTTTAGTTTTGCATTTCCCTGGTGATTAGCTATGCTGAGCATTTTTTCAAACACCAGTTGGCCATTTGTATGTCTTCTTTGAAGAAATGTCTGTTGGCATCAATATGTCTTTAAAGCTTCCCAGATGACTCCCACATGCAGCCAGTCTTCGGGCTTTATTGGAGGTGGGGGAGGGAAGAGCTTTGTACTTGAGTTAGAAATCCCAGTTCAATTTCTTGCTCTGCCCCAACTGGCTAACTAGCCTTGGCAAGTTAGCCTCCACTTCTCATCATTGAAATGGAGTCATTACCCTGCCCTGCCCACTGTAACCTTGAGCACTGTACTTCATCTCCCCAAACCACGTTTTCCTTCCCTATAAAATGGAAATAATAACCATCCCTCCCTCTTAGGGTGGTGGTGAATCTCAAGTGTCTCAATGCATGAAGATGCTTACCACTTGGAGCAGTACATTTTAGCTATTGTTTTTATTGCCTGGCCCTTGGTGGTGATTCTGTCTGGTTGAGTTTTGGGGGTTTTACTGCATCCGCCTGCTTTTACTATTTTATTGCTTCTTTTTATTGAGTAATCTTTCAGCTTATTTTATTTTATTGTATGTTTTGTTATTTCCCAGTTGACTTTCACTTTTAAATGGGGAATAAGAAACAGAAGCTCAAAAGGAACAGTTATAAGGGCAGACGAGGCCCCAGTTGGAGATCAGCAGGTCTTTATTTCCCTGCTGAGCTCTGCACAGTGTTTCCTACCCTCAAAGTGGGCTCAGATTCTTGACCACATCCCAGAAGAGATACTCCTCTGCTCTCTCCAAGTTTAAGTTCTCCATCAGCCTCTCTTACATGCCTTGTCCTCAGGCCTGCCAACACTTTAGAAAAACTACTGACTCCTGGGTCCCATCCCAGGCCATTTACACCAAAATCTCTGGGGGTAGAACTCAGGCATCAGTACGTTTGTAATGTTCCCAAGTGATTCCAAAGCTCAGCCAGGGCTAAGAGCCACTTCCAGCCAAACTCTTATAGTTCCCCTAAATGTGTGACGACATTTTGCATCCATGTCTTGTATGGGATCATATATTCACATTTGTCAAAATTGCTCTTTCTGACCCAACTCCCTGGCTAGAATCTAGTCCTTCTTAAAGCACTGCTAAAGCTTGACATCTCCCTCTGGCCTCCTTGGGCTGACTTAGACAGTATCCAGTGGTACATTCTTGTACAGTATCCAGTGCTAACTTATAATCTCAGCACATCCCACATGCTCTCAGTTCTTCTTTCTCTATCATTCCCACCAGACTAGCAAATGCCTGATTTGTGTCTCCCATGTCTATTTTCCCAGCATCAAGAACAAAGATTTTTAGATGCTGGGTGAGTAAAGAAATGAAGAAATGAATGAAAATCACCGAGTTAGTTGATGCAGAAGAAACTTAGCCCAGAAGACTTGGTCAGAAGAGTCCTCAGGCTGGCCACAAGGAATGTTCCAGGGTCACTGTGGGCAAAGAGAGAATGCGTCCTCCTCTGGCTAAGCAGAGAGAGCCTAAAATCCATAGATCAAGACTCTCACCTGATCCACCTCAAATTTAGTGCACTGAAAACAGAATTCACCTCTTCCCCATGAGCTGTTCCCTGCTCTTTTCATCAGTGGGCACAGTAAATGGGAGTAGTCACGTGGCATTGTTGGCAGGAGGACTGTGGTGTGTAAAGCCACTTATTCCTACACTAGTCTAACACCACTGTATTCATTCAGTGTTGTGTCTCCTTTATTATTCTATCTTATCCTGTGTGATGGTTAATTTTATGTGTCCACTTGACTGGGTCACAGGATATTTGGTCAAACATTTTACTGGGTGTTTCTATTCTGGGTGCTTTGGATGAGATTAACATTTTAATTGGTAGATTGAGAAAGCGGATTGCCCTCCCTAATGTGGGTGGGCCACATCCAATCTGTTTGAAGTCCTGAATAGAAGAAAAGGCTCACTTTTCCCAAGTTAAGAGAGAATTCCTCCTGCCTGCCTGCCTGCCTTCCAACTAAGACATCACCGTTTGTTTCCTGCCTTCAGTCTCAAACTGGAACATTTGGCTCTTCCTGGGTTTTGAGCCTGTCGGCCTTCAGACTGGAACTACAACATCAGCTCTCCTGGGTCTCCAGTTTGCCCTCTCACTCTGCAGATCTTGGGATTTGCCTCCATAATTGCATAAGCTAATTCTTTATAACAAATTTCCCTTGGCCAGGTGCTGTGGCTCCCACCTGTAATCCCAGCACCTTGAGAGGCCAAAGCAGGAGAATTGCTTGAGGCTAGGAGTTTGAGACCAGCCTGGGCAACAAAGCAAGATCCCCATCTCTACAAAAATGAAAAATAAAAAATTAGCTGGGCACAGTGGCATGTGCTGTAGTCCCCGCTTCTCAGGAGGCTGAAGCAGGAGGATCCTTGGGCCTAGGAGTTCAAGGCTGTAGTGAGCTATGATGGTGCCACTGCACTCCAACCTGCATGACAAAGCAAGATCCTGTCTCAAAAACAAAAATTAAAAATTAAAAAATATATAAAAACTCTATATATATATAGATTGATAAGTAGGTACATAGATAACAGATAGATTATAGACAGACACATAGATACATAGAATGATATGGTTTGGCTGTGTCCCCACCCAAATCTCATCTTGAATTTTAGCTCCCATAATCCCCACTTGTCATGGGAGGGACCCAGTGGGAGGTAATTGAATCACGGGGGTGGGCTTTTCCCATGCTGTTTTCATGATAGTGAATAAGTCTCATGAGATCTGATGGTTTTATAAAGGGCAGTTCCCCTGCACATGCTGTCTTGACTGCTACCATGTAAGATGTGACTTTGCTCCTCCTTCACCTTTCACCATGATTGTGAGGCCTCCCCAGCCATGTGGAACCATGAGTCCATTAAACCTCTTTTTCTTTAAAAATTACCCAGTCTCAGGTATTTCTTCCTAGCAATATGAAAATGGCTGGGCACGGTGGCTCACGCCGGTAATCCCAGCACTTTGGGAGGTCGAGGCAGGCGGATCACCTGAGGCCAGGAGTTCAAGACCATCCTGGCCGACATGGAGAAACTCTATCTCTACTAAAAAATACAAAACTTAGCCAGGTGTGGTGGCGCATGCCTATAATCCCATCTACTCTGGAGGCTGAGGCAGAAGAATAACTTGAACCTGGGAGGTGGAGGTTGTGGTGAGCCAAGATTGTGCCATTGCACTCCAGCCTGGGCAACAAAAGTGAAACTCCATCTCAAAAAGAAAGAAGAAAGGAAGAAAGGAAGGAAGGAAGGGAAGGAAAGGGAAGGGAAGGGAAGGGAGAAAAGAAAGAAAGAAAAGAAAAAAGAAAAGGGACTAATACAGTAAATTGGTACCGCTAGAGTGGGGTACTACGATAAAGATACCCAAAAATGTAGAAGCAACTTTGGAACTGGTTAACAGGCAGAGGCTGAAATAGTTTGGAGGGCTCAGAAGAAGATAGAAACATGTGGGAAAGTTTGGAGCTTCCTAGAGACTTGGAGGGCTCAGAAGACAGGAAGATGTGGGAAAGTTTGGAGCTTCCTAGAGATTTGTTGAATGGTTTTGACCAAAATGCTGACAGTGATATGAGCAATAAATGAAGTCTATGCTGAGGTGGTGTCAGATAGAGATGAAGAACTTGTTGGGAACTGGAATAAAGGTGACTTTTGCTATGTTTTAGCAAAGAGACTGGCAGCATTTTGCCCCCGCCCAAGAGGTCTGTGGAATTTTGAACTTGAGAGAGATGATTTACGGTATCTGGCAGAAAACATTCTAAGCAGCAAAGCATTCAAAAGGAAGCAGAGCAAAAAAGTTTGGAAAATTTGCAGCCTTATGATGCAATAGAAAAGAAAACCCCATTTTCTGGGGAGAAATTCAAGCTAGCTACAGAAATTTGCATAAGTAATGAGGAGCCAAATATTAATCAACAAGACAATGGGGAAAATGTCTCCAGGGCATGTCAGAGACCTACACAGCAGCCCCTCCCATCACAGGCCAGGAGGCCTAGGAGGAAAAAATGGTTTTCTGGGCCAGGGCCAGGGCCTCCCTGCTGTGTGCGGCCTCGGGACCTGGTGCCCTGCATCACAACAACTCCTGCTGTAGCTAAAAGGGGCCAAAGTACAGCTCAGGCCATAGTTTCAGTGGGTACAAGCCTCAAACCTTGGCAGCTTCCACATGGTGTTGGTCCTGCGGTTGCACAGAAGGCAAGAATTGAGGTTTGGGAACCTCCACCTAGATTTCAGAGGATGTATGGAAATGCTTGGATGTCCAGGCAGAGGTTTGCTTCAGGGGCTGTATCCTCATGGAGAACCTCTGCTAGGGCAGTGCAGAAGGGAAATGTGGGGTTAGAGCCCCCACACGGAGTCCCCACTGGGGCTCTACCTGGTGGAACTGTGAGAAGAGGGTCACTGTCCTCCAGACCCCAGAATGGTAAATCCACCAACAGCTTGCAACATGCACCTGGAAAAGCCACAGACACTCAATGCCAGCCTGTGAAAGCAGCCAGGAGTGTGGGGCTGCCCTCCAAAGCCACTGGGGCAGAGCTGCCCAAGACCATGGGAACCCACCTCTTGCATCAGCCTGTCCTGGATATGAGACATGGAGTCAAAGGAAACCATTTTGGAGCTTTAAGGTTTGACTTCCCAACTGGATTTTGGACTTGCATGGGGCCTGTAGCCCCTATATTTTGGCCAATTTCTTCCATTTGGAATGGGTGTCTTTACCCAGCCTGTACCTCCATTGTATCTAGGAAGTAACTAGCTTGTTTTTGATTTTGCAGGCTCATAGGCGAAAGGGACTTGCCTTGTCTCAGATTAGACTTTGGACTGTGAACTTTTGAGTTAATGCTGAATGAGTTAAGACTTTAGGGGACTGTTGGGAAGGCATGATTGGCTTTGAAATGTGAGGACATGAGATTTGGGTGGGGCCAGGGGCTGAATGATATGGTTTGGCTGTATCCCCACCCAAATCTCATCTCAAATTGTATCTCCCATAATCCCCATGTGTCATGGGAAAGACCAAGTGGGAGGTAATTGAATCACAGGGGCAGGTTTTTCCTATGCTGTTTTCATGATGGTGAATAAGTCTCATGAGATCTGATGGTTTTATAAAGGGCAGTTCCCCTGCACATGCTCTCTGGCCTGCTGCCATGTAAGACAATACTTTGCTCCTCCTTCACCTTCCACTATGATTGTGAGGCTTCCCCAGCCATGTGGAACCATGAGTCCATAAACGTCTTTTTCTTCATAGCAGTATGAAAATGGATAGATAGATAGATAGATGCATAGATACATAGATAGATAGATATCCTATTGGTTCTATTTCTCTGGAGAACTCTGACTTATATACCACTCACGTGAAGTTGGTAGAAAATTATTTGTTAGAAGATAGATAGATAGATAGATGATATAGATAGATAGATAGATAGATAGATAGATAGATAGATAGATAGATAGATAGATGATAGATAGATAGACAGACAGATAGACAGACATCCTATTCTGTTTCTGGAGAAGGCTAACTTATATACCACTTATGTGAAACTGATAGAAATTACTTAACAGTTGCCAAGATCCTCAATTCATGTGAATTTCCTTCCTGGACCTGGTGCCACTATAGGCTGACATTCTTCCTTTCCCTCTTGTGATTTGTGGCTTCTACAGTCTGGGTCAGTGGGCTGAGAGCAGCGGACCTGGGGGGAGGCCTGATTTTACAGAACCTACCAGCTCTGTGAGCTTGGTGCATTAATTAATTTTGCTGACCCTCAGTATCCTCCCTGTAAAATGAAGAGAACTGCCACCCCAGGAAGGTGTGGAGGGGATTCATGAGATAACATGCAAAACATTTCACACAGTACCTGGCACCAAGCAGACACTCAATAAAAGATTGCTTATATTATTATTTTAGAGGTGAGGAAACAAAGAAACTATGCTTTTGAGAACTACACTTGAATTGTCAAAAAAGCCTCTGAGTAAGGACCTAAAGGATATTGCGAAGTTAAAACAGCATGAGCTTGTTTCAACTGATCAGAGGCCTTTTCCTCATACAAGTTTATGCTATCTTGGCTTACATTGCAGTGGCAAGATCTCTGGATAAGCAGGGAATTACTCTTCTCGCATTCATCTTCTTGGACTTATATCCTAGGATTTTCTCTCCAGGAAACTGATATCACCTTAAAAAAAATCAATCTTGGAAAAAGTGCTTGTTCATCCTTTTGATAACTCCTCATTCCCACCCCGATCTCCTTCTGAGTTCAGAGCTGGTTCTTCCATATCTGTTCCCACTACTCTGGTTGATGCCTTCTTCGTATCTTACCTGGGACTGCAGTCATTTCTTAACTGGCCTCTCTACATCACAGGGCTCTTTCTAAATGACAGGGCTGAATGCACCATTCCCCATTTCTAAACCTTTCAGTGGGGCTCTGTCACTTACAGAATTGGGCCAGCCCACTCAGTCAGAAGCCCAGATGGACCTCCATGGTCTGCCCTCTTCACCCTGCAGCCTCACCTCCCAACCCCTGGGCCCTGGAAGTTCCAAACAACCAACTCTTCCCCAGACATGTCTGTCTAAACGTTCTTCCTCATTTGGCAACAGATAACTTTGTCTTATCCTTCAAAATCAACCCAGTGTCACAACTTTTGCAGAAGGAGCTAATCCAACACTCTCTGCCTCCTGAACACCCCACCCCCTCACCTATTTGCTTGCCGCTGCACCTTGAGCTTATTCCTATCATAGAATTACCACATTACACTATAGTTTGTGATGTATGTGACTATGGCCCTGTCTGTGAGCTCTTCCAGAGCTACAAGTACATTATAGTTATCTCCGTATTTCTTTGACCTATTAATGGGTGAGGCACACAGAAGGCACTGAAGAGACGTTAAGCAAATACATTTAAAAATGCACAGGTTGGGGACGGAAGAAGATGAATGTAACTGTAAAGGGGTAGTACAAGGGGGAGCTTCATGGTGATGGCATAGTTTTGTATCTGGATTGGAGTGGTGGGTATACAAATCTACACATGAGACCAGGCAGAGTGGCTCACGCCTATTAATCCCAGCACTTTGGGAGGCTGAGACGGGCAGATCACTTGAGGTCAGGAGTTCGAGACCAGCCTGGCCAACATGGTGAAACCCCATCTCTACTAAAAATATAAAAATTAGCCATGCTAATGGGAGGCTGAGGTGGGAGTAATCACTTGAACCTGGGAGGCAGAGATCCCACCGCTGCACTCCAGCATGGGCGATGGAGAAAGACTCCGTCTCAAACACATACACACACACACACACACACACACACACACATCTACACATGTTATAAAATGGCATAGAACTATATACACATTGTAGCAATGTCAATGTCCTGACAGTGGTATTACACTATAGCTGTGTAAGACGTAACCATTGAAGGAAATTGGATGAAGCATATGCAGGATCTCCCAGTGCTATTTTCACAACTTCTTGTGAACCTATAGTTACTTTGAAAAAAAAAGTTGGCCGGGCACTGTGGCTCACACCTGTAATCCCAGCACTTTGGGAGGCCAAAGCAGGCGGATCACTTGAGGTCAGGAGTTCAAGGCCAGCCTGGCCAACATAGCGAAACCCTATGTCCACTAAAAATACAAAAATTAGCCAAGCATGATGGCGCATGCCTGTAATCCCAGCTACTCGGGAGGCTGAGACAGGAGAATCACTTGAACCAGGAGGCAGAGGTTGCAGTGAGCCAAGATGGCGCCATTGCACTCTAGCCTGGGCGACAGACAGAGCAAGACTCCGTCTAAAAAAAAAAAAAAAAAAGGAAAAGAAAAACTTTCTTAGAAATGAAAAACACACACAAACTCTAGTTTTACTGTTCCGGCTAATCTAATAAAATAATTGGAAGTAAGGGGCTGTCAAAGTCTAATTTAATATTATTTAAAATTGGTTAGAAGGTGAATGATTACAACAGAAACATAACCCAAGTGTGCTTCAACATGCGGCTGTTTTATTTATTTATTTTTTAATTACTTAATTTTTTTATTACACTTTAAGTTTTAGGGTACATGTGCACATTGTGCAGGTTAGTTACATATGTATACATGTGCCATGCTGGTGCGCTGCACCCACTAACTCGTCATCTAGCATTAGGTATATCTCCCGATGCTATCCCTCCCCCCTCCCCCCACCCCACCACAGTCCCCAGAGTGTGATATTCCCCTTTCTGTGTCCATGTGATCTCATTGTTCAATTCCCACCTATGAGTGAGAATATGCGGTGTTTGGTTTTTTGTTCTTGTGATAGTTTACTGAGAATGATGATTTCCAATTTCATCCATGTCCCTACAAAGGACATGAACTCATCATTTTTTATGGCTGCATAGTATTCCATGGTGTATATGTGCCATATTTTCTTAATCCAATCTATCATTGTTGGACATTTGGGTTGGTTCCAAGTCTTTGCTATTGTGAATAATGCCGCAATAAACATACGTGTGCATGTGTCTTTATAGCAGCATGATTTATAGTCCTTTGGGTATATACCCAGTAATGGGATGGCTGGGTCAAACGGTATTTCCAGTTCTAGATCCCTGAGGAATCGCCACACTGACTTCCACAATGGTTGAACTAGTTTACAGTCCCACCAACTGTGTAAAAGTGTTCCTATTTCTCCACATCCTCTCCAGCACCTGTTGTTTCCTGACTTTTTAATGATTGCTATTCTAACTGGTGTGAGATGGTATCTCATTGTGGTTTTGATTTGCATTTCTCTGATGGCCAGTGATGATGAGCACTTTTTCATGTGTTTTTTGGCTGAACATGTGGCTGTTTTAATCTGGTTTGAGTTGATGTTTAAAAACAAAAAGAAAAAGAAAAAGAAAAAGAAAAAAAAACATGGTTGTTTTAGAATATAACAAGTTTCTGCTCTGAAGACCTTTCCACCAGTGCCTAAGTGCTTAGGGCCTTGAGTAGAGTGAATTAGGTCAGTGCTGCTGTGGGTGCTGAACAAGGTCAGCAATGATGAAACACCTGAGAGAAACATACAGCTGCATTTATGGTATCTGACCACATAGAGGCTGAATGGGTGGAAGAAAACTGCTGGGCTGACCCACAACTCTGGGAAAACCTAAAACTCTGAGACTGTGTCCGTAGCAACCTGGAACCTGTGAAAAGCTACAGGTGCTAAAAAATGAGGCTTTTTGTGGATTGACACCTTCACAAGCTAAAGGCCTCTAGAAACCCAGAGCCTCTAAAACCTGAAAGTCCTAGCAACCAGGTTGAGCTAACAACCTAACAACTTCGATAGCCTAGATCCATAAGAGCCTAGGGCCCCTAGAAACTGATGTCTCTAATAACTTGGGGCCTTTGAGAAACATGAAGCTGTTAATAAATTGAAAATCTGAATAACCTGGGGCTTTTAACAACCCAATACCTGTAATAAACTGAAACTCTTAGCAACTTGGGTTGCCTAGCAACCTGGGGGCTCTAATTATCGGAGACTCCTAGCAACCAGAGAGATTGTACAACCTGAGGGCCCTGTACACATCCAACCCTGGACCCAGACTGCCTCTCACTCTTGCAGTAGCTGCCGCTGCATCTTGAGAAGCAGTGTGATCTAAGAGACAGAGCTGGAATTGGAAACCAAAGACGCATGTTTAGCGTTCTGACTTTGCCACTTGCTAACCATATATCCTGTGGCCTAAGCTCCCTGACCATCAGTTTCCTTACATATGAGAAAAGGCCGGGCACAGTAGCTCATGCCTGTAATCCCAGCACTTTAAGAGGCTAAGGTGGAAGGATTGCTTGAGGCCAGGATTTCAACACCAACCTGGGCAACATAAAGAGACACTCTTTACAAAAAAAAAAAAAAATTTAATTAACCAGGTGCGATGGCACATACCTGGAGTCCCAGATATGCAGGAGGCTAAGGCAGGAGGATTTCTCAAGTCCAGGAGTCTGAGGCTGCAGTGAGCTATGATCACGCCAGTACACTCTAGCCTGGGCAACAGAGCGAGACCCTGTCTCAAAAACAAAACAAACGATCCAGTTATTAACATTTTAGTGGCTAAACAGTCATTTGCACTAACATACTTCCTGTGAATAAAACAGGTTAATCTGGATTCTAAAAATACACATTGTCCTACGTTGGACTCAAAAAAACTGTCATTTTTCATTAAAATAAATACACCCTGTAAACACCTTTATTCACCCCATTTGATTCTCAAAGTTGCGAGTGTGGGAAGGTGGAGTGAACACCAGGAAGATGCTCATCCCTGGTGCAGTCCAATGTGAGGACCAAGACCCCCAAGGGGAAAGTGAAGACCTCCCACGCTCACAGGAAGGGCCAGAGCAGGGACCAGATCGACCTTTCCAGAACATAGCTGTGTAATCACACTGCTCTTGCCATTGACAGAGAGGGCACAAGAGAAAGCCTCTGACATTATTGCTCATGGGCCTGGAGTTGAGAGACAGTGAGCCTGGGTATTCTATGGGGCTTCTTATGGTGTGTGGAAGGGAAATCATATGCTGCTCTGTGGGTGTGTTCAACCTTCTGAACTTCTACGCCTTTCTCTGCAAAATGGGGAAAATGATATGCATCTTTCAAAAGATCTGGTGTTCATGCTGTCTTCCCTCTGACACATTCCCTACTACTCTCTTGGAGCTCCTCTCTCCTAGCTGAAATCCCAGGCCCCAGCAGAGCTCTCCCGCAGTGCTCAAGGGTTGAGTGGGGAGGAAAGACATTCTCCACTTAGCACCCAAAAGCAATTTCTCTCCCAAACTACAAGGAAAGAGCTGAGCTCCAGTTTTATGCTGTTTGATGGGCCCAAAGGAGTATCTTTTTTTTTTCTTTCTTTCTTTCTTTTTAGACAGAGTCTCACTCCATTGCCTGGGCTGGAGTGATCTCGGCTCACTGCAACCTCTGCCTCCTGCATTCCAGGGATCCTCCCATCTTAGCCTCCCAAGTAGCTGGGATCACGCCTGGCTAATTTTTTTTTTTTTTTTTTTTTTTTTTTTGGTGTTTTAGTAGAGACGGAGTTTCACCATGTTGCCCAGGTTGGTCTCAAACTCCTGAGCTCAGGCAATCTGCCCGCCTTCGCCTCCCAAAGTGCTAGGATTACAGGCATGAGCCACCATGCCCCACCTCAGAGGAATATCTTATATAGCAATGGTTTTCCACTGGAGATGGTTTCGCCTTCCAGAGGATGCATGGCAATGCCCGAAGACATTTTTGGTTATCACAACTAAGGGAGGGGGATTGCTACTGGCATTTGGTGAGGAAAAGTCAAGGATGCAGCATCCAACAAAGCACAGGACTGCTGCCCACAACAAATCATTATTCAGCCCAAATGTCAGTCGTGGCAAGGTCAAAACATCCTAATATACGGCATAGAGCAGTCTAGGTCTGGATCCTTCTCTGTTCCTAGCTTCCATGTGATCTTAGACAGGCTCTCTCATTTCTCTAGGCCATAGTCAGTTCCCTGACCTGCAAAACAAGACAATTTGATTTGATTGTGAGAAACACACATTCACCCATCCAAACCCAAAGAATGGACTTGGAGACACGAAGAAGAGCGGAAGCAAGACTTTTAATGGCAGTCTTGCAAGATCAGGTGTCTGGTAGGCAGGCACGCCCAGGACAGTTACAACAGGTAATTTATCTCCTAACATGCAAGTCCCTCCCCCAGTTCCTCATTGATCGAGTACTGTGGGGTTACAATCTTCCCGGATATCGCCTAAGTTTCATTATCCCTCTTATAAGGTTATACCCTGGGTCCCCTTCCCCACTTAAGTTTCAATCTCCCAATAATGAAACTTTCTTCCCTTTTATAGGGTGACCCCTTCCTCTACATTCTGTTCACTTATTGTGACCTTCTAGGTGAATGACCCATGCAGTTTGTTACGTTTGCAGGCTGGCTGCCAATACTTAGATTTATCATGCCTTGAAAATGGACCATTTAAAATGTTTTCTCACAAACTCCCTCCTCTTTTCTATTTACTTCCTTTGGTCTCATTTTCATATGAAGCCTTTTAGTCCTCGAATTTCTCGTTTACTTTCTTCATCATAGGAGAATGAGTTTAATTTGGTTTCTAACAGTAACAGGTTATTTTCCTGGTAAGTCATGGGCATTTGTTTACTAATAGCTGCTTCAATTAATCTCTGTGCTAGTCCCCTCACACAAGGGACAATACAACATCTCACTGAGGTTAAGACTCCTGCCACAATTGTGACAGATATAAGGATTGAAGCTACCATGTCTTTCCAAACCAACTTCTAGCCAACCCACAAGTGGGTCATCAATTCCAGCATTTTCTGCCAGTTCGTTGGCTAGAGTTTTCAGTCCTTGTAAAGCTTCTGTGATGGTCCCATCTGGGGCAGTATTGTTGAGAATGAAAGTACAACATTTCCCACCTAGCATAACATATACGCCCCCTTTTTCCACTAGTATCATGTCTGACGCAAGCGTGTTTTCCCAGGCCATTTGGCTGGTGGCATCTAACTGGCTAGCCACCCCTTTGAGGGTGTCTCAAGTATAATTGATAAATTTCTGTTGATTATAATAGATGTAGTTAATCCAATCCACATTCTTATTAATAGTTGGGCCAGGTGTGGTGGCTCACGCCTGTAATCCCAGCACTTTGGAAGGCCGAGGCAGGCAGATCACTTGAGGTCGGGAGTTTGAGACCAGCCTGGCCAACATAGGGAAACCCCATCTCTACTAAAAATACAAAAATTGGCTGGGCATGGTGGCATGCACCTGTAATCCCAGCTACTTGGGAGGCTGAGGCAGGAGAATGGCTTAAACCTGGGAGGTGGAGGAGGTTGTGGTGAGCCGAGAACGTGCCAATGCACTCCAGCCTGGGTGACAGAGCGAGACACTGTCTAAAAAAAAGAAAAAATTAGTTGACCCCCAAAAGAGTGCTGACTTTGGGCCTTAAATTCATTAGGCACCCCACTAGGGACTCCTATTGAGTCAACATATATATTGCGGTCAAAAGAATTTGTCAAATCTCTCCAGTTTTGGTGGCCATATGTATTTTCAGGTATCTTGTGGAATGCCAGGGTGAAGGGAATGGCCAATCGGACTAAAGCAAAGTCCTGGTCCAATTGGACAGTAACAAGCTATGGAGATTCCTTTCCCACAATACCATCAGACATCAGCCTGGGGTATATGGAGAGCTGAGTAATTGCCTTTGCCTCACCAGTGATGTTTAGGAATTGGGTACAAGTCGAGAGTTCTCCCATGGGCTTATTGAACCTGCCCCCTGCCTAGAGAGGCAAGAGGAGTAGTTCATATTCCCTATAGAGAATGAGGGGATTGCTGTGGGATCTGACCTCTGCAATGCAGGAAAGAGTAACGACAGACTCCTAGAAGTCTCATTTCCCATGCATCCTTATCCTCGTATAGAGCCAACATACAACGCATTCCTTCAGGACTGGTATCCCATCCTAGGGGAAACGGAGCCACTTTTGCCTGAGGTTGTCCTGCAGCACACACATAGCAATTACTCTTCTTGAGGGCTTATACCGAAAATTTGACCCATTAGACCCAGACATTCACATCCCTGTAAACTGTCTCAATTTCTATGATTTGCCTTAAATACTTTACCTCAATTATTTTTACCCTTTTAGGGTCATTATTTGGTGGACTAAAGTGTTTGTTAGGGTCTGGGGTTGCAGTAGTCCCAGGCAAATGGGAGGTTGAGTTATTGATTAGTTTGAGAACAAACCACCCTAGGGGTCTTTCCCTGTGATGTCTGCCCCTAACTTATGTACATAGGATGCTACTTCTGGTTCTTGGTCTAGAACAGCTGGATTGTCAATGGTGATGAGTATAGGATTGCATTCTAAATTCTGGCAGTTATTTGGTGGGGAGCTCTTGGACAGAGGTAGTTTATTCCTCAAAGGTCTTCAGCTCAGAGTTTCCCACCCCATGTTTACTGCCCAACCCTCAAATTGGGTAGTCCACCATACATCATCCCAGCTGGGGCAGGGTGATGCCCTACTGTAACCTGCATTTGACTCAGGGCAAAGATATTTATTCACCTGGGAGAGCTGTCTCTAATTTTCCAAATTCCCACAAGGTAAGACCTGGCAGGCATTAAATCTTATAGTTTGGGGTGCTACCATCTGGGTTATATTAACTACCAACCTGATTGGATAGGGAGGAGTCCCCTGCCAGTTTCCATTTTGACCTTCTGCTTCTTGTATAGTAGCCTATCCCAGCCATATTAACTTCCAGAAATGGGACCAGCTCATGTTTTCTTTTTAGATTTTTCTCAGAGTTAACTTTAAGGGTTCCTCAGGTGACCCATGCACTTTTCACCGGGTTTTTTCCCCTCCCTTCTGGGGTATCTTTTACCAGTTACTTGACTCAAGTATACTGAGTTCACCCCCATTCAGCTGTTTGCACAGCTGTCTCAGTGCTCAGGAGCACTTGATAAGGACCTTCCCAGCTTGGGTGCAGCATGTCTTCTTTCCAAGTCTTAATCAGCACCAAGTCACCAGGCTGGAAGTGGTAAACCACAAACTCAAGAGGCAGAATTTGAGTCAGAAGTCCTTTTAACCTAAGGGATAACAGGGTAGAGGATATGGCCAGTATATAATATCTTAAGAATTGATCAAAAAAAAATTGATCCTTGGTTTCCATAGTAGGGAGATCTGTAGCTCTGCCCAAATATGGGAGCCCATATAATAACTCATAGGGAGACAATCCCAAGTCTTTTCTTGGGGCTGTCTTAATCCTAAGGAGTGTTATTGGAAGACATTTTGTCCAAGGCATTTTAGTTTCTAAGATTAGTTTGATGATACACTTTTTGGGTGTTTGATTCATTCTTTCTACCTTTCCAGAGGAAGGGGGATGCCAAAGGGTGTGATAATCCCATCTAATTTGTAAACCTTCCATAATTCCCCTTAACAACCTTGAGAAAAAGTGGCTCCCATTGTCTGAATCAGTATTTTCCACCAGGCCAAATCTAGGGTACAATTGTTCTAATATTATTTTGACCACATTCCTGGTGGTGGCTGTTGAAAGGGGAAAGACCCAGCCAGGAAGGTGATCTATGATCACCAGTAAATACTTTAGTCTTCCTACTTAGGGCATTTCTGTGGTATCTACTTCAATGCTTTGAAATTGTCTTAATCTGGGAGGTCTTCCTCCCGTGGCCTGTTTTCTCATTATCTTTTTGTTTATCCTTTGACAAGCTACACAACTTCCACATACTTGTTTAATGAGGGTATAAATCCCTATACACCCATAATTCCTAAGTATTGCATTATACAGAGACTTGGATCCCCAGTGACTCCTTTTGCATAATACAGACATTAGTTTCTTATTGGGGGTTTACTCACACTGGTTCTTTCACACTGTCCACCTTTTTCTCGGCTGTCTGCTCTGGCTCTGCGGCTCCTGCCACCCCCACGCCTGCAGCTGCACTCCCTGGCCTGCTAGGCCAGCTTTTAGTCACAAAGCTAACCTTTAAAAGGCCTTGCCCACTGGTTCTTCCAGATTTAATCCAAAATATTTTCTCATCTGATCTCTGAGCCTCTGCAGGAATGCAGAGGGAGTTTCCTCTTTTTCTTGTTGAATCTCAAATGCCTTTACGACATTTTATGCCCTAGGAGTGGACTCTTTGATCTCTTCTAATTATTCATTCCTCCATTTGGGCCCAGTCCCTGGGATCTTTATTATCCAATTTGGGAATGACATTTGGGAATTTTTGTTTGGCTGGCAAGAACCCTTGCCCAGGAGAGTGTTGCCTGTCCCAGATGGTCATGACTGCTCTCCTAATCATTCCCCTTTCTTCTCCTGTGAACAGTATATTTATAATAGAATAATTTTAGCCCAGGTGTAAAAGCTGGGTCCTAGGATTTGGTACAGCTGGTCTGCTAAACTGAGGGGATCTTCTAGGAGTGGTTTCATTTCCTTCTTGAAATTCCTAACTTCAGTACCTGTAACAGGAGCATTTACAAAGCCAGTCTCTCCCTGTCCCATGGGAACTTCCCTAAGAGGATACATGCTAGATGCCTGCTGTGTGGAGTGGATAGGGGAGTTTTCAATATCCTCTTACACTGTTCTTTTTTTTACATATATACTTTAAGTTGTAGGGTGCGTGTGTACAACGTGCAGGTTTGTTACATATGTATACATGTGCCATGTTGGTGTGCTGCACCCATTAACTCGTCATTTACATTAGGTATATCTCCTAATGCTATCCCTTCGCCCCCACCCCCAACACCCCACAACAGGCCCTGGAGTGTGATGTTCCCCTTCCTGTGTCCAAGTGTTCTCATTGTTCAATTCCCACCTATGAGTGAGAACCTGCGGTGTTTGGTTTTCTGTCCTTGCGATAGTTTGCTGAGAATGATGGTTTCCAGCTTCATCCATATCCTTACAAAGGACATGAACTCATCCTTTTTTATGGCTGCATAGTATTCCATGGTGTATATGTACCACATTTGCTTAATCCAGTCTATCATTGATGGACATTTGGGTTGGTTCCAAGTCTTTGCTATTGTGAATAGTGCTGCAATAACCATACGTATGCATGTGTCTTTATAGCAGCATGATTTATAATCCTTTGAGTCTATGCCCAGTAATGGGATGGCTGGGTCAACTGGTATTTCTAGTTCAAGATCCTTGAGGAATCGCCACAGTCTTCCACAATGGTTGAACTAGTTTACAGTCCCAACAACAGTGTAAAAGTGTTCCTATTTCTCCACATCCTCTCCAGCACCTGTTGTTTCCTGACTTTTTAATGATCACCATTCTAACTGGTGTGAAATGGTATCTCATTGTGGTTTTGATTTGCATTTCTCTGATGACCAGTGATGACGAGCATTTTTTCATGTGTCTGTTGGCTGCAAAAATGTCTTATTTTGAGAAGTGTCTGTTCATATCCTTCACCCACTTTTTGTTGGGGTTGTTTGATTTTTTCTTGTAAATTTGTTTAAGTTCTTTGTAGATTCTGGATATTAGCCCTTTGTCAGATGGGTAGATTGTAAACATTTTTTCCCATTCTGTAGGTTGCCTGTTCACTCTGATGGTAGTTTCTTTTGTTGTGCAGAAGCTCTTTAGTTTAATTAGATCCCATTTGTCTATTTTGGCTTTTGTTGCCATTGCTTTTGGTGTTTTAGTTATGAAGTCCTTGCCCATCCCTATGTCCTGAATGGTATTGCCTAAGTTTTCTTCTAGGGTTTTTATGGTTTCAGGTCTAACACTTAAGTCTTTAATCCATTTTGAATTAATTTTTGTATAAGGTGTAAGGAAGGGATCCAGTTTCAGCTTTCTACGTATGGCTAGCCAGTTTTCCCAGCACCATTTATTAAATAGGGAATCCTTTCCCCATTTCTTGTTTTTGTCAGGTTTGTCAAAGATCAGATGGTTGTAGATGTGTGGTATTATTTCTGAGGGCTCTGCTCTGTTCCGTTGGTCTATATCTCTGTTTTGGTACCAGTACCATGCTGTTTTGGTTACTGTAGCCTTGTGGTATAGTTTGAAGTCAGGTAGCATGATGCCTCCAGCTTTGTTCTTTTGGCTTAGGATTGTCTTGGCAATGCAGGCTCTTTTTTGGTTCCATATGAACTTTAAAGCAGTTTTTTTCCAATTCTCTGAAGAAAGTCCTTGGAAGCTTGATGGGGATGGCATTGAAT
Organism: Homo sapiens; assembly: GCF_000001405.40. Taxonomy (NCBI): domain Eukaryota; kingdom Metazoa; phylum Chordata; class Mammalia; order Primates; family Hominidae; genus Homo; species Homo sapiens. The sequence goes on along the minus strand of NC_000017.11, from coordinate 32,968,192 downwards.
CTATAAATTACCTTGGGCAGTATGGCCATTTTCATGATATTGATTCTTCCTATCCATGAGCATGGAATGTTCTTCCATTTGTTTTTGTCCTCTTTTATTTCATTGAGCAGTGGTTTGTAGCTCTCCTTGAAGAGATCCTTCTCATCCCTTGTAAGTTGGATTCCTAGGTATTTTATTCTCTTTGAAGCAATTGTGAATGGGAGTTCACTCATGATTTGGCTCTCTGTTTGTCTCTTATTGGTGTATAGGAATGCTTGTGATTTTTGCACATTGATTTTGTATCCTGAGACTTTGCTGAAATTGCTTATCAGCTTGAGGAGATTTTGGGCTGAGACGATGGGGTTTTCTAAATATACAATCATGTCATCTGCAAACAGGGACAATTTGACTTCCTCTTTTCCTAATTGAATACCCTTTATTTCTTTCTCCTGCCTGATTGCCCTGACCAGAACTTCCAACACTATGTTGAATCGGAGTGGTGAGAGAGGGCATCCCTGTCTTGTGCCAGTTTTCAAAGGGAATGCTTCCAGTTTTTGCCCATTCAGTATGATATTAGCTGTGGGTTTGTCATAAATAGTTCTTATTATTTTGAGATACGTCCCATCAATACCGAGTTTATTGAGAGTTTTTAGCATGAAGCGCTGTTGAATTTTGTCAAAGGCCTTTTCTGCATCTATTGAGATAATCATATGGTTTTTGTCTTTGGTTCTGTTTATATGATGGATTACATTTATTGATTTGCATATGTTGAACCAGCCTTGCATCCCAGGGATGAAGCCCACTTGATCATGGTGGATAAGCTTTTTGATGTGCTGCTGGATTCAGTTTGCCAGTATTTTATTGAGGATTTTTGCATCGATGTTCATCAGGGATATTGGTCTAAAATTCTCTTTTTTTGTTGTGTCTCTGCCAGGCTTTGCTATCAGGATGATGCCGGCCTCATAAAATGAGTTAGGGAGGATTCCCTGTTTTTCTATTGATTGGAATAGTTTCAGAAGGAATGGTACCAGCTCCTCTTTGTACCTCTGGTAGAATTTGGCTGTGAATCCATCTGGTCTTGGACTTTTTTTCATTGGTAGGCTATTCATTATTGCCTCAATTTCAGAGCCTGTTATTGGTCTATTCAGGGATTCAACTTCTTCCTGGTTTAGTCTTGGGAGGGTATATGTGTCGAGGAATTTATCCATTTCTTCTAGATTTTCAAGTTTATTTGCATAGAGGTGTTTATAGTATTCTCTGATGGTAGTTTGTATTTCTGCGGGATCAGTGGTGATATCCCCTTTATCATTTTTTTACTGTGTCTATTTGATTCTTCTCTCTTTTCTTCTTTATTAGTCTTGCTAGCAGTCTATCAATTTTGTTGATCTTTTCAAAAAACCAGCTCCTGGATTCATTGATTTTTTGAAAGGTTTTTTGTGTCTCTATCTCCTTCAGTTCTGCTCTGATCTTAGTTATTTCTTGCCTTCTGCTAGCTTTTGAATGTGTTTGCTCTTGCTTCTCTAGTTCTTTTAATTGTGATGTTAGGGTATCAATTTTAGATCTTTCCTGCTTTCTCTTGTGGGCATTTAGTGCAATAAATTTCCCTCTACACACTGCTTTAAATGTGTCCCAGAGATTCTGGTATGTTGTGTCTTTGTTGTCATTGGTTTCAAAGAACATCTTTATTTCTGCCGTCATTTCGTTATGTACCCAGTAGTCATTCAGGAGCAGGTTGTTCAGTTTCCATGTAGTTGAGTGGTTTTGAGTGAGTTTCTTAATCCTGAGTTCTAGTTTGATTGCACTGTGTTCTGAGAGACAGTTTGTTATAATTTCTGTTCTTTTACATTTGCTGAGGAGTGCTTTACTTCCAACTATGTGGTCAATTTTGGAATAAGTGCGAGATGGTGCTGAGAAGAATGTATATTCTGCTGATTTGGGGTGGAGAGTTCTGTAGATGTCTATTAAGTCCACTTGGTGCAGAGCTGAGTTCAATTCCTGGATATCCTTGTTAACGTTCTGTCTCATTGATCTGTCTAATGTTGACAGTGGGGTGTTAAAGTCTCCCATTATTATTGTGTGGGAGTCTAAGTCTCTTTGTAAGTCTCTAAGGACTTGCTTTATGAATCTGGGTGCTCCTGTATTGGGTGCATATATATTTAGGATAGTTAGCTCTTCTTGTTGAATTGATCCCTTTACCATTATGTAATGGCCTTCTTTGTCTCTTTTGATCTTTGTTGGTTTAAAGCCTGTTTTATCAGAGACTAGGATTGCAACCCCTGCTTCTTTTTTTTTTGTTTGTTTTCCATTTGCTTGGTAGATCTTCCTCCAACCCTTTATTTTGAGCCTATGAGAGATTTTGTCACCACCAGGCCTACCTTACAAGAGCTCCTGAAGGAAGCACTAAACATGGAAAGGAACAACCAGTACCAGCCACTGCAAAAACATGCCAAATTGTAAAGACCATGGATGCTAGGAAGAAACTGCATCAACTAATGAGCGAAATAACCAGCTAACATCATAACGACAGGATCAAATTCACACATAACAATATTAACCTTAAATGTAATTGGGCTAAATGCTCCAATTAAGAGACACAGACTGGCAAATTGGATAAAGAGTCAAGACCCATCAGTGTGCTGTATTCAGGAGACCCATCTCACATGCAGAGACACACATAGCCTCTTACACTGTTCTAATTCTTTACTTAAATTTGGATAAAGATTTAAAGGAGAGGTTGGTTCAGCTCCCCCATGGTCTCCAGGTCTTTCTTCCTCTAACCTTCCTCCTGCCCCTTGATCTTCCTGTCCCCTATTTTTTGAGACGTATGGAAGGGGCAAGCATGGTAGGGGGTCCCAGGGCTTTTCCCTGGGTGAGGACTTTTTACTAGGCTCTTTCTCTTCTTTGAGGGGGAACATGGGGGCTAATTCCATGATCCATCAGAGAGTGTAACCTATCTCTTCTCGTCAGTATGGGGTTTTATCATTCACATAGAGAATTAAAACTTGGCAAACCCAGTCCTCGTCTGATCCAAAGTTAGGCCAAAAGACTGAAGGCTTACAAATGGGGTCCTTGGGACAGATAAAACAGCAATACTTTTTCATCTTTTGCTTTTCCTTGTCCCTGGTTCGAGAGTTGTCCCTCCAAACCTGCAGCACTCTCCCCAAAAGACTATCCAGGGAATGTCAGAGAGAGTCTTTGATTCCCTCTTTCCTTTGTCCCCTTGGCCTAGAATTTCTGTTTCCCATTTTTGGTCAGTCTCTGTGTCTGAGTTTCCTTGTGTACATAACCCCCCTCTATTGGAGGTTTCTTGCACACCCCGAAAATCACTTCATCCATCTCCGGCCATTTCCCTTGCAGGAGAATGGAACTGCGGATTGGGACTCTGCACTCGCTTCGTATCTAAGATACCTCTCAGTCACACACACTTGACCTCCGAAAATGCCCAACCACCAAGGCAGTACTTATAGTCCAATTTTCTACCTTGGCTCATGCACAAGTTTGCCTGGTTGCCACAGTGCCTGCTTTTCTCCCTCTGTCACCTCCACTGCCTCCTGAGTAACAGTCTCGAGTTTGTCTATGGCTTCTGCAGGGAGCCGGGGCGCCCGGACAGAGCAGGCCACCTAAATCAGGTGGGACACATCTCCCCTCTCACCCAGAGTCTTACTCCACGCAGGCACAGAGATCCCAGATGGGCCTCCAGGTTTGTGAGAAACATACATTCACCCATCCAAACCCGAAGAATGGACTCAGAGACACGAAGAACAGCGGAAGCGAGACTTTTAATGGTGGACTTGCAAGATCAGGTGTCTGGTAGGCAGGCACACCCAGGGCAGTTACAACAGGTAATTTATCTCCTAGCACACAAATCCTCCCCCCAGTTCCTCATTGGTTGAGTACTATGGGGTTACAATCTTCCTAGACATCGCCTAAGTTTCATTATCTCCCTTCTAAGGTTATGCCCTGGTCTCCTCCCCTGCTTAAGTTTCAATTTCCCAATAACAAAACTTTCTTCCCTTTTATGGGCTGACCCCTCTTCTACATTCTATTCACTTATGGTGACCTTCTAGGTGCATGAGACATGTGGTTTGTTACGTTTGCAGCCTGGCTGCCAGTACTTAGATTTATCATGCCTTGAAAATGGATCATTTAAAATGTTTTCTCACATTGATGATCCATGTGGCCCCTCCTAATGCCATCATCCTCTAGCTGTGCCCCCTACTCACCCACCTGCTGATTTTGTATATGGTATTTTGAGTCTCCATAAGCTAAAATGGGTGTATTGTCACCTCCATTTCTTCAACTGTAAAATGGGAATAATTATTCCTACTGCACCATTCCTATATTGGCATGAGGAGAAAAAGGGAATAATGTGTGTGAAATTGCCTTACACATAGTACATGCTTAATCAACATTTGTCTTCCTTAAAAAACCATCATAATGGGTTAGCATGGAAAAAATGTTAAAGAAAATTGTAATTCACTGACAAGCATCTTCATTCAACAGCCAGTGGGACAGAGTGGCCTTCAAGCCAAGAGAATTACATGATGTCACAACTTTCCAAGAGGCGGTGATGGATCTCAGGCTTCACAGGCAGCCTAGTGAAGTGGAAAGAACTTGGGCAGGGAGATAGACAGACCTGCTTTTAGGCCTCTGACCCATCCTTAATAGAAATATTTCTGTCCAAAAAAAAAAAAAGATTACACTGGAATAATCATTTCAACAGCTCCAGTCACTACAAAGTGGAAGATTACAGAGCCTTGATGCCAAGTCTGAGCTGAGCTCAAACCCTTCCTTTGCCATTTGTTATTGAGTGACCTAATTGTCAGTAGGGATGGTAATAATTCAAATTATTATTAGGAGGCTGTGAATTTCAAGTAAGATAAAGTATTTAGTAAGTGCTTAATAATATTAGCTATTGTTGTGTTCTAAGAGCTACAGATGGGTCCCAGTCAGTGTATTAGTGTATTGCCTGCCTAGGCACAACTGTATTCTTGTTTAAGATTTCCATGAAAAATCACACAACATTGTCAAACCCCATCACGGTTCCATGAGAAAGATGTTTAGTAGTCTCTGCTACCCTCCCTCCATACACACACACACACACACACGCATCCCATTTTACATGTAAAAAAGTTGACATTGGACATTTGATCAAGATAAAGATCTGTTATACTCTGAAGGATGGGGATATAAAGTTGTGTTTTTCCAGCATCTCCTTCCTTCATCCCAAGAACATACTGCACTCCCAAGAATATACCCATCAAAAGAGGTTAAAATGACTGTTTGAAGTGGGAAAGGCATCATCCTACCCCTGAGCCTCTATAAAGAAAGAAATCTTGTAAAACAGAATCTGTCCCATGGTTAAGCCAAGACCATCTCTTATTGATTAAAGGTCAACAAGAATGTAGATTAGTTAAGCTATGAAGAGACCTAACATTCTGAAATGCCAAGTCCTGAGGCTAAAAGTCTGAAACCAATCATTCAAAATCCAAGGAGATGCAACCCTGGAGGAATGATCTGAAGTAAGCTATTTCACAGAATCTGAAATCCGGATTGCCAGTATCTCGCTAAGGCACTCCCACACAGAGGGCTGAAACTGAGCTCCAAACTCTGATAGTGCTTAAAATAGAGTCCTGCAAACATACACAGAGCTCATGAGGCTGTAAGGCAGACCCCTGAATTCCAAAGTTGCTGGGAGTATTGGGACAATCAGGCTTGACAAGAGACACTTACAGACAAGAAGACAGAAGGAGACAGAGGCACCCACATGATAAAGAGAGTCAAGCAGCAGCTACCCACTTCTGGTTCCTTAAACGTTCTAAATAAACAGTGGAAGCTTAGTCTTCTCTTGGTTAATCTTTCATCTCTCCAGAGAATGTGGCTTTAGTTACTACCCAGTTTTCTTATCAGAGGAAACCAATGTATACAAAGGCAATGGAGTTAGTCCAGAAGCCTTTATCTAATTATATTATCAGAAGTCAATGGTTGGCCTTAAACAGTGCCCACTTCTCTAGAGTCTAAGACAGGGAGGTGAGAACAAGCCAGGCCAGAGCTCAGGATAGAGTTGAGTAGGGGGCAAAATTTCAGCTCCAGTCTGGACTCAGTGGCTCACGCCTGTAATCCCAGCAATTTGGGAGGCCGAGGTGGGTGGATCACTTGAAGTCAGAAGTTTGAGACCAGCCTGGCCAACATGGTGAAACCCCATCTCTGCTGAAAATACAAAAATTAGCCAGGCATGGTGGCGGGTGCCTGTAGTCCCAGCTACTCAGGAGGCTGAGGCATGAGAATCACTTGAACCCAGAAGGTGGAGGTTGCAGTGAGCCGAGATAGCACCACTACATTCCAGCCTGGGTGACAGAGCAAGATAACATCTCAAAAAAAAAAAAAATTCAGTTCCAGGGCTGGGCCCCTGCAGAAGGCAGCTGTGAAGGTTCAAGGTGCTTAGTTCAAAAAGTGAAGCAAACTCAAGGGTACAAGCAGTAAATGTCTGTAAAGCTGCTCTGGCTGGGATGAGTGCACAGCAGCAGAATGTCTAAGCAGCCAGCCAGAGCTCAGCAGCCAAATAAATGGAAGTCAGTTACGGAAAACATGTCCAGATGCGGCAAGACCTCACCAGCAAGTGGGGAGGGGGAGAAACAGATAACTGGCTCGATGTTCTTGTTTGTCACTATCTTCTCATTGCCTAGCCTGGATGCTGGCATATAATAGATGCTTAATAAACATTTGTAGAATTAATAAATGCAAGACAAATCCCCTATAGACACCAAGTGTCTGCTTACTTTCCCGTCTCCACCATCCTGCCCATCACTGCCTTTCTTGCAGCTTCCGAGGGTAGTCTCATTAAATCACTAATTGTAATTAGATCATAAGAACAAAAGTACAGATACTGTCAGGTTGTAAAGGACAAGAAAATTAGGAGAAATCTAATGGGAAACATAAAGCTTGGAGATGGAGTTGCTGATTGAGCTCCAGGAGCAGCGCCTGGGAGGGGAAGACTGGCTGTTGCGGGAGGGTTGGAGAGAGCAGGGGAGCCTACTGGGGCATGGAGAGGAGAAGAGGGGGCTGGACCTTGCTTCCTGGTCCAGCCAGCCACAGGGAACTAACACCTAATGAAAGCAGCCTTGCAAGCTCACAATAGGATGTGGTCTGACTCATCACCTCCCCACTGTAACTCTGGTGGATGGGCTTCTCACACTGCCTATGGAAGAGGAAAGCATTACAGAGGCCACATGGGATGGGGCTGGCCTGTGGCTCCGTTCTGGAAACAGCAACCAGACTGCCTGCCCAAAAGGTGCTGCTAAGACCATGGTGAAAGTCAATAATGATAAGAAGCCACCATCACTCTGACAGAAGACTCATGACATGAGAGCCAGATGTTCCACAGGACAAGGATCTCCTTCCCTGAGTTGGAGGCAGGCAAGGAGCTGAAGTTCTGTCAATCCAGCCAGCTTGGGCTGAGCCACGGAGCAAACCAGGTCTGTTTCTAATCTTGTCATCTACTTTGCCCACATTCAGGTGTGGCCTCAGGCGTCCTCTTTACTCTTGGCTTCTAGGAGGCGCCCCTTTGGGCCACATGTTGAGACTCAACCCTCAGAGAGGATCTGCTCCTGGTTGTGTTGCTGCAGATCCCTGGATCTTGCAGCGGGGAGAGTGTTGACGTTGCCTGGAAGAGGAAACAATGTAAGAGACTGGCTATCAAACTACATTCTGTGAAGCTGGGGGACTCCGCAGAGGTGTTCGGGAACAGAGGGGAGTTGAGCAGGCAGGGGTTCTGCACACCCCCACTCCCACTTCAAATCAGAGCAGCTTCACTTTTCTCCATATTACATTACAATTCTACATAAGGTTTTGTTTCAAGAAAATGTTTTGAACTAGCCTGGGCAAAAATAGTGAGACCCCCTGTCTCTATAAATTTTTTTTTTTTAATTAGCCAAGCATGGTGGTGCATACCTATACTCTCAGCTATCAGGACACTGAGGCAGAAGGATCGCTTGAGCCCAGGAGTTCAAGGGTGCAGTGAGCTATGATCACACCACTGCACTTCATCCTGGCCAACAGAGAGAGACCCTGTCTCCAAGAAAGAAGGAGAAATAGAGAGAGAGAGAGAAAGAGAGAGAGAGAAAGAGAGAGAGAGAGAGAGAGCTGGGCACAATGGCTCATGCCTGTAATCCCAGCTTTTTGGGAGGCCGAGGTGGACAGATCCCTTGAGCCCAGGAGTTTGAGACCAGCCTGGGCAATACAGTGAGACCCTGTCTCTACTTAAAAAAAAAAAAATAGCTGGGTATGGTGGCATGTACCTGTGATGCCAGCTACTTGAGAGGCTGAGGCGAGAGAACCAATTGAACTTGGAAGGCCGAGACAGCAGTGAGCCATGATCAGCCACTGCACTCCAGCCTGGGTGACAGAGCAAGACCCTATCTCAAAAAAAAAAAAAAAGATATTAGAAAAACAGGGAGAAGAAAGAGAAAGAAAGAAAGAAAGAAAGAGAGGGAAGGAAGGAAGGAAGGAAGGAACGAAGGAGGAATGAAGGAAGGAACGAAGGAAGGAAGGAAGATCCTGAAACTAAAAAACGTTGATATCTGTGGCAGATTCAGTTATTGACCCCAGATCTTCCTTCCCCTATAGTGGAATTATACATCCACATTCATACCATGGCTTCACGATGGACAGAGTGTATTTCCTGAGCTCTTGACTTTGGGCCTACCTATTCTTTGACCAACAGGATGGTTGCACAACACTAGCAAAGACGTGAAAAGTGTTTGTGTGGGCCTACACTCGAGTTCTTGCCTTTTCCCATGAGAAAAATTTGCCTCAGCTACAAGTCCAAGGAGGATGAGAGGCATGTGGAGCAAACCTGAGCCCAACCCACTGCTTGGAGTCAGGCTGAGTTGAGCCCGTTACACATCAGCCAAACCCTACCAATGCACAGGTCAATAAGCCCAAAATAAACGCTTGTTGTAAAACATTCAAATTTCTTTTTTTCTTTCTTCTTCTTTTTTGTTCCATCTTGCCCTGTCGCCCAGACTGTGCAGTGCAGCGGTGCAATCACAGCTCACTGCAACCTCCACCTCCTGGCTCAAGTGATCCTCCCACCTCAGCCTCCCAAGTAGTGGAATTCTAGGTGCATGCCACCACACCCAGCTAATTTTTGCATTTTTTTGTAGAGATCACATCTTGCCGTGTTGCCCAGGCTGGTCTCGAACTCCTGAGCTCAAGCAATCGGTCCACCTGGTCTCCCAAAGTGCTGGGATTACAGGTGTGAGCCACCACACTCTGCCACCATTCAAATTTCAAAGTTGTCTGTATGCAGCAACATTAACTGACTACACAATGCCTTTTAAGGGCCCTTCCAGCACCTTTATTTAAACAAAGAATCTGTCCAAAAAGGAAAGAAAGAAGTTTACAAAAAACTCAAGCACTACAGTACTTAGTTCTATTGCTTTGGAGAGCAATTTTACAACATCTAGTAAAGCTGAAGATGCCCATAACTTACCATTCATTATTCCACCTCTAGGTAATTATATAACAGCAGGAGTTGGCAAACTTATTCTGTGAAGGGCCAGATAGTAAATATTTTAGGCTTTGCCAGCCATATGGTCTTCATTAACTGCTGTTTTAGCATGACAGCAGCCATAGACAACACTCAAATGAATGCCTGTGGCTGTGCTCGATTCAAACTTTTTAATAGACACAGAAATCTGGATTTTATGTACTTCTCACGTGCCACAAAATAGTTTTCTTATTATTTTTAACCATTAAAAATGTAGTGGATAAACAAAATGTGATACACACATGCAATGGAAAATTATTCAGCCTTAAAAATGAAATTCTGACACATGCCTCAACATGCATGAACCTTGGAGACATGATGCTAAGTGAAATAAGCCAGTCACAAAAGGATGAATATGGCATGATTCCACCGACATAAAGGACCTACAGTAGTCAAGTACACAGAGACAGAAAGTAGAATGGTGTCTGTCAGGGCTAGGGGAAGCGGGAAAGGGGAGTTATTAATGACCACGGAGTTTCAGTTTGGGATGATGAAAACATTCTGGAGATGGATGGTGGTGATGGTCACCCAATGACGTGAATGTACTTAATGCCACTGAACTATATACTGAAAAATGGTGAATATGGTAAATCTTCTGTTATGCATATTTTACCATAATTTTTAATTTATTTTTATTTATTTATTTTTTTGTGTGTGTGAGACCTCTGTCGCCCAGGCTGGAGTGCAGTGGTGCGATCTTGGCTCACTGCAACCTCTGCCTCCTGGGTTCAAGTGATTTTCCTGCCTCAGCCTCCCGAGTAGCTGGGATAACAGGCATGTGCCACCACACCCAGCTAATTTTTATATTTTTAGTAGAGATGGGGTTTCGCCATGTTGGCCAAGCTGATCTCAAACTCTTGACCTCAGGTGATCTGCCCACCTTGGTCTCCCAAAGTGCTGGGATTGCAGGCATGAGCCACCATGCCAGGCCCCATTTTACCACAATTTTTAAAGTTAAAATTCAAATTCAGAAAAAGGAAAAATGTAAAAACCATTCTTAATTCATAGCTGCATACAAAAAACAAGTGGTAGCCAGGTATGACCTGTAAGCTATAGTTTGCTGACACTTGCCTTAAACAAACCCTCTCACTGTTCCCCAGGAGGAGGTAAGTGGAGGAATTCATCACAGCATAGTGTGGGTTATAAAAAAGAAAAAAAAAGGAAACAGCATAAATATTCATCAACAGGAAAATGGAGAAATACATTGTGGCATATTTATATAATGGAATATTCAATGATAAGTGGAATCTGCTACAATTTATATATAAAATTTAAAACCCTACTGAGTAATGCTATATTGTATTAATGAATACATAAATATGTAATAAAAGTGTAAAAACATACATAGGAATGATAAACACTGGATTCATGGTAATAGTTACCTCTGAGGAGGGAGAGGAACAGGGGTAGGAGTGGAATATGCGGAGATCTTCAATTATATCAGTAATATTTTATTTCTTTAAATGAGATCTGATGCAAATATGACATAATGTTAAGATTTGATAAAGCTTAATCGTGGGTAAATAGGTATTCATTATGCTCTTTTCTATTCTTGTCTATCTTTGAAATATTTCATGACAGAAAAATTAATTTAAAAAAAAGCAAAGCAAAGGGAGGAACAAGTTTTTTGAGGAAAGAAAAGAAATCATCAATTTCAAAACATGCCAGTAACAAAGTGAATAACAGGCAAGGTAATCGGGCCATCTCACAGATCCTGGCTTCCTCAGGCTTCTTCAGCCCACCAGCTGAGAGCTTAGGGGACGGACCGTGTGCAGAGACCCACATTTGGAACCAAAGGATAGCTCTGTCCACAGGTTTGTCCCTCTGTGGCTGAGAGAGAAGACCGACAGTGCCAGACCACCCATACCTGGGCACCTTCCTCCAGCCACAGCCCTGGTTTCCAGAGATAAGCCCACCCCCACTCACAAGGCATGACAAGTCATTTTAGGGCTTCAAGATGTTTTGTTGTGAAAACCCCAGCTTCTCTCCTAAATACCTGCAGAGATGGAAAAAGACAGGCCAGGCTTCTCTGGGGGACCTCTCCTCAACTCAATAAACATTTATTGACCTTGTTTCTAGTCCGTATCTAATGCTGTCTGTTAGGATTAGATTAGACTGCAAGTAACAGGAAACCCAACCAACAGTGGCTTAAACATGACAGAAGTTTACTTCTGTCTCATATGAAATAAATCTAGAGGTAAATAACTCATGGTAGTGTGAAGGCACTGTCATCCCTAGGCTATGACATACTCCTGTTCAAGATGACAAGAGCTTCAGTTACCAGATCTGCCTTCTAAGCAAAAAGATGGAAGAAAGGGAAAAGAACCAGCATTCTCCCTTTTGAAGGAGACTTCCAGAAAGTATCCTTTGACTTTTTCACTGACATCTCATTGGCCAGACATAGTCAAATGGCCACACTTAGCTCCAAGGAAAGCTAGGAAATGTAGCCTTTTTCCAAGACACCATGAACCCAGCTAAAAACCAGGGATGCTATTGCTAAGAAGGGAGACAAGATATTAGAAAAGGCAACTCACAATCTTTGTCACAGTTACTGAGTTACTATGTGACTGGCCTTGGGCAAGTGTCAATAATTCCTCACGCTTCAGACAATGCATTGGATTAGGTCATTGCTAAGATCCTTTCCGGATCTGACATCTCATTCTATCCTATAATATTCTATGCTAAAGCTTTATGCTTAATATAATTGATTGATTCAAAGTCGGAAGAGAACCAATACGTATTACTTATTTTCAAATGTTCAATAATGTCATTATTTATCTTTTTTAAACCTCACAAACAATTATATGATGTTTGATGTATTATTCCCTTTTTTTTTTTAGAGACAGGGTCTCACTCTGTCACCCAGGTTGGAGTGCATTGGCACAATCAGAGCTCACTGAAGCCTAGAACTTCCAGGCTCAAGCCATCCTCCCTGCCTCAGCTCCCTGAGTATCTAGGACTACAGGTACACGCCACCATGCCCAACTAATTTATCTATTTATTTATTTTTTAGAGATGGGTTCTTGCTATGTTGCCCAGGCCGGTCTCTAACTCCTGGCCTCAAGTTCCTCCTGCCTCAGCCTCCCAAAGCGCTGGGATTACAGGCATGAGCCACCACACCCGACCATATTATTCCCTTTCAGATATGAGAAAATTGAGGTTCAAGATGGCTAAGCCACCTCCCAAGTTCATGCAGCTTTAAATGGTGTGACCAAGATTTGAACCCAATCCAGGCTCTTTCACCACACCATGCTGCCAACTTCAATATCTTGAAATAGACTGGGATACAATCCCAGGTCTGCCATTTACTAACAGTGTCACCTTGGATAAATTACTTAGCCTTTTTGTGCCTTGTTTTTCTCATCTGCAAAATGGAAATAATAGTACCTATGCTGTAGGGCTGTTGAGAGGATTAAATAAATGAATAAATATATCTGCCACATAAGTATTAGTGTATAAGCATATTAGCTATTCTTATAACAGGGAACATTTGAGATGTACCTGGAGGAAGAACTGAGGAACAGGGAGGGTGTTGCAAGCAGAGGGAGGGATAAGCAGGAGGTATTTAGTCTCCTCCAACTCCAGTACTTAAGCAGGACAGGTCCTCATTTGGCACGTATTTGACTCAAATAAGTCTCAAGAAAACCCCGAAGAATAAAGGACTATGAGACATGAATCTTAACCTCTACCTGGAAGGGAAGGGAGAGTAGCCCCTCTTAACTCCCAACTGCAAGCTCTCCATGGCGCTGGGAGCATGTAAAAGGAGGGTGATGAGGGTCATACATGAACTTGGGTCCTTGCTCTGTCTTGGCCCGTATCATGCCATATTCCATGTGTTCTGGTTAGTTATTCACAGCAGGCAGCCAGCCAGCTGGGCGGCACTCAGCCCCACCTTCTTGGTGAGGTTGTTCCTTGAACTTTATCCCCACGACGGAAAAAAATTTTTTTTCTCTGTATACTTAAGAGAAAGACAGCTACACAGAGTCACACCCACAGGTACAGCTAGCCAGGGCGCTGCAGCCAGGAGGAGGGCTGACGGGCAGGGCTTTCCTCCCCAATGCCAACCTCTCCCAAAGAGAGATGTATCTCTTCTGTAGGGGCCACGTGCAGGTCTGTCTTTCAGCAAACTGGGCAAATCGTGACATGGAGGCAAGCACATGAAAATGGAATTTGAGAGACCTGGTCTCTCATCCCAAATCAGCTCCTAAGCCACTCTGTGACTGTGAGCAAGTGCTTTGACCTCTCTGCGCCTTGAGTTGGTGGATGTAATAACACCAGCCTCATAAGGTCATTCATCTCTTGTGAAGATTAAATAAAATAATGCATGTAAGGTGTTTCCAACAGCTCCCAACATGCAGTAGGGACCCAGTCACCCAAGGCCCCTGTCTCTGCAGGCTCCTCTCAGCTATTTTAACATTCTACCACACTGTGCTAGTGCGTCCCATAATTAGATGACTTTTTTTTTTTTTGGCCCTAGGCATACCCCTTATATTTCTGAACTTAATGAGTTTACCTTTGAACTTTTTCACACTGTTTATGCATTTATGACTTTTTATTATAGCTTTTACAGGATGACAGATGTTAGGGGCTCTGAGTAGCACACTCACCTCCTCTCCTCCATGCAATGAACTGGGAATTCCTTGGTGTGCATTCTTTCCCAGTTCTTCCCTTACTGGCTGCATGAGCTTGGAGCGTGAGTTTCCCTTCCTAGGCCTGTTTCCTCCTTGCTAAGTCTCATTTTCCTAACTAAAAACCAGTAATAATAGTTGCTACCCCTCCAGATCTCCCAGGCTGTTTTAAGGAATCCACAGACTCCAGTAAGATGAGTGTGGCATGTGTTCTCCTGAGGAGAGGAGATGGGGAATGAGCAAAGTCCTACCAGGTCAGGACAGAGTGATCAGTCCAACAACAACACCAACTAAGAGAAAGGATGTCCCAGAGGCCAGGAAGGGTACAGGGAGAGGGGCATGAAGAGAAGTTGATTGATGGGTACAAATATAGACTTAGATGGAAAAAATAAGATCTAGTATTCGATACATCAGCAGTGTGACTATAGTTAACATTAATCAATTGTATATTTCCAAATAGCTAGAAGAGAATAATTTGAATGTTCCTCGCTTAAAGGAAGATAAATATTTAAGGTGTTAAAGCAAATTAAATATGGCCTGAGAAGGACTCCATACTTCTATATATGAGTGATTGTGGACAAAATGTAACCCAGCTTAATAGGCAGGCAAGATTGAAAACCTAACTTAGGAGTATGCACCTGTAACAATAGCTGAGTCTTGGCCAATCCCAGTGGCCACACTTCATCTACTCATGGACTAAGTTAAACTACTCATGGACTAAGTTAAACACCAACTGTAACCAATCCAGCTGTTTCTATACCTCACTTCTTATTTCTGTACCTCACTTCCCTTTTTATAAATTTGTTCTGACCACAAGGCACCCCTGGAGTCTCTCTGAATATGCTGTGATTCTGGGGGTTGCCTGATTCATGAATCATTCATTGTTTGATTAAACTCCTTTAAATTTATTTCCACTGAAGTTTTTAACAAAGGTATTGGATGTCCCAATTACTGTGATTTGACTACATGAATGTACCAAATTATCACCTGTACCCCAAAAGTATGTATATCTAATATACATATCAATAAAAATAAATTTTTAAAAGAAGAGAAAAGGAGTCTTATTCACCCTTCATAAGACAAATGGGGCTGGGTCATCTGGAAAGACAATAAGAGAAAAGCCTCTCTCAGGGGATGTATTAGTCTGTTCTCATGCTGCTAATAAAGACATACCCAAGACTGTGTAATTTATAAAAAAAAAAAAAAAGAGGTTTAATGGACTCACAGCTCCACATGGCTGGGGAGGCCTCACAATCATGGTGGAAGAGCAAAGGACATCTTTTATGGCAGCAGACAAGAGAGAATGAGAGAGCCAAGTGAAAAGGGAAACCCCTTATAAAATCATCAGATCTCGTGAGACTTACTCACCATCATGAGAACAGTATGGGGGAAACTGCCCCCATGATTCAATTGTCTTTCACTGGGTCCTTCCCACAACACATGGGAATTATGGGAGCTACAATTCAAGATGACATTTGGGTGGGGACAGAGCCAAGCCATATCAGGGGAGGACAAAGCCAAAAGTTTCAAAGAGTAAAATTAATAATCCCATTTGCAGAAGTAAATAACAAAGAGGAGAAGGAGAAATGGTAAAGTGCTGAATTGAAGCAGAAATCACTTTTAAAAAACCAAAGAGCCAAAGTGAGAAGTCTGTATAAACAGAATCCCAGTAATTAGGAGAGACAAACGGAGTGGCAGGCAGGAAGGCAATGCCATGCATAGACCTTCGCCAGAAATGCAAGGAGGTCAGAGGGCTGCCACAGGGTTGAGAGAGAATGCACAGGGAAAGGTGAGAAATAAGAAAGTAAGGACATCAGAACAGTGTAATCGTTCTGTTTCAGGAGCAAGGGAAGGCTCAGAGAAAGTGGGAGGCAGGCTTTAGAGGAAGACTACAGCATCATTCCAGAATGGGCCAAGCTATAAACTTAAGAAAGCACTCCCCAGGGAGTCAGAGTCTGGCAATCAAGGTCTCTATATGGCCTCAAGACCAAGAAAACCTCAGATTGCTGTCCCAGGAAAAGGAGAGGCCTAGCCAAGGCAATAATAATACATTTAGAAAGGACAGTGGGCAGCTATGGCAAGCTGGAGCCCTCCAGCTGCAGCTCCAGCTCAAGTCCCACCACAAGCACTGGCAGGAGCAGGTGAGGCTGGGGGTGCCATGCAGGATGGCAGTGGACCACTCAGCCACCATAAGGGAAAACACAGCAGGGATGACAGAGCGAGCTGTGGGAGAACCATCACATTCAGATCCATGATAAGCTTCAGACCAGACAATGAGCCAGGGACCAATGTTGGCAGGAACACTGGAGGTAAAGAAGATGCTAAACAACTGGGGAAGACAAGGGAAGGGACTGGAGAGGAGCAGGCACATGGGAGCTGAGGCTCAGACACCTGCCTTCAAAGATCACATGGAGACAGACCAAGTGAAGTATCTCCCCCAAGCAGGGATGGGCCAGCAGGGCAAACAAGGAAAGTCATCTGAGTACTTGCTGCTGGAAGAAGACACACTGAGCATCATCAGCATGTGCATTTGTGTGTTTGTGTACTTTGAAGTGTACATAGCTACATTTTTTTTTTGAGACAGCATCTTGCTCTGTGGCCCAGTCTGGAGTGCAGTGGGGCAATCTCAGCTCACTGAAACCTCCGCCTCCCAGGCTCAAGCAATTCTCCTGCCTCAGCCTCCCAAGTAGCTGGGACTACAGGCACACATCACTGTGCCTGGCTAATTTTTGTATTTTTAATAGAGACAGGGTTTCATCATGTTGGCCAGGCTGGTCTCAAACTCCTGGCCACAAGCAATCCACCCACCTCAGCCTCCCAAAGTGCTAGGATTACAGGTGTGAGCCACTGCACCCGGCCCATGGCTACAATGTTTTTGAGCATCTACTGAATGTAAAGCAGTGGGTGAGGCACATTACATACATTAGCTCCGTCAATTCACACATACACACAGACACACACACACACGATTTTGTGTAAGGCCACACAGTAAGTGGCAGAGCTGGGATTTGAATGTGTTTCTTGCATCCCAGGCCTATGCTCATAATCGCTCTTCTATTCCTTAAGATAAAAGGTAATACCATTTGACCCAGCCATCCCATTACTGGGTATATACCCAAAGGATTATAAATCATGCTGCTAATAAAGACACATGCACACGTATGTTTATTGCGGCACTATTCACAATAGCAAAGACTTGGAACCAACCCAAATGTCCATCAACGATAGACTGGATAAAGAAAATGTGACACATGTACACCATGGAATACCATGCAGCCATAAAAAAGGGTGAGTTCATGTCCTTTGTAGGGACATGGATGAAGCTGGAAACCATCATTCTCAGCAAACTATTGCAAGGACAAAAAACCAAACACCGCATGTTCTCACTCATAGGTGGGAATTGAACCATGAGAACACCTGGACACAGGAAGGGGAACATCACACACCGGGGCCTGTCGTGGGGTGGGGGGAGGGGGGAGGGATAGCATTAGGAGATATACCTAATGTAAATGACGAGTTAATGGGTGCAGCACACCAACATGGCACGTGTACACATATGTAACAAACGTGCACGTTGTGCACATGTACCCTAGAACTTAAAGTATAATAATAAAAAAATTTAAAAATTAAAAAATAAATAAATAAAATAAAAATAATAATAAACAATGGGAAGCTTTTGGAGATTTAAAAAAATAAATAAATTTTCACTTAAACTTGAAGAAAAAAATTCCCACTATGTGTCAGTCTAGGTATAATTACTAGGTATTGGAAATACAGTATTCAGCAAAAGCATATAGGGTTCAAACTTTCATAGATTTGACACAGAAAGACACTATTCAGACAATCAGGCTAATCAATATAACAAACTGATACACGTTCTGAGAAAGAAGAAATGAATCATAGTCCTAGGTGCAGGATAATCAGATGTGCACACAGCAGCTTTCCAAATGTGACCCAATCAGCCAGTCTGGGAATTCCAGGTTGACACGTTCTTATTCCTCCCTCTTCAGACAAAGGCCACAGAAATTAGATCAAGCACCTTGAATCAAGCACCACTGTTTAGCTTTCCAATGTCCTCACTCCAGAACTACAGGGAGAGGGTATACTAACATGCCTCAGTTGGCCTCCAGGGTGAAGCAAAGTTGTGGCTAAGTGAACACTTCCTCCACTCTACTAGGAACCCAGCGGTCCAGTGAGGTGCTGTAGCCCACACCTGAAGGTTCCCAAGAGCTGATTATGCACATCACGTCCCATGTTCAATGGCATCATGTTGGTACCCTGAAATCAGACATGCAGGGAGAATTTAAACTCCAAAAACAATAAGCACTACAAATCAAACAATAAACACTGCATCTGGGGGAAAAAAAAGATAAAAGGTAACTCTAGGAGATACTTTCATTTCTCCTATTTGATTGGAAAATGGGAGGAAAGGTGGGCTCTGCAAAAAGTTCTTCTGGGATGAGACGGGGCACTGAGTCATCCACTCTGGGTAACCTGCCCGGCTTTCTCACTTCCTAAGCTGGATCCCGGGTTTCTCTTCTGTTCTCCTCCTGCCCTCTGTGCTTACTTCTGCCTTCACATTGTATTAAAATCATTTGTCTCCACATCTGTTTCATCCATTAGACTAGTGAGTGGTTCTTATCCCTGGGTGCACATTAGAATCTGTTTAAAAATAACAATGCCAGGGTCTCACTCAATACCAATTAAACCAGAATCTCTATGGCTAGGACTTCGCAATTAGTATTTTTTTAAAGTTCTTCAGACGGCGATTCAAACGTGCCACCAGGTCTGAGACCCACTGTTGCAGGCTGTGAATACTTCAAGGTCAAGATCAGGTCATGGGTTTTTGAATCCCCAGAGCCCAGCACAGAGCCTGGTTCATAGTAGTTGCTTGACACATGTTTGCTGAGATGATGAATTCAGATAGCAGAAGATAAAGATCAAGAATACAGAAAGGGAAATCAGGAAAGTGTCATGAAGAATGGGAAAAAAAGATGTGATTTGAGAAGCAAAAAAGAATCTTCAAGATGCCAGGGCAAAGGAAAAATCTGCATGAGGCTGCACGATCATGAGGTTGTCTTGCATAACAAATCTCTAGTTAAAGGTAATATGAAGCTTCAATGCAGAATAAACAGCACTTGCCTCAGAGAGGAATGAGGTGGAGAGGAGTCAGAAACGTGAGTCTCTGAATGTACTGGAACAATGGGCGTTAGGGGCCAGAACCCTCGTCGGTGAGAGGAGATGAAGAGGGCACGTGCCAAATCAGAAGAGAAAGAATGAAATCATGAGTTTGAGAATAACAAAAATGTGTGAAAGAATATGGCCTGGAAGATAAAAATCATGATTTAAAAATAAAATGGGAAAACAAGAAAAAGAAATCTTATGAATAAGAGTGGATTTGTTAGCCATATGCATGTTTGCTCAGAATGCTATTGTTTCAGCAGCGGGGAAAGGATTATAGGTAAATAAAATACGCAAATGCAGTTCATAATGAAAAATCCTTTGATGAACAACTGAGATAATCACTGTGAAAACTCTCTGAAAAAATACAAAATGTTCTGGAAATGCAAGGTGACATAATTATCATTCTAAGGTGCGATCATCCAGTAGAAGTTGCTGTGTGTCCTAAGAAAATTAGCTCTCGGACAGGGGCAGTGGCTCATGCCTGTAATCCCAGCACTTTGGGAAGCCAAGGTGGGCAGATCGCTTGAGCTCAGGAGTTTGAGACCAGCCTGGGCAACATGGTAAAACCCCATATCTACAAAAAAAAATACAGAAATTAGCCAGGTGTGGTGGCATGCACCTGTAGTCCCAGTTACACAGGAGGCTGAGGTGGGAGGATTGATTGAGCCCAGGAGGCGGAGGTTGCAGTGAGCTGAGAGATCATGCCACTGCACTCTAGCCTGGGTAACAGAGTGAGATCCCATCTAGAAAAAAGAACAAATGAAAGGAAGGAAGGAAGGAAGGAAGGAAGGAAGGAAGGAAGGAAGGAAGGAAGGAAGGAAGGAAGGAAGGGAAGGAAAAAAAAAAACTGGCTCTCTGAGCACTGATCATTGGTAACTAAACTTACTTCAGCTTGAGACAGCTCTCAAGAGGTAGGCTCTCCCAGGCTGGGTCTTGGAGGAGAGCGATGTATGCCAGGTTTGTGCACTAGGTACCCTGGGGAAGTTGAAAGAAGTCAGCTTGAGTCTCTGGCTGTAATACATAGAGCCAGAAAAGAGAGAGAAATAGAATAAAGGGAGCAGAGAAACAAAGGAGAAAAAGGAGATATATTTAATATTTACTGAGTGCCTACTGTGTGCCAGGAACTGGGCATATGCAATTTCATTTAGCCATCAACATAACAGTACAGAGCTTTGAACTGGCCCAGTATCATATTCGATGTTAAGAGTATCTCACACCCCTCTGCAATTTTCACTCCACACTCTCTCCCTAGGATTGCACCCATGGCCAAAACTCTCTTAATAACTTAATGAAAAGCCTTCAGCCCAGTCTTTTCTGAGCTCCAACCATTATATCTCTAACTCAACTCAGATATCTCAAATGCACCGCAAACTCTTCAACTCCAAAACGGATGACTTTAAACTCGTCCCCAAACCTGATCCTCTTCTGGTGCTTCCTGTACCAGTGACCCCTAGCCCCAAACTGTCACCCCCATATAAGTGTGCAAACTTGAAACCTAGGAGTCTTTCTTGGCACGCTATTATCTTGCATCACTGTCCCATATCCAATCCACCCAAATTCTATTTATTTTACTTCCTAAACATTTCTCAAATGCTCCACTCCCCTTTCCATCTTCCTCTCCCTGCCTAGACCAAGCTACCATCATCTCTCACCTAGACTGCTGCAGCAGCATCAGGCAGCTCCTATCTGCTCCAGCCTCCTCCTATTGGTTCTCCACGTAGAAGGCAAAAGGATCTTCTCAAAATACAAATCTGATTATGTCTCCACCTCTAATCAAAACCCACCAGATCTGAATAAACCATTTGAATGGGTTCTCATCACTCTTCAGAGAAAGACCAAAGTCCTTCACATGGCCTGCAATGTCTGGCATGATTCAGTCCCTCCCCCATTTTCACCTGGCCTTCTTCCCTGTCTGCTCTGCTCTTCAGTCACACTGGCCTGGTCTCAGTTCTTGTCCTTCTGCCAAAGGGCCTTTACATGTACAGTTTCTCATACATCCACTTCTTCACCTCTGGACTCCTACTTATCCTCCAGATAGTATATCAAAGATCCTCTTACTGGAAGCCTTCCTTGACATCTAGATAGATCAGTTTCCCTTATAATCTCTCATAAGATTCAAATTATTTTCTTACAACACTTTTAAAGTTTTCATTTTACATTTATTTAAGCAACATTTTGTTTAATGTATGTCTTTCCTCACCAGACTACAATCTCATGAGAGCAGAAATTGTGTGGCTTTTCTCTGCCCTGCATCCCCCGCACTCAGACATGCTTGTCTCTTCATCCTCTACCTTGGGACATGCAGCTTCCTTTCTGTGCTACTCCCACACACCCTGTATGCCTGACCAGCTCCTACTCGTCCTTCAAGGTGTTCCCTTCCTCTCCTCACCATTCTTGTCTATTTCTTTGACCTGTGACTGTTCCCACAGGATTTGGGTGGATTGGGGTGGATTTGGGGTGGATAAAGGAAGGTTTGGGTTTTTTCTACCCTGTTGTTTTTTTCTGCCACTACACCTAACATGTGAATATTATTATGTGCCTTTTGTTCCATAGCTCCAGCTCTCAATATTTATTTGATCTCTAGATAAGAAAGTATAAAAGCAATGGAAGGAATAACTAACAAAAAGAAAATCAATAAATTTGACTACACAAAATTTGAAACTTCTGGACATCAGAAACCATTGTAAACAAAACTAAAAAGCAAATGACAAAGCTGGGTGAAAATATATGCAATAAATATGACAAAGGGTTGTTATATTTAATATATAAAGAGCTCATATAAGTCAATAAGAATACTAAAATCCCAGTAGAAAAATGGGCAAAGGGCATGAATATGTACAAATAGCTAATAAACACCTGAAAAAAAAATGTCTAACTGCACCAGTAGTCAGGGAAATGCAAATTAACACAATGCTAGGCCATTGTTCACCTATCAAATTAGGAAAACATTAAAGGCTGGTGAGGGTGCAGTGATCAATTGCTAATGCCCCAGGAAAAAAAATAAGAAAACAATTTTCAACATTCAATTGCCCCCTATCACCTAGAGAAAAAGTCCAAAGACCTCAGCAAGGCCTATGAGACTCTCCAGAGTCTCATCCTCACCTTCTTCCCCAGGCTTACCTCCTACCATGCCACAGCTCCCACCTGACACTCACAGTACTGAAGCAGCTAACATGTCCTGAGCATGGCATGGAATGTCATGTCTGCAAGATGGCCCTACCTGGATGCTCTGTCCTCCACTTCCACCTTCCCAACCCCACCCTGTCTTCTCCTAACACCTACTCCTCGACAGACTATTCTGAGATGTAACCACCTTTAGGAAACTCTCATGACCTGGGTTTGGTGGTCCTGCTCTGCGCTGTCATCACACACACATTCCCTCCCTTAGCCCTTACCACACTGTATTGAAAATGCCTCTTTATGGTTTTCTTTCCACCTTAGATTATATGCACCTCAAGAGAGGCATTATCTTTTTATTCATTCATGCATCTCTGGGCCTAATCCAGTGCAGATGCTCAACAGATGACTCTTGAACTAATCATTCATGTAATAAATCAATTATTCTATTCTGCACAATAAATTTTTGCCACTATTCTGGTAAATGCAAATTTTATTTTAAATGGATAAAATTAAGTCATTTTGGAAGGAGAGGAAATACCTCACCCATGCCCCAGCCCTCATTTTAGTACCTATGTTCTATCATCCTGTGGGTTGTAACCAATTAGTGGGCCGTGAAATTAATTCATGGGTCACAACTACCATTTTTTTCACAAAAAAAGATTTGAACTGGAAGAGAATGGAATGACTCTCATGTCTGTTCTTTCCTTTCCATGATGGATTTCCCACCTGCTGCACCCAGGCAGGAAGATGTGCCAGTTAAAAACACAAGTTGAGGAGTTGAAGATCCTGCTCTGATTCATATTAATTGTGAGACTCCAGGAGGGTTACTGATCTTTCTGCTTTGGTCTCCTTACCTGCAAAATTGGGATAATAAAAATACAAATAGGATGAAACAGGAAGAACCAGTTTTGCCTCAAATTCTGAAAATTGCTCATCAGCCTTTCTCATAGAAACACAGTAAGACCCACCAGAACAAACACAGCACAACCATATTATTTCCCCCGGCACTTTCTGTGTGTGTGTACATGTGTGTGTTTTGAGACAGGGTCTTGCTCTGTTGCCCAAGCTAGAGTGCAGTGGCTCTATCAAGATTCACTGCAGCCTCCACCCAACCCAGGCTCAAGCGATCCTCCTGCCCCTGCCACCTGAGTAGCTGGGACCATTTTCTGTTCTGATGCCTGACTCCTTCTTTGTCAAGTCTCCATTCAGGCAGCAGCTCTGCCCTATTTCAACCCCACCCCTGCCCTGTCCCTTCTCTGTGTGCCCACAGTCCCTCTTGTGGTCCCCTCCATCACAGCACTGGCTACAGTCATGGCTCCAGCAGTTGCTCATTTCTCTATCGCTCCTTAAGGGCAGGGATTGTGCCTTTTGTTTCATAGCTCCAGCATCTAGCACGAACCCTCTTCCACAGAAAGCTCTTGGTATGCATTTATTGGAGACAGGGAGGAGGTGAGGAGGATAGAAATTCTTCATCTGACACTTTCCCCACATTTCCAAGGCCATAAAGCAATGCAGGGCCTTTGAACTGTAGGCCATTTTCTAAAAGTCTGCTCGTGTGGGCACACAGGGTCTCTGGAGAGGGAACTCCTGGAATGAGGCAGGTCAGGGGGAGCACCAGGGGAAGTTGGATGCCAGGAATACGTGTTCCCTCTTGGAGATCTCACAAGCTGGGGGAATTTCTCTGGAGGAATGTGAGTTGCACAATCGACCCTTTGAACACTGATTAGAGGCGACGGCTTTGTATGTCTTCATATGAACAGACTTGTAGTGGGGCAGGGACAAGGCTACTCTCCCTACTGTAGGGATTCCAGATTTTTGGCCACTCAATTCCAGAGCCCATGAACAGAAGTCACTGCTTGGACCAAGCCATGGTAACTGAGGTGACGCCATCTGGGTCAGCGGCATCAGAGAATGGGAAGCTGTGGAGAGAAGGGTGTTAACATTGGCTAATCAGAACCAGGCCCACAATTGGGCAGCTCACACATACCGTTTTGCTTGTTGACATACCAACCCAATGACAATAGCCTTGACCATACAGATGAGAATGCTAAGGACCAGAATGTTAAGAACTTGACCAAGCTCACACTGTAAGTCACTGAGCCCAAATTCAAACCTAATTCTGACTTCAAATATCTTGTTCTCTTCACATTGAATCTCTATCTCCAAGTAATTTCTTTTTCATCAGAATTTGAGTCTAATGCTCCTATTCCAGGCCAGAGGGAAGAGAGACATGGAAGGAAGGCTCTACTACCATGTATACAGACGCTAGAGAACTAGGCACTTAGGAATGTGTCTGTTGCC
This sequence comes from Homo sapiens, assembly GCF_000001405.40. NCBI lineage: Eukaryota > Metazoa > Chordata > Mammalia > Primates > Hominidae > Homo > Homo sapiens. The sequence goes on along the minus strand of NC_000017.11, from coordinate 32,943,430 downwards.
TGGGAAACCACACCTGGCACAGAGACAGTCCTGAGATCCCTGGCACTCACTAACCAGCCCCTTCCAAGGGAGGAAGTAACTTCAGCCAACTCCCGAAGGGCCTAGAGGAGTGGCATTGCCTCCTACCCCAAAGACTGCTTCCACTTCAACCATCAGCCACCAACACCAAATTTATCCAGAGGCTTCTTACTTGTCCAGCACTAGAAAAAAAAACTACACAGCAGTGGGATCAGAAATCCTACAGTCCAGCAGACACCTCCAATATCTTCGGCAACCTCTCCTCACAACAGAAAGGGCAGCATCTAAGGGATCCAGAAAGCCAATGTGCCAGGACTTGCCAGGACTCAGAGAAGGTAATCGACATTGGGCATTGCTTCAGGGGTGCTGGGAAAGCTCTCCACCCTGCAGACCCACACCAGGTGGATGGTATTTGAGATACCAATTCAGAACTGCTTCTCTGTGGCTTAGGGCTCTAGTGCAGGTTAAAATGCAGGGGACACTTACAACTGTGGCAGCCATTGCAAACTTAGCATGAATTGCTTTCCAGTCTAATTACGAAAACAGGTTCTGAAAGGGAGGTAAAAAGACAAAAATAGGATGACTCTGGATGTTTACTGTGGAGGCCTCAAATAGAAAAGTCAAAGTGACTTTGTATACATTCCCCATTCACAGCTTGACAGGACGGGAAAGTTCACCACTTAACGTTTTTAAGAGTTGATGGAAGCCACCAATCCAATAAGGTGTCCCCTGGAGCCCATCCAGAATCCATCCTTTAGTCCATGAGAGTTGAGCTCCAGCTTCCCTCTCCTGACTCCATATCCCAGCTGTGGTTCTGTGGTTTGGTGTACATTGTGCAGGTTGGAAGTGGCCTGTTTTCCTGGAAAGAATGAAATGTGCCCAAATGGAAAGACAAACCAGGTCCCAATCTTGGATTTGGGAATATGGGTTCCTGGTTCCCCAGAATCCAGCTGAGGAATTTTCTGACTTCAGTTAGACAGAGAAAATGACATGGGAACAGATGTGCAACTCCAAACATGCTTGACAGCATAGGCTACGAACCTGGGCAGCCCCTATACCAGGCCCCTCTCCCAAGAGCAAGCTGGCTCTGAGAATCTGAGAAGTGAAGAATTCAAGCTTTTCCTACAGGCTTATGACAGAAATTATGCCATTTGGGTATGTATCCAAATTATATAATTGTGATTCTGGGTCATAGCTTTCATAATCTTTCAATGTTTGCAAAATGAACAGATATTAATATCAGAAGAAAGGGGGAACACATCGTTCAAGTCATTGCTATTGTTAATGTGGAAACTACTTCATAGTGCTATCTTCACTTCTGCCTGAACTCCAAGAGGTCTTTAAATATATTTTATATATATGTATGTTTTGGAGACATGGTCTCACTCTGTCGCCCAGGCTGGAATGCAGTGGCACAATCAGGGCTCACTGCAACCTTCACCTCCTGGGCTCAAGCGATCCTCCCACCTCAGCCTACCAAGCAGCCGCACGTGTCACCATGCCCAGCTAATTTTTGTAGTTTGTGTAGAGATGAGGTTTCACCATGTTGCCCAGGCTGGTCTCAAACTCCTGGGCTCAAGCAATCCACCCACCTTAGCCTCCCAAAGTGCGAGGATTACAGGTGTGAGCCACCGCGCCCAGCCTAAATATCTCATTTTGAGGCATACACAGAAATCATCCTCAGGATTCTTAGGCTCTCTCCTTCCATCTAAGTATGTCCCACAATACACCATGCATATGAATTTGACTCAATAACTACACACTTGAGGGAAACATAAGTATAAATTTACTATCCACCTAGTGGTAGCTAGGTAAAATTGCAGGCATAAAGATAAAAAAGAAATCATCAACTTTGTAGTTCCTCAGCTTCAAACCCAAACCTGCAAGGGAGAGGAGAGACCCAGACGCCTCAGGGACCAGGCAGATAATACAAATAAATGAAACAGGCCAGGTGAGAGAGTACAAGTCTTGCCAAAAGAAGAAACCCCTACTTAGTTTCAATTGATTGTCCTCTTCTGAAAATGCAGATCAGAATTGCCACACATTCTGACCGATCGAGAGAGGCCAGAAATTCTAATTTTAATGTGAAACCTCTTGATTTCTTAGACGGTGGCTCAATTTTCTTGAAAACACTAGGTGAGCTAAATAAAGCTGACAGTCCACCAGTTTTCAATACTCCTCTTGCAGAGAGTGAATGGCATCTCCCCTAACTGTAGTATTAGACTGCCACTCACCAGCCACAGTTTGCAACTGCAAAAGAGGCATAAACTGACGGGGATCTCCTGCTTTACTATGCACACACAGCTGAACTCTCCAGCCGTGGAGAACAACTAACTCTATAGGAAAAAGTAGAAGGCTAAGCTGAGCCATCCAGGGATGGCGGCAGGGGCCTTCATGGCTAGCTGCTGGCCTGTAGGCACTAAATTGCAGACTGCTCCTGCAGGAAGCCTTCAGGGCCTGGGAGGCCTTTATCTGGCTCAGAAGCTAGGGCTGCTTCTCGAAGGACTTCCAAATGCTCCTCAGCAGCCGACAGAGACTGGTCAATCCAGTCCAGGCCTCCCGTCAGATGGCAGGCATTCCTTGTCACCAGCACCAGGTGACTGACAGACAGGAGCAGGGCAGTCGTCCTAGGGAAAAAAAGAAAATAGGGTCAGGTTTCCTAGGAAATGAGGGACTTTGCACAAAAGCCCAAATAGATAGACTTTTTGACTAGTATTCCCCAAACTGCACACCCTTCCCTAGGATGTTGGTAGGTATGCAATTTAAAGTTGGCTCCATGCTCAAATAAATTTGGAGATGGCTGGGTTAAACATGGTTAACTGAAGCCTGCCTCAGAGCCTTCTGAGATGTACCTGGTAAAGCTCCAAGGAGAATATAACAGGCTGTCTCTCACAAGCTTATTTAAGACTGTGGAAGCCATTTTCTGCAGCACACCTATTAACATCTCCCCAAAGAGCGCTTTGTGAAACAGTTCAGATATAGTCAATCAGATGAGCATATTCCCCAACCGCTGCCCACTGAAACATAGGACAGACACACCCTCACTTAAACATTCCTTATTGATTACAAATTGGTAAGGCCCAGGGCTGGTTTATCCAACTCAAAAAAAAAAATGTAACTGAAAACCAAAGTGAGGAGTAGATTTTTCAGTGCTGAAAGATTCACTGTAGAATACCTTTTATATGGTTAGTACCATGATGCATTTGAGAATACATTACAGATTATTAACCCACGGACAAAGCTCGGCAGCAGTAGGAGTGGGGCAGAGAAACCAAAGCTGAAGCGCTGTGACCCACTGCCGATCTGGCAACTGTTACATGTGTATGACACAGTCATATAAATCCAAGGCACGAAAGAATCTATATTTCTTAAATGGGTTGCATCTGGTATAGGAACATAACAATTTCATAGGGCTAAGTACACTCTGTGTATGCGCATGTCTGGTGGCAGGTGAGCACAGCTGTGGCTGACCTGTCACCTCCATTCTCACTGCTCTGGGAACCACTGCCCCACCGCCCAACTGGGTGGCACTCACAGCTAAGGCATGTCTGCTTCTGGGGTACAAAAATCAGAGGGGGAAAGGGGAAAAGGTAGAAGGGAAGGCACAGTTAGGATGTAACATGGCCGGAAGTCTAATCATAACAATTTAAAATCTAAGACTGCCTCTTTCTTCTCCTGGGTTTCAGGAGAGGACTGGCCTCTATCACCCAGTCAGGCGCCGCTCACTGAAGTAAATGGCACGCATGGCCCGGGCAGCCTAAGGAGGCTGCAAAGCCACCCTCCCTACACAAGCCAGTCAGCCAGCCTCACAGATCTGATAAAACGGTTGTGGACCTCTGCATGAAAAACCGAACATGCACCCACCCCTGGTCTCACCGTGCGTCCAGGAGTTTGGGGTCCAACGGAGGGTACATCGACTTCACAACATCATCCACCCTGACCGGAGGCAAAAGGTGTTCAGTACTTCACTTTCCTGATCTCCTTTTCTCCTTTTTTTTTTTTTCCTGAGACAGAGTCTCGCTCTGTCACCCAGGCTGGAGTGCAGTGGTGCTATCTCAGCTCACTGCAACATCCACCTCCCAGGCTCAAGTGATTCTCCTGCCTCAGCTTCCCAAGTAGCTGGGATTACAGGCACGCGCCACCATGCCCAGCTAATTTTTGTATTTTTAGTAGAGACGGGGTTTCACCATGTTGGCCAGGCTAGCCTTGAACTCCTGACCTCAGGTGATCCACCCACCTCAGCCTTCCATAGTGCTGGGATTACAGGCACGTGAGCCACACGCCTGGCCCCTTCCTTCCTTTCTATCTTTATTCCAGTTCTTCTTTTTTGGTATTCCAGACCTGGTCTTTAATGGTTCTTTCTCCAATTGCTTCTGCATTCTCAGACAGACACTTAGGCACAAAGACTTCAGGTTCAGTCTTTGCAGAGACTACTTTGTTTTCTAGTTTTGTTTCAGTTCCAATGGTTTTTTAAAATACAGTCATACATATGGAATGATGTTCAAGATTACTACTATATTAAAAAGGCAAATTGCCAAATAATATGTAAAGCTCAATCTGTCATTTGCATAAAAATAGATAAACAAAAGCTCTGAAATGTGGGGTTGGGAAGGATCTGGAGGAACACTCACCACTTAATAGTGGTTTTTTCCTACAATTGGGAGGGAGTAGACTTTCCAGGTCATGTATGTCTGCAGTATTTCACATTTTTATAAGCATTAATTACTCTTGTATTCAGGAAAAAAAAATACAAAGCTAAAGGTATGTAAGACACCGAAAAAGAAGGCCATGAGTTTCATTTGGCTTCACACTGCTCTACTGGATTTCTTCTACCCTGTGGTTAATTTTTTTAAATCAAGTTCAGAACTACAATTCATTCTGATTTGCGTGGCACAAGGTTTTGCTCCAAATCTTTGCTCATGAACACTCGATAGGAAGAAAAAATAAAGATGTATTGTTTGATTTCTAAAAGCACTTGAAAAAAAGATGGCCTCAAACACTCTTATTCACGGCTGTGGAGCCGGTGAGGACATGCAGAGACACAGTCACCCTCCGCGCCTATCTCAGCCAGCTCCTTTCTCTAGTGCCCTGGAGCTGAAGCCACCTCCTCGAGACTCACAGGCCATCAACACACTGTGTGGGATAAATGGAGCAGGAAAAACAATGGGGACAAAACATGGCCAGAAGGAGAAAGAAGTGTGAGGGCAAAAGGACAAAGCAGGACCCTGGCTGAATTATGGCACGGAGCATTCTAGAAGTAGTCCAAGGTACTCTTTAGGATGGGCCTGTGAGCACCAGAACAGGTCCACTCTCTGGACAATGCCACACCCTCATCTTAGGACCCGTGCTGATCCTACTCACCCAGGCTCACACAGAAACCTCAACCTCCTGAAAGTGCTGCCTTGTAACCTGTATCACAGGAATCTGCCTGGCCTCTAAGTGGCTCTTAGAAGGCACAAAAAGCATGACAAAGGGTCTAGTGAATACCATAGTGCAGAATCTTTAAAACTAATGGGGAAGGAGGCCGGGTGTGGTGGCTCACACCTATAATCCCAGCACTGTGGGAGGCTGAGGCAGGAGGATCACCTGAGGTCAGGAGTTTGAGATCAGCCTGGCCAACATGGTGAAACCCCATCTCTACTAAAAATACAAAAATTAGCCAGACATGGTAGCAGGCACCTGTAATCACAGCTACTCAGGGGGCTGAGGCAGGAGAATCGCTTGAACCCGGTAGGTGGGGGTTGTAGTGAGCCAAGATCGCACCACCGCACTCCAGCCTGGGTGACAGAGCAAGATTCCATCTCAAAAATAAATAAATAAATAAAATAATGGGGAAGGAATGCCCAGTGCCCACCCAGAGCCTGGGATGTGGGTTCTTATAAAGCCAGGGGCTGACCATGTGGCTACAGCCCACTGGAGGCAATTCCAGAGAAGGCAGGGAACTGTTCTCAGCTGAGTCCCTCCCTGGATTATCTCCCTCCCACTCTCTCAACTCACTGAACTGCCTGGACTGAGTTCAAGCTGACCAGGTCGTGTATTCCCTCAGAGGAACTCACGTGGCAACTCAGGAAACTGGTCGTTTTTATTTGGTTAATCTTGAGGCAGAGAAAGGGCTGGTTCCTCGTGATTTACCTGGGGCCATGGCAACAAGGAACGTGTGGGCCCCTGGAACTCACAGCAGTGCCATTGTTTCAGCAGGCATACAGAGGTGCCCTCCCGGGTGGGCGGAGGGGCCAGGTGGCTGACGTGGAAAACATCCTGGCCCCGACCCTCTGCTCAGGCACGTCGGCATACCAGCCACCAGGTGGCAGCACAAACTTAGTACAGCCCTTGGCTCTAAGAAAAGGGCTTTATTTTTCCTCACGATATCAAGCCCAAATGAGGGGGTGTAGCTGTTGACTGCAATCCTGCTGGTTGCCTCCCACACGGGATTTCGCAGTTAGCCTGGAATCTGGGAGGTTGAATGCCATATGGCTTCAGCTCCCACCCAGTGCTGGAGGCTGCTGGCCTGGGCCAGGGATGGAGCAGTGGGCACAGCCAGAGTGGGTCCCCCAAGCTAGTCTCCAACACAGATTCAGGCAGAGACAGGGGTGTGGGCATCTGTGTGACATGTTGGCCTGGGAGGAAGGCGTGTCAAGGGGAGCTGGTATGTGGCTGGGTAAGAGGGGCGGCCACGGGCTCTGCAGGGCAGGGTCTAGGACAGGGTCAGGACTAGGCACCTGCTGGCGCTTCCCCAAAGCCCTCTCAGATGGGTCATGCTGCAGGTGGGGATGGTGGAAGCCCACCTTAGCTGAGAAGTCTCGGTATCTAAACCCTCCTGGTCACTCTGTAAATGTGTGGGAAACAAATAGCTGAAGTTGCCTGTGCACCATTTTATAGAAGAGCCCAGCTCTGCGGCTACCCCAGCTTCCAGCCCCTCTCTTCCCTCAGGGAGTGTGGGGACCTCGAAGCCGCCAATTGCTCACCTGGGGCTGATCCGCTTGGCCACCACAATGATGTCGCTGACACTGGCTGAAGTCTTCATCTTGGCCCCAGAGCCCATTGTCATGGCAACAAGCTTCTCTGTCAGAGTGTGACAAATCTAATGCGGCAGGGAGGAGAGAGATGAGGGCTGACCTGGCTCCACTCAGGGCCTCGCCACCCCCACGAGACAAATCAGCCCTGCCGTGAGTTCCATCGCAGCTGGCCCCCAACCTAATGGCCAGATGTGAAAAGTACAGAGATGAGAGGAAACGGGTGGGAAGTGGCAAAAGCCAAGGGCATGGCTGGGAGAGGACCTGGGGTGGGAGCCGCAGATCAAGGGCAGGGTGTGGGCTCTGGGAAGCCTAAGCTGAAATAATCTGTCTTAAGAAAAATCATGTGCTCCAATTTCACCTTCTCACTTAGGGGAAAAACCTACTTTCTTTTTCTATTCCTTCATCTCATGGTTTAGTCTTCCACAAGAATAAATATCTCCAACAAGGCACCCTCAGGAATGGGGCTGAACAAAGGGCAATTGTTCCCTTTAAGCACATGCTCCAATAACAGCACTTATTTCAACAATTGTCTCAGGTAATATATTAGCATGTTTATCAAGCTGATGATGAAAGGACCTTAGGAAAAGCAGGGAAAAGGCAAGACTGACTACAGCCTTCTTCGTGGTCCCACCCACAGAGCTGGCCACCCCAGAGCTTGCTTCCCCTTTCCAGGCCACCCCATGCTAGAACCAACCAACATGGGTGCGCCTCTATCCATGGCAAGGAAGCACCCCTACCTGACCTATACTTGGAGCTGGACAGTAGAGGGCAGAAAGAAGCCCAAAGGTCCACCTGGGAGTTAGCCCAGACCCCTCTCCCAGCTCCCACCACAGAGACTCAAGGGCAGGTGACCTAGCAAAAGAGTCTTAAGATCCCAAGAGGAGACTTAGAAGCCCTCTCCTTTGATCAGAGGTTCGCCGGGTAGACACAGATTCCAATTCAATATGACTCCCTCCAGCTGATTCATCTCACACCACAGGTGCCATTTATCCTCCTAATAGATGAGGACAGGAGACAAAACCCAGGCCCAGGACACATCTTGGCCAGGAGAAGGGAAATGTAGTATAGTATTATCTTCTAGCCATTATGCCTACCTAGCTCTATCAATAACCATATTTATATCTATAGCCATATTTGTATATCCAAAGAGCCTCTCAGAATTAACTAAGCCTGGACTCTGAGATAATAACTTCCTACTAGGCATTTATCCATCCCCTGAGAGAGACAGCCAAAGAAGAGGTGGGGTAAAGAATGTTTTATTAATAGTGTCTTCTACTGAATGACACTAAAGAAAAGACAAAGTTGTCTCTTTTGAAATCTTGAATAATTACTAGTCAAAGAGATAAATGTGTGATTACCCAGGTTACTGATGTAAAAAAAAAAACCCTGATATTTGCAACTGGCCAAATATTTCAGTATAGTTATTATTCTATTAGGTAGGATATTAACAGGCAAGAATTGAAAACAAATGCTAAAACCATAAAATTACCCAAAATGCAAATTGGATGCAATTTTTCAAAGATTCCAGGCTTTCAAAGAAAAAATCCTCTGCCTTCAGATTGAAGTATGCCTGCTTTGGTTTTTTAACACTGATTGTCCCATTTGGCTGACTACGGTCACAGCCAAAGAAGGCTAGTGATGACTTTCTAGTCACAGTAGAAATCCAAATACAGAAAGAAACTCACCATACAGGCCTGAACTCTCTGTTAGTGAAAATGAGTGTGCAGGGGGAAGCAGGGAAACCCCATTTCTCTTGGCAGCTACACGGTCTCAGGAATACACAGCTTTCTCCAAGAGGAGTGAAATGGTGGCTGTGTACCTAGGCTGTCTTTCCCACAGGTCATTGAATTAAGACGACCAGATGAAATAAAGCCTTTGAAACAGCCTTGAGATTCTGTGAACAGCCAGTCCAGGCAGGGGGGGAAGTAAACCACAAAAATTCCAAGTGTCAAGTTAAGGAAAGGCCTCTTGCGAGAGGTCAGTGCCCTTTCTAAGGTCCCGTTCTACTCCATCCACGCACAGTGGTGCTTTTCGACTACCCTTTATCCCACAGAGAAATAAGAGAGGGTTACCTTCAAGATGGCAATGCAGTGGGACATGAGACCCCTGGGGAAACAAGAAGAAGTCATCAGTGCTCATCTGGAGGGGCCCACCACCCTCCAGCTCCCACCCTTGCTTCTCAACTTGCCCTGACCGGTGGGCACAGCCCAATACCAACCACTGAGAGTGGGAATGCCTCAGTGTCAACATGAACCAGCCCATGAGTTAAAGGAGGGAGCACCTCCCTTCCCTTCCCCTCCCTGCACCCAATCCACTCTTCCAGCAAGCTCCACTGTGTGCCTAGCGAGTCATGCTTTAATATAACTCTCAAGCTTCTGGTAGACTGTTCCCTCTGCCCAATGTGTCCTTCCCCTTTGCTCAGACTGGGGAACTCCTCCTCATCTTTCAAGACCCAAGTCAAAAGGCACCTCCTCTGTGATATCTTCCATGAGATCCAGCTCAACCTCCCCAACCCAGGCAAACCTAGACACTGCCTTCTCCATGTGCCTACTGCACTGTACACAAGGATCTCTTACAGTTTCTGTGATACTGACTATAACTGTCTTTTCAACCGTTTCAATATCTGCAGCACCTGACCCAGTACCCTCCACATAATGCCCCACAAACATGGGACCAGGGAATGGATGGCTAAATGGATAAGGCAATGAAGTAGCAGCCGCTTCTCAAAATGTAGGGGCTCCTGTTGGATGGAGAGACCCCTGAGATCCTAAAGAAAAGGGCTGCATCTCTGAAGCCTGAGCCAAATTTATGGGCACTCAAGGATAACCAAAGCACACCAGGGTGACTTTATAACAACCTTTGCCACACAACTATAGGCCGCAGTGTTCAGGTCTACAAAATGTGGGGAGAGAAGGAAAGGACAAACACTTTCAAGTCATATTCTGATTTTCCCCCACACTAAAGGCACAGGAAAGAGCAGCAAGTAACAGAGTGACTGTTCTTGAATGCCAGCTAAGTGCTCTGGCAAAGGACACCAGCAAAGGGCATCATTTGCCAGAAGCCCGGAAGCAAACAGTTCCCATGGCCTTACGAGGCATCTTCGATCCAGTCTTCATTCTCCAGAATGGCCTCAATGTGGGGGTTGGTGATAACGACATCGTCCAGTTCTAACTCAGAGGGCTCAGACTGGGTCTCCATGGCACCAATGAGGTCCACAATGGGCCTGGAAGAAAAGGCCCCCGTTAAATGGTTTCATGGTGGGTGACCGCTGCTGATCCTCTCCTCACTGAGGCCCACATACACCATAAAAGAAGTAAGGGAGTCAGTAAGCTAGGGCAGAGACCACTTGTCCCGGATCCAAACCTAAGCCTAGTGGGGCTGCAGCTGAGGGCAGGGCACATGGCTAGACAGGGAGTTGGGGAGGCAGGCCGGGAGCACTAAAACAAAAGAAAAGTGAAATGGAGTCAGATAAGCTACCAAGAGAAAGAGTAGGGTATAACTACCTGATTACAAAGATGTTAGGGATATCCCTTCAGGACAAAATTATATCCTTCTATAATGTATTTTCCCTTTAATCCTACATTTTACAGAGAGGCGGTGGTTCCTATTACCCAAACCTACATAGGCTCCCCACCTGGTCTGCAGAATAACTCTTGTGAACCACTTTGGTCCATCCCTATATCCCTGCCTTTTCCTAGTTACACTGGAAAAGTGAAAGAAGTAAAAACACCTCCAATTTTACAACAGGGTACTTTAGAAAATGAGATACCATGGCATTCTGTTCAGTAGAAGAGCTTTCCTGGGTCATATAAATGGGCATTTATAAATTATGAACCACTTGACAGAGATGCTGATAGGATTAAGACAGAAGGATAAGAAAAACTAAGGGTTAATCCCTGAACGGTCTATCAATTAAAATATCCCTAAATTGAAAATAGAATCTTGCTTACAAAATATATTTCACATACAATGCATCACAAAGAAATCTGCTGGGCAGGCCAAGCATGGTGGCTCATGCCTGTAATCCCAGCACTTTGGGAAGCTGAGGCGGGTGGATCACCTGAGGTCAGGAGTTCAAGACCAGCCTGGCCAACATGGTGAAACCCCGTCTCTACTAAAAATACAAAAATTAGCTGGGCGTGGTGGTGCATGCCTGTAATCCCAGCTACGTGGGAGGCTGAGACAGGAGAATCACTTGAACCCGGGAGGCGGAGGTTGCAGTGAGCCAAGATTGCACCATTGCACTCCAGCCTGGGCAACGAGAGTGAAACTCTATCTCAAAAAAAAAAAAAAAAAAAAAAATCTGCTGTGCAAAGAGAGAAACAGTCCTAAGTTGGGATTTCACAAAACCAAATGTTTGTTGCTTAGATGTATGGCCAGAGTGTGGGCATCTGATTTCTGTTCCTGTGGGTCTGGCTGGAAAGTGATTTGGCTTATCCAAATGCTAAGTGAGGTGGCCAGTTTGAGACAGATGGCTGAGCTTTTATGCTAGGTGAACATGTTCATATTCAGTGACTTTCTTCTTGGCTCAGGAAGCAGAGAAGGAGGTGACTCAGGATGTTGGGAGGCTTAAGGAACATTCTTAAACTCTGAGGTCTTTACAGGGAAGGACACCTGCAGGTACCATTTTAGAACCAAAAAGCTGAGTTAGAGTTGCCCAACACTGAACTACGTGTTCCTCTCTTTTTCTTTAGTTAGAGCCCACCCCTCCTCCTTGCCCTCCATAGGCTCACTCACTTAGAATCATAGCGCTGCAGCAGGTCTCGCGGCCGGCAGTAGCGCTGCCTGCAAACCAGCACCAAGGCTGCAAACGAAGCCAGAAAGATGGTGGCCAGCACACCTATGGCAACAATCACCACAGTCTCCATGCTTCCAGAGGGCTCCTGACTCAGTCCCGGTCACATCCTCCTCATGGGCTAAAGCTTGAGAGAACATGAAGTCAGAGCAGATCTGGTCAAGAAGCCACGAAAGAGAGTGGGACAGGTGGGTCTTACCTGCTGGAAGTGGCAAATTGGGGAAGAGGATGGCAGGTGCTAGGTTCCTCCACGACACCTGCAGAGACCTGAGGGCCTGAAGAGAACCAAGGTAAAATTTATGCCATGCCCCAAATTTGCCTTTTCCTTTCTCAGAAGAATTTGCTCCCCAGTTGGACTAAAATTTTTTGTTTGTTTGTTTGTGTTTGTTTGTTTTTTTAAGATGGAGTCTAGCTCTGTCACCCAGGCTGGAGTGCAATGGCACGATCTCAGCTCACTGCAACCTCTGCCTCCTGGGTTCAAGCGATTCTCCTGCCTCAGCCTCCCAAGTAGCTAGGATTACAGGTGCCTGACACCACACCCGGCTAATTTTTTGTATTTTTAGTAGAGACGGGGTTTCACCATGTTGGCCAGGCTGGTCTTGAACTCCTGACCTCAAGTAATGCACCCACCTCGGGCCTCCCAAAGTGCTGGGATTACACGCGTGAGACACCGAGCCCGGCCTTAAAATAGCTTTTTAAACCCTAGACAAAAGGAAACATTTTAACTAGCAGTTGTTTTCGCAGCCATAAAAACATGCACAAAAGAACACCCATTAAAGAGAGGAAAGATGAAACTGTATTTACTGAGGATCTACTCTGCACCAGGTTCTTTGTTAACTTTTCCAACAACAATCTTATGAAGTGGACATATTAGTAATCCCATTTTACAGTTGAGGAAACTGAGGTTCAGGGAGGTTACAGAATTTTTCCAATATGCAGTCAGGAGATGGAAAGCCATCCACTTACACTGAGATGGACATTCACTCTACTTTTCCTTTCTAAGGAAGAAAGAAGACTGTAAAGGTTCTGGAAAGAGTTCTAATTGCCAGTTTCAGTGTTGGAAACTTAGAACTGGCATTAAAGTGTCCATTGCCTCTTGCCAGTTTTCACTCAGGAGACTGTTTCACATCTATTTCTTTTTCTCATAGAATTCTTTTATTTGTGTACAAAAGAAGAATGAAAGAAGTCCGTGCATTTGTATATACTAGTGCACAGAATTTTTTTAGTATGAACACATCGATAGGCACAAACACACATAAAATGTAACTTGATAACAGTAGCTGCCTCTGGAGAGAGGAACTGAAGAACGGGGTCTTTCACACCTATTTTAAACTCATAAGCCAGAAGAACAAGGGCATCTCACAGAAGTACATATTCACTGTTATTTCATTGTAGGCCTCCTGCTTGTCTCTCTTTGTGCAAGCATTCTCCCCTCTCTGGGCTTTAATTTCCCCACGTGAAAAAAAGACACTCTGACTTAGGAGTCCTTAGAATACCAGGAGGGTGCTTTTCCTCTATTTGCACTTAATTCTATCCTCCATGTCTCGGAGGGTCCAAACGCTCTCGGTCACCATTCACTAAGTATTTATTGATCATCTACTATGCATCATGCACTGGAGATTGGAGATAGATAGGACAGAGACCCTGATCTTAAGGAGTTGGTGGGAGAGGCAGACAGGTGACAAACCACTTCAACTCCATGTGCCTGTGCTTCCTGCAGAAGAACACAGAAAAGAGAGTAACTGTGCTTGCATGACACTTTCTGGGAACTGACACTTTCACAGGAGTGGTGAGGCTAGAGCTGGGTTTTGAAGGATGAGCAGGAGTTTGCCAGGTAGACAAGGTTGGGACATGCCTGGCTTAAAGTGCCAAGGAAGCCTTTCTCAAAGGGCTCACAGAGCTGCTCTCCCATCTCGAGCTCACTGGACCACAAGAAGGAGAAGGCTGGCATCTGCCTCTTCTGTGTGTGTCGCTGATTTTGTGAGAGGTAGGTGGGGGAGGGGGGTAATTCTCAGGGTCCGCCTCTGTTTCTCTACGTGTGTGTTTCTCTTTACTGTCCTTTTAACCACCTCCTTTTGGCCTTTGTGTTTTCTGCCTCCTCTTATGTCTGCCTTTATCTCTGTTTCTCTTTCCAGGCATCTTTCCCTCTGCTGCTCCCGTCTCCCGCTTCTCAGTGTCTCTCCTTCCCCTCCCCCGGTCCCCAGGCCTCCAAGACCACCCACTTGGTTTCCTCTCTCTTCCTGTGCGTTCTGAGTGTTTCTCTGATCGTGTTTCTCTGGGTGTGTGTGAGCTGAGTGTGCTTCTAAGTGTGTTTCTCCGTGTGTGTTTGTGTTAGTGTGCGTGAGCTGTTTTTCTGTTTCTGTGTGTGTGAGCTGTTTCTCAGAGTGTGCTTCTGAGTGTGTGAGCTGTGTTTCTCAGAGTGTGTTTCTGAGTGTTAGCTATGTTTCTGAGTGTTTTCTGAATGTGCTTGTGTGAGCTGTTTATCTTGAGTGTGCTTGAGTGGGTGTGAGCTGATTGTGTTTCTCAGAGTATGTTTCTGAGTGTGTGTGAGCTGAATGTTTCTCCGAGTGTGCTTGTGTGTGTGAGCTGAGTGTGCTTCTGAGCGAGTGTGAACTGTTTCTCGGAGTGTGTTTCTGAGTGTGTGTGAACTGAATGTTTGAGTGTGCTTCTGTGTGTGAGCTGAGTGTTTATCTTGTGTGCCTCTGAGTGCGTGTGTTTCTGAGTGTGTGTGAACTGAATGTTTCTGAGTGTGCTTCTGTGTGTGAGCTGAGTGTTTATCTTGTGTGCTTCTGAGTGCGTGTGTTTCTGAGTGTGTGTGAACTGAATGTTTCTTAGTGTGCTTGTGTGTGTGACCTGAGTGTTTATCTTAAGTGTGCTTCTCAGTGCGTGTGAGCTGAGTGTGTTTCTCGGAGCGTGTGTTCGTGGTCCTTCTCTGCAGTCTGCGTGGCGTTTCTTTGTGTTTTTCTTTCTCTATTCTTCCCTGCGTACTGAAGAGTAAGTTTTCCTGTTTTTCTCCGTCTCTTTCTCTCTCCCTTACTTTCCCCCTTCCCCTCCGGTTCCAGAACCACAAGGACAGAACAGACCCAAGACCCTACCCGCTTCCCCGTGCTCGTCCACCCAGGACGCCCACTCTGTCCCCGGGAGGGAGGGACCCCCAGCCCGCCCGGGACGCGCCGCACGGGCCCCGGAGCGCTCCGGGGCGCGGCTCCTACTCCTTTCCCCAACTTCGGGCGCGCGGCCCCGCGGCAAGAACAAAGCTGCGGCACCCGCCTCCCCTCTCCCCGGCAGCCGGGCCAGGCCCCGCGCCCCCGCGTCCCCTTCCCCGACTCGCCGCGGCCCGCCCGGCCCGGCGGGGCTCACCCACCTCAGGCTGTGGCTCCCGGGCGCATCCCGCGACTGCCCCGCCGATGGCAAAGTCCGGGCGCGGGCGCGGGCCTGCAGCGGAGCATGCCGGGAAGCGCCGCGGCCCTAGGAATCCAGCCTCGCGCCCCCGCGCCCCGGCCCCCGGCCCCCGGCCCGCGCCAAATCCCCGCCGCCAGGCGCCGCCGTCACCGCCAGGCCCCCCGGCGGCCGGGGCAGCTGGGAGGCGGGCCCTGGCGACCCAACACCCCTTCCTCGCGCCCCCGCGGTGGCCCGTCCGGGCGGCAGACGGAGAGGGGAGCGGAGGGTCCCTGCCTGCGCCCCGCCCCGGGCTGGCGGTCCCAGGCGGCGAGCGCGGATGGGTACCGCAGGGGGGCTGGCGGCGGAGCCAGTGTGCTCCGCCACGGACTGTCCCATTGAAACCCTGCCTCTGCCACTCACTAGCTATGGACAACTTAGTTCAGCCTTTGTGCCTCGGTCTGTAAAACGGGGCTGCTGCTTGTCAGCATCCTCAGAGTTGGTATTAGGAATGATGGGATGCAGGATGCATCGGACTGCCTGGCCCAGGGTAAAGAGTGAATCGAGGGTCGCTCTTATTTACAGCCTGACCCACGGGTCAGTGAGAAGCAGGCCCACCCCTGGCGACTGCCTAGCCAGGGGCAAGAGTACAAATGCAGAGCCCTTGCTAGTAGTCTTGCTGCTTCTATTCCCACACGACTCCATCCCATACATACTGAAGGGGGTCTACTGGTTCAGGCAAACACACACCCCCTACCCTGCCATCCTTCATTCTAACGATACTCAGGCCAGGCAGGGCAGGCTGCCCTGGGTGGATGGAAGTCAGACCTTGGAAGCAGGCTCAGGGCTGTTTACACAGGGATTTCCGGAGTCCAGGGTACCAGGAGCATGATCTAGAAGGGAACATACGCTCCAGCTGGAGTGGGCCAACTAAAGCACGGGGTTCAGGGCAGGATCCCAGTGGTCCAGGTCTGAGGTCAGTATCGGTGACAGTTAACAAAGGATACAGATTGGGTCCTAGGCCGCTTGACACAGGGTCTGCAAACTGGTACCCCCAAGGCCACATCCAGCCCACAGAGGTGGTTTTTTTGGTTCATACTTTTGTTGTTTTATTTTAATTTTTTTGAGACAGAGTCTCAGTCAGTCGCCCAGGCTGGAGTGCTGTGGCACAGTCTTGGCTGTTTACGGGTGGAGGGTGTCCAGGTTCTTGCCTTTATTTATTTATTTATTTATTTATTTATTTATTTTTTGAAACAGAGTCTGGCTCTGTTGCCCAGGCTGGAGTGCAATGGCACGATCTCAGCTCACTGCAACCTCTGCCTCCTGGGTTCAAGCGATTCTCCTGCCTCAGCCCCCCAAGTAGCTGGGATTACAGGTGTGCGCCACCACGTCCCACTAATTTTTTTTGTTATTTTTAGTAGAGACGGGGTTTCGCCACGTTGGCCGGGCTGGTCTGGAACTCCTGACCTCAGGTGATCCACCCACCTCAGCTTCCCAAAGTGCTGGGATTATAGGCATGAGCCACCGCACCCGGCCTGTTCTTGTCATTTTGAACAAAGAATTAGACAAAAGGCACAAGCAAAGCAAGTAAAGAAAGAATGAAGCAACAAAAGCAGAGATTTATTGAAAACAAAAGTGCATTCCACAAGGTGGGAGCAGGCCCCTGCATATGGGCTCAAGAGCCCCTGCTGTAGAATCTTCTGGGGTCCAAATACCTCCTAGAGGTTTCCCATTGGCCACTTGGCGTTCACCCCATGTAAATGAAGTGGTGCCACAATTAGTCTGATTGGTTGTGGAAAGCAACCAATCAGAGGCTGAAGTGAAGTTACAAAGGTTGCACTCCTATGCAAAAGAAGATTTGGCCCGCAATCAGTCTGATCGGTTACTTTCCACAACCAATCAGAGGCTAAAGTGAAGTTACAAAGTTACACTCCTATGCAAAAGAATATTTGGCCGCAATCAGTCTGACTGGTTGCTTTCCACAACCAATCAGAGGCTGAAGTGAAGTTACAAAGTTACACTTCTATGCAAACGCAGGATTGGTTGCGGAAAGGCAATCAGAGGTACTTTCAAAAGATTTTCCATCTGCCAAGCAGAAAGTGGGGAGTGGGGGTTGCAAAGGGAGTAGTCTCTGGTCCGTTTGTTACTTAGGTGCGGAAAGTTGGGGTTTTCCTTTTGATTTAGTTCTAGGAAGTCAGGTGAACCCTTAGGTTTCCTGCCTCCAGACCCTATTCTCCTGCCTCATCTCTCTCCTGAGAGACATGACCCCCATAAATCTTTATGGGATGCAGAGGAACTGTAACTGCTTTATGCCAACTTGGGGCGTAGTTCCTACCTACTGGAGATCATGGAACTCTTGCCCTACTCTGTCTAGTGGAGACAGTGTGGCATCCTGATGGCCAGGGGTGGTGTCTTCACTTGGAACTGACTGGAAACTTTGTCACATGATCATCTGAAGCTTGATGGTCTCTATGTGAAAGGAAATGAATATGGTTAAAAGATTTAACAGGAACTTCAGGGGGTGGATACTTATGCTGTCAGGAATGTTCATTATGGAGATGAATTGAAACATTCTGCTAATTACTACAAAGGAAGTGATTCCATAAGTTTGGAAGAAGGCAATAAAAAAATGGCCACTATTATCCAGAGCACTTCCACGTTTTATTAAGTACCTTATCTCCTGGCCTGATTTGGGGTTGCTGGGATTGGCCAAGACTCAGCTATTTTTACAGGCACATATTCCTAAGTTAGGTTACCGTTCATCCACAGAGACTCCAATATAGAAATACGGAGTCCTTCTCAGGCTATATTTAATTTGCTTTAACAATTTCCCCCTTTTGGTCATTTTCTCAATTTTGAGAGATTGACCAAACCTTTAGTCATTCATGTCACTACCACCATCATAAATGAACTTATTTGGTCTTGAAACCCACTGGGAAACAGTAAAACAACAGTGAGTTTTGTACAGTGGGAACAAGGACTGAGTAGAGGGTACCTCCTTATGGTGGAACATCCTGTTTGCAGGAGAAAAACAAAACCTGGTCTGTTTTAGGATCTATGTGTTTTGGTTTGTTTGGTTTGCTGGGGCCTAGCACATGATGTCAGTCCAAAACACTGGCCTCTCATAATTTTGTTAAAAAAATTCTCCCTTTTTGGTCAGGTTCTCACTTGGGTGAGAGTGTGACCAAAATTTAAGGCCTTAGCACCACACTCACTTGCCATCATTTTGGGTTTCCAGTCTCACCACATCATTCATAGGTTATGGTATCCTCCTGGTCATGCACTTCTTTCAGCTCTTGTCATTCCACTTGAAAAGAGACCATTTGACATTCTAGAGATGGCTGAATGCAAGCATTTAAAGCCTTTGAGATAATACAGCGCACCAGGGAGACTATTATTATGACTACTGGGAGGATAATACTAAGAGTTTGGAGCATACTTCATACCAAGGATCCCCATAAACCAAACCACCTAAAATTAAATCAAAGAATGTGCTAAAGAATCTACTCACTTAACTAAGAAATCTCTTCGTTAATCCCCTACAACTAAATCTCTATAATCTTCATTTGATGTATTTCTCCATAAGCCACAAGTGCCAGCAGCTGCACAGATACTTCTCTGTTCAGCCGATTCTATCGTAACCTTCACAAAAGAATTTAAAATCTGTTGTGTAACTATAGCCTTTACAGTAGATATTCTCAGAAGACCCAATCTTTGGGTTCTAGATTGTGAAGGGGTTGATTGTCCTCAGTGACCCATAAAAAGCTTTCTTTACCTGGTGAAAATACACTGTAGCATAATAATCTACTGTTATAACATCAGCCCTCTTGCATAGGAAAGCTTTTTTACAACCAGAAACATGCATTGAAAATGGCAATTGAAATGTTTAAATGGCCCATGAGGTAGCCAAATGTACTTGAAGATTTGATTGTCTTCCCAGGAATATGGATTTGACAAACCAAACATTGGTTATAAACTACTTTAGCAATGTATAAGTCAGCACACCAATATATATTTAATTTGGATTATTTTATCTTTTCCATGATGAGTCATGGAGTGCATAACCTTGAATAACAAAAGCTTTAAGGACTCAGGAAGGGCAAGGCTGCTGTCCTGGTTCTCCATGAGTCCATGCTTAACATCGGACTTACGTCATCTTGAATACCAGTTGTTTCTCCAGTTTAGCTGTATAGCACTGACAACTGATGGGTTATCATAGGTAATTTGACTTAGACCATGGAGTTCATTCAAATTGTATATCTAAACAATTTTAGTATCCGCTGATTTAGCATGCAAATCTGGCAAAGTATTTTCTTGGTACTCAACTAATTTTTGTTCCACTTGGGTTAACACTTTTATACAAAGAAATTTGGTCTCTCCCCCTCCCCCTCCCCCTCCCCCTCCCTCTCCCTCCACGGTCTCCCTCTGATGCCGAGCCAAAGCTGGACGGTACTGCTGCCATCTCGGCTCACTGCAACCTCCCTGCCTGATTCTCCTGCCTCAGCCTGCCGAGTGCCTGCGATTGCAGGCGCGCGCCGCCACGCCTGACTGGTTTTCGTTTTTTTTTGGTGGAGACGGGGTTTCGCTCTGTTGGCCGGGCTGGTCTCCAGCTCCTAACCGCGAGTGATCCGCCAGCCTCGGCCTCCCGAGGTGCCGGGATTGCAGATGGAGTCTCGTTCACTCAGTGCTCAATGGTGCCCAGGCTGGAGTGCAGCGGCGTGATCTCGGCTCGCTACAACCACCTCCCAGCCGCCTGCCTTGGCCTCCCAAAGAGCCGAGATTGCAGCCTCTGCCCGGCCGCCACCCCGTCTGGGAAGTGAGGAGCGTCTCTGCCTGGCCACCCATCGTCTGGGATATGAGGAGCCCCTCTGCCTGGCTGCCCAGTCTGGAAAGTGAGGAGCGTCTCTGCCCGGCCGCCATCCCATCTAGGAAGTGAGGAGCGTCTCTGCCCGGCCGCCCATCGTCTGAGATGTGGGGAGCACCTCTGCCCCACCGCCCTATCTGGGATGTGAGGAGCGCCTCTGCTGGGCCGCAACCCTGTCTGGGAGGTGAGGAGCGTCTCTGCCCGGCCGCTCCGTCTGAGAAGTGAGGAAACCCTCTGCCTGGCAACCGCCCCGTCTGAGAAGTGAGGAGCCCCTCCGTCCGGCAACCACCCCGTCTGGGAAGTGAGGAGCGTCTCCGCCCGGCAGCCACCCCGTCCGGGAGGGAGGTGGGGGGGGTCAGCCCCCCGCCCAGCCAGCCGCCCCGTCCGGGAGGTGAGGGGCTCCTCTGCCCGGCCGCCCCTACTGGGAAGTGAGGAGCCCCTCTGCCCGGCCAGCCGCCCCGTCCGGGAGGGAGGCGGGGGGGTGGGGGTCGGCCAGCCGCCCCGTCCGGGAGGGAGGTGGGGGGGTCAGCCCCCCGCCCGGCCAGCCGCCCCGTCCGGGAGGTGAGGGGCTCCTCTGCCCGGCCGCCCCTACTGGGAAGTGAGGAGCCCCTCTGCCCGGCCAGTCGCCCCATCCAGGAGGGAGGTGGGGGGGTCAGCCCCCCGCCCGGCCAGCCGCCCCGTCCGGGAGGGAGGTGGGGGGTCAGCCCCCCGCCCGGCCAGCCGCCCCGTCCGGGAGGGAGGTGGGGGGATCAGCCCCCCGCCTGGCCAGCCGCCCCGTCCGGGAGGTGAGGGGCGCCTGTGCCCGGCCGCCCCTACTGGGAAGTGAGGAGCCCCTCTGCCTGGCCAGCCGCCCCGCCCGGGAGGGAGGTGGGGGGTTCAGCCCCCCGCCTGGCCAGCCGCCCCATCCGGGAGGGAGGTGGGGGGGTAAGCCCCCCACCCGGCCAGCCGCCCCGTCTGGGAGGGAGGTGGGGGGGGTCAGCCCCCCGCCCGGCCAGCCGCCCCGTCCGGGAGGGAGGTGGGGGGATCAGCCCCCCGCCTGGCCAGCCGCCCCGTCTGGGAGGTGAGGGGCGCCTCTGCCCGGCCGCCCCTACTGGGAAGTGAGGAGCCCCTCTGCCCGGCCAGCCGCCCCGTCCGGGAGGGAGGCGGGGGGGGGGGGTCGGCCAGCCGCCCCGTCCGGGAGGGAGGTGGGGGGGTCAGCCCCCCTTCCGGCCGGCCGCCCCGTCCGGGAGGTGAGGGGCGCCTCTGCCCGGCCGCCCCTACTGGGAAGTGAGGACCCCTCTGCCCGGCCAGCCGCCCCGTCCGGGAGGGAGGTGGGGGGGACAGCCCCCCGCCCTGCCAGCCGCCCTATCCAGGAGGTGAGGGGCACCTCTGCCCGGCCGCCCCTACTGGGAAGTGAGGAGCCCCTCTGCCTGGCCAGCCGCCCCGTCCGGGAGGGTGGTGGGGGGGTCAGCCCCCCGCCCGGCCAGCCGCCCCATCCGGGAGGTGAGGGGCGCTTCTGCCCGGCCGCCCCTACTGGGAAGTGAGGAGCCCCTCTGCCCGGCCGCGACCCCGTCTGGGAGGTGTGCCCAGCGGCTCATTGGGGATGGGCCATGATGACAATGGCGGTTTTGTGGAATAGAAAGGCGGGAAGGGTGGGGAAAAAATTGAGAAATCGGATGGTTGCCGGGTCTGTGTGGATAGAAGTAGACATGGGAGACTTTTCATTTTGTTCTGTACTAAGAAAAATTCTTCTGCCTTGGGAAAAAAAAAAAAAAAAAAGAAATTTGGTTATTTCTGTGGTCTACAGTAAGTTAACATAATAAACATAATTATGAATGATAGCATATACTCAGACATATTTAGAATTTTAGAAATCCCATACAATTTTGTAACATATATTAATAGTCACTGAAATATAACCTGAAGAAAATTAAACATTTTTTTATTTTGACAATGCTTCCCATGTAACTAAATATGTAAGCTGAAATTTGATTTTGGGAAGCCTATTAAATATGCTAAAGGCTTACAAAAATTTACATTCCCATGCCTTCTTATAATCTTTTACCATTCATTCAACCGGTTTGCACAGAGAAAGAGAGGCCAGAGGTCCGACTGGTATGAAATTCTTACCCTTTTGCTGCGTATCAGGTTTCTGGGTTCTCTCTCCCTGAGCAGCCCTAGTGACCCTGGCTCAACTATATGCAAACACAAACATTGCCATGAATTAAGAATGTTCACAGGCCGGGCGCGGCGGCTCGTGCCTATAATCCCAGCACTTGGGAGGCTGAGGCACTAGAATCACTTGAACCCAGGAGGCAGAGGTTGCAGTGAGCCGAGATCGCACCAATGCACTCCAGCCTGGGTAACAGAGCAAGACTCCATCTCAAGAAGAAAAAAAAAAAAAAAAAGGAATATTCACAAATAGTTTACAAAGTCTGGACAAATTAGGCAGAGAGAGAAAAATATGACTTGAAAGCATACTCAATACACTTAAAGTATCAGGGAATCTAATATCCAAAAAGTTAGTTTAAAGTTAACAAGCTGGTGTGTTCCATCAATTCCTGTGAACCCAACAAAGGTAGCCTAGAAATTCCAGACAAATGGAACAAATGATGACTTGCTAGAAATGCATAGGAAACAAAATAACTATTCATAGAACCGAATAAAAGCCTTCCACTAGAAACTAAAAAAAATCATGGTTTTATATATATGCGTACATAAGCAAAGCCCAGAGGAGCGTAAACAGCAAACAAATAAAAATTAGAAGCACAAACAAACAGGAAACCAACCCTAAATTTCTCCTACTCAATCTACCCGGGAGGCAGCAGTGTTACCCAGAGCTCCCCGCCAGAAAAACCCACATAATGAATATTTTATTCCTGATATACAATTCAGTATCCTTAAGCTCACCAATATCACCACATATCCGGTGCAATCAGGAAATACACTCTCAGCCAGCCGTGGTGCTTCACGCCTGTAATCCCAGCACTTTGGGAGGCCAAGGCGGGTGGATCACTTGAGGTCAGGAGTTCAAGACCAGCCTGGCCAACATGGTGAAACCACAGCTCTACTAAAAAATACAAAAATTAACCAGGCATGGTGGCACGCACCCGTAATCCCAGCTACTCAGGAGGCTGTGGCAGGAGAATAGCTTGAACCCAAGAGGCAGAGGTTACAGTGAGCCGAGATCATGCCACTGCACTCCAGCCTCAGTGACAGAGCTAGATTCCATCAAAAAAAAAAAAAAAAAATTAACTCCAGGCACATAATCAGTAAGTACTCCAGTGCCAGCACTATCCATGCAAAACAGTAAACATAGTGTGAAGCAATGCAAGTATGTATATGAAATTTGACTCCACACAGAAAAACACGGCTTAACTATATTAAAAAAGAATTGCCAAACTGCCAATGCATTTTTTTACAATATTTCTTATTTTACTTTAATCAAGACTAAGAGCTTTAACTATGAAAATGTTAATTAGCCAAATTTCTCCAATTCTCTATGAGGTTTTAAATAATATTTTATTATCTAAACTTTTCCACATGTTTCTTCCCTACTTACTGGTTCCTTACTACATTGTTTCATAAACAACTTTTTCAAATCTGTAATTTGAACTAACTTTTAGATAACTTCTGAATTAGACAAAATTATTATTTTTCTCACTAATATCACAAACTTTTTTGGCACATTTTGTCCTTAGTAACCTAAAACTTTAGCAAAACACTAAAAAGCAAGAAATCTTGAACGATCAGACATGGGCATTTATAGATAAGAACAATCCCACAGTTTTTAAAAATATATTTCCCCATACCACAACCCTTTCTTAATTGGAAATGACCCACATATTCAACGAGCATCAAAAATAATTTTAAGATTTTAATTTACACAAAACATTTACATAAAACATTTATCCCATTTACATATACTCAATTCTTTCACTTACATTTATCTAGATAACTTCTGTAAACTGAGATATTAGATGCTATCATTTAAAGTTAGTTATTTCCTTGTTAACTACGTTTTGAATAGCCAGTGAACATCAGGTGCTCACCTAAACCTAAGTAAGAGTCTCAAAGTTAAATACATAGGTATTTTTGCTAATAAATCACAAGATTTAGCTGACAACATTAAATTACTCATGTTTGTCAATAAAAAGGGCACGCAAACCAAGATCACTTTGTTTTGGCTGGGTTTATAGTTTTATAACTTTCTATGCCAAACCTGGACACCTCAAAATATCTAGCAGAGACAAATATAAAATCCAGACAAAAGTGTATGCTGACAGTTCTGAAGGCATTTCTATTTTTATTTTACCAATAATTTTAAAAGCAGCTTGTTTAGTAAAGTTATACTTAAGTCACATGAACTTGAACATTGCTTAAACTTATTTATTTAATTTATGAGGGCTCTTTTACTTACAAGCCAGTTTGGTAGACACAACATATAACAATAAGCATACATACAAATAAACACATCTAGACATGTATACACACTACACACAAATAAATGAAGATCCAATACCTTTTACCTTGGAATCCTAGCCATGAGATAGCAATACAAGCTTGCCAGTTTTACTTTGTTTGCCCCAATAGGTAATCCAATGAAGGCCGTGAACCAAAATTTCAGGTAAAGCAGTTTGATTTTTAAAGGCCAGACCGCCCCAGATTCCAAAGAACACTGGGGCCAAACAGCACCAAAGGAGAGCATCACATATTAACCAGACCCAACCCTGCTTAGGACAGCAGCACTAAAGCCTGGATACATGCAACTCCATCCTACTTTCCCATTCAACAGCAAACTCCAGATTCCAAACAATATTGGGGCCAAACAGTATCGCAACTGCAAGAGAAAATTCTAACGAGGGCTTAGTACTAGGCCTAAGAACCTCTGCCGAGGGCGTTCTCTTTGGAGAGGTTGTGGTCCAGAGGATCCCCCAGAGTGTCCCCCTTTGGGGTCCAATCTTAGAGTGTCAGATGTCTCTGACCTTAGATGGGCACCAGTGCCACTTTGCATGTTTTCCCTCCAGAGGTCATGGCCTACTATGAGCTTTCCTTTTATCCTTGGATGAAGGCCTGGACTTACAGCACTCTTATAATTTGTTAAGGCCACAATTTCCCATGCTCTTCATTCCACTAGAGATAGCCATGAACTTTAATGACAGGAACTGGAGGCTGAGTGGGTTTCTTTTGCCCTTAGCCAGTCGAGTAGGAGAAGGGAAGAATTTAGCATAAGAAAAGGTTTAAGTCGCCTGAAACACTTGTGAGTTCGCCCCAAGCTGTGCCACATGTAGCGATCAGGGACCACAACCAGAAAAGACAGAAGAGTCCTTCCTGCTTCTGGGCAGGGCAGTTATCCCCATTCACTCCTTTGCCTTCAGGCAACACTGGAGAGTGGTCCCAGCCAGTTGCCCTCAATTACCAAGGAGCTGCTAGGAAACAGCCACTGAAAGACTGAAAAAGAAAGAAAGGAAAAATACCCAGGTCCCTTAAGCAAACCAGGCGGTGGCAGTTAGGTGCCTCCACATGGAAAACCCTTTCAGTTCACCTGCCACAGCCAGAGACCTAGAGTTGCCTCCATGCTTAGGCACTGCTCACCAAGGGACCCGAGTTGCAAAGGAAAAAAAAGAGAGAGAGAGAGAGAGAGAGAGAGAGGGAGAGAGACAGAGAGATTACCCTGTATGGAGCAGAAAGGAGAAAAATAAACCCCAAACTTTGGGCTTACCTTTTGGCTGGCTCACCAAAATATGTTACCGGTGGAGGGTCTCCAGGTTCTTGGCATTTTGAACAAAGAATTAGACAAAATGCACTAAGCAAGGAAAGAATGAAGCAACAAAAGCAGAGATTTATTGAAAATGAAAGCACACACCACAGGGTGGGAGCGGGCCCAAGCATAGGGGCTCCAGAGCCCCCATTACAGAATTTTCTGGGGTCCAAACACCCTCTAGAGGTTTCCTATTGGGCACTTGGTATTCACCCCATGCAAATGAAGTGGTGGCCTGCAATCAGTCTAATTGGTTGCTTTCCACAATCAGAGGCTGAAGTGAAGTTACAAAGTTACCCTCCTATGCA
This sequence comes from Homo sapiens, assembly GCF_000001405.40. Taxonomy (NCBI): domain Eukaryota; kingdom Metazoa; phylum Chordata; class Mammalia; order Primates; family Hominidae; genus Homo; species Homo sapiens. The sequence continues at coordinate 32,917,311 of NC_000017.11, read as the reverse complement.
AATGTCTGATTGGTTTTGGAAAGCAATCTATCAGAGGTACTTTCAATTTTCTATCTGCCAAGCAGAAAGGCAGGGTGGTTTGCAAAGGGAGTAGCCTCTGGTCCTTTTGTTGCTTAGGTGTTGAAAGTTGGGGTTTTCCTTTTGATTTAGTTCTAGGAATTCAGGGTGAATCAGCCTTGGGTTCCCTGCCTCCAGACCCTATTCTCCTGCCTCAGGCTCACTGCAACCTCTGCCTCCTGAGTTCATGCCTCGGCCACTCGAGTAGCTAGGATTATAAGCATGCACCACCATGCCTGGCTAATTTTTTGTATTTTTAGTAGAAATGGGTTTTCACCATGTTGGCCAGGCTGGTCTCGAATACCTGGCCCCGAGTGATCTTCCTGCCTTGGCCTCCCAAAGTGCTGGGATTACAGGTGTGAGCCACCACGCCTGGCCCGGTTCATGGTTTTTAAAAATCAGATTAGTTGCCAACATTTTAAAAAATCAGGACTCTCACTTATAATTCTAGATTTCCAGCTTCCCTGAAAAATTAATAAGATCTCTCAAAAACACAGCCTACATTCCACCAGTAGCAACAGTCAGCAGGAGAGGGCAGGTGTTGTCCGAGGCTTGCTTTCCAGACCCAGCACTACCCCATTGCCCCTACAACATATGTGCACACACTCACAGCTCACCCTTTTGGTAAGAGCCTGGACCTGTAGGTAGCTGGGTTTTCCCACCATTGGCTCTCAGGGAAAAGAAGGCTGAGGGATGATTTTATAATCCTCTGAAGTGCTTTCATGAAGAAGCTACAAGCATTACAATCTGTGTAAGGAAAATAGGCTCAAAGCAAAGCAGCCAGCGTTGGAATGGGTGACTGGGGACATTAAATGTGTCCATTTCTTGGAGAGTCTCTGAGACGAACTATTTCTATTTGTGTTGGGTGGTTAAACATTTGGTGGCCTTGAGGTAAGAAGCTAAAACCACATGATCTCTTGTGGCCTCTTCCAGGTCTGGGGTTCTGTGACTCTGTACAAGAGATGTAAAAGAAAGCTTTAATCTTGAGGAGGTTGAAGCACACATAGAAAAGACATACACTTACCAAAAAACAAGCAAACATATAAACAAGTGAATAAACAGCTCAGCGACTGCCTGGAGCTGACAGTATGCATGCCCCAATTAACCACCCACTAACCTGCTGCTGGGAGGAAAGAGTTGTACCAAGGTTGTGCCCAGTACCTTTTCTAGCCAGCTGTCTCCCATTGTTCTAACATCCCAAGGCCCCTTGAAATCTCTCTCAGGATTGATCTGAGAAGACCTCAGTGTTGCACAAGACTGAATTGCAAGCAACAGAAAATGATTGTCCCACGAGGAAAGGGGACTTGTTGAAAGGACAAGAGGGTGCCCACAGAATCAGCAGGAGACTGAAGACCAAGATTAAGAACTGGGCAGGCTCTAGGGGCTAAGTGCCCCTCTCCATTATCCTACATTCTAGATCCCAAATCCTGGGTAGGACCTCACCCTGTCTGCTTCCACTGTGGGAGGTGAGGCACAGGCAGTATCCTGCCTTCCAATATACTGCATGTGAGGAGGTTGTCCCCAAATAGGTAAGAGGTATGATTGCTGGATTGTTCCCCAAAATTCAAATACCCCTAGCTAAGGCCTCTCCTCACTAAGTCTGAACAGCAAAGTGTGTAACAAGGGTCCCCAAATTGAAAGCTGAATCCAGTGATTAGAGAGGACAAGCCAGCAGGTCAGAAATGGTGCTGACCATGATAAGGAGGAAGAAGGCTTGGCTCCTGGCCACTGGGTGCATACTCGTGCTCTACTCAGCAAGGAATGAATATTTGTTGAGCACTTACTATGTAGCAAACACTGATTAGACATCCGACACACCTTATCTCTTTTGATCTTCTCACCAACCCTAAAAAGTAGGTATGATTATGTTTGCAAAGGAAGAAATAGCCTTGGAAGGGTAAGGCAACTTGCCTGAGCTCTTTCAGCTTATATGTGGGAAGGCAGGAAGTGAAACTCAACACCTCCTGGTACCAAAGCAAGACCACTCAAACCAGGAAACTGATAGCTCTTCCAACAACCTGGTTATTGGAACAGGACAGGTGGTCATGGCTCCAGCTGCAACAAATAGAGCCACTCCATCCCAATTTTGCACACACTCCATCATCAAAAACAGACTTACTCTGGTCCAGATGTAACTCAAGTACTGTACTTTTTTGGCTAGTCTCATCTTGATTTCCTTTTGTTTTGCTTTTTCCTTCTGATATCTGTTGCATAGCTGTATCTGTGTCATGCGTAGCTCCTGGATGAATCTCTTTGCAGCACCTAGCACTGTGTTATAACCTAGTAATAAATAAGTGGTGGTAGTGCTACCTGGCTGACTGGACACCAAGCAATAAAGATGCCCATGCTTATCCACTCAGAGCAGCTGATACCCCTTGAAAGACAGCTCAGAAGACAAAGATGGAAAAGGAGAATAGCAGACAGATGTTGGTTACCTACTCTCCCTTCTCTCCCCAATCCTCGTCACTGGGCAAGAGCCTCTTCCTTCCAGGCAGACAGGACCAGTGAGGTACAACAAACCCCCTCCTGTCCCAACCAGAAAAGCTTCTCACATTGTCTGTAATCCACATGAAACTCTCTCAACTCACCTCTATGTTTTCAGAGGGGCGGCAGAAGGACATCCTAAACCCCTACCAGGTACGCAGTTACAAGCAGGAGCCTGAGCCAGAAGCACTGTGAATGGAGACCTCCTTCCCTCACTTAATGGCCGTGTGATCTGAGACAGTTCACTCAGTTTACGTTTCCTCATCTGTAGAATGGGGATCACAGTAAAACTCATGGCCTACAGTTGTTTTGAGGATGAAATGAGATGACACATTTAAAGTGCTAACACCTAGAAAGTAGAATGGTGGTTGCCAGAGGTTGGGGGAGGGAGGAAGGGGGAGTCATTGTTGATGGGCACAGAGTTTCAGTTTGAGAAGATGATTAAAAAGTGCTAGAGATGGATTGTGGTGATAGCTGCGTAACAGCATGAATGTACTTAATTCCAGTGAACTGTATACTTCAAAATGGTTTAAATGGGGAAGTTTATGTTGTATATATTTTATCACAGATTTTTTAAGTGCTCATCACTGTATGACATTAAAAGAAAAATGAGGCCTCCTAGATGTTCCTCCAACATGTGAAGCTCATTCTACTCCAGTGATTTGCTGTGCCCTCTGCCTGGAATGCCCTCTGCCTGGAATCCTTACCCCCATTATTCCCAAGGCTCCTCCTTCCTTTTGCTCAGGGACCTGCACAAGAGTCACCTCCACAGAGAAGTCTTCCCAGATCAACCTATCTAAAGTAGCACCTCCCATCATTGATGTGCCCCTGGCTCTGTTGTGAAATGTGGGGTTTTTTTTGTTTGGTTGGTGTTTTGTTTTGTTTTGTTTAGAATTTTTCTTTTCTTGCTCTGCCACCCAGGCTGGAGTGCAGTGGTGCAATCACGGCTCACTGCAGCCTTGACGTCCTGGGCTCAGGCAATCCTCCTGCCTCAGCCTCTCACGTAAGTGGGACCACAGGTGCATGCAACCATACCTGTTGGAGACCAGCCTCAACACCACCCGTACGGTACCCAAAGTCCAGTGGCGACGAAGGAATGAGAAGATACAGGTTAAGAGTGCATAAAGAGTGTGGGCCAGGGGGACAACTGTAAAATGGAGGCTGTAAAAGGCTCAGAGCTCTGGTCTCTGCACTATTTATTGAGTACAGTCACTTAGAACTAAGAAGCAGATGTTGAAGGCGAAACAGTGAAAGGGAGGCAGTGCGTCATACGTGTAATCTATAGCAGTGGTGGTTTAAATGAATCTCCTTTGTGCTCAAACAGTGTATCTTTAACTTATTGGAGAGTAGTTAGTGGGAGTGGGTTTAACTAGCAGCCTGTACATCTGGCCACATTCTAATGTTTCAAAGGAGGGTCTTTTTTCTTGAACACAGTGTTTATAGATAAGAGAGCAAGTCTCGCTCAGAGCATGGGAACATAATGGCGATAAGAAGGCTTTCCTCCTCAGAGGCCTTTTGTGGCTTTTCACAACCTACTGTCCCATATTTTTACAGCCAGTTTATACAGGCACCCCATAAGCCTTTCCCCCAACATATACCCAGCTAATTTTTGTGTGTGTATGTAGAGACGGGTTCTCTCTATGTTGCCCAGGCTGGTCTCGAACTGCTGGGCTCAAGTGATCCGCCCACCTCGGCCTCCCAAAGTGCTGGGATTATAGGCATGAGCCACCATGTCCTGCCTGAATTGGATTTCTGAATGGCATGTATCACTACCTGACACTGCGCGATATATTTATGACTTCTCCCATTCCAGAATATAAGCTCCATAAGGGCAGGGACTTTATTGTCATGGTCTCTGCTGACCCCCAATATCTAGAACAGTGCCTGGAGCTTAGTGCTCAGTAAGCACTGTGCATGGAGTGAAAATAAAGCTTAGCTATCATCACTGTCATTCTACAGCAGGGATGGGAACTCTCCACCCACACCCAGCACCAACAGGCCCGCTGGGGTGTGGCAGCCACTGGGAAGCAGGAGGGTTAAGCACATGGGAAACACTCAGACAGGGTAAGGCACCAGAATTGGAAAGAGAATGAAGGTTGACCTGAATTAAAGTGCCGCAATTTTAAATTTCTGGTTTGACCGAGTCCATGTTTGTTTTAAGTGCTCAGGCCCTTTTATGGACTAGTAAATGGCTTTCCAAGGACAGCGCCACCAGCCAGGAAGGGGGTTGTGTATACACTGATCAGGCTTTCTCTAAGCTGTGGGCGTGGACAGAGACCATAGCGAAAGCCCGTCCTCCTTGGAGGAGTGAAAGTCAGCAAACACTCAGAACTGCTGTGGGTCTGGCTGGAGCGAGGGGGCAGGACCAGGAAGCAAGGAAAAAGAAAAAGCGTGGAGGAGGGTTGAGAGCTAGCAGGGCAGTTCTGAGCCACTGGAGATACAGGGCAAGTTTGCATTTGCGCTAAGTTAAGGCAGCTGGGCCAGGGGACATTGAGACCCTGAACAGGGTTTCCCTAGAGGAAAAGGCATGTGCACAGGGCATATGCATCTGGCAATTGAGGCTTAAAACACTTAAAATCTTCAAAAGACTTCCCTGAAAAAGCTTTAAAGACAGATAACACAGCTGTCCTCTCTTGCCCATTTCCGTATTTTACCATGTCCCTCTTTACAGCCAATAGAAATATCTTGCTTTAAGTATTTTGGGAGTGATGTGTAGATGTGTATAAGGGGAAGTAAATCCCATATTTTAGTTAATGCAGAGAAGATTGGTTCAAGGATGGATTTAATGCTATAAATAAAGTTATTTAAGCGTCCAGCTTTAAATCTGATACATCAGCATCTCCTACTTTTAATTTTCAGCATGATCATATTAATTATAATCACTGTCATTTTTGAGACTTTGTTCATGCCAGGTACTGTGCTAGGCACTTTGCATAGATTATATAATTATTACAATAATCTCTCAAAATAGGTATTATTCTCCCTCACTTTATATAGGAAGAAACTAGGGCTCGAAGAAGTTAAATACATTTCTACAGCTGGTAAGTGGTAAATCTAGGATTTGAACTAGAACTGTCTATCTGAAAAGCTGTGTTATAAGACAAAATCACCCACCACCTAGCCTGGTGCCTGGCCCATAACATATGTCCAAAATATTTAGTTTGGGATGACCTGAATTAACTCATTTTCATGATACCATATTCACTGAGTGCATACTCTATTTAAGGTGCTTTACAGGCAGCACTTCATTTAATTGTCTCAACAGGTCAGCGGGGAGGAATTATCTCCACTTTATACAGGGGTACACTGAGCATCTGGGAAGTTCAAGAACTTGTGTGAGATGCCACAACTAGTAACTGGCAAATACAGGATAAGAAGCTAAGTCTGTCTGACTCCAAGTGGTGGATCTTCTCCTTTACCCACCTCTTTCTGTGTTCTCTCAGTCTTGGAAAAGACATCAATGGTCACTTTGCCTCTGATGAGTTCCCCCAGGGCCTGGTATACACCTCTAATGGAATTTCATTGCCATAAAACTTTTTTCTTTTTCCTTAATGTCTGTGAAATCTGCCTTGGTATAAATATCTAATAGTAATGCCTTAAACCAAAGCATTGTGTTGGTGTAAGAAACACTTTCATGTGCATTGTTTAATTTTTCACCATAACCATGTGCCATCACCACATCACCATTTTACAGATGTGGAAGCAGGTATGTGGCCAAGGGATGACCCGACTGCAAGTTCAGCACAGGCTCCTTCCACGACACCAGGCTGCCCTAAGTACAAAGTCCAGTTCAAACCGGGGAGTGTGAGATAAGAGATGGGGAAGAGGGATAGAGGTGAGTCAGAAACAGTCTTCCTCCATTTCTTGACCACCTTAGAAACCACCTCCCTCACCTACCCCATGCCTCAGTGACCCTCTTGTGTTTGAACTCAAACCTGATTTACTAACCTCTTAAAGTGGAAGGGAAACAGCATGTCCTGGTACAGGGTAATTGATCAGAACAGTAAAAGTGCCTTAGGTTGCTGCAAAGGGGCTGTCCTGTCTTGGTCCTCTTTGTATTTCCCTATACCCTCTAACTAAGGGACACCCAACTTCTTGGCCCAGAAGTCATGCCCAGTACCTCTGATGACTGACAGGACTTTGGGAGGAATCTGCGTTTCTCTCTAGACTAAGCCAGATCCCAGTGCTTGGGTCAAGTGGAGCTGGAGACAGTGGAACCCTCTTAGAACCCCAGCAACAGTCAACTTTCGGGAGGTGGTGCTGAGAAGAGAGTCCTCACACAGTTCTGGGTCAGCCAGGATGGTATTTCCCCAGGACAACTGTGGGCTGGAAGAGGATTATGTCACTACCTGGCATTTTTCTAAATCCAAGCAGGGCTTTAGAATACCCAAAGCCATCCCAGGATTCAGGATCTGTCTCAGGACAGCAGGAACCTAGCAGAGAAGGCCAGGTCTGGGGTCTGGAGCTAACAGCCCCCAGATTGCCTTCAGTCCACTTCTAGTTACCCCCCTAAGCAGCAGCCTCTCCATCCCCTTGAAATGTCCAGGACCAATGGGACAGAATCCTGCAAGAGAGAACCATGGAGAGAATGGTGAGGGCTCTGATGCCTCCCAAGTGGAAAAAAACACACACTTCCGGATCTGCTGACAACCTAAAACCAAGAAGGTGCACTTCAAAGAGTGGTCACTGGGTGTCACCACTGCTTCTAAAGCAAGTGCCCTCATCTGTGAGCTAACGTTGAAGATTGCTGGGGAGAGAAATTCCTTCTTGGAGCCTCTGTTTACAGGCCTGACATCTTCTGTGCTTCCCTTGAGCTCCATGCCATTCTCACTCCTCTCACCCTCTGGTCCTACCATCTGGCCTGGATCACATAGGCCACCACGGAGTTGCTCTCTTGCTCTTCTCTCCTTCCCAGCTCTCTTGGCAGAACCCAAACTCCGTGTTCTCCATGCTGGCACTGGAGCACATAGTTAGGGAAAGTCACCCAAGACTGGCTTTGCTTTTGATTCATGATCACAAATCTCAAACAGGCACTTATTCCTAGTCATCCATCTGTCCGTAAGTGTCCAACTCTCACTTACTCCCTCAAACAACTTCATATCTAATCTTTAAACCTCCTATGCCCCTATTCTGCTTTACTTGTACCATTTAGAAAAGAAAAAAGAAATAGGTATCAACTCCATGTTTTCATCACCAAACATCTAAACCTTCCAAAATTTGTATCTATCTTCTCTTTCACCTCTACTCTGTATCTCATCTCCCTTTACTTTCTCAAGGTCCTTTGGCTTTCTCTACTTTCTTCTGGATTAATATCTCCCTCTCTGCTAGAGAATTCCCACCAATGAACAATTAAAATCTAGTATCACTCATCTTAAAAATCTTTATATACCAAGTGACTCTCCAGTTACCAGCCTGTGTCTCTCTTCTCTTTCAAACTAGATTTCACCTTTCATCTCAACACCATAAGAAAAAAAGCTGTCTCTACTAACTACCTCCCGTTCTCTCTTCAACTTGCTCAAATCTCGCTGATACCCACTGTGCTCCACTGAGTTGACTTCTCAAGATCACCATGACCCCCATGTCACCAAATGGACATAAATATCCTCACATTCCCACCAGGATTGTGAACACCAGTCTGACCATGTTCTCCCTCTTGGCTTCCATGACACCACCCTCTCCTGATTTTCTTAGATTTATCCTTGGTTTCCTTTGTTGGCTCCTCCACTGTCTGATTTTAAATATTAGAATTTTTCAGTCTTTTTCCTGGATAGTTTTCTCTTTTGCTTTTTACCCCATCTTCCTGGGTAATCTCATCCATTCCTGCTGATCTATACATTGCCTTTTGATGCTGATGGCTCCCAGATTTGTATTTTGGGCCCAGTCCTATCTATTTCACGTCTTCACTTGCAGGTTTCATAGGTATTTCACAATGAGCATGTCCAGAATGGAATTCTCAATTTCTTCCTCTCCCCAAAACACCTGTCCTGTGTTTAGTCTTCTCCATCTCTGTAGATTGCATGGCTGTTTCCCACAATGCCCAAGCTCCAAACCTAGGAATCAGTACTTTTTTCTACATGCTCATATTCATTCCATGAGCACGTTGTATTCTCTCTCCAAAATTCATTTCAAATTTCTCACTTCTCTCCATTTTCACACTCAACTGGATCACCATCACCTCTCTACGAAACTGACATGGAACATTTCTAAATAATCTTCTCATTTCCACACTTTGTGATCCATTATTGACAGCGGCAACAGAGGTCTAAAACCTAAGTCAGTGATGGGGCCATTCTGTATCTTAATCTGGTATACATATGTAGAACTTTGTGGTGTGCTTAAGGTTCGTACACTTTACTGTAGGTTGTATCTCAACTAAAAACAACAACAACAACAACAAAACAAAATAAAGCCAGGTACGTTGGTACATGCCTATAATCCAGGCTACTTGGGAGGTCAAGGCAGGAGGATGGCTTGAGCCCAGGAGCTTAAGACCAGCCTGGGCAACATAGAAAGACTCTGTCTGAAAACAAAACACCTAAGTAAAATGTCAATTCTCCAGTTAAAATTCTTCAGTGGTGTCCCTCTGTACCCAGGTAAAACCCAAGCCCTGCATCACATGGCCCCAGTCTTTTCCTCCAGCTTCATCTCCTATTGTATTTCTTCCTTGCTTGCTAGAGCCCAGCTGTCCCAGCTTCATTTAGTTTCTCCAATTAATCCAAGAACTGTCCTGCCTGCCTCAGGGCCTTTGCTCAGGCTTTTTCCTTAGCCTCTGGGCTAAGGAACCCTTCTCCATTCTTAAGACCTTCTCCTTCATGTCACCTACCCAGGCTTCCCCCAGGCTCCCCACCCACCCCTATCTACAGCATATCATCCCATTTATCCCTTTTGCTCCTTACCGTGATTTTTTTTTTTTTTTTTGAGACAGGGTTTCACTCCCATGGCCAAGGCCGGAGTGCAATGGTGCAATCTTGGCTTGCTGCCACCTCTGCTTCCTGGGCTCAAGCGATTCTCCTGCCTCAGACTCCCAAGTAGCTGGGATTACTGGTGCATGCCACCACACCCAGCTAATTGTTCTATTTTTAATAGAGATGAGGTTTCACCATGTTGCCCAGGCTGGTCTCCAATCCCTGAGCTCAAGCGATCCGCCCACCTCTGCCTCCCAAAGTACAGGGATTACAGACGTGAGCCACCATGCCTGCCCTTGATTTTATCATACTATTATAATTGTCTTTTTTCTGCAGTTGGGACCAGATTATACATTTGACACTTGTACACTTATTACACACATTAATATATATAAGTGCTACATCATAGATAATCAATGCCACTGCCACAATTTTTTTTTTTTTTTTGGAGACAGAATCTCACTCCATCACTAGGCTGGAATGCAGTGGCGCGATCTCGGCTCACTGCAACCTCTGCTTCCCGGGTTCAAGCAATTCTCCTACCTCAGCCTCCTGAGTAGCTGGGATTACAAGCACATGCCACCACACCAAGCTAATTTTTGTATTTTTAGTAGAGACAGGGTTTCACCATGTTGGCAGGCTGATCTCGATCTCGTGACCTCATGATCTGCCCGCCTTGGCCTCCCAAAGTGCTGGGATTACAGGCGTGAGCCACCGCGCCCAGCCCCAATGCCACAATTCTTATACTCAAAGAGCAAGCAGATACCTTTTGCTTTAGTTCCTGTAAATCATGGCAGAGGTGCTTAAATTTTAAAAATTGTCTTTCCTCATAGGAGTCTAAACAATGTCTCAACACTGTCAAGAGCCATAGCAATCTACACAAGCCAGGTAAAAGGGAAAATTACGGCCAAAGCAAAGGTTGGGGGCTAAGGTTGGAGAGGCAGGCACAGGTGGATAGGGAGAAAGCCAGAAGCTGGCAGCAGTCCTCATTACACTGCAAGTTTGGGCAATACTGTCTACTTTCAAGCTCCCCTCTCCCTGGATTAATACCCCCACATACGTGCCCCCCAACTTGCCCCCAATCCTTTGTGATCTCAGTTCATTCTAGTGTAGCAGTCTCCACCCTCAGTCTGGAGTGGGGAGAGATGATGGGTATACAGTGTCATCGATCTAGTTGTGTCCTTCAAAGAATACAATGGGTAAGCGCAAAACGGGAGTAGTATACATAAGAAATTAATAGCCATAGACAACAAGTACATACACACATGCACACATAGCATGCACAAGAGAAAATGCCTTTCCTTTATTATGTTCACGAAGTAAGCTGGAGGCCAAAAACACAGGACCCAGAGACTAGGTGTGTAGCAATGAAACTCCTCATGCAGCAGGACAGCTTCTCAGACATCTTGTCTTCCAACCCAGCCTTCCAACACATCTAGTTTTTTGACAAGTGAGTCATTTTAACAAGGCCATTCTGAACAACTTCATTTATTCAAAAGCTCTTCTGAGAAGATCTCTGCTTAACTGCGCCAAGGATCTCTCTGCCAGTGATGGCTCTTCTGTGGTTGTAGAAGGACAGCCTAAATGCCTCCAGGCTAACCCATTCCAGTTGCCAAGCATTGAGGGCACCTAGTGCATACAAGACCCAGGAACGCCCGCTGAAATCAGGGTGGATCTAGGGGAGAAATGGCACAGAGGTGAGACAGAAGTAAAGGCTTCCCACAGTGAACAGTTGTGGTCTGACCCAACACCCAGTACTCATGGTTTCTATGAATTCATGTACAAGTGGAACAACATAAGTGACCTTCAAGTTGAATGATGAATTAAAAAATAATAATAAACCACCTAAAGGGGCAACGACAGGCATTTGATGAAACAGGCTGTTATACTGTAAAAGGAAAATAAACCTTGGGACCCCAAAATACTAAACTAAAGGAAAAAGCCAAACTGAGAACTGCTTAGGACAAACCTGCCTCCCATTCTATTCAAAGTCACCCCTCTACTGAGATAAATACATATTTGATTGCCTCACTTGGAGAAGCTAATCAGAAACTCAGTAGAATACAACCACTCGTCTCTTACCTACCTATGATCTGGAAGCCCCCTCCGCGCTTTGAGTTGTCCCGCCTTCACCTCGAGTTGTCCCCTTTCCAGATGGAACCAATGTACATCTTATACATACTGATTGCTGTCTCATGTCTCCCTAAAATATGCAAAAACACACTGTGCCCCTACTACCTTGGGCATATGTCATCAGAGCCTCCTGAGACTGTGTCATGGACACATATCCTCAACCTTGACAAAATAAACTTTCTAAATTAACTGACAAAACACACACACACACACACACAACCACACACACAAAAATTAACTGAGACCTGTCTCAGATTTTTGGGGTTCACATTTTGGTAACCATAAAGGGATTCTGAGTAGAGATGCCCCTGACCTTTGACAAATCTCTTGTCGGTGCTTGGTACCAGCATGAGCTAACTTTATGGCTCAAACCAATAGGACAATTTATTGAAGTCTGCAAGCACCCCCTCCAGAGAATCCCTGATCTCCCCAAATTTAGTCAAGAACTAAAGTTTATTTTGCTGTACAACTCCTCCCTCTTTTGTTTTGTTTGTTTGTTTTGGAGTTTACTTGCTCCCAACAAGGAAGGCAAGATTTCCTGTTTACAGGACGATGGAAGGCAGGTAACTCCTTTATGGAGTTTGAGCTCACTCTCGGCAGGGAAGAGGAGTTTGAGGCTTTTTTCCTGCTTCTAGGATGGTAGAAAGCAGTCTTCAGCCTCAGACCCATCCCTAGGTAAATAACTGAATTGGAGTTTTGTCTTGGCTAAAGTTCAACAACCAGCTGGTCTTAATTTTTTCTCCATTAGAACACTCAGTGATCATATTGTTGGGTTTTTGTTGTTGTTGTTTGTTCCGGTCTTTCTTCCATCAGATTTGACCAGCTTTACATGACTTGATCAAATCCAAGTGAAAATTCCAAATTATGGGTAACAAAACCTCTCTAATTTGACTAAAATTCCTCACAACTATAAAAGAGTTAAAAAATGCATTTGGTTTCTGTGTTTACTTCCTGTCTTAAAAAAAAAAAAAAGTTCTTTCATTTACTTTTCTTCCACCCCATACCTCCTTGCCCCTTTGCCATCTACAGTACCAAAAAATCTAGAGGAGGCTTCTAATGACTTGAACCCTTTAAAAGAATTCAGAACAAAGGTTCTAGTCACCCCTTTTGGGGTGTTCTGTTTTCTTTGTTGAGTTTCAAGAGTCATAGGCAGATTTTTCTTAGGTCTAAAGGTCTGTTTTTCTGTATTACATGACCTGACCTCTTTGGCTTTGGGGGTACCAGAGGTTATCTTGTACTGTGAGAGGATTTGACCTTGATGTGTGTAATGGTGGATGAGAGCTACAAAGTAGGGGTGGCTGAACACAGTCTACAGGAAATGCCCTTGGCTGTTGTTTATTTTTTCTCTCCTAGGAAGTTGTTGTTTAAGGAGCCTAATTCTAGTTCGGAGATGCATTCTAAGAGGTCTTGTCTACTACTTTGTCTCCCAAAAGTAATCTCAATTCGGCTTGTCTGTGTACATTTACATGAGGAACTGAACTGTTGTTTTCATAGATAAATGAGAGACTGAGTTTTCTCAGCTCTGAAGAGAAAGGGCATTTGCTCCTCCCAGCTGAAAGGTGCCCCTGGGTGACCGGGGGCCTTGTGGGAGTGTCTGGGGGGTTGACCCCCATGACATACAACAACCCCACAGGGAAATCTCCAACAAAAATTAATTTAAAAAAAAGACTCATCCAGGAAACACGTATAAAAACTGATCACCTGGCATTTTGAACCCTCTCAGAAGTCTTAGACCTCTGGAGAGAGAAACTGAGACACGTAAGAGGGTGAAACAACTTAGTGGTGACACATTGTGGAGTCTGGCCACAAGCAGCACACATCAAACCACCACACAAAAAACCTGAGGCCACAGCTCAGTTCCCCCTCTTCAGAAAAAAAGTGAGACATAATCTAATGAGGAGAAAACAAGGAGAATGACCTCCTTTTGAACACTCTGTAGGTTTTATGACACCTCTACTTGCCAGAGTTTATGTAAAATGGAATATGGTCCTTGTACACACTTACATTAGAGAAAAAGAGCCCTAAGTTTGACCTGCAAACTACGTTGTTCCTAAATTCTTTTTCGCTATTTTTCTCTTCTGCCTGCTTTAAATCTGCTGTTATTTTTCTCTTCAGATAAAAACCACTGTTTAGATCCAACATATTCATTTTGCAAGCTGGTGAATTTGTATTTATCTCATGGCTAAAGTTCTGAAGTAAAAACTATAAGGTGTGTGTGTATTTAAAAGGACTTTATAATTTCTATAATTTTATGTTCAAATGACAATTAAATTCATATTAATTTCCCTCTAACACAGACTTTTTCTCTCCATAACTTACGATGTAAATTTTGCCATTAGATTTTTACCCGAGTTGTTTCCTTTAATATACAAGTTTAAGACTATTTAACTGACAAGTGCCTAAGATAATAAAACAGGTTGTTAAGAATTTGAAAGTCTAAGATAGGAAAAAAAAAGTTTTTTATGAACTGATAGGAAGTACTTCCACTGGCATGCCTAATACATCTATGTATTTATGTGTTGTATATATAATATATATATAATATTTCACTACTGAAAATATATAAAAGAACTCTAATTGGCTTAAGAAAATAAAACACTTGAATCAAATACTTTATCAGGAAAAAAGAAAAGACTAGTCAAATGCTCTTTCAAGTTTATGTAACAAGTAAAATCTTTAATAAATTAACCTTAACATTATTGGTAAAGTAATATTAGAAATGTCTTAATAATTGCCAACATACATTGTTGTTTGCATTTATTAATTAAACAATTTCATTCTATCCCTGCCAAATACTATAAAGGTGTCAAAATTTGGTATAGGGGTTACAAAACTATAAACACAGCCCAAAAACAGAATGATCTTTGCTTGTGTAATTTCTTTTTTTTTTTTTGAGATGGAGTCTCGCTCTGTCGCCCAGGCTGGAGTGCAGTGGCGCAATCCCGGCTCACTGCAAGCTCCGCCTCCCAGGTTCACACCATTCTCCTGCCTCAGCCTCCTGAGTAGCTGGGACTACAGGTGCCCACCACCACGCCTGGCTAATTTTTTGAATTTTTAGTAAAGATGGGGTTTCACCATGTTATGAAGGATGGTCTCGATCTCCTGACCTTGTGATCCGCCTGCCTCGGCTTCCCAAAGTGCTAGGATTACAGGCGTGAGCCACTGCACCCAGCCAACTTGTGTAATCTTTAATAAGATATTGATATTCATTTAATAAAAAACTATATCTTGAATTTAGTAAGATTACCATAACTCCTAATTTTGTGACTTTAGACGGTCTAGTCTACAGGCAGTAAGGTTTGTTTGGGGAAGGGTTTGTTATCATCTTTGTTTCAAAGCTAAACTATAAATTCCTCCCAAAGTTAGTTCAGCCCACACCCCAAAATAAACAAGGACAACTTGGAGGTTAAAACTGAGATCACTGTCTCAGTTATAATTTTACAATGATGGTTCCATAACTTTAAATGATGATTATCACAGTTTTCAGAAATAATCTAGGTAAATGACTTCTGTCTAATTTAAAATGTATTTAAAGGTTATGTATAAAACAAGATAAAAGGAACCCAGAAGTAAGAAAGATGTGAAGAAAGTTATAAAAGTAAAGAGGTTTTTTTTTTTTTCGGTAAGAAAGCGTAAAGAGAAATGAGAAAGAGTCTTGTACGGTAGATTTAGTCCTAAAGTAAAATAACTGATGGTTTAAGAAAGAGGGATGTTCAGGACAAGCCAGAAAGTCCAAACATGTTATGAACAGTCTGTGTAAGTCACAATAAGAAAATTCATTTTTTAAAAAAGTTTTATATGATCAAGTTGTCAATTAAAGAGAAAGTATAATGATCTTTCTAGAAATTGGGCTTGATGTTAAAAAAAACACTTCTACACTAAATAATTGGTTAGAACAATGAAATTTTCTTAAGGGATTGACTTACTCTTAATAAATTACAAGAGATTTTAACTTTTTTTAGCCCAAAGTTCAACTTTCATTGCATCTCGCCATTTTCAGTTTTCTTTCTCCTTTTAAAGGGCACAAAATAGTAATGCTCTCCTTCAACTCATTTTCAGCTCATACTTTTAAATACAAGTACTTTTAAAGTACTTGTGACATTGAGTTATAGGACTTTGACTCCTGGGACTAAAAAGGACACCAAGTCCTGCTAAATCTTAAACACTGACAACAATTAAAGCCTCATCTTCAGGCCCAATAGAAGATGTCAATTAAAATAAACTACATTCCTGAAGTCACAGGGCCAGAAATTAAAATTATTCAACTCCTCAAGGCCCAGGGACTATCACAGAAGAGGTGAATATGTGAGATTTTTAAGGGCTGATTTTGAGAGATAAAATAAGTTCAGTTTCCCTATAAATTAATAATTAATATCAAAGACACACTGATACAAGACCAATGCATAAGCCCCTATGTCAGATTAACAAGGTTTTTTTGAAACATTAACTGACTCCTTAATAAAAGTTATAAAAGGTTTATGGAAATTATATCTTATGGTCAAGATTTAAAAAAAAAAATTTTTTTTGACACAGAGTCTCACTCTATCACCCAGGCTGGAGTGCAGTGGCGTGATAATGGCTCAGTGCAACCTCTGCCTCCTGGTTCAAGCAATTCTCCTGCCTCAGCCTCCCAAGTAACTGAGATTATAGGCACATGCCACCATGCCCAGCTAATTTTTGTATTTTTAGTAGAGACAGGGTTTCACCATGTTGGCCAGGCTGGTCTCAAACTCCTGACCTCAGGTGATCCACCCGCCTCAGTCTCCCAAAGTGCTGGGATTACAGGCTTGAGTCACCACACCTGGCCGAGATTAAAATTTTATAGATTGCTTATAAAATTTTTAAAAACAAGGGCTGGGTGCAGTGGCTCACACCTGTAATCCCAGCACTTTGGGAGGCCAAAGTGGGTGGATCATGATGTCAGGAGATCGAGACCATCCTGGCTAACGTGGTAAAACTCTGTCTCTACTAAAAATACAAAAAATTAGCCAGGTGTGGTGGCAGGCGCCTGTAGTCCCAGCTACTTAGGAGGCTGAGGCAGGAGAATGGCGTGAACCCCAGAGACGCAGCTTGCAGTGAGCCAAGATCACACCACTGCACTCCATCCTGGGCGACAGAGCAAGACTCCGTTTCAAAAAAAAAAAAATTGTAGTTGCCTTCATACTGTTTATTAGGACTTATTGTTTGGAAAATTAAGTGTCCTCTCTCAAAGAATGAAAGTTTTTGCCTTTTTTTGAAATCCTTGAGTTATCACTTTGGTCAAATGAATGACTTGTTTTACAATGACCTGTGTTTTTAACCTTTGATATTTTACAAAATTTCCAAAATCAAATTATAAATTTTGTCTTTTTCTGACCTAATTAATCCTTTAAGATATTAGGTTCCCTAAAGTCAAAATTTAATCCTTTAAGATATTGGGTTTCCCAAAAGTCCTAGTTTGAATTATTTTATATACAAATTATACAGGAAACAAGTCAAATCTAAAATGATATTTGACTTTATCTGGGCTGTATTTATATAAATATGTTATTGGTATGTGTTCCAAAATTATGGGAAATTCCTATAATTCTGATATGACTTAGTATACATTATCAGTAATTATAATTGTTATGTTAAATTATTGTGTGCCACAGAAGTAACAAATTTCCTTGTCAATTGTATGTCAGCTATGACTGACCTAAAACTTTGTCATCCACAGACAATTGTTGTTTGCTTTGGTCCTCTTTAGAAGGTGGCTTTATAAACAACCATAAAGCTCTAACAGATCCTCTTGAATACAAATTTCTGATAACTTTGGAGACTGTGACATCAGAATAGAAGAAAAATGTTTAAGATTCATGGAAAACGGAAATGTTTATAAATAGTGACCTAATAGAAGACTGAAATAATCTTTTTGACTTCTGACTTAAAACTTTATTGCTGATCCTTTGTTTTGTTTTTTTCATAGTCAAGGAAACTTTTCCTTTGAGCTATTGACAACTTTTAACAATTTAGTATATGCCTATGAACAAACTTTAAAACATATTTGTTTCTCTCTATCTGACTTCTCCAGAATTTACAAACTATTTATGAGTATTCTTAACTTTTGAAAATACAGTTATTTACAAAAGTACAGTAAGAATCTATTTTCATTTATAACAGGACACGACTAGAGAAACTGGTTATTTTACCAAGACTTTTGACTGGAATGGTGTGCTTTCCTTTAAAGAATCACACTTGACTTATGGAGCCAATAAAAGCCCCTTAGGAAAACTGGCCTCATACCTTGTTGACACAGTCCCTGTACAGGTCTTCAGCCAGGCTGACTTATGATAAGTAAAGAATGTCACTTTCTGACAGGCCCAGGAGCCCCAAGTTTATCTTGGAACCTCAAGAGGAGAAGAATTCACTCAACTCATAGGTATTTGATGGTACAAATCCATGACTGGGCTTGGCTTTTAAAAACTCTTATCTAAGTTTCTTTCTATGGAACAAAGTTCCATCAAAGCCAATTTAAAAGCCTATGTTAAAAAATTTTTCTTGCTATACTATATGCAAATAATCAGGCCAAGTATAATAAAACAAATCAGTCCTACCATGATTTGTCTTTAATAAAAATGGTAAACTAGACAGAGAAAAATTATATTTCAAAAACTATGGTACACCTGTTATTAGATTCTAGTCTTGCCTAATGTTGTTCGATTTTTATTATTTTCTACAGTTCAGACCAAATTCTAATTTTTCTTGGCTACAAGTCTTCAAAATAATGTTTTCAATTTTTTCTTCCCCCACATCTTTCCCAGTTTAGAGTCACTGAAAACTAAGCTGTGCTTTCATAAAACCCTACGAACTGAAACTAGACAACTTAAACTTCAGAAGAAAATAATAGCAACCTATTTACATACATAAGCCACTTTCATACCTGCCTACTAAAGTATGGACTTCAGAGTAATATGGCCTATACCAATTTTCCAATATTGTTCTTTTGTTTTTGTTTTTCTCCCTTCCTCCCCCTACTTTATCTTCATAGGACATGAGACTTCACAACTTACTAAAAATGAACTTTCCTAGTAACTCAAGACCTACCCATCTAAAAATAAACCATCCTAGCCATGAAACATCAGACAAAACCTGAGAGCAGATTAATTTTCTCCTAAAATGTTTTCTCCAAAAGATTTTAAAAAAGAAAAGGGGGGATGTGAAATGAAAATAAACCTTGGGACCCCCAAAATCACTAAAGGGAAAAGCCAAACTGAGAACTGCTTAGGACAAACCTGATTCTATTCAAAGTCACTGCTCTACTCACTGAGATATATACATATCTGATTGCCTCATTTGGAGAGGCTAATCAGAAACTCAATAGAATACAACCATTTGTCTCCTATCTACCTATGACCTGGAAGCCCCTCCCCACTTTGAGTTGTCCTGCCTTCGACTCAAGTTGTCTCACCTTTCCAGACTGAACCAGTATATATCTTAAACATATTGATTGATGTCTCATGTCTCCCTAAAATATATAAAACCACACTGTGCCCCTAACACCTTGGACCCATGTCATCAGAACCTCCTGAGACTGTGTCACGGACACACATCCTCAACCTTGACAAAATAAACTTTCTAAGCTAACTGAGACCTATCTCAGATTTTTGGGGTCCACAGTACCTATCAGCAGTTTCTTGGGATGAGAAAGAAGAGAGGGACGGGAATTTGGAGCTGGTGAGAAAGATAACCGTTGTTTGGATAACACAGACTAATTCCAGTCACTTCAACCTTTGTGACTTGGTTTTTCCTAACAGAAGTGGAGTTAACGTCCAACACCATCTGAAGATGGAAAACACTTAGTTTAGAATGTGCTTTCCCACTTTATATTTCACATTAAGTAAGCATTTTACTTTGACATTTCTCAATCTTCAGCCTCTCTTTCTTCCTGTTACTTCTTTGTGGTCTTCAGCCAGGCTGGAAAACTTGGTCTTCCTCGGATGTGTCCCTGTGTTTTCCAGCCTCCACCCCACTGTTCATCTGTCACTTCTACCTACCATGCTGACACTCAACAGCACTCTTCAGATCCTATCCATCCTGTAAGGCTCCTCCCCAAGTGCCAGCTCCCTTATCTGTGTTCCACACACACTTACTAAGTTCCTCCTCCCACTGAGAACATTGGCACTCTCTGCCGTCAGGCCCTGTATCACATGTTGCTACATGTCATTAGTGTCCTTGTTTAATGTTAGAGAGACAACCAGAGTAGTAAAAATAAGCTGTTCTGAGAATCATTTACCCAACGCTCTAATCCTAGCTCCACTTGGACATGAGACATATGGAGCAAGTCATATTTTCACACTGCTCTCAGCTTCTTGTTGCTGTGTGTGTGTGTGTGTGTGTGTGTGTGTGTGTGTGTAAGACAGAGAGAGAGGGGAGGGAGGGAAGAAGGGGGAGATGGGGGATGAGAGGGAGAGGGAGGAGAGAGGGAGGCTTGAGGTGAGATTCAAAAAGTTTTCCTGGTTCTAATAATTGAGAAATACTTCCTCCTCAACACTCTCCCACCGCAGGATTGTGAGTCCCTTTACAATAAAGTCTGCATCATTTTCATCTGAGTTCCCACAGCAAACAAGGCTTGCACTTAGACCACTTAGACACTCAATACATTTATCCAACCAATATCTTGTTTTATCCTTACAGTGCCCTGAGACAGTGACTCCAGCCACAGACCCAAGCCTTGGGAGGTACAAGGTGGCCTGCCAGGCCCACACAGTTAAGAACAAGCCAAAGAAAGACTAATTAGAGGAGAATGTCCAGGGAATGCACAAAGGACTACTTAATGCAAGTACTCCCATAGAGGGTCCTACCAGCCCTACAGGCTCTAGAGCAGGGGTTCTCCACTGGGGGTAATCTTGCCCTCCAGAGGACATTCAGCAATGCCTGAACATTTTTGGTTGTCACAACTGGGAGGGAGGGAGCAACTGGCATGTAGCAGATAGAGGCCGTAGAGGCTGCTTAACATCCTACAATGCACAGAACCCCACAACAAAGAGTTAACCAGCCCCAACATGTCAACAGGGCTATGGTTGAGAAGCTCTGTTCTATATATCCTCACTACACATCATGCACCTTCTCTCCTCTCCCATCTTTCCTTAATCTCATTTTCCCCTTTGTTTCCCAAGATAAGCAACAGATTCTAGATGATATTACCGGAATATGGGAGCTGTGGTATGACACACGTGAACACTCAAACTTACTTCCTTGTCATGAAGGCGTAAAATTCAGTCAAGATTTCAGAAAATCTCCTTACATCTTTTGAATCTTCCCAGCTTTTGAGGGGGAAGATTTTCCTGATTGTTTTCTACCAATTTCTTATGCCACGGGGTGAAGTTGGGTGGGCAGGAGGAAGGAACCAGGGTGCCTACCCCTCCTAAGTAATATTAGAAATACAGAGCATCATTTGACGAAAACTGATCTATGCCACTCTTCAAAGTTACAAAACAGACTAGGTGGCAAATATCCGCTTTACAAGAAAAGGAGAGGGCGTTTAAGAATCAGTTTAGGCCAGGCGCAGTGGCTCATGTCTATAATTCCAACACTTTGGGAGGCCAACATAGGAGGATTGCTTGAGCCCAGGAGTTCAAGACCAGCCTGGGAAACGTAGTGAGACCCTATCTAAAAAAAATAAAAACCCACTAAAACAGACAAGCAAATTAGCTAGGCATGGTGGCGTGGGCTTATAGTCTCATCTACTTGGGAGGTTGAGGTGGAAGAATCATTTGAGCCCAGGAGATGGAGGCTGCAGTGAGCTATGATTGCAACAATGCACTATAGTCTGGGTGACAGAGCAAGACCCCATCTCAAAAAAAAGGAAAAAGAATCAGTTTACAGATTTACAGATTGCCTGTCAACAGATACGAGAGCGAGAGAGACATTCATTAAGAGCTCAGGTGTTCAGAGCTGCTGCCAACAGAAAGAAAACGAAGCGAGAGAAGACAGCAGCCATTAGCAGATCCAATTTAGAAAAGCTGTTGGCACATAACTTTTCAGGAACACTATGTGTGAAGGACTCCTGTATCACAGTAAGTTGAAGTCAAGATGATACCCAGGGCCGCTAACATGATACCTCTCTTGGCCATTCTAAGCTTCTACAAAGAGTGCACCAACTCACTTGCTTTAGGATTTTCCCCATGTAACTAAAATAGGCTTCCTTCCTCCTCTTCTTTCTCCACCTCCTCTTCTTCCCAGTGGCTGAGTTGGCCCACTCATGCTTCTTTTTGACTGGGAAATAAAGCTCAGTCTTGTTCTTAGGGAATCTTAGGTCATTTAAGCAAATGAAATACATGTTGAAAGCTCAATCTTTAGGCCCCTAGCTCAGAGCACTGGCTGTAGGTCAGTGTGTGCTCCAAAAAGGTTTTATAGGGAGCGCTGAAGTATGCTTTCCTAATTAAATTAGTGATCACACCTGCAGAAGATGAAGGTGCTCAGAATCCTTAATAGATATTAGGTGTAGGCCGGCACAGTGGCTCACACTTGTAATCCCAGCACTTTGGGAGGCCGAGGTGGGAGGATCACTTCACCCCAGGAGTTTGAGACCAGCCTGGGCAACATGGTGAAACCCTGTCTCTACCAAAAAAAAAAAAAAATTGTCGGGCATGGTGGTACATGCCTGTGGTCCCAGCTACTTGGGAGGCTGAGGTGGGAGGATCACCTGAGCCCAGGAGATGGAGGCTGCAGTGAGCCGTGATCATGCCACTGCACTCCTGCACTCCATTCTGGGTGACAGAGTAAGACTCTGTTTCAAAAAAAAAAAAAAAAAAAAGATTAGGTGTAGACTCTAAACGAGAGAGGCTACTTTGATGCAATGGCCATTAATTTACCAGGCAACAGTCATTTCAGAAGTTATTCTTTTATTGTACCTAACTCAAGGTGTTTTTATTACATGATTCTTAGCCACTAAGATTTATATTCAAAAGACTGGGAGTGAAACCTGGAAGATAGATGTTTCTAAAGCAGGCCAGGTAAATCTAATGACCAACCAGATATGGAATTTATTGATCTATGAAAGCTTCCTGAAACAACTACACAAGATTTGGGTTGGAGTGGAGGAGGCATCTATTCACAGACATTGCACTTATGCCTTGTATTTGTATTTGCATCAGGAGAAAAACGCATCCTCTGAAAGGCAAGCACATACCTGGTTATGCAACAGCAATTAGGAACTTGGGTGACAGCATGAACAAAAATGCCAGGAAGTGACTGTATCTACAAGACTCAACTTTGAGAAATTGTAGATAGCCCATGAACTTCCTGCAATTAGTGTATCAGTTCAGCTACAAGGAATTGACCAGCCTGACACGAACGAACAGATAAGAGGACACCAGAGAACCAGGGTGTCAAAGGAGAGAAGAACCAGATCAGAACAGACACTCTTTCCCCTACTACTGGTTATAAGTTGCTTCAAAGCCTTGGTGCAAGGGACTGGCAGATAATAACAGTGCCGTCAACTTAGGAGCCCTAACTATGTCCCAGATGCCACACTAACATTCTTTATCCCATTTAATTATCAGAGCAACGCTATGAGGTAAGATATTAGCATTACTCCACTTAACAGAGAAGGACACTGAGGTTCAGAGGGCTTAAGTGACTTGCACAGGGTCATATACAGTGTCTGAGTGGCAAAGCCAGCCTTGGAGCCTTTGCTTTCTAACTCGCATTCTCTCTCCTTCCAAAACTGAACACCAGAGCCCCACAATGTTTGTAGTTACACATGTGCTCTACATAATTGCTACATGTATCAATTCATTGCTGGAGAATTTCAAATGTAACTTATTTATAGTGTAGGTTGAATTCTTCTGAATTATTTCTTTGATACTCTGCAAAGTCCTGAATTTAAAACCCTGAAAAAAAAATCTGAATAGTGCCTGAGTTAACAACAACGACAACAAAAACTAAACAGAATACCTCTGTGTACTGGAAAGGAACAAGTATGAAAGGAAAAGGTAGTTGCTTGTTGCCTGGTTGTCAAAACCATGCCCCCACCCCACCCCCAACTCTTACTCTCAAGTCACCAGTCTCATCTTTAAACTCTCTATTTTAAAATGCCATATATGGCTGGGTGTGGTGGCTCACGCCTGTAATCCCAACACTTTGGGAGGCCAAGGCGGGCGGATCACTTGAGGTCAGGAGTTCAATATCAGCCTGGCCAACATGGTGAAACCCCGTCTCTACTAAAAATACAAAAATTAGTCGGGTGTGGTGGTGGGCACCTGTAATCCCAGCTACTCGGGAGGCTGAGGCAGGAGAATCGCTTGAACCTGGGAGGTGGAGGTTGCAGTGAGCCGGGATTACACCACTGCACTCCAGCCTGGGCAACAGAGTAAGACTCTGTCTCAAAACAAAATAAATAAAATAAAATAAAATAAAATAAAATAAAATAAAATAAAATGCCATTTATACACAGAGCATGTATGATAGAGTGAATCAGAAGGTTTTTTGTTTTGTTTTGTTTTTGTTGTTTTTTGTTTGTTTTTGTTTTTTCTCATTATTTTAAACAAATTCAAGTCACACTTTAACACAGAGTGAATCAGAAGTTTTTTTTTTTGTTTTTTTGTTTTTTTCTTTTTTTATACTTTAAGTTTTAGGGTACATGTGCACATTGTGCAGGTTAGTTACATATGTATACATGTGCCATGCTGGTGCGCTGCACCCACTAACTTGTCATCTAGCATTAGGTATATCTCCCAATGCTATCCCTCCCCCCTCCCCCCACCCCACAATAGTCCCCAGAGTGTGATATTCCCCTTCCTATGTCCATGTGATCTCATTGTTCAGTTCCCACCTATGAGTGAGAATATGCGGTGTTTGGTTTTTTGTTCTTGCGATAGTTTACTGAGAATGATGATTTCCAATTTCATCCATGTCCCTACAAAGGACATGAACTCATCATTTTTTATGGCTGCATAGTATTCCATGGTGTATATGTGCCACATTTTCTTAATCCAGTCTATCATTGTTGGACATTTGGGTTGGTTCCAAGTCTTTGCTATTGTGAATAATGCCGCAATAAACATACGTGTGCATGTGTCTTTATAGCAGCATGATTTATAGTCATTTGGGTATATACCCAGTAATGGGATGGCTGGGTCAAATGGTATTTCTAGTTCTAGATCCCTGAGGAATCGCCACACTGACTTCCACAATGGATGAACTAGTTTACAGTCCCACCAACAGTGTAAAAGTGTTCCTATTTCTCCACATCCTCTCCAGCACGTGTTGTTTCCTGACTTTTTAATGATTGCCATTCTAACTGGTGTGAGATGGTATCTCATTGTGGTTTTGATTTGCATTTCTCTGATGGCCAGTGATGATGAGCATTTTTTCATGTGTTTTTTGGCTGCATAAATGTCTTCTTTTGAGAAGTGTCTGTTCATGTCCTTCGCCCACTTTTTGATGGGGTTGTTTGTTTTTTTCTTGTAAATTTGTTTGAGTTCATTGTAGATTCTGGATATTAGCCCTTTGTCAGATGAGTAGGTTGCGAAAATTTTCTCCCATTTTGTAGGTTGCCTGTTCACTCTGATGGTAGTTTCTTTTGCTGTGCAGAAGCTCTTTAGTTTAATTAGATCCCATTTGTCAATTTTGGCTTTTGTTGCCATTGCTTTTGGTGTTTTGGACATGAAGTCCTTGCCCATGCCTATGTCCTGAATGGTCATGCCTAGGTTTTCTTCTAGGGTTTTTATGGTTTTAGGTCTAACGTTTAAATCTTTAATCCATCTTGAATTGATTTTTGTATAAGGTGTAAGGAAGGGATCCAGTTTCAGCTTCCTACATATGGCTAGCCAGTTTTCCCAGCACCATTTATTAAATAGGGAATCCTTTCCCCATTGCTTGTTTTTCTCAGGTTTGTCAAAGATCAGATAGTTGTAGGTATGCGGCATTATTTCTGAGGGCTCTGTTCTGTTCCATTGATCTATATCTCTGTTTTGGTACCAGTACCATGCTGTTTTGGTTACTGTAGCCTTGTAGTATAGTTTGAAGTCAGGTAGTGTGATGCCTCCAGCTTTGTTCTTTTGGCTTAGGATTGACTTGGTGATGCGGGCTCTTTTTTGGTTCCATATGAACTTGAAAGTAGTTTTTTCCAATTCTGTGAAGAAAGTCATTGGTAGCTTGATGGGGATGGCATTGAATCTGTAAATTACCTTGGGCAGTATGGCCATTTTCATGATATTGATTCTTCCTACCCATGAGCATGGAATGTTCTTCCATTTGTTTGTATCCTCTTTTATTTCCTTGAGCAGTGGTTTGTAGTTCTCCTTGAAGAGGTCCTTCACATCCCTTGTAAGTTGGATTCCTAGGTATTTTATTCTCTTTGAAGCAATTGTGAATGGGAGTTCACTCATGATTTGGCTCTCTGTTTGTCTGTTGTTGGTGTATAAGAATGCTTGTGATTTTTGTACATTGATTTTGTATCCTGAGACTTTGCTGAAGTTGCTTATCAGCTTAAGGAGATTTTGGGCTGAGACAATGGGGTTTTCTAGATATAGAATCATGTCATCTGCAAACAGGGACAATTTGACTTCCTCTTTTCCTAATTGGATACCCTTTATTTCCTTCTCTTGCCTAATTGCCCTGGCCAGAACTTCCAGCACTATGTTGAATAGGAGTGGTGAGAGAGGGCATCCCTGTCTTGTGCCAGTTTTCAAAGGGAATGCTTCCAGTTTTTGCCCATTCAGTATGATATTGGCTGTGGGTTTGTCATAGATAGCTCTTATTATTTTGAAATACGTCCCATCAATACCTAATTTCTTGAGAGTTTTTAGCATGAAGGGTTGTTGAATTTTGTCAAAGGCTTTTTCTGCATCTATTGAGATAATCATGTGGTTTTTGTCTTTGGCTCTGTTTATATGCTGGATTACATTTATTGATTTGCGTATATTGAACCAGCCTTGCATCACAGGGATGAAGCCCACTTGATCATGGTGGATAAGCTTTTTGATGTGCTGCTGGATTCGGTTTGCCAGTATTTTATTGAGGATTTTTGCATCAATGTTCATCAAGGATATTGGTCTAAAATTCTCTTTTTTGGTTGTGTCTCTGCCCAGCTTTGGTATCAGAATGATGCTGGCCTCATAAAATGAGTTAGGGAGGATTCCCTCTTTTTCTATTGATTGGAATAGTTTCAGAAGGAATGGTACCAGTTCCTCCTTGTACCTCTGGTAGAATTCAGCTGTGAATCCATCTGGTCCTGGACTCTTTTTGGTTGGTAAACTATCGATTATTGCCACAATTTCAGCTCCTGTTACTGGTCTATTCAGAGATTCAACTTCTTCCTGGTTTAGTCTTGGGAGAGTGTATGTGTTGAGGAATTTATCCATTTCTTCTAGATTTTCTAGTTTATTTGCGTAGAGGTGTTTGTAGTATTCTCTGATGGTAGTTTGTATTTCTGTGGGATCGGTGGTGATATCCCCTTTATCATTTTTTATTGTGTCTATTTGATTCTTCTCTCTTTTTTTCTTTATTAGTCTTGCTAGTGGTCTATCAATTTTGTTGATCCTTTCAAAAAACCAGCTCCTGGATTCATTGATTTTTTGAAGGGTTTTTTGTGTCTC
This sequence comes from Homo sapiens, assembly GCF_000001405.40. NCBI lineage: Eukaryota > Metazoa > Chordata > Mammalia > Primates > Hominidae > Homo > Homo sapiens. The sequence goes on along the minus strand of NC_000017.11, from coordinate 32,890,169 downwards.
TATTTCCTTCAGTTCTGCTCTGATTTTAGTTATTTCTTGCCTTCTGCTAGCTTTTGAATGTGTTTGCTCTTGCTTTTCTAGTTCTTTTAATTGTGATGTTAGGGTGTCAATTTTGGATCTTTCCTGCTTTCTCTTGTGGGCATTTAGTGCTATAAATTTCCCTCTACACACTGCTTTGAATGCGTCCCAGAGATTCTGGTATGTTGTGTCTTTGTTCTCGTTGGTTTCAAAGAACATCTTTATTTCTGCCTTCATTTCGTTATGTACTCAGTAGTCATTCAGGAGCAGGTTGTTCAGTTTCCATGTAGTTGAGCGGCTTTGAGTGAGATTCTTAATCCTGAGTTCTAGTTTGATTGCACTGTGGTCTGAGAGATAGTTTGTTATAATTTCTGTTCTTTTACATTTGCTGAGGAGAGCTTTACTTCCAACTATGTGGTCAATTTTGGAATAGGTGTGGTGTGGTGCTGAAAAAAATGTATATTCTGTTGATTTGGGTTGGAGAGTTCTGTAGATGTCTATTAGGTCCGCTTGGTGCAGAGCTGAGTTCAATTCCTGGGTATCCTTGTTGACTTTCTATCTCGTTGATCTGTCTAATGTTGACAGTGGGGTGTTAAAGTCTCCCATTATTAATGCGTGGGAGTCTAAGTCTCTTTGTAGGTCACTCAGGACTTGCTTTATGAATCTGGGTGCTCCTGTATTGGGTGCATATATATTTAGGATAGTTAGCTCTTCTTGTTGAATTGATCCCTTTACCATTATGTAATGGCCTTCTTTGTCTCTTTTGATCTTTGTTGGTTTAAAGTCTGTTTTATCAGAGACTAGGATTGCAACCCCTGCCTTTTTTTGTTTTCCATTTGCTTGGTAGATCTTCCTCCATCCTTTTATTTTGAGCCTATGTGTGTCTCTGCACATGAGATGGGTTTCCTGAATACAGCACACTGATGGGTCTTGACTCTTTATCCAATTTGCCAGTCTGTGTCTTTTCATTGGAGCATTTAGTCCATTTACATTTAAAGTTAATATTGTTATGTGTGCATTTGATCCTGTCATTATGATGTTAGCTGGTGATTTTGCTCGTTAGTTGATGCAGTTTCTTCCTAGTCTCGATGGTCTTTACATTTTGGCATGATTTTGCAGCGGCTGGTACCGGTTGTTCCTTTCCATGTTTAGTGCTTCCTTCAGGAGCTCTTTTAGGGCAGGCCTGGTGGTGACAAAATCTCTCAGCATTTGCTTGTCTGTAAAGGATTTTATTTCTCCTTCACTTATGAAGCTTAGTTTGGCTGGATATGAAATTCTGGGTTGAAAATTCTTTTCTTTAAGAATGTTGAATATTGGCCCCCACTCTCTTCTGGCTTGTAGGGTTTCTGATGAGAGATCCGCTGTTAGTCTGATGGGCTTCCCTTTGAGGGTAACCCGACCTTTCTCTCTGGCTGCCTTTAACATTTTTTCCTTCATTTCAACTTTGGTGAATCTGACAATTATGTGTCTTGGAGTTGCTCTTCTCGAGGAGTATCTTTGTGGCGTTCTCTGTATTTCCTGAATCTGAACGTTGGCCTGCCTTGCTAGATTGGGGAAGTTCTCCTGGATAATATCCTGCAGAGTGTTTTCCAACTTGGTTCCATTCTCCCCATCACTTTCAGGTACACCAATCAGACGTAGATTTGGTCTTTTCACATAGTCCCATATTTCTTGGAGGCTTTGCTCATTTCTTTTTATTCGTTTTTCTCTAAACTTCCCTTCTCGCTTCATTTCATTCATTTCATCTTCCATCACTGATACCCTTTCTTCCAGTTGATCGCATCGGCTCCTGAGGCTTCTGCATTCTTCACGTAAGTCTCGAGCCTTGGTTTTCAGCTCCATCAGCTCCTTTAAGCACTTCTCTGTATTGGTTATTCTAGTTATACATTCTTCTAAATTTTTTTCAAAGTTTTCAACTTCTTTGCCTTTGGTTTGAATGTCCTCCCGTAGCTCAGAGTAATTTGATCGTCTGAAGCCTTCTTCTCTCAGCTCGTCAAAGTCATTCTCCATCCAGCTTTGTTCCGTTGCTGGTGAGGAACTGCGTTCCTTTGGAGGAGGAGAGACGCTCTGCGTTTTAGAGTTTCCAGTTTTTCTGTTCTGTTTTTTTCCCATCTTTGTGGTTTTATCTACTTTTGGTCTTTGATGATGGTGATGTACAGATGGGTTTTCGGTGTGGATGTCCTTTCTGTTTGTTAGTTTTCCTTCTAACAGACAGGACCCTCAGCTGCAGGTCTGTTGGAATACCCTGCCGTGTGAGGTGTCAGGGTGCTCCTGCTGGGGGGTGCCTCCCAGTTAGGCTGCTCGGGGGTCAGGGGTCAGGAACCCACTTGAGGAGGCAGTCTGCCGGTTCTCAGATCTCCAGCTGCGTGCTGGGAGAGCCACTGCTCTCTTCAAAGCTGTCAGACAGGGACATTTAAGTCTGCAGAGGTTACTGCTGTCTTTTTGTTTGTCTGTGCCCTGCCCCCAGAGGTGGAGCCTACAGAGGCAGGCAGGCCTCCTTGAGCTGTGGTGGGCTCCACCCAGTTGGAGCTTCCGGCTGCTTTGTTTACCTGATCAAGCCTGGGCAATGGTGGGCGCCCCTCCCCCAGCCTCGCTGCCGCCTTGCAGTTTGATCTCAGACTGCTGTGCTAGCAATCAGCGAGATTCCGTGGGCATAGGACCCTCCGAGCCAGGTGTGGGATATAATCTCGTGGTGCGCCGTTTTTTAAGTCAGTCAGAAAAGCGCAGTATTCGGGTGGGAGTGACCCGATTTTCCAGGTGCGTCCGTCACCCCTTTCTTTGACTCGGAAAGGGAACTCCCTGACCCCTTGCGCTTCCCAGGTGAGGCAATGCCTCGCCCTGCTTCGGCTCGCACACGGTGCGTGCACCCACTGGCCTGCGCCCACTGTCTGGCACTCCCTAGTGAGATGAACCCGGTACCTCAGATGGAAATGCAGAAATCACCCGTCTTCTGCGTTGCTCATGCTGGGAGCTGTAGACCGGAGCTGTTCCTATTCGGCCATCTTGGCTCCTCCGTGAATCAGAAGTTTTAATGCAAATAACATATACAAATTGGCAGGTAACAATCAAGGCTCCATGGGATGGCACTCTTCACACGGAATGGGGAAATGGGAAGAGTTGTGCCAGGAGGGACGTAAACCAGGGCTTTATGTCAGGAGGAGGCTGGAGAGCATTCGGGGAATGGGAAGAAGAAATGTGATGCTGCAGTGAGGGTGTAGCACAGAGGGAATTCACTCATTCAAATATATTCAGGAAGGGCCAGGTGCAGTGGCTTATGCCTCTAATCCCAGCATTTTGGGAGGCCAAGGCAGGAGGATTGGTTGAGCCCAACAGTTTGAGACCAGCCTGAGCAACATAGGAGACCCTGTCTCTATGAGACCAGCCTGAGCAACATAGGAGACCCTGTCTCTACAAAAAATTTAAAAAAATAAATAAATAAGCCAAGCATGGTGGCATGTGCCTGTAGTCCTATATAGTCCTAGCTACTCAGGAGGCTAAGGTAGCAGAGTTGTTTGAGCCCAGGAGTCTGAGGCTTCAGTGAGCTGTGATCGCACCACTGCACTCCAGTCTGACAGAGCTAGACTCTGTCTCTTATTTTAAACACACGCAAACACACGCACACACACGCAGAGGAAGTTTTGATCCCTTACTAAGTGCAAGGCCCAGGGCTATACATGTAAATGGTAATAAATCAACAGGAATCATAAAACTCACATAGAGGAAAATCACAGCGTGACCAGAAGCTCACAGGCATCAATTAGAAATCTCAGTCTGCTAAAAAGGACATGCTACAACTTATCTGCTTCTAATAATTCCCTATTCTGAAGATAACAGAAGCAATTGCACTAATAGCAATGCTAGCTTGTATTTACTGAGTGCTTACTGCCCGCCTTAAATTACATGAAGCACTTTATAGATGTCACCTCACTTCACACTTCGAGGTGGGTTTTTCTCATCTTTATTAAAGGTGAGGAAACTGAGGCTTACGCAGATGAGCTAATTTGTTCAAGGTCATACAGACCTAGGACTTGAACTCCAGTGTATGACACCAAAATTCCCCTCAATATTTCTCCAAGTTTGGTTGGCCCCCTGTCCACCTGCAGCAGAATCTCCTGGGCTGCTTATTAAAATTCAGATCTCTAAGCCTCTGGTGCAGGTACCCAAAGTTTGGGTACCACTGTGCCACCACTGCCTCCTGAGTATGGGGAGGATGCTACTCTGAACAGAATCCTATTCAGTTCAGGAGAGCTAATTAGAGACTTGGAAAGGATGAGAACACTAAGAGAAAGTGACACTGTGAGGAGATAAGCAAAGTCACACTGAGACATTGAGACGCTGGACCTCAAAAAGATCGGTGAAATAAGAGTTGGAATTTTATGGACAGAAACTCTAAAGACAGGTCAACTTGAGAAAAGTAGGAGGCTCCTTTCTACCTGGCCCTGACCTTGGCCCCCCAGCTTGATTACAATTCACTTCAAGCTGGTCCTACCTTGGTGGCATATAAGCTCCAAAGGACAAATCAAGCTCATAAATAGGGATAATGAGGAACAAGAAGATGGGACAGTTGGGAGCTGGTTGGCATACAGGGCATGCAGCGAGTCTGGGCAGTGGTTCAGGACTAAGAGTGAGTGAGATGTTTGTTTGTTTTGTTTTGAGATGGAGTCTCGCTCTGTCGCCCAGGCTGGAGTGCAGTGGTGCAATCTCAGCTCACTGCAACCTCCGCCTCCTGGGTTCAAGTGATTCTCCTGCCTCAGCCTCCTGAGTAGCTGGGATTACAGGCATGCACCAGCATGCCCAGCTAATTTTTGTATTTTTAGCAAAGATGGGGTCTCACCATGTTGGTCAGGCAGGTCTCAAACCCCTGACCTCGTGATCCATCCACCTCGGCCTCCCAAAGTGCTGGGATTACAGATGAATGAGCTGTTTTTATGTAGATATACCTTCTGGGCATGAGGGAGGCCTAATGAGGCAAATGTCCCAGGTAGGTGCAGACATTGTGGCATATTACAGAGGGGATTCAGGCATTGGATGAGATATTGGGTTACATGACCTCTGGGATCTCCTAGATTGAAACTTTTCCCCTGTATAATTTCTTCAGGGTTCAGGTTGTCAGATTTGGATATAAGCATGGCTCACATTATTTATACCTCTAGATATTCTGAAGAATTAATCCAGTTGGTTGGAAAAAGTCAGAGGGTCATGCTATGCATTTTATTTCAGGATCTTAACCCTAGGAGATGGATACTGCTGCAGCTTACCAGTTGAGAAACTGAGAAACTCTGGGTAAAAGGCAGGAGGAAAGCAGTTTGGGGGAGCAGATTATCCATCACCCTAAATATGATGTTGCACTCTTCCTGGAATGTCAATTCTGCAGATACTGACCCAATATGAATGCTAGGTGAAACTAGTACTAACTAGTACTAGGTATTAGATATTGTAGTAGTAGATGTATCTAGTACTAGTTATTATTATCGTATCTTGTACTAGTTACTAGATATTGTTGGGTTTGAAAGAAAACCATTCCAATTCATTTCTTCCCTCCACCTGACAAAGTAGCAAAGTACTTGGAATTGGAACGGTTTTCTTCCAATCCCAACAATATCTCCTCTTTAACCTCTACTCTAAACTTTTAGGAGAAAAAGGGGACAGAGAAAATGAAGACATCATCCCAATATTTACAAATGGGAAAGGAACAGAAGTTCTGGGGGTACCCAGAGAAGATCTAGGGTGTTGCTCTCCCTCACTTCTACTTACCTTACCTCCTGAACTTCATCTCACGAAGTGCAATTTCTCTCTTTTTAAATTTTTTTAAATTGTTTAATTTTTTGTTGTTGTTGTTGAGACAGAATCTCACTCTGTCACCCAGGGTGGAGTGCAGTGGCCCGATCTTGGCCCACCCGGGAACCTCGGCCTCCTGGGTTCAAGCAATTCTCCTGCCCCAGCCTCCCGGCGCAATCTCTTAATTGAATGTCCATGCTGGATAGTGGAAACTACCCATTACATGACCCAAACCACATATTTTGAGTTCTGGTCTCAGCTCTACCACTGCCTCACTTTGATCTAGTTAGTCAGCCACTCTTCCTGGGACTCGGTTTGTCCGTCTGTAAAGGAGGATGTTTGATATGACCAAACATATCCTCCTTTACAGATATCATCATACTTAAACATGATGTTCAAGTAACAACATTCTATTCCTTAGAATCTTGCTACCTAAAGTGTGGTCTCAGAACCAGCAGCATCAGCATCACTTGGGAGCTTATTAGAAGAGCAGAATTTCAGGACCCAGACCTACTAAATCAAATTCTGCATTTTTGACAAGATCTCTAAGTGATTTTTCTTTTTCTTTTTCTTTTTTTTTTTTTTTTGAGACGGACTCTTATTCTGTCACCAGGCTGGAATGGAATGGCACGATCTCGGCTCACTGCAACTTCCGCCTCCCGGGTTCAAGTGATTCTCCCGCCTCAGCCTCCCGAGTAGCTGGGACTACAGGCACCCACCACCACGCCCAGCTAATTTTTGTATTTTTAGTAGAGACGGAGTTTCACCACGTTGGCTAGGATGGTCTCCATCTCTTGACCTCGTGATCCGCCCGCCTCGGCCTCCCAAAGTGCTGGGATTACAGGCGTGAGCCACGGCGCCTGGCCCCCTAAGTGATTCTTCTGCACTTTAAAGCTTGAGACATCCTGCCTTAAGACACCATCAATCCATGAATAGATTGTGATATGTCTTTTTGTTTTCCCTCTCATGGGTTCCTATCACACTCCCAAACTTTCTAGCTCTAGGACTGCTTTCAATGGCAGAATAGCTTGAGATTTAGTGATTATTTGGTTTGGGGCTTAAGGAAAGGCCATATGGCCCTTAAAATGGAACAATACATCTACACACATCCATTTACTAATTAACTTGCTAATTAATTCACCTACTACACTCAAGAAATACCTGTTGGGTACCAGGCACAGTTTGAGGGGTTGTAGATATAAGGATGAGTTGGGCACAGCCCCTGTCCTAGAGAGTTTAGGGATATGCCTGAACAGCCAACTCCAACCCAGAGTGATAAACACTTCTGTAATTCCTAAAGAAGATGCATTCCCTTTGAATGTTTATAGTCAGAAACTACGTCATGGCAAGCAGGAATAATTCTGGAGGCAGTTCCAGGTTGTCCGCCTCCACCCTCTGATTCTATCTTTCCTGTGGCCTTACATCTGTGGCTTGTCTGCCCACACAGGGGGATGAGTTATTGGGACAGTCCCTGTCTGGTGACTCACAGGATACTGACAGTGATGGCTTGCTATAATTCTTCTCCATTCCAAAATAATCAGGAATTGTGGTGTGATCTTTCCCTTAGCTCAGGAGTCCTTAACTTGGGGCCCGTAGAAGAGAGGTTACTTCCAGGGGTGGAGGTGAATTGGTGGCCCGTGGGCAAACTGTTCTGTGTATGTGCTTAATATATTTGTCTCAAGAGAAAAAGTCCACAAGTGTTTTTGTTTTGTTTTGAGACAGAGTCTCGCTCTGTTGCCCAGGCTGCAGTGCAGTGGCACGATTTCAGCTCACTGCAACCTCCGCCTCCCGGGTTCAAGCAATTCTCCTGCCTCAGCCTCCTGAGTAACTGGGACTACAGGTGCGTGCCACCATGCCCAGCTAAGTTTTGTATTTTTAGTAGAAACGGGGTTTCACTATGTTGGCCAGGCTGCTCTTGAACTCCTGACCTCATGATCCATCCGCCTCAGCCTCCCAAAGTGCTGGGATTACAGGTATGCGCCACTGTGCCCAGCCGGAAGTCCACACGTTTTTATTAAAGGATGATGAAACCTAAAATTGAGAAGTAGTGCCTTGCTACTCTCCTCTTGCTGCCGACACCCTTGTAGTACCGGCTCCTTCCTTCTCTTCCTCCTCTATCTCCTCCCCTCTTCAGCTGACATCTCCCAACACCCTCTGTGCTTAGCCTGATTAGTTAAAAGGAGCTCTGTCTGTGGTATCACAGTCACTCCAGTCCCCAACTCAACACCATCACAGGTAAGCACAGCTGGACCACAGGAACAATGGAGAAAAGAAGTGTCTAGAACTCAAAGCCAAGTCGTTAGCAATTGGCTTGCTAGTCTTCTGTCTTTAAGAGTTAGAGGTGAGAAGATGAACTTTAAAAATCACTTTTTGGACTTTCAGGATGGTTCAGGGTAGTGATCCCTGCCATGAAAACTCCCTTTCCTTTGTCCTGTGAGATGTCTAGAGTGTCAGGTTGGGGGTTAGGGGAGAGAGGGGACTCTACAGGTGGGTAAAAGTCATTAATGACATCAGAGAGGCAACTGTCAGGTCTCTTTATACTTAAAGAATTTTTTGGCTTCAGAAGCCATGAAAAGTACATATGCTATTTCTGATGTATCATTCTTAGTTCAAATCCAGGCTCATGCAGTAAAGAGGAGGAGGTATGTTTTGGATATTTTCTAAGGCAGAGTTCCAAATCATTTCTATATGGCTGTAAGTACGTAATGAAGTTATTTTGCAACATATGTTTGCCTTTCTACTTCTGCTCTGTGATAATTTGGGATTATAAAATAAATTTATAAAATGCCCTTTGAATATGCTGTGTGACTATTGTTGTTGTTGTTTTTTTCCTAGCTGTCTTATTTCTGTCTTGCCAGACTCATGCTGAAAGAGTTGTCTTCCTTGGATGCAAAGCCTCTGGTAAAGGGAGGGAGGGCAGGGCAGCCCAGAAACATTCTGGGAAAGTTGAATGGGAATAAACATTTGTGGTGGAAAATTCAGGGTTGATTTTCGTGGATCATCAAGAGTAGACCCTCTGCAGTGGCTGGTAACTACAGAAGGGTTTTTGGAACAGTAGCTTTTGTTCAGTGTGAACACACAGTGTGCAGGCCTGGTCCCAGGGGAGAAATAAACACAGCCCTGAGATCTGCTTCCGGGGCAGGAGATGAGACTGAGGTTAATGTTGTACAATGACTAATTTGCAATGCAGAAAACTACCAAGGGGGGTGGATTTACAGTCTCACATTTTATGACCCATAGGTTCACAGACCATTCCATATTCATTTATCAAGCAACAGTTTATTAAGCACTTCATCTCTTAGCACTATGCTAGGAGGTGCCAGAATTACATTTACATCAAAAACCAGAAAAGACAGCTTCCAGCCCTCATGGCCCTTACAAACGAGTGAGAGAGACAGACAGTAGGCTCAAGGGCATTTAGTACTGTAATGGGGGCAGCACTTCCAGGATGCTGCAGGAGGCACAGAGGAGGAACAGCCAATTCTGACTCAGGAGATTATGGAAGCCTTCTTGGAGGAAGTGATGTTGAGACTGAGAGCGGAGGGATGAGCGGAAGTTAGCTAGGTCATAGGAGTGAGGGGTGGGGTGGCGGGGAGAACTTCAGGCAGAGAACAGGATGCACCTTCTCAGGGGCATATGGGTATATTTGACATCTAATTATTTTTGTTTTTAGAATTACCTGTTCAGTGTTTATAATCTCCTAGCACATCTATGCCAAATAGAGCTAAGAGGTACCCTGGACCAGGGTTTTCAAAAATATCTGCTGGTTCTTCAGTTCTGGAAGGTTTGCAAAATTCTGATGTGACTTTGATTTCTAAGTGTTATTTAATATTTTTAAATTAAAAATTTTTATTTAGCACAGTTTTAGATTACTATTTAATTTTTAAGTTTAAATTTCAGGCCGAGTGTGGTGGCTCACACCTCTAATCCCAGCACTTTGGGAGGCTGAGGTGGGCAGATCATGAGGTCAGGAGCTTGAGACCAGCCTGACCAACATGGTGAAACCCCGTTTCTACTAAAAATACAAAAATTAGCTGGGCATGGTGGCATGCACCTGTAGTCCCAGCTACTCAGGAGGCTGAGGCAGGAGACTCGCTTGAACCCGGGAGGCGGAGGTTGCAGTGAGCCGAGATCGTGTCACTGCACTTCAGCCTGGGCGGCAGAGCAAGACTCCGTCTCAAAATAAATGAATAAATTTCAAACTAATTGCAAAGTTACAGAAAAGTTGTGAGGATAGTACAAAAGAAAATCCCCTCAAAAGTCCCATATATTTTTAATGACTTTACCACTTGTTAGTATTTTGCATCATTTGCTTTAATCATTTATATGTCTACCAATATATATGCACGCCCTCCTTCCACCTCCTCATCTTATTATTTTTATTATTCTTGCCAAACAGTTCGAGACATCATTTTACTCCTAAATACTTTAGCAGATACCTGCTAGAAACAAGGACATTATCTTGCAGAATCCCAGTAAAATGATCAAGTTCAGAAAAACTAGCATTGATACTATCCTACTATCTAACATCGCGTCTATATTTGAATTTCACCAATTATCCCAACAATGTCCTTTACATTTTTCTGGTTGGAGATCCAGTCCAGAATCACCCATTGCCTTTAATAGTGATGTGCCTCAGCCTCTTTGTCTTTCACATCATTGATATTTTTGAAGAATACAGGTCAATTGTTTTGTAGGATGCCCCTTAATGTGAGTTTGTTTGATGCTTCTTCATGATTAGATTCCATTTACGTATTTTTAGCAGGTAAATGATATGTGTCTTTTTCAGGAGACCATATCAGGAGGCTCATGGTGTCTGTGTGTCTCATGATTGGGGATATAAACTTTTATTTGTTTTATTTTTTGTATATTTTAAACTGTAACAAAAACATGCATCTCCAAATGTGTTTCTATTCAAATTTTATCACAAAGAACATTCATAATGAGCTAATCTGCTCTAGGTTACCTTGACTGAATGCAGACCAGAGTATTCAGTCTCTCCTGCCGGCTGTGCATATACCTGAACTTTGCTCAAGTGTGTCATTGATTAATAATGTTGTAACTGCACATTGGCCTAGAAATGCTGAATGTAAAGTTGTATGGGTAACAAATTACTGCTTAGTTATACAAACAAGAATTTGCTTGACACAGTACAATGAAAACAACATACAAAAGTAAACTGGAATCCTGAGGCTAATAGTGAGCCCCATTGAGCAGATTTGGGTTCATCATGAGAGCATCAATGCCTAATTTTATACTAATTTGGACTTATACAAGAAATTAATAAAATACCCTTTGCATATGTTGTATATGTGTTTTATATGTTGGGTTCCTATATAAGATGTTGATTAAAATGAGGATCTCTTACTTTGGCCATTTGGAAACCACATTGTATCCCACCATAGCTCCTAACCACTGTACAATTTCTGCAACTCTCTCATCATCTGCAAGCCGTGATGTTTCTTTTCCTGGTACCTGGGATTTTGCCCTAATTTTTAACACCTACAGAGCTCAGGGAACACACATATATAATTTACCAAAAGGTTTTGGGGTGTGGTCCCTGGATGCTCCAAAGTGCATACAGTTTGAGATTTCTTTCTTTCCTTCTTGAAGTTCAGTTCTGCTTATGTTAAAACATGCCAATACAAACATTAGGAATACAACCATACCCTATGCAATAACCTACTTAGCCACTGACCGACACCTCCACAAATGACCCAACCATAGGACAGTCCTACCTTATTCCAGAGCTTTTATTCCACAAATGAGGACACTGATATCGAGACAGGTGGATCTCCTCCTTCTGAAGGACAGCTGCTAACGGTAGTCAGATGCAACCCAGCTCTGCTGGTGCCAGGGATTGGGGTGGTTTTCTGATGGCAGAGGCAGTCCCTCAGGAGGTGACAAAGCTCCTTTCCTTTCTCTTAGCAAGTGTGGGTGGCTGGCAGCTGAAGCAGGCCTTGGGCAAGGTCCTTCAGTCTGGTTTACTCATCTCAAACTCAGCCAGAGTTGAAGCCCAGCCAGGTCCTTGGAGGCCTCTAGATTTCCTCGTAGATTTTGTAATAGAAGATGTCCTAACAGAAACACAGGACTGAATAAATGTAGATACCTTAGAAAGTCATTTATTTAAAAAAAATAGCTGGGCATGGTGTCATACACCTGTAGTCCCAGCTGCTCAGGAGGCTGAGGCTGGAGGATTGCTTGAGCCCAGGAGTTTGAGGTTGCAGTGAGCTGTGATTGCACCACTGCACTCCAGCCTGGGTGACAGAGGGAGAATTTGTCTCCAGAAAAAGAAAAAAAAAAAAAAAAGAAAGAAAGTCATTTGTAGTATATTTTCTTTGGGAAAATACATTGAGTTCAAAAAGAATTTTCCAAGCTCAACCAATGTATCAATAAATTGGAGACTACTTACAACTCACTTCATTCCACTGAACCAGTATGGATTTCATATTTATATATGCAAAGTAGTACAATAGTTATTTGGTGGATGCAAAAAGAATGGTCCCATGCTCAAGACATCCGCAATAATCCTGGAGAGATGATACAAAGATATATTAAAAACTTAATAATCATATAAGGTAATGTCTGATGACATGCTCGGATGAGTGGAAGAGAAAATGGGCCACTGAAGAATGGAGGTAGTCAGACGTGGTTGAACGCTGCGGCTCCTAAGTCAAATGACCTGCGTGAAACCGCAGCTGCTCCACTTCCTAGTCGTATGGCAAGTTTCTTAAAAGTTCTCTAAGGCGCTGAGAACAGCTCTGGGCATTTTTGGTGCCCCAAAAATGTTAGCCATTATTATTACCTCTCAGTCTGTGCTTGAACCACCACTTCAAGAATGGGCAGGGTGTGAGTAGAGAGGCGGGAGTGGGTTTTGGAGCAGGGTGACAGAATCATAATGAATTGTCCTCGCGAAAAGCTCCACGAACTACTTTTCTAACTTTGTTGGCAGCTACCAAGTGTGGGCGGCAGGCGGCCATCCTCTTGGCCGCCTGAGATCCCAGCGCCTGTCCCCAGGGGGCGCTGCCACCCAGCTGCCGCCGCCCGGCCCAGCGCGCGTCCCCGCCGCCCACCCGCGCGTGCGCGCCGCCCAGGTGAAGAGGCGGCGGCCAGGGCCGCGGCTGGGGCGGGCTCCTCAGTGGGCCGGGAGGGGCGGAGCCGGGAGGCCCGGGCGGGGCGGAGCCGGGACGAGCCCCAGGCTGGAGGCGGGACCAGCCGCTGCCGTCTCCGTCTCGGTGTCCCGGCCCCTACAGCGCCCGGCAGCCGCGGCGGGAGGAGCGGAAACTGTCGGGTGCGTCCCGTTCGGAGCCGCGCCGGCCGAGAAGGCGCCGAGGAGCAGCGAGGCGGCCTCTGTCCGGCCCGGACCCGCCGAGCGGCGTGCGCGCCCCCTCCCCGTAGCCTCGCGGCGCGGCCTCGCCCCGGCCCCTCCCGAGCTCATCGCGGGCCCACGGAGCGGCCCCGGAGGCCCGAGCGCGCCCACCTGAGCCCCCGCGCTGGCGCCATGGCGGAGCAGGAGAGCCTGGAATTCGGCAAGGCAGACTTCGTGCTGATGGACACCGTCTCCATGCCCGAGTTCATGGCCAACCTCAGGCTCAGGTGAGGGCGGAGCGGCCGCGCGCAGGGGCGCGAGGCTGCGCTTTCCCGAGAGGGGGCGCCTCGGGGCGCGGCCGGATCCGGGGTGTCGGGAGCGCCCAAGCTCCAGGGATGGAGGCGCGGCCGGGCTGCGGTGTCCGGGGGTCTGCCAAGCTCCGCGGCTGCGCTTTCCCGAGAGCGGACGCCCCTGGGGTGCGGCCGCTTTGGGGTGCGGGGGGCGTGTCGAGCTCAAGGGCCGCGCTTCCCTGAGAGGGGAGCCCTGGGCGCTGTCCGGGGTTTAGGTGCAGAGGGTGTGCCGCGCGGGAGGGCGCGCTTCCCCGCGCCAGGTGAGGGATGTGGGCGGGCCGGTGACCTCATGGAAACTGAAGGGAAATAACTTGAACGAGAGTTGCGGTGGCCCCGAAGGCCCTAGGAGGACTGGAGGATTATTTTGGAGAGAGGCTGGCGTCTCATCCCGGCTTTACACTTGCTTCTTTTCTTTCTTTCTTCGCCCTTCTTTTTTTTTTCCTCCTGGCGTAGTTCCATCCTGTCATTCAGGATGCTATGGAGTGATCCCTGAGCTGTCTGTTCCGGGACACTGGCTATTTTTTTAGTTACTCTCTAAACGTAATTAGACACGTTTCCAGACATCGAAGAGACTGCTGTACTTGCCAGTGCCAAGATAAACTGTCTGAATTTGACAAGACGTTCATGGTTTTGGTTTTTTTCAAGGAGTTAGTGGATGGAGCTCTTGTGTTATTAACATCCTTGAGAACGTAGTCACAACTCAACGCCCCAAAATGGGCTTCCAAGATGTGGATTTGTTTTAGAAAGCCCTTTACATGCGATTATTTCACCCTTGATAGAGTAATATGTAAACAGTTTTAAAGTAGTTTGACTTAAACATTAAAGTAAGTGGAATTTCAAAATAGCTGAGTTTTGGTGTGCGTGTGTATGTTTCCCTGCAAGCTTTGGCTGCATTTCTTCTAAGGTTTATAGCTAAACATCATTCCTTAAGCTTATAAAGTGAAAGTCATAATCTAGGCTTGGGTGCTTAACCCTAATTTCATTATTAACTACCCCTGTCAATCCAGTTGACAGGGGTCAATCAGGTTGATTACATACCAGCATAATGATAGGATGTTACATTTCTGATCAAGGTTTGGATGTACAACTTTTATAGAAATCACCCCAAATATTAATCAAAATGATATACCTCTACATCAGCTATAACCAATACCCATTATCATAGTGATTAAGAGTCAGACTGTTGAGATTCAAATTCTAGTTCCACTGCATTCTTGCTGTGATCTTTGAGCAAGTTACTTAACCTCTCTGTGCCTCAGTCTTCCCGTCTGTAGGATTGGGGTTGTCCTGAGGGTTAAATGAATTATTAATAATATGTGTATACATACTTCAAAGATTAGTGCCTGGCAAATCCATATTAGTAAAACTGTTTTAAGTTTTCCCAAGTGCACATAAAATAGATAAAGGGGTAAGTTACATAGCAATTTCATAGATTAAGGTTGTTTTAAATTAAGAGATTCTACTCCTCTCCCCCACAGGAAATAAGTTGTGTGCTTTGAGAAATGCCTTTATAATTTTGTCACTCTCAGTTATAATCATTTCAGTTTTTCAGACATTGGTACATTTATTATGTACATACTGTATACAAGACCATGTAGTAACAGTTGAATATGAAGCCTTTCATTTTAACCTCCATCTTTCACCTCCAGCAAATACATGGGCTTAGCCAGAGCTTTTGCAGAATTTTCAGAATTTGAAATTGAAGGCATAGAGTCTAACAGGGCTACATTAGTTTGTAGGACTACTCCTCTGTAATAGAATTAAAACTCTTGTGGTTTTTAAAAAGTAAATTGAGGGAAGGCACTTAGAATTTCTGCTTTTTTTTTTAAAGCATTAAGTCTCTTAAGTGTGAAGTTTGAATCTCAAAATAGATTACTAAGGTGAGCCTAACAACTCCTATGTGTACAGAAGAGAATGCTGCAATTTATTTATATTTATATTTATATTTTTTAGAGATGGGCCCTTAGAGTTGCTATGTTGAGCAGACTGTTCTTGAATTCCTGGCCTCAAGCAATCCTCCCATCTTGGCCTCCCAAAGCACTAGGATTATAGGTGTGAGCCACCATGCCCGGCCGAATGCTGCAATTTAATTCTACTGTGTGCAAGGTACTCTAGGAGATAAGCTAGGAGTATCCAAAGAACTACAAGATGTGCTGCTTACCTCTCGAAGAGGTGACATCTCAATGAAGACCTGGAGAAAGGTGGAATTTTCTATTGATTTAAAGAATAGTTCAAGAAAACAACATCAGGAGGCTGAGACAGAAGGATTGCTTGAGCCCAGGAGTTCAAAGCTGCCGTGAGCTATGATCACACCACTGTACTCCAGCCTGTGTAATAGAGCACGACCCTGTCTCTTAGAAGAAAAAGAAGAAAGAAAACAGAGAGAGACAGAGACACAAAGAGAGAGAGAGAGACAGAGACAGATAAAGAGGAAGGAAGGGAAGGAAGGAGAGAAAAGAAAAAAAGAAAGGAAAAGAAAGAGAAGATAAAAGCCTTATAAAGCTTAGGTGATTATTTGTCAAGTAATTATAGAAATTGTTCTGGAAGTTCAGAAGAGAGAGAGATACCTTAGGTTGACTCCAAAACACCTTATAGAGGAAGAGAGGAGTTGAGCTGAGTTCCAAAGGATGGGTAGGATTTGTAAAGGTGGACTCGTGGCTGGAGAGCATTCCAGGTGGATTAAGCAGCATGAGCAGGGGTTGGCGGCATGAAAGCTGACTCTGGGTGACAGTGAATAAGTTAAGTTGTTTGGAAGGGAAGGGGTTGGTGTTGTGGAGAGGTGGGAGGAATCACCAGCTCTCCATATGGCCATTGGCTAAGGCCCAGGTTTTTAGGTCTACCTTTATACCCAATCTCCACATCATTCAAAATCCTGGGTGTACAGATGTATATGTATTTGTATGTATCTCATCTGTGTGTCCTTGATGACTCTGAGAACTGGCTGTGGTTCTCATTGTACAGATCAGTGATTGTTCATGACTTACTTATACATTAAAATAGTTGGTTCCCTGTAGCCATAAACACAGTGCCAGCAAAGGGTAGCACCCTTACCCTCCTCTGAAACTATAAATTCTGACCCAGACAGAAAACAGTCCTCTCTTTCCTTTCACTTTGCAGAAGGTGACCAGAAACCCACCACTGCGTAATCCAGGTGCTGTTCTGTGATGTTGAAGTGTTTTTGTCTCCTGGAATATTGGTGGTTGGGCACATATTTCTGGTTGTATATAGCTGAAATTGAGCGTGTTTGGTCCATTGGTATATATGGATGTGTGAGTGAAATTCCCATGTGTGCTTGTACCTCATGACTCCTGCCCTCCCAAGCTGTAGTTCCTGCTCTTACTCCCCAGTCTGGAATGTCCTGTCCTCCCTTCCCACCTGGCTCTTCTGCAAGGCCTGCTTCCTTCCTTTAAGTCATGTAATAGTCAAGCACTCAAGGCTGCAGGTGCTTCATGGGTCTGTGTTTTCTCAACAGCAGCACCTAGCATAATGCTGGGTACAGAGTACATTCCTTCATGACAACATTTTTTTGTAGAGAGGGAAAAATGCTTGTTACTTTTTTTTTTAAAAGCTTATGTGGCATTGTCCTTTTAGAATTATCTTCTTGTTTTGCTATTAATCTGGCCTTCTTTTTCCCTCTTGGAGCTAAAGCTTGATTTTTAGACAACTGCCACAATTGATGCAACTTTCTCCTACCATTTTTACTTTTAAAAATTGACCTAGGCCGGGCGCGGTGGCTCACGCCTGTAATCCCAGCACTTTGGGAGGCCGAGGCAGGTGGATCATGAGGTCAGGAGATCCAGACCATCCTGGCTAACAAGGTGAAACCCTGTCTCTACTAAAAATACAAAAAATTAGCCGGGCGCGGTGGCGGGCGCCTGTAGTCCCAGCTACTCGGGAGGCTGAGGCAGGAGAATGGCGTGAACCCGGGAAGCGGAGCTTGCAGTGAGCCGAGATTGCGCCACTGCAGTCCGCAGTCCGGCCTGGGTGACAGAGCGAGACTCCGTCTCAAAAAAAAAAAAAAAAATTGACCTAGATGTGTGTCTGGATGGGGCAAGAGTAAAAGAGTGATGTGGATTACTGCGAGTTAGGATATCTGAGAAGGAGCTTCAACTTATATTTCTTGCTTTATAACAAAACCTGCGGCCGGGCGCGGTGGCTCACGCCTGTAATCCCAGCACTTTGGGAGGCTGAGGCGGGCGGATCATGAGGTCAGGAGATCGAGACCATCCTGGCTAACACCGTGAAACTCTGTCTCTACTAAAAATACAAAAAAAATTAGCCAGGCGTGGTGGTGGGTGCCTGTGGTCCCAGCTACTTGGGAGGCTGAGGCAGGAGAATGGCGTGAACCTGGGAGGTGGAGCTGGCAGTGAGCCGAGATTGCGCCATTGCCCTCCAGCCTGGGTGACTGAGCAAGACTCCGTCTCAAAATAAATAAATAAATAAAACCTGCTTGTGTTCTAACAAAACCCTGGAATATCTGAGAAGGAGCTTCAATTTATATTCCTTGCTTTATAACAAAACCTGCTTGTATTGTGAGGGCTCCTTCTTTCCCTCCCAGAAGTCTCTTGTTGGGGGATATTTCTTTTGACTTTTTGGTGGAGATGGAGGTGGTGGTGATAAGTTCCTCATTCCAATTTCCAAGGGTCTCTGCTCAGGCGTAAGACCTCTGTATGAGTCCTGCCTGCTTCCATGGTCAGGAGCAGTTCCTGCCAGCAACCCTGATGACCACTTGAAGCCCTAACCACAACATCCCTGTCCTACCATGTTCTGCTTTCTCTGTAGCCACTTCCTTTTTGGATGTGGAGCTCATTGGTTCCTTTTCTCCTTACATGGGCCATTCCTATACGTGAGTTCTTCCAGCATTAACATCAGCTTTGCACCCTCCCTCTGAGAGTCCTGCCAGGGCAAGCTGCTTGCATCTGCTCCTCGGCGTGCTCCTTACTCCGCACACTCCTCACTCTCAGCCATGTGCGTGAAAGGAAGAATGCAGGCTACTGCTCAGGAGTGGACTTGAGCCACGGACGGTGTCCTTGACAGAAATGCTTTCCATTTTATAGGACAATGAAATATACGTTAGACTTCCAGAGGTCCAGTTTCTTAACTTTATTTGTTATTGGTTCCTGTTTTGAGAATAAAGCATCTATTCAGTCTGATATCTTGGCTTCTCAGAAATTTAATTTTTCACCCTCTCTTTTCTTACTGGGTTTTGTCTTCCATAAAAGCAATCATCTGAAGCACTGTGCATGCCAAAGCTCCATGCAACTTCTCTTTTTTAATCTAACACAGTATGTCTTTTGTACCTTTGCTTAGACCTGGGATTTTCAGCCTTGTCACTATTGACATTTTAGACATTTTAGACTTTGTTGTAGGGGCTGTCCTGTGTGTCGTAGGATGTTTAGAAGCATCCCTGGCCTCTACTCACTAGATGTCAACAACTCCACTCCTCTTTCATTTATGACAACCAAAAATGTCTCTAGACATTGCCACAAGTCCCTGGGGGGGTTGTGTGTGGGTGGGTGTCTTTGTGCTCACATGCATGCAATATTATCCCTAGCTGAGAGCCACTGGCTCTTGCTGTTTTCACCCCCTGGAATGTCCTCCTTTCCTCATCTCTGCCCTCATTCCCTGCCTGCCATACTCTTACTCATCCTTCAAGACCAGATGTGAGAAATCTTTCCCAATCCCCCAAAACAGGTCAATGTCACATTCTCATGTGCTCTCAGGATACATGGACATTTATTCATAACAGAGAATTTATCATATTCATATTCCTCACCAACCTATGGAATCCTCAAAGGCAGATAGCCTGTTCAGAGGTAGATCCAGGTTTTCTGGTGCTTTGAACCTCATAATGCTTGGGGGCAACCACCTTTAAGAAAAAGAATGTAAATCATGAATGCAGAATAAAATGCAAGGCTTTGGAAGGGGAAGGTGCAAGTGAGTGGCTGTGAAGCAAACCTACCTTTAATCCTTTTGCGTTTTCTGTGATGCTACAGAATTTGCCCTTCCCCATGTTTAATACATCTTAAAATGAATTAACTGAGTACTCAAATGTTGGCTGATTGGTCTTCAACCAATGGAATTATTTCTTTTTTTTCTTTCTTTTTTTTTTTTTTTAGCAGACAATCTTCTCAAAATACTGTACTTTAATAGAACTTAACTGTGTGTTGGGGCAGTGAGTTATAGATTAGAAGAAAGGCAGGAAACAGACACACACATACTCACCACACCACCCCTGTATTCTTTCTCTGTGGCTGTTTGGTCATTTGGAAAATTTGGTGGGACAAAGGGTGTCTCTTGCTTGCCAGGGAAAAAAACCCATAGATACCCTGGGTGGTCTTCAAGTAAATGTAAACCTGCCATTGGTTCAGGGCTCTAGTTAGAAATAGCTCTAGTTAGATTTATAGGAGAGGTGAATGGCACACTAAATCTTTTTGGCTTCCATGTGAAATTCTTTGGCAACCTCTTTTGAAGGCCTTTGGAAAAGGACAGTTTGCTCTCTGCCTGTTTTGTACATTGGCTTCATATTGGGACAAAAATGGGAATTTGGGTTTTGGAGCTGCCATTTGGAGTGAATCACCCTGCCGCCTGGTTTCCTTTCCTACTCCGTGACAGATTTCCGAGACTATTTTTATTCAGGGTCATTTCTTGACCCTGGAGACTTCTGCTGAATTTAGTTCCCAAATAGAGCCAGATGTGGGTGGAATCAAGCACTTAGAAGTTGCTACTGGTTCATTTCATTGCAGGTTCTGATGGGATCTACTTTTCTTTTTTCTTTTTTTTAGACGAGGTCTCACTCTGTCACCCAGGCTGGAGTGCAATGGCACAATCATGATTCACTGCAGCCTTGACTTCCCCAGCTCAAGCAACCCTCCTACTTCAGCCTCCTGAGTAGCTGGGACTACAGGCGCACACCACCAAGCCTGGCTAATTTTTTTTTTTTATTTGGGAACTACTTTTACATTAAAGAGATACACTTTGGCTTTTTGCTTAACTTTGAGACAAAAATGTTGAATCTGATATAGCTAGAAATGTGTTTATTTAGTGATCTCCATATTAGCTCTATGTGGAGAGCTGTTCGTTGACATTCTCACCTAAGTGTGAGTCAGCTAAGCAAAATGGACACTATCTCTAGGAGTGACCTCATTTAATGATAATTCTCTAGTACCCATTTGTGGTGCTGCCACTGGAACTGGTTTGGGTCATTGTATTATTGCCCAGCCACTGCTAAGTCGGGGAACTTTACTGTCAGCAGTGGCTCCAGCTCCGCTGGGTAGATTACCTGTTCATGAGCCTCACCGACATGGCCTATAAAAATGCCAACTATATTCATAATGGGGTCAGAGGGTAACAGCATTTTAAAATATGCATTGTATGTCTCTCCTTTATCATTTATTAGATGCCTTGATTTGGATGACAGTTTTATTTCCTGTAGGAAGCAGGCTTCTTTCAGTTCAACTGCAATGTAATTACTGGCTAGATCTCTTTTTTTTTTTGAGACAGGGCCTCGCTCTGTTGCCCAGGCTGGAGTGCGGTAGTGCGATCTTGGCTCACTGCATCCTCTGCATCCCAGGTTCAAGCGATTCTCATGCCTCAGCCTCCCTAGTGGCTGGGATTACAGGCACGTACCACCACTCCCAGCTAATTTTTTTTTTTTTTTGTATTTTTAGTAGAGATGGGGTTTTGCTATGTTGGTCAGGCTGGTCTCAAACTCCTGAGCTCAAGTGATCCGCCCGCCTCAGCCTCCCAAAGTTTTGAGATTACAGGCATGAGCCACCGAACCCAGCCAAGATCTCTTGAATAGAACAATGTTTTCCAAACTTTAGTTTTGAGCATTTGTGGGAAAAGAGAATCAAAAGTATGCTTCCAATAGGGAATCATGGAAAGAGCACAGGCTCTGAGACGTAAATGACCAAGTTCAAATCTCAGCTTCAGCTGAGCATACTTCTCTTACCATAGGCTTCCCTAAGCCTCATTTCCTTATATGTAAAATGATCGCCTTTTAGGGTTATTGAGATGAAATCACATGTTCAGCAAGTGCCTGGTATATAATTCTCACTCAACTAATGCTAACTCTTCCTGAATCCTTCCCGAATGGCCTCACCTCCCTACCCTGACCCCATAACTGCTAGAGAGCTAGATATTTTCATCTCTTCCTTGTCATTTCTTCCTCCCTCACTAAGACAAAGTTTTGTCTTTTTTGTTTGTTTTGATTTTGTTTGGGGGGCAAGGATGAAAGTTTGCAATGGCGCAAACTAGGGAATTCAGATTACCTAGCAGAGAGTGCAAGAACACGAAATAGACAAATCTGGACCTTAATCTTGTCTTTGTTCCTTTACTACCACCTGTGTGACTTTGGACAAGTGACTTAGCTTCTTTGAGCCTCAGTTTTTTCATCTATAAAGATGATGTGTTCTTGTGAAATTATAGCACATTTAAAATATGTGTCAAATACCTATGGTGGTGGCTGAAGCATAGTAGATACTCAGTGGGTACCCCTCTGTCTCTGCTCCATTCCCTGGTCCAGCCCTGTGAACCAAAAATGCCCTTGCTATTCCCAATTCACTCTGTAACTATCACCCTATGCATTCTCATAATCACATTCCCTCCAGGTATCACTATTTAATTTCTAGAAATCGTTTTAGACTCTTTGGAAAATGAAATATATTCATATTTAAGAGATTTCTAAACTATTTTATTCTGCATGTCACTGTTCTCAGCCTCCGTGAAGGTTTGTAACATCTAGGCACTATTGCTAGGTAATAGACTTTAAGTCTAGAGTTTTTTTTTTGTTTTTTTTTTAAATCTATAACCAATTTCCTCATTATCTATAGACCCTATATGTTTTTCATATAATCTCCTGGTATTAAAGCTAGCAACTACTTGAATTCTTTTTTTTTTTTTTTTTTTTTTTTTGAGACGGAGTCTTGCTCTGTCGCCCAGGCTGGAGTGCAGTGGCATGATCTCTCGGCTCACTGCAACCTCCATCTCCTGGGTTCAAGCAGTTCTCCTACCTCAGCCTCCTGAGTAGCTGGGATTACAGGCGCCTGCCACCATGCCCAGCTGATTTTTGCATTTTTAGTAGCGACAGGGTTTCACCATGTTGGCCAGGCTGGTCTCGAACTCCTGACCTCAGGTGATCTGCCCGCTTTGTCCTCCCAAAGTGCTGGGATTACAGGCGTGGGTCACTGTACCCGGCCAACTACTTGAATTCTTACAGTGTGCTTAGTGCTGGGTTGGGTACTTTGGTGGGGGTTACTTTTAATAAAGTTACTCTTTGAGGGATAGCTTAATTGGGAGTAAGAGATACCTTAATAAATGGATCAATATAAAGTGAAATATGATTGAGCTCAAATGAATAGCACAGACAATTCTTTTTTTTTTTTTTTTTGAGACAGTCTCACACTATCACCTGGGCTGAAGTGCAGTGGCGTGATCTCAGCTGACTGCAACTTCCGCCTCCTGGGTTCAAGCAATTCTCCTGCCTCAGCCTCCCGAGTAGCTGGGATTACAGGCACCTGCCACCACATCCAGCTCATTTTTGTATTTTTAGTAGAGATGGGATTTCACCATGTTGGCCAGGCTGGTCTCAAACTCCTGACCTCATGATTCACCCGCCTTGGCCTCCCAAGACAATCCATTCTTTTAAGGGCTTCCTACAGAGAAGGAATCAATATATCATATTTTTAGAAAAGAGAACTGATGACAATATAATTAAGAGCTGTCTATATGTATGTACTATATTATGAGGGAATTCAGAAAAAGAAAAAATGGCATTGGGAGTAGGTAAAAAATGCCCTATGGAAGAGGTAGAATGTCAGCAGACCCTTGTTGAAGTAGAGATAGTCTTTCATTTGGAAACAGTCCTTCCTCCCCCTGCCCTGTGGCCTGAGCCATCCTGGCCTTCTTTTCTTCTCTCTCCACTCACTTTAAGCATGCGTGGGCTGGCTGTGCTGCTAGCCAGCTTCCATTGCTCAAAAATATTTTCCCCCACATTGTCTGCACTTCTTTCATTCTTGTCTTATGCTGCCCCAAATTCTCCCAACTAGAGATTGAGTTAGGTTGATAAGAATCCCCTTAGAAAGTCAAATACTTCTAATGCAGCACAAGCATGTTAGTGTAAATCTGCTCAGTCTGGTTAATTTCTTTCTCATGCCTCAGTGGCATCAGTTAGAATAAGGAATAGAGAATTTCATTTTTGAGAAATAACTTTACAGTATGTTACTGTTCAGGGATACGGCAGACCTGGGATAGAGAACTGAACCCTTGTGGGAAGGGACGGGCAGCAGGTAGTATAAGGTTAGTTCATTCTTGGGGAGGCAGGTCCTGATGACAGAGAGGGGAGGGTACCTGACGAAAACTTTGCTCAATTAAAAATTGTGTCTCTGGTTTATCTTTGGGTCTAGAAGAGAGAGAGAATTTTTTTTTCTTCTTTTATTTTATGCTCAATTACAGAACTTCCAAGACACAGCACCCAGTGTGTGTGGTGAATACTGTGGCCCTAACATTTGGGTTTAAGGGACATTACTGAGGAGCCAGGTGCAATGACCCATGCCTGTGGTCCCAGCTACTGGGGAGGCTGAGGCAGGAGGATTGCTCAAGCCTATGGGTTTGACACTATGGTCACGCCTGTGAATAGCCACTGCACTCCAGCCTAGGCAATATAGTGATACCTTGTCTGTAAAAAAATGAAAAATAAAAAGAGAGACCCTAGAGAGCCAGACTATGACTCTAATCATGGTTTTCAACATTCTTATTGAAATAGAATGGTCTGGTTTTGGAAAGTAGATCATTTTTTAAGTGAAGGGTTCCAGTAAGTGACTTCAGTTGATGGAGAAGGGAATCAAGAACATCTGCTAGTTCCTCTTGATATTTTGTCCACCTTCCAGGCTCCTCATTGTCCTAGCCTCATTCCTGAAGATATCCCAGTTTGTATTCCAGGCACAGCTGCCCACATGGGACTAGTTACAATTATCCCAGCATGGGATTGCCTTTATTTTCCCACATTTCTGCTCCTTGATACACAATATAGAAATGGATTTCACTTTAATGAGATTAAAGCATTAACTCTAGTAAAGCTATTCTGCTTTAATAAAAAGATTGTTTACTCCTGAACATAGGTTTTTCAGAAAAAGCCACAGGCCAGTTCAGAGTTCTAAAAGAACCTCCTGGAATAGATGGATAAACACACCAAGGAACAAACACAGCTTTCCTTTTATTCCTCCTCTCCTCATATCTCTCACAGTTATATTGTTAAGTCTTGGGAAAAAACCCATTACCACTTACTGTATATTCACAAGGTTCACATATGCAGAAGAAGCAAATGAATTTGTCAAAAAAAAATGGCTTAATCTAAAACAATGAAGCAAACAAATTTCGCCTCTGACCACAAAGTCGGCTTTGAGTAACTTGTACAATAGAGGATCATCTGTAGCAACGCCGGGTTATCCCAAATGGTTCTATCTCAGACTGTTGCTTTGTGTCCAGTATAAAGTCAAGATAAATTTTATAGTCAATTAAAAGTCAAATCCCATGAAAAAAACCCAACAACATATTTATTTTGGATAAACCCCATCATTGGTCATATATCAGCTTTGGGTTTTACAGATATTTAGGTCATTTTAAGTTTAT
The DNA here is from genome assembly GCF_000001405.40 of Homo sapiens. NCBI lineage: Eukaryota > Metazoa > Chordata > Mammalia > Primates > Hominidae > Homo > Homo sapiens. The sequence goes on along the minus strand of NC_000017.11, from coordinate 32,865,083 downwards.
TATAAGGATAGTCCTTGATAATGAGATTGAGTTAACCTGTTTCTGCCATCTTATCCCGTGTTCCGTCTTATTAAGACAAAAACCTATAAACAATTCAAAAAATGTCTAGAATAGTTTAAATGTCAGTGAGTACAACTGTTTTTTTTAATTGCATTCAACCTTTCCTATCGGTTTATATTTATGTCCTACCTCTACACTCAAAGTTCTAAGGGCAAGACAAAGTCTTATCTCCCAAGGCTTATTTCCAGGCATTAAGGAGAAAATACTTTCACCTCTATCACGGAATAAACAAATAAATGCATAGTACTTCTGCATCTTTGATTCTTGGCTGAACTATGCATTTACTATATTTTATGTATGCTTTTTAATGTATTCTATTTTATGTATATAATCTGATTTTTCTGTAATAACTCCAGTTTTTGGTAATGCAGGAAAAATGAAATTACCATTGCTCTTGGAAAAACCACTAAAATAGATTTTGGGCCTTTGTGAAATGGTAGACATTTCTCTCCTTTTTTTTTTTTTTTTTTTTTTTCATTCGTAGAACTCAGACATGTGAAGCTAGACACCGTACAACAAAGCAGGAAACATTAGTGGTGCTGTAATCTTGAGCAGTCTCATGATGTTGCTTGCCTTAGCCAGTTAACTACATTTTACCATACTACCAAACTTTTCACAGCATTGTGATGCCTTTATATAGCTTTGTGTCATTTGCTAAGTGTTTCTAAGGGACATGCCTTTACACAGCAAATCTAGGGACTAAGCTTGTTTAGATTGGTGCTTTAAAAAAAAATCTGTAATCTGTCGTGTCCTGGGTCATGGAGGTGCCTGAGGAGCAGTCTTGGATTACAGGTAGAGGTGGAGTAGGGCTTCAGGCCCTGGCACTCTAGTGCTTTTAACAGAGCAGCTCTGCTCCTGCATAGTGGGGTTCCAAGGAATATGTCATTTGGGAAAAAATGCTATCACATTGGAAAAACAGCTTGCAAACAACTGTTTTAGATGATTTTTTTTCCAGAAGGCTTTTATTCTTGCAAACACCAAAAAAAAAAAAAAAAAAAAAAAAAAAAAAAAAAAAAGGAAGAAATGTTTGTAACCAAAATTATTTTAAAAGTGGCAGTATGGTATAAAATAATGAGCAAAGGAAATATTTCAGTTATTCAAAGTTCAACATGGCTATGGCTACCTTCTACAGTAAAACTTAAAAAATCTACTTCAGTTCTCTGAGCCTTTAATGGCTCAGTCTTAAAATGAGACTGATTTCTGCACTACAAGATTATTATATCAAATGAGATAATAGCTGGGTTGTTTATTGTTCTTTACACATAGAGGGCACTCAGATGTTCGTGCCTTTTCATTTTTGCTTCCTTAAGCAGAATATAAAGAATGTGATTTAATTCTTTTTCTTAATGACTTAGATCATCATGACTGTAGTTATAAAAAGTTGTTTTCATGTCCTTGGTATTTACTGTCATATTTGTAATGTTTTGTTCCACACTAAGTTGATCTAAATTAACTTTTAAAAATATATGGTTCAGTTTCTATCGTTGCTTTCTGTGTGCCTCCCCGTGAATTCCCTTTCCCCTCTTAATTTACAAAGGTAATCCTCTCTGGGTTTTGGCTGTCAGCCGAGCTCATTAGAAGGGTGTATAAAAAAGGAGTTAATATGTTGTAATGAAGACTGAGGGGTTACCTTGGGTATATCAGTCGTAGGGCAAGAGTTTTAAGATGTCTGTTTTTTATCTTCTCTGCTGAGAGGTATTTTTTATTGCTTTGCTGTGTTTGGCTGGAAAGGCAAGTAGGCCAAACTGAGTTCTAAGTAGGTAAGGTGCTACTCTAAAACATATTACTGCCCTTGGTATTTGAATTGTTTGTGTGGTTGAACAAACCAAACATGATGAGTGCATTTTTCCACACAGTGTGCAATTTATGACTGCTTGTTGACTTGTGGTAGGCAGCTGCTATTGGCAGAATCTGTTACTGTTTGCATCTCCACCTCTCAGGTTCCTATTTTATCTGAAACTCTTACTGAAAAGAAACCTCTTCTTCAACTTCTTGATTTACCCTAGGCTGGGGTTCCCAAATCCAGCTTTGTGTCATGATCACCCAGCTTTTAAAATACGCAGATTCCCCGGACTCTGTCTTCTGGAGATGGTGATTTATTAAGCCTCCTTAGTGCCCAGGTGAGTCTCATATGCAGCCAGGCTCGGAGCCACTGTCCTAGGCTAACGTTTTTCACTCCACAGTTGTGTTCTATTAAAACTAAATGGACTATCACTGTAATGTGAGCTGACTGACATATTAACAAATGTATTACAACTTATCCAAATAGTCAGTGTTCTTAGTTCTGTTTTGGTTATTAAATCAATTTAATCGTTGATAATCACACTTTATTCTTTATCCTTACAACAAGTTTTCCATTTTTTCACCCGATGGTTATGGTTATCCAGTTTTAGCTACAATGTATGTATTTTTCTGTCCTCAGATTATCCATAAAAACTGTATAATCCCACCCTCCTTGTTAATACCTTGATTTATTTCCTTTACAGTCTTTTCTAGACATATAAAAAATGTACATATTCAAAACTTTGGCATCTTCCTGCTTATACAACATATAGTTTTGTAAACTGTTTTCTCACATAGCATGGTATCTTAAATGCTTTTCCATGCCATTAAGGTGCCTTTGAAAGTATGGTGGCAGCCACGTTGTCTTTATTCTTTTCTGGATATGCAGGAGCAACCCAGATAGACACGGTTCTTGTTCTCATAGAACTGATAAACCAGCAAGGGGAATATACTAAACCAGTAAACAAACAAAAGGATAACTACAAATAGTAATAAGTGCTATGAAGAGAAAGAGCAGAGTTCCCCCATAGGGGAAATGGAAATGACGTGTCCAAGTATGTGGGTGTGTCACAGGGAAGGCACTTTATGGGGAAGATAGCTTTAAGCAAGATCAGAAGGATGCGGAATATGTGCCTGTTGGGGGAGAGGTGGGGAGCGGGGGAACAATCAGATAGGGAAGAGAGAGAAGACAGAGACATAACTTTTATTGATTATTTATTTATTGAGACAAGGTCTGGCTCTATTGCCCAGGCTGGAGTGCAGTGGCACAATCTCAGCTCACTGCAACCTCCACCTCCTGGGCTCAAGCTATTCTCCTATCTCAGCCTCCCGAGTAGCGGGGACTACAGGCGTGTACCACTATGCCCAGCTAATTTTTATATTTTTTGTAGAGACGGGGTTTTGCCATGTTGCCCAGGCTGGTCTCAAACTTGTGAGCTCAGGTGATCCACACCTGCCTTGGCCTCCCAGTGTTGGAATTACAGGTGTGAACCGTGGCACCTGGCCGAGACATATTTTTAGATAGGCTCAGTTTCTGAAACTGAAAGGTATCCAGTGAGGCTAGAGTCTTTGGGCAGAGTGGGGCAGGCAAAGTAGGGGCAGGTGAAGATGGAGCACTCATCAGGGACCACACTTTGCGGAAGGGTCTTGGGACATAAAATCCCAAGATTCAAAATTTAAGTATGTTGGGGAGCAATTGAAGGGCTTTACATCAGGGTGACAACACATTTTTAACTATCTGGGCTTTCTTTCATTTAGCTCCTATAATCTCTCTGGTCTGGGAGATGGCTGAATGTTTGTTTTTTGTCACATTCGTGAATAGGGTGCAGATTTGGCAATTGTTTTCTACACATTTCCTCTGCTAAGAATAAATACAGGCCAGGTGCGGTGGCTCACACCTGTAATCCTAGCACTTTGGGAGGCTGAGGCGGGTGGATCACGAGGTCAGGAGATTGAGACCATCCTGGCTAACATGGTGAAACCCCCATCTCTACTAAAAATACAAAAAATTAGCTGCGTGTGGTGGTGGGTGCCTGTAGTCCCAGCTCGGGAGGCTGAAGCAGGAGAATGGCATGAACCTGGGAGGCGGAGCTTGCAGTGAGCTGAGGTTGCGCCACTGCAGTCCAGCCTGGGCAACAGAGCGAGACTCCGTTTCCAAAAAAAAAAAAAAAAAGAATAAACACCAATACAGCCCAGACGTGATCCCTATAGTATAACAGAGTTGTTTCTTGGAGTAGGTAGCCCTAGGGCAGTGTTTTGTTGATTTGAAATAAGTGAATCTTGATAATGACTAATGGGCTAACACTGATTTGAGGGGATTTACTTTTCTTCATTTTATGCTTCAAGCCAGAGAAATTCTGAGCCATGAATTCTCTGATGAAGTCTCTTGAGTCATAGAATTTTAATGCCGGAAGGGAATCTTGAGGTTCCTCACTGTTGTATAGATGCATGAAGTTAGAAACACAGAAAGTCAGGACTTTTTACTAGTCTAGTGGCACATTTACTACGGGGGCAAAAATCTGTCTCCTAGCTTTGTGTTTATTATTCGGTTTTTGTCCTATTCCTAGCTCTTTTGCTTTGCAATCAAGTAGCAACTCTTCAATTTCCTTTATTATTCTCACTTAAAAGACCTGAACTAGTTGAAACAATGGAAAAGCTTACAATGTAAATAAGAAGTAAACCTCTAGTTCTCTATTGAAGGGCAACAATTTAACAATACAAATACAAAATAACATTGTTGTAGGTGTGAGAAAGATGGAGGTCTTAGTAGTCTATGTTATGTGTCACCATTGACTTGGGCTATGTCAGAGGAAATACAGGGACTTGGAAGTTCCCTAGCTTATCACACCTCTCCTGGAGGGGTGTGTGGTTGCTAGCTTCACTCTATATCAGTCAGAATGCTGTTGGGGGCAGCTAAAAAGAAAACCAGACCAAACTGGCTTAAACAGAAAAGAAACATGTTATCTCACACAACAAGAAGGCTAATGATAAGAGAGGTTCTGGCCAGTCCCTAAGGACTCTGCCTCCACTTGTCTGTGATTCCCTTGGTTTTGCCCTTCTTGTGCTGGTTTCATCCTCAGCTGGTGGAAGGTCGTTGCAACAGTTCTGTGCATCTCACCCAGGCACAGTAATGTCCTGAGGAAGGAGAGTGAGCTCTCTGCTTGTGTTGTGCTCCTTGCTTAGGAAGCCCCCCAGAAGACTTCCTTACATGTCACATTAGTTAGCATTTGGTCACATGCCCATTATTAAACCTGCCACTGGTAAGAGGAATGTGGTTATCATGATGGAATAGTCAGGCGCTGATGATAGATTTCTCATTTCCTGCAGCATGTGGCTGTATGGAAGGGAGTGGATACCTGAACAAAGTCAGGCTTTTTTAGGAAAGAAGGAATTTTAGGGGCAGAATAGGATATTGGATAGGCAACCAAAAGTGCCTCCTCTACACAGTTTTACAAGCTATGTAGACAGAATAGGATTTATTCAGAAAAGAATGCTCAATATGTTGAGGGTACTTGAAACCATGTCATTTAAGGAATGACTGAAGGAACAAGACAGGACATGAACACCAACCTCAAATACTTGCGTATGAATTGATTATGTTTATTCTGGGAGACCCCAAAAGACAGAATTCATGCCAGTGGGTAAAAGTGAAGAGATGTAGATTTATCTTTCTGCTCCTTTTCTTCCTCTTCTTCTCTTCCTCCTGAAGAATTTGGTCCTAAAGCCATTGGGTTGGGGCACAGCAAGGTAGGCATCCATCCCAGGGGAAGGGGAGCCACAGGGGCCCAGATTAGAGTTTGGAGCCAAGTTGAGTAAAGAGGGGGCCAATGCATGAGGACCTGAGTATGGAAAAAGAGCATCCGTGCTGGCATGGTCTTGGTGACAGCAGTGGGAGATAAGTGATAAACAGGGAGATTGACAAACAAGTAAATATGTTGAGGATAATGGAGTCAGGTTTCTCATGGTCATAAAAGAGAGCTCCAAATATGGAAAGGGGAAAAGTACAGTCAACCCTTTGTAGTTAGATTGGAATCAGAAGTTTTCAATATACAGCTAGACAGAGGAGTAAATATAGATGTGAATGCGTATGCACCTATATCCATACATTATGTATTCCCCATCTCTGTCCATTGTGAGGACCTGGGAGCAGTGATACCTTAATATAATAGCAATGGTCACACCTAGTACCATCCTCCACTGAAAGAAATCAGGGCTTTGTGGAGAAATGGGTAATTCCAGGGTTGTCACAAAGTAAATATTAATACAAGGTGAGCCGGGGGCATCTTGTATTTTCAGAAAGCAAGGAAATCCTCAAAGAATGATGAAAAATGTAAAACAGATTCAGAAAGCAGCTTAAGTGAGTACCCACTAGCTAAATCTGGGTCAGTTTAATCATCAAAATGAAATCGGAAACCATGAGTCCATACTTACATAAACTAATAAATAACTTTTGAAGTTTGATGAGGAATGGGATATTTACTTAGTATCTCCCTACAAAATGTTCAATTAATTAATACCAAAGAAAAAAAGATTATTGTTACAGTGGAGAAGCCTGACAGATGCTACCTTAATGAAGTGATCAAAATGAACAATGTCAGAAATGGGACAAATCAGAATCATGTACCATGTGATCAGGTGCAATGAGAAAAACACAGCATTACTTCCTCTGTGACATTCCTGCTAAAGATGCATAACCTGAATCTAATCAGAGGAAACACCTAGCAAGCTCAGATTGAAGGCCAGTCTTTAAAATAACTAGCCTGTAACCTTCAAAAATGTTAAATTCCAAGAAAGACTGAGGAAGTATTCTAGAAGCAACGAGAATAACAAGACATAACAACTAAAGGTGAAGCATGATGCTGAACTGTATACTTTTGCTATAAGGGACATTTATTGGGGCATTTGGTAGAATTTGAATAGGGTTCAAGAATTAAATCTTAGCAATATATCATATGTTAATCTCCTGATATTGATAGTTGTATTTTGGAACTGCTACTTAGACATCAAATGGTTCCCAAAGAAGGTAATGAGTTTCTGGTCATGTGAACTTATTGAAACTGGAGTTAAAGGTTCACTCATTAGGTTCTTGTAAAGAGATGTTGTGCATCTGGAATATTGGTCTATGTGGCCTCTAAAGTCATACATTCTAGGATTCCAGTTGTCTAAATGCATATTTTAAAGGAACAGTTGAAAATATTAAATGATGTTATGCTCTCAGTTATTACAAATTAACAATTAACATTACCAATCAACAGGTATTACTTAAAGCTTTTTGCTAGAAACTGTGTATACTGAGGACTACATATAATTCGTTCCAAGAATAATGATATAATTGGAGATAAATGGAATGAAAAGATATGTAACCCCCGAAAGTAGCATATAATAAATGCCTGATGATTAGTAGCAATATTCTACAGTTCACATGTGGAGAAAATTTCTGAGGAGTCTGAGCTTTGGTGGTTAAGGAAGGCCTTTATTGATTAAGGGATTGGGCTGAATGCTGGAATGTGAATAAGACTTAGGTATGCATGAAGTAAGAATGGCAAGGGAGAGCATTCCATGCAGGGGTGCCTCTGTGAATGGTTGTGACATGTTCAGGGACGGTGAGAAGACCAGTCTGATAGGGTTAAAGGAGTCTATTTTTTTTTTTTTTTTTTGAGGTGGAGTCTTGCTCTGTCGTCCAGGCTGGAGTGCAGTGGTGCGATCTCGGCTCACTGCAAGCTCCACCTCCTGGGTTCACGCCATTCCCCTGCCTCAGCCTCCTGAGTAGCTGGGACTACAGGTGCCCGCCACCACGCCCAGCTAATTTTTTGTATTTTTAGTAGAGATGGGGTTTCACCGTGTTAGCCAGGATGGTCTCTATCTCTTGACCTGGTGATTTGCCCACCTCGTCCTCCCAAAGTGCTGGGATTACAGGCATGAGCCACCGTGCCCGGCCAAAGGATTCTTAAAGGATTAGCTCTGCCTTAAATTCATTACAGTTGGGAAGACAGGATTAGATTCCATAAAATGGAAAATGGGAAGGAAACTAATTATTGGGGCAGCTACTAGGCATCATCAGGTGCAGTGTTAGGTGGTTTTCATTCATTAATCTCTTATAATCTATTCAACCCTACAAGATAGGTGTTATACAGGTATGAAACACGTGTTTACAGAGAAAGAAGATGGCTTTGCCAAAGTCACATAACTGATTAAGAAGCAGTTTGAATTTGAAGCCAGACTGACAGGACTTCAAAGTGCTTGACATTTCTGCTACCCCTGCTTCATACATATGGAAAGGAATAGAGAGCAATGATACAGACTTGGGGGGAGGGGATGACTGTATGTGTAGAATATCGAGAAGAATATTGGAAAAAGGAGGATATTTCCCAGTACCTCTTCTCATGTTGAGATCAAAGTGCTCATAGAACATGCCTCTGAGATTTAGATGATCAGAAATGAGCATAAAATGTGAGAAAAGGGCCAAGGATTGAACCTTCAAAGAGATCTGTATTTAAGGGACAGTCAGAATAATAAGGACCCTGAGAGGAGTCTGAAGAGGAGTGTCCATGGAGGTTGGAAGAAAACAGGAAAGTCTGATATCACAGAAGTTGAGAAGAGAGGGGTCAGCAAAGTTGCACACTTGAGAAAGGCCAAGGAAGAGAAGGATGAAGAGGTGTCCATTAAATACAGCATCCAAGAGGGCATTGATGACTTTCATTAGGGTGATCTCAGTGGAGAGGTAGAGGTGGAAAACAGTTTGTAGTGGGTTAGTCAGTAGGGGTGAACAACTAGAGACTGAGTGATATTGCTTTCAAGAAGTGTGTTGGAAAGGAGAGAAGACCATAGCTACAGGTTTTTGTTTTTCTGCTACTTTTTAAGCCAAGAGAGTTGAGTGTGAATAGGTAATGATGGGAAGGAGGCCGTAGAGAGAGAAAGACATTTGAGAGGACAGAGAGTCTTCTGCAAAGGATGAGATGTCTGAGGAGATGTGAAGCGCTGGAATCTGGAGCAGCAGACATGAAGAGGATGAAGGCTCCTATGCTTTTTGTGGAAATTGTCCATATCTCTCCCTCATACAACAGAAGTCTTTGTGTTCCCAGGCAGGGTGGTCTCACTGACCATAGTATAGCTGCTGTGTGGTCTATACTATTTCAAAAAGAAAAAAAAAATCATCCAAGAATAGCATCTGCATGCACATTCTGATTGATGGCAACTAAGATACATTTTGTTTAAAGCTGCAAAATTCGGTACCGTCATTATAATGCTGTCATTCTGAAATGCCTGCCTTAAAAATGAGAGTAAAAGAAGAACAAGGGAATAAGAATGACTATATACTCTCAGCCAATGAAAGCTAGTCCTACAGACTATCATAGCATGGATCCATGAGTTAGTGCTTCAGACAACCTCATCCAAAGAGCCCTGTGCTGTGCGTTCCAGAGATGAGTATGTTTCACAACATGTATTGTTTACTCTGTTGTGACCTCCTCTCCATTTATTTTGGCTTCTACAGACCTATTTTGATTTGTAATAGTTGCCAAAGATTTTTTTAAGTGAATGAATGATATTAGGCATGCAAGAAATAATACTAGACCTGCAGCTTCTGCAGTGTAGAAATAAAGGGGGAAAGTACTATGTTAGATGTAGGAGTAGGAGTCGAAACCTAAGAAAAAACACAAATGTCCATCAACAGTGGGATGGAAAAATAAATTGTATTCATACAATAGAATGCTAGATGACAACAAAGGTGAATGAATTACAGCTACATACATCAGCATGAATTAATCTCACAATCATAACATTGAGCAAAAGAAGCCAGACAGAAAACAATACGTACTCTATGCTTTCATTTATATAGAATTCAAAAACAAGCAACACTAATCTATGGTGTAAGAAGTCAGGATAATAGTTATTTTTGGAGAAGAGAGAGGGGACAGTAATTAGGAGGAGACTAAAGGAGGGTATCTGGGGGTGCCGGGAACAGTCTTGGCACAGGCAGTGGTTACGTGTACTAAAGATGTGTACATTCTTATGTATGAATGTTATACTTCAATAAAAGTGTGTTTTTAAAAAAGGCCACAAGGAGTCCTCAAGGAAATCATGGAGGAAACAGTACAAAAATCAGCAAGCAATTAAAGGTTTGTAGCAATCCTTTGACCTTACATATGGCATCATAAACCTCATTGCAGCCAATGGGGATGGAACCAACAATTTTATTGTTAGTTGAAGGTGTGTCATGACTTCGTGGATTTGCAGAGACTGCAAGAGTAACTGCCAAATATGGGATGTGTGCGTGTGTGAGTGAAGCTACACTCACACATGTACACATACACATTTGTATATCATATGTTGGCATCTTCATAGGGACCACAGTTAAAGCGTGCAGATTCATCCAGTTCCCTCATTCCAGGAAACTCTACTTCCAGCTCTCTACTTTCAATTCATGTATTCTGTAGCTATAGTTACGGACTTTATTGTGCCTATTCAACCTTTACCCTGTGTTTATTACTTCTCAAATCACTTTCTAATTTTATTTTGAGTCTCAGATGCCTTTCAAGAATTTCACATTTATGGGATGTTTTTACTTCCATAAATGTTTTTACTGTGTTAACCTGGCCCAGTTGGTCTGTGTACAGGGAGTACAAACTAATTCTGATGTTAGCTTGTTAAATAAAATTAAATCTGTCACCACTGCATAAAGTGTATAATGTATCCCAAAGTGAAGCAAGAATTATTTCTTATTTGTTGTTTGCCATTGGCTTCGCCAATGATTTCTCCCTTTAGCCCAGAGAAGAACTGAAGTTGATTCCTTTAGATGTGCAAGCTTTTCACATTCAGGTTTATTTCAGGTGGAACTTTGCTTTTCTTGGAGGAAGGTGACTCATTTGTGAGGAATTCTGAATGGCTAAGTAAGGAAGAGATCTGTTTTTCAGAGTTTCATAAATTTTTACTAGTCTACTCTGCCAGGATCCATTTTTATTCCTTCATGTAAGCTCTTATGAGTTAGATCTTAATGATGATTCTGATTAATAAGCTAAAATTCCCAAGGGTTACCTATTGCCTATGCTTGCAATTAATGTAAAAGAAACTTTCCGTGGAGTGAAAAGGAGATTTTATTTTTCTTTAGTTTGGACTGATTCCAGTATGCTGAAGTTGTTGATATTGCTAGTAAAAAAAGTATTTGAATTTTCATTCTGTTTTTAGGAAACTAAGATAATTTTTGCCTATATTTGAAATCAGTAGCTATGAAAGGTGACTTTCAAGTGTATTCCTGAGAAAGAGGAAATAAGAGGTTGGGGGAAGATTCTAATAATTAAGTTTAAAATGTGCGTACTTTAAATATCACTGCGAGACAGTTGTTTGAACTTGAAGCAGATACCATGCTTCCTAATGTTGAATTTACTGTTTGTTTCAATAATTTATTGACAAATTTATTGGGTAAATTTGCCATCTTGCATATATTGATTCTAGAGCATTGGTTCAGAAGTGTGGAAAAAAAGATCCATAATTTGTTAATCCATCATGTACTTTTTGTTCGTTTGTGAGCCAAATCATTCATTTAAGCAATTAGCAGTTAATTATCCATCAACTATATGCTAGGTTTTAGAGATACAAAAATGAATAGAATCCTTCCCTTGCCCCTGTGTAATCCAGGTCTATAGGGAAAGACAGACATGGAAATAATTACAGCAGTGTAATCCATGCTGTGATGGAGATATGGATGGCATGCCCCAGGAACTCAGAGGAGGATGCATCCAACTATTTCTGGGAGGTAAACGGAAGCTTCAAAGGAGATGTTTGAACTAAAGTGTGAGCAGGAAGTTGGCAAGTTGGCCATAGAATAAGAATAAATTCATCAAATCCTATGCTAAAGATTTTTTATTATGTGGTGATGGGGAGCCATTGAAGGATTTTAATTAGGGAAATGACTTGATCAGATTTACATTTTAGAAGACTGTGGTGTTAATGAAGGAGATATATAATCACATGACTGAAGCTGGAAGTAGAGAGAACATTTAGGAAATTGTTGAAAGAGTCCAAGTGAGACTAGTGAGAAAGTGGGAAGAGAGACACAGAGGCGTGGTTTTCATATCTGTTGAGAAGGTAGAATTGATTGGCTTTGGTATTTGATTTCGATGGTGCTGTTTACAAAGAGTAGAGATGCAAGAGGAAAGAAAATTTGGAGTGTGGGTTAGAAGGTAAGATAACAGGCTGAGGCTATTGTTCTTGCGAGTCATCACATGGAATTGTCTAGTAGCCAGATGGAAGTACTGGACTGTACAGTTTTGAAGCAGATTAGAGTGGTGTGTAGTCAGGACATAGGTGTTACAGTCATCTGTATATGATGACATTTGATGCTTTTGAAGTATATGAGATTACCTTATTAGAGAATGTATACAGTGAGAAGTGAAGGTAAATACCATCTTTCACAAAAAGGTCTTTTGGACCTCTGGTTTGTTTCTCAAAATTGTTTCTTTTTTTATCTAAATTTATAAATACATGATTCTTGTAGAAAAATTGAAAAATATAGAAATATATAAAGACAATAAGATAATAATATTCACCCATAATTCAATTCTCATTCCCCAAGAAAGTCACTGTTAGGAAAAAACTATGCATGTATTTGCCACATAGTTGAGACGACATTCTACAGACAATTTTGCACCCTATTTACCATTAATTCAAGCATAGTAGCATATTAGTATTATAAGTAACATTGCATTTAATATGTCTGTATGAGAATTATTTTCTAAGATCACAATTCTTCTTGGTATGGATTCCTAGAAGTAGAATAACTTGGCTACAAGACATAAACAAATGTAAAACTTTACATTTTGGCCAGGCACAGTGGTCATGCCTGTAATCCCAGCACTTTGGGAGGCCGAGGTGGGTGGATCACCTGAGGTCAGGAGTTCGAGACCAGCCTGGTCAACATGGTGAAACCCCGTCTCTACCAAAATATACAAAAACTAGCCAGGTGTGGTAGCATGTGCCCGTAGTCCCAGCTACTGGGGAGACTGAGGTGAGAGAATCTCTGGAACCTGGGAGGCAGAGGTTGCAGTGAGCTGAGATCATACCAGCCTGGGTGACAGAGTGAGACCCTGTCTCAAAAAACAACAAAAAAAACTTTACATTTCATCAAGTGTTTTTCAAAATGGTCATATCAATTTCTACTTCCACTGGCAGACAGTTCTAACATTTGAAGGTTTTAGGGGAAGAAGAGTCAATAAAAGAAATAAACTAGAAAGTAATGGTACGAGAGAAACTAACAGAGGAGAGAATTTCTAGAAGGAAACAACAGCAGTAGTAAATGCTGTAGATCAGGGGTCCCAACCCCCAGGCCCCTGACCGGTACGGTGGTCTGTTAGGAACCGGGCTGGGCTGCACATCAGGAGGTGAGCAGCGGGCCAGCAAGCATTACAGCCTGAGCTCCACCTCCTGACAGATGAGCAGCATTAGATTTTCAGAGGAGTGCAAACCCTATTGCGAACTGTGCGTGTGCACACTCCTTATGAGTGCACACTCCTTATGAGACTCTAATGCCTGATGATCTGAGGTGGAACAGTTTCACCCTGAAACCACCCCCCTGGGTCCATGGAAAAATGGTCTTCCACAGAACCTGTTCCTGGTGCACAAAAGGTTGGGGACCACTGCTGTAGAGAGATCACAGAAGCAAAGAATGGAGGAGACCATTGAGTTTGGTGATGGGAAGCCTTGGTAGAATGGTAGGGAGTTAGCCAGGTTGCATTGAGCTGAGGAGTAGATGAGGTGGATATGGACTATTTGATAGAAGGGCTGCAGAACTGGTGGAAAATATTGTGTTGTTTGTTTTTAAAGGTGAAGAGTCTTAGGCATGTCTGTGGGAATTGGAGTTGATCATTGATGGAACAAGATGCTTGAGGAAGTGAGAGAGGATGGGTTCCAGAGCTCTGGGGCTCCCTCTTTTTCAGGCTCAGGAAAAAAGGTGGTCAGGATTAGGGTGGATGTAGGTAAAGTGGCAGGAAGTCAGAGTTGTTTCTGTCTATTGGATTTTATTTTGCTTTGTGAAATAGAAGGCAAGATGTTGGCTGAGAGTGGGGGGAATGGTAGAAACATCGACTTGAGGTGAGAGTGAATAGGTTTACCTTCTGATTTGGGAGCTGTTGAAGGACAAGTACAAGGATCACCAGACAATGCCAAAGGTCCTCCTGATGTTGAACTCCATGGATTTATAGAGTTTCCAATTGGTCAACCTGAGTTTTTGTTGTTGTTGTTGTTGTTGTTTTTCATAGTACTTGGCAGCCTAGGTGCAGGGGAGAAATGAAGTAAACAGTTGGTCATCTGAAAAAAAAAAAGTTTTCATAAGTATTCTTAACTAAAATTTAAAGTAGGTACAGGGAGGTTTATTCTCTCATAAATGAGAAAAAAGAGACAGAGATTGACTCCCATGGTAAGTTGGTGATCAAGCCCAATCCAAGCCTTGATAAGACTCCATTCCCCTCAAATTCACTAATGCTTGTAGTTAAATTTTAGAAAACTTGGTATGTCCTTATATGGTGTATCTCAAACAAACAAAAAACAGGGTACATAAGAGTGAGTTAGGGAGAAGAAAGAAAATCAGACAGCATTACTCTACTGTGTTATTCCTGTGCAAAATTACTTCATATTACAAAGTGGAGCAGTGTTTAATCAGAGGAATTATAGAGAAACAATGAAAGAGAGGTAAATAGAGCACTTACAAAAGTCACTTAGTTTTTATACTGCTCAGACATTTTTTCCTGAAGAATACTTTTAAAAAATTAATATCAAATACAATTTTATTTCAAAATAAAGTGGCTGCATTCTTTGATAGGATTGTTGTACCCATGGTGAAAGAGTAGTGCAGTAGTTCAGGTCTGAGTGTGTGATGTGTTGGAGGATGGGCAATTGTCCATTTAAGTATCAGTGGATAATTGTTATTTTTAAAACTTCACATAGTTTGATTCTCTCTCAAAATATTGTAAAGAAATAACTCCTTTATGAAACTTACCATCATTGTTTTCTCTTACATGGTCTTGAGTGACATCAGTTTTAAAGGATGTAAAGAGCCATCTCAAGAACAGTAGCTATTAAACTGGTTTGAAAGTTGCTTGACAATAATGGAAAAAAAAAGTTATTTCCCAAAGGATTGCAGTAAGACTGATGATTTTTATGCCAGTGGAAGGCCAGTTTTTACCACAAAAATTTCCCTGTAACCTTTCATGATTGAAAACATATTACTTGCTATTCAAAAACACAGGCAAATTAGTGAGGAGAGTTTCTAAAAGAAGCTCAAGGGTTAGACATGTAATTTGTGGATTACATGTCATGATAGTGAAGTGTATTTCCTTCCGTGTTTTGTTTTAAACTGTAGAAGGGACACAAAAGTCCACAATTTGGGCTTCAAACTTATTTTTACAGCTGTAAGATGAAAACACTTAATTTTTTTTTATTATACTTTAAGTTTTAGGGTACATGTGCACATTGTGCAGGTTAGTTACATATGTATACATGTGCCATGCTGGCGTGCTGCACCCACTAACTCGTCATCTAGCATTAGGTATATCTCCCAATGCTATCCCTCCCCTCTCCCCCCACCCCACAACAGTCCCCAGAGTGTGATATTCCCCTTCCTGTGTCCATGTGATCTCATTGTTCAATTCCCACCTATGTGAGAATATGTGGTGTTTGGTTTTTTGTTCTTGCGATAGTTTACTGAGAATGATGATTTCCAGTTTCATCCATGTCCCTACAAAGGACATGAACTCATCCTTTTTTATGGCTGCATAGTATTCCATGGTGTATATGTGCCACATTTTCTTAATCCAGTCTATCATTGTTGGACATTTGGGTTGGTTCCAAGTCTTTGCTATTGTGAATAATGCTGCAATAAACATACGTGTGCATGTGTCTTTATAGCAGCATGATTTATAGTCCTTTGGGTATATACCCAGTAATGGGATGGCTGGGTCAAATGGTATTTCTAGTTCTAGATCCCTGAGGAATGGCCACACTGACTTCCATAATGGTTGAACTAGTTTATAGTCCCACCAACAGTGTAAAAGTGTTCCTATTTCTCCACATCCTCTCCAGCACCTGTTGTTTCCTGACTTTTTAATGATTGCCATTCTAACTGGTGTGAGATGATATCTCATAGTGGTTTTGATTTGCATTTCTCTGATGGCCAGTGATGATGAGCATTTTTTCATGGAAAACACTTAATTTTTAAGGGATTTTGTGTTCCAGTTTTACATGTCTTACTACATGTTTATTTCTAACAATTTATTTCTTCTTATACTTAATAATATATGTTTATGTAACTTTGCACAGGTACGTAAGAATGTTAGGGAACTTGGCAGTGTCTATGAAATGGTCATCTAGGAGCCCCTTTATTACAATGTGGCTTATTCTCTTAAAGCATGTACTTTAAGGAACAAATATGAGACATGGGACTACTGCACTGAATGAGCCCAGCTACCTACTATGGCAAGAAGGGTGTGGGACGGGGGACTGTGGTTAGGTAGCAACGGCACCAGTAATTCAAGCTGGAAGTCATCAGGGACTGATACCCCACAGAAACAAGAGTATTTCCACTTTAAGGAGTGAATCCGTTTTAAATCCAGTGTAAGCAACAGAGAGCTAAGGACAGAGTATGGCAACTCCTCAAGCCCACTAATGGCCTCTGTAACATACAAAACATTTAGTCTTCTTGATCATTCTGAGACTTGACTACCACAGAACTACTTGTTTTCATAAGGAAATGTAAAGAATTAATGTTTTGGTAATGTTTTACTTTGACATGATTTAAAATTTCAGAAAAGTTACAGGAACTCCCATGTACTTTTCACCCAGATTCATCAATTGTTTGACATTTGCCTTATCACTCACTTACCAATATTTGAGAGTAAGTTGCAGACATCCTGCCCCTTTCCCCTAATTCTTCGATGTGAATTTCCTAAGAACAAGGAGGGTCTCCTACATAACCACAGCATAGTTATGAAAAGCAGGAAATTTTACATGGGGTAGATAATAATCTTGTACCAAAGTCCATATTTAGATTTTACAATTGCCCTAATCATATGTTTTATAGCATTTTTCCTGGTCCAGGAGTCATATCTTAAATCTCATTTAATCTGAAATAAATTAACTAACTAGAACGGAGAGAGGCCCATTTTTCATAGTACACACTGCACACTTTCATTCATGTGTATTCATTTCAGCATCTTCTCTGAAACAGAAT
This sequence comes from Homo sapiens, assembly GCF_000001405.40. Classification (NCBI taxonomy): domain Eukaryota; kingdom Metazoa; phylum Chordata; class Mammalia; order Primates; family Hominidae; genus Homo; species Homo sapiens. The sequence goes on along the minus strand of NC_000017.11, from coordinate 32,848,024 downwards.
GACAGAAGCTTGTACATAGCAGGTACCCTGTAGGAAATACTTGTACTTTACGGCTTCTCAGTTAGTGCCTTTTTCAGCAGTGAATTAATTTTTGTATAAACAATCTTTGGTTCTTATTCTACTGTATAGGTACTGTTGTGTGCTGAGGACAATATTAAGCTTTCTTTGGTTTGAGCCATGTTTTTAACATGTATTAATAATAACTATTCTGGCTAGGCATGGTGGCTCATGACTGTAATCTCAGCATTTTGGGAGGCTGAGGCAGGTGGATTGCTTGAGCCCAGGAGTTGGAGATCAGCCTGGGCAACATGGCAAAACCCTGTCTCTACTAAAAATACAAAAATTAGCCAGGCGTGATGGGGCATGCCTGTAATCCCAACTACTTGGGAGGCTGAGGCACAAGAATTGCTTGAACCCCAGAGGTGGAGATTGCAATGAGCTGAGATTGTGCCACTGCACTCCAGCCTAGTGACAGAGTGAGACTCAGTCTCAAAATAATAGTAATAACTATTCTATCCCATTGGGACATTTTTGTGAGTCCCTGATGAGACAGTTCCAAAGTTCCAAGATATGTCCTGCAGTTTGTCTTTAGCTGAGAAAAAAATGGCAAGTGGCCACTGTCTTTCTGCTTAGGGCCAGTGATTTAGTTTCTTTTCTCTGGGCTATAATTATTCTCTGAAGTATGTGAACAAAGCAGCATATATATGCTTGTGATTCCAAAATCACTCGTAACTTTCACCATGTTTGTTCCATTGAAAATTGCATGATAGTTTTTGGTACTGATGTTCCATTCTATAAAAGTTTGGCATCGTTGACATTCTGTATCTAACTCATTCATGCCATGTATGAAGAATTCCCAAATTAGGATTTTTCTTAAAAGACTCATGGGCTACATGGAATTAAATTACTAAATTCAGGTATAGTTTTTAAATGGTTGTTTTGTTTAATGTTATGATTCTGTAAATTCTATAAAGAGGAGAATTGTGCTATCATCTAATCTCCCTATTCTGTCTTATTTACTTATTTGTTTGTTTGTTTGAAACAGGGTCTCGTTCTGTTCCCCAGGCTGGAGTTCAGTGGTGTGATCATAGCTTACTGCAGCCTCAATCTCCTGGGCTCAAGCATTCCTCTTACCTCAGCCTCCCGAGTAGCTTGAACTTCAGGCACAGACCACTACACCTGGCTAATTTTTAAATTTTTTGTTTAAAAAAATTTAGCTGGGCAGCTATGTTGCCCAGGCTGGTCTCAAAGTCCTGGCCTCAAGCAGTCTTCCTGCCTCGGCTTCCCAAAGTGCTGGGATTACAGGCATCAGTTATCACTCCTGTGCCTGACCTGTCTTGATTGTTTAAATTTTTATAAATGTTTGTCTACAAAAGGAGTAATGTTCTCCACAAAGTCTACTTAGATAATGTGCTTGTTAATGTTTGTATTATCAGTCTGCTTCCCTTTTTATTTAATTATTACTGTAATTTACTTTTGCAAGAATGTATTTCTATTTCAGATTGTAGATTTCAAAACACAAAGCACAAAATTAGATTTTTTTAACCTCAGAATGTACCTAGATACTCACCTGTACACATATTAATAAAGCTAATAGAAATACTACACATATTAGTAAAACAGAGTGATGTGCTTGGCTCATATTGTGGACTCTGTTATGCTGATGAGCTATAACTATTAATAGTCCTGTGTGTGATCACATGATACACATACACTTTTTGGTTAATGCCTGAGATAATGTTGAAGTAGGTATTCTGCTGTTTGGCCTTTCAGAGGTTAAGACCAAAGCCTCAAAAGGTGTTACTCTTATCAGCTAACTTTTTGTCTTGTGTGACGAAGCCCAAATTGCATTGCAGGCCTGTTCCTGAACTCTGTGGGACAAAGCCCATGTTGGGTAGGGGTAGATACCAAAATAAAATCTTAGTCCTATTAAAAGGAAGAAGAGAGGGAATAGGTGCTAAGTAGGCAACCCTCAGAGTTCACTCTATCACCCTTCAGGCTTTCGTTGTACCTTCTCCCACTACTCACCACTCTCTGGCTACCCTAGCCATCTTTGTATTATGAATTCAGCAGTTTTTTTTTTTTCCTCTACAGTATTTCAGAAGCTCGTACCATTCAGAGTAAGATGCTCAAATAATATTTTCCTTTACTTTAAGTGGGCAAAGCAAGGGTGTAGAAAGCCACCACAGGAGTGGAAAATGTCCTTGGAGTGGGAATCACATCAGTTCTGTGATGATGGAAATATTCTGTACCGTACTATCCAAAGCAGTAGCCACGAGCCACCTGTGGCAATTGGGCCCTTAAAATGTGGCCAGTGCAACTGAGGAACTGCATTTTTATTTCCCTTTAATTTAAGTTTAATAGCCACATGTGGCTCGTGGCTACTGTATTGAACTATGCAGGACAACGCTGTCACTCCCCAAGTCAAGAACCTGGATACATCCCTCTACCTCTTCTAACTGAGACTGTTTATCTTATAAGGGGGAATTATACTTCCCTGCCATCTTCATAGACTTGAGAACCAAATATGATTGTAGTTGTAAAACCTCTTTGGAAATCATCAGTTGAAAATATAAAATGACATTATCAATATTATGGCACTCTATCTTTTTTTCGTAGCAAAGCTGAAACCAACCACTTTTTGTTGATAATCTCAGTCCTATTACTTCTCCTGTTCTACTGCTGATTCTTTAGGCAGGGGTAAACCTAGAGGCTATTGAGTGAATAGGGAGAGGAAGCATAATTAAAGTCAGTATTGTTGAACCTTTTTAGTTATTAAAAAGGTTTACTAGTGAAAATTGAAGACGAAGTTTTTAAGTGAAAACTTCATTTATAAAAATAGTATGTGGTCTTAATTTTTTTAAAAAGGGAGTCAAAATAGAAAGTTACAAAGAGGAAAGCAAAAATCACACAAAAATCTCACCACCCAGAATAGCCATCGACAATGTTTTGGTGTAGCCTTCCAGATTTTTTTTTTTTCCTTTGGTATGTGTGTAACTTTTTAGAAACGTGAATATGTTGCCTTAAGCTGCATTTTTTTCATTTAAAAGGTGTACTGTTGACATTTTACGTGTCAATAGATATACATCTACTTTAAAATATCTATACATTTCTAATTATGAATATAATACAAAGTTATACAAAATTCCTAACTCAAGTGTTTCATAAACACAAGATTTATAAAGAGAAAGTCTCCCAGAAGTCATACCCCATTTGACATTATTATATGGTACATGCACATCAGTATTACTTTAAAATTTATTTTTATAAAACTATATTACATTATACATTGTTTTTTTAGAGATAGGGTCTTGCCCTGTCATCCAGGCTGGAGTGCAGTGGCGTGATCATAGCTCACTGCAGCCTCAAGTTCCTGGGCTCAACCAATCCTCCTGCCTTAGTAACTCTGTAGTAACTGGGACAACAGGCATGTGCCACCATGCCCAGCTAATTTTTAGAAGATGTTTTACAGAGACATAGTCTTGCTATGTTCCCCAGGCTGGTCTGAACTCCTGACCTCAAGTGATCCTCCTGTCTCAGCCTCTCAAAGTGCTAGGATTACAGTTATGAGCCACATATTATATATATACATATTATATATAGTATATATACACATATATACATATTATATATAGTATATATACACATATATACTATATATAATATATATACACATATAATATATACATATACATATTATATAATATATACATATGCATATTATAATATATACATATGATATATATATCATATATGATATATACATATTATATATTATATATACACATACATGATATATACATATTAAGAACAGCCTAATACTGTTCTTAAACTTGCTTTTGTCACTTATCAGTATATGTTTTATACATGTATTTATATGTTACTTGTTGTGTTACATATAATAGAATATTTAATAAATTTACTGGTGAGCTGATACTAGTTTTTTGTTAATAAGGTTATCATTATGCTGATAAATATCCTTGTGTGTGTATGTATGTGTATATATATGTGTGTGTGTGTATATGTGTATATATAAAATATATTTATCTTTTTTCTTAATATAGATTCCTAGAAGTAAAATAAGAAGTCAAGAAGTCAAATGTATGCAAATTAACCATTTTTATATTTATTGCTAGATGGCCATATAGAAAAGTGGTGTTATTTCAACAGAGAATAAGAGTTCTCCAGAATGGGTATTGCCATATTCATTTGGAGAGGAAAAAAGCTTTACCATTGTTAATAGATTTTCTTCATGTTAATTCTAGACTGGAATGTGGCTGAATGAGTTTGTGTATATGTCCTTTCGAAATTACAGATCTTACACCTTGTCTGTAGGATCTTGATGAAATCCACTGCCTTTCCTTCCATTCGGTTTCAGCTGGATCTGTAAACCATTCTTGCCTCCTTTATTTCCATCTCTTCTATTCTCCTTAAGATAGGGGAAAATAAAGCTTGGTGACTTTGGATTTTCTTAGCATGCCAGATAGAATACATGATGATTTAGTGACTAATAAACATAAGGCTAGTAGTCAGTATTATGCTTTCCATTTGATTCATTTGACATTCCATTACTAATTTGGCAGGTTATTGTGCAGCTTTGAATACATTTTGTATAAGCACACTTCTCTATTTTTTCCTTAGTCGTCGGAGTTTGTTCTTTATGGATACTCAGTGTGGTATGTAAGCTTTAGAATAAAAAGATGGTTGTCTGCATGTTTGGCTGGCTGTGTACTTTAAGTCAATAGTCTTTCTTAGGCTCCAGCTACACTCACACATATTTTGGCTTAAAACTTGAATTTAAGAGGAATTCCTGTCCTTAAAGAGAAATAGACGTAGACTGGGCATGGTGGCTCATGCCTGTAATCCCAGCACTTTGGGAGGCCGAGGCGGGCGGATCACTTGAGGTCAGGAGTTCGAGACCAGCCTGACCAATATGATGAAACCCTGTCTCTACTAAAAATACAAAAATTAGCTGGCCCATGGTGGCGGGTGCCTGTAGTCCCAGCTACTTGGGAGGCTGAGACAGGAGAATTGCTTGAACCCAGGAGGCAGAGGTTGCAGTGAGCTGAGATCGTGCCACTGCACTCCAGCCTGGGCTACAGAGCGAGACTCCATCTCAAAAAAAAAAAAAAAAAAAAGAAAGAAATAGAAATAAAACAAATGACAGTATAACTGTGTTGAGTACGAAAAACTTGTGTATTGAAAGAAATAGTGATTTGGGTTAGGTAGAATCTTAGAGACTTTCCTAGAAGAAATTGGATACTTACCTGGATGTTGAAGTTGGTGAGATTTTGAAGTCTGAGCGCATAGAATGTGGAAGCACATTCTGAATGAGAGTGAGGAGAAGGTATGTAAGACACCTTGAGTGAAAGTTCGAGTGCCAGCAACATCTTGGAAATGGCACACAGCTTTGTCTGGTTGGGGTAGATCACCTTTGCTGAGAAAGAATGCAGGCATTTTATAGGAACAGATGAGGAGTGGGGGAGAGAAAGAGAAAGAGAGCGAAAGAGAGCCCCTTAAAGTGTATAAAGTATCTACATATAAAGACTTTGAGGAATAACTGCATATTTCTAATCAAGAAAAATATCAGAAACCCCATTAATCCAGTGTGCAGCCAACTCCTAAGAGTCCTAAGTGACCCCTGTCCACCTGGGCACTGCTGGGATTAACTGTCTCGGAAACCTTGCAGTAACTTACGCTTCACATCCCCTGTGTTCTTGGTTATCTCCCAGAATGCCATTCTATTTTATTGTTCTCATACTGCTTCTTCTTCCTTCAGACCCACAACTCTCAGTCCAAGCTCCATTGTATCCCTGTCTTCCCAGTCTTAAACTGCCTTGTTCCGCTGACCTTCAGGGACCGTCACCTGGCAAAACCCCAGTCCTGGAACTATCAAATGGCTCATCTTAATTTGTCCCTACAGATCCAATATTGGGGCTGCCGAGACTTGCTGGAGAAAATACTACTACTGCACAGATGGGTACAAATAAATGTATAATTGCTAATCTCACTCAGATCTTCAAATTTATGGACGTTACTTCTGTGCTTCCCTAGACTGCTCTCTCTCTCTCTTATTTTGTGTAATGTCTCTTTCTTAGCCTTTTCACTAATCTTTTATTACTAGCCTACTCCCTGTCTCCTGCATCACCTTCCTGCTTCCCAGAGAAATACCCTGCAGACCTGAACTCCCACTTCCTCTGGCACATCTAAAGACCGCATCTTTATCCATTCTTTCTTCCTTCCTTCCTGTTGCAATAGGAGATGGGGGCTTATCCTCCTCTATTAGGCTAATTCTGCCTACCCTATCGTGAGTCCTGTCTTTTTTCACCCTCACAGGGACATTGATCTCTGAAATTATCTTTTTACTCTTTTGAATCTTCATCCTTGTCCTGTCTCCCAGATGCTTCCCTTCAGCATCCAAACTTTGTAGTAGACACCTATTATTTTATCTGAATAGTGCCCTTTTCTCCAATCCAGCCAGATGGTAACTCTGGGAGCTACAATTTAAATGCAGATGCTTCTTGACTTGCAAAGGGGTTGTGTATTTTTTTTTTTTTTGAGACAGGGTCTCACTCTGTCACCCAAACTGGAGTGCAGTGGCACAACCATAGCTCACTGCAGTCTTGACCTCCCCAGGCTCAAGTGATTCTCTCACCTCAGCTTCCTGAGTAGCTGGGACTACAGCATGCAACCGTGCCTGGCTAATTTTTTCTATTTTTTGTAAAGGTGGGATTTTTGCCATGTTACCCAGGCTGGTCTTGAACTCCTGGGCTCAAGTCATCTGTCTGCCTAGGTCTCCCAAAGCTCTGGAATTATAGGTGTGAACCACTGTGCCTGGCCTACAATGGGGTTACAGCCTGATAAACCCATCATAAGTTGAAACTATTGTAAGTCAAAAAGGTATTTAATACACTTAACCTACCAAACATCGTAGCTCAGCCTAGCCTACCTTGAACATGTTTAGAACATTTGCATTAGCCTACAGTTGGTCAAAATCATCTAACATAAAGCCTATTTTATACTGAAGTGTTAAATATCTCCTGTAATTTATCGAATACCATTCTGAAAATGAAAAACAGAATGGTTTTATGGGTACTTGAAGTATGGTCTTTACTGAATGTGTATCACTTTTGCACCATTATGAAGTCAAAAAAATCAAACCATCATAAGTTAGGGATCATCTGCACAAGACATTCCTGCCTTTTGGTCACTGTTGATTTGTCCAAGGATGGGCATCTGACTCAAGCTGGACCAACCACAGTTCTTCCCCAGGACTTTATATTTGAAATGAAATCATCTTTCTCTCTGTTTTGGTGGCTGAAATTCAGAATGTGTATGTTTTGGAATTGTTGGGAGTCAAGTTCTGAGGGTTGAAGAGTAGAAAAGAGTAGAGAAGAATGAGGGGAAAGAAAGACGAGAGAGTAAGAGAGGGAGAGAATAAGAATGAATTATAGCCAAAAGGCAAAAACATTTCCTTAGTTCTTTACAAGCAGTGATTCCTAACCTTTTTTATGTCATGACACACATAGCAAATGGTAATATAAATACTGCCCATTGAAGGAGATGGACAAGGCTGTGCTTATGGCTGGCGGACACACCTGTAATCTGAACCCAGGTAAAAAGCTGTACTCTGCAGTGTTCTGAGAGGTCATACTTGTAAATCACTCCCACGTTGAGAAAAGCTCTGTTCCAGAATCTGGTTCTAATTATCTTGGTCCTAACCCTTGGGTCGTATGAGATACCCTTGCAACCTTCCTTTAGATGCCATTTCCTCCAGGCTGCTTCCTGAACTCCCCAGATCCTCTCCAGTGTGCGCCAGTAACACCCTGGGCTTTTTGTTGTAATTATCTAATTATTTATCTGTATAATCTGTTGTATATGAACCCCAGGAGGATAAGAACTACATCTCTCTTTTCATCTTTATAGCCCTAGTGCCTCCAGTGGGGTAAACATCTCCTGAATGAAGGAATTATGCTCTGCCCACATAAAAAGATGGAACAAGAAAATTGTAATTGAAACAAGATCTTTTGTGTAAATATTCTTTCTTTCTAAAAGGAGACGGCTTTGAATGGCAGCCCTGGAAAGGAAAGTGAATGAGAACTATGTCTTTTTGGCATTATGTGTCTGGTAGTTTTGTCAGACCGTCAGATCTTCAATTTCTTAAATTTTGCCTTGTATTAAATATCTCACTATTCACGTTGCAAAATAAGACTCAACCCATTTTCAGAATAACAAATCCCCTGTGGAAAAAATGCATTAAAAATCCTGAGAGTAAATACAGGCCTAAAAATATGAGCAGTATCTCTGTTTTGTCCACTCACAGAATTATGTGTCCTGTCTTGTTTGTACTGAAGAGGTTGAGGAGGATTAATCTCTTCCTATAGGGTGAGCTTCCTTCCCCATGCTTCCCTTCATCCTCTGCCTTTCTCTGGAATTGCCCCTTACCTTCAACTTGCTGTCCATATTCCAGCTCACAGTGTTTCCAGGTTCACAGCCTTACTGCACTATGGTATGAGAGAATCCAAACTCAAACTGATTAAAGCCACACGCAATTACTCCTAACTTAGTCTGGCCCAATTTAAAAGCACTTAAATTCTCTGGCAGGTCTTTTCCACTCCTTTGGTTCTTAGGCCCTGCCACTATAGGTTACAATTATTTTGATAAGGCTCCAGCTTGCTTTGAATTCAGGTTGAAGTTTTTTCTTTATTCACTTCTTGGCTCTTGGAAAAATAAGGTTCTTTCTTCCTTGGGACCAAGGTATACCTCTGTTTAACACTGAATTAACAAATTGTCCATATAGTTCTCTCCAACAGCTTAGTCTACCTTCTTGGCTTAGACTTAGTCCTTTTTGCTTTTGCTTTCCTTTAGTTCTTGACATTTCCTGTACTTTGAGACAAACTATTAAGGTGTTCCTACTCTGCTTGTTTTTCTTGTTTTTTGTTTTGCTAACAACTTATGTTATTCTTGCAAAAATATATGATGGAAGGAAACATGGCTGAATAGCAATTGTTTAAAAACCTTATGGAAAATTATATGTAATCAAGTTGTAATTTTTCATATATTAAGCATTTAGTGTACTTCCAAATAAAATCACAATTGGATTGGAGTTGGGTGTATAGGAGGGAAATTGACTAAACAATTTCAAAGTTTATGTGGAAACTAAATATGTGAAAGTAGCATAGAAAAGTTTGAAGAAGAGTATTGAGTCAGTTGTTAATATTCCTCATAGTCCCTTAAGTGGGCTCCTTGACTGTACTCCTGACTTCCTCTAGTAAATTATTTTTATTTTCTTATAGATAAAGTGATCTTTCTAAAATGCCTATCTGAACACTTTGCCCCCGATGAAGCCCTTCGGTGGCTTACTTTGCTCTCAAGATAAAGTGCAAACTCATTTTTTAGATCTTTAATATCCTGTGTGATCTCGCCCTTAATACTTCTCCAGCCTGAGCTCTTGCCTGTACTTTTCCCGTCTGTCTGTTTACTTGTCTCCATCTTCTCACTAGCCTTCAAGCACCATAAAAATAGTGACTATCTAGTCACTATGTCTCGTTCCCTGTTTTATCCCTACAATCTAACGTGATGCAGGTGCTTAGTAAATATTGGTCAAATGAAATAATTATAAGGCTAAGACCAAATCGATGGAACTGAAAAGACAGTCCAGAAGCAGACTATTTCGTGTCTAAAAATTTAATAAATGATAAGGTATGCATCATAAATCTGAAGAGGAAAAGAATATTTGATAAATGGTATTGCCAGAGCTGGTTATTAATTTGGAAAAAGATAAGAGTTAGAGATGAGACCAGTATGTTAATAGTACCCCCAAAAAGGTTGCTAAGGCATTAAAGAGTTAATTTTTTTAATTTTAAGAATATAGTTTGACATGAATATTTATAGGGAAATACTTAGATTTATGGGGAATATTGTAGGGAAAAAATATTTCTAAGCTTGGGTGTGATCACCGATCCAACTACATAAAAATTTGAAAAGCACAAAGAACATTACATCTTGGGAAATGATTGCAGTAAATATAAAAATAAAAATGTTGTAAAGTATTATATGAAAAGAAAAGCACAATACCTTAGTGAATGAGAAGAACTCTAAAAAGCACTTGATAAATGCATACACAAAATGAAGACCGTTTATGAAAATGAGAATATAAATGACTAAACAAAAGTAATTTCGATTTTACTAGTAATCACTGAGTTAAACATTAAAACAATGAAATACAAATTTTTTGTCCTATCAGACTGATAAAAAATAGGGGAAAAGCCAGAGTTGGTGAGGACATGGTGAGTTGGTATTATGATGCATTATTGGGCACCAGTATCAACTGATAGAATTTTTCTGAACCAGTTTGGCTCTGTCTGCATCAATACCAAATGGTTGTGTACATTAATTCAGTAATTCAACTTCTGTGAGTATGGATGAAGGAAAGATTTTAGATACAAATAAAGCTTTAAATTTTGGTTATCAGTGTTTAATTAAAGCAAAAATTAGAAATAGTCTATTTGTGCCCACCTAGGGATGCAAAAAGAAAGAAAGAAAATAATCTAAATGTCCAGCAGTAAGAGAATCATTAAACGGTGGTTAGATCTAATTGAGTAATGCATAGCCATTAACAATGAACATGAGCCACAGTCTGGGAAAAGATTTTTATTATATATTATGGTCCTATATAATATAAGATTTGACAAAGCACTCATAGCTAGAACATTTAAAGAACTACCAAAAGAAAAAAAAAGACAAACAGCCCAGTTAAAAAAAAAAAAAGAAAAGGCAGGCACTTTGAAAAGAAGATAACCAAATGATCAATAAACATTTAAAAAGTCCACAACATCATTGCACATCAAGAAAATGGGAGCTAAAACTACAATGAGATAATATTACACACTCATCAGAATGGCTAAAATTTTAAAAACTGACAAAAATCAAATATTGGTGAGGATTCAGAATGAACCATTTAAAAAAAAGGAAAAAAATATTGGTGAGGATATGAAGCAACTGGAACTCTTACACATTGCTGGGAAACATGTAAATTACTTCAGCCACTTTGGAAAACTGGCAGTATCTCCTCAGGCTAACTCTATACCTATCCTATGACCTAGCGATTTAACTCCTAGGTATATACTCAGGAGAAGAATTCATGTCTACCAAGAGACTTTTAAAAGTGTAAAAAGAGTAGCTTCATTCAAACTAAACCAAAACTGAAAATAATCCAAATGTTCATAAACAGGAGAATGGCTTAACCGTGGTATAATCTAATGTAATAATTAATATAATTATATGATGTCATTATGTAACTATAATAGTTAATGTAATTAAATTGTGGTATATTCCTATATAGAATACTGTATGGTGATAATGAAATAACAAATTAGTGACACACACAACAACATGAATGATTCTCACTAACACTATGTTGAACAAAGGAAGATAGACCAAAAGAGTACATACTAAATGATTCCACTGATTTGATGGAAGAGTAGGCAAATTGATTAGTGACTGATCGTCATAGAAGGCAGAATAGTGGTTACCCCTGGGTGGGAGAATTAACTGGGAATGAGCAGAAGAGAACCCTCTGGTGTGATGGAAATATTCTATGTATTGATCTCTAAGGGGGTTAGGACTATCCATGTGTCCAAATTCAGCAAACTATGCCCTATATGTGCTCTTTAACATTCCTTACTGATAAACTGAGGGAAAAATAACACATGGCCTTGAGCAAGTCACTTAATTTTCCTAAGCTTCAGTATGCTCTTCTCTAAATCACAAATACACTTGCAGGATTGTTGTTAGAATAGCATATGGTTAATAGGTAAAAATGGCAGTTACTGTCAACTAGAAATACTTAAAAATATTATATGTTGCAATATGTATAAATTGTGAATATATCATATGGTTGGAGGAGTGTAAAACACAACCCCCTTTGCATTAAAATACTAATTTACCAAAATATATGCAGTGGTTTAGATGTCTTTGGTTAATGAGATTTGTTTTTCTTCCTATTTTTAGCTTACAAAAATATGAATGAGCATTATACTCATAATGAAAGCAAACAAATCTTATTTAAAACATTTAAAAGTAATTTTCAGTCCATAGTGAGCGCAGTATGAACCAACAGTTAGTGTAAACCCCCAAATCTTAATTCTCTTTTAGGTTAGATTACTTGAAGAGTTGTGACTACAACAAAGGAATTAATATTCACTTGGTTTTAGGTGCCACCGTTCTAAAGGGATATAAATAATCTAGGATGAATTCAGAAGAAGCATGACCAGGTGTTAAAGAGATGTGAGCTTGTGATATGTGACAAAAGCTGAAAGACCTACTCATGCTTGTCTGGGAGAAGAAAGACCCAGAAGGACTTGATGTCTGCTTTCAAATCAGAAGGCATCCATGTGAACAAGAGTAGGTTATGTTCTCTGTGATCTCAAGCAGAACCAGTAACAGTAGGTAGAACCTATGCCAGGGAATCCATTTCAGGGCCGTGTAAGAAAGCTCTTTGTGACAATGCTATTCATTCATTTATTCAAGTTATTTATTGAGTGCATTTCTGTTGTAGGCCCTCTACTAAGCATAGAGTATCCGAAAATAACTAAGTCATGGTCCTTTCAGTAGTGACCAAGGAAGCTATGCAAATGATAACAGATCATGTTTTTCAGTGCTGTGACAGAAGTATAACAAATGTTATAGGAGCTTAGAGGAGGGAAATGTGCTGTTGTGCAGGGAATAGGAGAGAGCTTCACAGAAGGGGTAACATTTTAGTTGAGTATTGAATAATGGATTAATGGGTATTTGCCAAGCAGCCAGGCAGGGTATGGTATCTGGCAAAACAAACAAACACAAAACCAAAAAAAAAAAAACCCCAAAAGAAAGCAAAACCAAAAACCAGAGCTGTGTTTGTACTTGTCAAGGTATGTTTGGGACCAGACTGTGCAGGACCTTGTATATATCCTTTTGTAGGCAATGGGAAGCGGTTGAAGAAATGTGGTTTTTTGTTTGTTTGTTTTTGTTTTTGAAGCAGAGTCTTACTCTGTCACCAGGCTGGAATGCAGTGGCGCGATCTGGGCTCACTGCAACCTCCGCCTTCCGGGTTCAGCGGATTCTCCTGCCCCAGTCTCCCGAGTAGCTGGGACTACAGGGGCGCACCACCATGCCTGGCTAATTTTTGTATTTTTAGTAAAGACAGAGTTTCACCATGTTGGCCACGATGGTCTTGATCTCTTGACCTTGTGATCTGCCCGCCTCGGCCTTCCGAAGTGCTGGGATTAAAGGTGGGAGCTACCGTGCCTGGCCAAAAAATGTTTAAGAAAAGGAACAGTGTTTGTTTTGGGGCAGGTAACTCCAGCTAAGGTTGTAAGACAGATTGGAGTAGGAGAGCCTGTGGTGAGATCCTAGTTTGGAGAATGCTGCAGTTCTCAAGTGGCAGATGATGTAGGATGAGGAATTGAATGATAGTGGAGTTGGAGAGTTGGACTGCATTTGGAACGTTCCTCAGGTAGACTCAAGAGGTCTTGATGACAAATTGGGTAATTGTTTTGGAAGGTGAGGGAGAAGAAAGAATTGAGGATAATTCACATGTTGTTAGCTTGGAGAACTGGGGGCCAGGTGACCTTGGCCTTACCCACAGGCACTGTTTGGTTCTGGTTATGGGGCAGGGGAGTGGACACCTTCACTTTGACTGCAAGCTCCATGAGGACAGGTATCATATGTACTTGTTCATTTCTGTTTTTCCAGTGACTGGAATAATGAATGAATGAGCAATTTGTTATCCCTCCCAAAGTGTTCTACTAATTTGATGACAATTCTGGGACTTCTGTCTGTTGTACTTAATTAATATTGATCAGGCTAAACATATTATCAGGTATTATTACATTTCGGAGAAGTTCATTTATTCAGCAAACATCTGTTGGGCGCCTACAATATGCTGAGCACCATCCTTGTCTTGACAGGTAAAATAGTAAGCAAAAAAGACAAAAATGCAAGCCTTCATGGAGTTTTAATTCTAGTGGGGGGAGACAGACTAAAAATAATGATAAAGAAGCAAAGTATATAGTGCATTAGTTGGTGATAAATGCTGTGGAGAAAAAGCACAATGTGGAGAGAGGGAGTGTTCGGAGGTGTAGTAGGGGGTCTTATCTAGAATGGCCAGGGAAGGCCTCACTGAGAAGGTGGCATTTGAAGAAAGAATTGAAGGAAGGTGAACCACGCAGACAGCTGGGAGGAGAGACTTCCAGGCAGAGGGAACAGCAGATGCAGAGACCTGTTGATGGGAGCTTGCCTAGTGTGTTCAGAGGAGCAAGGAGGTGGCCAGTAAGGCTGGAGTGAAGCGTGTGTGAAGAGGAGAGCAGAAGGAGATCCGGTCAGAGCTGTGGGTGGATCAGGGTCAGGAAGGCCAGTAAGGCCAGGAAGGCTGATAGAAAGACTTGACATTTTTCCTGGGGTGCCATTGGAGCTGGGGTGCCATTGGAGAGTTTGAGCAGAGGAATGGCATGATGTGACTTACATGTTAACGGAATTACTCCGGCTGCTGTTTTAAGAATAAATTGAAGGGGAACCATTTGGCTAAGAAGCTATACAATAATTCAGGTGGGAGAGGTGATAGTGACTTGGACCTGGGTGATCGCAGCAGAGGTGGTGAGAAGTAGTCAGACTCTAGATATGCTTTGAAGAGAGATGGATTGTGTTTATACTTTGAAGATAGATGGATTCTCGATATACTTTGAAGACGGGTGGCTTCTGTATGTACTTTGAAGATAAACAGATTCTAGATATACTTTGAAGATAAATGGATTCTGGACATACTTTACTGACAGATGAGACATGGGGTATAGCGAGCAGGAGGAGCAGGTGTGGGACACTATCAGGGGCTCAGTGTTAACATGCTACGTTTGAAGTGGCCACTAGACATCCAAGTAGAAATGCTAAGTAGGCAAGTGGATGTACAGTTCTGAGATTTGGGTTAGAAGTCCAAGCTGGAAATATAAATTAATTCTGAGGGAACTTGTTACTGTGAGCATAGTTTATGATTTGAGCACCCGAGACTCGGGGGAGTACCATATACAACACTACTTTAAAATAATGTAAACGTCCCTTGGGAGAAATTTCAGATTGTTTTGTAGGCATAAAAACATTTTATAGATCAGATAAATTAAGCTGCCAACTTGTACCAAAGTTAAAAGTTCTTAGTTCTTTGTATTTTAAAGAACAGTAGATTCTTAAATCATATATAACTTCTATTCTTTACATTTACTTTTCGTTTAAAAATAAAGCATGCCTTTTTCTCACGTCAATAAAATTGGTGAAATTCGCCATTTTAATGCAGCTGCTTTTACTCAGAACACCTAATTTTTTCTTAGCTTGCTCTTCTCATTCATGTGTATTCACAGACTGCAAGTTAATTTTAACAAATGCAAAATACATAATTAGGAGCCGGGCCCAGTGGCTCACACCTGTAATCCCAGCACTTTGGGAGGCCGAGGCGGGCAGATCGCAAGGTCAGGAGATCGAGACCATCCTGGCTAACACGGTGAAACTCCGTGTCTACTAAAAATACAAAAATTAGCTGGGCGTGGTGGCGGGCGCCTGTAGTCCCAGCTACTCGGGAGGCTGAGGCAGGAGAAAGGCATGAACCAGGAGGTGGAGCTTGCAGTGAGCCAAGATTGTGCCACTGCACTTCAGCCTGGGTGACAGAGCGTGACTCCATGTCAAAAAAAATACAAAAAAAAAAAAAAGAAGAAAGAAAAAAATTAGTCAGGTGTGGTGGTGCGTGCCTGTAGTTCCAGCAGTGGAGTCAAGGGAGCTGAGGTGGGAGAGTTACCTGAGCCCAGGGAGGCTGAGGCTGCAGTGAGCCATGATTGTACCATTGCCTGGGCAGCAGAGCAAGACCCTGTCTCAAAAAAAAAAAGAAAGAAAGAAAAAAGAAAACCCCCATATTATACATGACAATGTATCGCTTCGTGGCCTTTTGGCTAAGATCTAGTGTATACATGACACTGCAGAATCCTAGTGAGATGATGACCAAAATTACACAGCTGAGCTGAGATGAGGACCCAGGTGTGTTGGACTCCAAGGTTAGTTTCCCCTGCATTGCCTCACCTAGAAAAGTTAGGAGATGGTAAAAGATGCCTTGCCCTTATGTGTAATGACAACAGCATCCCTGGTTACCTGATCAGGCCATTCAAATTCCAGGAAATGAAAGCAGCATATCACTGAGAACTTACCTAAATATTTGTTTAAGAATAATATGTAAACCTAAGTACAAACACCCCAGCATTTAAGTATGTAGAAAAGTAATCTTATTCTCTGGGGCACAAATTGAGTTATTAAATGCAGTACATTGTTTTAACAGCACACAATTCTGGTTATTACTTTGTATTGCATCAATAATTAATTACATTGCTGTTTACCTTGTTTATTTAGATTTGAGCATATGTTACTTTGTAAGTGATCCTAAGCCATCATTCTAAAAACAAATTAGTGGAAGCCCTATGCTCACATTCCTCTTTAAACAGATATTTTAGTTGGATTACTAAGTATCTCATTATCTGAAAGCACTTAATGCTCCATCAGCTTGGGGTTTCCTAAGCAATGTTCACAAATTAGTGAGAACAAAAGTGAAATAAATTCATCTGTGAGGACTTACCTGAGTGCTATTAGTAATGGGTACTTTTCATAGGTTTCTTGCAGTAAAAACTCAGCGTGATCTAAGACAGCAAAAAATAACAAAAAGCTGTTTCTTTCTCCTCCAAGCGAATATCATGTGCTTCAAAAAATGTTATTCTCTTTCTCGGCAGAATTTTGGAAGCCTTTTCTGATTAGATTAGCACTCTATTAAATTGCTGCTTAGTATTGTGTTGACTTCTACTTTCTTAAGTCTGACAATATTCTCTTGATCACAAGTCAGTAATATATTTATGAAAACTTAATCTATACCTGCTTTTTGCACTCATGTCAGTATTTTTTTTTATTCGAGACGGAGTCTTGCACTGTCCCCCAGGCTGGAGTGCAGTGGCATGATCTCAGCTTGCTGCAACCTCCGCCTCCTGGGTTCAAGCGATTCTCCTGCCTCAGCCTCCCAAGTAGCTGGGACTGTAGGTGCGTGCCACCACGCTCAGCTAATTTTTTGTATTTTTAGTAGAGACGGGTTTCACCGTTACACAGGTTGGTCTCCATCTCCTGACTTCGTGATCTGCCCGCCTCGATCTCCCAAAGTGCTGGGATTACAGGCATGAGCCACCGCCCATATCGGTATTTTTTAAAAACGCTTTTTGTGTAGAAAAATCAGAAAATGAGTATTAGGAAAAATTTAAAAACCCAATTATTCCATGTAGTGATAACCATGCTTAATATTTTGTGTTTATCTGCCCAGAGTTTTTTCTGCTTATATAGGTTAGATAAATGCCTATATGATTTTAAAGAATAAAAATGGGTTCATACCACTGAGCAGTACAACACTGTATCCTTTCATTTACTGTGTTTTTAACATCTTATTTCACTAGATAATGTCTCTGCCACATTCATTTTTATTAGCTTCATGTTCTGCTGTATTTCACAGCCTTCTTTCTGTCTACCCTGCTTGCAGTCATCCCACTTTAATCTAGGACAGTAGCTCCTGGGGGTACTATGCTGTTATACATTTTTAGTATTTTCTTATATTCAATGATAATTGTGTGATAAATGCTATTTAAAGCATCGTGGCTGGTCTGAAGGTAGTGAGTTATCTCAGTTGATTGTTCAGTCACTTGCAGATCAAACTCCTTATTCTACTCTTTACCCCCTTCTCACTACTGCACTTGACTATTCGAAAATGAGCATCCCACATATTTTCATCAGATGGAGAATTTTGTGCTAATGCTGAGTATCTTGATTTAAATGTTATCACTTTCTCGGTTTACCTCAGTTATCCAGAGCACAGATAAAGAGAATAAAGTAAAATTTATTTAATGGAAACTAAAATATATATTGTAATCAGTTAACTTTATTCATAAGAAGACTGTCTCATGCCTTTTCTGGGAGCTCTTTTTCTCTCTAGCTTTAGACAGGACTCTAGGGCTAAGCTTCAGTTACCTGGAAAATTTGATGATATGTGAATTAAATTATTCATAGAAGAGATGTCTGTTTATTTGATTAGCGGTGAGTGGGTTGGAGAGACCGATTTATGATAGGTCTCATGCTAGGGACTTTTCATTTCTGCTTCACAAAAATCCCACAAGGCATGTACTCTAGTTTCTGTATCTCTCTCATTTCCTTGTTAGTTTAAAAAACAACATGAAGCCGGGCTTGGTGGCTCACACCTGT
The DNA here is from genome assembly GCF_000001405.40 of Homo sapiens. NCBI lineage: Eukaryota > Metazoa > Chordata > Mammalia > Primates > Hominidae > Homo > Homo sapiens. The sequence continues at coordinate 32,829,727 of NC_000017.11, read as the reverse complement.
AATCCCAGCACTTTGGGAGGCCGAGGTGGGCAGATACTTGATGCCAGGAGTTTGAGATCAGCCTGGCCAACATGGCAAAACCCTGTCTCTACTGAAATATAAAAAAATTAGCTGCGCTTGGTGGCACACTTCTGTAGTCCCAGCTACTTGGGAGGCTGAGGCATGAGAATAGCTTGAACCCAGGAGGTGCAGGTTGCAGCGAGCTGAGATTGCGCCACTGTGCTCCAGCCTGGGTGACAGAGCAAGACTCTGTCTCCAAAAACAAAACAGAAAAGAACAGCATGAGACTCAAGTTCCTACCCCTAGAAAGTAATTGAACTAGGGTACAACCTCAGGTCTGGCTGCAAAGCCAGAGGTATGTGTATAAATTCAAAGTGCATAAAATAACTTTTAGCCAAATCATTTTATCCACCACTTGAAAATGACTTTGTCTGATGTTCTGATAAATATCTGTCCCAAAAGGTGGGGAGGTAAATGAAAGCACCCTGAGAAGACCTTACTCAAAAATGCCCTTAATCTAAGTATCTAGTTCCCCTGTTCTAATACTTTCTTAGCTCCTCCCTGTTAGATGACTCTCTTTTTGCTACTATTTCAAGATTTCATCTTAAAAGCAAATGTTTTGTAGTTTACTTTGGCACACACCATAGCATATTTTCTTTCTAGCATTTCCATTTTTGTTCCTAACTTATTTTCTCCTGTCTGTGTGGAATTGAGGCAGTGTAGCTCAGTGATTAAGTCCTGAGCATTGGAGTCAGACCCAAGGTCTGCCTTCTGACTGTCACTTACTAATAGTGTGGCTTTAAGCAGGTTTACCCGACTTGTATGTGTGTGCCTCCGTTTCCATAGCAGGAATATAGTATAGTAGTATGGCACCAACAGAACTGATAGAACAGAATACAACACCATAGAGTGGCTCTGAAGTTTAAATGAGAAAAATGCATATCTAGCACCACCTTGCCTCTTAGCACGAAGCAGGCATTCAAAATAGGTTAGCTTTTCTACCCCTTTTACCTCTTTAAATAATATGAAATAATTGATTTTGCCCACTGGCTTACATAGCATTTTCCCTCCCTCCCTCTCTGCATGTAGTAGCTTAGAGAGAACATTTGGAACCTGGCATACTTGGCCAGAGCCTGCTCATTCTCTGCTTGACTCATTCACGTACACACCTGTTTCCTGTCTTCTTTCTTTTTTTTTTTTTTTTTTTTTTTTGAGACGGAGTCTCGCTCTGTCGTCCAGGCTGGAGTTCAGTGGTGCGATCTCTGCTCACTGCAAGCTCCGCCTCCCTGGTTCACGCCATTCTCCTGCCTCAGCCTCCCGAGTAGCTGGGATTACAGGCACCTGCCACTATGCCCGGCTAATTTTTTGTATTTTTAGTAGAGACGGGGTTTCACCGTGTTAGCCAGGATGATCTCGATCTCCTGACCTGGTGATCCGCCCGACTCGGCCTCCCAAAGTGCTGGGATTACAGGCGTGAGCCACTGCGCCCGGCCTCCTGTCTTCTTTCTGATAGCACGGGAGAAAACAAACAGAATCCAATTTACTTACACAGAACAATGACCTCTTACCCAGGACCTTTCTGGAAAATAATGCCTGCCATTAGTATCCCTGGCTTCCACGTCAGCTTCTTTCACTCATCCTTAACTTGAAGTGTTTTTCATTGTGCTTTCAGCCTCTCCCATGCTCAGGGTTTTGGTCTTTGTCCAATATTTAGCGGTTTGTGATCATGTGCTTTTGCCATTGGTGTGGTTCTGACTTGGTAAGAGTTATTTCTTAATGCTTTGTAATGTTATCCCTATTTCTTTAGTGAAAACTGCAGTTTATAAGTAATGATAAGCATCATATTTTACTTGTAAATCAGATTTCTGAAAATATTTTTCTGCTTAAGTGAGAGCTGGATTTTTTTTCAAGGTTACTTTTTCCTCATTGCTTTGGCATAAAAGACAATTCCTTGTGTACATAGTCACTGACCATCTGTTTTGTGGGCTGTAGATTCTAGAGTTTGCCTTTAAACTTAATGATGTCTTTTTTTCTACTCTTTCCTTTTTGGGGGGTGTTCATGTCAGTTGAATCGATTGGAGGTTTTAAAAATAGAGAAATAAATACAAACATTTTTTACAAAATGCTTATTAATTTTTTTATTGTAGTAAAATATATGTAACATAAAATTACCATTTTAGCCACTTTTAAGTGTACAGTTCAGTATTTCTGTAGCATTAAGTACATTCACATTGTTGTTCAGCTGTCACCACTACCCATTTCCAGAACTTTGTCATCATCTCAAACTGAAACTCTACCCATTGGACCATAACTCCCATTCCTCCCTCTTCACAACCCTGGTAACCACCATTATGCTTTCTGCCTCTATGAATTTTTTCATTCCAGGTACTTCATATAAATGGAATCATACAATATTTGTCCTTTTGTGACTGACTTAGTCACAACTTATTATATGACTTATTATAATGTTCTCAAGGTTTATCCATGTTATAGCATGTGTCAGAATGTCTTTCCTTGTTAATCCTGAATAATATTCCATTGTGTGTTCATACCACATTTTGTTTCTCCGTTCATCCATCGATGGACATCTGGGGTGTTTCCACTTTTTGGCTATTATGAATAATGCTGCCATGAACATTAGTGTGCAAATAAATTTCAGGCCTCTACTTTCAATTCTTTTGGGTGCATACCCAGGAATGGAATGCTAGATCATATGGTAAATCTATTTTTAATATTTTGAGGAACTACCATACTGTCTTTCACATTTGGTGGCACCATTTTTCCTAACATACATTCCCATGTTTTATATTTTACATTCCCATGTTTCCTAATATACTGATATAGCATTTTTTAAAAGTTTAAAATATATATATGTATATGTTTTCAACTATGATTGTATCAGAATTTAGCTGGAAATTATGAAACAGTATGATAAATGCATTACCAAATATTGCACTTCTGAAATATTTTCTCAAGATATTTTTATGTCCATTAAATTAGTTTGCTATTAGTACTAGTTTGTCTTCTATTCAGATAGAAATTTTCTCCTATCACAAGAGTGTGGAAGATCCAGTGTCCACGGTCTTCTATATCAGGGCAGGATTTTTGGTGTGTGGTGTCACCTGTATAAATTACATTGTATTCAGTTTTATTAAATGTCAAGTTTTGTTAGATTTCAGATTTTAGTAACATAGAAATTACTGAAGGGATGCACATTTTTCTACAAATAAATTTTCAAGCCATGATTTACTCATTTGCAACTAAATATTTAAGCTCCTATTCTTTTTAAGGTAGTAAGCTGGCTACTGTAAGAAAAGCATCTCTATGTATTTTTTCCACATAGGCCTTAAAAACATTCATTCATTCATATCAACAAACTTTTGTTGACTTCCTATATGCCAGGCTCTGCTAAATGGGTGGGGATGGGAGGTGTTGATTGCAGGTAGGTGAACAGGCAAGTCTTTATTAGACTTGTATGGTTAAGTTATGTGAAGGTGGAAGTACAGAATGCTTTGAGAGTAAATGAGATGGGGCAAACTAACCAATAGTTGGAGAGGAAGGGAGAATGTATCATCAAGATCTCTAAAATACCTCAAAATTCTTCAGGAAGTGTATTCTCCCTAGAATAGTTAACCCCCAGAATAAAGTAGTAATACACTTTTTTTTTTTTTTTTTTTTTAAGATGGAGTTTCACTCTATCACCCGGGCTGGAATGCAGTGGCACCATCATAGCTCACTGCAAGCTCAAACTCCTGGGCTGAGGCAATCCTCCTGCCTCAGCCTCCCAGTAACTGGGACTACAAGCGTGTGCCAGAGCACCTGGCTAATTTTTATCTTATTTTTTAAATGTTTGGTAGAGATGAGATCTTGCTATATTGCCTGGGCTGGTCTTGAACTCCTGGGCTCAAGCAGTCTTCCCGCCTGGGTCTTCCAGAGTGCTGGGATTAGAGGCATGAGCTACCACACCTGGCTATGGTAAACATTTTTATAGCATTTTAATATCATATATCACTTGTGAAATGAGTATTCTGTTAAGGAAGCAGCATTCGACTTCTGTCATGCCCATCAATTAAAACTATCAATAGTTTTAAAACTCTGCGCATATGAGCATGTGACCTTGCTTAAAGAAAAATTGGGCCGGGTGCAGTGGTGCACACCTGTAATCCCAGCAATTTGAGAGGCGAAGGTGGATGGATCGCCTGAGCCCAAGATTTTGAGATCAGCCTGGGCAACATGGTGAAACCCTGCCTTTACAAAAAAATACAAAAATTAGCCAGGCGTGGTGGCACATACCTGTAGTCCCAGCTATTCAGGAGACTGAGGTGGGAGAATCATTTGATCCTGGGAAGTTAAGGCTGCAGTGAGCTGTGATCACACCACTGTACTCCAGCCTAGACATTGGAGCAAAACACTGTGTCAAAAAAATAAAATAAAATAAGATAAAGAAAAAAGAAAAAGAAATGAAAAATCATCCTGAAATAATAAATACCCTGTGTTTATAAAGTAATGTATTATGGAAATTTTTGTTGTAGTAGTACTTAATTTCAGTTTGAAAATGTTGTACACCCAAACAAGCTCAACGACTATTTCTAATATCACATTTTCAAAAGGCCACAGTTGAGATAACAAAGATATGCTGCTATTCTTTAATATTTTCATCACTTTTAATTTAGCTTACTTTTTTATCCTTATTTTTTCATTACTAAAGAAAAACATGCAAGTAACAGTCAAACAATCAGAAGTAAATGAAGTAAAACATGAAATTTCCTCCCTTTCCTCTCCTCCACGAATTCTACTCCACAAAAGTAAACATTGCAGTTTAGTGTGTCTCCTTCCAGGACATGCAAGCATTTGGACAGCCAGCTACTATAAGAGGAGGGAGGGAGGAAGAGCGGGAGAAGGCAAGGGAGAGAAATTGTGCATACCCATACATACATTCAAATTAAATAATAATGAGAGTATGCCATAATAATGTTCTGTATATGGTTTGTTTTCTATTTACTAGAAATGGAAAGTTAGACCAGAGCACCAGCTCCAAAGAAAGAGGTCCTGGGTCAATTCTGAGCCATCACTTACTAAGCCGGGGGACCTCAGACAGTAATGCAGTCTTCTTCAATCCTAATTTTGTCATCTGTCAAATAGGGGTAATTATTTGCTCCTTAACAGGGTTGTGAGGATTAAATGAGATACTATGTGTAAAGTATTTGGGGGACGTGCCTGGCACAGAACCCCAAACTCTGGACAAACAGTAAGCTGTTAGTTTTATGGGTACTATAACTAGGATAGCTGACCCATTATGCTATGCTTTGCTGTGTGAAAGGACAAATATCTCTTTACTGTTCTTTATTTTGCAAAAATTGAACTTTAAAGCCAACTTTTCGAGTTCCTAAATGAAAGTTTATTAGTCTATTGAGTGCAGTTGCTTTGAATTTATAAGTTAAATTTTGGGAGAATTATTACCAACTTTCAGGGTTGTTTTGTTCCAAATGAATCTCTTGTGTTCAGCATATAATTTGATTCTACTTTGTGATCATTCTGAGAGTCTTGCTTTTAATGGTTTTATATGACAATTTATTGACATGACAGATATGTTTGGTCTCAGTTCTGTTTTACTTTATGTAATTTTTCTGCCTTTAGTACTTCTTTTTTTTTTTTTTTTTTGAGACGGAGTCTTGCTCTATCGCCCAGGCTGGAATGCAGTGGCCTGATCTCGGCTCACTGCAAGCTCCACCTCCCGGGTTCACACCATTCTCATGCCTCAGCCTCCTGAGTAGCCGGGACTACAGGTGCCCACCACCACGCCCCGCTAATTTTTTATATTTTTAGTAGAGACAGGGTTTCACCATGTTAGCCAGGATGGTCTCGATCCCCTGACCTCTTGATCCACCCGCCTCAGCCTCCCAAAGTGCTGGGATTACAGGCATGAGCCACCGTACCCAGCCTAGTACTTCTTAAATAGTTTTTGCATGATGTTCAGTGTTTGTGTTGCCTGGCTTTATGTTTTCCTTTTGATAATTTGAACATCTAAAATTAGGTTTTTTCCTAGTAGTTACTTTTATAACTATAACTTTACATTCCCTCTCTCCCTTTGATCACTCAATTTTTAATTACTTATATTACTATTATCAGTTTTCCTAGGTGTATTTCGCCAAATTGGGGATATATATGACCAACCTGTGGGCTTACCAACAACCAGTGGCTTGATTTGCAAAGTTTAACTCAGTTTTAAGCACTATATGCATGTTGTCTAGATTGAAATTCAGACTTAGCCACTTGCTAGTTGTGTAACCTTAGGCAAGTTACCCAAAGTTCACTATGCCTCAGTTTCCTTCTCTGTAAAATATTTTATATATATATGTATATAAAATGAATGCTGCAGAGGTTAGTAGTTGGGCTGATCTTGTAGCTGCGTAGTGTCATCAGTGCCCTGACCCTGGGTGCTCACTCAGTCTATCCTTGGCTTGTGACTTTTGTGCTCATGCTTGTCTTGTGGTCATATGATAGTTACTCCACCTCCAACCTCTCATCAGCATTCTAGACAGAAAGAAAACGAGGAAAAGGGGTGCCTATACTGAGGAAGCAAAACTTTACTAGAAACCCTCAACTTACATCTCATTGTCCAGAACTAGGTCACATGATCACCCCTTCCTGAATGTGGGAAATAAAACAAGAATATTTACCATGATAATTTTACCAGACCAAGTAAAAGTCATGGTTAAAACCACTAATTTTATTTATTTATTTTTATTATACTTTAAGTTTTAGGGTACATGTGCACAACGTGCAGGTTTGTTACATATGTATACATGTGCCATGTTGGTGTGCTGCACCCCTTAACTCGTCATTTACATTAGGTATGCGAGACGCCGGCTGAGTCTCACGCCCGCGGGCGGCAGCCGGTCGACCCCGGAGGCCCGACTGAGGAGCGGTCGCGAGCGGAGGTCGGCCGGGTGCGGGGACGCCCCGGGCCTCGCCGCCTGCTGCCCGCCACCCGCGGTCTGCTGGTCGACCCGTGCGGAGGAAAGAGGAGGAGGGACGCGCGAGGGCCGGAACCCCGGGTGGCCGCCCCACCGGGGCCCGCGCGGCCACCCCCCGGGACGGGGGCCGGCGGGCCACGGGCCCGGCTCGGCGCGGCCGCCTCCGCGGTTCCCACCCACGCTCCCCGGGCCCCGTCCCGAGCCGCCCCGGCAGTGAACGGGGAGGAGGCGGGAACCGAAGAAGCGGCGCGCCGACCGGGGACGCGCGCCCCCCGCCCCCCACCACTGCCCGTGGTCGGCGGGAGAGGCCGGGAGGGAGGAAGACGAACGGACGGACGGCGCTGGACGCGTTATCCCTCCCCCCTCCCCCTACCCCACAACAGGCCCCAGTGTGTGATGTTCCCCTTCCTGTGTCCAAGTGTTCTCATTGTTCAATTCCCACCTATGAGTGAGAACATGCGGTGTTTGGTTTTCTGTCCTTGCGATAGTTTGCTGAGAATGATGGTTTCCAGCTTCATCCATGTCCCTACAAAGGACATGAACTCATCCTTTTTTATGGCTGCATGGTATTCCATGATGTATATGTGCCACATTTTCTTAATCCAGTCTATCATTGTTGGACATTTGGGTTGGTTCCAAGTCTTTGCTATTGTGAATAGTGCCACAATAAACATATGTGTGCATGTGTCTTTATAGCAGCATGATTTATAATCCTTTTGGTATATACCCAGTAATGGGATGGCTGGGTCAAATGGTATTTCTAGTTCTAGATCCCTGAGGAATGGCCACACTGACTTCCACAATGGTTGAACTAGTTTACAGTCCCATCAACAGTGTAAAAGTGTTCCTATTTCTCCACATCCTCTCCAGCACCTATTGTTTCCTAAAAACCACTAATTTTAAAATGCTGCCTGTGGTTGGCAGAATTATGCCCCACCATCACCCCCAAAGGATGTCCACAACCTAATCCCTGCATTCATATTTTGTCTCTTTCTTTCACTTTTTGAACAAAAATCCTATGCTTATAAGTAAAAGGAGTTTTTCCCTGAAAAAACTTTTCCCCCCAGTCCCTAGTATGGACGAGTTTGAATTTGGTAGTTTGAATTTAGATCTGTCCATGGAAATTCAGTTCAAATATAGGACTAGATCTCCCTGGATCCATAGAGAAGTTCCAGTCAAAGATGTGTGTGTGTGTGTGTGTGTGTGTGTATGTGTGATTTACTTATCTTCAGCTGACAAAGGTTGGCAGTTGTAGGGCACTTGGCCATCTCTTATTTCTCTACAATAAGGATTACTTCATCCTTATTTGTAATTCCTAAAACTAAATTAAATTTTATGTACATATGTATTCATTCATTTCTTTATTTTAGTTTGTTGATTTAAGAATATTCCCACAAGTTAAACAATGAAAGTGATAGTTATATTAGAGATATGAATGACTAATTATTCCTGCCCACCACCTACATCATTTTCCCCCCAGCTTAATGGAGGTTTTATTGACAAACAAAAATTATATATACTTGCATCCAGTCATAAAAAAGAATGAGATCATGTCCCTTGCAGGGCCATGGATGGAGCTGGAGGCCATTATCCTTAGCAGACTAACACAGGAACAGAAAACCAAATACTGCATGCTCTTACTTATAAGTGGGAGCTAAATGATGAGAACACATGGACACACAGAGGGGAACACACACTGAGGCCTATCAGCGGGTGGAAGGTGAGAGGAGGGAGAGGATCAGGAAAAATAACTAATGGGTACAAGGCTTAATACCTGAGTGATGAAATAATCTGTACAACATACCTCCAACACAAAAGTTTACCTATATAACAAACCTGCATATGTACCCCCTTAACTTAAAATAAAAGTTAAAGAAAAAGTAGGAAGAATGAACAGAAAAAATATATATACTTAAAGTATACAATGTGATGTTTTGATATAGGTATACATTGTGTAATTATTACCACAGTCAAGCTAATTAACGTAGTCATCACCTTATATAGTTACTCTTTTGTGTGTTTATGGTGAGAATATTTTTCTATAACTGAAAGTTTCTACCCTTTGACCAATATCTCTCCATGTCCGCCATCCCTTGACCATATATGCCCTCATATGGTCATAATTGTATGAGGTTATGACCTCATAACAACCATTCTTTCTTTTTCCTTGAGTTCAACTTTTTAGATTCCATATTGTAAGTGAAATCATGTAGTATTTGTCTTTCTGTGTCTGGCTTATTTCACTTAGCATAATATCCTCCAGGTTCATTAATCATTCATGTCACAAATGGCAGGATTTGCTTTTTAAAACTGAATAGTATTCCATTTTCTGTGTATGTGTGTATATCACATTTTCTTTATCCATCCATTTGTCAACAGACACTTTGATTCTTTCGTATCTTGAGACTAATGTGAATATGCTGCAGTGAACATGGGGTGAAGATCTGTCTTCAAGATGGTGATTTTCTTTCCTTTGAACATATACCCAGAAGTGGGATTGCTGGGTCATATGGTAGCTCTATTTTTAATTTTTTGAGGAACCTACATACTGTTTTCCATAATGGCTGTACCAGTTTACATTCCCACCAACAGTGTGCAAGAGTTCCCATTTCTGTGCATCCTTGTTCTCACTTTTTAAAAGAGAAACTACCCTTCTATGGCCTTACTGAACAGTGACCATGTTTTGAACCACTTGATTCCTGTCTCCCGTCTCTCCCTCTTGCCACATCTGGAATGAGACATAATCCAAAGATGACCAACCTGTGGGCTTACCAACAACCTGTGGCTTGATTTGCAAAGTTTAACTCAGTCAGTTTTAAGTACTATGCATGTTGTCTAGATTGAAATTCCGACTTAGCCACTTGCTAGTTGTGTAACCTTAAGCAGGTTACCCAAAGTTCACTATGCCTCAGTTTCCTTCTCTGTAATATTAGATCCTATATAATGTGGTTTTGAGAATTAAAAATAGTTAAGTCCTTAGAACAGTATCTGGCTCATACTCAAAGCTTCATAAATGGTAGCCATTATTATTATTCTGGTAGGAATTTGGAATTAAGAAACTGAATAACTAAAAGAGTTACTAGTAGAAACTAAAGGTAGAGTGTCATGAGATAGAACAGTGGTTTTTATTCCTTTTTGGGGTCATTGCTTTCCTGAAGCATCTGATGAAAGTATGGACATTCCCTGCAGAAAAGTTCATAAGTATATATAAACAATAAAATCAAGGTTGAAAGCACCTGATGCAGAGAATGATGGAGAGGAGGCCACAGCAAGTCAGAGCCATGTGCAAGTCAGCCTTGAGAAGGAGCAGAAACTGCCACCAAAGCAGAGGGAACTGTTGAGTAAACGGAGGGGAATGGACTGAATGAAAAGGCAGAAGCAGAAGCTGGGAGATAGCCCTTCAGTTCCGGTCCAGTGATTTCTACCCCAGAATTCCTGTGAGATCTCTGTTTATCTCCTCACAGCCAACTTCCCTGCTTATAACCAAGCTAGCATAGCCTCCCTTCTTGCAATCACACTATCCAGACCGAAAAAAAAAAAAAAACTTGAAACCAACTTCTACATGATGAAGCATTATTGCTGTGTCATTTCAGATTTCTTTCAGCCAACATTATGATGTTTTCCTGTGGTGTGATTATATCAACAGCAAATGCTTTCAGAGTAAAGTGAATAGCCATCTGTAGTTACTTTTCAGCGGCTGCTAACTTCCTTTTTTGTAGATAGAACACTTTCCAGGCATATCCTAGTTTTTAACATTCCACTTTAAGGAAAAAGCAAGGAAGAAGTAACGTCAACCTATCTCTCTAGTAGAATTCTCTTTTATTTCTATTAATTTTTTAAAGTTTTTAAGCAGAAAATGAGGCAGAACTTCATAAGATTTTGTAGGTGAAAAGGATTTTAAGGAATTTTCCAGGCCCATTACATCCAAAGAAAACTGGACCCTGGTATCCTATTGCATACTTAGTCTAATTTAGTCCTCACAGTAACCTTATGTGATATAATACCCTTCCTTACAGATGAGGAAACAGGCTTAGAGAGATCTGACCCCTTGCCCAAGATCGCTATAGCAAGTGGTAGAACCAGGATTTGATCTCAGGGTTTTCTGACTACAAAGCCTATGCTGCAATGCTTCACTGGACTCTAAAACTTAGGCTAGAGAAGAGTGAGGCTTTCACTTTATTTCCCCCATTGGTCTCTCTCTCAGCAGCTCTTCTAGAAAAGAAGAATGGGAACTTGCAAGCCCCATTTTTTTGATCCTTGAGCCGAATGGGTCTTGAATGTGTCCATCGAGCATCTGCCTCCGTTGCAGTGTCATCTCAAGTGGTGGTACCTTCCCACTGGGCTGGAGCTACTATTGGATACTTAGCCAACCCTCCTTCCATAATGAGGCCTTCACATGGGACCACAGCTCAGCATTGCTGGGAAGAATGGTCAGAGACTGCAGGGGCAGCAGCGATCCACAGTTTGAACAGAAGCATCACTAAGACTTGTTTACAGACTATTTGCAGGATAGAGGTGTGGTTAAAAGCACTGGCTCTAGAAGTAGACTGCTTAGGTGAATCTCAACTCTTTCACAATACTTGTAGGGCAAGAACCTACTACCTCTTTTTTTTTTTTTTTTTTTTGAGACGGAGTCTCGCTCTGTCGCCCAGGCTGGAGTGCAGTGGCGGGATCTCGGCTCACTGCAAGCTCCGCCTCCCGGGTTCACGCCATTCTCCTGCCTCAGCCTCCCAAGTAGCTGGGACTACAGGCGCCCGCCACTACGCCCGGCTAATTTTTTGTATTTTTAGTAGAGACGGGGTTTCACCGTTTTAGCCGGGATGGTCTCGATCTCCTGACCTCGTGATCCGCCCGCCTCGGCCTCCCAAAGTGCTGGGATTACAGGCGTGAGCCACCGCGCCCGGCCCCTACTACCTCTTAAAGTCTCCATTTCTTTATCTGGAAAGTAAGATATTTCTTTAAAAGTGCATACCATATAGGGTTGTTGTGAAGATTAAATGTGATAATGCACGTAAACCACTTAGCTCAGTGCCTGGCATGGTAACGCTCAGTGAGTGTTGGCTATTACTATACTACTTGAAAACAGTTTAGAGAAAAAGCAAAGAAAGAGGAACATCAACCTCTACTGGATCCTTTTATTTTGGTTAATTTTGAGTTTTTGAACTGAAAACAAGTCATAAATGTATAGGCTTTTATAGCTGGGAAGGATTACTTTCCTTGAAAATGGTAACTCCTGTGTTTAGCTGACAAAACCAGTTTTTAAACTGCAGTCATTTTATGAGTGTAAAATATTACCTTCAAAAGGCATAGAATGTATATGCATTTTATTACTGTAATTAAGAGAGGTACAAATATGTTCTTGTTCCAAGTTTTTTGTTGCTAAACCATTAAATAATCTGGTGGTTGTTTTCCTGTTACTCAGCAACATAAAGAAGCTTCAGTCTTCAGTCTTCAGTCTTCATATCTTTTTAGAAATGCATAAAATTTGTAGATTGCTAATGTATTCTTGTAACATTACTGTTAGCCAGGCATGGTGGCTCATGCCTATAATCCTAACACTTTGAGAGGCCGAGGTGGGAGAATCACTTGAGGCCAGGAGTTCAAGACCAACCTGGGCAACATATCATGACCCTGTATCTACAAAAAAATTTAAAAATCACTGTGAAGTAGCTAGCAGATAATTACTATTTTTATTTTATTTATAGCAATACATCTAGTACCTCATTAAATAGAAATTTGAGGTACAAGTAGTTACTTGCCTAAGTTACATAATTTTTCCTCACCAAAAACTTTTTATTCTGTGGCATTTCTTACCGCTTGTCATCTTTTTCTTTAGTTAAAAACACTAATTTTTTTATTATTTAAAAAAATTCAAAAAGGGACTGTATTATATTGGAAGAAAGACTAAATCCTGTGTGTGTGATGAAAATGGATTAAGGTTTTGATGTTGAATTTTAAACTCATACTTATGCTACATCCAGGAATTTTTCATAATATCTGCAGTTGAGGTGAGTGCATCCATTTATTAGATTTAGACCACTTAATATAAAAACAATGAAGTAACTCAGGATTTACTAATTGTAAATACATAGTATAAATATGTTTAGAGAAAAATTATATGCAAATGTTTTTTCCCTTGCCTAGAATTTGAAGATATTGTTAAAACATGGCAATCTATTGCAAACTTGACTGTTTAGAATCAAACAGAATTATTTAAAATTCAGTTTTAATAGTACTACAGCAATCAGGTGGAGAGAAACCAAAATAATTATTAAAATGATTTCAAAGTTTAAGACGAAAAGTAAATAACATTGGACTAAGTTTCCAACCTTTCCCTTGGTCTAGGACATTAACCTTCTCTCTTTAGCTGCCTAACCCTTATGTATCCTTCTGGGCCCTGCGTTTGTCTCAGTGAAGCCTTTCCTAACCTGGTCAGGTCTCATGTTTAATACAGTGTTAGCACTGTGACCTCTTCCTATATCTCTTGTTTGTCTGGATTGTAATAATATGATTGTTGATAATTTTTTAAAACTGTGTTCCTCACTTGACTCTAAGTTTGATCAGGGCAGGAACCAAATGTGCCCTTTTCACTCCCAGACGCTTAATGCAGTGTTAAACATCACACTAGACCCACAGACATTCTCAATAAATATTTATTGACTGATAGATGAATGGATTCCTTGTTTAGGATATTGTAGCTGAGAGATATTGAGAAGAATCAACTGGCTACTTCCCACTGGTTTTCAGATCAGTTAGTTGCTACTAGGTTACCATGGATAAAGGATTTGTTTATAAGCCCAGAAGTTTAATTTTATCCTCTTGATTCTCAGTTATTGATACTAGTAAACAAACTTACAAGAAACTAATTTGTATGAGAGAATACAACCCCGAAATTTACATAGGAAAATGTACCTAGAAACTGGGGCTTGTGGTCTATACAGGTGTGGCAGAGACGGTAATCACTTACCTTGTCCTTCTCAACATTTCCTACCTAGCTTGCAGTTAGGTGGGGACCACAGGACTAACCTGTGGTATTGGCCAATGAACTCTGCACAGAGTGATGTGTCACTTTGAGGCCAAGGGAATTCAGAGCCAGCATGCTTTCTTGTTTGTTTCTTTTGCCAAAGCGTGTGCTCTTTAGGCCTCCTGTTCTCATTGGCAAATCTACGAGAGGGAAGAGGGCTGCCTGACCAGGATTGGACTTAAGCATAATAACTATGCTTTTAAAAAAGTTAAGAGAATAAGAACTAACATGAAAATTTAAAATATTTAAGTCATTATCATTGATATTTTTCCATACTTTAGAGATAGTTCTCACAATTCTTGAGCCACAAGTTTGGAATGATTTCTTCTACCACAATATTTTTGGTGTCTTCCTGGTAAATAAGGAAAATCCAGGTTGAAATGGGCAACTTCTATAAGTCAAGAGCTGGAAAATCTTTTTTCCTACAGTTTATGTATTTTAGCAGTAGTTTATGTAGCAAAATGGATCTCTTATGAGATAATTTTTTCATTAAGTATTTTTTCAACAGAATTATATTTGAGCCTTGAGCGCCTATTTTCTTCAAGATATTGTTAAGCTCTGCAAAGGTGAGTAAGTCATATATCTTGTCTTCAGTATTTTACCATCCATAACAGACTGCTAATTATTCAGCAAAATGTGTTTCCTGTTCTTTGGAGGCACATCCTCCCTTGCAGTTACGTGTCATGTGACAGAGTACTCATTGGTGGAATTTCTGAGGTCTAGACACTTCTAGGTCTAACTCATAAAAGCCTCCCGCAAGTGATTCTCCATTCTCTGCCACTTTTGTTGGCTGGCTGTTGATGCGCAGCGTAACTTGAAGTCATGTGTTGAAGATGGAAGCGTTTTTGTCGGACATGTCACTGAACAGTTGCATGGAGCAAAGGCCTACTCCCTCCCCACAGAAACGTTTGTATTGGACTAATGTATGGGTAATAAATCAACTTCTTGTGTAAAGCCACTGAAAGTTTGGAGTTTATCTGTAATTGCAATTAGCATTATTCTAGGCAACTTCTAATAGATGATACAGCAATTCCAGTGTGAATATTTAAATTTTCAACAATGATTAATTTGTCTTATTTGTAATGCATCGTGCTTAGAAGAGACATGTTTTCATTTAAAACAGTCTGCTAATTCTTTCTCTTGCTTTCATTACTCCAAATTATATGTCTCTTCTTTTAACAGCCAACAAATGGCTACTCTGATTAAGGAGGCCCTTCATTATCCTTCTTCCTCTCACACCGTTTTATAAGGTCATTTATATGGTTTCTGTGCTTACAAATTCATTGAGCATTTACTCTTATTTATAAGTGCAGTAGGAAAAAAAGAAGGGATAAATTTAGAATGTTAACACAGAAGTGTTTTTTGTTTTTGTTTTTGTTTTCTTGAGACGGAGTCTTGCTCTGTCGCCAGGCTGGAGTGCAGTTGTGGGATCTCAGCTCACTGCAACCTCCGCCTCCCGGGTTCAGGTGATTCTCCTGCCTCAGCCTTCCGAGTAGCTGGGACTACAGGTGCACACCACCACACCCAGCTATTTTTTGTAATTTTAGTGGAGACAGGGTTTTACCATGTTGACCAGGATGGTCTCGATCTCTTGACCTCATGATCTGCCCACCTCGGCCTCCCAGAGTGCTGGGATTACAGACATGAGCCACCACTCCTGGCAAGAAGTGTTTTTTAGATGGCTGACCTGAACTCTGGCAGGTCACTTTTCTAAAAAGTGTTGCTGCCTCGAGAAAGTTACCAACATGTGAAAGCTAGTTTGTATTAAACCTTCCACCTAATGCCCATGGCAGAAATCTAGTTATTCTTGATTCATGTCTGTCCTCACCATCTCCACTCCCATCTGATCAATCACCAGATGAGGTCAATTGAGTCTCCTAAATATCTTTTGAGTGTGACTACCACCATGCTCTAGTGTAGGTTTCTATCAAGCATCCCATGGACGCAGCTGTCTCTTAACTGGTCTCCATAGCTCCAGTCTTAAGACTTCCATGCTGTAGCCAGAACTTCTTAACATGACTTGGAAGGCCCTTGCATCATCAGCAATTAATTCTCCTCTCTTTTCTCTAGTTTTCCTTTCCTTTACTGTTACTGTCCTTTCTGTGCCTTGTGCTCCAGGCTTACTGAACTTCTTTCCATCCTTTAAACATGCTTTTTTCTTTCTGAAGCCTCTCAGCCTCTGTTCCTGCTGAGATCTCCATGTGGCACACTACTCTTTCCCACTCCTCCTCCTCCACCCCATCGCCTCAATAATTCCTACCCATTCTTTAGTTTTCAACTTAGATGTTACTTCTGGGATCACCTTCTCGGTCCTTGAGGTCTGGGTTAACTGCCTTTCATTTGTACTGTAATATATCTCCCTGCATTTCCTCTAATAGCTCCTTTGTTACATTTTCCTTTTACTTGTCTGCATCCCCTACTGGGCTGTCTGGAGGAACACAGACCATAGTTATGTTGATCACCATTGTATCTAAGCCCTTGGCGTATTGCTTAGCACAAAAAATATTTGTTAGATGAATGAGTAATAGGTTGTGTAAGAACCTAGTCTTTTTTCAGACTTGTCTGTAGAGTGATATTTGAGGATATAATAAAGAAGAGACTGAAGTCAGTGCCAGAGTATCTTTTCACATATTGGGAAATCATCAGTGAAGACCGTTTATAGGAGAAATGATTGAATGCTGGATAGTTGTTGAAGATTGAACTAACAAGATTTGCCAATGGATTGGATGATGGGTGTGGATGACTCCATGTGTATAAGTTATATTTGCTTGGCAAAATTGTTCATGAAAAGTTAATGTCGCCATTATGGTTAAGGTGATTGTGAGAATTAAATGGCCTATACATATAAAGTCTCTACCTAGTCTAGTGCTTGGCATTTTGTAGGTACTCAATAAATATTATTTTCCTATTTGTAAGTGACTTAGTGCTTTGTTAAGGCAAGGAAGCTGAATGTGTTATAACATGCTGCTGTTTCTAAGCAAAACTGTGCAGCAGGTGAAGTTGGTGCCCAGTGTCTGCTGGAACTTCTGCAGTCCTCTCCGTTGTCCTACCCAGAACCCCACAGGCTATATCTCAAGGTCAGTACTCCTTCCCTTGACCTGGTACTCTACTTGTCTCTCCAGTTCCCTCACTTGGAAGGCTTATTACTCTCATGTTTCATCCTGACTTCCTCTAACTTAAGTGTAGGTAACACAACATAAAGAGTTAAGAGCATTTACTCTGCTGTCAGACTGCTGGGTTTGAACTGTGGCTCTATCACCCCTGACCTTTGTAACCTTTTGCAAGTTACTAGACCTCTCTTGTCCTCATTTTTTACCATATGTAAAATAGGAAGAGAAACTCTTAGAACTGTGAGAATAAAAGAGATAATTCTTGTAGTACATTTGAAATTGTGCCTA
Organism: Homo sapiens; assembly: GCF_000001405.40. Classification (NCBI taxonomy): domain Eukaryota; kingdom Metazoa; phylum Chordata; class Mammalia; order Primates; family Hominidae; genus Homo; species Homo sapiens. The sequence goes on along the minus strand of NC_000017.11, from coordinate 32,812,328 downwards.
GCACATAAAAAACACTGAATAATTGTTTGCCATTTTGAGTCATAATCATACCTGATGACTTCAGCCACTTCTGTGTAGCCCTCAATATCCCTTCTGTACCAATTCTTGAATTTCTGCACTCCTGTCCTCTCATCCATCCTTTGATCTTGTTTCCATTTGGAAAAGTAAACTCAAACTCAGAATTCAAAACTAAACTTATCAACTTCCCTATTAAGGCAAGCTTATCTCTTTTTATAGCAGAATGTGTTGGCTACAAGTAGTAATAGAAAAACCCAAATAAAAGTGACAAACTACAAGGAAAGTTATTTCTCTCCCATAACAAGAAGTGTAGTAGTAGAATGGGTCCTGGGTTGGATAATTCAGTTGCTCAGTTATGTTTTCAAGGACCCAGGTGCCTTCCATTTCCTCAGCATTTTGACTTGTCCTTTTAGACTGGCTCTCCTCAACTCAAGATGAAAACTCAGGCAACACGTGCATATGACAGCTTTCAAAAAGGATTGCCCCACATCTTTACTCAGATCCAAGAAAAGCTTCCTAATCTCATCAATGACAAGAGGACTGGAATTCCCAGCTTTACCTTAGACTAACCAAGATCCATTCTCTTGGAGCTGGGGATAGCATTCCATTTCTGGAACACATGGCTTGGTGAGGGATGAACACCTGAGCAGCATCAGAGCCCTCCTGGCAAAAAAAAAAAAAAAAAAAAAAAAAAGAGGGTGAGGGTTGGGAGATAAATGTGGCTAGAGGGCATACAGTGTCTACTACAAGGTTTGAAATATTTCATGATTAGAAGTAAAAGATATAAAAATGAAGAAGAATTAGTAGTCACATTGAAGTTAGGGAAAACTAGGTAGTAAGTACTGTAGAAAATCAACTCAGACCAAGGATTGGGGCTGGAGTAGCGGGGATGGATTTGGGAGATGCAGCATGCATCCTCATTGACTGGACATAGGGAGGGGAAGAAAGGCCTCACTTGACTTCCAGTTTCTTTTTGGCTAAGTGGATAGCCATTCATGGAGATGAGGAAGACAACAGGATGAGTAGGTTTGACTGGTAGAGGTTTACTTGAGTTATGTTTTAAATGCATTGAGTCTGGGATGCCTAGTGAGACATCCTAGTTGAAATATCCTATAGGCAGTTGGAAGAAATGTCTGAACTGGAAATGTAGATGCCCTTTTGAGAGCAGAAACTGCTCCTTCCTCTTTTCTTCATTATTGATGGTGTCTCCCAGTCTTTTTCAAGTCTTCCTCATCCTTTGGTGCCTCTCAGGCTGATAGCCTTCTCCCTCTCTTCTTAAGGAATACACTCACTTTTGGTGAAGCCGTTGCTACAATTGCTGTCTGTCTGCCAAGGTTTCAGTGTAATGCCATAAGGCAAATAACCTAAACCCATTAAAATTAATTCAGAATTTAAAAGGCCAGATAATTTAATCTACTTTTTAAAAGACTCATAAATATTAAATTACCAAAAAAAAAGACAACTCCTCAAACAGAATAGATTTATCCTAAGCCGAGGAAATTGTGATAAGTGGACAGAGTTATTTAAAGGCATATTAAAAGTTAGATTTCTCACGCCTGTAATCCCAGCACTGTGGGAGGCCGAGGCAGGCAGATCACTTGAGGTCAGGAGTTCGAAACCAGCCTGGCCAACATGGTGAAACCCCGTCTCTACTAAAAATATAAAAATTAGCCGAGCATGGTGGTGGGTGCCTGTAATCCCAGCTACTTGGGAGGCTGAGGCTGGAGAATCCTTGAACCCAGGAGGCAGAGATTGCGGTGAGCCAGGATCACGCCATTGCACTCCAGCCTGGGCAATAGAGCGAGACTCTGTCTCAAAAAAAAAAAAAAAAGTTACGGACTTAACCTTATGGTTCCCCAAAAGTATAAACATGAGAAACAGAGATCAGGAATTTTCAATCATTTGCTATTTAGACCTAAATTACCAGGGGAAATCCTCCAGCACATTCTGACACAGGACACCCAACCATCTGTACCTTTTCTGAGTCTGTGAACTCTGAACTTCAGGGTCACCCTTAGAACTCTTTGTATCTGCGCTTCTGTTTCTCTTGCCACCTACTCTCTCCTCCCTTTCTCAGCCTCCCTGTCTGCTGTCTGGGTGCTCTTCTCTGCAGCTTCCTCACCCTTCATATATAGTCCCTTGTCACATTGGTTCCTGGCTCTGGCTACCCACTACTTCCTCCCCTTTGCCACTTCTCCCCAGTGTTCATGTACACCTTTCAGCCACATCATTCTCCTGGCTGCTTCCTGCTCATGCCTGTCAAGGTCACCTGCATGCCACTGCTTTTGCTTTGTCCTGGCCTTTTCCCTTCACCCTTTACTTAGCCCTTTCCCACTGCCTTTAGGTATAGAGGAAGCATTAATTAGTTTTTGCCTGTCTTTAGAGAAGCAGATCATTGATCATTGTGAATTTGTACTGCAAATACTGTATAGATTATTAGCTCACCTGACAATTATAGTTGGACCCCTTCTAATAAGATGATGCAAAAGGCCTGTCCAAGTATTAGCAGTTGCTATTATTGCTGAGCACAGAAACTCTGCATGAGTGCCCCTTATTTTAAAAACAGCCCAATGGCTGGGCACAGTGGCTTACACCTATAATCCCAGCACTTTGGGAGGCCAAGACAGGCAGATTAATTGAGGCCAGGAGTTTGAGACCAGCTTGGCCAACATGGTAAAACCCTGTCTCTACCAAAAATACAAAAATCAGCCAGGCATAGTGGCACATGCCTGTAATCCCAGCTATATGGGAAGCTGAGGTGTGAGAATCGTGTGAACCCAGCAAGTGGAGGCTGCAGTGAGCCAAGAACACGCCACTGCCCTCCAGCCTGGGCAACAGAGCAAGACTCTGTCTCAGAAAAAGAAAAAAAAAAAAAAAAAGGCCTAGGCCAGATACAGTGGCTCATGCCTGTAATTCCAACACTTTGGAAGGCCAAGTGGGGAAGATTGCTTGAGGCCAGGAGTGCAAGACCAGCCTGGGCAACATAACAAGACCCCCATGTCTATAGAATAAAAAACAAAAAAATTTAGTTGGGTGTGGTGACACATGCCTGTAGTCTTAGCAGCTCAGGAGGCTGAGGTGGGATGATTGCTTGAGCTCAGGAATTTGGGGCTGCAGTGAGCTTATGATTGCACAACTGCACTCCAGGATGGGTGACAGTTTTTTTTTTTTTTTTTATCAAAAACAAAAATGAATAAAAACAGCCCTAGGAGGGGGTGTGGGAGAGCAGGCATTTTCTTTGAGATACAATTTAGAAATATCTCTCAAATCTACCCTAAATATACATATGTGTGTGCATGTGTGTATTTATATGTACGTATACGTACACATGTTTACATATATACGTATGGCTATACCTAAAGGCATAAAATTTGCATACAAAATTTCTCAATGTCTTAGTCTTTCAGGCTGCTCTAACAAAATATCATAAAGTAGGTAGCTTATAAATGGCAGAAATTTATTTCTGACAGTTCTGGAGGCCAGGAAGTCCAATATTAGGGTGCTGACATAGTTGAGTTTTTGTGAGTGACCTCTGCTGGGTTGCAGACTGCCACCCTCTCATTGTATTATTACATGGTGGAAAAAGAGTATGTTAGCTCTGTGGCCTCTTCCTGTAAGGGCACTAGTCTCATTCATGAGGGCTCTACCCTTGATGACCTGGTTAACCCCAAAGGCCCCCTCTCCAAATACCATCACATTAGGAGTTAGATTTCAATGTATGAATTTTGGCGTGGCAGGGGGTGGGACACAAATATTCCATTCATAGTGCTCAGAATACATTAGAAATCGATAGCATTGGTTATAGTCGGATAAAAGCACTGGAAGTTCTGGGATAAGCTGTGAGGGAAAACTTTTACTGCATTCCTTTTATATCTTTTGAATTCTGATTATTGACGTATTACTTAAATATTTCTTTCAAATTTACTTTTTTTTTTTTTTTTAAAGAGACAGGCTCTCATCCAAGCTGGAGTGCAGTGGCATGATCATATCTCACTGCAGCCTCGTACTCCTGGGCTCAAGCAATCCTCCTGCCTCAGCCCCCTGAGTAACTAGGACCACAGGCATGCACCACCATGCCTGGGTAATTTTTAAATTTTTTTGCGGAGACAAGGTTTTACTATGTTGCCCAGGCTGATCTTGAACTCCTGACCTCAAACAGTCCTCCCACCTTGGCCTTCCAAAACATCAAATTTAGTATTCTATGACCCATCAGTTCTCACTTGAAGAAATTTTCCCCCACAGAAATGCTTGTTTGGGTTAGGAAAATTGTGGGTAAGGTGATGTTAATGATAACATTGTTTATAGTAACAATAGCAACCACAAAAGCAGGAGCAACCTAAAAGTACATCAGTAGGGGCTGACATCTCAATTATAACATATCTATGCTGTTATTTAGGAAAATGAGGTATGCAAATATGGTAATGTGAAAGGGTTGCTGATTAAGATAGGGTAGGTTATGCTAGAGTTACAAACAACCCCAAAGTCTCAGTGGCTTTAATGTAAGAAGGCTTATTTCTCAGTCACATAAACTTTTCTGTCAATCCAGGGGACTCTCCAGGCAATCCCTGAGCACGCAAGCTGCTTTGATCTTGTGGCTCTGCCATCTCAAACACAGAGGTTCCTCAGTCACCAAAGCATGTGCACACCAGCTTTTCTGTGCTTTGGCCCAGAAGTGTGTGTGTATCCCACAGCCTGCCGGGCAGAGCTAATAGCATGGCCTTGCCTAACTCCCGCAGAAGTGTGGGAGAACAGATGAAATGTTTGGGATATAAGCCTGCTTTACTATTTACTGCTAATGTTACCTTTAGTATTTAAGACATCCTAATTGAGAAAAACATGTAGATCAGATTATATGATATATATCACATACAGACAAGATATATTAATATGACACGTAAGATACAGTGTATATTTTACATATTATATATAATTTTGTTTTAAATATGTATATACATAGGGTATAGGAACATAAAGTTTTATGGAAGAATATATAAGTTAACAATAGGAACCTCTAGAGAGTGGAACTAAGGTTACCCTGTTTAAATATTTTTACTGTAATTTTTACTGTAATAAAGTGTTTAAACTGCTTTAAACACTATAGTATAGTCTTTACCTTTTATTCATACATATTAAAATAGTAGGATTATTGTGTATTAATTTTTGTGATTTTTTTCCAATCTGGTTTAAATTGACTTTGTGAAATCCTCCATGAAAATAAATTCAAGTTTGAGAAATCTGAGTTGTGCAACTGTTATTTCACCTTAAGTGAAATTAACTTATAGCCTATTTATGTGTGTATATAATATGTATAGACCAAAGAGAATTGCCAAATTCACCTACATTTTTATTTATACATCCTATGTTATTTAGTTAAGGCTTACGTGTTGCCAGTTTTGTAAAATAGGAAATGCCATTCACTGTTGACTCTGCACCACTCCTTTCCTGAATATGCTGGAACTAAAGGGCAGGCAAAGAAATAAGTAATTCATTCATGGTGAACAAGCAAGGAACAGACTAGCAACACCTTGGAAAGCCAAACACCCTTGGAGCTATAAAAACATAGTAACAGATGACATAATCCTTACTCGGAAGATTTATTATTAATCTCTTTAGATATTCAAAATGTGGAGGTTTGGCCATTCATGGTGGCTTATACCTGTAATACCTGCACTTCGGGAGGCTGAGGCAGGAGGATTGTTTCAGCTCAGGAGTTCAAGGCCAGTCTGGGTAACATAGTGAGACCTTGTCTCTAGTGAAAATTTTTTAAAAATTTAAAAGATCAGCTGGGCGTGCTGGCATGCACCTGTAGTCCCCAGCTACTTAGGAGGCTGAGGTGAGAGAATCACTTGAGCCCGGGAAGTTAAGGCTGAAGATTCACTTTTCACAGATTAATGACTATTTCTACAAAGCTAAACATTCTAATTTACAAATGGGATACATATTAAATATACATTTAAAAAATAAATTTAAACTCTAATTGAAAAACAAACAACATAACACCTTAGGTATGGTGTGATAAGGTTACTTTTTTTTGTTTTTGTTTGTTTGTTTTTGAGACAGAGTCTCGCTCTGTCACCCAGACTGGAGTGCAGTGGCGTGATCTTGGCTCACTGCAACCTCCGCCTCCTGAGTTCAAGTGATTCTTCTGCTCAACCTCCCGAGTAGCTGGAACCACAGGCGTGTGCCACCACTTCTGGCTAATTTTTTTGTATTTTTGGTAGAGACAGGGTTTCACCGTGCTAGCCAGGATGGTCTCAATCTCCTGACCTTGTGATCCGCCCACCTTGGCCTCCCAAAGTGCTGGGATTACAGGCGTGAGCCACTGCACCCGGCCATAAGGTTACTTTATAATAATCATGAACTTTTACCTCTCATCAAACCCCAGAAGGCAGTTTATTCGTTGAAGTTGCAGATAACCTGAGAATAAAGATGGTGAAAAGCCCTAAAGATGTGGCTTGAGGTCCTATGTCTATCAGGGAGTAACTCTAGGAAGGAACACGTAATCTTTGAAAAAGCTCTTCCAGAATTCAGATCCAAGAGCAGTGCTTCTTTGAACCAGCCCAACCTGAATGAGCTGCCTTGATCAGGGTTAGACTATCCTGTAAACATCAGCTTTTAAAGCTATCATTTTTTTTTTTCAGAGAATTATTTTGGCCTTGAAGTAATGTTTGTTTTATATATAAATGCTGTCTAATTTTGATGGTTTGATTGCTTCATTAGTCATCTCTGCAAATAACACACTTCTCCATCGGTTTTGGCTTCAAAACCAAACTCAATATGTGAGGAAATCACACCTCCAAGTAACAGCTAGTACAATCTCTTTTGGTCTTCATTTCTCTGAACCTGCTTCCTTCACCATAATTTGGTTTGCAATGACTGTACACTCAGAAAATACATGTATTTTGGAGACAAAGGAGTCCATAAAGCTTATTTTGCAAAGGATTAGGCGTGAAACCAAATTAGGATTAAAAATAAATAATGTACTTTTTATTTCCCTAATGTCTTAGTTTGTTTGGGCTGCTATACCAAAATACCTTAAACTCAGCAACTTATAAGCAACAGAAATGTATTGCTCACAGTTCTGGAATTTGGAAAGTCCAAGATCAAGATATTGATAGCAGATTTGGTGTCTGTTGGGATCCATTCGTCATAGCTGGTGCCTTTTTGCTGTGTCCTTACATGACAGAAGGGGCAAGCAAGCTCCCTCAAGCCATTTTTATAAGAGCACTAATTCTATTCATGGGGGTAGAACCCTTATAATCTAATCACCTCCCAAAGGCCCTACCTCTTAATACAGTGCAAATAATATTTTGAGTTAAGAGTTTGTATAATACCCTTAAATATGACACTTTGTAACATGGTCAGACTGTGTGTGACCAATCCAGCTTGTATCATACAGGACCTCATCATGCAACCTCACCATGTGAGTTTGATAGCATCCAGACTGCTCTATACTTTATTGAATAAAATGAGTCCACTAATCTTGCTCTTGGCTGCCACTGTAATGTCAAATTGTCGTAAAAGTTACTAAACTCTTTATTTCCTTACTTATCACAGACCAAGCAACAGACAGTTTGCAGACTGGAACCCTTGAAATAACACTGTTCTAGGAACTATTAGAGAATATAAACAAATGTAGAAGCATTTAAAATACTAGATAGCAGTGAAACATTTAATTGCTTAAAAGGGTAATAGATGAGATGCCCCAGTGCAACATCCAATTAATTGGCAAATAAATTGTAGAGACAGTAATTGTCCTGAAAGTCCAGTGGAGGGAGAAAGATCACTCCAGGCTAGAGGTGTCAAGAAAAGCCTTATGGAGATGGTGGGTCTTCAAATAGTTCTTAAAGGACAATATTTAAAAATAAAAATTGCATAAGTTTTATTAATAATTTTAGTATATTCCTGTAAACTCCAAAGTAAACCCTAGTCATACTAGTTAGTGTTAGTCATACTATTAGAGCCCTCTATATCTATGTGTCCTGCATCTGTGGATTCAATCAACTGCTAATAGAAAGTATTTGGAAATCTACATCTGTACTGAACATGTACAGACTTTTTTGGGTCATCATTCCCCCAAAATATAGTATAACAACTGTTTACATCGTGTTTGCATAGTATTGGGCATTATAAGTATCTGGAGATGATTTAAAGTATACAGGAGGATGTGCATAGGTTATATGCGAATACTATGCCATTTTATGTCAGGAACTTGAGCATCCAAGAATTCTGCTATCCACAAGAGGTCCTGGAACCAACCCTCTGCTGGTATCAAGGGATGACTGCATATAAATACTAGTATTACTAGATAAATCTTCCATTCAGCCTTTGAATGCAAAGGGAACTTCCTTGCTTGTCTTCTTTTTTAAAACAATTTACAAAATTTAAAAACAAAAGTCTTTGTTCTCTTGAATCATTACAAATTTCCTGGTAATTACTGTGTTTGGATTAGATTCTTTATAAGTGGGACTACTCTGTAAGATTCCTTTAAAAGCTCTGCTTTGCAGATGTTGTTTTGTAATATGGAATCAATCCTTGCCAGCAAGAGTGTAGTTTATATTGCATCACTTCCTTCGCAAGAGAATTGACTGCAGGATCCTTGGGGTTAGGGTCATTATTTTTTCATTGTTTTGCAAAGTGTGTATTGCCTATTTATGTTGTTAGAACTTTCAGATTAGTCATGACCAGAAATTAACTGGGAATGATTATTACACCTGTCAGCTGATAGTGCGATGTATATAAGCTATAGATGATTTTTTTCCCAAACCAATTTCATGATTTGTAAACATTAGTTTGGTTTTAAAATAGGATAACATCCTTTTAAAATACATATTTCCAGCTTTTCTTGAAAAATTGGAAGTTCTGGGCCCGGCGTGGTGGCTTACACCTGTAATCCCAGCACTTTGGGAGGACGAGGCGGGCAGATCAGGAGGTCAGGAGATCGAGACCATCCTGGCTAACACGGTGAAACCCTGTCTCTACTAAAAATACAAAAAATTAGCTGGGTGTGGTGGCGGGCACCTGTAGTCCCAGCTACTCGGGAGGCTGAGGCAGGAGAATGGCGTGAACCTGGGAGGCGGAGCCTGCAGTGAGCCGAGATCACGCCACTGCACTCAAGCCTGGGCGACAGAGTAAGATTCTGTCTCAAAAAAAAAGAAAGAAAAATTGGAAGTTCTGGCACAACTTGGTTCACATTTCAGAATGGGAACTGTCTGCTAGAGTTAACAGCTGCTTACTTTATACAGGGCTCATGCTTCTCACAGCCCTCACCATGCCCTGTTTGACTGACTTCTTTCCTTTTCCACTTATCTTTGCCTGCCTAACTTCCATAGACAGTTTGGCTACTGGACTAGTGTGTAATAGTGCGATTTGGCCACCAAATCTAAAACCAAGACAAAATGAAACCTCCAGCTTTTTTAGACCAGCAGGTACCTTTCCTAACTTGATGAAGCATCATTTGAAGAACAAAATCATGTATCATTCTGTGTTTAAAATTAGTTGGTTGATCACAGAAATAGATTATTATAATCTGTATAAACAAGTGAAATTTATCTGTATGTATATATATGTTATAGGTCTACATACACACATACATGTATATGAGAATAAGACAAATTTGAAAACATTAACAATTGGGCATTCATCTGAATGAAATTTAGGAGTTTTTAATGGTCTTCTTACAACTTTTAAGTTTGAAATTGTTTCAATGTGAAAATTATTTTTAAAAGTCAAACTAACTCTTAACCACAGATTTTTAACAGTGAAAAATATTTTTCTTCCCTAAGTGATTAATCTTTGTCAGATTAGTCAGATTAGTCAGAATTTGAGAAAGGGAAAATTTAAGACCAACTTAATTGATACCATGTTTTACAAGTTATTTCCCAGAAAAAAATTTTTTTCTTTAGCTGATATTAAAAATAAAACTTAGAAAAAATGTTTTTAATGCATTAGCAATTGAAACTATTTGTCTCTGCATCCAAACTGTTAGTACCTTGACATAATAAAGTACTCAAAGCATAAATAAACGCGTTGCTTCTCTGTGTCCAAAGAGGAAGCTTATTAGCAAAATATATACATATGTGGTGATGTGTAGGCATCTACATATTAGGTACTTTAAACAAATGATCATACTGTCAGAAGAGCACAGACTTGAGCTGTTTGTTCATTTGTGGTGATGAATTTGTGCCAGTTCATTCCCATTGGTCTGTTCTCCCTTGTAATCAATGGTATGTGTCTCCTAGAAGGCTGGTCAGGGTACAAGCTGTATACCACACAGCCAAGACTGAGAACAGATAGTCAACAACTGAATTGATTCTCCTTATTTTCCACAATAAACTATCCCAGATTTGGATAGTGGAGGTCCGTTTCAGCTGGCTGCAGTATCCTTTGGACATGTCTGTCATTCTGTGAGAACTTCCTTATTTTCTGCTCATAAAGATAGTCCAGGTTCATCTTGTATTTCCTGTGTCCCCATTATGGATTCAGCCGTTTCCTTTAGTATAGCATTTAGAAATCAAGAACTGGGTGGTAGATATGGTTGTTGCCATTGGTGTGTCATTGCTCTTACAAACAGAGCTAGGAAGGGGGTTGGGGAATGCACACACACACATACATGTGTCTACATCTATTTCTTTGTCTATTTATTGACAGGTACCATATTGATATTTACCATTTCAATCTAACACCATGGGGTTTATTTTAACCTTCCCTCTTTCATATTTGTAATTTCTTTCTGTGGTAGGAAGAAACCTGGGCTCCCATTATCCTCAACATATATACTTATTTTCTCAGTTTTCCTGTATGTCACCAATTTCCACTCCCCCTGCCATGCAGGCCACTTCCTAGACCCCTCCCCTGCTGGACAACCCAGCTGCACCAGTGGAATCCTTACCCTGGCCCCACCACCAGCCCAGTGATCCAGCCGAATCCTCAGCCCTGTCTCTGCCAAATATACTGGCCACGCCGGCCAAACCCTTGACTTTTTAAACTTAGACGAATTATAAGCAAAATCTTGAGACAAAGTATTTCCTGGAATTTTAAAATAAGAATATTAGTAGTTTTAGTTATTCAATCACACATTATTTAGTTTCAAATCTTATTCACAGAAGATGTAAGACTTGTTTAAGTAAAGATTTGTAAATAATATTATTTATAAATAAGCTTAGTTTTTCTTTCACTTTTTTGAAATGTCATATTAATAGACACTTAGAGAAACTGCTTACTGCTTAAATGAGCAAGATTGAACTAGAGGACAGGCACTTTCCTTTTTTTCTTGTTTTATTTTTAATTTACAAATAATTATATTTATGGGGTACAGTGTGATGTTTGATACATGTATACATTGTGGACTGGTCGAATCAGAGTAATTAGCATATCTGTCACCTGAAATATTTATCGTTTCTTTGTGATAAGGACAGTTAAAATCATCTCTTTTAGATTAGCTGGTGTTGTGGCACGCACCTGTAGTCCTAGCTACTCAGGAGGCTGAGGTGGGAGGATTGCTCAAGCCCAGGAGTTTGAAGCTATAGTGAACTATGATTACGCCACTGCACTCCAGCCTGGGCAACAGAGTGGGACCCTGTTTCTGGAAAAACAAAAATAAAAACAAAAAAAAACAAAAACAAATAGCTCCTTTAGCTATTTTTCAATATGCAATGCATTATTATTAACTGTAGTCACCCTGCTGTGACTTTTTCCTCCTCTCTAGCTGAAACTTCGTACATGTTGACCAGCATCTCCCAGTTCCCCATCCAATCCTCCCCTGGTCTCCAGCCTCTGGTAGCCACCATCTACTCTCTACTTCTATTAAGTTCGACTTTTTTAGATTCCACATGTAAGTGTGGTCATGTGGTATTTGTCTCTCTCTGCCTGGCTTATTCTACTTAGCATAATGTCCTCTAGGTTCATCCATGTTATCAAAAATGACAGAATTTCCTATTTTTTTAAATAAAAGCTAAATAGTATTCTGTTTTATATATATATATTTCGCATTTTAAAAATCTATTCCTCTGTTGATGAAAACTTAGATTGTTTCTATATCTTGGCTATTGTGAATAATGGTGCAGTGATTGAGAGTGCAGACTGATCTTTGACATAGTGATTTTAATTCCTTTGGGTATGTATATATCCAGTAGTGGGATTGCTGGATCATAAGGTAATTCTGTTTTCAGTTTTTGAAGAACTCTATACTGTCTTCCAAAATGGCTGTATAATTTATAATACCACCTACAGTGTACAAGGGTTCCCTTTTCTCCACATCGTCTCTAACACTTCTTATCTCATTTTTTTGATAATAGCCAGTCTAACAGGTATGAGGTGATACCTCATTTTGGTTTTAATTTGCATTTCTCTTATTATTAGAGATGAGCAGTTTTTCATATGTATTGGTCACTTGTATGTCTTGAGAAATATCAATTCAAGTCCTTTGCCCATTTTTAAATAGATAGTTTATTTGTTTTCTTATTATTGAGTAGTTTGAGTTTCTTATATATTATGGATATTAGCCCCTTTCCAAAGTACAATTTGTAGGTATGTTCTCCCAATCTGTAGGTTGTCTCTTTACTCCATTAATTGTTTCCTTTGTGGTGCAGGAACTTTTTAGTTTGATGCAATCCCATTTGTCTGGTTTTGCTCTTTTTTTTTTTTGGTTTTGCTCTTTGCTTTTAAGGTTATATCCAAGAAATCACTGCCCAGACCAGTGTCATTGAGCTTTTCCCATGTTTTCTTCTAGTAGCTTTATAGGTTCAGGTCTTATGCTTAAGCCTTTAATCCATTTTTAATTGATTCTTCTTTAAGAGGGGAGATAAAGTTATATTTTCATTCTTCCATATATGAATATCCAGTTTTCCTAACACCATTTATTGAAGAGATTGAGGACAGCTATTTTTTTAGAACAATTAAAGATTTTCTTAATGGCTTATGAAGCTCAGAATGCAGTCATGGTTGGGATGATACTTAAAAAATATACTATTTGTCTTAAATTGGCAACCAATCTACCTACACAAATTTCTCTCTCAGTTAGATCTAGCAATAAACGAGATTTAATTTCTGCTACAGGGACTAAAAAATAGGGAAAATTATTTGTTTTTTCCATTTCCTGATGTATTTGATCTGTTTTTAGTTTTTGACTCTTTTCTTTGCCACTACATTTTTATTCTCTTAGTTCACTTCCTGATGTCTGGTATTCCTGAGTATAGAAAATACTTGGTTATTTTCACAAGTGGAAAAGGACTGGCTGGCTAAAGCAAAGTAGTAGATTATCCAAATCATGTTTGTCTTTAGCATGTGTTGATTTGTGTTTCTGAATGTGGACCCATTTAATACTTAGAAATTTTAATAATGAATCTCTTAGTAGTTCCAGTTCCCTCTTACCTTACTTACTAAAAACCTTTTTGAGCCCCACAGCAGTATACTAGAAATAAGTATAAATAAAAAGAAATTTGGTTCACATTGTCTTAGGAAACTTGATTACAATCTAGGAAGAAAGCTGTAAAATGCCATATCTCAACCATCATTTAAAGATGAAAACTCTTTGCAGAGTGGCCATAGCTGATGTCTTTCACCTACTTTAGGTCTTCTTTACACCCTTCCAAATTTAGCTCCCTTTCCCTTACCATAATCACTCTATCCCAAAATGAGCAGACATTATTGATGGCCCCAGTGAGCAGCTTTTGATATTTCACTTGGGGATGCCATCTCACATTCTTAGCTTCCATTTAGGGGCTGTTGGCATCAAAAGAGTTACAGTATTACCAGATTAGCACCGTAGAAGTTCCACGTGCCTCCAGACACTCCCAACGTTGAAGCAGTGATTGAGCCTCCTTAACTGTGGACAGGGGAAGGGAAGTAACCACTTACGCTATCTTAGACACAAGGAAGATTATTCTTTAAAAAAAGGTAAACTTAAGCTAAAAGAAAATGCCAGATATAGGAAGTATAAGGATAGTGCAGAATATAGGAAGTATTAAAAGCTTTCCATGAGGAAATGCAGCCTTATGGATGTTACAGACTTCTGACGAGGAAAGCCAAGGAGAGCCAGCAGACAAGGTGTCTGGCCCTTCATTAATTCAATAAATATTTTGGCTGATTTTAAAATACTTTGCTCAGTTCCTTGTTGGCTATTAATTCACCCCAACAAAAACAATAGTCAAACAATAACTTTAGGAGCGTCTGGGAAACTTTCCGGTTTTCCTACTCATGCAATCCATTCTGTAGTAGAAGTAGATCTCCTTCCCAGGTCAGTGAAAGCTGTGCTTTGTAATTCAGATTTCTCCAAGTAGAGATGATGGTTAAATGATTGGCATAAACGTATTTCTTTCTTACCTGTAACTGGGCACATGATGTCAACAAAAGAGGGCTTTAGAAGATTTTCTATTAATATTTAGTAAATGTATAATTAGCAACATACATGGAAAAGATCTAAAATAATTCTAGGCACAGAGTTGATGCATAGTTAATATTAGGTCAGAGTGAATCTGTTTATTGAATTTTAAAAAGTTTTGTGACAGTAAGCTGAAATGAAAGTAATCCATGCGCTTGACGTTAACCACCTGTGAAAGTCTTCAGTGTCTCTTGTCACGACTACAATAGCTCCTCCTTATCTGTGAGGGATACACTCCAAGACATCTAGTGGATGCCTGAGACCACCTATACTGAACACTATATATACTGTTTTTTTCTATATGTACATAGATGTGATGACGTTTAATTTTTAATTTAGGCACAGTAAGAGATTAACAGCAATAATAAAATAGAACAATTATAACAATAAACTGTAATAAAAGTTATATGAATGTGATGTTTCTCTCGAAATATCTTCATGTTTTTGGGCCATGGTTGACCGAAGATAACTGAAACCACGAAAAGCGAAACTTTGGATAAGGGGGACTACTGTGCCTCCCAGCCTGTGCCCAAAAGCTGCCTATCTGGGTACCTGAGGATTTTTAATAACACCTTGGAAAACCTTTCTTTAAATACATCACAGTCTTCACATGTTATGAAAAGTGGGATAAGAAACTATGTTTTTAGAAAAGTGATGCAGCAGGCCAGGTGTGATGGCTTACGCCTGTAATCCCAGCACTTTGGGAGGCCGAGGCGGGTGGATCACGAGGTCAGGAGATCAAGACTGTCTTGACCAACATGGTGAAACCCCATCTCTACTAAAATACAAAAAATTAGCCGAGTGTGGTGGCAGATGCCTGTAATCCCAGCTACTTGGGAGGCTGAGGCAGGGGAATCGCTTGAACCTGGGAGGCAGAGGTTGAAGTGAGCTGAGATCGCACCACTGTACTCTAGCCTGGTGATAGAACGACACTCCATCTCAAAAAAAAAAACAACAAAAGTGATGCAGTGTACTAAGTTTTATGTCATTTTCTGAATTAGGCATAGTTATTTAAAAGTGACAGGATATACTGTTTAGGTTTCCTGTCGTCCAGAGACCCGTCCCATGGAGTGAAATACCTCAGTACCATGTAAGGTAGAGAGGCTTCCTACCAGTATAAATTTGAGAGTGGGAAGGGATGAGAATCTTAAGTTTATTCTATTTAGTTAAAGTCCTCAGCCATCTGTGGGATTTACTTGTTTTTTAAAAGGATGTTTGGCTGGGCATGGTGGCTCACACCTGTAATCCCAACACTTTGGAAGGCTGAGGCCAGCAGATTGCTTGAGCTTAGGAGTTCGAGAACAGCTTGGGCAACATGGCAAAAACCCCGTCTCTACAAGAAATACAAAAATTAGCTGGATGTGGTGGCCCGCGCCTGTAGTCCCAGCTACTCAGGAAGCTGAGGTGGGAGGATCACTTAAGCTTGTGAGGTGGAGGTTGTAGTGAGGCTGCGATCATGCCACTGCTCTGCAGTCCAGACAACACTGTGAGACAGTCTCAAAAAAAAAAGTATGTTTAATACTGTAATTCACATGGTTTTTAATATTATTTAAAATGCATAATTGTTATCAATTCATATAATTGTCAATGCCTACTAAAGAGTTTTCTACATCAGGTCCAGGTATCCTTCATTTTCCTGAGCAGTGTTGATTTATAAATAAGCTAACTCCCCAGTTAAGGTAAAATGCAGCTAACTACTTCCCTAGGTATGCCAAGTAGCCAAATGTTACCATAATGGGAAATCATTTCTAAATGGAATGGATGAAAAGGAATAAATATATAAATATTGAGCCCTATGTTGGATAAATTATGTTTATTGTTGGTTGAAAGAGAAAATCAGTGTCATATTATTAATAGGTAATTTTCATTCTCATGTTTTGGTTTAAATCTTCATGCCTGTCATTATTGGACACTCAGCACCGTTAAGGGTCTTGTATCGGTTCGAACCCCGAGAGCGCGCTAACAGACAACATGAGGTGGTGTGAAGCAACATGCTGTTTTAATGAGCACCTGGGTGCAGGCGGGCTGAGGCCTAAAATGGCCTCAGCACCAAGTGAGGACGGGGCAAAGGTTTTATAGTCTCCTGTAAACAGGAAGTGTCGTAGTCTGACGTAACTGCTATGTTGTACCCGGATGGCCTCTTTCTCAGTCTTTAGGAGTACTTGTCTTCAGGCGGACTCTCTTCCTCCTTCTGCTGTCTTGCTGGCGCAAGTTGCTGCCCCAAGTTGCACCTTGGAACTGGGCCTGAGAAGAGAGGAGTTATTCATCTCCTTAAGCTTTCAGGCCCCGGGGAGAATCTTACAAGCACTTCATAGCTAAATAATGCTATGGTGATTTATTCATGTGCTGACATTGTATAGCTTCTTTATTGTATTTTTTAAAAAACTGAATTGCATGAGACCTTAGTAGTTAACGTTTTATGGGAGGAAGCTATTGTGTTTGTTTCTATTATACCAGGAAGGTTGAATCACTGAGGAACTTGGTATGATGAATTCAGTTAGTAAAAAAAAAAAAAAATTTAAATAGAACCCAGATATCTCCTGTCTCTTTAAAATATTTTTCCACTTTTAAATGGGGCAATGAAGTATGTGTTCTCCTTGCCGTGTTTGCTGGCCGTGATGGTGTGGTTATCTGCTTGCTCTCTCCACTGCTGATGATCTGTGTTTGCCATCCTTGGTGTTGTTCACTTTGTGTTCAGGGGATCGGGTTTAATTCTATGAGAGAAAGAAGTGTGAGAAACATCTTCACTTGGATGTCTCTCAGGTGTCTCAAACAGATTGCATAGTCTGTCTGAATCACAGTTGCCTCCTGTCCCTATCCTCATTAATGGAGCATCACGGTCTGCTCAGTAGCTCATGTGAGATACTTACCCTGACACTTCCTTCTTTCTTGCCTCTCATACCCAGTAAGTTACCGTCTCCAATAGATTATATCTCTACTCTTAAAGCCTGTCTACTTCTCTGTCTCTCTACTGCTCCATCCCAACCAGAGAACCCGTCATTCCTTCCTGAGACCAGCGTAGTGCTTCCTAATTGGTCCATTAGCAGGCACTCAATTCCTTACACCCTGCAGCCAAAGGGAAGCTTTCAAAAAAGCAAATGTGATCAATACTTAAAGCTCCACCCTTGGATAAAGTCCACAAGCCCTAAGGCCTTGCGCGCTCTGGCCCTCCTCCCACACCTCTCTCCCTATGCTCTCTCTGCTGTGGTATAGTCACATGCCCTGCTCTGGATTCCTCAAACACTGCTGCTTCCCTCCACCAGTACAGTGCATTCTATTGGCTCTCCCTGGACCTCCATTTAGTGTCTGTCCTTATCATTGCCTGCATTAGGGTGGAGATGAGTCTGCTGTTTATTCTTCTGCTTGTGGCTCCCAGCACAATGCTTGGAACATGAGTGCTAATAACTAATGATTGATTGAATAAACAACTGGATACAAATACAATTAAATACATCAATAACATTTAAAATTAGGCATGCCATAATAAATAAAAGAATTGTGTTTTGAAAAAGCAAGCATCACCTAAAAACGTATATATCAAAAACAGTTGTTTTCCATTGCAGAGGAAAGGTAAGATAATTCATCTAGGCATCTCCTGACCACATCTTCTGGTTAACTACCATTTGTGCAGCTCAAATGAAGAAATATTGCACCAGAAGAAGAAAGCCAAGAAATGAAGTCACAACGTCAGTCATTTAATCCACCACCTGTGGTCCTAACTAGTTCTTATGTCCTGTGGTAAGCCTAAGCAATTTTACTGAAGGCATTTGGCCTTAGAGGGTCCCCATGAACTGCTAGAAGAATGCTTTATAAACATGAAGCCAAGCTGGATCACCGTTCGCTGTGCTAGCAGAAGTAACCCTCACTGTGATGTTAAACAGAAACATAGCACTGATGCCGCATGCTGAACAATGGGTCTCAAGTGGAAGAAAGATATTTCCTGCCATTCTTATGACTTCTGCTATTGCTCATAATAAAAATACGACTTGGTATTATTGTGCTGTTACCATGTACTAATTAGTGTGCTGAGCACTTTATGCAGAGTATCTCACTTCTTGTAACAATCCTCTGAGGGAAAGGTACTATATCAGTTGAAGAAAGTGAGGCACAGGGAGGTTAAACAGCTTCCACGTGATCATAGAGCTAGTCAGTGCTAAACTGCAGCCAGATCCCAGAGTCCACCTTCTTAATCAATACACCCTTTCCTCTGCTATCGATGGGCCTGGGAATACCCATATGCTGCACTGATGGGCTGTGGTGGTGGTTCTTAAGTGCTGTCTTCCAAGTTGTTAATTCTAGGCTTCAGTGTGTTAACAAAAGATCAAAATAAAGCATCCTTTTCCAAATCATTTTAAGAAAGTGTAAACCAAGAAGTGGTTAGAACTGTCTATGTGGAGATTATATAATTGCATAAATAATTCAAATGTCAAGCAATACAATTTTTAGGAAGTCTTCTTTGAAGCCTCCCACTCCTAAAGCTGGTTTAGGTATCCTTCTCTAAGCTTCCATGACATTCTTTCTATCTTTGTTATTGCCTTAAATCTTTTCTGGAACAGAGAGAGAGATTGAGAGACAGAGGAGAATGAGAACAAGAAGGGAATAAGTTTAAAAAAAAAAAAAAAGCCTAGTTTTTAAACCCTCTATCGTTGTGCTTACTGCATAGCATTGTCTATTTATATAAGCCTTTGAGTACAATAATACTATGTCTTATTCTTCTAGTAACTAGTAAGTGTCCATGTGCCAAGTACTATGTCAAGAGCTTGAGTGCTGCACTGGTGGACTGTGGTGGTGCTTCTTAAGTGCCCTCTTCCAAGTTGTCAATTCTAGGCTTCAGTGTGTTAACAAAAGGTCAAAACAAAGCATCTTTTCCAAATCATTTTAAGACAGCTTGAGTGCTCTTGACATAGTACCTGGCACATGGACACTTACTAGTTACTCAGATGTTTATAAATGCACACAATCAGTAACTGGCAGAGCCAGGGTTCAAACCCAGGGCTCCAGTGCTGTATGACTCTAAAGCTCATAATTGGAGACCAAGGTAGGGGGATCATTTGTGGCCAGGAGCTCCAGACCAGCCTGGACAGCATAGAGAGAACCTGTCTCTACAGAAAAATCAAAAAATTGGCCAGGCATGGTGGTGTACACCTGTAGTCCCAGCTATTGGGGAGCCTGAGGCAGAAGAACCACTTGAGCCCAGGAGTTTGAAGTTACAGTGAGCTATGGTCATACCACTGCACTGTAGCCTAAGTGACAGAACGAGACCCTGTCTCTAGAAAAATAAAAACAAAAATAAAATAAAGCTCCTACTCTTTCCAACATATGGTCCCTGTCCATCTCAGGAACACACAGTCTAACAAGGGGATAAAACTAATTGACTCCATCACATGGAAACCATGATTTTTGCCAAGAGAAGCAGAAACAAGATGCTTTCACCCTTGGGAGAGATTCTCATCTAAGAACTGGCAAGGTGGGCTGAACCTTATTGAAAGTAACCTAATGAACATTGCATAAGTGTAGAAAGGGGTCAAAGTTTTGTGTATTTTGAAAATAAAACTCTGTCCTTTCTAAATAGGCCAGTATCGTTGGTTTAAAAACCCACACCCATGAAACAGAAAGTCTCATACATTATAAGCAGAAGTTTAAATTGGTACAGTCTCTTTGGAGACTAATTTGGCAATATAATTCATAAATTTAAATTGCTTATATCCTTTGAACTAATAATTTGAATTCTAGATGTGCGTTCTACAGATATACATACACATATGCACAAAGAAATAGCTACCATTGTATTTATACTTGCATTGTTCATAGTAACAAAACTAAATGTCCAATAGGGACTGATTAAATATATTATTGTATAATCACCCATGAAATGGAATACTATGAAGCCATAAAAAACTCGGCTTTTCTCTATCTACTTACATGAGACTTTTGCCAAGATAAACATTTTAATTAGAGAAAAAAAAATTGCCATTCATTCAAAAACAACAACTAAACTGTTTCTAAATGAATTCACAGGAAACCAGCAGCAGTGGTTGCCTCTGAGGAGGGAAGGTATAGGAAAGAGGAGAGAGAAACACTTTTCACTGTGTATTCATTTACATCTTTTGAGTCTTTTACTAAGAGTCTATCTTGCCTATTCTAAATTAATTAATTAACTATATAAAGAGGATTAGAAGTTGGATTTTTATTATCAACTTCTAATTTTGATATAATTTCAAATTTACAAAAAAGGTAGACGATACTACAAGAAACCCCCTTTTGTTCTTTATCAGTTGTTTACATTTTGCTCTATTTGCTTCTTAATTTCTCTTTGTATATTTTTATATATGTATGTAGTTATTTTTTGTAACCATTGGAGAATAAATTGGAGACATCAGGCCCCTATCATTAAATAATTCAGGGTGTGTTTCTTAAGAACAAGGATCTTCTCTTACATAACCACAATACAGTGATGAAAATCAGAAAGTGTAATTTTGACGCAATTCTGGTTTCTAATTCATAGCTGATGTTCAGATTTTATCAGTTGTCCCAACAATATCCTTTTTTTTTTTTTTTTTTTTTTTTGAGACGGAGTCTCGCTCTGCTGCCCAGGCTGGAATGCAGTAGTGTGATCTCGGCTCACTGCAACCTCTGCCTCCTCGGTTCAAGCGATTCTCCTGCCTCAGCCTCCCGAGTAGCTGAGATTACAGGCACGTGCCACCATGCCCAATTAATTTTTGTATTTTTGGTAGAGATGGGGTTTCACCATGTTGGCCAGGCTGGTCTCAAACTCCTGACTTCAGGTGATCCACCCACCTCAGTCTCCCAAAGTGCTGGGATTACAGGTGTGAGCCACCATGCCCAGCTCATTACTGACATGATTTTAATGCCCATGTGGTCCCAGATGGGTGCAGTGAAAGTCCATTCATCTTGCTCCTGTGTCCTTTTGACATGTGCGTTTCCTACTTTCTGGCTCAACAAGATAGTCCAAGCTCATTTTGTACTTTCCCTGTTCCAGTGATAGAATCCGCTTTTCTTCAAGGAGCCCTGAGTCCTTTTAGTTAAGAAAAATGGTATTTCCAGGCCTTTATCTGGTGTTACTGTTTCTCTAAGTGGACAGAGTTAGGAAATGTGTGTGTGTGCATACCTATTTCTTCCTCTCTCCCTCTTCTCTCTCTTTGCCCTGCATATACTATGAGTTTGTACTGATTCTTCCAATTCCAATTGAGACCCATATATTCTGTGACCTTCTTCTCCAGCAATGAAAAGTCTGTCTCAGAAGTTGAGTTGGAGTAGATACCATTTAATTGTATTTTTCTAGAATAAAAGTTGCTGTTTGTATCTAGATTGTGTGAAGTTGTCCACATAAAGAGAAGATCGTTCTGAAGATAAAACATGAACAAGATAGATATGTCCTCTATTCCTTTGCAGGTAGACAATAAACAAGTAAACAAAAAACAACTTGTGACCGGTATTACAAAGGAAACATACAGGTGTGGAATGATGGGGGATAGAGAAATTTTGATGGATAAGGAACTTGTGTGAAATTTAGGAAACAAACAGGTGTGGAATGATGGGGATAGGGGAATTTAGATGAATAAAGGCCAGTGCACACAGTAATCAGAGGTAGATGGCATGAGATGAACCAATGTCTGTGTGTCAGATTGGCTTGAGATTAAAGTTTCCCATTGAAAAGATTTAAGGCTAGGAATGCAGAGTAAGATAAGATTTATATTTTAAGATCATACTTGCTACTGTATGGGGAACGGATGGAGAGTGGTTTGAGCAGATCAGTTAAGATGATACCTGTGACAGTGAAGATACCTGAGGTTGCATATTTTTGCTAACACCGTTCACTATCAAAACTCTTGCTCTATATAGGTGAAGAAGCATATCTTATTGTTGATTTGATTTACATTTCTTTATTTGTAAGGAAGAATGAGACATTTTTATTGAATTTATTTTAGTATAACTAGTTTTATTCCTACGGTTACTGTAACAAATTACCACAAACCAGGGGGGCTTAAAATAAAGAAGTGTATTGTCTCACAGTTCAGAAAACTAGAAGTCCAAATTCAAGGTGTCAGCAGAGCAATACCCCCCAAAACCGTCAAGGGAGATACCCTTCCTGGACTCTTCCTAGCTGCTGGCAGTGGTCGTCAATCCTTGGCTTGGCTTGACTTGTGGCTGCATTCTTCTTCTAGTCTCTGCCTCTGTCATTGCACAGTGTTCTCCCTGTCTCTCCCTTCGTGGGGCATTTTTCTCTTTTATTGGTTTCAGGTCCACCCTAATGACCTCCTCCTAACTTGATTTCACCTGCAAAAACCCTATTTCCAGATAAGGTTACATCCACAGATACTAGGGGTTAGGATTTCAGTGTATCTTTTGGGAGAATACAGTTCAACTTATGACAGTAATGATGTGTGTTTTTTATTTTTCCAAGTGACTAGCCCATTTTCTAACACTGTTTATTGATGTTTATTGTTGGTATATTTATTTACTGTTTTGAAATGTCACCATTATCAGATACCTCACATCTGTGACAGACTCACAGCCAACATCATACTGAATGGGGAAAAGTTGAAAGCATTCCCCGTGAGAACTAGAACAAAACAAGAATGCCCACGTTCACCACTTCTATTCAACATAGTACTAGAAGTCCTGGCCAGAGCAATCAGACAAGAGAAAGAAAGAAAGAGCATCCAAATTGGAAAAGAGGAAGTTGAACTGTTGCTGTTCACCAGAGATCTGATCATATACCTAGAAAACCCCTAAGACCCTTTATCAAAAAAGCTCCTAGATCTGATAAACAAATTCAGTAAAGTCTCAGGATATGAAATCAGTGTACACAAATCAGCAGCACTGCTATATACTGACAATGGCCAAGTAGAGAATCAAATCAAGAACTCAGTCCCTTTCACAACAGCTAAAAAAACAAAACAAAACAAAAAACAAAAAAACTTAGGAATATACTTAACCAAGGAGGTGAAAGATTGCAAGGAAAACTACAAAGCACTTGTGAAAGAAATATTAGATGGCACAAACAAATGGAAACATATCCCATGCTTATGAATGGGAAGAATCAGTGTTGTGAAAATGACCATACTGCCCAAAGCAATCTATAGATTTAATGCAATTCCTATCAAAATACCATTATCATTTTTCACAGAACTGGAAAAAAAATCCTAAAATTCATATGAAACCAAAAAAGAGCCTGCACCCCCAAAGCAAGACTAAGCAAAAAAACCAAATCTGAAGGCATGACATTACCTGACTTCAAATTATACTGTAAGGCTATAGTTACCAAAACAGCATGGTACTGCTATAAAAATAGGCATGTAGACCAATGGAACAGAACAGATAACCCAGAAATAAAGTCGAGTACAGCCAACTGATTTTTGACAACTGGGGAAAAGACACCCTATTCAGTAAATGGTGCTGGGAAAACTGGCAAGCCACATGTAGAAGAATGAAACTGGGTCCTTATGCAAAAATCAACTCAAGATGGATCAAAGACTTAAATCTAAGACCTGAAAGCATAAAAATTATAGAAGATAACATAGAAAAACTCTTCTAGACATTGGCTTGGGCAACGAATTCATGACTAAGACCCCAAAAGCAAATGCAACAAAAAATAAATAGATGGGACCTACTTAAACTAAAAAGCTTCTGCACAGCAAAAGAAATAATCAGCAGAGTAAAAAATAAAAAAATAACAGATATTGGCGTAGCTATGGTGAAAAAGGGAACACTTTTACACTGCTAGTGAGAATGTAAACTCACCAGTACAACGACAGGATGGAGAATTACCATTTGATTCAGTAATCCCACTACTGGGTATCTACCCAAAGGAAAAGAGGTCATTAAGTGAAACAGACACACACACACACACACGTTTATAGCAGTACAATTTGCAATTGCAAAAATATGAAACCAACCTAAATGCCCATGAACCAATGAGTGGATAAAGAAAATGTGGTATAGATACACCATGGAATACTACTCGGCCATAAAAAGGAACAAAATAATGTCTTTTGTAACAACTTGAATGGAGCTGGAGGCCATTATTCTAAGTGAAGTAACTCAGGAATGGAAAGCCAAATATCATATGTTCTCATTTGTAAGTGGGAGCTAAGCTATGAGGATGCAAAGGCACAAGAATGATATAATGGACTTCGGGAACTTGAGGGGAAAGGGAGGGAGGTGGGCGAGGAATAAAAGACCACATACCAGGCCTGGCACCGTGGCTCACGCCTGTAATTCCAGCACTTTGGGAGGCTGAGGCTGGCAGATCACGAGGTCAAGATATTGAGACCATCCTGGCCAACATAGTGAAACCCTGTCTCTACTAAAAATATAAAAATTAGCCAGGCGTGGTGGTGGGCGCCTGTAGTCCCAGCTACTTGGGAGGTTGAGGCAGGAGAATCGCTTGAACCCAGGAGGTGGAGGTTGCAGTGAGCCAAGATCATGCCACTGCACTCCAGCCTGGGCGACAAAGTGAGACTCCGTCTCAAAAAAAAAAAAAAGAGTACATACCTGGTACGGTGTACACTGCTGCTTGGGTGACAAGTGTACCAAAATCTTGGAAATCACCCCTAAAGAACTTACCCATGTAAACAAAACCCACCTGTTCCACAAAAACTATTGAGGTAAAAAAAATTTAAGATTTTACATATAAATGAGATAATACAAAAAATTATTTTGCTTACTTTTCTCCACCTTTTCTTCCTGTCTCCTTCTATTTTCAGCAGTGTCCATTCTCTTTATGTCTTTTAATATGACCTTTATTACTGTGGATTTTTTTTCTCTCTTCTGGTTTTTTTCTTGAGCTCTTCTAGCTTTTTATCTCTTGAAAAAATGATTTTAAACACAATTTCTCCTTTTAAATGATGCCTTCTTTGATATCTTATTTTAGAGAGCTACATTTTTTTTTGTATTCTTTGCTTTCATACAGAATGTTCTTTCATAATTTTTCTACTTTGTGGTTTTCTTTGGGGGAGTGGGGTATTCTTGGTCTGCCTTTTGCCTGTCAGATGTTTTACCCACTACCTACTTTTTTTTTCTTTTCTTCTGACATCTTATCATGTGCCCCATTCTGGTTCACTTCAACTGACCGTCTTTTTTCTTTTTTGACGGAGTTTTGCTCTTTCACCCAGGCTGGAGTGAAGTGGCGCGATCTCAGCTCACTGCAACCTCTGCCCCCTGGGTTCAAGAGATTCTCCTGCCTCAGCCTCCCAAGTAGTTGGGATTACAGGTATGCGCCACCACTCCCAGCTAATTTTTGTATTTTTAGTAGAGCCGGCGTTTCGCCATGTTGGCCAGGCTGGTCTCAAACTCCTGACCTCAGGTGATCCACTCACCTCAGCCTCCCAAAATGCTAGGGTTCCAGGCGTGAGCCAGTGCGCCCGGCCTAATGATTGTCATCTTTGAGTAGGTATGGTTCATTCTGGGTTGAAAGATAAAATGCACTGAGTTTGGTGGTCTGCTGCTCATTCCCTGTCTCACCAACTGTCTGCCCTGAAATGGCAAGAAGATTGCCTAACTAGAAAGCAAGTTCCCTATGTATGTCTGAGACTTCTGGGAGGTGATTTAGCATTGCCTCTTTTCATTTATCAAGATCATCTGCTGCAGAGCCACTGCACTTTTTCTCTTTTGCCTCACCACTATGACAGCCTGTTTTTTTTTAAAAAAAGGAATTTCTAGTTACTTCTTCATTTAACCTCACCTTACATATACTTAGAAGTGTCAAATGGGACTTATTTTGTTCCAAAGCCACCTGCATACTGAGACCCTGACATTCTTAGCAAGACTTTTGGTTTGGCTACTCAGGAACTGCAACCTACTTCTGGAGAACTCTACTCCAGTGCCGGAGATTTGGAGAGGCATATATTCAGTCTTAGCAACCTGCCTCAACTAGGTCTAGTTTTCATAGCTTTTCACAATCTTTCTTCCTAGATTGTGGTTCAGAGTTGTGGCTAGTTTTTTGTTTCATTGTAGGCGATGTCTTTTTCTGTTTTTGTTATTCTTGTTGATTTTCTGAGGGTAGAAAGGGGGCCAAGATATCATTACTTTATCCTCCTTAAATGGAAGACCCTTGAATGGTATTTGAAGTGATACTAGACTCAACCCTAGAGAACTGGAATATTTAGAGATCAGCAGAAAAAGAGGAGTCAGCAAAGGAGACTGAGAAGGAAAACCAGAGAAGCAGAAGGAAAATGAAGAGAACGTGGCTCAAAGAAGCCAATAGAAGAGTGTGTTGAGGAAATGGGAGTCAGTGTCAAATACTGAGAAATTAAGTAAGATGAGCATAGAAAACCAACCAGTGAATTTAGCAGTTTGGGAAGTTTGGTCAAGGTTTATTGAAGTGCAGGAGTGGAACCTAAATTGGAGTTGTCTAAGGAGATAGTGAAAGGCCAAAAAAAATGGCATGGGTAGATGGACACCTCTCCTGAGAAATAGGAACGTTCATGGTAACTTAAGATTCCATTTAAATTCAAAAAGGAAGGAAGACAGGCCAAATCAGTGTGATTAAGCAACACCTATTCAGAAAGTGTACGTTCCTCCTCAAGTAAATGAATAATACTTACGAATAAGGTTTTGTTAATACCATACCTAGTAGACCATTCACAGAGAATTTTCTTCCTGATTATAATTGGTTCCATATATTTCAAGAAGTCAACCAAGGATAACACTGAATTCTGTTAGTGGGTGAATCTAACTTAGACGCTTCAGGAGTACATTTGAGATATGGTCATCTGAAATAAATTCCTTTTTCTCTTCTGCCTAACTCAAATATATTTTTGTCCCTTATGTTCAGTAGGTTTTAAGATTCTGTCCAGTTTCCCCGTGAAACAACTCCAATTTTCCTTTCCTCATTTCTCCTACCATTCCCCCCACTGAGCACCTTATTGATGTCTTTAACTAGAAAAGTCTTCACTGATTCCTTGTTTCCAGTCACATCAAATGTAAACTCCCTCAAATGTAAACTCCCTAAGCCTGGTTTTCATATCATATCAAATCTGACCCCCATGTACATTTCCAACTGTTCCCCAGCATTCCTTAACACAGCCTTCTACTCTGACTGGGCCAACCACCTTCCGGTTCTCCATACCCCACCCCTCCCCACAGTATCTTCCTTTTCTGTGGGGTTGTGCATGTAGTCTGCCTGTGACTGATCTGAAGGAGCCCCTCTCATCTTGACTTCCTACTATAGATTGTCCTATATATAAGTGACACATGCAAATTAACAAGGCTACTTTAAAAAAAAGGTTTCAGAATTCCTTTACAGTGAACTATTGTTTGCCAATGTCATTATTATACCTTTATATTTTATCCATTACTACTCACTAATTCAGAACTTTTTAGAACCTCTTTGTTTCACTTAAAAGCCAGTGAAAATATATGTCCCTTTTAATAAATATTTTTAAACTTACTAGTTTAAAAAATCAATTGCTATTAATTTATGTTAACCATTTAGGAAGTTCTAAAAAG
Source organism: Homo sapiens (assembly GCF_000001405.40). Classification (NCBI taxonomy): domain Eukaryota; kingdom Metazoa; phylum Chordata; class Mammalia; order Primates; family Hominidae; genus Homo; species Homo sapiens. The sequence goes on along the minus strand of NC_000017.11, from coordinate 32,784,457 downwards.
GAAAAAAAAAAGGTAACAGAGCAAAGACCATAAAACTGACGTTGGAGGTAGAGTATTAAGAGTGACTCCATAGAGGACCTAGTGCTTAGACTTTTGGAGAAGGAGAGGGAATCTGGCAAGCACATGGGGAAGAAGGAACCAGGAAAAGGTGTGAGGCAGAATGAACTCCATGGGCAAAACCATGAAGACATGGCGCTCTTGGGAACTGTAATTAGCTCATTAATGAGAACAAGAGCAACAGAGACAGAGAGAAGTGGTAGGGGAGGTTTTGGTGGGTGGAAGTGTTGTTGGTAGATGGAAGTCAACAGAAACCCGGAGGCCAGACCCTGTATGCTCTTACTCTTAGTGTTCCTCACTGAAGGTGGTTTATTGGGATAATCTTTGTCACTACAGTACATGCTTTTATTACCTTACCTATCATACTATATTGTTGTTATTTATGTACAATGCTTTCCTGTTCTCCACTCCTTTTTTAATTCCCAGGGTTTGACCCGGTATCTGGCACAAAGTAGATACTGAATAATTATAAAAGTTTGTCATGAAAGGTTTGCACACAGAAGTCATAGGAACACCTTCCTTGGTCTCTTGTAAGAGATGATAACATCCTATTTGTCATCTAGGATAATTAGTAGTTCTTCCTGGAGGCAAACAGAGTAAGCGACTATATTACTTTAGTGCTTACTTACTACCCTATGGCTTTCCAATGCAAACTGAAATTTGAGTTGCTGTTAAGGTGTATATTGGCACCACCTAGTGGTGATTTTTAAGACCCAACCAAATTGAAAGTTTTGTATTTGATAACCAAACTTAGAATTTCAAGTAAAATGAGCTTCTAACGTTTTGTGAATTGCTGAAGCATTGTATTTAATATCATATTCTGTTAATATTTGCCACTATCTTTGAGTTAATAGTTATGCATTCAATTATTTTCTTAAGACATGAGATCTTGCTGTGTTGTCCAGGCTGGACCCAAACTCCTGGGCTCAAGTGATCCTTCTGCCTCAGCATCTCAAATAGCTGGGTCTGCAAGCATGTGCCACTGTGCCAAGCCATTTAATTATTTTATACATGGTGCCTATAGGTTAATAGAAAATATTTTATTTGTAATAAAATATTATTTTAGAGCATAATGGTCTATTAGTGGCTCTAAAAATTATCCAGTGAAAAAGAAGGTACATCATTGGACCAACATGGAATCTTAAAATAGTCTAATCTCATACATAATTTGCTGTGACTCTTAGTTGCAGAGTTCCCGGCTCATGAGACATTCTTCTGCTGCTTTTCTTCATTTTTTTTTTTTGTTTGGACAGTGCTTATTCAAAACTAAACAATCGTGCCCTTTTGATTCTTTTCCTTGGAGATACTTGAGCATGTACTGCAAATTTGCAGGTTAAGCCAGAAAAACTTGCGTAGTGAATCTTAGCTTATTTTCGCGAGTCTTTGAACAGTTGTTATATAGATATTTTGCTTGTGACTTGTAGTTGACTGACAGCTGAGTCAGGGAATTGGATTTTTTTTTTTTTAAGATGGAGTCTCACTCTGCTGCCCAGGCTGCAGTGCAGTGGTGCGATCTTGCCTCACTGCAACCTCCGCCTCCCAGGTTCAACCGATCCTCCCGCCTCAGCCTCCCAAGTAGCTAGGATTATAAGTGTGCACCACCACGCCGAGCTAATTTTGTATTTTTGGTAGAGATGGAGTTTCACTATGTTGCCCAGGCTGGTCTCAAACTCCTGGTCTCAAGTAATCCACCTGCCTTGGCCTCCCAGAGTGCTGGGATTATAGGCAAGAGCCACTGCGTCTGGCCAGAGAATTGGATTATGATAATTGAATTCATTCATTCCTCATGTGTAAGGATTGTTGTGATTTCAGTAGCAATGTTTATAAAACAAAAATGTTATTTAAAAATCTCCCTTATGCATAACATAATCAGAAGCATACTATTAATGATCTTTTTTAAAAAGTACTTATTCAATGTCCGAGGGTAGAGGGGTATAATTATGACCATTTTACAGATGAATAAGCTGAAACACATGGAGGTTAAGTAGCTTTCACAAGGTATCACTGCTATTGAGTTTGCAATGTGAGCATTCAAACCCAGATGTAAAGGACTCGAAATCAGTGCTTTTAGCTGCCATGTAAACTTCCTAACAACTGAGAGGATACATAGAAAACCCATAGTAGAAAAATGCACTGAAAACCTTGAAGTAGTTAATAACTGTTAAAATACTCTAAATACTTGATAAAAATCTTGGTTTGAATTTATTGTTGAAATTATCAACATCTGTTTGTTTCCATTCCTAATTATAGCCAACAGCCTTCATTCCAGCTTAAAGGAAATTTAAGGTTCTTGCTTTTTGGTCCCAAATGCTTAGTTATTTCTCCTGCTCCACCAGCCATGAAGCAAGCGTGCTTAGAGACATGCTGTCTGTGAACCAGCATTTTGCCTGTCAGGGCACACCCTTTGTTCAGTTCTTGGACGTGAGAGAGATGTCTACCAGTATCTCTCAGCTGGTAGAGCATGTTGGTGGTAACCACTTGTTATGTGGAAACATCTAAGCTCTGGGCCACATATGTTTCTATGTGTGGATTACTGTGTAAAAACAGTGGACATATATGGGTTTTCTGAATTTTATATTTAAAAATTTTCTTAAATAGACACATAAAGTTGCACAATTGCAGTCATAGCATACCTACTCAAGCTTTGTATTTTTTTTTTTTTTTTTGTCCTGTGGCCTCTTCTCACCTGCCCATGTGGCCTTCCTCTTTATTTCTCTCCTTCCACATAACCCTACTGTGTGTATAAAATGATGCATAAAATATAACATGTATTTGTCTATATTTTTTCACACTTATGTACTCATTTATAAAATATATCTGTGTACAGATACAAATACGTATGATTAGATTTTTAACCCTATTTTATGGGGAAAAGGTAGAATCATATTATATATACTTTAAAAATACACATGCCTTTCAACCAGCTGTCCCATTCCTGAGAATCTATACCACAGAAGTAAAAGCACCAATCTGTAAGATTATGTATCAAGAGTGTTTTCTGCAGTATTGTTCATAGAAAGCAGGAAGGAACAGGAATCGTTGAATATATAATGATATATCGACACCATGGAACTTTAGGCAGTCATAAAAAAATAAGTTTGATTTAGAGCAGAAGTGTCTCCTCCACCATTCTCTCTGTTATGGATTTTACTGTTTATATTAATTTACTAACATTTTAGTGAGGTTCAAGAGGGAGAAAAAAATAAATGTATATGACAGTCCTCTTTAAAATTGAAAATCTGACTAAGTGGATTTCAAGATCTACTTTAACTTCTATTTCTTTTCCTCCTAGAGCTCTGAGATTGTCTTCAACTCTTTTTAGCTTTTTCATCTTCTTACCCTTCTGTATTTTGGAAACAGGAAATCCCAGCCTCCAACAAGTTAAATTCTTCCTTCTTGCCTGGCTTTTAACCCCTACTGGTCTTTTCTACCAATGGCATCTGAAGGGGCACAGCCTCAAACATTCTCTACAAGTTAACTCAGAGCCAATGAAACGTCAGTTCAGAAATCATTCCTAGGATATTTGGACTTCCTTGGAAATAAGAGACTCACAGGACAGATACATCATTTCTCTGTAACCACAGCTACGTCTTCCTTTTCTTTTGCTTCTGTACAGATTTGAAAAAGGGCGCATCTATACGTTCATTGGAGAAGTCGTCGTTTCTGTGAACCCTTACAAGTTGTTGAACATCTATGGAAGAGACACAATTGAGCAGTATAAAGGCCGTGAGCTGTATGAGAGACCGCCTCACCTTTTTGCTATTGCGGATGCTGCTTACAAGGCTATGAAGAGGCGATCAAAAGACACTTGTATTGTGATATCAGGTAATTGGAGGGGATCCCCTGTATTTCCAAAGTCACAATGTGTTTAATTTGTTTGATACTCAAGAATCCAAACAATTGATTAAATATTTTTTTAAAGGTAGAAGCCTGAGCAATTCTATAGGAGAGAGAAAAGTGATGAACGTTAAATACCAAATTATTTATATCATTTCTGATCATCCTCTAATCTTGGTTCATTTATGAATACATATTACACTTGGATGACTTCTGGCCAATTTGTTAGATTGAGCTGACATGGAAAATGTTTCCATCTCAAACACATAAAAGTCTGGATAAAATGTAACAAAATTATTTTAAATAGCAAAATGAAACCAACGAAAATGAAATATTGAGGTGTGAAAAGGAAGAATCAACTCAAAATCAGACTGGTGCTTGGGAACTAGTGTTGAGGGACCTACTGAGGCGTGGGGGCCAAAAATAAGCTTTCAGAGCTGAGGGGCTGAGTTATTGAAGCCCAACAAGGGGGGAGATAGGCACGAGATAGGGTACACACCTCACATGTTTGAGGACTGGAGCCAAACTGCCTACGTTAAGGGGAGCCCTTCAAGGACCCTTATGTAGTGAAATGGGGACAGGAAAAATATCTGTTCACTGACCCAGGATGGCCTCTCCCAAATTGTGGGAATTTCTTCAGGTGCTAATAATACCTCACATTTGCACTGGTGGTTTTATGCTTTTAGAAACACTTTTATAATCATTATTCCATTTTGGTGAGCAAAACAACTCTCTGGTATGTAGAACAGTTATTTTTCTACTTTATAGATAAGAATATTAAAGGTCAGAGGAGTTAAGTAACTTAGTGTTGGAGTTAGAAAATTATATCCTAGGACTATGTTTTATTTAAAACAAATCACAAAAACAGTATTACTGGGTTTTAAAGGGGAGAATAAAAACAATTATATGAGTGTGTGGAGTAAAAGCAAAACGTTTCTTCGCCTTGAGTGCCTTATTCTTCCCAAAATTCCAGCAGTAACAGCTGTTAACAGTTTAGTGTTTATCCTTTTATACATTTTCTCTGGATGTGCAAACAAATACAGTCATAATTGCATGTGTAATTATATTATAAATATATAATTATATATAGAATTATGTCTGTTATATAACTAATTTTTCCATTTAATAATATATAGTAAATATCTTTTCATTGGTGTTTCTATAGAGCTAGTGCATTCTTTTTAATAATTGTATAGTATTCCATTTAAATAATTGAATCATAATTTATCCAGTTATCTACTGATGGATATATAATTTCCAGATTTTAGCCATGACTTACAGTACAGTCTATAGAAATGTTTTAAAAGCTTTGAACATTATTATTATTTGGTTATGTTAGTATTTTTTAGTATTTCCTTAGGAGAAATTTCTACCAGTGGAATTTTTGAGTCAGAAGGCATAAGCATTTAACATTTCGAAGATACTTCAAAATTGGTTCCTTTTTCCCCATCCCCCAGCATTATCCCAATTGTCATGCTTTTTCTATGATACCTTGTGTCTGGAGCTTGCTGTTTTGTTTTTTCACTAAAATTACTCTAACCTTAATTTTTTAGACGAATTATTTTGTCCCCTTTAAGATTAAAAGAAATTCTCTTATAGAAAATAAGATTATATGAATTTAGTTGTAACCACTGTTTGACTCACTACCTTATTTCATTTCTGCTAGACTTATGAGTCCCTACCAAGTACTAAAACTTTAGTCTTAGTTTACCACATCAGTACCTTTTTCCTAAGTAAATCTTTATTTGTAGTCTACTCATTATTTTAGTTTTATAATAGTTTTATTTTCTTCATCATATTCAGGTCTGTTAGAACCACTAACCATATCAAGGCAGGACGAAATAACTCAAAAAAGCAAAAAAATGAAACAGTGCAACATGTGGGATTTTAAATGCATCACCAGTATCAGATTTTTAAATTATTCTATTAAAAATTAGCTTACTCTTGGTTTAAATTATTATGTTAAGCCCTGAACAATTTTTCCCCCCAGGGGAAAGTGGAGCTGGTAAAACGGAAGCCAGTAAGTACATTATGCAGTATATTGCGGCCATCACCAACCCCAGTCAGAGAGCAGAGGTTGAAAGGTAAGAGCACTCTAATAATGGGGAGGAATTCTTAGCACTCTGTTTTCTCTATGGACTTGGCTAGACCTAAACTCTAGGGGTTGAGCATTTTGGGGGTCTAAACCTATGGGCTGAGCATTTTTTGATGATTAAGCTACTTTGATTCTCTTAAGTGCATATTGTCTCTGTACTTTTATTTATTTCACTGTATCCATTTCTAGATTTGTTTTTAATAGAAAAATAATACTATGGTAAGCTTTACCTAATTATGAGACCAAAAGAATCATTACTCTGAAACAGTTGAAAGTGTTCCCATCCTGGTTTATTACTGTTGACTTAAATGTGGTCAGCAGAGCTGTTATAATTTACACTGGTAGGTTTTATTGTTCAAACTCTCACAGGTTCCTTGCTCTTTGCACCACATCAGGGTTTTTAAAAAACTGTGTTCTGAGAGAAGTGGGACTCTGGAAGGCAGACCCATGCCTTCCCATCATCATCATTACAACATTCAGAATCCACTGACAGTGGAATTTCTGAACAAGATTCATTTTCTTTTTTTCTTTTTTTGAGATGGAGTCTCGCTCTGTGGCCCAGGCTGGAGTGCAGTGGCGCGATCTCAGCTCACTGCAAGCTCCGCCTCCCGGGTTCATGCCATTCTCCTGCCTCAGCTTCCCGAGTAGCTGGGACTACAGGCACCGGCCACTGCGCCCGGCTAATTTTTTTGTGTTTTTAGTAGAGACGGGGTTTCACTGTGGTCTCGATCTCCTGACCTCGTGACCCGTCCGCCTCGGTCTCCCAAAGTGCTAGGATTACAGGCATGTGCCACCGCGCCCGGCCGAACAGGATTCATTTTCTAAAAGGATTTCATGCCATACTGTGCTATTGCTCATGGGAAGATGAGTAATAAAGCTGATCTCTACTGTCTGGGGCCCAGCATTTAGGGGAGCAGCTGGCACATAGTATTTGCTTAACAAATACTTAAGGGATGAATGGATGATAGCTATAAAGCAACAAGACTCACTTTCTTATGTGGTGCAGCCTTTTTGAAGAGAGAAACTGTTTTCCTAATTGGTTACTTCAAAGCTCAGTACTAATTTAGTAAAGAGTCCCACCTCATCTACACATAACAATCTTCAGTTTTATAAATAGGAAGAAAGGATATTGGGTTGATGTAAAAGAAGAGAACTTACACTTCACTACCCTGCGTAGCCTTTCTTCTTTTCATCATATTGGGCTGCATTGCTGGGCCAGGAGAGGCATTTTTCTTAATTGTAACATATCCCTCCTTCTTACTCTGACTTTACAATCTAGTTTGACAAGGACAGGGATATGTGTAAATTTTCTTAATTTCCTTAGGAGCTCAGGAGAGCAACTAGATGAGAAATAAATTAATTTCACACCTACAATAGTAGAGTAAGGCATATATAAATTTACTAGTCTTTCACAAACATATCTTATCACAAGCAGTTTCCCCCCACACACATATTTTTAAAATATGCTTTCATTTATGAGGCGATAAGGTTGAACTCTCCAGTATTAGCGGGAGTAACAGTAGATCTTCTACATCAAGTTATTTCAGAGGCCAAAGTTATTTCTGCAGGTATGCCTGTATAAGAAGAATTTTATCAGTGGAATGAAAACAAGGATATAGCATGAAGTTTAAAATGTATCCATTGGGAGGGACTGCTGTATAGAAAGTTAGCATTCGTCGAATAAAGAATGCATTAAATGGCTGGTACAAAGGAGAAATTCCATACAGCTTCAAAGAAAATAATGAGCAATTTCTGAACTAGTGAAGATTAAATTTATGATGTATAACTAAGTACAATAAAATGTCACAATTCCAGGTTTTATAAGCAAGTGCCTTAAAAATTGTATCATTTTCTGTATCACCTATTCTTTCCCTTTTCAGAACACATCTTTTTAAAAATTTTCTTTATGTAGATAAAATATGTACATTTATAAAATGAAAAACAAAAATTACAGAATTAAGTTGAAGATGTAAAAGTTCCCTGAAATCCTACCTTGCCCATTCCATCAGTCTCCTGTCTAGATAACCATAGTAAGGTGTGCTGATCCCTCCAGATTTTTAAGCATTTGCTGATACATGTGTATGCACACACACACACACGTGAACATACACATACACACACAAGGATCCTGCAATGCATGTTATTTGACAACTTGATTTTATATTCATTAATATATGCTGGACATTTCCATGTGAGTACATATTGATGTACCTCATTCTTTTTAGCACCTGTATAGTATTTCATTATATTGGGAAACAAAAATTTATTTTTATCCCTATTGGTGGACATTAATTTGTTTGTTTTTTTTTTGATATTGCAAACAGTGCTGGAGTTAGCATCTTTGTATAAATATTTGTATGTGGTTTAGCAAAATCCAGTTTTTAAAAAATTCTAGTCTCTATAAGTTTTTATAATGACTTTCATTTATCTGTGTTAAAGAGTGAAGAATATGTTGCTTAAGTCCAACTGTGTTTTGGAAGCTTTTGGAAATGCCAAAACCAACCGTAATGACAACTCAAGCAGGTTTGGAAAATACATGGATATCAACTTTGACTTCAAGGGTGACCCTATTGGTGGGCATATCAATAACTACTTACTAGAAAAGGTAAAATATGCTTAATTTCTGAGGGTAATGTTTTAAGTGCTGAATGTTTAAACAAATTATATTTATAGAATTTATTTTATTGACTCAAAATAGCTTTAAATCCTATTCTCCCTTCTTCATTAGCTTTTTATGATAAGGTATTCTCCTTTTGTCTTCTCTTCTTAGCACTTACACTGTCAAGTTGGAAAAAGTTGTGGACTTTGTAGATAGATTTAGCTATGCGTGTGAATGGGTGGGGGCACAGGTATGAGTGTGTGCCAGCTTCTGGGTAAGGTTTAACCGAAAGTCAATCTAAGACTAATCAGTTCTAGCCTTTTTATACATCACCATCTTCTATACATTTTAATTTTAATTAATTTGATATCTCATTTTCTTCTAGTTTCTATTTGTTCATTGCTTTATAGTAACATATATGTATTTTGTGATCTTACATCCTAATTATGAAGCGAACTGTATTTGGTCAGTAAAAACTTAAAATAGGCCCAATTTCTAGAGGATTCCAATTAGAATTTTCTTCTTGGGACCACCAGAGAGGTTGTGTCTGGTTTGGTTTTGTGTTTTTTGAGACAGAGTCTCACTCTGTCATCCAGGCTGGAGTGCAGTAGCATGAACATGGCTCACTGCAGCCTCAACCCCCCAGGCTCAAGCAATCCTCCCACCTCAGCCTCCTGAGTAGCTGGGACCACAGGCATGGCCCACCATACCCAGCAATTTTTTTTTTATTTTGTAGAGATGGGGTCTCCCTGTGTTGCCCAGGCTGGTCTCAAACTCTTAGGCTCAAGCAGCCCTCCTGCTTCAGTCTCCCAAAGTGCTGGGATTACAGGCATGAGCTGCTGCACCCAGCTGGTTGTGTCTTAACTAATCTTGATTATCAGTGGACATGACTGCAAGAGAATACATAGAGTTCATTTTTACAGTTAAGCTTGTGCTTTATAAAATCAAGTCTCCACCTTGAATTCATACAGATCTAAGCCGACAGGTTTTCTCAGTTAAGGGTTTCCTATCCCAGTTAGGCCATAGCATCCTTTATGGCCATATAATGAAGTATAATCTTTATTTTTGTTTGTTATATTGAAGTCGGACTGTTAAGGAAATAAATGTATTATCAGAGTCAGTTGAAAAAGGACAGGAAATGCCAGGTATTATTATCAGTCCTTTTTCCAGAATGTTTCATCAGTTCACTTTATGTGTAATACATATTCAATCAAAAGGATCCTTTTGAATGAACTCATATTTTGAACCCTCTCCTAACAGCAGTATTTTTGGAACCATCTAAGGCAGAGGTCTCTATGGATTGATCTTGCTCAACTGACTTTTATTACAGGATATAAGGCATTGCTCTTTGAAATGCCAGCAGACCCTGGGGAAAGGAATGTTGAGAATATTCCTCCCTAAGCATTCCTTCCTATTCTCCCCACTTCTAATTCTTACCCCACCCCCAACCACCAAATTCCATCTTTAGGCTCCAGGTTAAAAAAATCAAAATAGCTTCATTCTTCAGAAAGTTTTAGGGACCTCTGTTTTAAGCAATAAAAAGAATTATCAAAGAATTGCAGGGGAAACCCCATAGAGAAGACTCATTCTTAGATGAGTATACAATCCATGGGGGTCTTTAGGATATTTAACTGATTTGGGAGAGGTCGGATAAAGAAAAAGGAGCATTAACCTTGACTATGCCTTTAGCTCCAGCCGCCTCTTTAAGAGGAAATTGTTGGGCAGGTGGGGGAAGGCTAGTCATGGAACGAAACTGTAAGCCAGATCGGGTGTGAGGAGGGGAGGTGATAAAAGGATTATAGGGTGGGAGAGCACAGGCTGAGGAAGAATTGGGACCTGGCTCAGCCTGGCAAGGCACAGCCTGGGGAGGAGGGGAGAGGTCCTGTAGAAAAGGAGGATTCAGAGGACTCAGAGCTTGGGGTGGAGACTAAAGGAACAGACAGGAGAGAAAGAAGAAAGATATGGGACAAGTCGCATTGGGAGCAGAGACTAGGGAGGGACCGATGTGTAAAAGAATGCCTGGACGTCAGGCATCTCAGATCATTTGCCCATTGTACGACAATAATTGTCTAGACCTTGTAGGATGGAGAAATTTAAAGTGCTGTTTTCTGGCTGTTTGGAACCATTGTTGAGTTTGTATTGGGGTCAAGTGGTATTGCAGAAGAAAATAAGGTGTTTAGGTTTTAGGTCAGGTGTGAGTTGAAGAGGTTTTAAGTTCTTGAGAACACAGGCTAAGGGAGAAGAAGGAGGAATGGAGGGTGGAAGGTTGACCATAGTGGAGGAGGCAAGCCCAGAGAAAAGAGAGGGTAGAGACATGGGCCGGGGTCGGGGGGTGGGGGTAGGGAGTGGGGTGGGGTTGGTACTTGCCACCCAGGAAAGTGGTGCTTGCCACCAAGGTGAAGGATCAAGGCAAGTGTCCCCACAGTGATCAGACACCAATGGAGTGTGGGTGAATAATCAGGCAGGCGTCCCTGCAGTGATTAAACACCAAGGGAAGACTGTCTTCCCGAATCCGTGACCGGTGCTGAAGTTTTGTGTTCACAGATAAAACACGTCTCCTCTGTCTCTACCAGAAAAGGAAAGGAACTGAAATTAAGGGAAGGGGGAGATTGAAGGGTGGCGCCGAAATTGAAAGGAGAAAGAGGTTGAGGGATAGTAAGAGAGGTTGGAGAAGAGAGTAAAAAGAGGCCGCTTACCTGATTTAAAATTGGTGAGATGTTCCTTGGGCTGGTTGGTCTGAGGACTTGAGGTCGTAAGTCAGTCTTTCTCACAGAGCAAAGAGCAGGAGGACAGGGGATTGATCTCCCAAGGGAGCTCCCCCGATCCAAGTCACGGCACCAAATGTCATTAGTTAAGGCAAGAATCTGCCATTTTCACTTCTTATGTGATTCTTCAGTTGCTTCAGGCCATCTGGATGTATACGTGCAGGCTTGGGCTCAGAGGCCTGACAGTTCCCTAAGAAAGTGGCTCCTGTTTTATTTTAGGGGCACATTTTCGGGTTAACCATTTTAATGTGTTTTTTCTTAGTCTCGAGTGATTGTGCAACAGCCAGGAGAAAGAAGCTTTCATTCTTTCTATCAGGTTAGTAATCCATTATACAGATAATTGATCATTTGCCCAGTTGTGCAGGAAATGAGTATTTGTGTCTTGGGCTTTCCCCTGTCCTATGCATCACTCATCTCCATTGGCCCCGTAACATGTCACGCATGCACGCACGCACGCACGCACCACATGCCCTGCCCTACCTGCTTAAGAGATTGGATGAACATGACTGTTCCACCCAGCTGGCAGGAGCTTAGCCAACCAGATGACTGCCTTGGGTGAGCATCCCCCATATTTTCTTGCAGTACAGATAACACTTTAATGACTGTGAAAGCTTTTGAAATGGTACATTCTAAATGTTAAATTAATTTTTGTTTTATTTTGAATTGAAGCTGTTGTTTCCATATTTGGGAGTTCTAGAGATCAGAATACAAATTCAGTTTGTTTCACTCATACACACTAAAAGCAATATGATTACTTTTAAAAAAACAATCTGGATTTATAACTTCTAGGGAGGATTGCCTTTTTAATCCATCAAGTTTAGAAAAAAATTTGAGTATTTATTTTCAAGAGTGCTTTTAGATTTTAAAGCAAAATCTTTTAAATAGCCTTCCTGTTGGCAAGTCTTTACACTTAGAAAACAAGTATGATATATTATTGTAAGTTTTTAAAGCCCAAATTAATGTAAATCAAGGTTAACAGAAAGTAACTGAACGGTGACAATACAATTGGATGCAATTCAGTCGAATTCAGTTTCTTCTAGGTAACTGCTTTAATAGACACTACTCATTTGTATATATAAGTTCTGGTATATTAAGTTTAAAAATCAATTTTTAAAATCTGATAATTAGACTTTTTAAGTAAACAAAAGCATACAGTTTAATTTAGAGAATTTAAACCTAATACCTTCCAAAAACATGCTCTATATAAAAGCACTGTCAATATTGTGTTTATGGTTCTGTTGGCAATTTGCCATGTTTTAAATAAGCTATTTTTCTACCAAATATAAAAGAGTTCTGTTTATTTCAATAACCTGTAACTTTTTCCCAGTGTTCTTCCCACTTGGGTGAAAGTATTAAAATTTATCTTTATCCAATACTACAATCATGGTTCCCCAGCTGTCCTCTTTTCCTGAGAGGTACAGATTGATGAGGAAAAGCTGTTTGTTTCCAGTGTGATTCAGCATATGACTGTCTGCTGATGTTTCTTACTTCCGTAGCAATATTGACTTTTTCTAAATTCTGAGACAGAACTATATCCTGTCTATAGTGAGGCTGCTAAGCAAGCAACCACCACAGAGCATAGGATCCTGTTTTACAAATGACGGCATTCAAAGCAAGAAACTTTTATGCCAGTTATATTGTAAATGAGATGAGACATTTTCAGAGTAATTTTCTTTATGACTGCATAACATTCTCTGTAACTGATGACATTGAAGCCATTTACCTTGAATGTTTAAAAAAACAAACAAGCAAAACTTCAAAGCTAGAAACAGGAAGACATAAGTGAATTAAGCCCAGAAAATGAATAAAAGCTAGATTACCACTAAGTTCATGTTTGGTTCAATGTATGTCTGGCCAATTTATTTCTAATTAAATATTTTTCAGCTACTCCAAGGAGGTTCAGAACAAATGCTACGCTCTCTACATCTCCAGAAATCCCTTTCATCCTACAACTATATTCATGTGGGAGCTCAATTAAAGGTGAGAATTTCCTCTTTGAGATTGCTCCAATAGAAAATCAGTCAAAGGATTAGAAGAGACATTCAATAATTATCTGGTCAAGCCTGCTATCTTTAGGCAAATAAACATCTCTTTTATCCTGTTCTATTTTTTAAATTCTCAAGGACAGAGATTCAGCACATTTTTGAATCAACAACTTTGCTTAAAATCAATTATGATATTTTATCACCATCTGACAGGAAAGAAGTTTTTTCCTACATTCAATGTTTTATTTTAATTTTTAATCCTATCCCTATTCCGTTTATTTTCACACTATAAAAATATTGATAGGACTAGGAAGCCTACCTCCTAAGAAGATTCCATATGATTTGGCCAAAGGCAAGTTAGTAAGACAAAATTAAAATGCACTTTGATTCTCCACTCACTGTTTGTTCAAATGTTGATTTTGATGTACCCTAGAAATAATTTTGTGACCTTTGAGGCATTCCTATTCAGCTTTCAAGTTTTTCCATTTTTTCTCTTTTCTTGCATGCAAGCACTTGCATACACTTACATGCAGGCGTATTTTTGCTCTTTTATTTCTAGTTCATTTTATTTCTAGTTCATCTAGTAATTTTACAACTAATTATAATAATAGTTTGTTGATAATAGTTACACTATTATCCTATTTCGTAGGAGGGAAGGTATATAAATGCATATAATAAGATATGGTAGGATATAGATCACAGTATTAATTATTTATTCTAGATGGGTGAGATTATGGATATTTGTGTTCTGTTTTTCCTTATTTAAAAAAATTCTACATCAAAAACTTACTGCTTTCATATTTGGGGGAGAAATAAAAGAAACTGTAAAGGAAAAAGATCTAAGATATGGGAGCTATTTCTTTAAAAAATTCTATTAATCAAAATAAGCTAATTATACCTGCATTATTGGTTTAGCTGTATTTTTATTGCTGTGCATAGAAATTAATGATATTTTGGTTTTTGCAATTAATTTTCCATTATTTGACATTTAGGTTACAACAACTTTACTTTTATGGTCATCTGAGAGCGAGCAGGATGTTTGGCTGAAAATGAATTAAAAACAAAAAACAGTAGAGGGCAACACTCCACCTCTCTGAGAACTAGCCAGAGGCACTTAAAGAATTGTGAAATCAACACCTGGAAAGCCAGTGACTGGGAATGTTTGTTTTCAAATTGTCTTATCGACTAAGTTACTTTTGACCAAGTCGTGTAGAGTCCCCACAGAAAGCAAGTATTAAATTAATAGCCTTTTTTCTAGGTTAAATTTAGCTTAGATTCCCTTTTTATCAAAAATTTCCATGTCTGCTTTCCCCACCTTTTTTTTTTTGCTTCCTAAGAAAACAAAGAACTAATAAATGATCATAGTCAAAACCTAAACTATGAACCAAAAGGAAACAAAAATACACTAAATCTTACCATACAGAAATGATTATTGATAATGGTTTGCATCTATATTTATAAATGGAATCATACAATAAATCCTAATTAAATAAACCTGTTTTTATTATAATCTTTCCATGCAAACAAATATAAATTAATATAATAATTTTTATAACTATTAAGTATTGCACTGTGTGTATCTTAACCAGTTCTAAAATGCAGGAGTCATATACAGTTAAGATATTTTGGGTTGCAAGTAGGAGAAGACCCAATTAAAAGTCTCCAAAAACAATAAGAAACTTAATTATCTAGCATAACAAGAAACTCTGAGATAGGACAATTCCAGAATTAGTTAGTTCATTGCCTTAACAATGTTGTCAGGGACCCAGGTGTTTTTTTGGTTGTTTCCCCAACTTACAACTCTGCCACACTCATGGACAGCTCTGTCCTCTTAGGCTGGTTTTCCTTTTAGTCCCAAAATGTCATCAGAATTTCCAGGAGTCACCTGCAAAGGAGATGTTCATGGCATATGTCCTTTATAAGCTAGGGAAACCTCCCCAAGAACCCTCCTCCACTCATCCCCCATAAACACTTTCCCTCATGTTGTATTGATCAGAATGGCATCCCATGCCTGTGGCTAACCAGTCATTTAGTAAGGGAAATAAGATCACTCTGATGAGTTTAGACCAGTGAAGATTTACCTCTTGAGGCTAGGTAGATGCCAGTCACAAAGGACATGCACACTTAGAGAGGAGTAAACAAATCAGGGTTCGATTGGCAAGAAAGAAATGAGGGTAGAGGATGGCTGTTAGGTAAGCAGCCAACAGTTCCCCACAGTAGGACATTTAGATTTTATCCAGTTACTTTCCAACTTCAACATGGTTGCAGTTTATAATAATAGTAATATCTGATACTGCTGAGTGGTTTTTTTTTGTATGCTGGTGCTAGAGAGGTGCTTTATATAAATTTTCATTCAATTCTGACAACCACCCTGTAAGATATATGTTATTATGCCCATTTTATTTGTGAGGAAGTTGAGGTTCAATGAGGTTAAGTATCTTGTCCAAGGTAAAAACAAAAACCTAGGAGGAGGAGGGGCTGGCCTGGTTGTCTCCTGGACACTAGAGGAACTTGTACTCACCAGGCAGAGAGGTCCCCTTCCAGGGCCCTTCCTCAACAAGTGAGCATCAGGCCAGGTCTCTGTATCCAAACAAGAGGAGAAACTTACTGAGGAAAGAATTGGTCAAGCCTCTGCGGCTGCTGCTGTGGTAAAACTAATATAAGCAGTTACTATTGCTTTATTGCGAATTTCTGTTTACGCACTTGTATTTCCAATGTGATGGCCACAGCTCTAAAAGGGCAGGCGATTCATCTTTGAGCTGCCTGTACCAGTTAGTAGAGCTGACTTGTGAAATGCGTATCAAGTGAGTGAAAGAATGAAGTTATAGTCCCAGACTATTTAATAGCTTACTAAATGACTGAGGCTGGCTGTTTTGCTTTTGAGGGCCCGCCTTGCCTCACCTGGAAAATAAACCGCCTGATTATACGAGAGTGAAGTGTTGTTGCCAGCCTAAATAAGACAATTGTGGAACAAAGAGCCACAAACAACAGTAGCCAAGCATGTATCTTGGAGGCTCCCACATTCAGCACTTGCATTTGTGATCTCACATCCATGCTGTTGCCTTCACTGATCATGGAGTGGGGGATCAGCTTGTCTGAGCCAGCTCAGGACTTGCTCCCTCACTGAAGGTTCCAGAAAACGGCACAGTGCTTATTTTAGGTGATGGCTTTCACGCACAAGTGGGCTTTGTACGTGCTGAATAATGTTGCAACTCGTGAAATCATTTTTATTTTCTCTGGAGACTCACCATCCCCTCAAGTGATTTACTATGAAGGCAAAACCTTGGTATAACTTAGTTTTATAATTGTTGAATTTTAATGCTCATAGGAAATATCTGTAACTTCAGTTTTTCATTTTCATCCCCAGTCTTCTATCAATGATGCTGCCGAATTCAGAGTTGTTGCTGATGCCATGAAAGTCATTGGCTTCAAACCTGAGGAGATCCAAACAGTGTATAAGATTTTGGCTGCTATTCTGCACTTGGTGAGTAGGGACACCTCTCAGAATGTATTGTCTTCTGCTGAGAACAGGATGCTTTCTCAGAAGATTTTGTTTTTTCCCTGTAGATTTAAAAAGTATTCAGAGAAAATTTTGTACGTATTTTGAAGAAATTACTATGTCTGTGGTTCTTGCCATCATTTTATAATATTATGAGGGATTTTCCAAGCTACTATAGGGTTGGAGACTACTACTTCAGTTGATTGTCTTACTGGTATTGTCAAACTTTGAACTGGTTAATTTTAAGGATAAAGGAATTCAGCAGTGATGTGACTACTAGTGGTATAAATTTCTAGTGGCATTTGAAACATAGAATCATAGGTTATCGGAACTGGATTTTTAATCATCTCATTTTACAGATTGGGAAATAGCCCTGATGGGTGGCATGACTACCTCAAAGGCACAGCCAGCTCATCCCAGAGCCAACACCATAGACCACTTTTGGGCCACTTGTTTCCCACTATACCACACCAAACTTAGAAGTGAAGAACTGTGTGTTAGATTTCTTTCATTAACATTTATATAATTAGAGATACTTAAAATACACTGAACATATAATCTTACAATAAGAATGACAACATGGATTCAAATCTGGAATAAAAATTACTTTTCACTTAATATAGCAAGATTTAACTCTAAATGAATCAGAAATGTGCAGGATCTTTATGAAAAATATTATATAGCAATATAAACAATAAATGTTCCTGACTAGGAAGACTTTAGTATTATAAATTGTCTCATCTGTTTGAATCAGTTTTTAAATACAGTGCAGCAGTCCTTTTCAGAATCCAAACAAGAATTTTATTTTTTGTTGTTTTGTTTTCTTTTTGAGATGGAATCTCGCTCTGTCACCCAGGCTGGAGTGCAGTGGTGCAATCTAGGCTCACTGCAAGCTCCACCTCCCGAGTTCATACCATTCTCCTGCCTCAGCCTCCTGAGTAGCTGGGACTACAGGCGCCTGCCACCACGCCTGGCTAATTTTTTTTATTTTTAGTAGAGACGGGGTTTCACCATAGCCAGGACAGTCTCGATCTCCTGACCTCGTGATCTGCCCATCTCAGCCTCCCAAAGTTCTGGGATTACAGGCGTGAGCCACTGTGCCTGGCCTTTATTTTGTTTTTAACTTGACCTGTTGATTCTAGAATTTACCTGGAAAAAGATCAAATAAAGTATATTAAAGAAGTGTCGTATAGGGTAGGGTAAGGGAGGAGAGGGAACATGACTAGTTCTACCAAACTTAAAATGATAGTAAAAGCTAGAGTACTTTATAACTTTGCACAAGTTCAGCACCAGATCAACAGATTAATCAACTGATTGGTTAATGTGCTGGACATTTGGTAGATGGTTATAAGTATGTATTGCTTATTGAATGAGTGGAATATAAATAGACTCAAACACTTGAGGAGATTTAACATATTAAAAAGGTGACATTTCAGCTGGGCGGGGTTGCTCACACCTGTAATCCCAGCACTTTGGAAAGTTTGAGGTGGACAGATTGCTT
The DNA here is from genome assembly GCF_000001405.40 of Homo sapiens. Classification (NCBI taxonomy): domain Eukaryota; kingdom Metazoa; phylum Chordata; class Mammalia; order Primates; family Hominidae; genus Homo; species Homo sapiens. The sequence goes on along the minus strand of NC_000017.11, from coordinate 32,766,119 downwards.
GAACCCAGGAGTTCCAAGACCAGCCTGGGCAACATGGCAAAACCCCATCTATACAAAAAATACAAAAATTAGCCAGGCATGGTGGCACGCATCTGTAGTCCCAGCTATTTAGAGGGGCTGGGGGTGGAAGGATCGCTTAAGCCTGGGACGTTGAGGCTGCAGTGAGCCATGGTGCACCACTGCATTCCAGCCTGGGTGACAGACCCTGTCTCAAAAAAAAGGTGACATTTCAAATCAGAAAAAGCTAGACTGTTCAATAAGTCCCGTTAGAGCAACTAATCATGTGAAAAATAAAGTTAGATTCTTACTTGATACCATGTACCAAAATCAATTGTGGATGGATTAAAAAGTTTAAGGAAAAAGGCCAGGCGCGGTGGCTCACGCCTGTAATCCCAGCACTTTGGGAGGCCGAGGTGGGTGGATCATGAGGTCAGGAGGTCGAGACCATCCTAGCTAACATGGTGAAACCCTGTCTCTACTAAAAATACAAAAAATTAGCTGGGCGTGGTGTCAGGCACCTGTAGTCCCAGCTCTTCAGGAGGCTGAGGCAGGAGAATGGCGTGAACCCAGGAGGCAGAGCTTGCAGTGAGCCAAGATCGCACCACTTGCACTCCAGCCTGGGCGACAGAGCGAGACTCTGTCTCAAAAATAAATAAATAAATAAAATAAAAAGTTTAAGGAAAACAAAAACTATAAAAGCATTAGAGGAAAGCATCAAATGCTCATAAACCCTTTGGAGTAGGAATGGTCTAAGTATGACACCAAAGAAAGAGAGACCCTAAGGCAAAAGATTCATAGATTCGATTACATAAAAATGTAAAACTTTTATCTATCAAAAACATACACTGAAAGCAAAAAGATAGATGAGTGTCCGGAGAAAGGGAAAAAGTAGATGAAACACTGTTTTTATATGTTGAGATGTATAATGTATTTAGGAAAATAGGTACAAACAAGGTCACCTGAATTGTATTTTATATTGGCAAATATATCCTTGACATAATGTTTCATAATGTGTTATTTTTTTCACTTTTGATACAGGGAAATTTAAAATTTGTAGTAGATGGTGACACGCCTCTTATTGAGAATGGCAAAGTAGTATCTATCATAGCAGAATTGCTCTCTACTAAGACAGATATGGTTGAGAAAGCCCTTCTTTACCGGACTGTGGCCACAGGCCGTGACATCATTGACAAGCAGCACACAGAACAAGAGGCCAGCTACGGCAGAGACGCCTTTGCCAAGGTGAGAGTGTAACTGACCCTATGTCACCTGGTGTTGATCGCAGTTGCAAATTGAGTGAAATCCTGTGAGCATGTATTCAGACATTCTTGAAAGAGGGTTAAGGCTTTTAGAAACCATAATGATACTTTCTGGCCATACAAGCCTCGGTAAAACTCCCAGATGTAAGTAAGCATCACTGCCAAAAAAGGTTCTGAGAAGAGTGGAAGCTGACTGGGGGTGGCGCTCATGAGGGCTTCACGTGCTGCTTCTCTCACTCAATAATGCTTCGCCAGAGTCAACTGACTGAGCTCTGATCCATTTTTTTTAAGTTTTATTTATTTTTAATTGACAATAATTGTATATGTTTATGGGTACAGTGGGATATTTCAGGACATGTACACATTATGGAATGATCAGATCAGACTAATTAGCATACCTCTTACCTCACCTACTTACCATTTATTTGTGGTGAGAACATTTAAAATCCACTCTTAGCAATTTGAAACAATATTATTAGTATTATTATTAACAGTCACCACGCTTTGCAGTGGATCACCACAAATTATTCTTCCTGTCTAACTGAAACTTTACCCTTTGACTAACGTCTCACACTTTCTCCATCCACCCCGCTCCTCTAGCCTCTGGTAATCACCATTCTATTCTCTGCTTCTATGAGTTTGACTTTTTCAGATTGCATATAGGTGAGATCACACAATATTTGTCTTTTTGTGCCTGGCTTATTTCACTTAGCATAATGTCCTCCAGGGCTGTGTACTAAGCCTGCAGTGATAGTACCACAATTTATTTAACCACCTTACTCTTAAGTCACCCACTTTACTTCCCTTTTTTGCAACTGCAAACAATGCTGCACGTCTTTATACATCTATGCTTATATACTAGTGCTTTTGTTTCAGCTGGATGGATTCCCAGGAGTGAGCTTGCCAGGTCAAAGGGTATACTTATTTTATTTTTATTTTTTGAGACGGAGTCTTGCTCTGCCATCCAGGCTGGAGTGCAGTGGCACAATCTTGGCTCACTGCAACCTCCACCTCCCGGGTTCAAGTGATTCTCCTGTCTCAGCCTCCCAAGTAGCTGGGATTACAGGAGTGTGCCACCACGCCCAGCTAATTTTTGTATTTTTAGTAGAGACAAGGTTTCACCATGTTGACCAGGCTGGTCTCGGACTCCTGACCTCAAGCGATCTACCTGCCTTGGCCTCCCAAAGTGCTGGGATTACAGGCGTGAGCCACCGCACCTGCCATATATTTATTTTAAACTTTAAATTTACTGATTTTATGGCTGCATGGTAATATTTTATTGTTACTTTTATTTCATTACTAGTATATTTGAGCATCTTATCATATTTTTGTAGAGTATTTTAACATATTCTAAGAATTGCCTGGGTATATCTTTTGTGCATTTTTCTTTGGAGCTGTTATCTTTTTATTGTCAATTTCTAAGTGTTCTTAGCATATCATAAACTTTAACCCTTTGTTATCTGTGTGGCAAGCGTTGTATTTTCTCACGTCTAACTTTCGTTGTTGTTGTTTTGCTGGTTGATTAGTTTACTGTCTATTTCATTTTTTACTCTTGTAAGTCTTAGGCTTGGTTTTTAGTTTTGGGGGAATTTGAATTTTTCCTAAGTGCAATGGAGAGCAATAGGGAGGACTTTAAGGAGGGGCAATGACATCAAGTTTGCCTTTTTTTTTTTTTGAGATGGAGTCTCGCTTTGTTGCCCAAGCTGGAGTGCAGTGGCACAATCTCAGCTCACTGCAAGCTCTGCCTTCCGGGTTCATGCCATTCTCCTGCCTCAGCCTCCCAAGTAGCTGGAACTACAGGCGACCGCCACCACGCCCAGCTAATTTTTTATATTTTTAGTAGAGACAGGGTTTCACCATGTTAGCCAGGATGGTCTCCATCTCCTGACCTTGTGATCCACCCTCCTCGGCCTCCCAAAGTGCTGGGATTAGGTGTGAGCCACCGCACCCGGCCGTTTTTTTGTCTTTTTTTTTTTTTCTTTTTTTTTTGAGACGGTGTCTCTCTGTCACCCAGGCTGGAGTGCAATGGTATGATCTCAGCTCACTGCAACCTCCACCTCCCGGGTTCAAGCAATTCTCCTGCCTCAGCCTCCTGAGTAGCTAGGATTACAGGCACCCGCCACCATGCCTGGCTAATTTTTGTATTTTTAGTAGAGATGGGGTCTCATCATGTTGGCCAGGCTGGTCTCAAACTCCTGACCTCAGGTGATCTGCCCACCTCAGCTTCCCAGAGTGTTGGGATTACAGGCATGAGCCACTGCACCTGGCAAGTTTGCATTTTTAAAATGATCACTCTGGCCTTAGTATGGAGAATGTTATGGGGGCTAGAGTAAGAATGGAAGCAAAGAGGTCAATTAAGGGGATATTTTGTTAATCCAGGAAAGAGATGAGGGCAGCTTGAATCAGAAAAGTGAAAGTACAAATGGGGAGAGGAGGATGATTTGAAATGGACTGTGTTGAGAAAATAAAATCCATAGGACCTATTATGTGGAGAATGAGAGAAGCAAGAATAATACTTTAACATGGTCTGGCTCCAGCCCACCTCTCCCACCTCATTTTATACTATACCCAGCCCCCCTTTCTTCAGCCCAGCACATTAGTCTTCTCTCAGTCCTCACAGATTATCCTGATCCCTTTCTCCTTCCAGTCACAGGGCCTGTGCACATCTGTTCCCTCTGCTTGGACTGCTCTTCTCTCCTCTCTTGCTTGGCTACCTCTTACTCATCCTTCTGGTCTCAAGTATCACTTTCCCAGAGAGGCCTTCCCTAACCTTCCTGAGCACTGCATAGATTAAATTTCCCTAAGACCCCATGTACCTCTCCTTTAGTGTGGATGTTTATCTGCGAGGTGGGGGGCAAGTGAGAGAGACAGAGAGAATAATTTTTTCCTTCACTCTATTCCCTAAGTTTCTTGGACATTGAGACTATGTTTGTGTTTGCCTAGACCTGTATCTCTAACAAACTATATATAATAAGTATTCAGCAAATATTTGTTGAATAAATCAGTGAATTTCTAAGTGGTGCTATTTATTTGTGGCTAAAAGTAGGATAGGAACAGTTGTTGGAAGAGGAAAGATCAAGAGTCCTTTGAGTTTGAGATGGCTGTGAGCCATTGAAGAGTCAGTGTCAGGTAGACAGTCAAGCTCTTGAGTCAGGAGCTCAGAGACTGTTCTCTGAGTCTGGATTTGGATAATACTTTTGGGAGTCATATTATATTTGTATTATTTAATCCTGGGTGAGATGATTTAGAAGGTGCTAGAGAGTGAAGAGAAGAGGACCAGGAAGAACTCCAACTTTTACAAGTCAGGTAGAAGAGGAGACTCTACCAAAGGTCACCAAAAAGGAACATCCAGTGAACAAAGAGTAAAATTCAGAAAGGCTATTATCCGAAATCCAGAGAGAAGAGTGTTCCAAGAAGGCAGTGAAAACCTAGGTTGAGTGATGCTGAGCGACAGAGCAAGATGTCCATATGAGGTACGAGAAGTATCTATGTAGAGGTGCTGGGAGTCTTTGATGAGCCATTTCAATGGAGTAATAGGATGTAAGTGGAGACTGGAGTGGATTGAAGAGTAAAGGGGAGGTAATGGATATGGGTGAAGAGAGTGGGTAGCTGGCAGGAGACGTTAAGGAAGGTTTTCTAACGATGTGACGTTGCAGAGCACATGTGTATCGGGATGTGAATGTGTGTTAGCGTGTGGCACCTTTGTCCATGTGTGGCTTAGTGTGTGTGTTCTTGTGCATTGGATGTGTGTTCGATTCTCAGGGAATTTCAACCCTTGATCTTTGGCTCAGATCTTCATTTAGCATTAGAAATCAATATTTATATTTTTTAGAATTCATATAGCTTTAGTGGATCATAGATATTAACTCACTAGCTCTCAACTCTTTATAGTTGATGAAATTAATAATAAAGCAATGAACTGGCTTATTCAAGGGATCAGGCAAACTATTGATATAGCCGGGCAGGGAAACATGCCTGGAGAGTGTCGTTGGAATTGGTATAATGACCGGTAATAATCTTTTAAAAATACAAGCTATTTACTTTAGTTTTGCATACATCAGGTAGTTTGGGTTTTTTTAAATGGACAGTCTACATTTTCATTTGTTCTGCTGAGGCCAGTAATGGCTATGCTAAACAGTGAGAAGGTGGACAGGAATTTAAAACTGATCACAAATCCAAACAGAGGACTCATTCCCAAATTGGCAAGCATTTATGATGCTATTTTCCTTGCAGGCAATATATGAGCGCCTTTTTTGTTGGATCGTTACTCGCATCAATGATATTATTGAGGTCAAGAACTATGACACCACAATCCATGGGAAAAACACTGTTATTGGTGTCTTGGATATCTATGGCTTTGAAATCTTTGACAACAACAGGTAAACTGGAAAAGATACTTAAAACCTTGTTGCCTGTTTTCTATTTGTTGAAACTTAATTTATTCCTTTTCTTGTAGTTTTGAACAATTCTGTATCAATTACTGCAATGAGAAACTGCAGCAGCTATTTATTCAGCTGGTTCTGAAGCAAGAACAAGAGGAATACCAGCGGGAAGGGATCCCCTGGAAACATGTGAGTGGACTCTTATGGAAAATGCCTTCATGTGTTTCTCATATTATTGATAATGTCAAATTTTATTTTAGGTATTTCTTGATCTTTTGGGGGTATTTGAAACATCTGAACCTTAGCTTTCCTTTTTGGGATATGTAAATACAATTAATTTCATCATTTTTAGGTGGGATTGCTATAATTTGATAGACTGCCTTGTTGATGCCCAGAACATCCTGAGTTAGAACCAGTAAACCTGTTTTCACTTTATGGCTGCTACCACGTGGACTTACTGGTTTATATCTGTCTGTTAGGTTTAGCATACTTTATTAAGTTATACCTTAAATTGGCTGAACTTTGCTTCAGAATCTAGTTTCTTCTTCCCTTTTTCCTCCTTTTTCTCCTCTTCTACTTTGTAGACTATATGGTATTTTATTGTCTTCAGTTAATGTTGTTTATATTCTCTGAAACCTACACATTAAAATACTTGTTTTACTTTGCATTTTCTTGTGTATTACACTTCAATTATCACCTCTACTCTAATCAATCTTTGGGAACTTTTGTATTTGTCAGAGGCAAACTAATCTGGTAAGATATAGCTGGAAAGTATAATGGGTGCACAGTGCAAACCACAGAGATCAAAGCTAAAAGGCATGACTTGTTTGGTTTTTAAATTTCCTGTGATAAGACCTTCTGTTTATGATAGAAATGAGACATAGTAATTTTTCTTGTAAGTTTGTATTTTTAAGCAATTTTGAGAATAAACTTGAAAAATACAAAAACTTTTAAGTTTCTGTAGTTTGAGTTTATATGATTGTTCATCCTCTTGCCAGAGAATAGAAATGAAGCCAGTATTTGTTTTTTGTTATCCAATATAATAGCAGCAAAAAAATATTTGAAATACTATATTTAAATGACTTTTATCTTCCTTCCTACCTATTTTCTATTTCCTCTCATTCTGAAATAAAGAGACAGTGATATAACAAATAGCTTTCCCGCCTCAAAATTGTATCTGCCTTCCATCATGTGTTAAACGTTAGAATACCATAAAACAGTTGCTCAGGTATATTGGCATAAATTTTACCTATCTGCATATAAACCAAAGGGCTATTTTATATAAGAATTATCTATAGTTTGACTTAAATAATGAACTCTCCTAATACAATTAAAATTTAATTCAGTTCAATTAAGTGTATATGAAGCTTTCTAAGAATGAAACTGTTGTATAATATAATACACGGTATAACTGAAGCTTGGATTTTTAATACCAAATTTAATCATAAAACTTGTTATTCAAATGTGATTCCAAGGTACTAGTCAAAAATATCCTTTCACAATCAGAATATCAAATTTCACAGACATAATTGACAACAGGGTAAGTAATGCAGTGGACTGTTCCAAACATCTCAAAAAGAATTAAGAATCCCAAAATGCAAAAAATTTTCGCTAAATAAACCAAGAACTATTTGTCCTAGAGGGAGCAGAAGGCTAACTCCAAGGTAACAGTTACTTACTACATGGCAGATCCCCCCACAATTAGAATCTCTATTCTGGGTAAAACCCCAAACTTCTAAACATAGTGATTCTTTTTAAAAGATTTTTTATTATGGAAAATTTTAAACACACATTAAGAAGACAGACTATAGTACAGTAAACCCTATATACCCATCACCTGGCTTTAACACGTACCAGTTGATTGCCAGTCTTATGCCATCTGTACTATACCCACCTACTCCCAGATTATTTTGAAGCAAATTTCAGATATCACATTATTTCATCTATTCAATTGGGTATCTATTCAGTAAATATTTCCATGTATTTCTCTAAGAGAGTTTTACAAAAACCATAATCACAATGCCATTATCATACCTAAAACATTAACAAAAATTCCTTAATATCATAAAATATCCAGTCAGTATACATGTTTCATATTTCCTTAATTGTCTTCTGGTTGTTGTTTTGCAGGTTAAATTTGGATCCAAATAAGTTTCTTACATTATGATTGATTGATAGGTCTCTTGCATATCTATAGATTTTCTCCATGTTTCTTTTTTTCCTTGAATGATCTCTCTTTGCAATCTTGTGTTGAAGAGAATGAGTCATTTGTTATGGAGTTCCCCACAGTCTGGATTTTGCTAATTGCATTCCTCAGGTGCCATTTAATATGTTTCTCTGTTTCTTGTATGTCCTGTATATTGGTTGTTAGATCTAGAGTCTTGACTGGATTCAGAGTCAGTTTTTTTCCACAGCCCATTTCATAGACTGTGTGTGAACTTCCACCAGGAGGTTCATAATGTCTGGTTATCTGGTACATTCACTTTTAAAAGCTTTCGATGCTGTAGTTTGCAAATCATTTTAACTATTGAGAACTTGATACTCAAGCACAAAGCTGTTTTATCTGGAGTGGGTATGAAAGGCCAGAGCCCCATGTCCCTAAGCTACCCCATCACAAGTCTTCTGGCTCCTGGTATCCCTTAGGAAACCTTACGGGAATGCCAAGTTGCTGGAAGAACTTAGTTTGAAAACTACTGGTTTAAGCAATGTTTGAAGCAGTATTAAACTTACAAACTGAAAGTTACTAGCAGAGACCAATAGCTTTTAATAATATAATTGGGATTTTAGGGAAGGTAATTCTTTAGTCCCTGGGACAAAAGACTTCGTCTTTAATTTCACAGTCCCGAAGTCTAAGATGTCAACTATTAATATAGAGCTCCTGCTTTTTGAGTATTTTTAGGATTTTTTTTCCAAAGATGGAAATAACTTTTCTCCCTAATTAGAAATGTAATAAATGCCCATAATGAAAGTAAATATTTAGACCTACACTGCTTCACCTCAGTACTACTGAGATTTTGTGCCAGATAGTTCTTTGTTGTGGAGGCTGTTCTATGCATTGTAGGATGTTTAGCAGCACCCCTGGCCTCTACCCACCAAATGACAGTAGCACCCCTACCCCATTTTGACTAGAAATGTCTCCTGATATTGCCAAATGTCCCCTGGTGAGCAAAATTCCCCCTATTCCCCTATTTGAGAAACTTTAGTTTAGACAGATCAGAAAAGTATAAAAAACAAAGTAAAAACTACCCAGTTTACAGGTTTCAGTCCATAAGATACAGAAGAGAACATGCAAGACTAGAAATGGAGCTAAAAGCCATGTACAAATAACTGGCATAAAACCTTGGATTTTAAAGCATGAAATGGGAATACATGAGTCACTTGAATGGTCTATTATGAGTATATAGACCTTATAGAAGGTAATGGAGACAGCAATCAGTTTAGGTAACTCCTGCGTAAGATGGGACATAGCAAGATTAAACTGTGTGATCATAAGCTGCCCCTCTTTGAGATGTGCAGCTTGCCTGAGTTGGCCTTTCTTTGTGTGCCTTCTGTGTGTAGTGATAGGTACATTGCAGGCTGTCAGAATAAACAGGTGTGGCAGAGGATTGTTGGACAAACCTTGTACATGTATAGTTGCTGAAAAGCCAGAAGTTATTTATAACTTCATTCACCTTGTGGAAGTAAAGGAAAAGCTTTTTCTTATCTTTTATAGATATTTATTTCTCAGAATTAAATTCTTTATATTATGCCTAGAAAAATGTAAAAATTCTACTGAATTTTTTCAAATTGTTCAAAATTCTATTGAAGCTTTTTAACTTTGGGGAAACCAAAAGAAATGCTCTTTTGGATTTTAGTCATTCAGGGTCATGTAACTAAAAATGCAAGTTCTTTTTTTTTTTTTTCCGTTTTAAGTGGAGTTTATTTAACACTAAGAGATAAAGGGTTGTTAACAAACACAATGACAAATGGACATCTGATTGGGATGAGGCATTATCCTGTACACATAATGTTGATATTTTTGTGTACCCTCAGTGCATGGCATTTACACATAGAGCCACTACTGCACAGCACAAGAGTATCTGAAGAGGCTGAATCAGAGTAAGGCTGTTTAAAAGACTGAAATTTTTTAGTATATATATTCTGCATGAAAACAGAACTTTTGAACTGGCAGGTAGAAGGCAACTCTGCCAAACACTACAGTTAAAGCCCCCACTTTAGTGCACAGTTCCACCCCTTCCATCTGCATGCGTGACACATTAACAGTATTTAAAGGTAAACGAGGCACTTTGTGGCAACTGCAGCCATCGTTATGAACATATTGCACAAAATTTCTAGAACTAAACATTTAACTTGTACCCTACTTTTATAAAATTGCAAGTTTTGTGTAGTACCTTAACTTTATTATGAAGTAGTATATCAGATAATACTTTAAGGTTATTTGTTGGCCCTTTGTGGAAGGTGGACCTTACAGTTAATGGCAGGCAGATTGGTATGAAGGAGTAGGGTTGGGTGTGGGATCTGGAGGCAGGATTAAAATGAGTTTGTAATGGGAGAAATGGTGTCTACCTTATTATCTTTGCCTTGGGCTGTACTAATCTCAGACGGTGTATTTCATGATAGAAAGTTAACAAAGAAATTTAAAAATAAACCTCTGTTAGAATGTGTACTCTTTTTAGCGTAAGACCTCTTTAATGTTATTCACACATTTGACACCAAAGTAGTTTTACCTGAACTCCTGATACAAATGGGAGCATCAGGGTTTAACCTGGCCTGGTCACTGTTCTCTTCAGAATTCCCTCCTTGCTGTGTCCTACAGATTGACTACTTCAACAATCAGATCATTGTTGACCTCGTGGAGCAACAGCACAAAGGGATCATTGCAATCCTTGATGATGCTTGCATGAATGTCGGCAAAGTCACCGATGAAATGTTTCTTGAAGCACTTAACAGTAAATTGGGCAAACACGCCCATTTTTCCAGCCGAAAGGTAATGTGTTTAATGACACCTTCTTCCTTTTATCTGTGAGGTTCTCCTTATTGTTTGATGGAGTTCAACGACTTTATATGTTGGGATAAAAGAATGTCCCCTTTAATAAGAAAGAAAAGTCATAAACATTCATTAAATGATTTGTTGCTGTGGATAAATTCTGCCTCTCTGGTTTATAGTATGAAGAAATTGATAAAATCATGTTAATCCAGGAGAGGGAGCTCCAGACTATGCAATTTGGTAGAAACAGGAAAAATGAGCATGATTCTTTAGAAAGCATGATGTCATTTGTAACCAATAGATGTAGAGTCCTTGCTCATGTGCTAGAATTTTACTCCTGCATCTGATAATTCTGGCATGGAAAATAGCTTTTGTCCTTGACTTTTTACTGTAATCCTCAGTAACAAAATGTGTTGTGCACTCTGCTGTACTTCTTCAGATCATATGACTTCCTTGAAAACAGAGAGATTCTAGTTGTAATTCTAGTTATTACAGAGAAACTTATTCATTAAATAAATGGGTATCCTTTTAACTCTCCATTTTTCAGGATCTAAAAAAGTGATAAACAGATCACATATCTGTAGTAATTGGTGACAATTGTGCTTATCAGACCTTTGTGCTGATATGGACATATCATTTGCATGGAATATTCCATTTGCATGGAATATGTTTGCTATTAATATTTGTTCAAGAAATTTGTGTTAGAAGAGGAACACATCATCATCGCCCCTGAGACTTCCCTACCCATAGTCTTGTCTAGTAACCATATGCTAAAGGGAAAACAGGCCCTTGCTCCTTCACATCCATAGAAAAAGGGGGCAAACATTTCTGCCTCTCCAGAGTTCCATGTAAATCTCTGACACTGCCATTTTTTAGTGTGAATAAAGTCTATTTTCTAACTTATCTCCTTTGAAATTATGTAATCAGAACAGAGAAATTCCACAATTAACTAGCTAAAGCCCAAATCGTCAAGAAATAGATTACTAGCTGACATTTATTTTAGGCCAGTTTTTTCTAAAATATTCTCCTTGGTCTGTTACTGAGGATTGATAGTAACCCTACTACAAATTGGCTTTCAGATACTACAGTCTGCTCTTTCATGTTAGGGTTTTGGGTTAGAGGTACTGCTTCAGTCATTCCCTATTTACACCACAAATACCTAATAAGTGCTTCTCATCTTCCAGGTGCAATCCTAGGTGCTGGGGACAGAGTACTGGGCAAAGTTAGAAGTCACCTAAATAATTTAGAGTGATGCTTTTAAAGATGGCATGATTACATGGGCAAATGTCCTATCTTTGAGGGAAAGTTTATAAATGCCCTTTATAATCACAGTTCAGGTTTGGAGACTCACTTAGCACGGTGCCTACCAGATGGTAGACATTTAATCAGTGTTTGTAAAGTTGAATTGAATTGTTCCCAATCATGTCAAATAAATCTTATTTAAATTTTCATTTAAATTAGCTATGAGTCTCACATGAGAAATCAAATCCACCTCATTTTGATATCTTCTACCTTGGCCATTTATATACCTGAATTAAATGTGTCAACCAAATATTTTGAAATATAATATCATTCCTTTTTTTTTTTTTTCTTTTGAGATGGAGTCTCACTCTGTTGCCCAGGCTAGAGTGCATGGTGCAATCTTGGCTCACTGCAACCTCCGCCTCCCGAGTTCAAGCAATTCTCCTGCCTCAGCCTCCCAAGTAGCTGGGATTACAGGCACCTGCCATCATGCCCAGCTAATTTTTGTGTTTTTGTAGAGACGGAGTTTCACCATGTTGGCCAGGATGGTCTTGAACTCCTGACCTCAGTTCATCTGCCCACATGGGTCTCCACAAGTGCTGGGATTACAGGCATGAGCCACCACGCCCAGCCATGTCATTTGTAAGAGTAACTGTACATACCACATCAGTATTTGCTACTGATTTGACATGAAATGCTAAATAGTAATTTGTCTGTGGAGAGGATTTTCTTTTTCTTTTTCAAATTTATGGGAGCCCAGGTTTCCCAACTTTCAGACCAAGTGGCTCTTTCTTTTGGTATCCCTAAGACAAGTGCTGAGGTAGTGATTATTTATTTGTTTATTTATTTATTTTTATTATTTTAGATCTGGGAGGTGTACATGTTCAGGTTTGTTACGTGGATATATTGCATAAAGGTAAACTTTGGGCCTCTAGCTTACCTATCACCCAGATAGTGAACATTGTACCCAATATGTAATTTTTCAACTCTCACCCCCTGCTTTTGGAGTCCCCAGTGTCTTATTTCCATCTTTGTGTTCATGCATATGCATTGTTTAGCTACCACTTACAAGCGAAAATGTACATTATTTCACCTAGTATAATGGCCTCCAGCTCTACCCCTGTTGCTGCAAAGGACATGGTTTCATTCTTTTTTATGGCTGCATAGTATTCCATTATATATATGTATATCACATTTTCTTTCTATCCAATCATTTGTCGATAGACACTTAGATTGATTGTTTCCATGACTTTGCTATTGTGAATAATGTTATGGTAAACATACGAGTACAAATATCTTTTCGTTATACCTGGTAGTGGAATTGCTAGATCAAATGGTAGTTCTATTTTTAGAACTACCATTTAAAAGAAATGTTTACATTCTTTGAGAAGTCTCCATACTGTTTCCCATAGAAGTTGTATTAATTTACATTCCCACCAACAATGTATAAGCATTTCCTTTTCTCCACATCCATGCCATCTGTTTTTGACATTTTTAGTAATAGCCATTCTGACTGGTATAAGACGATATCTTATTGTGGTTTCAATTTATATTTCTCTGATGATTAGTGATGTTGAACATTTTTTCAAATGTTTGTTGGCTGTTTGTATTTCTTCTTTTGAAAAATACCTGTTCATGTTCTTTGCCTACTTTTTAATGGGGTTATGTGATTTTTTTGTTATTTAGTTATTTGAGTTCCTTGTAGATTCTGAATATTAGTTCTTTGTTGGAGGCATAATTTACAGATATTTTCTCTGATTGTGTAGGTTGTTTGTTTACTCTGTTGGTTATTTCTTTTGCTGGGCAGAACCTTTTTAGTTTAATTAAGTCTCATTTGTTTTTGTCACATTTGTTTTTGAGGTCTTGGTCATAAATTCTTTGCCTAGGCCAATGTCCAGAAGAGTTTTTCCTAGGTTTTCTTCTAGGATTTTTATAGCTTCAGGTTTTATATTTAAGTCTTGAATTCATCTTAAGTTAGTTTTTGGGTATGGTGAGAGACAGGGGTCCAATTTCATTCTGCTGTATATGGCTAGCTATTTTTCCCAGTACCACTTAGTGAATAGCGTATGCTTTCTCCATTGTTTATTTTTGTCAACTTTGTCAAAGATCAGTTGATTGTAGGTATACAGCTTTATTTCTGGGCTCTCTGTTGTGTCCCATTGATCTATATGTCTATTTTTGTAACAGTGCCATGCTGTCTTGGTTACAATAGCCTTGTAGTATAATTTTGAAGACAGGGTAATGTGATGCCTCTGGTTTTGTTCTTTTTGCTTAGAATTGCTTTGGCTATTTGGGCTGTTTTTTGGTTCTATATGAACTTTAGGATTGTTTTTCTAATTCTGTGAAAAATGACATTGGTAATTTGATAGGAAATGCATTGAATTTTTAGATTGCTTTGGTCAGTATGGGCATTTTAATGACATTAATTCTTCCAATCCATGAGCATTGTATGTTTTTTCATTTTTTTGTGTCATCTATGACTTCTTTTGTCAGTGTTTTGTAGTTCTCCTTGTAGAGATCTTTCACTTCCCTGTTTAAATATATTCCTAGGGTTTTCTTTTGTGTGAGTGTTTGTGGATATTGTAAATGGGATTGAGTTCTTGATTTGGTTCTTAGCTTCAGTGTTATCAGTCGTGTATAGAAATGCTTATTTATTTTTGTACATTGATTTTATATCCTGAAACTTTACTGAAGTTGCTTATCAAGTCTAGGAGTCTTTTGGAAGTCTTTAGGGTTTTCTAGGTATTAGATCATGTTATCAGTGAACAGGAATTATTTGACTTCTGTTTTCCAGTTTGAATACCTTTTATTTCTTTGAGATAGAGATTTTTTAAATGTCTTCTTCTTTGGGATTTTTACCTAATGAAGAAAAGAAATGATCAAACTATCAAAATATTTTAATCACTGTGAACTGTTTATTACACATGCTATTCTGTGTGTTGAGCTGGATATCATCATTTGCTACGGGTTACTGATTAGCTAGACTTATTGGCATGTTAAATTAGAGGTTTCTGTCTTGTGACAGTTATTTCATTTAGGGACTACATTGCTTCTTCCGTATTAAAGTTACCATGGAGAGACAGGCAAATAATCCAATAAAGCATAAAATTATTATTTAAATTATTAATATAAAAAGTTAAATGATAAATACATAACTGCTATTACCAAAAAAAATAAAGAAAAATCTAAAACCTCCTGTGTTCAGATCAGTTGCAACTTTGCAGTATCCAAATGTAAGAATGTTCCATTAGTGTAGACATCTCTTGGGTCCTTTTCCTTAAGGGGTTTTATAAATAAAACAGTTTGTAAAAGGGGTTAATAAGAGAGAGAGCAGAAAAGGGGAACTAAGTATTTTGGAGACCTCTCTGTATGGTAGATGCTTTGTTCTCAATAGTTCATTTAATCCTCAGAACAACTCTCTGAGATAAGTAATTATTAAAGAAGTCAGAGTGAGTAGATGGTAGAGGCAAGATTTGAACCGTGGAGGTCTGACTCTAATTTCCTGTAATTATTCACTTGTCAAATTAATAGAATACACCTTTCAGGTTGAGATTATTTGTTATCGAACATTAGAACCTAAGTGGTTTTTGTATATTTCCCTAGGAAAATTTATTTATTTATTTATTTATTTATTGAGACAGAGTCTTGCTCTTGTCGCCCAGGCTGGAGTGCAGTGGCATGATCTCGGCTCACTACAAGCTCTGCCTCCCAGGTTCATGCTATTCTCCCGCCTCAGCCTCCCGAGTAGCTGGGACTACAGGCGTCTGCCACCACGCCCGGCTAATTTTTTGTATTTTTTTCATAGAGACAGGGTTTCACTGTGTTAGCCAGGATGGTCTCAATCTCCTGACCTCGGAATCCGCCCGCCTCAGCTTCCCAAAGTGCTGGGATTACAGACGTGAGCCACCACGCCTGGCCTCCCCAGGGAAACTTTTGTGGACTCTCCTAGATGTCTGCTTAAGAAACTATAAGATTCCAAGTGATTCTTAACAGGGCAGACAAAGAAGTCTAGATGCTACTGTAACAAGGAAGATTGTAGAAAGTCATAGAGACCTCCACAGCCATATAAAAACTGCCTTCCCATAAACTATTCCTCTTCAGGGAGAAAAGGAGCTGCAGAAGCTTTATCTTCTGTGAAATGATAGTCCTGAACTGGAGTCTCAGCTTAGCAGACAGATGAGCCAGGCCTCCATGTACATAAGAGAGCACAGATGTTACATTCGATTCCAGGAGTCCTTTCCAGGGGTACCACTTACTAGCTATGTGATCTTGGGCCAATTGCTTAACCTCTTTGAACCTCAGTTTCCATGTGTGTAACAGAGAGATTGTTGTACCTTATATGTCAGCATTGAAGACTGAATAAGATGTGTATGCCTAACAACTAGTAAGCCTTCAGTATGGTCCTCCTTAAGTCCTCCTTCAGTATGGTCCTCCTTAAGGAGGAGAAAGAAACTCTATCAGTCAGGGTAGGCTGGACTGCATGAAGATAGTAGCTAAATTTTGTTTGGTTTGGTTTGGTTTTTGAGACAGGGTCTCGCTGTATTGCCCAGGCTGGAGTACAGTGGCCCAATCTTGGCTCACTGCAGTCTCTGCCTTCCATGGTCAGGTGATTCTCCCATCTCAGCCTCCCGACTAGGTGGGACTACAGATGCATACCACCACGCCTAATTTTTGTATTTTTAGTAGAGACGGGGTTTCACCATGTTGCCCAGGCTGGTCTTGAACTACTGGTCTCAAGCAATCTGCCTGCCTCAGCCTCCCAAAGTGCTGGGATTACAGGCCTGAGCCACCATGCCTAGCCTGTAGCCAAGATTAAAGTGTCATAAGATAGTAGAAGTCTGTGTCTCTCTCAGGGACCCAAACTTCCTCTATCTTCTGACTATTCCATGCCTTAGGGACTACCCTCTGCATCCAACTAGTTGGGGGAGAGAAGAAAGCACAGAGGGGAATCATTCACTTTTCACCAGTTTGGGCCTAGAACAGCCACACTTTACCTCCATTGTCCAGAACTTGGTTACTTGGCCATATCCAGCTGTAAGAGTGGTCAGGAAATGTAGTCTAGCTGTGTGGATTTCTAGTGAAAGTTTAGTCTTTATAATACATAAGCCATATTTTTAAATCAAGCCCCACACAATGTGATGTCATAATTTGTGATATTATCATCATTTCATATTAAGCTGGAATATATTTTTAGGAAAGCAAAAATGTCTGTTTTCAAAATAATATCCTTCTTGATTCCTTAGCTCTGTGCCTCAGACAAAATTCTGGAGTTTGATCGAGATTTTCGAATTCGACATTATGCAGGCGATGTAGTGTGAGTATCTTACCTTGGTACCTACCATGATTTGCATGCCGCCTCACTTTAGAAAATACAACCAGGAAAAATGTAAATTGGTTTTATATTCATTTGCATGTTTTGGTCATTTGATATGTCAATATATTTTAATTTGTTCAACTTAAAAATGGCATAGCTTCATTCATTCCTTGCTTTTCAACCATTTATTGAGCACACACTACTTGCCCATGTACATTTCGTACAGTTCCTGGCATAGTTCGTGTTCAGTAAGAATCAGCTGGCGGGTCAATAAATCATGGAAGTATATTAAGAACTGGGATAGAAAGATGGATAAGATGGTCTTTGCCCTAAAGAACCAACAGTTTAGTGAAGAGTATAGGCATGTACGTCCATCAAAGGTCACTATAATGAAGAATGGAAACAGTTAAACTAGAGAAGCACAGGCATTATAGGAGCAGTGGGTAGGAATAATTAACCCACTGAGAGGGGTATAGAGAGGTCTTGCTGGAGGAAGTGGTATCCAAATTGAGTCCTAAAAGTAAAAGAGGGTTAGTCAGGGGAATGAATTAGGAAGAGGGGAGAGAAAAGAGAAAGCTTTCCAAGTAGAAGAAACAGTAGGCATAAAAAGGCCCCTAGGTGAGAATAACTCCTGTACATGAAGATCTGCAAATAGTTGGGTAACTGCATAAGCAAAAACCATTTTTGCTACATTATTTTCCAAATATTATTTTAAAAAGTAAAACTCTTACTAGCCGTATTTTTATTAACAATACA
The DNA here is from genome assembly GCF_000001405.40 of Homo sapiens. Taxonomy (NCBI): domain Eukaryota; kingdom Metazoa; phylum Chordata; class Mammalia; order Primates; family Hominidae; genus Homo; species Homo sapiens. The sequence continues at coordinate 32,748,179 of NC_000017.11, read as the reverse complement.
ATAAAGTAGAAATTGATCAGAAAGTATAACTAAAAATTATAACTACCTTAGTACATTAGGTTCCAAGGGCTGCTGTAACAAATTAACCACAATCGGTGGCTTAAGTCAACAAAAACTTATTCTTTCACAGTTCTGGAGTTCAAAAGTTCAAAATCAAGATGTCAGCAGGGCCACACTCTCTCTGGAGGTTCCTGTAGAGAGGAGTCTGTTCCTTTTTCCAGCTTCTAGTAGCACTGGACATTCCTTGGCTTGTAGCTGCATCACTCCAGTCACATTGCCCTCCTCTTTGTGTGTCTGTGTTAACTGTCCCTTTGTGTCTATCTTTTTTTTTTTCCTTTTTTTTGAGATGGAGTCTCGCTCTGTCACCCAGGCTGGAGTCCAGTGGTGCGATCTCAGCTCACTGCAACCTCCGCCTCCCAGGCCTAAGCAAGTCTCCTGTCTCAGCCTCCTGAGTAGCTGGGATTACAGGCGCATACCACCACGCCTGGCTAATTTTTGTATTTTTAGTGGAGACGGGGTTTCACCATGTTGGCCAGGCTGGTTTCGAACTCCTGACCTCAATTGATCTGCCCGCCTTGGCCTCCCAAAGTGCTAGGATTACAGTCATGAGCCACCGAGCCTGGCCGCTCTGCCTCTATTTTAAAGTGACATTTGATATGGTATGTAGAGCCCATCTGAATAATGTAGGATGAGCTTCTCCTCTCAAGATCATTAATCACATATTTTATGATATAAGGCAACATTCCCAGGTTCCAGGGAATTTGATATGAAACTTTTGTTGGGGCTGCATTTCTTAGCCTACTATATTTATTATGCCTTTACTGTCCACTGAACACTGCTCCTCATCTTATTGTTTAAAGAACTCTTTTTCTTAGTTTTTACATTAGGAATTCTTTACATGTAATCCATTGCAGGAAGAGATTAAACAAAAAAAGGTAAATGATCTTCTCTATAAATGCTGAAATGATGTTTGAAGAAATTTTAATAGCTGTTCCTGATTTAAATCAAAATTCTAGGACCATAAAATAATATGGCTCAAAATTATCACACCATCTGTCAAACTAACCATTAGTGATGGAATGGCACCATTTTCCACTTTTTCTGGTCCTGTTCCCAGGTTCCATAATACTGAAGAGGGAAGATCCAGTACTATACAAATATCTCCCACTAAAAATCCAAGCCTCACTTACAGGGTACTTTCATACCACTCAGAATGACGCAAATGCAGAGCTGGATAGAGGCCTTAGAGATGACCTAGACCAGCCACTTCATTTTACAGATGAAGAAACTTATGCAGAATGAGTAAAGTTCTTACGCAATGCCACATAGCAAATTTACAGAAGAACTGAGACAATACCTAGGTTTCTAGACTCTTAGTCTAGAACTTCAACTAACCCTTTTGAGGGATATTCAATGCCTCAGACTTCCTCTTCACTTCTTAAACTCTTCAATCCTTTTCTGGATTTTTACTGAGTATCTTCTATGTGCTCAGTACTTCATAAGGTATGGTCTCTTCCCACAAAGAGCTGGCTGCCATGTAAGATACATACGTATATACATATATGTATGGTTGTATGTGTTCTTATTTTTACACATGAAAACACGCATATATACACATAAACATTTATATACATGTATACAATAACAGTGGTCTAAAATAATTGCCATATGAGTAATAGCAATTACTCATTTGGAATTTAGAGTAAGGAAATACTTCCAGGTTTGTGTGATAAACCCAGGAAGGCTGATGCTGGTCTTTGAATGCTAGGAATTATTCTTATAGGAAGAAGTGGGAAGGGTGCTACAAAATATTCAGGAAATAGCAACTAGGTCCATCTGATTGGAGTGTATCCTTTTTTGTAGCACAGAGAAGTAGAACTATCTGGAAGAGTAGCTTGAGATCAAATCACAAAGGTTCAGTCAAAAGTGACTTGAAAGTATTAAGAAGACCTAGGTCGGGGCAGGCAAGGAAATAATTTTGGGTATGGTAACCTTAAAGTACCCATGGGCAGCACAGCCTGAAGGAACTTTCTTGCAGGATTAAATATGTAAGGCAAGGAATCCGGGTTAGAGATCTGAGAATTGCTTATACTGATCTGATTGTCAAGAGAGAAAACAGGCACGAGAGCAGAACTGTAAGGTGTAGCTGTGTCTAAAGTTCCTATTTGCTTAATCTCCTAGCCTCTGTCTTAATCACCCAGAGTTGTCAATTACTTTTATAACCCCAAAAATGAATTCACTCCTCCTAGAGTCCATGCCAGTCACTGGGAGTAGTACAATTCTATTCCTACTCTTCTCACCAACTGCAATCTTAGCTGGACTTTCAAGACCTTACTCATCTCCCTTCCAAACCATCTATACTGGCCTCCTCATTCTCTCTCCAGAGCACCATGCATGTGCCTGCTTTCGTCACTCCATTTGATCTGTTTCCCTGTGTGATCTGCCTGCCTTTTTCTCCTCTGCTTATCCAATTATTACCATCCTTTGCAGTTCTTCTTGGAATCTTTTATCCTACCCTCAACACTGAGTGAACCTTAGGCAAGTCACTTGACCTCCCTACGGATGAGACTGTTAGTTCCTGTATGTTGCTGTTTTGCTTTTATCTTAGGAATGCTGGATGATAAATACAGCTATCTTTTAAAAAGTCATCTTCTTGAGGTAAGCAATAAACCAGTAGGGAATTATCATCTTAATCATAATAGTACTGATGAAAATTCCCTTCTATTTAGTAGGTAAATTTGGTATCCTTTAATACAGAACAAGATGAACAATATCAGCTTTTAGATTATTGATTGCATAATTAACGGTGGAAAGGCTTGTTGCCTCCTGGAAAAACTTAAATGTGGCTCTTGCTTGGTAAATGATACATGTTTTCTGTGATTTTTCCCTGTTAGCTATTCTGTCATTGGTTTTATTGACAAAAATAAAGATACTTTATTTCAAGATTTCAAGCGCCTTATGTATAACAGGTAAGATTGAAATTTTATTAATTAACTCTAGATTAAGCTCATTGACATATGTAATATATGCACATGGTTATATTTATATGCAATTTTAAGAGTTTCTGGCACATTTTCTTGTTCTGCTTTATCAGACTTAATAAATAGCATATAACTAACTTGATGATAAAATCTATAAATTTTGGGCAGGGACCTGCTAATAATATGATGTGCTTTGATTTCCCTTGGGTTGCCTCAGCTTCTGTGCTCACTGCTGCCAGCCTTCCAGCATCCCCTACCAGTATACTCAGCAGTCCTCAGGCCAGGCCAGTGTGATGAAGAAGTGTCAGGTGACATCTGGCCCAGCTAGAAGTTTTGCATACTCAGATTCCCACTGTAGTGTCTTCACCCCCAAATAAGAGACCGCTCTGATATCAGAGTGGCATCTAGTGTCAGTGAGCCCTGATAGTGACTGAGCAGACAGAATCTTCTCACAAACCAACAAAATGTGGAAAAGTTATGGCAAAATAAAACTAGGCAAATGATAACAAGTTTAAATCCAGTATGGATACTTTAAAAAGAAGGTCCATGAAGAAGAAAGAGGATTCCTGGTCATCTTTCTATGGGTTAAAGAACTGTATTCACTCATTTGTTAAGTCTGCTTAGTCAGTGCTCAGTAGATTATCAAAAATGTATTGAGTACCTTTGAGGCACACTTTCTTCTATGTTCTGGGATACAGCTGTGAAAAAATGTAGGCAAAGTCCCTGGCCTCATGGAGATTATAGTCTAGTAAAGGTGACAGTTAATAAACAAGGAAACAACTTTCAGTTTGTGACAAGTGCTGTGCAGAAAAATAAAGTAGGTAACAGATTGAAGGGTACAGATGAGGAGGGGCTGGGAAGGAATTATAGATAGGGTAGTCAGAAAAGGCCTCTTATAGAGGTGACATTTCAGCAGAGACCTGAATTAAGTGAAGGAGGGAGCCATGCTGGAGGAAGAGCATTCCAGGCAGAGAGAAAAGCTAGTACCAAGGCCACAAGGTGGGAATGAGCTTGAGTGTATTGACAGCAAGGCCATTGTGGCTGAAAACAGAGTGAGGGATGGAAAGAGTGACTTTAGAAAGGTAGGTAGAGCCTGGATCATAAAGAGCCTGAGTCCACATAAGAAGAAAGTATGAAGGGAAGCGTTGGAATTTATGATGTGATGTGATGTGATTTATGTTTTAAAGATATCACTGCTGCTACTACTATGTAAAATGCACACAGTAAGGGACAAGCATGGAAATAGACAGTAAAGGAGGCGATTTTAATAATGCAGGCTGAGGCTGGTCGCAGTGGCTCACACCTGTAATCCCAGCACTTTGGGAGCCTGAGGCGGGCAGATCACAAGGTCAGGAGATTGAAACCATCCTGGCTAACATGGTGAAACCCCGTCTCTACTAAAAATATGAAAAAATTAGCCGGGTGTGGCGGTGAGTGTCTGTAGTCCCAGCTACTCAGGAGGCTGAGGCAGGAGAATGGCATGAACCTGGGAGGCGGAGCTTGCAGTGAGCCGAGATCGCGCCACTGCACTCCAGCCTGGGCGACAGAGTGAGACTCTGTCTCAAAATAATAATAATAATAATAACAATAATAATAATAATAATGCAGGCTGAGGCCTGGGTGGTAGTGATGGAGATAATGAAAAGGGGTCAGATTGGGTGATATTTTGAAAGTAGAGTTGACAAGATTTGCTGGTAGAGACAATGTGTGGTGTGAGAGGAAGACGGAAATCAAAGGTGATACCTGAGCCTGATAGGAGAAGACAAGAGGAAACGCTAATTGGTTCAGGGAAATTAAGAGTTTTGTTTTGGATATGTTATGTCTGAAGTGCATTTTGGATACCCAATTAAAAGTGCCAAATCAGCAATTGCAACTATGCATCTGAATCTCAGGGGAAAGGTGGGGCTAGAGATATAAATTCACAGTCATCAGTGTATTGATTGTATTTAAAGCCATAGACTAGATGAGAGTATCTAGGGAGTGAGCGTAGTTTTAAAAAGAGAAGAGGTTAAAAAGACTAATTCCTGAGACACTGTAACATGTAGAGACAAACAAGGAAAGAGGAACTAGCAAAGGAAACTGAGAGCATGCCAGTGAGGAAGGAAGTAAACAAGGAATCTGGTGTCACAGAGGCCAAGCCAAGAAAAAATGTTTAAAGAAGAAAAAAACGATACACTACATCAAATCTTGTCAAAAGCAGGAGGGATGAGAGGACCAAGATTGACCATTGGATTTGCTAATGCCAAGGTCAGTGGGACTCTTGACAACACTGGTTTCCATGTAGCATTGAAGACAAATATCTCATTGATGTGAGCTCAAGGGAATACAGGAAATGAGAATATAGAGACATTGTGTTTAAACTGTTCTTTCAAGAATTGTTATCAAATGATTCATCTGTATGGATGTTGAAGCCACCAAGATTAATGATGGCACTATCATCAGTAAAAAGTTACAGAGACAGGAATGTGAGAGAGGATCCTTGGAAGAACTGGGCATGGGGAAAAGGGACTTTCAGAAGGGAATTTCAATGCTTAATTTATCAGGTAAGGTACATTCATTTTGAGGGACAAATGACAGAGTCCAGCATTTCTCTGTGCAGAAAATGTTAAAAGCTCAACTTAGAAAAAACAGCCTTATTTGGCCAGTAGTACCATCAGGGTGTGTTGCCAGTCTCTGTACCAAGAGGCTGCACGAGGTGATGTTTGTTAACTTTGTGAATGTACCATGGCCCAGAGGTTCAGCTGCTGAGAACAGCTTCACCTTTCAGTGGTGAACTAATATAGCCCAGGCTCTCCAGGCCAGTGTAGAAACCAAACAGCATGTGGATTTATTTCTAGTGGAAAATCTAACAGTAACATGGAATGGAATACAGTTGTCCCGAAGTATCCATGGGGGATTAATTCCATCTGGTACCCTCCTCCACTGAAGATACCAAAATCCATACATGTTCAAGTCCCTTATATAAAATGGTGTAGTATTTACATATAACCTACACACTTCCTCCCAGATACTTTAAATCATGTCTAGATTACTTACAAAACCTAATGAAATGTAAGTGCTATGTAAATAGTTGTTGTATTGTTTAGAGAATAATGACCCCTCAAAAAAGTCTGTACATGTCTAGCACAGGCACAAACATCTTTAAAAAAAATTTTTTTTTTAATTTACTTTTTTTTTTTTTTTTGAGACGGAGTCTCACTCTGTCGCCCAGGCTGTAGTGCAGTGGCGCGATCTCGGCTCACTGCAAGCTCCGCCTCCCAGGTTCATGCCATTCTCCTGCCTCAGCCTCCTGAGTAGCTGGGACTACAGGCGCCCACCACCACGCCCGGCTAATTTTTTTTGTATTTTTAGTAGAGACGGGGTTTCACTGTGTTAGCCAGGATGGTCTCGATCTCCTGACCTCGTGATCCGCCCACCTTGGCCTCCCAAAGTGAAAAATATTTTCTATCCATGGTATATGTTGAATGTGGAAGCCATGGATATGGAGAGCCAACTGTAATTGTGTTCATGTAACAGGCTGTTTTTCCCTGTTGGAAAACGTGCTTGGGAAGTCAAATAGCAGTGAGAACTCTGATTCATTATTACCCATGGAATCCAGAATACTTAGTTGCCTGGTAAGCACAGAATCAGAACAAAGGAACTTAGATAAACCCAACAAATAAAGGCATCAGGCTAAGATGAATCCATTTCACAATAGGAATAGTTTTGCCAAAGGGGTGAAAGATTGAAAGTCTATTAAATGCAGCATATTGTGTATATTCCATAATAGGAAAGGCCTTGCCTGTGAGATGGGAAGTCTTGACTTTTTTTTTTTTTGGATAAAACCATCCTCCTAGATGGTATTGGAATGAGCCACCTTCATCTCTGGACACTATTTGATGCTTCCATGGCTAATAACCTTCCAAAATTTGAATCCATTTTTTCTTTGTATATGTTAATATAATGATTTTTCTTTTCTTTTTTTTTTTTTTTTTAGAAGTGGTATCCCAGTCGCCCAGCCTGGAGCACAGTGATGTGATCATAGCTCACTGTAACCCTGAACTCCTGGGCTCAAGTGATTCTCCCAACTCTGCCTCCCCAGTAACTGGGGGTACAGGCATGCACCACTACACCCAGCAATATAATTATATTTAAGCAATGTTCCTTGGATTCTAGTTCTGTAGACCTTGATAATATACACACATGTATGCATGCATGTATGTGTGTGTCTGTGTCTGTGTGTGTCTGTGTAAATGAAGGGAGGAAGGGAGCAAGCATTTTGCATTCCAAGTGCACAAACTTTTACTCTTTACTGCTGTCTTGTTAGCCAGATGAGATCTGCCTTACCTATTATACATACTGGGTCTCTGGAGGAGCTTCCCTTCTAAGATAAGGGTTCTGGTATTTAAAATATGTTGAAAACTATTTTGTTAATATTACATTCAGGCTGGGCATGGTGGCTGACACCTGTAATCCCAGCACTTTGGGAGGCTGAGGTGGGAGAATCGCGTGAGCCCAGGAGTTTGAGACCAGCCTGGACAACATAGGGAGACCATTCTACAAAAAATTAAAAAGTTAGCCAGGCATGGTGGCACGTGCCTGTAGTCCCAGCTACTTGGGAGACTGAAGTGGAGTATCACTTGAGCCTGGAAGGTCGAGGCTGCAGTGAGCTATCATCTCACCACTGCACTCCAGCCTAGGTGACAGAGTGAGACCCTGTCTCAGAAAAACAAAAATATTACAGTCATGACTTGGCCTGAAAGTTCTTTCTCTTTAAAATGACTCCCTACAACTGTTTGGATTCATTTTGTATCAATTCTGCTATTTAACGTATTATCTTATTTCCTTCATTTCCAACCTTTACAGTGTAGTACAGGAATAGTCTCCAAATATGGCCAACAGTGAGTAAGGTAGACAAAGAATTTGGAGTAGAAACTGCATAGACCAAACACCAGTGACTAAAAGACACAGTCTTTTAACATGTGTCGAAATTTTCAAAGTACACAAAGTGCAATTTTCTACTTTCTGAAAATTCTATTCAGTAAATGTTAGAATGGCATTCAGGCACCATGTGCACTGTAAGTTAAGAACGTTGCCTTAAATTATTTCTGTGCTAAAGATAAGAATGAAAAAGTTAAGGAAAAACAATATACATCTATGTAGTCATTTTGATATAAGTGTACAAATGGAAAATTATGGAATAGGACTAGAAAGTAATGAAACTGGGTTCATAAGCCACAGGTTATTGCAGCATTTTGTAGCCACTTTGACAGTAGTTGGCACTGCTTGCTGGTGATGGTGGGGGCTGGGAGTGTTGCTCTGTCTGTGTTCACAGACCCAGTCAATCCACACATTACCATTTGTCTTCTTCGCTCTGCGCTCATCTGCTCTTTCATCTTGCAGCTATTATTTTGAGCACCTACATACAGAAATATTCTGAGTGCTTTGGGGATCCAACTCAATTTTTAAAATTTTATATGAGGGAAAAAAAGTGGGTAAAATGTTAGCAGTAGTAAGAGCAATTAGCAATGAATGCTAATGTTAATTATTTTCTCTTCTCAACCCCCAATTTTTTTTTATTATACTTTTAGTTCTAGGGTACATGTGCACAGCGTGCAGGTTTGTTACATATGTATACATGCGCCATGTTGGTGTGCTGCACCCATTAACTCGTCATTTACATTAGGTATATCTCCTAATGCTATCTCTCCCCCTCCCCCCACCCCATGACAGGCCTTGGTGTGTGACGTTCCCCTTCCTCTGTCCGAGTGTTCTCATTGTTCAATTCCCACCTATGAGTGAGAACATGTGATGTTTGGTTTTTTGTCCTTGCGATAGTTTGCTAAGAATGATGGTTTCCAGCTTCATCCATGTTCCTACAAAGGACATGAACTCATCCTTTTTTATGGCTGCATAGTATTCCATGGTGTATATGTGCCACATTTTCTTAATCCAGTCTATCATTGATGGACATTTGGGTTGCTCAACCCCCAATTTTTTAAGAAAAGTTTTTTTCTGATAAAAGTTTCTAGGAAGCAAGCAACATTTTGAGTTCCAACTGCTTTAACATCAAAAGCACCCAAAATGAAACCAGAAAAAAAATGACAGTTGAGATCACTACACGTTTTTAAAAATATCTCCACAGAGCAAAATTATGAATATACAATTTTAACCTGAAAATTGGCCTGAAATGCATTTTTAGATTTGGATTGCAACAGTCCTAATGTCACATCAATAAAATATTGTAACTGCCAATGCTACCTACAGATTTGTTCACAATTTGAACTGCAGTAAAGGGATTTACGAGGGACAATATAAAAATGGTTATTTTATATTCCTACCTGTGTTTTTTTTTAAAGAGCAGGCTTTCTGTAGTGTTACCTGTTCTATTAATATATAAATTATTTGCTTTAATTCAAAGATATTGCCACTTTTATGTTTTCTGCTGTGACATTGAGGATCATTTTTCTACTAGTGGTTTGTCCTCATTTTCTAACCATCACAAAAATGAATTTGTTTTATATATGTATTGTAAGAGCCATATTGACCATTTGAGGGTCCTAGGTAGGTATAATAAGGATGTCACTTTAAAGAAGTTTAAATAATTTTTAAAATATGCTATAGTTTGGAAAAACATCTCAATTTGCATTGCAGTATCAGTCATTATTCTTGTAGCATAATTTTCTGGATGGAATCATCATTCCAATTAGGCCTTGTGAGTTGAATCTGTAGTCCAATTATGATTCTCAGGATACATTTCAGCAGAATTGCTTATCAGTTTTTATCCAGCTTATTTGAATGTGACATTTGAATTGTTTTTTCTGTGCTTCTCAGTTCAAATCCTGTGCTCAAGAATATGTGGCCTGAAGGCAAACTGAGCATTACAGAGGTGACCAAGCGACCTCTGACTGCTGCTACCTTGTTTAAGAATTCTATGATTGCTCTAGTAGACAACCTTGCATCAAAGGTAATTATTTTCTTTTCTAAATATCCATTTTAACTCATAGATTTCCTCTTGATGTATTATAAAGAATGTATGTATGATTTGCTTTTTAGGTAATCATGTAGATTGAAGAATATGTATAAAGTGAATGTTATAATAGAATTTTTATTCCTGCATTTTTAAAAATCTCACCTCAGTGGAACGATTGTTGGTGTCCTAGATTAGTATCTGTCTTGAATTTGAGCTTTTTATTCTACTGTCATGGTCAAGGGAAAAATCTTGGATTTGAAAAATATATAAGGCACAGCATGCCCAGCAAAAGGAACTTTAGCGCTGTGCTGAAAACAGGACCTGGCCAAAATAAATAAGTAAAGTCTTGAATTAAGTTGTAAAATGTACCATTTATATATTGTGTTTGAGTACAAAGTGGCCAGAGAGTTTTAAGAGGAAATTTAGGATGCAAGTATTGTCCTTAGGCTGTTTTAAATAATTGAAATATAAAGACGTATTGGCCTGGGTGTTGTGGCTTATGCCTGTAATCCCAGCACTTTGGGAGGCCAAGGCGGGAGGATCACTTGAGACCAGCCTGGACAATATAGTGAGACCTCCTTTCTGCAAAAAGTTAAAAAATTAGCCAGGCATGGTGGCATGCACCCACAGTCCCAGCTACTCAGGAGGCTGAGGCGGGAGGATCACTGGAGACCAGCCTGGGCAATATAATAAGACCTCCTCTACAAAAAGTTACAAAATTAGCCAGGCATGGTGGCACATGCCTGTGGTCCCAGGTACTCTGGAGGCTAAGGTGGGAGGATCGCTTGAGCCTGGGAGGCAGAGGTTGCAGTGAGCCAAGATCACACCACTACACTCCAGTCTGGGTGATAGAGCAGGACCTTGTCTCAAAAAAAAAAAAAAAAGTTGTATTATTGACAATTATTTGTGTTTTTTATTGTTTCTTTAAGGACTAATACTATTTGATAACTTTTGTCTGTTTTTTCCCTTAAAGAACATATTTCTACCCCTAACTGCTGCTGTTGGCAAGTTTGATAAATTAGGCAGCATTCTGAGCCATGTTATTTTTAGTTTCTTCATTTTTATCTTTCTCTTCTGGTGCTTCTCCTATGTAGTTTCTTCTTCGTTATCTTTTTTTAAAAAATCAACTTCCTCTCTAAGAATTTGAATCCATACTGTTTCTGGTTACTTCACTATAGATAAATTAGGCAAATGCCACAGGAACACATCTGTGCGGTCGCTTTCTATCTCCTTTTGTCAGGATTCTTTGGCCTCAAGTGACCGCATATAAGCACAATTTGTTGGCTTATATAATCAAACCTCCAGAAAGGCAGGGGTAAGGACACTGGCACTGGAGGCTGGAATGCCGTTAGGACTCTTCACTCTTGTATCTCAGCTTTTCTTTGCATGTCAACTGCAGCCTGCTTCATCCAGCAAGAAGAAAAGTGAACCTGGAAGGAAGACACAGGACACAAGAAACAGTTGAACACTGAATTTCATGAAAGACTTTTAAATATTCAGTTAACTACAGTTAGTCAATTAACTAGAAAAAGAATTGTTTTGTTTTCTAAACTTGGTAGTTAATGTGCCATGTAAAGAAATAAAAATTCCAGAACCTTCTATAATTTCTGTATCAGGAATTGCATTCACCTTCTAATGAAACAGATCCCTGAATTAGTAGCTTAAATAAGAGAGACATTTATTACTCTCTCCTATAAATGAAGTATAGAAGAAGGCATCCCAGGACTGGCATGGCAGCTCCAAAGTTATTAGAGACCCAAGTTCTTTCTGTCCTTCCGCTCTACCATCCTAGTGCTTGGCACCCAACCTCCTGGTCCATGATGGCAGCTGGAACTTCCTCCTTTTTAAAGAGACTTCCTGGAAGTTTGACACACTTTAGCTACACCCCATTTGCTATATAGAGTTGTCAGGGAAGCTGGGAAGGACATTTTCATTCTGGTCAGCAGTGCACTCAGCTAGCAATAAGAATTCTGTTTTAAAGTAAGAAAAAGATACTGGACATAAAGTAGGGAACTAGCCTAGCAATCTCTGCTACAGCTTCCCAATCCATGTGTGTATGGAGATCAGGGGAGAAGGGAGGGAGCAGAGATAAGCAGAAGAATATAGACAACTTATCAGTACAATAGAAGGCAAGAAGGTAAAGCCAGACTGAGAGGTTCTAGAGGACAGCAGAAAAAAAAAAAAAGAGTTGCATTTAGAACAAAATAATATGATAGAAATAAATCTAAATAATTGGTATTCATCATAATGTAAATAGACTAAGCAGACTAGATAGGTGGAAAATCCAGCTATATGCTCCTTAGAGGAGACACACATAAATAACACTATGCAGAAAGCTCAAAAACAAAGACGTAGAAAGATATCAAGCCACCTCTCACCAAAAACGGTTAAAAGCAACATTCATGTGAAAGAACATAGAATTTAAGAAAGCAAGTATTAATACAGATAAACTAGTGATATCAAAATTATCCAAGACAAGCCATGTTGAACTAACATGGTACCTAACAACATACCCATACTTCTTGTAAATTCTATAAAGAAAAAAAAAACCTGAAAAATTTTAAAGGAAAAATTGACAAGTCCACCATCATAGTGGGAGATTTTAAACCAGTGCTGTCAGAAAGATAAATGATAGATGAAGCAGACAAAAATGTTAGTGAGAATGCAGAAGCTTTGAAAACCAAATTTAAACTTTATCTAATAGATCAAAGGAACCCTGTACCCAGAGAATAGGAAATACATATGCCTTTAAAGTATACATCAAGGCCAGACATGGCGGCTTATACCTGTAATCCCAGCACTTTGGGAGGCCAAGGCAGGAGGATCACTTGAGGTCAAGAGTTCAAGACCAGCCTGTCCAGCATAGTGAAACCCTGTCTCTAATAAAAATACAAAACTTAGCTGGGCATGGTGGCCTGTTGTCCCAGCTACTTGGGAGGCTGAGGCAGGAGAATCACTTGAACCCAGGAGGTGGAGATAGCAGTGAGCAAGATGGTGCCAATGCATTCCAGCCTGGGCAACAGAGCGAGACTCCATCTCAAAAAAATAATAAAATAAAGTATACATGGAACATTTACAAGAATTGACCACATAATAGATGACAAAGGAAACCATTTTGGGTTCGTGTGTGTGTGTGTGTGTGTGTGTGTGTGTGTGTGTGTGTGTTCAGATGGAATCTTGCTTTGTTGCCCAGGTTGGAGTGCCATGGTGCGATCTCAGCTCACTGCAACCTCTCTGCCTCCTGGGTTCAAGCAATTCTCACACCTCAGCCTCCTGAGTAGCTGGGATTACAGGTGTGTGCCACCACACCCAGCTAAATTTTTTTTTTTTTGTATTTTTAGTACAGATGGGGTTTCACCATGTTGACCAGGTTGGTCTTGAACTCCTGATCTCAGGTCATCCACCCACCTCGGCCTCCTAAAGCGCTGGCATTGCAGATGTGAGCCACCATGCTCAGCCATCTCAACTATTTTGAAGAAGTGCATATACAGATACAGTTTTCATCTTCAAAGCAAGTAAAATAAAAATCAGCATTAAAAAAATGTAATATGTTTTGGAACTTTAAAAGTACTCTCCTAAACAGGTCATAGTTTGAAGAAGAAATCACAATGGAAATTATAAAATGTTAGGAAGTGCATGACAAAAAATTTGTCAGAATTTATAGAATACTGCTAAAGTGATCCATTTGTTGCCTTTGTAAAATAACAAGAAAGACTGAAAAGTTAATGAGCTAAGCACAACTTAAGAAGCCAGAAAAGGAACTCCAAAGAAAACCTGAAGAAAGAAGTAAGAAAATATTTTTTAAAATAGTAAAACTTTAAAGTAATGGAACAAAAAAGTAATCAATAAGACCTCTAATAAAGCTGATAAATTAAAAAATTATGAACAAAAAAAGGGCTATTACTGTGCAGACATTATGGAGATTTTTTTAAAGTATCAGAATATTATGGATAACTATATGCCAATGAATTTGAAAATGTAGATGGTTTTCTAGAAAAAAAAAGTTATCAAAATTAATTCAAGAAGAATGGGGCAACCTGAATATATCAGTAACCTTAAAGAATCCGAATAACTGATGATAAATCCACCTTTTCCCAACGTTGCCAAGGACATCAGATCTAGATGGTTTTACAAATCAGTTTTATAAAACCTTTGTGGAGCCATTAATCCCTATCATATGGAAACTGTTTTGGAGGGTGGGAAGAAGAGAGGCAACTACTCAACTCATTTAATGAGATTAATATTACCTTAATACAAGCTTAATATGAGAAAATAAAATTAGAGATCAATTTAACTTAGAAACACAGATGTAAAGACCTCAAAAATATATGAATAATGCATTTTCTGGCAACATGGTGAATGAGGTGCCCACTAAAGCCAACTGAAAACAACTAAAATGTTAGATAAAATATAAAAATCAACATCTTGAATCTAGCCATGAACTAACGAAAAGTAAGAAATATACAAGCCAGGAGCTGAGTGAATACAGAAGTTAACTGAGTGAAGGAAAAAACCCCTAAAGCTGCCCCTCACCCTGTGGGGATTTGTTGAAGTGTGTAACTTTGAATATAGTTATTCAAGGCTGGGTCCTTGAAGTGAAGCCCAGGGCCTGCCCAAAGTAGGGTATCTAATAAGGAATTCTGTGCACACACACACACACAATGGTGAGTCTTTAAAGGGCTACATGTAGAGTGAACTAGAAGTAATTCCCCATTATCAGTAAGGAAAACTGCCTGTCTTGGTCCTTGGCACTCAGCCATGGGTGGAGGGGGTGTGAATCTCTCTTGGGAATTTATAATCATAAGTGAGCTTTTAGGTGGTTTGCAACCCAAACTCATACTATCTGGGTAGCTTGAAAAAGCCTCAAACTGACAATTTGATTAAAGGTGGTCCAGGTCTTATAATTGCCCCAGGCATCTGAAAAAAGCAAGTAAAACTGTTTTCCTTAGGAAACTATCTTCATACTGTCACAGAATCCTTGGGGTGTGACTTTTCTCGCCAGAAACCTTTGTGCCTGGTGGTGCCTTTGCCTGAGTTTTGCTCAAGCCTGCCAGGCTTGTTCCACCTACTCAGCCTCGCAGGCTGCACTCAGCTTGCCCTACCAGCCTGGATTCCACACTTGCCAAGGGTGAGCCAGGCACAGAATGGCAAGGGGAGTGTGAATGAGCGAGCATAAGGTCCAGCCACTGCACACAGCCAAGCACACAGGCTGCAGCAGAGCGGGCAGCTCCAGGTGCCGGCACAGACACTGGTTCCCTGTGAGGCTGCGGCTGGACCAGGCATACTGCAAGCAGCTTCCATGGCTGGCACTGGGGAATGCAGTGGTGCCCAGAAGCTTGGAAATACCAGGAACTGCAGAGCCCCAAAGAGTATATCAGCCCTGGCTTGGGGAGCTCCTAGGTCTGGGCTCCCTGAAGGGCCACAGCTCTTCTCCTTCTCTCTTCACTCCTCGTCACCCACAACGTGGCAAGCAAAGGGCATGTTTCAGCCCTGTTTGTGTTACAGCTCTTTTAGCCCTGCCATTCAGTGGATTCTGAGTTGTTGTCCTGTGTCCAGGAAGAATGAGGTATGCATACAAATAGAGGGTGAGCAAGGCAAAGAGGTGCTTTATTGGGTGACAGAACAGCTCAGAGGAGAATCTCAGTGGGTAGCTCCTCTCTGCAGTCAGGTCCTCCCATTGTCTACTCATCTCTCAGCATAGAGGAGACCAGCAGTATGAAGCTAGCTCCTCTCTGCAGGCAGGTCGTCCCATCATCTGCTCAGCTCTCAGCAGAGAGGAGACCCATGGTGGGTAGCTCCTCTCCACAGGCAGGTTATCCCATTGTCTGCCTGAGTCTGGCTGAGTCTGGGGTTTTTATGGGCTTCAGAGGAGGGGAAGTGTGCGCTGATTGGTCCATAGGCAGGCCTGGAAAAAGCACTATAAGTTCTCACTCTGGACCATGGAACTGGCAGCCTGGCCCAAAGGTGGGATTTCACCAGCGACCCACCCCTTTCTGCCCAGGCACCTGTCTGCCTCCTGCCACCATTAACCTGCCATCCACAGCACCCACAGAGTCCAGACTGTTCGTGCCAAGGGGTGCCTCCAGGCCCACACCAAGCTGCCCTCAGCACCCCGTTGGCCTTCCGCTGTGCTCTTTGGCATCCAAAGTCTGAAGGGGGCCAAGGTAGCAGGGGGCTGGCATATCAGCACTGCCCCAAGTGTGCGCATACCCAGCTGGGTTGCAACAGTGCCCAGGCTCAGCCTCAACTTTGCTCTGAAATCAGAGTGGGCGCCAAGACCAGGGAGAGGCCAGACGTTGGGAGCAGCACATCCAAGCCAACAGGGGCAGGGGAGCTTCCCATGTCCCCGGGAGTGCAGAGGTACCCAGGTCTACAGCCATGGCTGGGTGGTTATGGCTTCACCCAGGAGGTTGGGGCTCCTGCCTGCTCCCAGCCCCCAAGAGCACAGGGATGCCTGGGTCCTGCACCGTAGCTGGGCGGCCACAGCTGCACCCAGGAAGTGCGATGATCCCACCCAGCCAACTTGGAAGGGGGCGGGGCTTCCACCTGTTCCTGGCTACTGCCAGCTCCACGGAGCACACAACCCCAGATGCACCTCCCCCACTGCAGCCAGCATCATGGCAGCAGCTGCTCCAGATGGGCCACCAATACCAGACCTTAAAGAATTTCCACAAAGCTCTAAGGAAAATTAGCTCACAGTAAAGAATCACTACAAGATACTATAAGTAAAAGGCAAACTAAACAACAAACAGCAGGTTCAGACTCATGAAAACTTCTGATACAGAAATGATCAGAAAGAGAATATGAGAATGCTTAATATACATCAAGAAATGAAAGGCCAGAAAATGAGAGAGAACAAGCAACTAGACAATTGATAGAAATAAAAACTAAGTAATTAAAATTAAAAATTCAATGGATAGGTTTAACATCAGTTTACATAAAGCTGAAGAGAAAGTAGTGAAATGAAAATAAGAACTGAAGGATTATCCAGAATTCCACTTAGACTAAGAAATGAAACATATAAAAGAAACATTAAGACACATGGGGGCTGGTGGCTCATGCCTGTAATCCCAGCACTTTGGGAGGCCGAGGCGAGCAGATCACAAGGTCAGGAGATCAAGACCATTCTGGCTAACACAGTGAAACCCTGTCTCTACTAAAAATACAAAAAAATTAGCCAGGTGTGGTGGCATGCACATGTAATCCCAGCTACTCAGAAGGCTGAGGAAGGAGAATCGCTTGAACCCGGGAGGCAGAGGTTGCAGTGAGCCAAAATTGTGCCACTGCACTCCCGCCTGGGCGACAGAGCAAGACTGTCTCTGAAAAAAAAAAAAAAAAAAAAGACACGTGGAAGAGAAAATAAAGTGGTCAAACATGTATCTTATCAGAGTTATAGAAGAGAAAATGGATAGAACAATATTTGAAGAAATATTCCTGAGAATTTCAAGAATATTGAAGGACTTAACAGAATCAGGAAGCCCAATGAATCTGAAGTTAGAAAAATTAAAAGAAATCTGCATATAGACACCTAGTAAAATCCTAGAACATTAAAGACAAAGAAAATATCTTAAAAGCAGCCAGAGAAAAGACAGATTAGATTCAAAAGTATGACAATTAGGCTGAGAGAAAATAAACGTAAACCAAATTCTATACCCAGGGAATACATTTTTTCCAGAACAAAGGCACAATAAAGAATCTTTCTGAAAAACAAAAACCAAAAACAGAGAGTTTATCAACCTCACTTAAGGAGATTCTAAAAGATATTCATCAGACAATAGGAAGAGTATACTAAGTGAAACTCTGAAATGCGAAAAGAAAAGAAGAGCAAAGAATTGGTAAATACGTAGATGCATGTAAATGAACTCTGTAAAATAATATTTTGTGGAATGGAAAATACAGATTAGAGTTATCACAGTAACAATTGCATATCAATTAGAAGAGCAGGTAATTGTAATTCCAGTGTTTAAGGTCCTTAGTTCAGAAAAAAATAATAAAAATATTGTTTAACGTTCAACTCTGATGAGTTAAAAATACATGTGAAAATTTTCTAACATAATCATTGAAAATAGTAGAAAATAGAGGTTATAAATTCCAAACTAGTAGAGAAGGAAAAGAAAAAAAAAAACAATAAAAACAAAGAATCCTCCCTGCCCCCAAAACAAAAACATAAAAAAGAAGAAACAAAAGAACATGGGAAAGCTGGATATTTGGTAGAAACAAATATAAATATATTAGTAATTACATTGAATGTAAATGGATAAAAACCAATTCAGACTGAAGAAAAAGAATCCAGATATATGCTATTTATTAGTGACACCCGTAAGGAAATAGAACAACTGAAAGTTTATATCAGTTCGACAGTCTGGGATCACCTTTATCCCATTTCAGGGCCTGTAGTAGCTCAGTGTTGGGCTGTCGTCCATTCACCTTTATCTCCCTGGTTTAGCTATTCAGGATTCCAGACCAAACTACAGTCCCTCATCCAAGACCCCAGGTTCTAACTTTGGTACCCAAGTCCCATGAAAGCCAGAAGCTATGTTCAGCCTTATGACTGTCTTTTCCATATCAACAGTAGCTTCTAAGACAAAAACAACCATGAGGTGTAGGCTCACTCAACTTGATTTTAGTTTTCTGATTTTGGCCAGGTCTTTCCTCACTATCTTATTAGCTCCGAGATGCACTTACCAAAACCTTTTCCCCATATTTTGTCTAGCACTTTTTTTTAGTAACTTCATCAGGAAGATTGATAAGTATTACCTAGTGCTCCATTACCAGAAGTAGACGTCCCTGGCTCCTCACTTTCACAGAGTCCATAGTGCCTTCAGTTCATGACTTGTATCCCCACCCAGATTATAAATCTTTTGAATCTAGAGAATGGGTTTTGTTAATTTTATGTATTAATACCTAATAAGGTACTAAAACAGATTGTCAGTAAATTATTAAATGAACTTGAATTTGCTATGACTATTTGACAGTGTTCAAAGCAAGTTAAATAGAGGTATATTTAGATAGTGTAGTCTAGCTAATCTATATACTGATTGGTGTACTTTCACAAATGGTGTTTTTTTTCCCGTAAAATATATAGGGAGAGACAGGTGAAAAAGTTCAAGAGAATAAGATCACTATTAACTTTTGCAATTTAACCTTTATAAGACACTCTGAATTTGCCAAATTTAGGATTTCTTAGGCTGAGTCAGTCTGGATATTTATAAATGAGAGAGGAGGCAGCATTTATAAATTGAGACAGAATGCTGATTAAATATAGAGAAAGTATTCCCACTATATTCCTTATCCAAAGACTTTTATATCACTAAACAGGATGAAAGGGCTTCCCCCCATTTCTTAGTTGGTTGTTAGTGTCTCATCCAATATTGCCACTTCCTATGCGTAATCACTCAGTACTGGTAATAGTCCATTCAACTATTTTCTGGTTAATAAAGTTGTATTAATACTCTTCATATGATGCCTTATAAGATTGCGTTGCCTACATGATTTTATACATTATTCAGTCCAAAATATTTTCCAAATCACATTGTAATTTCCTTTTTGACCTAAGGTTTAGTTGTTCAGAAGTATTTTTCTTAATTTTCAACATATAGGATTTTCTCATTATCTTTTTGCTCTTGATTTCTAGCTTAGTCTTATTTCATCAAAAGACATACTCTGTGTGGTTTCAATTTTTAGAAATTTGCTAAATTTGCTTTATGTATATGTTTTGTTTGTCTTTAAAAAATAATTTGCAGCCGGGCGCGGTGGCTCATGCCTGTAATCCCAGCACTTTGGGAGTCCAAGGTGGGCAGATCACAAGATCAGGAGTTCAAGACCAGCCTGGCCAACATAGTGAAACCCTGTCTCTACTAAAAGTACAAAAAATTAGCCAGGCATGGTGGTGTGCACCCTGTAATCCCAGCTGTTCGGGAGGCTGAGGCAGGAGAATCACGTGAACCCGGGAGTCCGAGGTTGCAATGAGCTGAGATCACGCCATTGCACTCCAGCCTGGGTGACGGTGTGAGACTGTCTCAAAAAAAAAAAAAAATTGCATTCAATATTCTATACAAGTCCATTAGGTCAAGTTTGCTAATAATATTGTTCAACTTTTCTATTTTCTTCCTGACTTCTTTGTTTTGTAAACATTGAAAGGTGTTTTAAACTCTGCCTTGATTCTGAATTTATCTGCTTGTCCTTATTGTACCTTTGATTTTTTGTGTAAATATTTAGAGAATTTGTTAGGCTCATTCAAGTTAGAACTGTTATATCTTCCTGGTGTTTGAGTCATTTATCATTATGAAACATCTCTATTTCCATATTGCTTTTTGCCTTGAAATCTGCTTTGCATGAATAATATAGCTATGCCAGCTTTTCTTTTGGCTAGAGTTTGCATGGTATATCTTTTTCATCCTTTTACTTTCAATCTTTCTATATCCTTATGTTTCAAGTGTGTCTCTCATAAGTAGCATATAGTTAGCTTTGATTTTTTTAATCCAGTCTGACAATTTTTGTCTTTTGAATAAATCATTTAGTTCATTTACTTTTAATATAGTGTGTGTTGCATTTAAATCAGGCATCTTGTTAATGCTTCTATTTGACTCTTCTGTATTTATTTTCTTTTTTTCTGTATTTCTTTTAGATTGATTATTGTGGGAGAAAGGTAAACAAAACTTTATTCCTTCCCCTTGACAGCTTAACCTCAGTTAAATTTCTAGCTCTGTTCCTCTGGCAACCTAGTAAGACATGTATCACTTAACAACATTACTTATGGTCAGAATTATCCCTGTCAGTAAATTGCATCTGTCTTGGGAGAATGATGTCTGGTGGGTTTTATATACTTTGGGTTTGCCTGAGCTTAGTGACTCCTGTATTAGGTCTGTCCTTTGCTGGACCCTTGAAGCTATGTCTTCTGAGCTGTTCTAAGAGATATTTGGTCCTGTGGGGCATGAGGCTTTTAAGCCAAGTTCACCTCGCACACATGTCCAATGTGGATCTCATCTCCTTACACCTAAGCTGTCACTTGACTGCTGTGTGGACTGCTCCAAGGACACTGACGCTACCTGCTAGCAAACCGTGTTCTTGGCCTTTTGAAGAGATTGGTGCCAAATGTGGCCTATGAGTATTCTGAGTCAAAATGTTTAGTTAGACCTAAGATCATACTCTTTCCCCTCCACTGGTGTTGCAAGTATTTTTTATCATTTTATTTATTCTCTTTATTATTTTGGAAGATTTACTTAAATACTGTTATAGTGGTTACTTGACTTATTGCAATATCATTCTTGAATATAAAAATCTAATGTTATTTGGTACTTTTGCCTCCTTCCTAGGAAATACAAGGCCAATTTAATTCCATTTACCTTCCTCCTAACTTGTATGCTATTTTGGTCATGTATTTTAATTATATACCAAAATAACATGCATGTATTTTAATTATATACCAAAATATATTTGGTCATGTATTTTAATTATATACCAAAATAACATGCATATACATTTTTAAAGCCAGTAAGACATTATTATATCTATTTAGATATAAATATATTTATTATATTAGATATAGATGTTATATCTATATTATCTGTATCTATATTACCTATAGCTATTTATACCTATATGATCTATATTATCTAATATCTATATCTATTATATCTGTTATAGCTATTAGATGATATAGATATAATATATATCTATTTAGATTGTAATTTACATCTATTATATCTATTTATTCACTTGTTTATCTTTTTTCTCTTCCTATTTTTTTAAAATATATCATGGTTTTATTTTGCCAAGTTACTCATGAAAAGCATGACTTTTTTTCTTTTTCTTTTCTTTTTTTTTTGAGACAGGGTCTCACTCTGTCACCCAGACTGGAGTGCATTGGCATGATCTCAGCTCACTGCAACCTCCACCTCCTGGGTTCAAGCAATTCCTGTGCCTCAGCCTCCCAAGTAGCTGGGACTACAGGTGCACGCCACCACACCCAGTTAATTTTTGTATTTTTTGGTAGAGATGGGGTTTCACCATGTTGGCCAGGCTGGTCTCAAACCCCTGACCTCAACTTATCTGCCCACCTTGGCCTCCCAAAGTGCTGGGATTACAGGCGTGAGCCACTGCACCCAACCCCTATATTGTTGACCTTCCATCTGGGATCATTTTCTTCTGCCTTAACCTCACTCTATTATATTTGAAATCTGAGGGTGACAAATGTTGTTTTTGTTTACCAAAAAATATTTCTATACTGTTTTCATTCTTGAAGAATATTTTTGCTCAGTGTAAAATTCTACGTTAGCAGTGTCTTTTGGCACTTCAAAGATAGTGTTCCTTTGTCTTCTGGATTTCATAGTTTCTTTTGAGAAGTTAGCTGTCAGTCTGTCTCTTTGTTGCTCCTTAAGGTAATCTTTTTTTTCCCTCTGGCTGCTTTGATTTTCAGAAGTTTCACTATGATGTGCTTAGGTGTAGATTTTTTTTTAAATATGCTTGTAGTTTGTAGAATCTCTTCCATTTGTAGCTCCCCTTTTTTTTAATCAGTTTTAGCAAGTTCTTTTCAAATATTTCTTCTGTCCCTTCTGTCTCCTCTCCTTTAGAACTCCATCTCACTGTGTCTTCTATACCTCTTAGCCTCCCATCTTTATTTTCCATCTTTTTATCTATCCATGCTTCATTCCAGAAAATTTCTTCTCACCTAACTTCTAGTACATTCATTTTTTTTTTCTTCACCTATTTCTTTTTTTTTTCTTTAAGATGGAGTCTCGCTCTGTTGCCCAGGCTGGAGTGCAGTGGCGCGATCTCAGCTCACTGCAAACTCTGCCTCCCAGGTTCAAGACATTCTCCTGCCTCAGCCTCCTGAGTAAACTGGGATTACAGGAGCGTGCCACCATGCCCAGCTAATTTTTTGTATTTTTAGTAGAAACGGGGTTTCACCATGTTGGCCAGGCTGGTCTCAAACTCCTGACCTCAAGTGATCCACCCACCTTGGCCTCCTAAAGGGCTGGGATTACAGGCATGAGCCACCACACCTGGCCTTCTTCACCTACTTCTAATCTACTCTTGTACTGATCCACTGAGTTCTTAATTTCCTTTATTATATTTTTCAGTTCTAGGTTTCCATTTGGCTTGGTTCTTTTTCATAGTTTCTGGTTCTATACAAAATTCTCATTATTGTCTTTTGTCACCTTGAACATGGTAAGCATAGTTATTTTAATATCTCTATCTGATAACTCCAGTGTCTGGATACCTGCAGGTTCGTTTATTTTTTTATTTTGTTTTGCTGTTTCTAATTCCAGTTTACTTGGCTACTTACATGTCTGGTTACTTTTTATTTTGTTCCAAATATTATATTTGCAAAATTATCTGCAGAAATAATTGGAGGCCCAAGTTTATGTGATTTTTCTTCAGGGAAGAGTTAATTTTGCTTCTTTTAGTTACCTAAGAACAATAGTATTCCAAATCAGCTATTCCAATTTCAAGGACTTAGGTGATTCAAAGCTGAATTATGGGCTCTGTAAAGGACTGCCTCCTTCTACTTCATCCTTATTCCTGTTGGTGGGATCCTAACCCAAAGTGAGAGGGGTTTACCTGTGTCCCCTCCTTTTCAGGCCTTGCTCGCTAATCTTTGTCCCACTAGGCCCATGAAGCTGCCAGAATCACTACTCAGATCCCATCTACCTTCTCTGGAACTGGCAAATTTCCCCAGGAAAAAAAGGCAGCCTCAAACCTGGGTTCTCCTCCACGGTTTTCTTCCTCTCCTGGATTCTGACCCAGTAAATTCTCCACTGTGTTGTTAGATCTCCCATGTCTTCTGGCAAACGTTTTGTTTATTTTGTTTACCTATTCTAGTTAACCCTCAGCACGGGTGTCAGTTTAAATTACCTAGTCTGTCATTACTCAAAGAAAGCCCCCGTATCTTCATTTCATAAATTAGCTAATTAGTTCCAGAGAGAATTTACAGCCAAGACTCAAGTGTTCTGATTTTGTACAATGCTTATTCTGTTACACTGGTGCCAAACATGCAGATAAATCTGGTAGCATTTTGGCATTTACTGTGCTCAGTGCCACTTTTCTTGGTTTATTCACCAAAAAGTAAAGGCATTCTATTCCAGCAAACTAGTAGAAAATCCTTAAGTAAACAGTGCCTCCGCCCGACTTCCCCATCCTATTAAGTTTTTTAAAAAACTTACTATAAGCCATTTTTTAAAGTGAGCTACAGTTGTTCCCCCAATATAGATGCTCCACTTGAAAATCATTACAGATTTAGTGAACGTTTGATCACACATCACTATTTTTAAAGTAGGATTCTGCTTGTGCTTTATAATAAAATATACCAAAATTTAATATCTAATGAAAGGGTTGGTATTCCAGAATAGGGAAGAAGTGTAAGTTATCTATCAATCCATAACAAATCACTGTAAAATATAGTGCTTAAAATAATGGTTCTTTGTCATGATTCAGGGGTTGACTGGGCAGTTCTGCTGGGCTCACCAAGCAGCTGCAGTCAGCTGGGGCGAGATAGGCTAAGATGAGCTCACTCAAATGGCGTGCCTGGATGACTGAGCATCTTTTCTTCATGTAGTCTTTAATCCCGGGCTTCTTCACATGGTAGAAGTGGTCCAAGAGGGCAGGCAGACCCTCTCGAGGATGGACTTCCAGAAGTAACCCAGTGTTGCTTCTGCTGCATTCTACTGGTTAAAGCATGTCACAGGCCAAGCCAGATTCGAGAAGTGGTGTAGAGACTCCACCTCTTACTGGGAGGTGGTGCAAGATATTGAGGTCATGTTTTTCCTTCTGCTACAGATGACAAGATGAAAAAGGGCAGGTGTACTAGGCAGAATAGTGGCCTCTGCATAGCAACAGCAACTCTCTAACATCAGCTAAGTGTCCTACAATTCAATTCAGTTCTTACACTAACTACCCAGAGTTAGCATTAATCTAAAAAATTAAAGGACAGGGTCCCTAATAAGACTCTCCTTTACTTCAGACACCAGCTGCAAGTGAGGTCCACAGAACACCTGCCCTTATATATAACTTGGGTATAAATTTGAGGATTCCCATGACCCCCCTCTTCAGGTTTGATAATTCACTAGAATGATTCACAGAACTCGGGTCCAAGCGCAGGAGCTTCTGTCCCCCTGGAATCAGGGTGCACCACCCTCTGAGTACATCCATGTGTTCACCAACCAAGACGCCGTTGTGAGGCTCAGCGTCCTGAGGTTTTGTTTTTTTTGTTTTATCAGCGTTTCATCACAAAGGCATGATTGACTAAATCTTTGGTCACATGATTAAGCTTAATCTTTAGTCCCCCTAACCTGCCCAGAGGTCAGGCAGCTGTAAGTTCCAGCACATGACGGAGTTTTCTGGTGACCAGCTCCCATCCTGAAGCTATCTAGATGCCCAGCTATGAGTCACCTCATTATCATAACTAAGACACTCCTGTCACTGAAGAAATTTCATAAGTTTTTGAAGCGCTATGCCAGAAACCAGGAACAAAGGCTGGTAGATAATATTTTTTATTCTTACTATTACTATACCATAGTCATCCCAGATGTCCACATCCTAATCCCCAGAACCTATGAACATGATATGTGCTGTGGCAAGGTGGAATTAAGGTTGCAGATGGAGATAAGGCTACTAATAAATGGGCTTGAAAATAAGGGCTTATCCTCCATTACCCAAGTGAGCCCAGTGCTATCACGAGTCCTTCAGTGGGAAGGAGGGAAGCAGAAAAGTCAGAACGAAGAGGTGACATCATAAAAGACTCAACTGGCCATTGCTGGCTTTGAAGATGGAAGGGGGCCACCAGCCAAGGAATGTGGGCAGCCTCCAGAAGCTGGAAAATAAGAGAAAATGGGTTTTCTTCTGGAGCTCCCAAAAACACCAACCCTGCTGACACATTGACTTTTGACTCAGTTAAACCTATTTCAGACTTCTGACCTCCAGAAATGTGAGATAATAAAACTGTGTTGTTTTAATATACTAGATTTATGATAATCTGCTATAGCAGCAATAGGAAACTAATACAGCAGGGCCTAGAAAAAGGCAAAAAATGGCATTACCTTTCACCATGTAGGACAGCATGATAAATGTACTATCGGAGTTTCTTTTTTTAGGTGTTGAAAACTGTTATTCTGTTCAAAATGCAAGTAAATTTACATCCTTCAAATCTCTCCTACTTCTTAAATTATTTACTACCCGTTTCTACTTCTAGCCCTCAGCAGAGCTCAAAACTGCCTAATTTAACTACAGAGTATTCTGTATCTTAATCAAAGTGCATCTGTGTGTGTCTGATAGATAACAGATTCAGAGAAGAAAAAGAAATTCTTTACACTTGTAGGATACATTTGACCTCATTGATTCATCCAGTGATAATTTATTCATTATCTTCAGTGTACCAGGATCTATGCCAAGCATGGTTTTATATTTAAAAGGGGTTATGATCTAATATGTAGTATAAAACTTAATTGGCACAGAGGGAAGGATTGCTAGCTGAGCTCCTTCATAGAATCAGTGATGCCTGTAGGTGGTTTTGGAATTTCTCTACTTACCCGTGAAGTTTAATCTCTTTTCCGAAAGTGCAAACTAATGCAATAATATTAATAATGATGGCTGACACTTAAGGAGCACTTACTATATACCAGAGCTGTCCGTCCCTATCATTCCTTAACATAATATTAACATTAACAAAGAATGTCCTTTTACATTCTCCATCCATTTTCATCGTTAGCTGCTGCCTTTTTCTATTGAATTACTCCTTCAGCTGCTTTAACCTTGTTTTCATAAATACACAGAAACTCGATCTTTACGTCTCTGTTATTTACTTCCTAGTTTTATCCCTTTTCTACTATTCCTAATAAACCCTAAAACATAATTAAACAAAAATTTGGCTGAATGCATGAGAACTTCTAACCTTGAATTGAAGGAGAAAGGAAGAATAACTACTTTATTCACAAGTGTATGCCTGAGAAATTAGAGGCACTGAGCTTAACTTGACACAATTAACACTAATTACATGTTAGTGTCCCTAGCTGGGAAATTTTCTCCAGTGAAACTTACCATTTGCTGATTTATTTCTTTAGGAACCATATTACGTTCGTTGCATCAAACCCAATGACAAGAAATCTCCACAGATATTTGATGATGAACGCTGCCGGCACCAAGTAGAATATCTTGGACTACTGGAAAATGTGAGAGTGCGTCGGGCAGGATTTGCCTTCCGCCAGACATACGAGAAGTTTCTTCACAGGTGAGAATAGACTCGTCAGAGAGGCCTAGTTCACTGAGAATAAGGGAGTCCTCCCCGTACAATAGTGCATCAGCACATATTAGGCAATCTATAAATATTTGTTGGGTGAACAAAAGAGCTGAGGAAATTACAAATATGAAAGACTTTCCCAGTTTCAACATGAGTCCCTGAATTCATGGTTTATGGACCATGAAAAAGTTTCAGCCTTTTGGGAGGAAATACTGGCATCATAGCATAGCAGAAAGAGCACTGATCTGAAATCACATTGTGGGTGGAATTCTGATTATGCCACTTACTTGCTGCTTGATCATGGGCCAGAAATTTAACTTCTATGACCCTGTTTTTGCATCTGTGAAATAAGTAAAATAACATTTCATAGGACTGTTATGAGAAATTAACCTAAGTAAAAAGCCTAGATTCCTGGTACATCATAGCTATTTAATTAACACTGCCTATCATTACTGGTGTCAGTAATTATCATAATAATAAAATATTAAGGAGTTAAGCATGGAGGACCTGAAATCAGTCTGCCTGGTTTGATTCCTGGCTCTGTCATTTTTCAGTTGTGTGACTTTGGACAAATTACATACCCTTTTCATGCCTGTTTCCTCATGTGTAAAATGGGGATAATAATAATAACTACCTTGAAGCATTGCTAGAGGGTTAAATAAGATAATATATACAAAACACTTGGAATAGTAGTACCTCCGTAAAGTAATCACTCAATAAGTGTAATATATTGTTGCTATTGTTAATTTATTGTTGATAATGTTGCTTAATGATACCATGTCATATAAAAAAATGATAATGATAATTGATAACTTGGAATCACAAGAATGCTTTAAATTCCATCTGTTTTAAAACACTTATTGAACATTTTCTATAATCTCGACTATAGTTTTCCCCCCAAAAATGAATAAATATAAATTTACATAAAATATAAATAAGAAAAATGCAGAAAATTAAAATACTTTAGATTAGTTGGTCAAAAAAGAGTCTCTAAGGAGCTGACAATGACAGGAAGCAGCCAGCCATACAAAGATCAGAGCAAAGAGAAGATGGGGCAGAGGGAACAGCCAGGGAAAAGGCTCTATTGTGGTAGTAAGTGAGGCATTTTAGATGCCAAATGTAGTCCATTGTGGTTGGAGGACACTGACAGGACAGTGGTGTGAGATGAGATCAGAGAGATGGACAAGAGCCAAATCATGTCAAACTTTGTAATCAGACTAAACTATTTAGATTTTGGCTAGGCGTGATTTAAAAAACAAAGAAACAAAACCATTGGTGGATTTTAAGCATGGAATTACATAACCTTATGGATGTCTTAAAGGAATCACTGTGGCTACTGTGTGAATAGAAGGCAAGGAGATGTTGGCCAGGCGCAGTGGCTCACATCTGTAATCCCAGCACTTTGGGAGGCTGAGGGGGGCAGATCATGAGGTCAGGAGATCTAGACCATCCTGGCTAACAAGGTGAAACCCCATCTCTACTAAAAATACAAAAAATTAGCCGGGCGTGGTGGCGGGCGCCTGTAGTCCCAGCTACTCGGGGAGGCTGAGGCAGGAGAATGGCCTGAACCTGGGAGGCGGAGCTTGCAGTGAGCCAAGATCATGCCACTGCACTCCAGCCTGGGTGACAGAGCGAGACTCCGTCTCAAAAAAAAAAAAAAAAGGGCAAGGAGATGTTTAAGGATGCTATTGCAGGAGTCCAGGAAACAGGGCTTGATGACAGTGCCTTCAGTAAGGGACTATTATAGATATGAGAGCAGTGGACAGATTTGGGATATGTTTGAGGGATAAAGTTGACAAGACTCTCTCATGGATTGGATATGATGAAATAGGAATAAAGAGGAATGAAGGATGAAAATTATATTTTGGCTTGAGCATCTAGGTAAGCACAGTACCATTTGCTGAGATAAAATTGGGTAAAATAATTTTGAGGAACAGGATGTGGAACAGGAGTAAAGATGGAATCAAGATTATTCTCTTGACTATGTTAACTTTGACACATCTCTATGTTCACTTTGAAATGCCTACTAAGTATCTAGGCAGAAATATTAAGCCATTAGACTTTCATACCTGGAGTTCTGGAAAGAAGTTTAGGCTGCAAATAAGAGATTTTGGAGTCACTGGTAACATAGATTACATAGAAAGTCTCGGGACTGGATAGTGAAGAGGAGGAGGTCCATGACAATGTTTAGATTTGTGGTCTGGCATGAAAGAACCAGCAAAGATAAGAGAAGCAGCAACCAATAAGGTAGAAGAAAAACCAGAAGAGGATTATGTTACAGAAGCCAAGAGAAGATGGCTTTTTTTTTCTTTTTTTGACAGGGTCTTGCTCTGTCACCCAAGCTGGAGTACAGTGGCGCCATCTCAGCTCACTGCAGCTCCACCTCCCGGGTTCAAGCGATTCTCCCACCCCAGCCTCCCAAATAGCTGGGATTACAGGGGCGCGTCACCACACCCAGCTAATTTTTTTTTCATTTTTAATAGAGACAGAGTTTCACCATGTTGGCCAGGCTGGTCTCAACCTCCTGACCCCAGGTGATCCACCCGCCTCAGCCTCCCAAAGTGCTGGGATTATAGGCATGAGCCACCACGCCCAGCCAGAAGATGGCATTTTAAGAAGAAAAGTGTAGCAACTTTATGCTGCCCTTTATATGAAGTTCAAGAGCAGGCAAAACTAATTTATGGTGATAGAAATCAGAATAGTGGTTAGCTATTTGTATGGCAGACTAGAAAGCAGAATGGGGGAACTCTCTGAGATGATATATCTTGATCAGGGTGTCGGTTTCATGAGTATACACGTTTGTCAGAACTTGAATTATATACTTGAATTATATACTTAAATGTGTATATTTTAGTGTATGTAAATTTGATCACAATTTTTAAAATGTTTTTTAAAAACTAAACTTTTTTAAAAAGTAAATTAGTGGGCCAGAGGATCAAGCTGAAGTCTTGTTCCAGATCTCATCACAAAGAAAAAAAGATGGGAAGTATTAAACAAAGGTCTAGCCGCATGTAAGGTTGATCCAGGAGCAGCAAAACCCATGTAACAGAAGGACTAGAGGAAAGAACACCAAGAATAGGGGAGAGGCACTATTCGAACAGTGGCCAGGGATTTGCATGAACTGAAAAAAGACGAATCTTCAGATTAAAAGGATACACTGATTGTCAAGCATAAGAATTTTTTAAAAACTTAAAAATACATTTGTTCACTTTTAGAATGTTAAAGAAAAATAATTATAGCTCCCAAGAAAAAAAGACAAACTGCCTTTGGGGAGTGAGAATCACGCTGACATCTGGTTCCTCATGAACGTTTGATCAAGTAGACGAAGGAGCAAAATGCCTTCACAGTGTAAGGAAAGGGCTTTCATGCCTAGAATTGTATTCTGTGTCAAAATACCATTCAAGAGTGTGAGTAAAATAAACAGCATTTTCTGGCATACCTAGTTTGAGAAAGTTTATTACTCATAGACCCTCTGAAAAATCTTCTAGAGGATATACTTCAGCAAAAAGAAAGATGAATGCAGAAAGGAAACATGTGGCAGGATATATGCAAAAAAGCAACATTGAGCAAAGAAATCTGTAAAACTTTTTGTTAAATCTAAACAAGTACTGATTGTAAGGGTGGGGAAGAAGTCTTTAGTGATAATCTGGAACAAAAATTAAAATGGGAGTGAGAAGTAGAGATAATTAAAGATTTTGTCCTATTTATGGAAAGGATATTATAGACCGTGATTAACTAGACAGGAAAAGAATTATGTGTTGAAATTTTCAAGTGAGTTATAATAATAGTTGTGAATATTTTGAAATGTTTACTGGATGTACTAGATACTGATTTAAACATTTCACATATAGGAAGTCACTGGAACTGACAACCACTTGAGGAGTATACATTATTCCCCTTTTATGTGGCTCATCCAGTGATGATGAGAGAAAAGATAATATTTTCTACAGTGAATTTTTGCTTTTAGATTCTGCAGATTTTTTGCAAGTAGTTTAGGTTTGAACCTGAATTTTTGCTTGTGACTTTTCTTCATTTTCATTTATTTTACTGAGAAAAGAGAGAAGGATTTAAAACATGCTGATAACCTTAAAAGCTACTAAAGTCCTTTAGGGAGGTAAAACTCCTTGTCAGAAAGCAGATGAGTTCAACTTTTTAATTAGCAAGTTCAGATTGCTGGTTTGCCAGAGAACCAGGGTCATGCAGTTTGCTGGCATGAAAGAAGGCAGAGTGCCTCTTGCCTGCCATGGGAGCTGAGCAGTGGGGCTGTAGGATAGCAATCCAGTTTCTGAAGCGTGCCTGAAACAAACAACACCAGCACTACCCATATGATGACCCAGATGTAGACCCCTACTATAGTTTGGTGTAACAAATTTGAGAGGTTTCTGATTTCACTTTTTTTCATGTGACATTGTTTGGTATTACCTCTGTCTTTATATTAAAACTTTTTCATTTGGCTTTGATCTCTGCCCCCATCTAGCAAGTGAGTAGGCTTTAAATGATTTCTTTTCATTCATTCTGCAAATATCTATTGCCTCATAGTATGGCAGGCAACATGATAGGCACATGGTATATAGTGGGGAACAAAACAAAGTCCCTGCCTTCATATTAGCCACAGACTAGGGAGGGAGACTGACATTAAGCAGATAAACCCACAAATCAGTATGATTACAAGTTGTGATAAATCATGTGAGAAAAGAATAAATAAAACTAGTTGCCTTAGAGAGAATATTGGGGGTAGAGGGTTTGTTGATATACAAAGATCAAGAAAAGACTAAAGGATGAGAAGGAGCCAGACTTTCAAGGACTAGATAAAATGCATTCCGGGCAGTGGGAACAGCATGTGCAAAGACCCTGAAGTAGGAAGGAGGCAACCGCATTACAGAACCCCAAAGAAGTTAACATGATTGATGGATAGTGAGGAAGGAAAGCAGCCAAAGACAAAAATGATTTCAAGCTTTTTAGAAAACTACTCTGACTGATGTATGCAGAATGGATTGGAAAGGAAATGGAAAATAATTTAGGAGTCTGTTGTAAACTAGAAGGTGGCTTGCCTTTGAATTGAAGCAATAAAGATGAGGAGAATTGTTAAATATATTTTGGAGGTAGAGTCAATAGAACTTGATGATGGATTAGAAATCATGATAGGGCAGGGAAAGAATAAAAATATTCTCAGGATCCTGGCTTTAGTAACTGGGTAGATTGAGGTAGGAAAGACTGAAGGAGTAATTAAGATGCCTTCAAGACCTGTATAGACATTGGATATATAAATCTGAAGCTCATAACTGAGGGCTAGACTAGGGATAACACACAAATTGAAAATATATGTTTATATTTTATATACTTATAAAATATACATATTTTTGTTTTTATATTTGGAATGTTTTATTAAAAGTAAGTGGACTAGATGAGGTAATGTGGGGAGAGAATACATAGAAAGAAGTCCAGGTCTTAGGCTTGGGACACGCCTGCATTTGGGGGTATAGTAGTAGCCAGAGTAGCCAGAAAATCAGATTGACAAGATATATCCAGGGAGGCAGAAGGAGAGCATGCTGTCATGGAATCTAAGAAAAGAGATATGTCAAGAAGAAGGAAGTAATTAACTGTAATTAGGGAGTAATTAACAGATGCTTCCTACATATCTACTATCTTAACAAGAAATATGAAAAGCCCTGTGAATGATTTATATTCCTTTGGGTATATACCCAGTAAGGGGATTGCTGGGTCAAATGGCATTTCGGGTTCAAAATCT
This sequence comes from Homo sapiens, assembly GCF_000001405.40. Lineage (NCBI taxonomy): Eukaryota > Metazoa > Chordata > Mammalia > Primates > Hominidae > Homo > Homo sapiens. The sequence continues at coordinate 32,715,264 of NC_000017.11, read as the reverse complement.
TTGAGGAATCACCACACTGTCTTCCACAATGGTTGAACTAATTTACATTCCCACCAATAGTATAAAAGTGTTCCTGTTTCTCTGCAACCTTGCCAGCATTTGTTGTTTCTTGACTTTTTACTAATTGCCATTCTGACTGACGTGAGATGTTATCTCATTGTGGTTTTGATTTGCATTTCTCTAATGATCAGTGATGTTGAGCTATTTTTCATATGTTGGCCGCATGTATGTCTTTTTTTGAGAAGTGTCTGTTTATATCCTTTGCCCACTTTTTAATGGGGTTGTTTGATTTTTTTTTTCTTGTACATTTGCTTAATTTCCTTTTAGATTCTGGATATTAGTCCTTTATCAGATGGATAGATTGCAAAAATTCTCTCCCATTCTGTAAGTTGTCTGTTCACTCTGATGATAATTTCGTTTGTTGTGTAGAAGCTCTTTAGTTTAATTTGTCATTTTTGCTTTTTTTGCAATTACTTTTGGTGATTTCATCATGAAGTCTTTGCCCATGCCTGTATCCTGAATGGTATTGCCTAGATTTTCTTGTGGGGTTTTTATGGTTTTGGGTTTTACATTTAAGTCTTTAATCCACCTTGAGTTAGTTTTTGTATAAGGTATAAGAAAGGGATCCAATTTCAATTTTCTGCATATGGCTAGCCAGTTCTCCCAGCATCATTTATTAAATAGGGAATCCTTTCCCCATTGCTTGTTTTTGTGGATACATGCACAGGTATGTTCATTGCAGCACTATTCACAATAGCAAAGACATGGAATCAACCCAAATGCCCATCAATGAAATGATAGACTAGATAAAGAAAATGTGGTACATACACACCATGGAATACTATGCAGCCATAAAAAGGAAAGAGGTAATGCCCTTTGCAGGGACATGGATGGAGCTGGAAGCCACTATCCTCAGCAGACTAACAGAGGAACAGAAAACCAAACCGCACATGTTCTCACTTATAAGTGGGAGCTGAACAATGAGAACACGTGGACATATCGGGGTGAATAACACACACTGGGGCCTGTTGGGGTGGGGGTGGGAGAATGGAGATCATCAGGAAGAATAGCTAATGGATGCTGGGCTTAATACCTAGGTAATGGGCTGATTTGTACAGCAAACCACCATGGCACACATTTGCCTATGTAACAAACCTGCACATCCTACACATGTACCTCAGAACTTAAAAATAAAATAATTATTAAAAAAAAAAAAGAAAGAAAAGACATATGAGAAAACTTTAAAGATTCATGTAAGGCACAAAGCAGACTAGATCAAGTGGGAAAACATCTCTTGTTCTTGAATAGGACAACTCAACACCATATAAAAATTAATGGATTCACTGAGTGCAGTGGCTCTTGCCTATAATCCCAGCATTTTGAGAGGCCAAGGCGGGCAGATCACTTGAGGTCAGGAGTTCAAGACCAGCCTGGCCAACATGGTAAAACCCCATCTCTACTGTTAACAAAAAAATTAGCTGGGCTTGGTAGTTGCCTGTAATCCCAACTGCTCAGGAGGCTGAGGCAGGAGAATCACTTGGACCGGGAGGCGGGGGTTGCAGTGAGCTGAGATCGCACCACTGCACTCATAGATAGAGCGAGACTCTGTGTCAAAATAATAATAATAATAATGTATTTAATGTTCCAACTCACTAAATCTATCAAGGGTGCTTTGGGTCTTTAAAAATTGTTTATTCACTGAATTCTGGTTTTTTTGCCTGGAACTGTAAAACTTGATTCTGAAGTTCATTTGGAAAAATATGTGTGCCAGAATAACTAGAAAGACCTTTAAAAAAGAAAAGAATTAGGAAAAACATTAAAATGTACTTGTATCCTCTATAATTAAAACCATGTGGTAGTGATGCACAGATGGACAGACACAGCAATGAAACAGACCAGAAAGTCCAGAAATAAACTGAAGCACATATGATAAAGGCAGCATGTTAATCACAGAGGGGAAAGATGGACTTTTTAATAGTGTTGGAACAGCTAGACAGCCATTTGTTAAAAGATAAAATTAGATCCATACCTCACACCATATACCAAAAAAACCCTCTAAATGATCAGAAATCTAAATGTGAAAAATGAAAACATACAAGTACTAGAAGAAAACATAAATGCATTACTCTATAACCCAAGTGAAGAAAGCTTTTCATACAATGACTTAAAATTTAGATGTAATATAAGAAAAAAACTAAATTTGACTACATGTGTTAAACAACTTTGCATGATGGAAAAAGCTCTGTGATAGCCTTCTAAGATGCCCTCTACCTCCTGGTATCCATGCCCTGTGTAATCCCCTTCCTGTGAGTGTAGGCTAGACCTAGTGATTTGCTTCTGACAAAGTAGAATATGGCAAAAGTGATAGGATGTCACTTTTGAGATTAGACCACAAAAGACTGTGACTCTGTGACTTCTGTCTTGTTCACACTCACACTCATGAAGCAAGCCGCTGTGTGGTGAGCTGCCTTAATGAGAGGCCCACATGACAAGGAGCTGTTGACTGCTCGTATGTAGAAATGCAATTAATTTTTGTGTGTTGCTCTTATGTGCAGCAACACTGCTTAATTTTCTTTTAGTTATAATAGTTTTTTTATCTAGAGATCTGCTTGATTTCCTTTGAGGAAAGTTACATTATACATAAGTAGTATCCATTTTGTTTTTCTGTCAGTCATTTACCAATTATGTCTTGGTCTCACTATGTCGACTAGACCTCCAGAGCAATGCCGAGCAGGACCCATGACAGAGCCACCCTTCTCTTGTATCTGTTTGTAAAAAGAATGTTTCTAAGGTTACCCCTTTATGAACAATATTTGCCGTAGGATTTTGGCAAATAGACTGTATGAGCTTGAGGAAGTCCCTTCTATACCTAGTTTAGTAAGAGTTGTTATCTTAAAGTGTTTTATTTTACTGAAGCCTTTTTTGCATACCTTATGAGGCTAATGAAATTCTATTGATAGTTTGCTAAGATTTGGTTTTCTATGAGGTGTCTTGCATTTTATTGAATAGTTTTCTATTGAGATGACCATATGGTTTTCTCCCTTAACCCTGTTTCTTTTTTTCATCCAGGTATAAGATGATCTCTGAATTCACCTGGCCCAACCATGACCTTCCTTCAGACAAAGAGGCTGTCAAGAAACTAATTGAACGGTGTGGTTTTCAGGATGATGTAGCTTATGGGAAGACCAAAATTTTCATTCGAACACCCCGAACATTGTTTACCTTGGAAGAACTCCGTGCCCAGATGCTCATAAGGATTGTCCTCTTTCTACAAAAGGTAATTTTATATTTTATATATAAGGATAAGATTTTGCTTTTAAGTTCTTAAAAATTTGTTGCATATTTTCTTTAATTCAAGAAATATTCCTGGAAGATATGTTGTTTTATGTCTATGCATATCTTAAAATGTTTTCTGTTGCCTTCACACATGGAAAACTTACTTGGTTGCCCCAGTTCAAAATTATTTTTGCCCAAGTTCAAAATTATTTTATCTTCAAAACTCTGAAGATATTTTGTTTTTAAAGTTGGAGAGATGTCTGAACCAGTCTTTCTGTCCTTTACTGTTAACTGTGTTTTTTCCTTCAGCTTAAATGCATAAAGGACTTTTTTTTTCCCCCCCGAGACGGAGTCTCACTATGTCACCTAGGCTGGAGTGCAGTGGCACAATCTTGGCTTACTGCCACCTCCACCTCCAGGGTTCAAGTGATTCTCCTGCCTCAGCCTCCCGAGTAGCTGGGATTACAGGCGCACACCACCACACCTGGCTAATTTTTGTGTTTTTAGTAGAGATAGGGTTTCACCATGTTGGTCAGGCTGGTCTCGAACTCGTGACCTCGTGATCTGCCCACCTCGGCCTCCCAAAGTGCTGGGATTACAGGCGTGAGCCACCACGCCCGGCTGCGTAAAGGACTTTTAAATCTTGTAAGTAAAAAATGTTGCCAACATGTTTGAAATTGCCTCCTTCACCTATCATTACCTACTCACCACCACTTGACCTCAGTGCTGACTCAATGCTCGTTAGTTGATGGTGCTGTACCTGTCATCATTGATCTGTGCAAGGCCCCTTCTCATTTCATTCACTAATTCATGTATTTCTTTGTATCCCCCATACCCTTTCCCATATCTTCCATATGAACTAAAATAATGCAAAAAATTGTAGAGCTATATGAAAAATCATATACCTCTGTGAGGATGTCCTTGGGATATATACCTAGGTGAAAAGTTGCTGGGTCATAGGGCATGTGTATACCTAATTGATATAAATAGTGCCAGGTTATCTTGCATGAGCCAGTTTGCACCGCCAACAGCTGTATATGAGGGTTACTATGTGCCATATCCCTACCAGTATCTTCCAGCTACCTAAATTTTGTCAGATTAATAGATAGAATGATATCTCATTGTTGTTTTACTTTGTATTTCTCTGATTACCTTTGAGTTTGATTATCTCATTAAATGCTTCTTTGCTTGCTGTATTTTCCTGTAAACTGTCTATTCATACTTTGTTTTTCTACTCGAGCTGGTACTTTCTTGTTGATTAGCAGAAATGCCTTCAATATTCCAAACATTAACCTCTTATTTACTTTAGATGTTATATATTCTCCTATTCTGTAAGCATTCTAATGAACTTTATCCATAAGATGCTTTGTGGACCGAATTCTTAATTTTGACATAATCAAAGTCTTCAATATTTTGCCTTATAGTTAGTGATTTGGAATTTTCTTTAAGAAGGCTTTTCATGTCTCTCAGTCACAAAGATATTCTGTATTTTCTTCTATGAACTGTATGGTTTTACCTTTCACATTTAGGTCTTTAATTCATTTAGAATCCACCTTCATACATGGTTTTATATAGGAAACTAGTTTTATTTTTCTCCATATGGTGAGAAAGTTTTCTCAATATCATCTACTAAGCAATCTGCCCTTTTCCCATTGATTTGCAGTGCCACTTTTATTATATATTAAGTTCCTGTATGTAGATAGGGAATAGTTTTATTCACACTTACACACACATCCTGTCTCTGTGTGCTCTATTCTGTTCCATTTTTCTATTTGCCTGTTTTTGCACTAATGCAACACAGCTTTTATTATATATATTAGTGTGTTAGAGGGTTAGTTTATCTTTTCTACTTCTTTATTAAGGTTGATTAACCTATACATAGACCTTTATTCTGCAGTATACATTTTAAGTGCATAAGTTTATTAAATTCAATAATTTTTATTAGGATTGAACTGAATATAGATTAATTTGAAATGATTAACATTTCTACAATATTAAATCATCTTATTAAGAGTGTAATATAGGTTTACTTAAATCATCTTTATTGAACTTTAGACTTAGGCCCTATGAATTCATGGTTAATTCCTAGATACTTTATTATTTTTGTTGCTGGGGTGAATTTTTTTATTATGTTTCCTACATGGCAGTGTTAGTACAGAGAAATAATATTGATTTATGTTGCTTTATCTAAATCTAGAACAAAACCTTTCTTGATTTATATTTGTTGATTCTGTTGGCTTTCCTAGGTAAATAATTATATCATGTATAAATAATGAATTTTTTCTTCCAGTTGCCAAGATGTTTCTAAGTGTTGGTTTCTTTTTATTTATTTTGCCTAGAGCTCAGGAAAACATTTGGACTGGAATACTAAATTCTGTTTCATCCCAAAACATTTTCCTTCTATTAATTTTTTTTTAATGTTGCTTTCATTCAGTTCTATTTCTCAAGAATGCTTGTAAATGTTTCTGTTGGATCTCTGTTTTCTGCCATAGTAAATTATTTTCAAGTATCTGTTCTTCTCTGTCTTCAAGTCCTGGAGTCCTTACCCTTGGATCTCAAGTACTTACCTGTAGGCTTGTTTTTAGGGTTTTTTTGGTAGATTCCTCTGCCCCCAGATCTGTTACTATGTCTTTTTTTCTTTCTACCTATTCAAGAGATTGATTGATTCAAGCTCAGAGTTAGACTCTGAACCAGGGTGACCATACCTCTCAGTTTGCTTAGGACAGTCCTGGTTTATGGCAATTGCCTGTTGTGACTATTAATAGTACCCCTTTTACTCTCAAAGTGTTCCAGTATGGATAAACTACATAATCACTCTACCCTGGAACTCACTTTCTTTCTACATGGTGCCCGGTAGATTCCTCTTTTTAAATCTACAGCGATAGTTTGTTTACTTCCTTCACAATTGTCAGTGTCCCACAGACTTCAGTCTGTGGCAGCTCTGCTAGCCAAAGATGAGCCCAGCTCATATATAAAAAGATGTAATTCCAGGTGTGCTACTAGGGCTGCAGCCACTAGGCTTCTTCCTTTCCTGGTTCTCTCTGACAGCACTGTGCTTCTAGAAATGCAGGGTGCCATTACCAGTCCCTACCTCTGCTTTTTTTCTGGTGAGAAATTAGTCTCTGTCTAGGAAAGAGATTCTAAAAGAGAAGGGACAGTGGCTTCAAAAATTATCACATATGCAGTGAAGGGAAAGCTGTCCAGTCTTCTCTGTGAGACAGATCTCGCATTTCTTCACCATGAGGCAGTGGAGTAGGGAATATAAGGGTCTCCTTCCCTATGCTCAAGAAGACCATTCCAGGGTATCTTATGTGCGACCTACTGATTATGTTTTTTTGGATCAACTCCACAGGCCATAAAATTGGAGGAAATTTCTCTGGGCTTTTCGGAATGGGTCATCAGTCACCTAACCATGTGATGTGTGTTTTTACTTTTTCTGTATCCTTATAGAAATTTAATGGGAAGTTAGGAGAGACAGTATCAGGAGCTGTTATTTTAAACAAGAATCTCCAACAATTGATTTTTATTTCCTTTTAAAATAAAAATAGCTATACTGATAATATAAATAAATTATGCTCATTGTAAGAACAAATTTAAAGCATACAAAAAATATAAGGGAAAATGTGAAAAAGTCACCTAAAACCCCACCATCCAGAAGTAACATCATTAACATTGTGGTGGCCATCCTTTTTGATATCTTTCTGTGCATATAGACAAACATATCTAAAATAATATAAAGAAGATCATAGTTCATATGAGTGTATTTCTATGATCAACTTTATCTTTTTCTGCAGTACTTTGTACTATCTTTTTTCCCCACATTTTTCCTCTCTGCCCACATTTCTTCTCACCCCCTATGTCGAGAGTCCTCAAGACTATCCTGTTTTGATGATTCACTAGAAGGATTCACAGGACTCAGCATAGTGTTGTACTGATGAGTAGAATTTATTACAGCGAGAGGATCAAAGCAAAATCAGCAAAGGGAAAATGCACAAGGAGTGAGATCCAGAGGAAACCAGGAGCAGGCTTCCAAGAGTCTTCTCCCAGTAGAGTGGCACCAGATGCACTCAATTCCTCCAGCAATGAGCTGTGTCAACACATGCCAAGTGTTGTCTACCAGGGGAGCTCCTTAGAGACTCAGTACTCAAAAGTTTTTACCAGGAACTGGTCATTAGGCACCTTCTGCCTATCATGTACCAAAATTCCAGATTCTCAGAAGGGAAATCAGATATTCAGCACAATCTACATTATTTGTATAAACATAGTTTAAACACAGTAAACCAATCTTATTACTTAGGGAAAGTTTTGTATCAACGTAGGGAGCTGTTGACCAGCAAGTTCCCAGACACCAGCCAAGGACCAACAGACAGACCACTGTAAGCATAGTAGTCTCAGGCCTGCTATGTAAACTCTTTTATGGGGACCCCCATTAGTCTTCCCTAAACTTTAATAGACATCTTTATACATGTAGCCTTCCATACTGGTGCCTTCATTTCTATGCGCTGAATTCCCAGGAGTGAGATTGTTAAGTTGAAGAGTATATATGGTTTTAATCTTAAGAAATCATATTTCAACCCACAATGCAAGTGAACTCTTTTCTCTAAATTTTTGACCACAGTGGCTTTTACCAGGCTTTTTAATTTTTTCCCTTCTGATCAATAAGAAATAATACCTTATTTCTACATTTTTTAATTTCCATGACTACCCTTGAGTGTGTGCTTATTGGCTTTTTGGATTGCCTCTCTTGTGACTTATTGATATTCTTGGCCCATTTTTATATTGGGTTGTTCATCCTTTTCCTATGAATTTGTGGGAGCTATCTGTATATAATATGCATTAATATTATGTATTACAGTTATTTTTGTTAGAGTTGTCATTTGACTCTGTTAATCGTAAACTCTTCGATGTGAAAATTTTCACTCTCAATATAATGAAATTTGTCTTTTTCTTCATAGCATCTGGGTTTCTTAAAAAAAAAATTATGGATCTGGGAGGCTGGGCGCAGTGGCTCACACCTGTAATCCCAGCACTTTGGGGGGCCGAGGCGGGTGGATCACAAGGTCAGGAGATCGGGCCCATCCTGGCTAACACGGTGAAACCCCGTCTCTACTAAAAATACAAAAAATTAGCCAGGCATGGTGGCAGGTGCCTATAGTCCCAGCTACTCAGGAGGCTGAAACAGGAGAATGGCGTGAACCCGGGAGGCGGAGCTTGCAGTGAGCTGAGATCGCGCCACTACACTCCAGCCTGGGCAACAGAGTGAGACTCCATCTTAACAAAAAAAAATGTATAGATCTGGAATTTATTTTTGTACATGATTTTGTCCCAGGCGAATAACTAGCTGTTTTAATTTTATTTAAACATTTCTATTTTTTCCACTAAATTGAAATTCCACCTTTGTTCAGTGTTAATCTTCCATACATTCATGAATGTATTTCAGGACTCACCATTTTATTCTACAGTCAATTCCTATGGCAGTACCATGCTGTTTTTGTTATAGTACAGCATAATAGATTTTAATATCTGAGAACCTGGCTTTAAGTGTATTTTCATACCTTTTCTGTGCCATAATAGAGATTTAGGCCAGGTGCAATGGCTCATGCCTATAATCCCAGCACTTTGGGAGGCTGAGGTGGGCAGATCACTTGAGGCCAGGAGTTCAAAACCAGCCTGGCCAACTATGGCAAAACCCCATCTCTACTAAAAATACAAAAATTAACCTGCTGTGGTAGCGTGCACCTATAATCCCAGCTACTCAGGAGGCTGAAGAACGAGAATTGCTTGAACCTGGAGGCAGAAGTTGCAGTGACCTGAGATTGTGCCACTGCACTCCAGCCTGGATGACAGAGTGAGACTCTGTCTCCAAAAAATTAGAGATTTATTGGTAAGTTGTAGAAGGTTCAGTCAAGAATGTTGACTGTATTAGTCTGTTCTCATGCTGCTAATAAAGACATACCCAAGACTGGGTAATTTATAAAGGAAAGAGGTTTAATTGACTCACAGTTCCACATGACTTGGGAGGCCTCACAATCATGGCAGAAGGTGAAAGGCATGTCTTAACATGGTGGCCGGCAAAGAGAGAGATGAGAGCCAAGTGAAACAGATTTTCTCTTATAAAACCATCAGATCTCATGAGACTTATTCACTACCATGAGAACAGTATGGGGGAAACTGCCCCTATGACTCAATTACCTCCCACTTGGGTCCCTCCCACAACATGTGGGAATTATGGGAGCTACAATTCAAGATGAGATTTGGGTGGGGACACAGCCAAACCATATCATTAACTAAAACCAGAACCTCCAAAATTTATCGTTCTTAGAGAGATACAAACTGTGTTACTTTCCGATGCATAAAAAAATGTATAGTCTTCCACTATCATCATCTAAACCATTAACTACTCAGTATCAAGAATTACAGATAATCGGCCACGTGTGGTGGCCCATGCCTGTAATCCCAGCACTTTGGGAGGCCAAGGCGGGCGGATCACGAGGTCAGGAGTTCTAGACCATCCTGGCTAACATGGTGAAACCCCGTCTCTACTAAAAAAAAGTACAAAAAATTAGCCGGGCATGGTGGTGGACTCCTGTAGTCCCAGCTACTCAGGAGGCTGAGACAGGAGAATGGCGTGAACCTGGGAGGTGGAGCTTGCAGTGAGCTGAGATCGTGCCACTGCACTCCAGCCTGGGGGACAGAGTGAGACTCCATCTCAAAAAAAAAAGAATTACAGATAATCTGTTTAGTGCATATTGTTCCTCTTAGTATACAGTCAGCCCGCTGTATACACAGGTTTCACATCCTGTGAATATTGTATTTTCTATCTGCATTGGGGTGAAAAAAAAAAATCTGTATGAGTGGACCCACGTAGTTCAAATCTGTGCTGTTTAAGGGTCAACAGTACTCAGTCGTGTATTTGATATTGTAAGGAATTTGTGAAATGAGTAGAAAGATCTCTTTTTTTAAAGAAATAACCATCTAGATTGCAAAAACTGTTTTATTGATTTTATAGTGGATAATTTATAGCAATACAAGTTCATGTTGAAAAATGAAAAAATATAATTTTATATTATTTAAAATATGTTATTTTATATTAAATGCAAATTTAAATTGTTACATCACTGTTGTGTAATACTTTTTTGTTATATCTTTACTCTCTACACATTTATTGCATATTTGTAATAGCTGACTTAGTCCTTCATAGGATTCCTCAATCTGCATTTCCTCAATCAGTCTACTATTACCAGGCATTTAGGCGTTTCCAATTCTTCACTCTCACAGGTCTCATTACAGTGCACATCCCCGTTTACCTAGAGCAGTGCTTGACAAGTACTAACAATTCAGTGAATGTTAGCTGCTGTTATTACTACTAGTGCTGCTACTACTACCATTGACTATTTCTAAATATCCTTGATTATTTTGTTGGAATAAATTCTCAGACACGAAATTGTTGGTTTAAAAGATGTACACTGTTAAGGTTTTCTATACCCATTTTCAAATGGCCCCTAGAAAGATTGTACCAATTTATGTTCCCACCAACTAATGTGGGAAGGAGTTTGTCTCACTGATGCACTGGTTATTTTCATTTTTTAGAGCACTCTTTGTGAATGACTGAAAACCTGAATGTTTTGTCTGAATATTGAAAAATGTGTTTTATAAAAAGCCCCAGTTATACTATACCCATTAAAAGAAATGAATCAATGTAGCCAGTGAGATTTTTATAAAGGTCATTCTTCTCTACCTTTCATAATGCACATTTGATTCACTTACCCATATACCCTCTACATTTGAGTTTGTGTGTGTGTTCCTTATATCACATTTGAATGAGAAATCACTAAGATGGTGTTTCTAGAAGGCACTGAAGAAACTATATAAGTTTTCAAAATTACAGCTTTAAGAAAGGAGGTGCTAAGAAATCAGTAAACTATGTTGTCATTTCAGCAGCAAACACGTGGATGGAGCTGAGTTGAAGTATACAGTGATTTAGCGTATTATGAGATAAATCTGTCCACACTGATTTTGTTATTTTAGCTTTTTTTCTTCTTCAACCTGGGCCTTTCTGGTTTGGGATTTATCATTCATCTTCTATGTGTCATATTCATTAATTCCCAGAAAATAGGACACTTATTTGTTGCATGGCTGGGGAAATCCTGAAAGAAGACTGTAGTTTTAACTTTTAACTAATAATTAACAATTAGCCAAATTTTAATGAAAACAATGTACCAAATGCATAACAAAGATTTATAATCCTCTAATATTCTGTAACCATTCAGACTAAAATATTTTGTTGTCTCGGAAGAGGAATGGGATATGAAAACCTTCAAAAAACTTCCTTTCTTTTTTGGTAGATATATAGTTTATAGTTATGTTCTCATTCTAGGGAATCATAGGGCAAGATCAAAATCGTCAATAGCCAGGCACGGTAGCATGCACCTGTAATCTCACCTACCCAGGAGGCTAAGGCAGGAGGATCACTTTAGCACAGGAGTTCAATACCACCCTTGGCAATATAGCAAGACCCCTATCTCAAAAAAAAAAAACAAGCAAAAGGGATCAAAATTTATATATAAAGTTATGTTAAGAATGGATTCTCAAAGGGAGATAGAAAAGAATTGAGAAAGTTTGTCTTTTGTGTCCATTAACAACAAATTTGGACAGGTAGATAAATTGAAAGAATAGATTTCTTGACCCACCTATAACACAAATAGGTGCCTTTGTGAATTGTTTTTATTTGGGGGATTTGGCCTTTTTTAAAGGGCATCTATAATTAATTATAGACAGAGATCTTAATTGCTCACTGTGTCACATAGTTGGACCATTTCAGATTGCATAGCTTTGATTGTAGCTCTAGGAATGGAAACAGCTCTTCCAGTGTAGTTAAGAGGGCAAGGCCTTTCCTCTGTCACTCACTGAAGGCTACTAAACATATAAATTATTTCTCAAAATGGTAATATCTTAAGACTCTAATCATTTTCCTCTGAGCAATTTGTAGGTAACTTAGCATCACAGTTACAGCTTATGAATTCTACAGCAGCAAGAACTGTCAACTCTTTGGAAATTTAAATTATGCTACCCCTTACCTGCTCCATGTTCCATGCTATGAGTTTTCCAGTTTTTATTTCAGGCCTAATTGTGGCTCGCAGCTTGTAGCATCCATGATACAGTGAACTGTGGGGTCCACAGTCAAGCTTGAATTTGAAGTCAGTTGGCAGTCTTCCATTGTAGTTGTGTGAAACTACAGACATGTCTTTATAGGAAATAATAGAAATACTTGCTATAAATATTCAGATGCATTCAGTCCCCAGAATGTATTTTTGCCTATCTGGTAGATTCCTAATTAGAGGATGATAGTAATTTGATTATTAAATCATTGCAAAATTGATGCAATTCCAAAAGCAGAATAGCACTGGGGGGCGAGGAGGGACAAAGGAATGAGTGGAGAAGAAAGTCTGTGGAAAGACGTGAAAGAGAAAAAGATATGAAAAAGATAAAGCCAAGAACAGGGAAAAAAAAGCCTCAAGCTAGTGAAATAAAATATTCAAGATATAGGCTAAAATTATATGATTGTTTCTAATTTTATGTGGAATTCAAAGTGGAATTATAGGGTAGTTAGGGATCTTTTCTTAATTCAAAATAATAAACATTTGACATTCCCCTAGCAAACTAATATTATGAAAATATTCAAAAATAGGGTATGTGATTTTATCAATAAATCAGTGCAGGCATAATGTATATACAAATAACAGGCACACCACGTACATATATGCACACAAGTATAATAGTGGGAAAGGAAATAACAGAAGCATGTAAAACTCAGCATCATTTTTGTGCTGGTTCATGGGAAAATTTTTTTCTGTTCTTATATCAGGATTAGCTGTACTTCTCCTGGGCCACTGTCCTCAAACTGGCAGGCATGTTATGGGGAGGAGCCAGGCTGCTGTGTAGCCTGCTTGTGAGCTTTCCTTAAGCAATGATGTTAGACAGCCTTGAAATATTCCTGCACTTAAGGGAAATGTTTCTAGTGGTTTCTACTTTTGATTGATACTGGTTGACATAGATACATTTGAACATGCAGACATGCTAAGGTAGTCATCTATTCCAGTTGTGTTAAGAGTACTGTACTTTGGCAGGGCATGGGGGTTCACCCCTGTAATCCTAGCACTTTGGGAAGCCAAAGCTGGACTATTACTTGAGGCCAGGAGTTCGAGACCAGCCTGGGCAACACAGCGAAACCCCATCTCTACAAAAATAAAAATAAAATATTAACTGAGCATAGTGGAGCACACCTGTAGTCCCAGCTACTCAGAAGCCTGAGGCAGGAAGATCACTTGAGCCCAGGAGTTCTAGGCTATAGTAAGACATGATTGCGCCACCGAACTTCAGCTTAAGTGACAGAGTGTGACCCTGTCTCTAAAAAAAAATGAAATAAATTTTAAAAAGAGTAATGTACCTTAAAAATCAAGAATAGATGAATTATATCAAATTACTTTTCAACAGATATCAAGATGCTTATGTCATTTTTTTCTCTTGAATTATCAATACAGAGAATTCTAACCAATTTGATAGCAATATGATGTTTACCTAACAAGATAAAATGGACACTTTTCTTTTTTTGTCTGTATTTTGGAACAGTCTAAATAGCCTTGGAGTTAATCTTTTGAGGTTAAACTCCCTTGTGAAGCCATCTGGAAGGGGGTATTTGTTGGAGTGTACCTCTTCAACAGCTTACTCTAGTTCTTTGTGATAATTGATCTGTTTTTATTTTGTGGGATTAATTTTGGTAATTTATATTTTCCTAGAAAATCATTCAGATTCTCTAATTTAATTGAACAGAATTGAACGAAGTAGTCTCTTACATTTTCTTCTCATTTCCTTTGAATCTGTAGTCATTCCCTCTTACCATTTCTTATTTTGTGAATTTCATTTATGCTTATTATCTTTTTTCTTTATCAGCTTTAGTTAATGATGTATTGTATTATTTTTTCCTCAAAAAATCACCTCTGATTTATTTATTCTACTATTTTCTTTTTTCTTTTTTTTTTTTTTTTGAGATGGAGTCTTACTCTGTCATCCAAGCTGGAGTACAATGGCGTGATCTCAGCTCACTGCAACCTCCACCTCCTGGGTTCAAGCGATTCTCCTGCCTCAGCCTCCCAAGTAGCTGGTATTACAGGCGCACACCACCATACCTGGCTAATTTTTGTATTTTTAGTAGAAACAGGGTTTCACCATGTTGGCCAGGCTGGTCTCGAACTCCTGACCTCAAGTGATCCACCTGCTTTGGCCTCCCAAAATGCTGGGATTACAGGTGTAAGCCACCGTGCCCAGCCCATTTTCTGATTTCTAATTTGTTAATTTTTTTATCTTCATCAATTCCTCTCCTTTTTGGAATATAAAGAGCAGAGGCAATCAGTTTATCTTTCTCCAACTTCTGGAGTTGAACACTTCGTTCAGTTTTTTCTTTCACATTTATTAGTAATGAACTGTGAAATTTTTTGTGGATCTGCTTCTGCTGTATCTGTAGCAGGGGTCCCCAACCCTTGTGCCACGGACTGGTACTGGTCCGTGGCCTGTTAGGAACTGGGCCCCACAGCAGGAGATGAGCAGAGGGCAAGCAAGCTCCGCGGCCTATCAGATCAGCAGCGGCATTGGATTCTCATAGGAGCAGGAACCCTGTTGTGTGTGAAATGCCCATGCAGGGGATCTAGGTTGTACACTCCTTATGAGAATCTAATGCCTGATGATCTGATGGAACAGTTTCATCCCGAAACCATCCCCTACCACCTCCCAGTCCATAGAAAAACTGTCTTCCATGAAATTGGTCCTTGGTGCCAAAAAGTTGGAGACTGCTGATCTGTAGGACCTGATATATTATTATTTAATTATTTTTTATGTTTACATTTTCTCTTTCCCTGAAAGTTGTTTAAAAAAATTTTTTTAAATCATTTCCAGGTGATACATGTTTTGTGTGTGTATTTTCTTTACTTTTCTAATTTTGTTCTTAATTTTTTAGTTTCACTGCTTTATGATCACAGAATGTTAAATGTTCCATTTCTACTTTCTGGAATTTATTGAGGTTTACTTTAGGGCCTGGTGTACAGTGATTTTTTGTGAGTATAATGTGAAATAAGGTATATGTTATTTTTTAATATTTTTATTATGGAAAATTGCAAATATTCACAAAAATAGGAAGAACAGTTTAATGAATCTCCATGTTTCCATCACCCAGATTCAACAATTAACAATATTTTGTCATTCTTATTTTATCTAATTCCCACCTCATGCTTTTATGTATGTTTGTTTTGGTTTGGTTGAAGTTTTTAAAGAACATCCCAGATATCTTTTGTCACCCTTAAATACCAATCTACAGATAAGGACTTTATAGATAAGGACTTCATACTGTTATCATACCATATAAAATTAATAATTAATAGTTTCTGTTCATTGTTCCCAGTTGACTGGAAACTATCTTTTCACAGATGGTTAGGGATAGGCGTGGCCACCCCCAGAGCTGAGACAGCATTGAGAAAGGAGCACACTCATCTTTATCAAAGGGCAGCATCAACACCTAAGGCAGTGAGTGGTTCCTGGCAGTCTGACAGTTATCTCTGTCATTTGGGAGTTTTGTTCCCATATATTTCAGAAACTTGATATGTAATATTAATTATGATTTTCAGTGACATATCATTTCATCTTTAAAAATTGAATGTTTTAAAGGTGGCTTATGGGCTGGGCACGGTGGATCATGCCTGTAATCCCAGTGCTTATTTGGAGACTGAGGCAGGGGGATCACGAGGTCGGGAGTTCGAGACCAGCCTGGCCAACATGGTGAAACCCCATCTCTACTAAAAATACAAAAATTAGCCGGGCGTGATGACACAAACCTGTAATCCCAGCTATTCAGGCTGAGGCAGGAGAATTGCTTGAACCCCGGAGGCAGAGGTTGCAGTGAGCCAAGATGGTACCACTGCACTCCAACCTGGGCGACAGAGCAAGACTTGTCTTGAAAAAAATTAAAATTAAAATAAAATAAATGTGGCTTATGTATGGCAAGGAGTGGCGTCTTTAGTTTGTCTAAATTAACAATTTCATATTATTTATATGTTCTTATATTTATTTGTTAAATTTGCATTTTGCATTTTTTATTATTGGATTATATTATGGCTTTAGCTCCCTTATCACAAGAAAGATCTTGTGAAGGATTAAAAGTGGCTCATTAAAGCATAAACATATAATGAAAATAGTAAATTCTGAAACTGAGAATAATATAATAACTGTTAATTATAAGTAGACTCAAAGATTAATATAGTGTAATCATTTTCAGTGAGTACGATAATTTTGTAAACCAGCCAAAAGAAAAAGTATGAATAGAATCATTATCTGAAAATTGGATTTTATTGGTTTTGTCATTCATTTGCCTAATGTTTTATTTGTTAGGAAACTGTCAGATAGAGACATGAAGTGATGGGGGCTTTCATATGATTTCTAAACAAAGCACTCTGACTTCTTTGTAAAACCAATCAAGTGTTTTATTTCTAAGACTAAAAGCAAAATAATTATTTCTCATATAAAATTGATTACTTTTGTCCTTAAAAAAGAAAAGAAGGAAGGAGGGAAGGGGGAGGGGGAGGGGGGAAGAGAGGGAGGGAGGAAGGAAGGAAAGAAGGAAGGAAGGAGGGAAGGGGGAGGGAGAGGGGGGAAGGGAGGGAGGAAGGAAGGAAGAAGGAAGGAAGGAAAAAGAAAAGAGAAAAGAAAGAAAACACAAAACCTACTGATATGGTAGCTAGTATTTCCTGAGTGATAGGCACTACTCTGGATACTTTACTATTCTGGTTATTTAACTAAGTCATTACAAGAACCTTGTGAATGAGTGTCCATTATTATTTCCATTTAATAGATAAGGGAGCTAAAGCCACTGAGTGGTTAAGGACCTTGGCAGAGGTCACACACGGTAAACACCAGAGCTGGGATTTGAACCTAAGAGGCCTGCTTCCCACACACACTCTTTTGACTGCTGTACACTTTTGTACCATAGTGGCATCATTCAAGAAACAGCTATGACTCACACTATTGAAAAGTTTGAAAAACTAGTCACAAAGGTGATGTGTTCAGAGGATGTCCTCAAAGGTGATGTGCATCATGCTCACAAAGAAAGCAGAATGCAATTTGCAAAATTGCTTTATTAAATAGCCTTGGTAAAGTGGTAATGTCTTCTGAGTTATTCACTGTCAAGTATGTGGACTAAGATACAGTAATACAATTGGAAAAAAAACCCTGATGTTGATGTATGAATCAGCTCTTGACACGTGTATAGTAACAAAAAGTGATCGATGACTTTTTTTTTTTTTTAACTGAAAATACATGCTCCAGGAGAAGAGATTTTTGTTTGTTTTGGAAAAAGTGACTTTCGAGCTATGGCTAGGTTGGGAAAGGTGCATTTACAAAGCGACCAAGAAAGCATCAGCTGAAACAGGAAGCTGGGGTATGCTACTAGGCAATGAAAGAGGTTGCCCCCAATGCTAGTCCATTCATTGCTTTATTGATGGGGAATATTTATGGTCAAAAATATGCTGCTTGGTCTTGACTGAGTGTTGAAAGAAACAAAAGCGTACCTTTGATTGAATGGTGGCCATTGACTCCGTATTTTTCCAGTATGCTGTGAGAAGAAATGGGTAGCATTTACAACACTGTGACATGTGGCTATGCAGGAAAAGGTGCTCACATGCATTTTAAAATGAGTAATAAATGTGGATTTGTTCATTCATTACTGAATGGAAACATGAAAAGGAACAAGACAAAGCTCCATCCAGAAGCTGACAACCCAGCCAGGGGGCAGATGTGTGCACCCAAACCAGTGAAATGGAGTAATTACGAGGCCCTAGGGTAGTAGGCAGTGACTGCAAGGTGGGCTCAGAGAAGAGGCACCTACCTGAGCTGGGGAGAGGACACTTTCTGGAAGAAGTTTGCCAAAATCTTAATTAACTCTGTTAGATTCACATCTTACTTGGAAACACATTAACAGGGAGGACAGATCTTAATCTGTATTTCATAAGCCATTTATACAGATTGAGTTAATTAGAGCTGGAACTTGACATTATAGTGGGTTAACTGTCACTAAAGCTAGTGGGTAAAATGGACTTCCTTTGACAAATGTAGAAAGCAAAGTTTTCTACAAAAATATTCAAACAAATATTGTTTTCTGTAACAAACATAGACTAGTCTTAGTCTTTGGAATTACTAAAACAGCCTTTCCATATCACAGGAAAGTGCTTGCCCTGCATAGCAAACAGCCAAATGGGTAACTAGCAAGCAAACACATGTGGCAGCAGTGCCACGTAGAAGGACAGAATTAAACTTAGAATAACTTGAATTTTATAACAGGTATATAAATATTTACTAACCCTTTCCTTATTTATCTAACAAGATGTAAAGAGCTAGCTCAGGACTTGTCTTCTTAAAGCACCTGGATCAACAAACTCCCATTCTGTCAAGGTTCCTCATTACTAACTACTAGTTGAGCTTGGCAGCCTCTAATTTGGTTATACTTTTTTTGTCATAGTGTATAATATTCTGTTTCCACATTATACTGTCCATAGTCTTCTGCAAGTTGTTTTTTTTTCCACTCAGAATAATGTTTTTAAAATTTGTATAGGTCCATAAGTGTACTAATGGCTTATTTACTTTTGCTTGTTATTTTACTATTTAAAAGTCACAGTTAATTTCCTAATAATAGTCAGTTTTTCAGTTTTTTGTCATTCTGTGAAATGCCACAGTGAACATTTTTGTACATATTCTCTTGTCTGCAAGTGAATAGGTCTCTGTGGGGCTGCCATTCTCAAATTTTGAGAATTCTAAAGAGCTTACCTTAGAAAATTCTACAAAATGCAACAATATGCAAGCACATATTCCATTAGCTATCAGAGTGATGATGTCATCACATGTGATATAGTCTCTGGAAAATTCTATCATAGGCTGAGAGGGTGAGAATTTAAAAGGCAAATAACCTGCTGGTATTCTTAGAAAATTAGTTTTTATCTTGAAGATCCCCTAAAAGTAAAGGGTCTCAGCAGTGCTCAGGGTTCCCCAACCACACTTTGAGAACTGCTACTCTTGGGTATATACCCCAGATTGCAAATGCTAGATTGTAGAGTCTGCACATTTTTAAGTTCACTAAAGTTTGCCCAGTTGCTTTCCAAAATAATTGTACCAGTTTATGCTCACCAAGAAATGTATGAAAGCTTTTATTCTTCTACATCCTTATCAACAATTCACATTGGCAGATTTTTTAATTTTGGCCAATCAAATTTTGATCCCTGAATATGACCGTTACTTTCTTACAAGCTCAGCTGTGCATAGGGGTATTTGTTACATTGTTGTAGCAGTAGGGATATCAAGTTATCTATTCTACCTTCTTGCCCTACTCATTGGAAGTCCTACTGGAAGTTTAAGAGAGAAGTGGTGTGGTCAGTTTGTGACTGTTAAATAGATCTGTGTCAAGGAAACATTAGAAGTCAATAAGACAAGGAAGGATGGCCAATTAAGAGCCTGTTGCTGTAATCTAAGGCAGGGGTCCCCAATCCCCAAGTGGCAGACTGGTACTGGACTGTGGCCTGTTAGGAACCAGGCCGCACAGCAGCAGGTGGGCGGCAAGTGAGCAAACATTACCACCTGAGCTCCGCCTCCTGTAAGATCAGTGGCTCATTGGATTCTCATAGGAGCATGAAGCCTATGGTGAACTGCGCATGCAAGGGATCTAGGCTGTGCGCTCTTTATGAGAATCTAATGCCTGATGATCTGAGGTAGAACAGTTTCATCCTGAAACCACCCCCACCCCCACCATGCCGGTGCATGGAAAATCTTTCTTCCACAAAACTGGTCCCTGATGTCAAAAAGGTTCAAGACCACTGATCTAGGGGAAAGCTGATGAGAACTTAAATTGCAGCAGTGGTAGTTAAGATGCAGAAAAATGTGAGAAATATTTAGGAGACCATGAAATAATTAGCAGACTATGATAGTTATTGGACAGGAGATTGATGAAAGGCAGGAATCAATGATTCCCAGGTTTCCACCATAGAGTCCTGGATAGCTGGTATCACTGACAACTGAGATAGAGGTAGAAGGTACAGAAGCAGGGGCATATCTGGAAGATGGTAGTAGTGTGGGGTATGATGTGTTCGAGGTGCCTATGAGGCATTCAAGTAGAGATGACCAGCAAGCAGTTGGATATATGAGTCAGAGAAACAAAAGAAGTAGCAAATTTTTTTTTTTTTTTTTTTTTTTTTTTGAGACGGAGTCTCGCTCTGTCGCCCAGGCCGGACTGCGGACTGCAGTGGCGCAATCTCGGCTCACTGCAAGCTCCGCTTCCCGGGTTCACGCCATTCTCCTGCCTCAGCCTCCCGAGTAGCTGGGACTACAGGCGCCCGCCACCGCGCCCGGCTAATTTTTTGTATTTTTAGTAGAGACAGGGTTTCACCTTGTTAGCCAGGATGGTCTCGATCTCCTGACCTCATGATCCACCCGCCTCGACCTCCCAAAGTGCTGGGATTACAGGCGTGAGCAAATTTTAAATAAGAAGAAACAGTCAACAGCATCAGACATAGTAGGTATGTCCAACACCATAATGGCTGAAAAGTGCCCACCTAGTCTGGCAATTAGTAGGTCATTGGTTTATTAATAACCGGCATGTTAAAGTTGGGTCAGGATGAGCTCAGAGTGTAGAAGAAAAACCAATTGCCAAACTCCTCCGGCGAGGAAATAAAAGTGTTTTGAACATTTGTTGGTGAATCATGGAAATGAAAATAGGTATAGCAAAAAGGTGTCCGTAATGAAGAAACTAAGAAGCGTTAATTTTCCGTAAGACATTTAGTAAATGTTGAAACACTGAAGACTTACCCCTACATATATTACTAAGCAGCGCTATTAGAATAGCATTACTATGTACAAGTCACTGAACTTACTATGGGGAAAAAAATTTGGTCGATTTATAATATAAGCCTATAACTGGTCCATTTAGTATTTAACATATTGGCAAATGTAAAGCCCTTTTAGAACAATAAAAATGCTTCAGCAACAACTTAACATTGAAGCAACAGTACATTCCCTCACACCCGGCCCCACTCTCCTTTTTTCTCTTCCCACCTACTTGGTGAATAAAACGATAAAAGCATATTTGGAAAATAATGGTGACATGTCAAAAATAATTTGTTTCTTATTTATCTCCTCTCAGACACTGCCAATAAGAAACCATTGCCACTCCATCCCCAGCCCACTCTGCTGTAAGTTGGAAGCAGATGATTTGCTCTCCTGAAAGAGCAGCAAATCCGTTGCCTGGGTGATATCTCATTACTAAGGCAACCAATTTGGCGCATCAGTGTGAATCTCAATTTTAAAATATAATTATGCCAAGAGATGTACATATGCTTGAGGTTTACTTAAAAGAAATCTGTTCGCCTTTGCAAGGAAAACATTTCCTATGTTAGGTGAAAAAAGAGGGGAAATACCACTTTTATTCTTTGCTAGCTAAAATACACCTTTCAATTGAGCCCCCACTATGTTTAGTAAAACAGCTTGCATTGGTTTCTCCCTCACCACTTTTTTTTTTTTTTTTACTTGAGGTGTTCCCTTTCCAAGACACTTCTCTCTTGAGACTTGTCACTCATAACCCAACAGCTGTTGTCTCCATGACAACATTTTCTGGCCCCTATAGGTGGTGATAGGAAAAAAAGGAAGGAAAAAAAAATGGCTACATATTCATTTCACTTTTCTTTTTTAATTGCTACAAGCTCAAGAGATTTGACTCTTTGTAAGGAATTAATTAATGAAGGGGAAGTGATTTCGTGAATAGATGCTTAAATTAAATTACAAAACTTCTGAACAATTTAATGAGAATTGCTATCCCAACCTCAAATGAAAGGTCTTATAGTTAAGATGTATACAATCAAAAGCTTGTCTGGAGGAAGACTGTATTACAGAGGTAGCTGAAGATGCGCACAGCCAAGCCATGTAAAATCCCAGTGAATTACTGCTGAGCAATTATTTTTTTCTTCCTTGCCAACAATAAAACATTTGTTTAAAAATAAAAAGAGCATATTTTGGTGGAGGGAGTATTTAATTATCAACCTTATTAAAGAATGCCTATTAAATCATGAAATCCTTGCAACTCATTAAGTTTCCTGTTTGCTGTAGATGCCAGGAAGCTCAGGGCTCAGATTTATATGTAAGTCCAGGAACCATCCTCAGTTTGGGAGTTTCAGTGGAACTGACTCCCTTTCCTTCCTACCACCCTGCCCCTGTTGCCCGGCTGTCCTTTTATTCTTACTTTGGTAATTTAGTTGTCTGTATACCTTTTTTTGTAAGTTCCCTCTAATCCTTTTAAAAATAATTAGATAACAAGTATTAAAGGCAATGATGAAAATATTTTATTGTAATAGCCGTTCACTGCTTAGTCACCATGCTGACATTTAATGTAAAATATCACCCTAAAAAAGATTTTTTTGAACAGACTTTTATGAAAAGAAACAGCTTTTCTAAAGTATGTAATTTTGCCACGTATTTCATTGAGCTAAGAAACTTTATGGGTGACAAAATATATCCTGTTTACCAAGTTAGGTACATAATGGCATACATGTGGTTTAAGTGTGAAGCCTACAGTATTGAGGTTTATTTTATTCTCTTCTTGCTATAGCAAATGTATATAACTACTACCAAGAGATCTAAGTGTATCAAAAATTGCTCATATTCTTTGTCATGGCACATGTAAACACATTCTGCTTGGACTATCAAGTTTTGCTAACCTAAAACAGAAAGTTTATGAAATATTCAACATGTTCTGGGAAATGTGTATATTTAGAGCATTCAGTTTCTATTAACGAGGAGCTATATAGCAGTCTTAAGCTATATTTTTAAAAATTTCAGCAACTGCAGATTATGAATACCTTTAATATACAAAAGGTCCCTCCTAAGAAATGAGATAGATACCTCACTAGAAAACTGAACAAAAATATGGACACTCAGACCACAGAAGAAGAAAAATGGCCAGCAACCATATTTTCACCTACCAAATACTCGGGATTTTTCAAAATATCATACACAGTGTTGCTAAGGATGTACACTACTGGCATAAGAGTAAATTGGTGAGAACTTTCTGGAGGGGTAGTTTGGCAATGTGTTTCCAAAAAATCTAAAAATTATATTTGCCTCTAATCCAGCAATTATACCTCTAGAAATTAATACTAAGGAAAATCTTAAGAATATATGTAAAACTTTAGTTGTAAGAAATTTTTTTGTGGCCAGGCATGGTGGCTCACACCTGTAATCCCAGACTTTGGGAGACCAAGGTGGGCGGATCACCTGAGGTCAGGAGTTCGAGACCAGCCTGGTCAACATGGTGAAACCCTGTCTCAACTAAAAATACAAAAATTAACCGGGCATAGGGGCAGGCGCCTGTAATCCCAGCAACTCGGGAGGCTGAGGCAGGAGAATCGCTTGAACCCAGGAGGCAGAGGTTGCAGTGAGCTGAAATTGTACCACTGCACTCCAGCCTGGGCGACAGAGTAAGACTCCATCTCAAAAAAAAAAAAAAAAAAAAGAATTTTCTTTGCAACATTTCTCATGACAGTGGGAAATAATGAAGACTCTTAAATGTTAAGAAGTTAGTGGAGATGAAGAGCGATTGGCTATGAGTACAAACATACAGTAAGATAGAAGAAATAAGTTCTTTTTTTTTTTTTTTTGAGGCAGTGTCTTCTTGCTCTGTCACCCAGGCTGGAGTACAGTGGTATGATCCTAATATGTTGCAGCCTTGAACTCCTGGGCTCAAGCAATCCTCCTGTGTTGGCCTCCCCAGTAGCTGGGTCTACAGCCAGGTGCCACAACATCTGGCTAAATTTTTTTTTAAGAGATGAGTTCTGACTATCTTGCCCGGGCTGGTGTTGAACTCCTGGGCTCTAGTGATGCTCCTACCTCAGCCTCCCAAAGTGCTGAGGTTACAAGCATGAGGAGAAATAAATACTAAAGTTTGAGAGCCCACTAGAGCGACTGTACTTAGCAACAATATAATGTATAAGTCAAAGTCACTAGAAAAGAGGACTTTAAAGGATATGGTGTTAGTCTGTTCTTGAGTTGCTATTAAAAAAATACCTGTGGCTGGGTAATTTATAAGGAAAAGAGGCTTAATTGGCTGATGGTTCTGCAGGCTGTATAGGAAGCATGGTGCGGTCATCTGCTCCTGGTGAGGCCCTCAAAGAGCTTCCAATCATTGCAGAAGGCAGAGGGGGAGCAGGCATCACATGGCAAGAGCAGGAGCAAGAGAGGGAGACATCTCATGAACTAACAGAGCAAGAGGTCACTCATCACAAAGGATATGGCACTAAGCCATTCATGAGGGATCTGCTCCGTGATCCAGTCCCTCCTACCAGGCCCCACCTCCAACACTGGGGATTAAATTTCAACTGGAGATTCGAAGGGGATAGACATCCAAACCATGTCAGATGCCGACACATAAAAATGATAAACACTCGGTCAGGTGCTGTGGCTCACACCTGTAATCCCAGTACTTTGGGAGGCCGGGTCAGGCAGATTGCCTGAGCTCAGGAGTTCGCGACCAGCCTGGGCAACACAGTGAAACCCTGTCTCTACTAAAATACAAAAAATTAGCTGGTGTGGTGGCGTGTGCCTGTAGTCCTAGCTACTTGGGAGGCAGAGGCAGGAGAATTGCTTGAGCCCGGGAGGTGCAGTGAGCCAAGATCGCGCCACTGCACTCCAGCCGGGATGACAGAGCAAGACTCCATCTCAAAAAAAAAAAAAAAGATAAACACTCAAGGGAACGGATACCCCAAATACCCCAACTTGATCTTTATACATTCTATGTATGTAACAGACACTCACACATAACCTATATATAAGTAAAAAATATATCAGGAAAACAGTTATATAAGTTATGATGTATCTATACAATAGAAAACTATGGGCCAGGCGCAGTAGCTTATGCCTATAATCCCAACACTTTGGGAGACTGTGGCGGGTGGATAACCTGAGGTCAGGAGTTCAAGGCCAGCCTGACCAACGTGGTGAAACCCCATCTCTACTAAAAATACAAAAATTAAAAATTAGCTGGGTGTGGTGGTGGGCACATGTAATCCCAGCTACTCGGGAGGCTGAGGCAGGAGAATTGCTTGAACCCAGGAGGCAGAGGTTGCAGTGAGCTGAGATCGTGCTGCTGCACTCCAGCCTGGGCAACAGAGCGAGACTCCATCTCAAAAAAAAAAAGACAGGAAAACTATGCAGCCATTAATAATGACGATATTTTAACAAAATGAAGAGTGTTCTTCATAAATGTTAAGTGAAAATATATGTTACAAAACAGGATATTCAATGCGATTCCTCTTTAACCACATTGTTAATTCTGGAAATATCTACACACACACCCATTATATTTACTGAAGAGGACGTGATGAGTCATACTTTTGGTGGCTAGGCGGGCATCATTCGTAACTAAGGAAAATTAGGACTATTTTTATTCAGTAGTTTTTGTTAAAGTCTTAATGTTGTCAAACATCGCTATCTATTCAAACTTAGTACTATAATGAGCGTCAGTATTTTTAAGAAATTCAATTTCAAAATAAGATGTTTACTACTCAGCTGTCCTGAGTTGGTTGTATTGTATTTGTGTGGATAAGAAACCAAACACTCATAGAAAATATGTTGGTGACAAGTATCCTTGGGGAACTCAAAATATAATCAAGCATTTATAATTTAAATGCAGGTTTACAAACAAAGTACTGTATTCATGAGTTTATTGTACTTTAAATCGATTATAAACAACATATAACTATGATCACATTATTTCAGCCTAAAATTTTAAGTAACAGTTTTTATTATAAGGTAATACATGTTCATTGTGAAAGATTTTTAATTTAAAGAAGAGAATAATATTACCCATCATCTCACCACCAAAAGAAAATCACTGTTAACGTTTTGGGATATATCATTCCAGTCTTTGTTCTACTCTCTTACATGCACGCACACACAGACACATACACACATACACACACACACACACACACACACACACTTCAAAAATCAAAGAGACCATATGCACTGTAAATGAGTATTACCATTTGAAAATCAGCAGAACCGTGGTGATGGTTGTGGTACTCTGCCCCTAAACCACTTCTGTGTGATCTCCCAGGCTCCCTCCCTTGACTTGGATCTGCACAGCATCACAATCTTAGGTTTTATGGTGTTGTGTCTCCGTTCAAAAACCCTTCAATCACCCACAAAATTAAGACTAGACTTTCCCAGAGTCTGGCTCCAACCAACCACGTCTCCTGTGATGCCATAGCACGACATTGTTTGTTTTTACTGAACCCTCAAACATCTCTGCTTTTTCACCTGTATGTATACTTTTACACATACTGTTTGCCTTGCTTACAGTGTTCTTCAAGTTCGATTCTGCCTCCTCACTAAAGTCCTCCCAACCAGACCGCTGTAAATAAAGTCATCTTTACATCTTTGCCAGAACCCATTTGTCAGTTGTATGTGGCTGTATGAGACAGTGAGTCAAAGGGAAGCAGGAACAATGTGCCTGCTGTTAGTTTTATTGTAGGATTTACGTTCGTGTAAGGTTTTAGGTCATTCTCACTTCATTTGTCTGTAAAACAATAGGGATGGTGTGGGCATATCTATTATGATCAAGTGTGAAGTGTGTTGCAGGTAATTTTTTACTAAGGTTTTGAAGATTGTGAATCATTTTACAAGTAGGAGTTGATTCAAGGTTATTCCCATGGAATTTATACGTGCTTTCTTGAGTGGGCAAGGAAGGCAAATCTCAGGGATTGCACAGCTCCCAGAAAGGTGTTGCGCATATGAATGTTCCTCCCAAGCTATGCTATGGAAGAGGCGGGGCAGAGAACCTCTCAAATAGATGACTTATAAGGAGTCTTTAGCTCAGAAATTCCCGGTGGATTCTGTATTTTTTGTAGTCTTTAACCAGTGTTTAAATCTTAGATCATTTATTAATTTTGCAGATGTGTCTGATCTCTTCAGCTAGATTATAAATTATGGAGGGCAGCAGAATCCTTGTACTTGATTATGTTCCACAGAGGACTCCCAGCATCATGCCCTGTACCCAGTAGTCTTAGGTAACATTTCGTCAATAATGTACTTATCATGATTCAATACTAGGTAATAATTTGCTTCTGGATTTACAAGATTTCTTATTAGCTATGTTATGTATGAAAGCAAAGATATTTTTGAATATATAAGAGCTATTTATGTGCATTTAAATGAGATACTTTAGTAATACCAAGCAAATGGAGTAATCAGTAGGCCCTAGAGTTATTCCCAACTGGGCCAGGCACAGTGGCTCACGCCTGTAATCCCAGCACTTTGGGAGACTGAAGCAGGAAGATTGCTTGAGCCCAGGAATTCAAGACCAGCCTGGGCAACATGGTGAGATCCTGTCTCTACAAAAAATTTTAAAAATTAGCCAGGCGAGGCCAGGCACGGTGGCTCACACCTGTAATCCCAGCACTTTGGGAGGCCAAGGCGGGTGGATCATGAGGTCAGGAGATCGAGACCATCCTGGCTAACATGGTGAAACCCTGTCTCCACTGAAAAATACAAAAAATTAGCCGGGCGTGGTGGCAGGTGCCTGGAGTCCCAGCTACTTGGGAGGCTGAGGCAGGAGAATGGCGTGAACCCAGGAGGCGGAGCTTGCAGTGAGCTGAGATCGCGCCACTGCACTCCAGCCTGGGTGACAGAGTGAGACTCTGTCTCAGAAAAAAAAAAAAAAAAATTAGCCAGGCATGTTGGCCCTTGCCTGTGGTACTAGCTACTCAGGAGGCTGGGGTGCGGGCGGGGGGTAAGGGGGAAATAAAATAGTACCCACCTCATAGTATAGTTGTATTAAATAAGTTAATACATTTGACAGAATTTGAACACTTTGTAAGTACCTGTGTATTTAGTTTTTGTTCTTTGTTTTTTGGTGTGTGTGTGTGTGTGTGTGTGTGTGTGTGTGTGTGTGTGTTTTGAAACAGGATCTCACTCTTATCACCCTGGAGTGCAGTGGCACAATTATGGCACTGCAGCCTCAACTTCCAGGGCTCAAGCAATCCCTCCCGCTTTGAAACAGGGTCTCACTCTTATCACCCAGGCTGAAGTGCAGTAGTGTGATTATGGCTCACTGCAGCCTCAGCCTCTGGGGCTCAGGTGATCCCTCCTGCCTCAGCCTCCCAAGTAGCTGGGACTACAGGTGTGTACCACCACCTCAGCTATTGTTTTTATTTTTTGTACAGACAGGGTCTCACTTTATTGCCCAGGCTGATCTCGAACTCCTAGACTCAAATGATCCTCCTGTCTCAGCCTCCCAAAGTACTGGGATTACAGGCATGAGCCAATGAATGGTTTGGGTTTCCATTCATTGGAATAGTTAACTATTGTCACAGTTACATGACAGACCACCTGCGTTAGTGTCCTAAGGCTGCTGCAAAAAAAATTATCACAAACTTGGCAGCTTAAAACACAGAAATTTATTCTTTCACAGTTCTGGAGGAAGGTTTGAAATCAGTTTCACTGGGCCAAAATCAGAATGTCAACAGGACCACATTTCTTCCAAAGGTTACAGGGGAAAATCTATTCCTTGCTTCTCCCAGCTTCTGGTAGCTGCCAGCATCCCATGGCTTGTGGCTGCCTCCATGGTCACAGTGCCTTCTCTTCTGTTGTCATATTTTCCACTGCCTCTGTTTTACAAGGATATATATGATTGCATTTAAGGTCCAAACAGATAATCTGCCCATCTCAAAATCCTTAACTTAATCATATATGCAAAGTTTTTGTGTGTGTGTGTTTGTTTTTGTTTTTTTGTGTGTTTTTTTTCCCCCTTCCACAGATCTGTAGATGATGATAACTTAAAGCTGGTAACGTTCACAGAGATTTGCAGTTGGCTATTTTGGCTAATTTTTAAGGACCATTGTTCAGCCTACCACATCACTCTAAAACTTGGTGGATATAACAGTCAGAATTTATTTGTTGCTCATGCATCTAGGGTTTGGTCAATTTTGGCTCAGTTTATCCAATTTATATCGCATTGGCCAAAGCAGGTCATATCAATGGGATAACCCATGGAGGTCAAGAAGGCAGAAGTGAATATTTGCTCAACTATAATGTAACCGAGCATGGGGTTCTCTGTAGATGACAATAACTTAAAGCTAAGTTAGCAACGTACTTATTTGGGTGAAGAAGAAAATCCAGAATTAAAAGCAAAGTTATTTAGTAATAGGACAGTTTTCTATAGTTCTTATTTGATGGTTAAATCAAGGAGCTCTGTCTATTGTGGGCCTAGTCTGGCTAAATACATATATTCCTGAATCTAATAATCGTAGAAAACCTGTTCTAGGATTTTTTATTTAGGGGAAAAACCTCTACAGACATGGAAACTCCAGGACTCCTTTAGGCTACCTGCCATTATATAGTTAAACAGTGGATTCCATGGAGTTATGAAAAAGAAGCAAGGGTTTTCTGCCCCTTTGGAAGAACAGAATATCTGCTAGATAGCCTCTCAAGATGAGAAGTGAACCTGGAGATTGCTCACCAGCTGCTTTCTTGAAGCCAAAGCTATATTAATTACAGTATTTTCTCATGTCATCTTTGGCCTATGAGCTTGGGTATCTAGTTCATCTAAATAATCCAACCAAGAGTTGTTTCCTTACGCATTACTTGGAGTTAATTTGAGAACCAGTATACAATACTTGAGTTTGATAGAATTTCCCAGTCTAATTTTTTTTCTTCCCTCTCATTCCAATAATAGAGGAATTATATCATTCTCACAGGCCCAGTGAAAAAATGAATGACACACAGCGTTTATTGCTTTCTAGGTCTTGTTGACTTTAAGAGAGAGAATAAGGATGTGCACCTTTTCCCTGGTCACTTGATAAAATGCAGTGACATTGAGGTATTGACTTTTTTTTCCAAAAAAAAATGATAAAGAGAAATTTTCCATGAAAAAATCCTGTAACTAGAATGAATAGGGAAGCCGGAACTTAATTTAGAACATCCACATTTTCATACTCTAACAGAACCAGCTGATTTAAGATGAAGAGTTTGTATTTTCAGTGAAATTTTTATGTAAAAGGAAAATTCATTGAAAATCAGACATTTTCATGCATCAAGTTGTTCATTGGCAAATTGGCAGCAGTTTTTCAAGTTGATGCTTATTCATGCTAGTCTGCTGTAGAACCATCAACCGTCAACAGTGAATTTGAAATTCTCTTCAGACTTGAGAAAATACATGACAGCTGCCATGTATTTTCTTCCTTGAATGTTTCATAGTTTGCTTGGCTCATCCTCACAGTTGTGTAATAGGATGGGCTGTTTCTTTTTAGTGCTCTTATACCCTAAGGTTACTGAGCCCTTGGATGTAACACTTCCACAGGGCCTTTTTACAGATCAGCGAGTCTTTAAACTTCAAATAAAGATATTTAGTCTATTCAAGCCAGTAATCATTCCTTCAGCAAATGTGTTTATTGCTAGGTACTCTTTGGAAATACAGGAATAAATAAAATGAAAATAGTCCTTGTCCTCATGGATTACACATTCTAGTCACACAAAACATGAGTGAACACATAATTACAAATTGTGTAACAGTCATGAAGGAAAGAAAATGCTGAGCGAGGCAAGCATTCAGAGGACAAGGGAAATACATTTTTGGCTTTTAAAAAGATGGGGGAGGAGCCAAGATGGCCGAATAGGAACAGCTCCGGTCTACAGCTCCCAGCGTGAGCTACGCAGAACACGGGTGATTTCTGCATTTCCATCTGAGGTACCGGGTTCATCTCACTAGGGAGTGCCAGACAGTGGGCGCAGGCCAGTGGGTGCGCGCACCGTGTGCGAGCCGAAGCAGGGCGAGGCATTGCCTCACCTGGGAAGCGCAAGGGGTCAGGGAGTTCCCTTTCCGAGTCAAAGAAAGGGGTGACGGACGCACCTGGAAATCGGGTCACTCCCACCCGAATATTGCGCTTTTCAGGCCGGCTTAAAAAACGGCGCACCACGAGACTATATGCCACACCTGGCTCGGAGGGTCCTACGCCCACGGAGTCTCGCTGATTGCTAGCACAGCAGTCTGAGATCAAACTGCAAGGCGGCAACGAGGCTGGGGGAGGGGCGCCCGCCATTGCCCAGGCTTGCTTAGGTAAACAAAGCAGCCGGGAAGCTCCTGGGTGGAGCCCACCACAGTTCAAGGAGGCCTGCCTGCCACTGTAGGCTCCACCTCTGGGGGCAGGGCACAGACAAACAAAAAGACAGCAGTAACCTCTGCAGACTTAAATGTCCCTGTCTGACAGCTTTGAAGAGAGCAGTGGTTCTCCCAGCACGCAGCTGGAGATCTGAGAACCGGCAGACTGCCTCCTCAAGTGGGTCCCTGACCCCTGACCCCCGAGCAGCCTAACTGGGAGGCACCCCCCAGCAGGGGCACACTGACACCTCACACGGCAGGGTATTCCAACAGACCTGCAGCTGAGGGTCCTGTCTGTTAGAAGGAAAACTTAACAAACAGAAAGGACATCCACACCGAAAACCCATCTGTACATCACCATCATCAGAGACCAAAAGTAGATAAAACCACAAAGATGGGGAAAAAACAGAACAGAAAAACTGGAAACTCTAAAACACAGAGCGTCTCTCCTCCTCCAAAGGAACACAGTTCCTCACCAGCAACGGAACAAAGCTGGATGGAGAATGACTTTGACGAGCTGAGAGAAGAAGGCTTCAGACGATCAAATTACTCTAAGCTACGGGAGGACATTCAAACCAAAGGCAAAGAAGTTGAAAACTTTGAAAAAAATTTAGAAGAATGTATAACTAGAATAACCAATACAGAGAAGTGCTTAAAGGAGCTGATGGAGCTGAAAACCAAGGCTCGAGAACTACGTGAAGAATGCAGAAGCCTCAGGAGCCGATGCGATCAACTGGAAGAAAGGGTATCAGCGATGGAAGATGAAATGAATGAAATGAAGCGAGAAGGGAAGTTTAGAGAAAAAAGAATAAAAAGAAATGAGCAAAGCCTCCAAGAAATATGGGACTATGTGAAAAGACCAAATCTACGTCTGATTGGTGTACCTGAAAGTGATGGGGAGAATGGAACCAAGTTGGAAAACACTCTGCAGGATATTATCCAGGAGAACTTCCCCAATCTAGCAAGGCAGGCCAACGTTCAGATTCAGGAAATACAGAGAACGCCGCAAAGATACTCCTCGAGAAGAGCAACTCCAAGACACGTAATTGTCAGATTCACCAAAGTTGAAATGAAAAAAATGTTAAGGGCAGCCAGAGAGAAAGGTCGGGTTACCCTCAAAGGGAAGCCCATCAGACTAACAGCTGATCTCTCGGCAGAAACCCTACAAGCCAGAAGAGAGTGGGGGCCAATATTCAACATTCTTAAAAAAAAGAATTTTCAACCCGCAATTTCATATCCAGCCAAACTAAGCTTCATAAGTGAAGGAGAAATAAAATCCTTTACAGACAAGCAAATGCTGAGAGATTTTGTCACCACCAGGCCTGCCCTAAAAGAGCTCCTGAAGGAAGCACTAAACATGGAAAGGAACAACCGGTACCAGCCGCTGCAAAATCATGCCAAAATGTAAAGACCATCGAGACTAGGAAGAAACTGCATCAACTAACGAGCAAAATCATCAGCTAACATCATAATGACAGGATCAAATGCACACATAACAATATTAACTTTAAATGTAAATGGACTAAATGCTCCAATGAAAAGACACAGACTGGCAAATTGGATAAAGAGTCAAGACCCATCAGTGTGCTGTATTCAGGAAACCCATCTCACGTGCAGAGACACACATAGGCTCAAAATAAAAGGATGGAGGAAGATCTACCAAGCAAATGGAAAACAAAAAAAGGCAGGGGTTGCAATCCTAGTCTCTGATAAAACAGACTTTAAACCAACAAAGATCAAAAGAGACAAAGAAGGCCATTACATAATGGTAAAGGGATCAATTCAACAAGAAGAGCTAACTATCCTAAATATATATGCACCCAATACAGGAGCACCCAGATTCATAAAGCAAGTCCTGAGTGACCTACAAGGAGACTTAGACTCCCACACATTAATAATGGGAGACTTTAACACCCCACTGTCAACATTAGACAGATCAACGAGACAGAAAGTCAACAAGGATACCCAGGAATTGAACTCAGCTCTGCACCAAGCGGACCTAATAGACATCTACAGAACTCTCCAACCCAAATCAACAGAATATACATTTTTTTCAGCACCACACCACACCTATTCCAAAATTGACCACATAGTTGGAAGTAAAGCTCTCCTCAGCAAATGTAAAAGAACAGGAATTATAACAAACTTCTCTCAGACCACAGTGCAATCAAACTAGAACTCAGGATTAAGAATCCCACTCAAAGCCGCTCAACTACATGGAAACTGAACAACCTGCTCCTGAATGACTACTGGGTACATAACGAAATGAAGGCAGAAATAAAGATGTTCTTTGAAACCAACGAGAACAAAGACACAACATACCAGAATCTCTGGGATGCATTCAAAGCAGTGTGTAGAGGGAAATTTATAGCACTAAATGCCCACAAGAGAAAGCAGGAAAGATCCAAAATTGACACCCTAACATCACAATTAAAAGAACTAGAAAAGCAAGAGCAAGCACATTCAAAAGCTAGCAGAAGGCAAGAAATAACTAAAATCAGAGCAGAACTGAAGGAAATAGAGACATAAAAAACCCTTCGAAAAATCAATGAATCCAGGAGCTGGTTTTTTGAAAAGAGCAACAAAATTGATAGACCACTAGCAAGACTAATAAAGAAAAAAAGAGAGAAGAATCAAATAGACACAATAAAAAATGATAAAGGGGATATCACCACCAATCCCACAGAAATGCAAACTACCATCAGAGAATACTACAAACACCTCTACACAAATAAACTAGAAAATCTAGAAGAAATGGATAAATTCCTCGACACATACACTCTCCCAAGACTAAACCAGGAAGAAGTTGAATCTCTGAATAGACCAGTAACAGGATCTGAAATTGTGGCAATAATCAATAGTTTACCAACCAAAAAGAGTCCAGGACCAGATGGATTCACAGCCGAATTCTACCAGAGGTACAAGGAGGAACTGGTACCATTCCTTCTGAAATGATTCCAATCAATAGAAAAAGAGGGAATCCTCCCTAACTCATTTTATGAGGCCAGTATCATTCTGATACCAGAGACACAACCAAAAAAGAGAATTTTAGACCAATATCCTTGATGAACATTGATGCAAAAATCCTCAATAAAATACTGGCAAACCGAATCCAGCAGCACATCAAAAAGTTTATCCACCATGATCAAGTGGGCTTCATCCCTGGGATGCAAGGCTGGTTCAATATACGCAAATCAATAAATGTAATCCAGCATATAAACAGAGCCAAAGACAAAAACCACATGATTATCTCAATAGATGCAGAAAAAGCCTTTGACAAAATTCAACAACCCTTCATGCTAAAAACTCTCAATAAATTAGGTATTGATGGGACGTATTTCAAAATAATAAGAGCTATCTATGACAAACCCACAGCCAATATCATACTGAATGGGCAAAAACTGGAAGCATTCCCTTTGAAAACTGGCACAAGACAGGGATGCCCTCTCTCACCGCTCCTATTCAACATAGTGTTGGAAGTTCTGGCCAGGGCAATCAGGCAGGAGAAGGAAATAAAGGGTATTCAATTAGGAAAAGAGGAAGTCAAATTGTCCCTGTTTGCAGACGACATGATTGTTTATCTAGAAAACCCCATCGTCTCAGCCCAAAATCTCCTTAAGCTGATAAGCAACTTCAGCAAAGTCTCAGGATACAAAATCAATGTACAAAAATCACAAGCATTCTTATACACCAACAACAGACAAACAGAGAGCCAAATCATGAGTGAACTCCCATTCACAATTGCTTCAAAGAGAATAAAATACCTAGGAATCCAACTTACAAGGGATGTGAAGGACCTCTTCCAGGAGAACTACAAACCACTGCTCAAGGAAATAAAAGAGGATACAAACAAATGGAAGAACATTCCATGTTCATGGGTAGGAAGAATCAATATCGTGAAAATGGCCATACTGCCCAAGGTCATTTACAGATTCAATGCCATCCCCATCAAGCTACCAACGACTTTCTTCACAGAATTGGAAAAAACTACTTTAAAGTTCATATGGAACCAAAAAAGACCCCGCACTGCCAAGTCAATCCTAAGCCAAAAGAACAAAGCTGGAGGAATCACACTACCTGACTTCAAACTCTACTACAAGGCTACAGTAACCAAAACAGCATGGTACTGGTACCAAAACAGAGATATAGATCAATGGAACAGAATAGAGCCCTCAGAAATAACGCCACATACCTACAACTATCTGATCTTTGACAAACCTGAGAAAAACAAGCAATGGGGAAAGGATTCCCTATTTAATAAATGGTGCTGGGAAAACTGGCTAGCCATATGTAGGAAGCTGAAACTGGATCCCTTCCTTACACCTTATACAAAAATCAGTTCAAGATGGATTAAAGATTTAAACGTTAGACCTAAAACCATAAAAACCCTAGAAGAAAACCTAGGCATTACCATTCAGGACATAGGCGTGGGCAAGGACTTCATGTACAAAACACCAAAAGCAATGGCAACAAAAGACAAAATTGACAAATGGGATCTAATTAAACTAAAGAGCTTCTGCACAGCAAAAGAAACTACCATCAGAGTGAACAGGCAACCTACAAAATGGGAGAAAATTTTCGCAACCTACTCATCTGACAAAGGGCTAATATCCAGAATCTACATTGAACTCAAACAAATTTACAAGAAAAACACAAACAACCCCATCAAAAAGTGGGCGAAGGACATGAACAGACACTTCTCAAAAGAAGACATTTATGCAGCCAAAAAACACATGAAAAAATGCTCATCATCACTGGCCATCAGAGAAATGCAAATCAAAACCACAATGAGATGCCATCTCACACCAGTTAGAATGGCAATCATTAAAAAGTCAGGAAACAACAGGTGCTGGAGAGGATGTGGAGAAATAGGAACACTTTTACACTGTTGGTGGGACTGTAAAGTAGTTCAACCATTGTGGAAGTCAGTGTGGCAATTCCTCAGGGATCTAGAACTAGAAATACCATTTGACCCAGCCATCCCATTACTGGGTATATACCCAAATGACTATAAATCATGCTGCTATAAAGACACATGCACACGTATGTTTATTGCGGCATTATTCACAATAGCAAAGACTTGGAACCAACCCAAATGTCCAACAATGATAGACTGGATTAAGAAAATGTGGCATATATACACCATGGAATACTATGCAGCCATAAAAAATGATGAGTTCATGCCCTTTGTAGGGACATGGATGAAATTGGAAATCATCATTCTCAGTAAACTATCGCAAGAACAAAAAACCAAACACCGCATATTCTCACTCATAGGTGGGAATTGAACAATGAGATCACATGGACACAGGAAGGGGAATATCACACTCTGGGGACTGTGGTGGAGTGGGGGGAGGGGGGAGGGATAGCATCGGGAGATATACCTAATGCTAGATGACGAGTTAGTGGGTGCAGCGCACCAGCATGGCACATGTATGCATATGTAACTAACCTGCACAATGTGCACATGTACCCTAAAACGTAAAGTATAATAAAAGAAAAAAAAAAAGAAATATATTTTTGAGAGGATGGTCAGGGAAGACCTCTCTGAGGAGGTGCTATTAAGCTGGGACCTATAGATATGAAGGATTTAACCCTAGGAAAAGTTCAAAGAGGGAGAATTCAAGCCAGGAAATACATAAATAAGGAGGCTGTGAGAAAGAGCTTGAGCATTTGAAAGACCTTTTAAGCAGTTTCACCATAGTGTCCATCTTCTGTCACTTTTTGATGCTATTACACATCCATTTCTTCAAGGTTCAGTGCAGCAGGGTTTATGTCTATGCTGGAGTTTAGGTTTTGGTTTTCTGGAAGGACACCTGGAGGGCGGCTATAGAGGAGTTCCATGAAATATTGATCATAAGCCAGTTGAGATGAATTAAAAAAGACAAAAAAGAAGGGCAGATTTTGATGATCCTAAAATATTTCCATGGTTCACATACAGAAATAACTGTTTAGGCAGCCTAATGCTTGTGTTCGTTTGAAAAGCAGTCTTGATTTGTTTTCTGAAATCAAGACATGCATTTCTGACTTCGAATGAAACCACTCATTTATTATGACATATATTAAAAACTATACCGTATGCCCTTTTCATCATACTTTATGCCTTTTGCAATCAAGTAATGTATTTATATGTCTGTGTGCATATATATATATATATATATATATATATATATATATATATATTTATCTATCTATATATCCCCTGATGACTTCCCAGTGACTTTTTACACCTCTGTTTCAGAGGAGATATATAAAGATTTCAAATATTAACCCTTCTTATTGCCTGACCAGGTGCTGACCTAGATTCACACCACTCACATGGAACATTTCTCCTGCCATCTTCATCATCTGTAGCCAAAAACTTGTTTGTATTTCAAAGAATCCAGAGCTTTAGTGGGCATTTCACACATTTTTAATTATGGATAATCTACTGGAATAGGCAGAATCTGCTGCCATTCATGGAGTGATTATAAAATAAAGGCTCTCTGCTCATTATGATTCAATTCCCCTAATGTTTTAACAAAAACATAAATTAATTGTATGGGCATGTAATTGATTTTAAAGTAGGGAAGGCCTTTCTAACTATAGCAGCAGTAAAAGAATTCACAAAGGCAAAGTTTGCTAGATATTCCTGCGTAAAAATTTAAAACTTCTGGCCGGGCACGGTGGCTCACACCTGTAATCCTAGCACTTTGGGAGGCCGAAGCGGGCAGATCACGAAGTCAGGAGATCAAGACCATCCTGGCTAACACAGTGAAACCCCATCTCTACTAAAAATACAAAAAATTAGCCGGGCATGGTGGTGGGCGCCTGTAGTCCCAGCCACTCAGGAGGCTGAGGCAGGAGAATGGCGTGAACCTGGGAGGTGGAGCTTGCAGTGAGCCAAGATAGCGCCACTGCACTCCAGTCTGGGCGACAGAGCAAGACTCCGTCTCAAAAAAAAAAAAAATTCTATTTTTCATAAAACATCATTGTATCACAATATGTTTAGTTGCAAATACAGAAAATGCAATTCAAACTGGCATAGAGAGTAACAGATTTATTTCACAGAACATGAAACCTCTATTCAGCCGTCTCTTGGGTCGTCTTCCTTCTAAGTCTGGCTCCCCCTTGTGGTTGTGAGGTGGCGGCTAACAATTTCAGCCGCCACAGGTTCTAGGTTCAGGGAGAGTCGCCTCTAGAAGTCCCTTGGACATTCTCTCAGACAGGAGAGAACGTTTTTCTCTGAAACACCTAGCAAAATTCCTCCTGTTTCATTGACCTGAACCAGTAACCATGGCCAGGAAATGATAAAAGGCAAAATGCTAAGAAATCTTTGTAAATGTAATAAAAAGTTTATTTTCATATACAAAAAGCCCTTACAGATCATTATGTAAAGTAATGAACATGTTATGGACAAAAAAAAAAAAAAATAGAGAAACAATTCACAAAAGAAAAAATCTAAATAGCTAATGAATTTTTAAAAGTTGAATAACCCTAATTAAAGCAGTTTAATCGGAGCTACATTATCCCATCAATTTATTTAATTCTTTTAAACTATTTATATGGTAGATTTTGGAAATGAGGGCTTTAATGTGTGGCAGCCGAAAATACAAAGGGATTACAACAGCAATTCTGTTTTGAGAACTTTGCCATGAATCATTCATGTGCTTGAATTTATGTACAAGGATACTACTAAAATGTTACTGCATATATCACTCCAAAAAAAAGAGAAAACATCAGAAATATCTCACAATAGGGGATTGGTTAACTGAATTTCATATTTGAGTACTGCAAGGATGCTTAGAATCACATCATAGGAGGATATTTGATCACATGGGAAAATATTTCTGATATATCAAGTAAAACACATTGCAAGGCATTGTATGATTCTGTATAGTTTTGTATAAAAATGTACACAGGCATAAAAGAAAAATGAGTACATTTGACTACATAAAACTTTTTTAAAAACAACCTCTGTATGGCAGTATACCATAAACAGTATCAAGAGATCATCAACATACTGAAAACAAAACACCAGTGACAAAAGGATGGTTCACTTAATTTATGAAGAATTCATACAAATTAATAAAATAGAAACCCAAAGAAAATGGATAAAAGATAGAAATACACAGTTCACCAAAAGAATTACAAATTACTAAGAAGATATAAATTTATTTTTAAAATAATAGATTCAACAGTAATAGATGTTGATTGAAAAATTAATCATATTCCTGTTGACATTTATTTAAAATGTGTTCTGACTTGATTGTTATTATATAACTCAATTAAGAAACCTCAATTTTCAAATACTGTGTTATAAAACATTTAGGAAGAAATAGATGAGGTAATACAAGCACAAGATTATGTTTCTGGTAGGTATGATACTTTATCAGTGATAGATAGTTACAGTTATATGTACAAGTTGAATGTAACATGATTAATTAATTATGAAGACCATATAAAACTTCAACATCACAGGAGTATATCCAGCATTCTACTTTATCTAGGTTTTTCTCTATAACAGTGACATTTATTTCTGTGTCACATTATTCCAACATGAGCTACTCATTACTGTGATCATTTCTGATACCCACTGTTATGATAAACCATGCACCCAAATAACACAGTTGTATTCCCTTAGCAATATATTTTTTCTTCTTGTAATTGAGTTATGACCAGTAACAGTCTTCATAGTTAATTGTGTTATGTTCAACTTGCATTATGTAAACTTGTACTGTTGAAAAAGTATGTCCTTAATAAATATACATTGTCTTATCCTGTCATTCCCCCTTCTATCAATTACAGTCTAAGACAGGAAAATGAAAAAGAAGTATGTTTGATGTTTACCCTAAGTAAATGGGAGCCTTTTCCAGATTATTCCCTTCCCTGCAACATTCTAAAATCCCCTTTGAGGAAGCATCTTCGCCCAGTATCTCTGTTATAGTGAGCACTGGAAACTGATGTATTTTGGGATGCAGGGCTGCATTGAAGAGCACTGGTTAATGCCTACAACAAGAGCCAGGCTACTAGCAAAAACTGGAAACATGGATTACGTTTCTCTGTAGAAGCAGACTTCATAGGGCTGAAAAATGACTGTTTCCCAAAACCAAGCATTTGCCAGCAAGAAAATATTATATATGACTTAAAGAAGCTTGTGTCAAATATATTTTCTGCTTTTTATGGTGAATTATTAGTAAGAAACATACAGCAGCACAGTACAAACAAATGTCAAGAATAAGTACTTTAAAAAAAAAACCTATTCTTAATGTATGTCAAGTGTCTAGGACAAGGCATGGCACATACCAGTAAAACGATGTGTTCTCTCCCTTCTCTTGGGGTAATACCAGTCATCAGATGAAAATCAAATATAGTGTTTATCAGTTCCATGTCTACTTTGGAACAGAAAAAAACTTTGCAATAACATTTTAAAATGTTTACTCATTATCAGTAGCTGTTATGATAGAATGCTGGTATATGCTCTTATGAATCATCTAATGTTGCATCCTCAGTGTACAGGTGAAGAACCCAAAGCCTATAGAGTTTGAATTGCCTGATTTCCCAGTACTTGGTGGGAAATGCTTGCCTCTTCCTCCAAAGTAGGGCCGTTTCCACTCCACCCCCACACAGTGCCAGTCAAGGAGCTGTTCGTCAGAACGTTGAAACAGCCTCACTTTGGAGTTCAGGAATTCAAGCTTCATACATGGAAGTTGACATTGTTGTGGCATTTGATCAGATCTTACTTTTAAGGAATTAGTCATAGTTGTTTCCCAGTTATCTCATAGGCATATTTGGTTCTTCCTAGAATATCATAGATGTTTCCCATTCTAATCATTGCAGTAATATATTATACATCAAGAAAAACTGGAAGGGAAAATAATCCAAACACCAGTATTTTGTAAAGATACAAAAATATTTTCAATTTAATACATTGACACAAAACTGATACTTGGATGGAAATCCAGTTACCCCAAAACAATTAAGAACTATCGATGAGCATCTAATGTGTCATTGGGCCTATATGCAAAAGATTATCTGGAAACTGGAAACAATTATCCAGTTTTGCTATATCACTATATCACCTAGGCTAGTAACTCTTGGCCTCAAGCAATCTTCCCACCTCAGCCTCTCAAGTAGCTGGGAATACAGGCATTAGCCTCCATGCCCAGCTCTTCAAATTTTAAGTATTACATTTTTCCGAAGCCTTGTTCATCATTAATACTTTTTAGTTATCCTTTGTTTATGAGCACAAAGTTGACTTAGCTCAGCTATCAATTCCTATTTTATTTTATTGCCAAAATTTTAAATCAGATATTTTCTTCCTTCAAAACTGTTTCCCCAAACTGTGATTTCATTCTCTTATTAAAAAATGTAGCATGTTGGCGGGGCACAGTGGCTCATGCCTGTAATCCTAGCACTTTGGGAGGCCGAGGCAGGCAGATTGCCTGAGCTCAAGAGTTCAGGACCAGCCTGGGCAACACGGTGAAACCCCGTTTCTACTAAAATACAAAAAATTAGCCAGGTGTGGTAGCACGTGCTTGTAATCCCAATTACTCAGGAGGCTGAGGCACAAGAATCACTTGAACCTGGGATGTGGAGGTTGCAATGAGCCAAGATACTGCACTCCAGCCTGGGCAACAGAGCAAGTCTCTGTCTCAAAAAAAAAAAAAAAAAAAAAAAAAAAAA
This sequence comes from Homo sapiens, assembly GCF_000001405.40. Classification (NCBI taxonomy): domain Eukaryota; kingdom Metazoa; phylum Chordata; class Mammalia; order Primates; family Hominidae; genus Homo; species Homo sapiens. The sequence continues at coordinate 32,673,098 of NC_000017.11, read as the reverse complement.
AAAAAAAAGTAGCATGTTTATGTAATTCCTTACAATGGTCAACCAGAAGTTAATGAAGAAAGCCTTAACTAACCAATAAAGAGACTTTTTTTTCTTTAAAGTATGGTCGAAGCCAAAAGTTTTCAATATGTATATAGTTTGGCAACAAACCATGCTCTCTGCCTTTTACTAAGTGCAACAGCTGCAGTGTACAAAACCCACTTCCTCTCAGTGGCCACATCTCTGCCCTTTATTATTATTGGAATACTATAAACCTACTCCTATTAACAATCAGCACAATGAAAACTGTGCTGATGCCATTAGAGATCACACTCAATTCAACACTTTATGATTGGCTATAATCCAAGCACTTTGGGAGGCTGAGGCAGGTGGATCACCTGAGGTCAGGAGTTGGAGACCTGCCTGGCCAACGTGGCAAAACCCCATTTCTACTAAAAATATTAAAATTAGCTGGGTGTGGTGGTGCATGCCTATAATCCCAGCTACTCAAGAGGCTGAGGCAGGAGAATCGCTTGAACCCAGGAGTTGGAGGTGGCAGTGAGCTGAGATCACACCACTGCACTCTAGCCTGGGTGACAGAGCAAGACTCCATCTCAAAAAAACAAACAAACGAAAAAAAACCTTTATGATTGGGAATTATCTGCGTATATATGAAGAATGTAGTAGTGTAGTAGTTTGGATTATGTTTGAAACCAAGCTTCCTGTTAATTATTATAGCAAGTCCAAGTCTCTCAGAGGGAAAATTAAATAATAGGCATTATTGCTTTATATACCATTAGACTGCTTTAAGTGTGATACATTTAGGAGATGGCATGATCAATTCTTGGAGCCAGACAGAGCTAAGATACAGTTTTATCATTTACTGTGTTATCCAAAGTATATCACTCTCTTTGAACCTTAACATCCTCCTTTGTAAAATGCTAAAAACATCTGCCTATTGGGACTATTGGAAAACTTAAAATGAGATAGCATGTGTCCCCTGGCACAGAGCCCAGCACATGACTGGCACTCACTCCCTTCCCTTCCTCCAATCTGCCAAATACCACATCATGTTTGTTCTGTAATTTTTGTTTCCTTATGCAGGGCCAGGACTCAAATGTAAAATTTAAGGCGGTACCAAAAATGTGGTCAGGATAGATAATATGTTCATGCAATATTTTTAAAAATCTGAAATTAATGGAACAAATCTGTGGTGAACAAAAGATCAAACTTTTAAATAAAGACGGGATCCATATTATTGAACTTTTTCCTTTTGCCTCAGGCTCCAATATGGCCCGACATGGCACAGCCTTTATATATAACTCAGTGCAGGTTAACATATGAATTAACTTAGCATCCATTAAACATGTTTCCAGTTTTTTAAATTAGCACAGACTAATTTACATACTCATAAAATTGCCATCATTTTCAATTTTTATATATACTCACCAATATTCAGAAAGCACAAGTACAACAAACTCCTTAGAAGAAAATTCAAATTTTTAAAAAAGGTATAATGACCACTCTTGCTTATGTAAAATTGTTAAAAATACATTGTGCAGTTGTTCTCCACTATCCCTTAAAGATACCTGTTGTTTTATTTTGAAATAATTTTAGATTTACAGAAAAGTTGCAAGAATAATATAAAGAATTCTTATGCCTTTCGCCCCAGCGCCCAAATGTTAAAATTTTAACTATATTTGCTTTATCATATTGACACAGGATTTTTCTTGGCCCCTTTGCTAGACTCGCAGCCCGGGCACCCTGTCTACTTGGCCCACTGCACTCAGCCCCTGGCAGGAGGGAGCACGTGGGCGAGCGAGTATGGGATCTGGCTGGCCGCTCCAAGCACCAACATAGAAGCAAGCTCCATGCAGGGTCCATGACCAAACCAGGCATATTACCCCCAGGGGAATGCAGTGATGCCCAGGCAGGGGTGCCTATGACTCCAGAGCCCCAAAGGGAGTGTTACAATATGCTTATTAGCTCTTTTAGCTCTGCCATCTGCAGCCCAACAAACAGGGATGTGTTAGCAGCTCCATCAGCCTTTTGCCCCACTCTGGCCTGCAGCTCCGGGACAGGCATGGCCCTGGGCCAGCTCAGGACCACCACTGCTTCTCTTCTATGGGGTGGCTGCTCTCCATTGACACAGGCAGAGGGTCAGTGTTACAGCCTTTCTGAATATCTGGTCCTAAGCTCTTGTCCTGCATCCAAGAAGAATGAGGTCATGCTGACAATTGAAGGGTGGTAAAGGCAGAACATTTTATTGAGCAACAAAACAGCTCTCAGTAGAGAGGGGACAGGCGGGTCAGATCATCGCTCCAGTGTGGCTGAGTCTGGGGCTTTTATAGGCACAGGATAAGGGAGTGCATGCTAATTGGTTTGTGAGTATGCAAACATGGTTAAAACAAAGGCACCAGTCGAAAGTGGACATGGTGTAAAAACAGGGAAGGGTATATGTAAAATAGGTGAAAGGTGGGGATCAATCAAAGGAAAGCACACCAAATGGGAAGACAGGTTCTCAGTCTCATCCATGGATTTGACTTGTAGCTTGGACTTCAGGCTTTAAGCTGTTTTTGGCTTGAAGGTAAGGTCGCACCAGGGACCCACCTATGTCTGCCTAGGATTTCTCTGTCTCCTGCCTCTATCAATGCTTGTTCTTTGGTTCTCTCTCTCTCTCTCAATCTGTATATGTGTATATCTGTGTATATAGATCTATTTGTGTGTATATATACAATTGGTTTTGGAACTATTTGAGAGTAATTTGCACATGTAATACCCTTTACCCCTAAATATTTCATGTATATTTTCTAAAAACAAGAGCATTCTCTTCTGTAACTATAGTATAATTATCAAAATCAGAAAATTCACACTGATACAATGATATTTTCTATGAGTTTACTTGGTTTAGGAAAATGTCTTTCAGCCAGGCACAGTGGCTCACACCTGTAATCACAGCACTTTGGGAGGCCAATGAGGGCAGATTGCTTGAGGTCAGGAATTCGAAACCAGCCTGGCTTACATGGCAAAACCCCGTCTCTACTAAAAAAAGACAAAACTTAGCCAGGCATGATGGTGCACACCTGTAACCCTGGGCTACTCAGGAGGTTGAGACAAGAGAATCGCTAAAACCAGGAAATGGAGATTGCAGTGAGCCAAGATCACACCACCGCAACTCCAGCCTGGGTGATAGAGTGAGACTCCACCTGAAAAAAAAGAAAAAAGAAAAAGAAAATGTCTTTCCTGACAAATGTGTATGCCTCTTATTAGCTAAATAAAATGTGTATAAAATACCCCATTTCTGTTACTGCTTTGACTTTTAATTAAAGTAAGCTTTATACACAATAGCTTTCATAGTCTAGGTTTTCTGGTATAATTACTCTTTATCTTATTTGAATAATTCTTTTATTTTGTTTGATTTCATTGCTTCCCAAAAGGATAGAACCTGGTTCTTTGGAAATTGTAGAGCAGGAAAACACTTCCTCTACCTGCTTAGATTCAGTGCCTGGGGCCTGCAAATTTAACTCACAAAAGACAGATTAACTGGAGAAAAGGCATACAATTTTTACTGATGTAAGGATTTTATATGCACAGGAACTTCACAGAAAAGAAGTGAAAAACCTAAAGAAGTGGTAGACTCAGGGTCTTATATACCATTTTAAAGAAAGGCAATAAAATGTGACTAGACATGAGATAGGGGATCTGGGATTCTAGGGCCAGTAAATTGTGAGAAAGTGACTAGGAACTGCATGAAAGGAAGTAATGGAAGATAAAGGCTATTTTAGTAAGACCTATTTATGTAGACTCATCTCGATGTGGACTCTTCCTCTCTGGTGGTGAGAGTGTTCTTATCTTCCTAGTACAAGGAGAGGGCACTTTTCTCATGGGAAATATATCCTTTTCAGGGAGATAGGGGAAGGGCAGAGAGCTTTTCCCACATCTACTATTTCTTAGTTGTCTTTAGCTCAAAATAATCTTTATGCCAAAGTGGCATAATTTTGGGTGGCATATCCTGATCCCCTTCAACATTAGTACTCTGTGTACAAAGAAATCTGTAGTCAGTTATGGTTTTTTTCAATTCTGTTAAAGGAGATTTACATAAAAATTCTCAGAGCTTCGGCCAGGCGCAGTGGCTCACACCTGTAATCCCAGCACTTTGGGAGGCCAAAGCGGGTGGATCATGAGGTCAGGAGATCAAGACCATCCTGGCTAACATGGTAAAACCGCGTCTCTACTAAAAAATACAAAAAATTAGCCAGGCGTGGTGGCGGGCACCTGTAGTCCCAGCTACTCAGGAGGCTGAGGCAAGAGAATGGCATGAACCTGGGAGGCGGAGCTTGCAGTGAGCCGAGATCACGCCACTGCACTCCAGCCTGGGCGACAGAGTGAGACTCCATCTCAAAAAAAAAAAAAAGAAAAAGAAATTCTCAGAGCTTCTAATGTGCTAATGTACACCATGAATCTCCATAAAGGGAATTGCAGTATGTAGCTTTTCCAAACTTATTGAAATTGGAACCCTTTTTTCGGGGAGCATTCCAAAAGCCCTGTGTTCCAGAATGTACTTTTAGAACTCTGTGGAATCAATGTTAGGGTATACCTTTGGCTGGATCTTTCAAATATCAGCTATTTTGGCAATCTAGAGAACTAGTCAAAATTGAGATTATTTGCAAACCACTAAAGCAAATGTATACTGTGTTATTATTTTGATGGAGTACTGTGTGTTTTGAATGCTGGGCATTTGTCACACAAGGTCAAAGCCTGACCTGTACTCTTTACCAGGTGGTAAGCCACCTCGCTATCAGACAGAGGTAGACTTGGAGATGGTAGAGGCTGTAGGAGTCTCCTGAAAAAGCTGAAATATTGCCAGACACCACTTTGGATCTGCTCAGATGCTCAAACTCTTGACCAAAACTCTGTAGTTCTACATCAAAATGCAGTTTAGATAGTCTTGAGAGATTTTCAAGATGAATTACCAAGTTTTTACCTCCTCTTTTAAGAAAACAAAACCAAACAAAAGAAAGCAGTCACTTTCCTACAGCTCCACAGAGTGTTTACAAGATTGAATCCTGGAAAATCTGTCAGAGTTACTTAACCTATTATCTGGAGTAATTTTATTTTCATTTGTCTGCAAAATAATTGCGATTTGGGTTTCAATAGTGTTGATATTGGGCTGTTCTTCTGATAGTAATTGACCAAAAGGTTCAATTACTTCTTGAAGTTACAGTTATAAGGAGGCTGTCAGATCATGTCATCATCATAGTGAAGAAATCATTAATAGGCAGCAATTGTGTGCACTAAAGAATTGCAAGGTTAATGAATCTGGACAAGGCCATATATATAAAATGGGCATGTCCTAAACGAAGGTTCATGGGTCAATTAACTCGGCAAGTTAGTCTCCCAGACCAAGGTAAGACAGCTCAGGGGTGGTCACTTCTAAATTATGTTCCACCAAGCACATACCAATACCACCACCTGCAATAGTTAAGTTCATCAGGACGGCTTGTAATGATCAGACTCACATGTACTTTTTGTGTGTGTGTGGCTCTTCATTTTAATGATTTTTACATTTGTTTATTGACTAAAGATTTGGTTCTTTTGTGTCTTAGATTTATCGTATGTCTTCCAAAATATTATTAATTTATCTGTAAAACGAAGGAATTTTGTGTCAGGAATTAAGCTAATAGCCTATAAATTATATTCACTGGATTATATTTTCTTCTTGTTACATATTAACCTGCTAGTCCGGTAAAAACATGAGCACCAGCATTTTAAAAATAGCATATCAAGTCTTTATTCATTTTGTCCCTTATAGAAATGGAAGAGGAATAATTCAGAAAGATTTTTCTGTCTCTGAGTCTTCCTTTAAAATAGCTCTTAGAGCCACACCCTTCATCAGTCAATCATGAAATATCCTAAATTGAATGTGACTGTCATATTCTAAATTTGATGGAATGTGTCCATACCAAATTTTGTATATTTATAATTTGCTCAGAGTTCATTCAACGAGAGTTCATTATTTACATAAATAAACCCTCCTCTACCACAACTTTTTAACAACCGTAAGGTGTCAGAACTCTGCCCAAATAACCATATGGGTTATGTAGACTTATCTCAATGTGGACTCTCAAAGTTCCCCATTATGTAGACTCATCTCAATATGGACATCTCGAAGATCCCCATAGGGGGAACTTAAAGATAGAAATGGAAGAAAGATGCTTCTAAAAATTGTCCTTAGGCATGGAGGACCTGAGAAGCTAGGAGCTGAAATGTTGAACAATTCTGTTTGTGGAAACCAAGAGAATGTCTAATTCAGAGTACCAGGGAGCTGTGAAGTAGTGATTTATATTGACAACAAGACAGAAAGAGCCCCCAATGCCCATAATGACTAGAATTTTGAAAAACAAAACAAAACAAAACATGGGGAACTAGGAGAAAAAAAGGAAAGCTGACCTGTGTTTGATTCTGAGACGAAACGGAAGATACATAATTGCCCTACTTCTTAATAGAGTGCAACCTAGAATCCTACTTTTTTTTGCAAAGTTTAATGACTGTTAGATGTTGCTTTGAAACGTCTGACTGCTGAAGAAGTATGCAGCAGAAGAAAAAATGGTAGAATTAAGATGGCATTATGAAACATCTGGTTAAACATGACAGTTGTGTTTATATCCACTCTCTTAACATCTCGAAAAGAGCAGAAAAGGAATAAAAATTGGATAAACCTACGAGGACAAATAGTACCATAGTGGAAACAACAGAAGACAAGAGGTGTCAGCATAAGTTTAGAAGTAAGTAAATGAGTCGTTACTCCCAGGCAAGTGCCTGCAGAGAACAAGGCAAACAGGCAAGACAGTTTGCCTTGTTCTGACTGTAGGGCTGTAGAAAGATTCTAGACTGGGAAGGACTGGGTGCCTCTGTAGGTAGGGATGAGGGGTGGCCCTGACAGAGGAGGTTGGTTAAAATCTATATAAAGAGGAATTAGACACTAGGTCTCTCCCCAGACCACACAAAGCTAAGGGACTACCTCAGCCTCATTCTGATAGATGGCAAGAAGTTTCTTGTCTGAGTAAATTGAACAGGATTTAGAGAAGTTCTGAACTTAGGGACACCAGGCTTAGTGGAGGAGAGGGGTCAGGTACCATATTGAGACCAAGGATATTAAATGAAAGTATAGACACTGAGGAGTAAGATTCCCCCCACCACCCACCCCAGACCCCTTCACTCTGAGGATTCTGGCAGGAAAGAGAAAACACTTCATGATCCTGACATTCTGGGGTTCCCCACAGATGGCTACTCCCAACCTAATCACCCTGTAGTGAAGTTCCCCATCCATGAAGCACTTATACAGAGCTTCTAAGGGCTGTTCACCCTTCAGTGAGAGTGGAGGGCCAACGATCCCTATACATTTGAGGAAGGCCTTGGGCAAGGCCAAGACTAAGACAAACAGGAAAACTGGGGATTTAGAGGTAACAGGTGCAATACAAGGAACAGTGCAAAAAATAAAACCATAAGTTATATACTCAGAGGTGGGATGAGATGTTGCATTCATAAAGTAAGAGCAACATGCTTTTAAAAGAAATATTACAAGAGCAAGGATGAGCTCTTGAAGATGGAAAATGTGACAGCCGAAGTGAAAGATTCAATATCAGACTTGGAAGATGAAGTAGAATACATTCATTCATTCGGCAAATATTATTAACTAGGTCCTTGGCATTGTTCCAAACAGTGGAAATACATCAGTGAGCAAAACAGACAAAGATCCCCAGCCTAGTGGCCCTTAAATTCTAGTGGGAGAGAGCATAAATAACACCATAATATGTAAGTTACGTGATATGTTGGAAGGGATTGAGTGCTGGGGGAAAAAGAAAAAGCAGAGCATGGTAAGGAGAATTAAGAGTGCTGGGCGGGTCGGGGGGCGGGGAGGTGGAGACAAGTTGAACTTTTAAATCAGAAGGCCAGGGCTGGCCTCCCTTGGGAAGGTGACTACTGAGCAAAGATGCAGAGAATGAGGAAGTCAGCCATCTGATGGCTGGGAGCAGATTATTCCAGGCAGAGGGAGCAACTAGCACAAAAGCCCTGAGACAAGAGGATGCCTGGCCTGTGTAGGGTCCAGCAGGGAGGCCAGTATGGCGGGAGCGAGCAGGGGAGAGGACAGCGGGAGATGAGGTGGGGAGGAGACAGTGTCAGACCACATAGGGCCATGAACGCTATAGGAAGGACTTTGGCTTTTCTGCTCAGGGAAATAGCCACTGCAGAGTTTGAGCAGAGAAGTGACATGATCTGGCTTTGGTCTTAAAAGGATCACTCTGGCTGCTGTGTTGAGAATTGGCACCTCAGTTGCAAGGATGTGTGCAACGCCATGCCAGCATTCTCTGTTTATACCTGAGTCGTTCCCTGTCAGCAGGCCTCTCTGTTTGCCGCTGTCCTCTTTTCTGAGAAATGGTCCCTTGCTTGCTCCTCTGTCAGTATGCTCTCTACCCGATATCCTCTGCTGACTTCACCTCGCAGGTCCCAGTGTGTGTCCTTCAGCTCCCACTCCTCTGGCCTCATATCCTAAAGCATGTAACGTCTGGCTGGTTCTACTTTTGTGTTAATATTGTTTGAAGCAGGGCCCCTTTTGGCTCCCTTGTTTGTTGAACCTCTCAGCCATATGCAAATAAGTATTAAGCACTTGTTTTTTAATATAACATTTAATTTTCTGCTTTCTGAGGCTTTGTCATCAGGCACAGTCCTTTACAAACGTAAGCTTTGTATGACTCAACAAACTCAACAGTTTAAGCTGCTTTAAACAAAGAGAGAAAACAGGAAAATCTGTCTTATACCTTAAATTCCAAAGCTGCAGACCCTTGGTGGGAAAACCAACCAACAACCCTCCTGCCACACATACACACAAACTTTTATGGAAGCGTATCTATTTAAACCAAATATGCTTAGATTATAAGGGAAAATGCATGAATCATTTTTTCCTGTAAAATCATTTTCCTCTGTAGTTTTCAATGCTTGTCCTTTGATGTTAAAAAATAGAGCCTAAGGGACTTCTCATAAAGTTGGTGATATAACTGCAGGTTCACAAAATTTCCTTCCCACAGAATTGTGTAAGATTAACAAATATCAAATGTAAAAATAACAAAGAACATGCCATCAACCCCGAAACCAAGAAAAGATTCCAACTCCATACCATCAACTTTGAGAAGTGTCATCCAAAAAAAGAAAACTTGGGCCAAATTGAAAGAAGATGCTTTTAAAAAATCGATATGTTCTTCAAAGAGAAGAATGGAGCATGGAGAAGTACAAGGAGGAAATTCTGAAAAGTCGTACTACTTTTGAAGGTGCTACATTCAGTATAAAGGTGTACCAGAGGGAGGGCTTAGAATACCCCACACCTTCATCGGGGACCCTTTCTTTCATCAAGAAGACTTCTTTCACAAGCAAGAAGAGTAGGCAAGGTTTGCCATCTTTCCTGCCTCTGATATATCAATAAGTGGGTGTAAAATGAGGAAAGCCTCTGCAAGCAATGATTATTACAGCCGAACCAAGGAAAAGCTCCACTAGACATGAAAAAGGAACACTTGGCCCCATAACAAGCCAAAAGCCTATGATACAACCCAGATTTGAAGCAAACCTCTGATGCATTTATTTCATAGAATGAAGTAAAGCAGTTACTTAAAGCCCCTGCATGCTCTCCTCTCCTCTTAGGCAACTGAATGACTGGATAAGGTGTATAAACCATGGACACCAGTCCATGTTATAGGTGGAAGAATAAAACAATATCAAATCAGGCACTGTTTGGGGGCAAATGGCAGACTGAGAAAGAATGACTTAACATTTACTAAACAGTTTTCAGGTCACACTGACAAGTGACGGAGGCAAAAAATCTGCACATACAAAAAAAGAAAGTAGCACAATTGCCGGGTGCGGTGGCTCACACCTGTAATCCCAGCACTTTGGGAAGCCAAGGCGGGTGGATCACAAGGTCAGGAGATCGAGACCATCCTGGCTAACACAGTGAAACCCCGTCTCTACTAAAAATACAAAAAGTTAGCCAGGCGTGGTGGCAGGTGCCTATAGTCCCAGCTACTCAGGAGGCTGAGGCAGGAGAATGGCGTGAACCCAGGAGGTGGAGCTTGCAGTGAGCCAAGATCACGCCACTGCACTCTCGCCTGGGTGACAGAGTGAGACCCTGTCTCAAAAAAAAAAAAAAAAAGAAAAGAAAGTAGCACGACCCACTAAAGGTAAATAAAGAACAGACTTTCAAATAGTCATAACAGCCTATGCTTATTGGGCACTGACTACTCACCAGGCACTATTTTAAGTGTTGCGTATGTATTAACTCCATTAATCCTCATAACACTACAAGGTAAGCACCATTATTATCCCCATTTTACAGCTAAGAAAACTAAGGCACAGAAGGAAGCTTGCCCAAGTTTACACAGCTCTTTTTTTTTTTCTTTTGAGACAGTCTCGCTCTGTCACCCAGGCTGCAATGCAATGGTGCGATCTCAGCTCACTGCAGCCTCCCCTTCCCAGGTTCAGGCGATTCTCCTGCCTCAGCCTCACGAGTAGCTGGAATTACAGACGCGCACCACCACACTTGCCTAATTTTTTGTATTTTTTAGTAGAGACGGGGTTTCACCATGTTGGCCAAGCTGGTCTGGAACTCCTGACCTTGTGATCCGCCCACCTTGGCCTCCCAAAGTGCCGAGATTACAGGCGTGAGCCACCGCGTCCCGCTGCGCAGCTCTTAAGAGTGGGACCAGGATTTGAAAACAGGCAGTCTGAGTCCAGAGCTTGTTCTCAACTACTCTGCTTTTATAACTCAAGAAACAGACAACATTTTAGACAACTGCTTTTTACTTTCAAGGAAACTTAAGAGAATAGAAATGTATTGGCCATACACCTTTTCTTGAAAGCTACTGGGCGTGGGGCGGTGGGGGAGAACTCGGATCCAACGTGGAAGAGTAGTTTAAAAAGCCCCAGGATAGGGAACTGTTCAGTGGATACAGGTAATATCAAAGAAAAAGATTCAGTTAATGTGCCTGACAAGTAAAAAAATTACTGCTAATCATTTGATGGGTCTGTAAGAGCATTTGGCAAAAATTAGCAGTAGGTTTATAGTAAATAAAGCAAATTTTAAAAACAAGGCAGTTACTAATGATAGGTAAAAACAAATACACACAATAAAGAAAGAACATTCATACTTCTTAGCACAGCAATGAACCAAATATATGTGTAATATATAACACAATGCAATATAACATATACATATCATATGTAAATTATTCAATATATAATAGAGTTAATATAGGTAATGTAAACATACTTTAACTATGATTGGGAAGGTAGATGAGAAGAAAGAATGATGGTGAGAGAGCTAAATCTCCATCTTGTGTGATTTGGATAGTGTCTAAAAGGATCAACCAAGAAATCATAATATACGTGGTTTTTTGGGGGGGTATTTTTTTTTTTTGGGACAGGGTCTCACTTCCATCGCCCAGGCTGGAGTACAGTGGTGCAATCTTGGCTCACTATAGCCTCAACTTCCTGAACTCAGGCAATCCTCCCACCTAAGCCTCCTGAGAAGCTGGGACTACAGGTGCACACCACCACACATGGCTAATTTTTCTGTATTTTTGATGGAGACAGGGTTTCACCATGTTGCCCATGCTGGTTTCAAACTCTTAGGCTCAAGTGATCCTCCCACCTCAACCTCCTAAAGTGCTAGGATTATAGGCATGAGCCACCACACCTAGCCATATTATCTATAAATATGACAGTAAATATGGAAGAAGCATCTAAAATAGTTTGTGTTGATTGAGACTGGAGGTAGGGAGGTGGGTTTAGAAGGATGAAGAGAAGGGCTAGTGTGTTTTTTTATATGCATTTTTGTGCTATTTCATTTTTTCAACTATTAAAAACCTAAATAAGCCAACACAGATGAAATTATAAAGGTTGTCAGAAAAGACCCCCTTTATAAAGTAGGTTTCTTGTAAAAGAAATAAATTACTGCTTAAAAAGTACTTACTTATAAAATGTTTTTTTCAATTTGCTAAAGAAGCTAACCAAAAACATTCTAATAGGAAGCTCTATAAAACACTTCTTGAAAATTAAAGATTGATATCCTTTATAGATGTGGCTCCAAGGAGTCTTAAATTCCTCCCAATAAAAGAAAAAAGCAACAAACAGTAGGAAACTTAAAAATGTGTTTTGTCTAAGAAATTAAATCACATACTTTCACCCTGTAATTGTATTTTTTTGGCTTTTCAAGATGCTAAAGAAGGGAGCTTTATTTTTGCACTTGGGTGGAGGCGTAACAAAGCCATCTGTACAGTGGATTTGGCTACAAGGAAGGGAGCCATTTTGACTAAAAAGGGCTGCTGTACTGACGCCACATGAGATGACGAGTTAGTTTTTATTGCCTCATTGTCTTTAAACATTCTGTTTATATGTGAACTCTAGGTTACCATCACAAATTGCCCATGTGTCATGTTTCCCTTAAATGTTATGGTTTTTCTTGACCCATTGGGGTCCCTTGATGATCTTCTTGCACGTAGTGTGCAAACAAATCTGTATCGTGCAGCAGGCTGAAAAGGGAGAACACTGCAAGCACATGGTGTACTTTAGGAGTCCGCATGAGGACAAACCTAAAACAACTGAGTCAAATGAGGCATTGTGCAAGTTTTGCTTAGAGGAATTGGTGGGCACAGACGGGGATTTTTAAGAAGAAATAAAAGAAACCTGAGGGAGTCTGCAGAACCCATACTGTGGGCTTTGAACTAGAGGTTGAAAATCTTGGCTCTGAAAGGCCAGGGACTAGGGAGGGAAATAATATAATCAACCTAAGAGTTGGAACAGTTATTTAAGTAGCAGCAATAAATATACTGGGGCATGATGGCGATGTGTACAAGGAGTTCATCGAAGAAAGCAACTAGGGTTGTTTGGCATCTTGGAGACTGGTAGCAGAAAGGGAAAGAAAGGGGTTTACACTTCCATATTGTGGAAGAAGGAGTAAAGTGGTGGTGGAGAGGATATACAGGGGAAGAGCCAGTGATTAATTGAAGATCGCACCAAATTTGTTTTTGCTTGAGAAGTTGAGAAATATGGGTACCTGACAAAGGATCCTGAAAAAAAATAAGTATCTCTGACTTTACCATGCTTGGATGAAGTTGGCATTGAGGCGTTTATATAGTGTCATTGATTTGTGAGCACTGAAAAACTTTTAACAAAGATTCACAGGATATTAGTACGTAATCTGATTTACCCTTTACCCATGAATCTTTGAGAGTTTACATAGTGCCGCGGGAGAGGAGGTGCACAGGCTGTGTGTAAATCAGTTTGTAAATCCAAAGTGGCGTTACACCAGTGGCCAGCATGTATAATCTATGTAAAGTTAGGTTTCACAAGAAAACTATAGATGCTTATGGCATGATGTTCTGACTCATCTCGCTTCCCTTCAGCATTCCTAAAATATTTATCCAAAGATATTTGCATTTTGGCTTTCTTCTTTTCATGACAGTAGAGTTAAAACAGGACTCAGCTTCAGGCTCAGCACACACTTCAGTGTAGAATAATGAGCAGCTAGACAGCTGAAACAAAATGACTGATGTGACTCCCCACGCCATCTGTTGGTGGCAGGTGGAACTGACATGCTTTGGCTCTGGCTGATTTTTGTGCACACTTGCAAGTTGCCTGGTTGAGTTTGTAAGTAGAGGAGCTGCTATAATATCAAAGCCATCCACAACTCAGCCGGTCAATAACGTTTTCCTTTTTCTTTCTCTATTGTGAAGGTGTGGCGGGGCACCCTGGCCCGCATGCGGTACAAAAGAACCAAGGCAGCTCTGACAATAATCAGGTACTACCGGCGCTACAAAGTGAAGTCGTACATCCACGAGGTGGCCAGACGCTTCCATGGCGTCAAGACCATGCGAGACTACGGGAAGCACGTGAAGTGGCCAAGCCCTCCTAAAGTTCTTCGCCGTTTTGAGGAGGCCCTGCAGACGATTTTCAATAGGTAAGAACGTGCTGCTGTGTGCTGCATCCATTTATGGTGGCACAGTTAATACTATGCAAAGTCACAAGTCTGAGACCGTGATATTGACTCAGCTATTTGCTGTTATGACATTTACCTTTACCTTATGTTTTCAGTTTTGTAGATTTGGCTTTCAAAGAGCATCTGCTTACCCCTCAAAATAAAGGAACTGCCAATTTGTTTTTCCTGTAGCAGCTGACAGCAATGTGCCACAACCCCTGGACACAAGCCATAGTTAAGATAAGCTACTAGCATGCTGTTTCTACTTACTTTTATTAGCTAAAAATAAAACCACCACGCATAACTCAAACTAGAAAATCCATTAATCCTTTCAAAGCAGTGGTTCTCAATTCTGCTGCACCTTAGAATAACAAGGAGTTTAGGAAATATGCCAGCACCCAGGTCCTACCACCAGAGAGTCCTGTTTAATGGCGCTGGAGGGGTGGGGCCCAGGCAGAGGTCCTTTTTTAAAGTTTCCCACGTGATTTTAAAGTGCAGCCAAAGGGGAAAATAACTGTTTTTAGAGCGAGCTGTCTTTTAAATAAATAAAAACCCAAGTAAAATTTGGTACCTTTCCAACTGGTCTTTATTTTTTTATAACCTGCCCTGGATCTGAGTGTGTAGTTATTCCAAGTCCTTTCTCCTTGCTTTTTGAGCTTATTTATTGCCAGTATACACCAGATATATTTAGTTCTGTCTTAGATACAGCCATCTAGTCACATAAACTAAGCTACTTCTTCTCAAATATAGTCATTTTATCATGATACTCCATAAAGAACACTTTGAACTAATTGATATGCTGAATGTACAAGAACTAATGTATAATTCTGTGCTAAATCAGATGTTATCTTCTTTAGATTTTGCTTGAAATATAATTGATGGAAGGTATCAAAAGATAAAGAAAAATGCATGGAAGAAAACTCTTTAATATATATCTCATATGCTTTTTTAAAAAAAGAAATAATTGCTCATAAGAAGAAAAAATACAGAATTATTGAAAACAAAAGTACCTCAACCTTCAGTTCTCAGATATAGTACTATAAATAATTAGTTTTCAATCTTGGCAGGCTTTTTACGTAGTCACATATGATTTGAGCATTTTTTTCCCCTTTTTTACACAGATAAGATTATATGTATGGCTATATGACTTTACTCAAAAATAAGTCTTGAAGATCTGTCCATACCAATAAAGATCTGTGTAAGATTTTAAGAGCTGCAGGAGATTGTTATTGATTTTGATTAGATTGCACTACAGCCTATACAGTCTTCTATTTAGATTTTGAGGTTTTACTTGTGGTCTAGAATTGATTGTTTTGTACAAAATTCAATGTACTCATTCAGCAAATACTTACTGAATGTCTGCTGTGTTGCAGGCACTGACCTAGGTTTCAGGGATATGGTGACAAACAAGAAAGATGTGAAAGACAGTCCCAGCCTTCCCAGGCCTTATAATCAATGGCATTTGAAACTAACAGGTCTGCTACATTTGTTCTGTATACGCACACGTGCGTGCACACAAGCACACTCGCACGCGCACACACACTGAATCTTGCCAGTTGTGTCCATCTAGTCCAGGGTTCTGCAAACTTTTTCTGAAAGAGCCAGATATTAAGTATTTTAGGCTTTGTAGGCTACAGATGGTCTCTGTCACATATTCTTCTTTGTTTTGGTTTTGGTAAACATGTAAAAATGTAAAAACTATTCTTAGCTTGTGGGCAGTACCAAGACAGACCATTGGCCAGATTTGGCACAGGCTATAGTTTGCCAACCCCTGATCTAGGCACTATCAGGAATTTTTTGATCTGTGGAATACAGAGAGAGATGTATTAAAGAATTCTACTGTGATTGTAACATTCTTATGTTTGTTTTTCTAAAATCTCAATGTGCATCTAATCATGTTTCAGTTCACTCCTGTTCTTCACAGTAATTCTTTTTAATTGAGCTTTCTCCATGCCTGGCTTTGTCCCCTTTTCATGTCATTGAGGCTGGTGATTTTTATGGCTGCAGCTGTTGTTGGCTACACGTATTTATAGACAGCAGTTTGCTTGATTAGGATGAGAAGCATGGGTGGCTTTCTCCATGGTTGTATAGGTCAGGTCCTGAATCCCCCAGTGTGCTTCTGTGGCCTTTGGAGTCAGTCAGGGACAGACCTTGTCCTGAGCCACTGTGGGCAGTGAAGACAGGACAGGCTGACCAGGTTTGTAGACTGGAAACAGACCAGTAGACAGAGCAAAGATGTCTCTCCACCAGTCATGAAATTTGGAGATCAAGGGCTGATTCGAGAAGTTGCTTAGGAAGCCACTGAGTATTGTAAGACCCACCTGTCACAGCGTCCTTGACTTTGACCACCAACTGCTCTAAGTCTGTCACTCTTTTAGTCTCTTCTGGAATGATCTTAGGACAGTCTGTCTTGTTGGAGTGTTGGTTGTCCATAGGAAGTAAAGAAAGGATTCCACTATTCTACTGAGCCATGACTTCTTCATGGTTGTTGCTTTGGCAACCTACTATCTCTGACCAACATGTGGCCTGCCTCACTGCAGCCAGCCATTCCATGTGCAGGGAACAGGCACAGCTTTCACCTTAAAATCCTTCATCTCCTGCCCTTGCTACCAGTCCCTGCCACTTCAGGCTTCAGGATTCTCATCTATCCCTCTGAGGGGTTTTCTCCTTCCACTGAGTAGAGTGCACTGCCCTGAGTGAGCCGCTTCCCCATCAGCTGGATCCCATCTGCTTTGTGTCTTCCAGAAAGTCATTACACTTTCTACTTTATTGACATTCCCATTTTCTGGTGTTGTTATAAATGTTTCCTTATTTTTATATTTATTTGGTTATTTCAGTGGGAATTTTCCATTTTAGTTAAATCTCATTCTATGGAAACAAGTTTGAGAACAGCCGGCCTTGATTATTCGTCTGATCAAAAGGAAGTTCTCTGTTTGCTTCCAACCTCCGTACTTCAAGCTCCTGTGGCAGAAGAGAGGATATAAGCATCGTGCAGGGCTAGGGTGCCGCCAAGCGCATAAGAGAACTTGTACCTGTTTTTTCCCAATCAGGAACAGGTTATTTTTGGTTTAAGCTTTCAGTTGCTTAGCCAAAAAATTTTGGAGTCATCCTTAAATCCTCTCTGGCCCCCACATCTAATCCATTGTCAAATTCTGTTTGTTCTTCCTTCAGAAATATGCAGAACCAACACTTACCTCCACCTCCACCTCCACCTCCCTGATCCAAGCCACCTTACTCTAGCATGTGTGTTTCGGAAATAGCCATCTAACAGGTCTTCCTGTTCCCAGCCTATAGCAACCACAATGACCCTTTTAAAGCATGAGTCAGGTCATGTCCCATCTTTGTTCCAAACCTTCCGATGGCTTCTCATCTCATTCAGAGGAAAGGCCAAAGTCCTCATCATGGTCTCATGGCTTTGTGGATTCTGACCCTGACTCTCCCAGCTCCTTACACTGCTCCTCTGACGCACCAAGCAAGCTCACATCCCGGAGCCTTTGCACTTGCTGTGTTCTCTTCTCTTCCTAGAACACTCTGGTGCAGGTCTCCGTATGACCAGCTCCCTCACGGCCTGTAGGTCTCTGCTCATCTATCCTTATCAGTGGTGCCTGCCCAGACCACCCTATATAAACCACCCTATATAAACCACACCCACTCTGCATTCCTTCCATCTTCCACACTCCCGGTCCTCCTTGCCTTACCTTCACCATCCTACATACTATATGTCTACTCATATATTTGCTATCTGTCACTTCTCTCCAGAAGACAAGCAGCTAGCAGAAAGGACCTTTGTTTTGCTTATTACTGTGCCCCCACTGCCTACAACAGCACTGGGAGTTTAGCAGGCACCTAGAAAACCTTCGTTGAATGAATGAATGATGAATCCAATTTTCTATGCCCTAAATATAAATATTATGAGAGCCCATGTATCACTAAGTTCTAGTTGCTTTCAAAACACACAAACAACAAAGCAAGTTTTAGGAAAGATCTGTCTACATAAAATGATATGTATTTTAGCAACTTCTGTGTGTATTTTGGAGGCATTTTACTTTTTTTAGCATGCCAGTGCTTTGATTTCATTCTACTTAATGACAGCTTCAGTTATTTTTGAGAATGCATGGAGCCCAGGCGTGGTGGCTCATGCCTGTAATCCCAGCACTTTGGGAGGCCGAGGCAGGCAGATCACTTGAGGTCAGGAGTTCAGGACCAGCCTGGCCAACATGGTGAAACCCCATCTCTTATAAAAATACAAAAATTAACCAGGCATGGTGGCACACACCTGTAATCCCAGCTACCCAGGAGGCTGAGGCAGAAGAATCACTTGAACCTGGGAGGCAGAGGTTGCAGTGAGCTGAGATCATGCCATGCACTCCAGCCTGGGAGATGGAGGGAGACTCAAAAAAGAAAAAAAAAAAGAGAGAGAGAATGCATGGGATTGCATTTCTAAAGTCTAATACATGTTGTCTATTTACTTGTAGATGGAGAGCATCCCAGCTCATCAAGAGCATTCCGGCCTCAGACCTGCCCCAGGTCAGGGCAAAGGTTGCAGCCGTGGAAATGTTGAAGGGTCAAAGGGCTGACCTCGGGCTCCAGAGGGCCTGGGAGGGCAACTATCTTGCTTCAGTAAGTCCAAGGGAACAAAGTGAAATCTACTTCTACTTCCTCTACTAAAAAAGAGAAGTACATATCTCCAAAGAATTTGCAGAAAGGATAAAACACTTTTAGAAACTAAATAATTTCTATGAGATACTAAAACATTTTATTGCTTCTAAATGTACAGTATTTGATGTTTCTCCCGTGTTTAAAAGGGTTCTGTGTGTTGTATCCATATGTATTAAATACACTCTATAACCTGGCCTTTGACCATTTAAACCTTCCCTTACATCATTCAGTGACGATTTTTTAATTACTACCTTTATATTAATTATTCCCAGAGCTACACTTTATCCTCTCTCCCATTCCCTATTTTAAAATTTGTATAGGATCTTTGATGTTACAACAACCATTTAGTAGCTTACCATCTGGGGTGAGGAGATAAAGAGTGCATGTGTGAAACTATATAAGTGTAGTTATAAAGCAGTACACTGAAAGATTGCCTTTCCTTCTAAAATGCTAAGCATACTCATTTTGTCTTGTTTCCTTTCTCTTTCAGAAGCCAGATACACCTCAGACCTCAGGCACTTTTGTCCCTGTTGCTAATGAATTGAAACGGAAGGACAAATACATGAATGTCCTCTTTTCCTGTCACGTCCGTAAGGTAAGGCAAGCTTAAACCAGATCATCTTGGAAAGGAAAGACTGATTCAGATGAAACTCACTTAAGCAAGCCTGTAATAAAACATAACAGTAGGTACATAACTAGCTTCATCATCAGTTCACTAGACCTGTCTGTGCTGAGGCATTGTAGGAATGGCTGAGGTGACTACAACTTTACAGTTAGGCTATAAAGCCTTCCTAAGGGAAGTGATAACCTTTTTTTTTTTTTTTTTTTTTGGAGACGGAGTTTTACTCATGTTGTCCAGGCTGGACAGCAGTGGCGTAATCTCGGCTCACTGCAACCTCCGCTTCCCAGGTTCAAGTGATTCTCCTGTCTCAGCCTCCCAAGTAACTGGGATTACAGGCATGCACCACCATGTCTAGCTAACTTTATATTTTTAGTAGAGACAGGGTTTCACCATGTTGGTCAGGCTGGTCTCGAACTCCTGATCTCAGGTGATTCACCTGCCTCAGCCTCCTAAAGTGCTGGGATTCCAGGACTGACTCACCATGCCCAGCCAATTTCTTTTTAAAACTAGAAAAAAAAAACAAAAAAACTAGATTGCGGGGACCTCTTTAAAGTCAGGGATTTGTATTTCACTGCATGTGTATCTTTCATAGCAGCTGTATATCTGCTTTATATTTAATTGTCATTTAGTACTTTTTATACCTACATTATTTCTTTTATTTATTTTTTTTTTTTGAGACGGAGTCTCATTCTGTCGCCCAGGCTGGAGTGCAGTGGTGCAATCTCGGCTCACTGCAAGCTCCGCCTCCCAGGTTCATGCCATTCTCCTGCCTTAGCCTCCCGAGTAGCTGGGACTACAGGCGCCCACCACCATGCCCGGCTAATTTTTTGTATTCTTTAGTAGAGACGGGGTTTCACCATGTTAGCCAGGATGGTCTCGATCTCCTGACCTCGTGATCCGCCCGCCTCGGCCTCCCAGAGTGCTGGGATTACAGGCGTGAGCCACCGCGCCCAGCCTATACCTACATTATTTCTATAAAACAGGGTTTGGGAGAGGAAGAACTGAGTTTTAAAAAGAGGAGTAGGGCATATTGAGATTCGGAAGGTGAGGGAAAAGTTACCTGCTATGAATGTATTTGCTTGTCTGGTGCAGGATACTTGGGCTGCTATTTACCTGGAGATGATAGCAGTTGGGCAAATGGAAGTTGGGAAGTGGAAGGCAAAGGACGTAGCTAGTCTTAAAAAAAAAACCTTAAAATACTTGTTTAGAAGAACACAGAAGAATTGAAATTATCATTAAAAGAGTATTTTGTAGAATTATCCAAATACATTTTAAAATATTAATGAAATTATAATTTTTAAAAAATATTAACTAGGTTGATCCAAGAAGAGACAGTAACATAAATATGGCAATAGACAAAGGAGGAATTAAGAAAATTATCAAAGAATTACCTCATAATAAAGGCCCAAGTTTAGGTGATTTTACACGTGCTTCATTTCAGATCTTTTAAAAAATAATAATTACAGTAGTATTCAGATCAAAATAATGAAATATGATTTTTCAACTATAAATTTGGCAGTCTTTAAAGTGTTGATAATAACCAATGTTTATAAGGATGTAAGAAGACATTTTTGGTCGGAGTATAAGATATAGTCATTTAGAGTGGACAATTTGGCAATATCTATCAAAATTTAAAATTCTCATACCACTTAATCTAAGAATTCCACAGCCCATATTTACCCTACAAATATATCTGTACAAATACCCAGAGAGAGAGAGATGTACAGGTTTGTACATTGTAACAGCCAGAAAAACTGGAAAAAATGTGAATATATATCAATAGGTAATTAATCAATTGTGTATGTACACAGTAATATACACTGATATTAAATTAGCGGGAGGCCAGACGCAGTGGCTTATGCCTATAATCCCACCACTTTGGAAGGCCGAGGCGGGTGGATCATGAGGTCAAGCGATCAAGACCATCCTGGCCAACATGGTGAAACCCCATCTCTACTAAAAATACAAAAAAATTAACTGGGTCTGGTGGTGTGCACCTGTAGTCCCAGCTACTCAGGAGCCTGGGGCAGGAGAATTGCTTGAACCCGGGAAGCAGAGGTTGCAGTGAGCCGAGATCGTGCCACTGCACTCCAGCTGGGTGACAGAACAAGACTCCGTCTAAAAAAAAAAAAAAAAAAAAAGTGGGAAAAAGATATCTATGTGGGGAGAAAAGGACAAAATGTGTGAAACAGTGGTTTTCAAGACAGTGGACATCAAGCAAGGAAAGACAATGTTCCCTGAAATATGAAGAAAAAAATGAGGTGATGAGCCCTGCAATTTGCCAGTTTTCTGTCTTGAGAGACTTTCCAGTCCCAGGATGAGCAGTGGGGGAAGCCCAGGCAGAGCCCAGTAGACAAAGACAGAGCTTTTCAACAGTGAGAGAGACTAAGGCAGCTAGAATTTGTGGAGCAGAGTATCAGAGAGGAGAGAGTTGCACAGAGAGAAAACTCTGAAGATCTGTAGAGTTCACTTTGACTGTTCGTCTGAGTACTGATCAGCACATACATATGTGCATATGAGGAAATAACTCAAGGCTGGGAAACAGCAACCCAAAAGGATTATAGGCAACAATGCCCAGTACTCACACAGGGTTGCAAGTAGTGCCTGTTCACACCAGCCAGACTGGAAAACCTCATGATTTATGAGGCACCGAATAGAGTACTGACAAGAGATTGCCTCAGTAGGGGGTTATAACTAGCCCTTGACCAAACACTGTTCTGATCCTACCTAATAAATCTTGAAAGCACAACCAGAGATAATCAAACTGTTCCCAAGTAACCTAACCAGAACAAAGCCAAAAAATTTTTATAGGAATACAAAAATATCCAGCTCACAGAAGGTAAAATTCACAACATATGACATCCACTCAAAAGTTTCCAAGCATACAAAACAAGAGACTACAACTCATAAGGAGAAAAAAAATTAATCATTCAAACTGACCCAGAACTGATATAGATGATAGAATTAACAGACAAGGTCATTAAAATAATTATTATGATTGTATTCCATATCTTCAGAAAGCTAGAGGAAAGATTTAACATGTTAAATAAACACATGGAAGATTTTTTTAATGACCTGCATGAAGTTATAAAGATGAAAAATACAATTTCTGGGAGGAAAAAACATACTCAATGGGATTAACAGCAGATTAGTCTTTGCAGAAGGAAAACTAGTGAATTTGAAGATATAGCAATAAAAACTACCCAGAATTAAACACAGAGAGAAAAATAAAAGGCTAAAACAAAGCATCAGGAAGCTGTTAGATAACTTCCTGTGGCCTAATATAGGTGCAGCCGAAGTCTCTGAGGGAGAGGAGAGAAGGAGAGAAATAAATAATATTTTTTAAAATAACAGCTGATATTTCCCCAAAATTTGATGAAATGTTAAATGCACAGATCCAAGAAGCTCAACAAACACTAAGCACAAGAAACATGAAGTAAACTATACTACGGTAAATTGTAACTAAATTGCTCAATACCAGTAATAAAGAGAAAAAAGACACGAAGGAACAAAGAAAGTATGCATCCAATTTCTTGTCAGAAGCAATGCAAGTAAGGAGACAGTGGAGCAACATCTTTAAAGTACTGGTGAAAAAACAACAACAACTTAGAATTCTATACCCAGCAAATATATCTTTCAAAAACCAAAGTGAAATAAAGACTTTTTCAGACATATCTGAAGATAAACACTATAGGAAATGTTAAAGGAAGTCATCCAGACAGAAGGAAAATTATACCATATGAAAATGTGGACATTCACCAAAGAATGAAGAGCAAGTGAAGTGGTAGCTACATAGACAAATACATGTCTTTTCTTACTTAAATGTCTTTAAAAGGTAATTGACTATATACCAATGTTTATGGCAGCATAATTCATAATAACCAACAGGTGAAAGCAATTGAAATGTCCATCGATGGATGAATGAATTAAGAAAATGTGGTATAGGCCAGGCATGGTGGCTCACACCCATAATCCCAACACTTTGGGAGGCTGAGGCGGGTGGATCACTTGAGGCCAGGAGTTTGAGACCAGCCTGGCCAACATGGTGAAACCCTGTCTCTACTAAAAATACAAAAATTAGCCAGACGTGGTGGCACAGGCCTGCAATCCCAGCTGCTCGGGAGGCTGAAGCACAAGAATCCCTTGAACCCGGGGGGTGGAGGTTGCAGTGAGCTGAGATCGCACTACTGCACTCCAGCCTGGGCAACAGAGTGAGACTCTGTCTCAAAAAAAAAAAAAAAAAAAAAAGAAAGAAAGAAAATGTGGTTTAGCCATACAATGGATAAAAAGCCATAAATACATGCTACAACCAAGGTGAACGTTGATATTATACTAAGAAAAATAACCAGATACACATGGATAAATATTGTATGATCCCAGTTATATATGGTACCTAGAATGATCTGATTCATAGAGACAGAAAATAGAATGGTAGTTCTAGGGGTTGGGGAAAGAGAGGACTGGGGAGTTATTGTTTAATGGGTATAGAGCTTCAGTTTGGAATGATGAAAGTTCTGGAGAAAGATAGTGGTGATGGCTGCACAACAATGTGAATGTGCTTAATGCCAATGAAGCATTGACCTATACACTTAAAAATGATCCAAATAGAAAATTTTGTTATGTGTATTTTACCGAATTTTTTAAATGAAAAAACACAATTGGCTACTTAAACAGAAACAGTGATAAAGTAGTGTAGAGTTTATAATATATGTAGAAGTAAAATTTATGATAACAATAGCACAAAGATGGGGGAAATGGAAATATACTGTCGTATGGTTTTTATACCATAAAGTGATATAATGTCAGTAGACTGTGATATGTTATAAACGTATTCTGTAAATCCTAGAAAAGCCACTAAAATGGCAATACAAAAAGTTATAACTAATAAGCCAACAAAGGAGAGAAACGAAATTATAAAAAAAAATCTCAATGCAAAAGAAAGCAGAGAAATGTGGAAAAGGGAACAAAGAACAAATGGGACAAATAGAAAACAAATTGAAAATGATAAATTTAGGCCTAACTGTATTGATAATCACATTAAATGTCAATGGTCTAAACACACCGCAATTAAAAGGCAAAGATTATGGCTTCTTAGCATGTGGATGTGTGCACCACCCCCAAAGCTCTCCAAACCCCATAATTTTGAGTTTATGGAGGTTTTATTACACAGGCATGGTTGATGAAATCATTGGCTATGGGTAATTAACTTAATCTCCAGCCCCTCTCCCCTCCGTGAAGGTTAAGGGGTGGGGCTGAAAGTTCCAACCCTCTAATCATGCCTTGGTCTTTCTGGCAACCAGCCCCAATCCTGAAACTATCTAGGAGCTCCTAGTCACCAGTTATCTGATTAGCAGATAGAAACTCTTATGTTGGGAATCTGGGACTAAGACTAAATAAATATCATAACAAAAGGTGATTCTATAACCTCTATCACTCATAAAATCACAAGAGTTTTGGGAGCTTTGTGTCAGGAACTGGGATGATGAGCAAATATATGTATTTCTTATTATATCACAATCAGTGTTTGAACATTATAAGGAAGAAGAAAGAGGTCAACTCAACGTGATAGAGGCTTGTTTGTTTTGTTTTTTGTTTTGTTTTTTTGAGGCAGTCTTACTCTGTCACCCAGGCTAGGGTGCTGTGGCGCAATTTTGGCTCACTGCAACCTCTGCCTCCTGGGTTCAAGCGATTCTCCTGCCTCAGCCTCCCCAGTAGCTGGAATTACAGGTGCACATCACCACGCCTGGCTAATTTTTATATTTTTAGTATAGGCAGGGTTTCACCATGTTGGCCAGGCTGGTCTCGAACTCCTGACCTCAAGTGATCTGCCCACCTAGGCCTCCCAAACTGCTGGGATTACAGGCATGAGCCATCGTGCCCAGTCCTCAGTGTGATAGGGGCTTTTTAACAAAATAGAGAGCAGCTGGTTACAGTTAGAATGAAATAAATGTCATCAAGGAAAGACTGCTGGCAGTATCTTGGGGTGGGTTACCACACTCCAGAGTTTAGTTCTGAACTCTGAGATTTAGAAACTCTATTTTATAAGTATACCTAGAGTCGATCAGACTATCAAGAAAAGACTTTTGCTAACCAGATTCACACACCCATGCAAAAAAAAAAAAAAAAAATGTATAAGCTATAATGTCAGTTTGTAAATATAACAAAGGAATGTACCATGTCAGTGAGTCCTCATATTCACTATCTAGTACACTTTAGTATCAAGCAGCTGGAAAATCAAATTAATAATCAGAGCAGTTGATCAAAGACAGTTGGATGGTTTTAAGAATTAGGTCATTTACTACAGAAATGCCTGATGTCTCTATCTTTCCAGCAATGACAATTTTATGTCTGACAGAGAACATGTCTTTACCTGGGTCCTGCTGGATTAAAAACTGAAGCATTCTTATTCATGTCCCTGTATTTCCAAGTTCAAAGCAAAATACTCTTTGTTCACCCTATAGCTTAAATACGACTTTAGAAACTGTTCAATCCCAAGGCTACGCCAGCGTAAACTTGATAGGATTTCAGTAAAGCCCTCTTCTTTATGCTTAGATTCTCTCTGAAACAGCCACTTTCCATTAACCACATTATAAAATGTCCTTTAAGGTGAAAGACTTCTGCAAATAGCTACTCTCAACCATGATGTGTTTTCTCCTTATCTGCCTCTCCAGATAAACTTTTATCTGTGGCCCCCTGTGGTACTGACTAAACCTATAGACAGATCACTTGTAGTGTTTAGGGAAAAACAAATGCTAGGGATTTTTTTCTTTGGTTGAAGATTTTAGTTTTGGATAATAGAAGAAACAAGATGAGGGTTTATCTAATACAGAGTCTATAATCTAGTTTTTCTATTACTATATGAATTTAAGTGGAAGAAAAGAGTGCTTTTTTGCCATAATTATAAGTCTGGAATTTACATCTATATGTAGAATTTTTTCCTTTGCCATTTTAATATAGCTAAATTATGCAATCTGAGGCTTTTACTTTGTTACCTGATGTCCTTCCCACTCAATTCATATTCTGAGGATAATTTAAGCTGCTGAAACAGAAGGTAAAGATTTGTGATATGTTCTCTTTAGAAATTACATTTTTTGCATATAAAAACGTAATATTTTCAAACAGTGTTTTCATACAATTGCTGCTTTGAGGTTTTCGTTTGTTGTTTTTAGATTAACTCGGGAACATATAAAAGGACATGGGACCTACTTGTTTTGACTCTGGAATGACCTTATGAAATTATGTAACAGGTTTTTTAAATCATATTCTTTTGCCCTACACTCATATGTTTTTCAGTATGATTCCACAAAAGATGACGTGCATGACTTTTACTTATTATTGTTTCCTTTCTTTTATATATATATATATTTTTACAGAGAGGGTCTTCTTCTGTTGCCCAGGCTGTGACTGCAGCCTCAAACTCCCGGGCTCAAGCAATGCTCTTGCCTCAGCCTCCCAAGTAGCTGGGATTAGCTATTATTTGGTGCCTATTTTAGATATTCTCTATGAACTCTAAGATTCATACAAGTGATAGTAAGTGTTCTTCAACATGAGTTTTACAGAACCAGTGTTCTATTGAATATTTGTAGGTGCTGAAAAAGGGTTTCATAGTTAAAAGTATTTTGTAAATACTGGGTTAAACATGCTCTTTAAGTGCAGAATTCTCACAGCCTTTAATATATTCATGGGATCCTGACTGTTAGAAGGAAAACTAACAAACAGAAAGGACTTCCACACCAAAACCCCATCTGTACGTCACCATCATCAAAGACCAAAGGTAGATAAAACCACAAAGATCGGGAAAAAACAGAGCAGAAAAACTGAAAATTCTAAAAATCAGAGCACCTCTCCTCCTCCAAAGGAACGCAGCTCCTCACCAGCAATGGAACAAAGCTGGATGGAGAATGACTTTGACGAGCTGAGAGAAGAAGGCTTCAGATGATCAAACTTCTCCGAGCTAAAGGAGGAAGTTCGAACCCATCACAAAGAAGTTAAAAACCTTGAAAAAAGATTAGATGAATGGCTAACTAGAATAACCAATGCAGAGAAGTCATTAAAGGACCTGATGGAGCTGAAAACCATGGCACGAGAACTACATGACGAATGCACAAGCTTCAGTAACTGATTCGATCAACTGGAAGAAAGGGTATCAGTGATTGAAGATCAAATGAATGAAATGAAGTGAGAAGAGAAGTTTAAAGAAAAAAAAATAAAAAGAAACGCACAAAGCCTCCAAGAAATATGGGACTGTGTGAAAAGACCAAATCTCCGTCTGATTGGTGCACCTGAAAGTGACAGGGAGAGTGTAACCAAGTTGGAAAACACTCTGCAGGATATTATCCAGGAGAACTTCCCCAACCTAACAAGGCAGGCCAACATTCAAATTCAGGAAATACAGAGAACGCCACAAAGATACTCCTCGAGAAGAGCAACTCCAAGACACATAATTGTCAGATTCACCAAAGTTGAAATGAAGGAAAAAATGTTAAGGGCAGCCCTCGGGTTACCCACAAAGGGAAGCCCATCACACTAACAGCTGATCTCTCAGCAGAAACTCTACAAGCCAGAAGAGAGTGGGGGCCAATATTCAACATTCTTAAAGAAAAGAATTTTCAACCCGCAATTTCATATCCAGCCAAACTAAGCTTCATAAGTGAAGGAGAAATAAAATACTTTACAGACAAGCAAATGCTGAGAGATTTTGTCACCACCAGGCCTGCCCTACAAGAGCTCCTGAAGGAAGCACTAAACATGGAAAGGAACAACTGGTACCAGCCACTGCAAAAACATGCCAAATTGTAAAAGCCATCGATGCTAGGAAGAAACTGCATCAACTAATGAGCAAAATAACCAGCTAACATCATAATGACAGGATTAGATTCACACATAACAGTATTAACCTTAAATGTAAATATGCAAAATGCTCCAATTAAAAGACACAGACTGGCAAATTGGATAAAGAGTCAAGACCCATCAGGGTACTGTATTCAAGAAACCCATCTTACATGTAGAGACACACAGGCTCAAAATAAAGGGATGGAGGAAGATCTACCAATCTAATAGAAAACAAAAAAAGGCAGGGGTTGCAATCCTAGTCTCTGATAAAACGGACCTTAAACCAACGAAGATCAAAAGAGACAAAGAAGGCCACTACATAATGGTAAAGGGATCAATTCAACAAGAAGAGCTAACTGTCCTAAATATATATGCACCCAATATAGGAGCACCCAGATTCATAAAGCAAGTCCTTAGAGACCTACAAAGAGACTTAGACTCCCACACAATAATAATGGGAGACTTTAACACCCCACTGTCAACACTGGACAGATCAACGAGACAGAAAGTTAACAAGGATATCCAGGAATTGAACTCAGCTCTGCACCAAGCGGACCTAATAGACATCTACAGAACTCTCCACCCCAAATCAACAGAATATACATTCTTCTCAGCACCACGCCGCACTTATTCCAAAAGTGACCACATAGTTGGAAGTAAAGCACTCCTCAACAAATGTAAAAGAACAGAAATTATAACAAACTGTCTCTCAGACCTGTGCAATCAAACTAGAATGCAGGATTAAGAAACTCACTCAAAACTGCTCAACTACATGGAAACTGAACAACCTGCTCCTGAATAACTACTGGGTACATAACGAAATGAAGGCAGAAATAAAGATGTTCTTTGAAACCAACGAGAACAAAGACACAACATACCAGAATCTCTGGGACACATTCAAAGCAGTGTGTAGAGGGAAATTTATAGCACTAAATGCCCACAAGAGAAAGCAGGAAAGATCTAAACTTGACACCCTAACATCACAATTAAAAGAACTAGAGAAGCAAGAGCAAACATATTCAAAAGCTAGCAGAAGGCAAGAAATAACTAAGAGCAGAACTGAAGGAGATGGAGACACAAAAAACCCTTCAAAAAATCAATGAATCCAGGAGCTGGTTTGTTGAAAAGATCAACAAAATTGATAGACCACTAGCAAGACTCATAAAGAAGAAAAGAGAGAAGAATCAAATAGACACAATAAAAAATGATAAAGGGGATATCACCACCGATCCCACAGAAATACAAACTACCATCAGAGAATACCATAAGCACCTCTACGCAAATAAACTAAAAAATCTAGAAGAAATGGATAAATTCCTGGACACATACACCCTCCCAAGACTAAACCAGGAAGAAGGTGAATCTCTTAATAGACCAATAACAGGATCTGAAATTGAGGCAATAATAGCTTACCAACCAAAAAAAGTCCAAGACCAGACAGGATTCACAGCTGAATGCTACCAGAGGTAGAAGGAGGAACTGGTACCATTCCTTCTGAAACTATTCCAATCAATAGAAAAAGAGGGAATCCTCCCTAACTTATTTTATGAGGCCAGCATCATCCTGATACCAAAGCCTGGCAGAGACACAACAAAAAAAGAGAATTTTAGACCAATATACCTGATGAACATCGATGCAAAAATCCTGAATAAAATACTGGCAAACCAAGTCCAGCAGCACATCAAAAAGCTTATCCACCATGATCAAGTTGTCTTCATCCCTGGGATGCAAGACTGGTTCAACATATGCAAATCAGTAAACGTAATCCAGCATATAAACAGAACCAAAGATAAAAAACACATGATTATCTCAATAGATGCAGAAAAGGCCTTTGACAAAATTCAACAGCGCTTCATGCTAAACACTCTAAATAAATTAGGTATTGATGGGACGTATCTCAAAATAATAAGAACTATTTATGACAAAACCACAGCCAATATCATACTGAATGGGCAAAAAGTGGAAGCATTCCCTTTGAAAACTGGCACAAGACAGGGATGCCCTCTCTCACCACTCCTATTCAACAGTGTTGGAAGTTCTGGCCAGGGCAATCAGGCAGGAGAAAGAAATAAAGGGTATTCAATTAGGAAAAGAGGAAGTCAAATTGTCCCTGTTTGCAGATGACATGATTGTATATCTAGAAAACCCCATGGTCTCAGCCCAAAATCTCCTTAAGCTGATAAGCAACTTCAGCAAACTCTCAGGATGCAAAATCAGTCTTCAAAAATCTCAAGCATTCTTATACACCAATAACAGACAGAGAGCCAAATCATGAGTGAACTCCCATTCACAATTGCTTCAAAGAGAATAAAATACCTAGGAATCCAACTTACAAGGGTTGTGAAGGACCTCTTCAAGGAGAACAAACCACTGCTCAATGAAATAAAAGAGGACAAAAACAAATGGAAGAACATTCCATGCTCATGGATAGGAAGAATCAATATCGTGAAAATGGCCATACTGCCCAAGGTAATTTATAGATTCAGTGCCATCCCCATCAAGCTACCAATGACTTTCTTCACAGAATTGGAAAAAACTACTGTAAAGTTCATATGGAACCAAAAAAGAGCCTGCATTGCCAAGTCAATCCTAAGCCAAAAGAACAAAGCTGGAGGCGTCACGCTACCTGACTTCAAACTATACTACAAGGCTACAGTAACCAAAACAGCATAGTACTGGTACCAAAACAGAGATATAGACCAATGGAACAGAACAGAGCCCTCAGAAATAATACCACACATCTACAACTATCTGATCTTTGACAAACCTGACAAAAACAAGAAATGGGGAAAGGATTCCCTGTTCAACAAATGGTGCTGGGAAAACTGGCTAGCCATATGTAGAAAGCTGAAACTGGATGCCTTCCTTACACCTCATACAAAAATTAATTCAAGATGGATTAAAGACTAAAATGTTAGACCTAAAACCATAAAAACCCTAGAAGAAAACCTAGGCAATAACATTCAGACATAGGCATGGGCAAGAACTTCATGTCTAAAACACCAAAAGCAATGGCAACAAAAGCCAGAATTGACAAATGGGATCTAATTAAACTAAAGAGCTTCTGCACAGCAAAAGAAACTACCATCAGAGTGAACAGGCAACCTACAGAATGGGAGAAAATTTTTGCAATCTACTCATCTGACAAAGGGCTAATATCCAGAATCTACAAAGAACTCAAACAAATTTACAAGAAAAAAAGCAACCCCATCAACAAGTGGGAGAAAGATATGAACAGACACTTCTCAAAAGAAGACATTTATGCAGCCAACACACACATGAAAAAATGCTCATCATCACCGGCCATCAGAGAAATGCAAATCAAAACCACAATGAGATGCCATCTCACACAAGTTAGAATGGCGATCATTAAAAAGTCAGGAAACAACAGGTGCTGGAGAGGATGTGGAGAAATAGGAACACTTTTACACTGTTGGTTGGACTGTAAACTAGTTCAACCATTGTGGAAGACAGTGTGGTGATTCCTCAGGGATCTAGAACTAGAAATACCATTTGACCCAGCCATCCCATTACTGGGTATATGCTAAGGATTATAAATCATGCTGCTATAAAGACACATGCACACGTATGTTTATTGTGGCACTATTCACAATAGCAAAGACTTGGAACCAACCCAAATGTCCAACAATGATAGACTGGATTAAGAAAATGTGGCACATATACACCATGGAATACTATGCAGCCATAAAAAAGGATGAGTTCATGTCCTTTGTAGGGACATGGATGAAGCTGGAAACCATCATTCTCAGCAAACTATCGCAAGGACAAAAAAGCAAACACCACATGTTCTCACTCATAGGTGGGAATGGAACAATGAGAACACTTGGACACAGGAAGGGGAACATCACACACCGGGGCCTGTTGTGGGGTGGGGGGAGGGGGGAGGGATAGCATTAGGAGATATACCTAATTTAAATGACGAGTTAATGGGTGCAGCACACCAACATGGCAGGTGTATACATATGTAACAAACCTGCACATTGTGCACATGTACCCTAGAACTTAAAGTATAATTTTAAAAATCTATATATAAAAAATAATAAAATAAATTTTAAAAAGGAAAAAATATATATTCATGGGATATGAATATCCCTAGTGGAGGCTGTGGTTTGCAGTATTTCTGAAACCAACTTGTCCATGGACCCTTACTTTCACAAAACCTCACATAAGGCTAGAACTGAACAGCTTAGAAAAATGCTGCTATATAAAGACTTGGAACCAACCCAAATGTCCAACAATGATAGACTGGATTAAGAAAATGTGGCACATATACACCATGGAATACTATGCAGCCATAAAAAATGATTAGTTCATGTCCTTTGTAGGGACATGGATGAAATTGGAAATCATCATTCTCAGTAAACTATCGCAAGAACAAAAAACCAAACACCACATATTCTCACTCATAGGTGGGAATTGAACAATGAGATCACATGGACACAGGAAGGGGAACATCACACTCTGGGGACTGTTGTGGGGTGGGGGGAGGGGGGAGGGATAGCATTGGGAGATATACCTAATGCTAGATGACGAGTTAGTGGGTGCAGCGCACCAGCATGGCACATGTATACATATGTAACTAACCTGCACATTGTGCACATGTACCCTAAAACTTAAAGTATAATAATAAAAGAAAAAAAGAAAGAAAAATGCTGCTATAGAAGCTCTTCACTCACTGTGTTTCAAGTTTTCTGACAAGTGCCAATCCTCTGTTAATAGCAAAAGCTGTTGCTATGTAAAGTTATTTACTAAGGCTAATAATTATTCCACCATATAGATTCTATTTTACTCTCAATTACAGACACCATTTTTGTCAAGTTGAAGACTGAAAAAAATGTGCTTTGGTTATTAAGGAAATGCTTAGAGAATTGACTGATTTCTAAAACTATGGGGCAAAGGGGAGAAGATTGAATAAAATTCAAACTAAAATTTAAATTTTAGTTTGCTATATCCTCCCTATAGCAATATATCCTGCTATGTTCCATCCTGCCAATCTTAATTTCATTAGCTAAATAGCCTACCGAAGCTAACCATGTTTTCAAATTGATCTCTAACTTCTTTGTTTGCATCTTAGAAATAAGAATTTGAAGGAGGGGATGGAGGATATAGATCACAACTATGCCTTCTTTTCTAGTTGAGGAGGGCTTTTTAAGTTTTCTGTTTGTTGGTTTGGTTTGCATTCTTTTTCCTTCTAGTTACTGAAAAACATGATATCGTAGTGGTTCAAAAATGTTTAGTGCTAGGTACGTTGATTAGTATCCAAGTCTAGCTGGACATGGTGGCGCATGCTGGCAGTCTCAACAACTTAGGAGGCAGGAGGATCACTTGAGCCCAGGAGTTTGAGGCTGCACTGAGTCACTGCTTGAGCCACTACACACTATCTTGGGTGACAGAGTGAGACCCTCATCTTTTTAAAATACATATGTGTTTATTACCCAAGTCTAAGTAGCTAACTACTTATAAAATATCCTGTGGTTAATTCTGCTCTTAGGAAAAGATTTACCTGAACATGTGAATCTTCTCTGACCCTCTGTCTAATAAAGTAGCATTCTACACACACACACACACACACACACACACACACACACACACACACACAAAATTTCTCCCAATCTCATAATCTAGTTTATTTTCTTTATATCATTATATGAAATTATTTTTACTTATTAGTTTCCTATTTGTCTTATCCCTATATACCAGTCTCAGATTCTTATTATAACCAAGGGCTTCATATTATTTCTTTGTATAATTGGGTTATTTTCCTTTTAGTTATTGAATTGTATTAGTTCTTTACATAGTCCAGATACAAGTCCCTTTTTAGATATATGATTTTCAAAGTTTTTCTCCCATTCTCTGGGTTTGCCTTTTTACTTACTTGATGGTGTCTGGGTTACATATGTTTAGTCCTTTAATTCTTCTGTGGTTTTCTTGTTTTCCATGTTCAATTGTAAAATTTCAATTGCCAAATTCCACAAGTATGGGAACAGCTACTCCTTTTAAATCTTTATTGCATCCAGTAGAGTGGCCATACATGGTTCACATCTATTAAAGAATTTGTCTTCACAATCAGCCAACTTGATTTCCTTATTGATGAGATACTATGGTTTATTGGTTTGTTCTCTTACAGGTAAATCGATTTAGTAAGGTGGAAGACAGAGCAATTTTTGTCACTGACCGTCACCTGTATAAAATGGATCCCACTAAACAGTACAAGGTGATGAAGACTATCCCTCTATACAATGTAAGTCCTCTGTGCTTC
This sequence comes from Homo sapiens, assembly GCF_000001405.40. Classification (NCBI taxonomy): domain Eukaryota; kingdom Metazoa; phylum Chordata; class Mammalia; order Primates; family Hominidae; genus Homo; species Homo sapiens. The sequence continues at coordinate 32,638,703 of NC_000017.11, read as the reverse complement.
TCTCTGGATAAAGATTCTTAACCTGGTGCTCATGGACCACTAATGGGTCAATAGACTGAGTTCTAGAATCTTTGGGGCTTTAGGATGCCCATGAATTCCTGAAATTTTATGTGTCATATGTTTTGTAGAAATGTACAGTTTTCTAAAAGGATCCAAAGTTTCCAAGAGATAAATGCAGACATTTTTTAAAGTGTAAGGACTACTGATTCTTTGTGATCTTTCTCTATTCCTGATCCACTGTTTAAATGCACTGGCGTATAATGCATTTTCTTATTTGTTTTCATAAGGTTTGTTTTTATATGGAAATGGTAGAAAATCGGTAGGGGATTACTTAAAATATTACTTTTTCTCTTTTAAATGTAAAATTTATGCTGCTTCCAGAATTCTTTTCACCATATATTTTGTGCATATTTAGTTGTTGATTGTGTGATCTTTGGTGTAAGTCCACTTTATTGTTCACTATAACCATACAGTTTTCTAATTCCGTTATCATTTTTTATTTGAAATACGAAATTTCGTGGGTATCTCCTTGAATCGCAATATGAGTTTGTTTGTTTGTAATTTGTCCTTCTTAATAGAGTCTGCTTTACAAGTGACTGTTTATTCTGATTCTTCGGAAAGATCCTACCGGAATATTGGATCTTTTCACGTGTCAGGTGATTTTCCTCTGTTAGTTGTTAAAGAAGGAAGACTGTGTTTGTCTAATACTGGGAACTATGAGGAGTATTACTTAGAGAATATTTTAAATCCTTTTGGTTGCTGCAAGAGGGAATAGGAAACATATTGTTTTACAGTTTTATTTTGCTAAGTCAGGGGTCCTTTTAGTTATAAGGTACAAGGAAGACAAACTATTCCTGGCTTTGCTGAATGCTTTAGAATGATTTAGACTATGGGGTGGAGATCCGTCTTCACTATGCACCCCTCACCCAACCCCCTCACACACACACCTTTTTTCCTTTCAATAGAAAGGCCAATAGATTGCAACTAAGGCTAAAATGATATGACACTCTTTTTTATTTTATTTTATTTATTTTTTAGACAGTTTGACTCTGTCCCCCAGGCTGGAGTGCAGTGGCACGATATCAGGTCACCGCAACCTCCACCTCCTAGGTTCAGGTGATTCTTGTGCCTCTGCCTCCTGAGTAGCTGGGATTAGAGGTGCACGCCACCATGCCCAGGTATTTTGTATTTTTAGTAGAGATGAGGGGTTTCGCCAAGTTGACCAGGCTGGTCTCAAACTCCTGGCCTCAAGTGATCCACCCGCTGTGGTCTCCCAAAGTGCTGGGATTACAGGCATAAGCCACCACACCCAGCCCTAAAACACTCTTGATTATATATAGTCTTCTTATATATAGACTTATAATCTTCTATTGCAGTTACAGTTTAAGCCTAATAACCCTCCAATCTTGAAGTAGGAGATGAAGATAGATGAGGCAGAAAATCATATTTTGTCCAAGTCTAAAGAAGTGTGAAACCAAAAAAATTAATTGTGGTATGTGTTTTGTTCCTTTTCCTTGCTTTCTATTAAGGGGAGATTCATCAGGCACATGATATAAATTCAATAAATAGTTAAACAGCTCTTTGAACCGAAGCTGTTTTCCCTTATTCATGTCAACTGGTTTTTATAGTCACTGTTTCCCTTTATCTTCATCATTATCATTGCTAATTGTTATTAATAATATCATGACATCATAAAAACTAACAATGTTTAACTACAGTAGTAAAGGTAAAACGTCAGTGGGATGGATACACCCCGTTGCAGATGCTGTCAACACCCTGCCCATACCGTCTCGTATTCCCATACCATATTTGTGCATACCAGCCTGATTTCCAGCAGCCAACATCTTTGTCAAAAAGCTGCCCTCAGGCTGCCAAACCTGCTTTGCCCTTACTCACAGAGGGCTGGAAGTGCCTAGGCACTCATTGTGTGATAAGTGTGGGGTATAAATACTCCATCTCCATCACTCATTGGCCAAGACAGTTCCAGGCTGTCTCACACCATCTCCTAGAGCTTCCCTGCAGGAGTAAACTTGCCCACAGTGGTGGCTGCCTTCTCTCCCCACTTCCTTGCCAGTGTGCCTGAACCTCCCAAATCAACTCTGTATACTCATCAGCCTTTATCTCAGGGTCTGCTTCTGGGTGGAACTAACTTCAGAAGGGCAGCCACCTTTTCAGAGGGAGCAAGTTCGATGTGATGGGGAACTTCCAACTAGACCTGTCATTGTTTTTAAGTCTGAAGCAAATATGTCAGAATATTAGGTGTGGATGATAGGGACATGAGTATTTGTTATATTATTATTTATACTTTTCTGTATGATTGAAATATTTTGAAATTAAAAACAAAGTTTAAGATAAAGAACCTTTTTAAAACATGATGATGCTAATAATAGTGTTGGAGAAGCTGGGAGGGGATGAAGGAAAGTGATTTCAATTTTAACCATATTGAATTTGAGGTTTTTGTGAAACGTACAAGTATACTTTCCATAGATAGTTGGAAGTCTGATGGTATAGAGTGGGAAAGAATTCATCACTTCAGATTTAAGAGTGGACTCATGTATAGTTGGAGGCTGAAATTATGAGTCGAGAGAGAGAAAGGGGGTGGATTATTCAAAAACATCCACAGTTAAATGGTGGGAAAAAGAGAATCACTGAAGGAAATGGAATAAAAAGGAAATTTCTTTATGGACCTCCATTTTCTCATCTCTCTTTTAATGGACTAAATGAGCTCTAATTTCCCTTCAGTTCTATACTTTTTAAATTATTCTACGAAAGAAAAAAACTATGGGAACATCATGTTTCAAAATCAAATCGGAAAGTTTTCAGAAATAAGAGTAGTCAATAAAAACATACAGGGCATAGCTAAGGGCATCCATACTTCTCTCATTCTCCACCTTTCATTTCTCCTTCTATAGAGGCTCCTTTCCTGTTTTAGTTAGTCCTTTCTTGCTCCAAGGACAGACTGTAAGCGCATTCTGTCTTAAGTAATGTTTCTTTCCACCCCCCCGCCACCCGAGACGGAGTCTTGCTCTGTCACCCAGACTGGAGTGCAGTGGCGCCATCTCGGCTCACTGCAACCTCCGCCTCCTAGGTTCAAGCAATTCTCCTGCCTCAGCCTCCCAAGTAGCTGAGATTACAGGCACCTGCCACCGTGCCCAGCTAATTTTTTTTGTATTTTTAGTAGAGATGGGGTTTCACCAGGCTGGTCTTGAGCTCCTCACCTCATGATCTGCCCACCTTGGCCTCTCAAAGCGCTGGGATTACAGGCATGAGCCACCACGCCTGGCCCCATTTTTTATTTTAGTAAAGGTACCAGGGTAGTAAGGGAATCAAATCCCATGGAAACCCAGGAAATGCTACCATTCAGGTTTTAAGGCAGCTTTAAGGGACCCTGCTATCGTTTAGCCTCCTCCACAACCTGAGTTTTGCATAGCCTATGTTTCTGCCATTCTTTCTCTTTTTCTCTTTGTCTATCTTCTTACTCACAGTTACTTCTTTCTTGCTAGACAGCATGGGTCAGCTTTAGGCTAAGGTCTGAGTCAGCCAACTCAGCAAACCATTAGAGTTTCATCTTGCAGTAACATATTGAACACAGTGTCTCAGATGAGGCCTCGCCATAGCAACCAATGCTGGGTGATCCAGATCGGTACTTTTGTTCATGCCGAATGCTTGCAAATCTATGCATAGTCTTTCCTTACTTTTTCTGGTATGGCATGGATAATTCCTACTATTCATTTTGGGGTATAACTGATCTCCTCCCTCCACTATTTATCACTGTCATCCTTAGGCCCAAGCCACATTTGGACCTTGGTCACAGATCACGCTGAATATTGGGGCGGGTCATTGGGTTTTCCCAGCAGAAAGGAGCAGAAGAGAAGTGCTTCAGATAGGCCAGGTTGGCCAGGCATCCTAGGTCCTTGGATTCTTCCCAGCTACTCCCACTCCAATTGCCAGCATCCCAGTCTTTGTCAAACAGGACCTAAAATTGTGCTCATGAATCTCCAGGATGGGTGAAAACTCAGCTGATGTTGCAATTTGGTAGTTTGTCTAATCATTCTTGAACGTAGTCTTCATGAGTGCTTTCAGCAGAAAGTGGTTCCTCTGTTTCCTTAACTGCCTCCAGCCACGCACTATGGGACCAATATTTGTTGTTTTCCTAATGCACTATAAAAAATACCCATCCAATCCCACTATCCTTACATCTCCTAATGCATTGAACTTCTATAAATCAGCAACTAACTTTAATGGGCACACCAGCCATCTCCCATGGGTCACCAGTGATAGGTTAAGTAACATCTTCCTCCGTACAGACCATGAACTGCTGGCTTTCCACACTGGGTGGAGCAATCCTCCTTTGCCCCTCCTTGTTGAGATGCTGCAGCCAATTGCACACCCCCTCTTGAGAGTTGCTTTTTGCAGCATCCTGGTGCTCATTTCTTCCTGCTAGGTTTTGAGTTGTAATGAACAGAGACTTAAGGGACCTCGAGTAGACAGGAGATGGGCGATTTTAAATTGCATCTGGGTCAGAGAGAATGACAGTCTAGAAATTACCTTCTTTGGGATTTTAGGCAGTTATACATCAGATCATCTATACATCACACCCTCAATAACTAAACCATTCAATTCAGATAATTACTAAGTGTTCATTATATGCCAGCCACATATGTATTAGGAACATAGAGGTGTCAAAACAGGCAAAATCTCTGCAAGTCTTGGAATTTACATTCCAATGGGGAAAAGTATATGTGTGTGTATGTATATACATACGCACATGATATAGTCCATAGAAGGTGATAAGGGAAAAAATAAAATCAGGAAAGAAGATAGAACGTGTGAGGTGTGTTGTAAGTTTAAATAGGGTGACCAGGCCTCACTGAGAAGTTGACATTTAAGCAAAGACTTGAAGGAGTTAAGGAATGAACCGTACGTGTACTTGGTGGAAAGTATTTTAGACAGAAGGAACAGCAAAGACACAGAGACACGAGCAGGGAGGAAGGAGCCTTCTGGGATGGGGGTGGGGGCTGGAAATGTGTAATAGCTTGATCTGGTGGGGGGTTCACAGATGTATACATTTGTAAGAACTCATCAAGCTGTTTACTTGAGATTTGTGCACTCTAGGGCATGCATGTTATACCCTAATAAAAATGGGAGGAGAAAGAGAAGAAAAAGAAGAAGAAAGCAAGCTATCTATGAAGGGGGTAAGAGGAGGATGTAAGTAAAGAGGAAAGTGAAGCAAATTAGTTAAATGATCACTCAAGCCTGGGGGAGATTTCAGTGTACTTAAAGAGAGGGATGTGTGAAACACTAGAGTGAAGAGCTCTTCATTGTACCTATAGGTATATACTCCTTTGTGTTCCTAATATTGATTATATGTACTTTTTCTCATTTCTTCCAAGATCAGTTTTGCTGTAGGTCTGTCTCTCTTATTGATTTTGTTATCTTTTCATTTACCTCTGCTCTTATTTTTTCCTTCTTCATTCTTTAGGTTGTTCTTTTTCTAGCCTTTTTAGTTGGGGGCTTAACTGTTTTTTTTTTAAATTTAGTCTTAAAAATTCATTGAATTTGTAAATTTGTATTTAAGAATGGCTTGAGCTGAACTTCACATGTGTGATACTACCTTTGTTGTTCAGTTTTAATTATTTTGTGATTTCCATTGTGAGTTCCTCTTTAAGCCATGAGTAGTTTGGTAGTATGTTTTTAAATTACTACATAGATAGTAATTTGTGGTAAGTGTGCTTTTGTGTTCTGTGCGGGGGAGATCATTTTTCTCCATTGCTCTTCAGTGCCATATTTGTCATAAACCGAGTGTCCATACACCTCTTCCGGATTCTCTGCTCTGTTCTATTGGTCTGTTAGATATCCTTGTGCCAGTTACTGTTTTGATTACTGTTGGACAAAGGTATTATGAACCCAAAAATTACAATAAATTCCCAGATACCCTCCTTTCCGTCTTACCTCCTCCCAACATAACACTGTCATTTGCCACAACCATATGAAGGGAAAAAGAGCGGGGGATGATGGTAAAAGGAATTCTGTCAGAAAGGACAGCTTCCTATTTGCCTATTTATATATATATATATGTGTGTGTGTGTGTGTGTGTGTGTGTGTGTGTGTGTGTGTATATATATATATATATATATATAGTACTTAAGTTTGCATGTTTTCTTTCTCATGAAGTCAAATGCCTTTAGGAGTCAGATGGGCACATACACGAATGCAGCATATACCTCATGACACGGCAGCCGCCACTCCGCTCCAAAAGGTTTGGGCCATGCCTGAATCCACTGGGCCAAAGCTTTGGATATGCCTAGAAAAATCAGAAGTCTGCATTTTATGTGAAATCTCCTAATTGTTAAGTATTATGAACTAACTTTAAAATGCCTTGCAAGCCAAATAAAAAAAACATGTCTATAGGCCATATTCAGCCCCAGGTTTCCAGTCTGCTACTCTTATTAAAAGAGGTCTTGTCATTTGTTATTTGAAGTGAGCTATAACCAGACTCCTTGGCCTCCTCCATGCCAAACTTTAAAAACTCAAAATCTATGTTATGTGTTATTCTAGACTTTATGGAGCAGAGATAGACACTAACCATTTCTCACTCACTTATAAGGAGCTATAATTGGGTGCAAGCTTTAGGAGAATATATTTTCTACTTTAGTTAGCAAGGAAGGAAGGGAATAAAGGAAATCTCTGATAAGCAAATCTTTCCTAACTTAAGAGCATTCTGTTCCCTCAGAGTTCACTGCTAATTCTATCCCTCTGACTTTTTATTATGAAAAATTTCAAACTAACAGAGTTTGAAAGAATAGCACAGGGAACACCCATGTTCCCCACCCCTATATTCACTAAGGCCTTATTTTTTGCCATATGTGTTTTATTTCTGTCTTGTGACACTTCACCCTTGAAATACACGTGTGCATCTCCGAAGAATAAGGACATTCTCCTTCATAACCACAATACCATTTTCATATCTAAAATATTAATATTTCCATAATATCATCTAATATTCAGTACATATTTAAATTTCCCCAGTTGTTCAGACTACCTTTTTTTTTTTTAAGAGACGGGTTCTCGCTCTGTTGCCCAGGCTGGAGTGCAGTTGTGCAATCATAACTCACTGCAGCCTTAAACTCCTGGGATCAAGCATTCCTGTCTCCTCAGCCTTCCAAGTAGCTAGGACTGCAGATGCACGCCACTACTCTTGGCTAAACTTTGAAAATTTTTTTTGTAGAGACAGGGTCTCACGTTGCCCAAGCTGGTCTGGAACTCCTGGCCTCAGCCAATCCTCCTGCCTCAGCCTCAAATCCCAAAGTGCTGGAATTACAGGCATGAGCCACACCACACCTAGCCAAAGACTGCCTTTTAAACCTGTTTTTTTAATAACAGAATTCTGTGTAGGTTCACATTTACATATGTAGAAGTAAAATTATTCCATCATATGGCACTTGGTAGTTACATCTCTGGTCTGTTTTAGTCCACACTGCACTTCCACTCACATATACCCCTACCCTGTTTTTTTCCCATCATATTGACTTTTTAAAATAGCTTTCTTGAGGTATAATTCACTGTTACAGACTGAATTGTGTTCCCCCAAAATTTATATATCAGAGTCCAAACCCCCAGTACCTCAGAAAGTGACTGTATTTGGAGATGGGGTCTTTAAAGTAGTAATTAAGTTAAAGTGGGATCTTAAGAGTGGGCCCTAATCCAGTATGACTGGTGTCCACATGAGAGGAGATTACAACATAGGTACAGAGGGAAGGCCATGTGAAGACAGAGAGAAGACAGCCATCTACAAGGCAAGGAGAGAAGCCGTCAGAAGAACAACTCTACCGGCAGGGCGTGGTGGCTCATGCCTGTAATCCCAGCACTTTGAGAGGCTGAGGCGGGTGGATCACGAGGTCAGGAGATTGAGACCATCCTGGCTAACAAGGTGAAACCCCATCTTTACTAAAAATACAAAAAAAATAGCCAGATGTGGCGGCAGGCACCTATAGTCCCAGCTAATCGGGAGGCTGAAGCAGGAGGATGATGTGAACCCAGGAGGCGGAGCTTGCGGTGAGCCGAGATCACACCACTGCACTCCAGCCTGGGCAACAGAGCGAGACTCCATTTCAAAAAAAAAAAGGAGGAACAACTCTACCAACATCTTAATTTTAAACTTCCAGCCTCCAGAACTTCAAGGAAATACATTTCTGCTGTTTAAGCCACCTAGTCTGTGATACTTTATCATGGCAGCCCTAGCAAACTAATATATTTACATACCATAAAATTTGCCCATTGTAAGTTATAGTTATTTTTAGTAATTTATGCAGTTGTGCAATCATCACATAATCCTGTGTTAGAATATTACTAGGCTGGACGTCTGTAATCCCAGCACTTTGGGAGGCCAAGATGGGAAGATTGCTTGAGCCCAGGAGTTTGAGACCAGCCTGGGTAAAATAGTGAGACACTGTCTCTACAAAAGAAAGAAACAGATCTGAATACTAGATGTGCTTGTTGCTACCGGGGATTCATTTCTTTTAGGTCCTCTCAGCTGGCACAGGACAGAAATATATGTGTATAATCTGTGTATATACACATCTTTATAAATATTTTTATATGTGACCATCTTTATATGAAGTTAAACATGAGTTTATACTAGTGTCTCTCACTCTAGTCCATGACCACATGAGTCATTCTAGCCTTCCCCCATCGCTTATCTTTAAATTCCCTGTCCAAAAGTGAGAAACCTGGCTTGCACCATCCACTGTCCATTTACCTAATTGTTCATTTCCAGTATCCATGCATAGCAGTATCAGAATTGTTAACCTGTACTCCTGTGAGGCACGACTTTATCAAATAGAGTACAGTGCTACATGCACTTCCTTTTCCCTTTAGTCTTACACACTCCACTCATTTCCAAAGTTACCTAGGTCAGCACCTTTTCTTTCCGCCCTCTTCAGTGAGATTGATACCTTTTTTTTTTTTTTTCTTGAGATGAAATCTCGCTTTGTCACCCAGGCTGGAGTGTAGTGGCGCAATTTTGGCTCAGTGCAACCTCCGCCTCCCGGATTCAAGCAATTCTCTGCCTCAGCCGAGTAGCTGGAATTACAGGCGCCCGCCACCACGCCTGGCTAATTTTTTTTGTATTTTTAGTAGAGACGAGGTTTCACCATCTTGGCCAGGCTGGTCTTAAACTCCTGACCTCATGACCCACCTGCCTTGGCCTCCCAAAGTGCTGGGATTACAGGCGTGAGTCACTGTGCCTGGCCCATACTTTTTAATATAAGTGGATTCTCTTGTCACATTTTGCATTCCTTCCTGAAACCCCCCAACCTCCTAATTTTTTTTAAGTTGCCCACAAAGGTTCACTCTTGATGCTGTTGAGTTCTGTAGGTTTTGGCAAATGTATAGTGTCATGTATCCACCATTACAGTATCACACAGAACAGTTTCACTGCTCTAAAGATCCTGTGTGCGTAACCTGTTCATTCCTTTCCCTCTTTCCCCTGAACCTACGGGAACCACTATCATTTTACTGTCTCTACAGTTGTGCCTTTTCTAGAATGTCATATAATTAGAATCATACAGAATGTAGCCTTTTCAGATTGTCTTCTTTCACTTAGCAGTAGGCCTTTAAGGTTCCGTCATGTCTTCCCATGGCTTGTTGGCACATTTTGTTTTTTTAGTCAAGAAATAGTTCATTATATGGAGGTGCCGTAATTTGTTTCTCCATTCACCTATTGATTGCTTCCACTTTTTGGCAACTATGAATAAAGCTACTAAAAACATTTGCAAGCAGGTTTTTTGTATGGACACAAGTTTTTAAATCTATTGAATAAATAGGAGTGCTATTGCTCAATCCTGTGATAAGACTAAATTTAGCTTTGTAAGAACTGCCAGTATTTTCCAAAGTGGCTGTATCATTTTCCATTTCCACCAGGAATTAATGAGTTTCTGTTACTTCCCATCCTCATCAGTATTTGATAGTGTCTTTTTTTTATTTTGGCCATTCTAATAGGTATGTAGTTGTATCATGTATTTTTCTATTATCCTAAAATATATAACTCAGTACACACTGGATTATCAATTAATCTTTATGAGAACCATCTCTTCACTCTTTGTCATTAGTTGGTTTGTTTTCAGGAGACAAAGCTTGATCTTCATGTAAGCCTAAGCAAACATAATTAAAAGCTGAATTTGGCACTTTTTCCCCCTCTTCCATTAGCGAGAATTATTCAATTTACCATTTAATGATGGTTCTAGTCACACAGGAAAGATAAAAACAGGAAATCGTGACAGGTTTTTGAGACTCTTTTCAGCAAACACTGTTCTCACAAATGGCATGGTCATATAATTGTAAACAACATGAAACATTAAGTTACGGGTGACCCCTTTCTATGTATAAATATTGCACACTAAGGTTAGGGTTTCAGCCAACTGGAATCTGCATTATTGTCAAATTGGCATCATCCCCTTTGAGTCACCAGGTATATTTGTATGTAATATTGAATTAAAGCATTAGTTGTAAAATTGTTAACAAAGGTTAAAATTTTTACAGGGACAGTAGGGTCAGAATTTGAATGTTTTGTGAGCTGGGGGACTTGTGGTTGCTGAGGCTTGATATGGAAAACAGAAGCAAGAAATAGCCTACATAATTAGCAATATTGTGTCCAAAACTTTGATCACAATCTCTTTGAAAATCATACTAGAGATCACTGTAAATTGGTGGGAAAGATTGCTCCCCGTGGCTGAAGCATGTTGCTTGAATAAATGCACTTCTGCCACTAGAGTTCATGTGGACATTAGTCCTCCCAAACCAGCATCCATGGAGCAGGTTGCCAAGATTGAGTTTAATTTGCGTAAACAAAAAATCTGTTTGCCAGTTTTGAGTGAGAGCACAGTAACCGAAACATATAACCTTACCTCAGCTAGAATTCTTCTTACCCTTCTTTTGTTGTTGAGTCATGATGTGTTTGGTCTGAAGAATGTTTGAATCTGCCCATGAATGTTGTTTTGATATAGTCCCTTTTTATCAGTATGGGCTTGATGACTAAGGAAGCAGCCAATTAATTGCACAAATACCTCCTTTCGTTCTGTGGAGAATACAAAGCAAGCAGGGGAGAGAAAAGAGACAATTATCTGAACCGATGTGACTGTTTTGTAAAGGTAAATGGACTGTAATTATGCCAGACTTCATGCTTTATTGCTCTATTTGACGTGACTTGCTAGAAAGATATCATTTCGTTTGGAAGATGGATTGTCCTTGTAATGCGTACAGGGTGAACCCTGCTGAAATCCATCCGCCCGCCGGTCTGTGCCCCATCACCATTTCTAAAGCACCCTACCCTCATGGCAGTGTCCCAAAGGAAGGGGTTTCCATGGTAACCTCAATGGATACAGTCAGCTGACGTCTGGCACCGCCTGTGCTGGTGTGCGCTAGCCTACTCACTCCCTCGGCCCTCCCTCAATCCTTTCAACTATATTTATTAGTTCTCTTTAATGGAAAGTATATAATCCCTTAATGTCAGACCTTGAGTGGCACTCAGCTTTATTAATTTATTTAGGTAATAAATTTACCTTCCTAATTAATTCTCAGTAGTCCTGGGAGCTGTATTATTTTAAACATCTTGCACAATGTTTATAGTTCTGCGTGTTATAACAAAGAGAGCCACTTAGCAAAATTAGATATTTGGAAACCTCTCTTCTTAGAAAAAAAGTAATGTCTATATTATAGAGAAATTTAGAAAAATACAGATGAAATTTTTTTCTTATTCTGATGGCTTTGGCAATGAAACATTCTTTCCCCGCCTCTTATAATTTCTTTTTAACACTCAATGACTTTATTATTGGATTTGAGTGAGCCACGTCGTTTTAAAATACTTCTAAGAAATGTGACGACTAAGCCACATTCTCTCTCTTTTTTTGTTAATAAGAGAGAAAGAAGTCAGAATTTCAGAGCTCCCCCGTTGATGGTTTTCCTGACATGTGTTCAGAAGCAAACGCCTTTTGTTACACTGGTTAGAGACAGCTGCTTATGCCAAACGCTACTAAGCAAACTGCTTTCTTTTTTTTAATGTGTTTTTCCTTACATGTGCAAAAATCTGACCAATAAGCAAACGATTTATAGTACCAAAAGTCACTGCTTTTGGGCACAAAGTAGAGTCCATTTTCATCAGTACTGTACTTGGAAATTCAATTTCATATGTAAAAGATGTCTCAAAGCAACGTCTGAAAGCACCAACCACTAGGGCCAATTTAACGTTGTTAAAGAAACACAATGCCTTTTAAGAACTAAAGTGTAAGCAAATTAGTACAGTACCACCTTAATTTATCCAGAGGTCAGATTGCTAGAGGCAAGATGGCTTTAAAACAAAGCCATACACGGAGATGTATATATTTTTTACATCTCTACATTTGCAGAAATAGATGTCACTAAGCTGCGGCAATAATAGGCTTCCTTTAGACAGCTGTCTTTATCAGAGCTCTCTTTTATTCAGTAAACATTTTGGAGCACCTCCCATGTGCTGTGCATTTGGCAGGCACTGGTGGTGCGAGCATACATCACGTAGCCTCTGCCTACAAGCCTTGTGGACCCGTGGGAGAGACAGGGAAGCCACCAGTCCATCGGCACAGTGCCTAGGTTGCTCACTGTGGCAGCCCCGTAGGTGCACAGCACAGTAATACCTTGCTCTGAAGAGAAAACTGGTGCTCAGAAAGGTGAAGCAATCTGCCCAGGTCACAAAGCTCACCAAGAATGGAGCTGGGCTTCATCATTTGTGTGTGTGACCTAGCCCCTAATCCCAAGTGTGTTTGACCTAGGCCAGTTCCAACAGCCACCTGCTACCTGCCCCTCCCTTTGACAGATAACACATGAAACTAAAATCCTGTTTGGGGCCCAGAGCAGTGGCTCACACCTGTAATCCCAACACTTTGGGAAGCTGAAGCAGGCAGATCACCTGCACTCAGGAGTTTGAGACCAGCCTGGGCAACATAGTGAAACCCCATCTCTACAAAAAATACAAAAATTAACCAGTAGTCCCAGCTGCTCAGGAGGCTGAGGAAGGACAATTGCTTGAGCCCAGGAGGCAGAGGTTGCAGTAAGCTAAGATCGCACCATTGCACTCCAGCCTGGGCAATAGAGCGAGACCCTATTTAAAAAAAAAAAATCCTGTTTTAAGAGGAAAGAAATAACAGAACTAACATTCATCGCATGTGTCATGCCAGGTGTTTCTTAAATGATTTAACCAGACTATATCTCAATCACTGTAAGAATCCCAGGCAGGAAGTCTCATTTTATAGATGAAATAAATTCTCAGAGAAGTTGACCACTAGCGCAATGTTTCAGTGCAGGTTCTTCTAATCTCAGAGCCAGAGGTAGCCACAAAATTAGGTATCTTTCTACCTAACTTAATTGCCAAAGTTGCTCTCTCTCTCTCTCTCATTTTCTTTATTTATCTATTTAAGTCTTTCTTACATTAATAATAGCTTTCTAAAATAGTTTGTCTTAACCTTTTGAGGATTAGTGACTTGTATGCCCGCAGGAAACTGAATAATCAAGATGAGAGTGTTTGTATTGGCCCTGGTCTGCATATCAGGAGCTCCGAAGGTATGGTCCATTAGGATACAAAAAAGGGCTGGGCACAGTGGCTCACGCCTGTAATCCCAACATTTTGGGAGGTCAAGGCAGGCAGATCACTTGAGTCCAGGAGTTCAAGACCAGCCTGGCCAACATGGTGAAACCCCATCTCTACTAAAAATACAAAAATTAGCTGGACATAGTGGCAGGTGCCTGTAATCCCAGCTACTCGGGAGGCTGAGGCAAGAGAATCGCTTGAACCCGGGAGGCGGAGGTTGCAGTGAGCCAAGATCGCGCCATTGCATACCAGCCTGGGCAACAAGAGCAAGACTCTGTCTCAAAGAAGAAAAAAAAAAAAAAGATACAAAAAAGGAAAACAAGAAAAAGAAAATATCTTCATTTCTTTTAGGGGGGAAAAAACAGCACCTTTAAAGAGAGCTGCCACGTTATACTTTTATTTGTACAGTTTGTTTCTCTCAATTGCAATCCTGCCTCCTCAAAGAAGAAAAGGTACTACTACAGTCTCAAGAAGGCCAGAAAAAATATAGTGGTTTTACTGTTAACCTGCTATTTAGAAGATCTGATTTTTATTTTATTTAGTTTTCACTTTTAAAGCCAAATAAAAAATGTTAGTATGTTAGTAGTCTTAACTCAGGGGTTCTCAACTTTAGCTGCACATTAGAATGGCCTGGAGAGTTCTTAAAATTACTGATACCCAGGTCATACTCCAGATGCATGAAATCAAATCTCTGCTGGTAGAGCTAGGCATCAGCAAGCATTAAAGCTCCCCAGGCCGGCCGGGCGCAATGGTTAACACCTATAATCCCAGCACTTTGGGAAGCCAAAGTGAGAGGACCGCTTGAGCCCAGGAGTTCAATACCAGCCTGGCCAACATAGCAAGACCCTGTCTCTACAAAAAAAAAAAAAAAACTTAAAGAAAAAATAAAATAAAGCTTCCTAGGTGACTGCACTATGCAGCCAGAGATGAGAACCACTTATCTATTCTGTTCCCCAAATTTTTTCACTTTTGTTGTTTTGGCTCCTTGGAAACATCTGTTAAAAGTTGGACTTGCTCCCAAATTCAGTTCTGCCATTAGAGTTTTTTATCACTTACGTATATGTGTGTGAGAGAGAGACAGAGAGACACAGAGTGCTAAGGTCTGAAGGTGTTCCCCCAAAATTCATATGTCAAAATCCTAACCCCCAAAGTGATGGAACTCGGAGATGGGACCTTTGGGAGGTTTCTACCCTCATAATGGGATTATCGACTTATACAAGAGGCCCCAGAGAGACCCTCGCCCTTTTGCCATGTGAGGACACTACGAGAAGTTGGCAGTCTGCAACCTGGACGAGGGCCACCAGCACCCTCATCTCGGACTTCTAGCTTCCAGAACCGTGAGGAGTAAATCTCTGTTGTTTATAAGCCACCAGTTTATGGTATTTTGTCATAGCCACCTAAATGGACTGAGACAGAGTTGGAGAGAGTGTGTGTTTTCTAGAAAGCCTCATGATCGCGTATCTGTATCAAAAATTAAATTTTCTTTAAGTCATTGACCATGGTTTAATGTTTGAGGACAGTCTCATCAAAAGATTTTCCTTAAACAAGAGTAGTATAAGATAAAGAAATCACCTTATATTTGATGATTTTCATTCCTTATAGTGGACCTCTGCATATATTGTCTCACTTAGCAACGACCCCCCATCCCCACCACTACCACACACATACCACTGGGAGGTGGCCTATACTGGTCCTGGACTGTAGCCATTAAATAAATGAGTTTGTTTCTTTGTTATTGGCTGAGGTCCAGAACAAACTTTCTTTACACAGAATTGTTACGATGAAGTTCTGCACTACAGGGGGAATCTGATTTTTTTAATATAATAAACATTAGAAGGATTTCATTTTATTGGAACCATATCTAAGCATAGACCTCTTTACAGTGTGCCATGGTTAGAGGTATATCTAGTGGGAACAAGTAAAGTTGACAGGCTCAGGGTCCTCTCTCCTGAGTTAGCTGAACTACTACTTTGGCTCCTGTTGAGCAGCCATTCTGCTTCTTGGGAGCCACCTCTGATGTCCGCCCTTACCATCCCCTCTGATAGCCTTTCACAAATCTTGTTGAGTTGTAAAAATATCTTATATTGCATTTAAAGATCATTACACCATAAATGGTAAAGGACAAAAGAAAAATCACACCCCAGTGGGGTCTGGCAACACAAGTGTTAGGATATTTGGAAGCAGATGGGTGGTTGTTGAATTCATGCCCCATTTTAACAGTAGCACCCATCTCAGTTGAATGTTGAGGCCCAAAATGAGGTATATGAAATAATGCGTGGAAAGTCCTCAGCATCGTTCTTATCACATAGTCAGGTGCTCTAGAATTAGAAACTGCTCTTTGCCCCCTTGCAAACTGGCAATCCCATGCCTGTAGAAATCAGAGTCGGATGAAGTCAGCTTTCAGTGCCCTCACTGTCTAATCTTTGATCTCGGTTTTCATTCCCCTGGAGTGTTCTCCCAGATAACTGAATGGCTTCCTTACTTCATTCAGGCCTCTGCCCAAATATAACTTTAAAAGGCTTGTTCAGAATGATACCCTCAGCTCCATCTTATCCCTCTGTATGCCTTTACACACTTTATTCTTCTTCACAGGCCACATCACCACCTGTCACATTATTAGAGTTCTTTTCAGTCTGGCTCCCCCACACCCCCATTAGAACATAGACTCCATGGGAGAAGGGTCGGGGACTCTCTTGTTCCCAGAACACTGCCTGCCATACAGTAGGTGTTCAATAAATGAGTGTTGATGGTTGAGCTGGAGAGGTCAAGACTGGTGACAGGAAAAGCAGTTAAGATGCTGCTTAAGAAATTACAAGGACCTGTACTCAAGCAAGGACCATAAAGAGGGGGAGATGGGTTCAAGACCTGTTTATGTGCGAGAACAACAGGCTTTGGTGCTGGTGACTCACCAAGATGGGAAATACAGGAAAAGAAGCAGGGATGTGGTAGCAGAGTGTGAGAAAGGTCAGTCTCAAATGGGCTTCATTTGAGGCAAGGCCCAATACACAGTCAAAGAGCAACCTAGGATGGAGACTGTCTTAGCATGGGGTGCTGTAACAAGAAACCACAGACCGAGTGGCTTAAACAACAGGAATCTATTTCCCAGTCTGGAGGCTGGAAGTCCAAGATCAGGGTGCCAGCATGTTTGAGCTCTGGTGAGGGCTTTCCTTTCAGTTCACAGAGGACTGGCTGCCTTCTCATTGTATCCTCACATGGGGAAGAGAGGAGGAAGCAGGTTCTGGCCTGTCTTTTCTTATAGAGACACTAATCCCAGCATGAGGGCTCCACCCTCATGACCTAATTACCTCCCATAGGCCCCACCTCCAAATACCATCACACTGGGGATTAGGGTTTCAACATATGGGAGGTCACAGACATTCTCAGTCCTTAGCAGAGACATGGATTTGGAAGCCGTGGACAAGAGCTTGGGGAGGGGCATGAGGAGAGAAAGGAGAAAGTACCTGCAAGGTAACCAGTAAGAATAAAGCTTTTAAGGCTGTAATTAAGGGTTGGCTTTGATAAGGAACACATGGGAACCATCAGTCTTCTAAGCTAGGAGAACCTTTTTAATCCATCCATAGCTTTTACTGTCTTCCACACATTCAATAAATTCTATCATCTACCACTTACCTGGCAGGTAAGGAGGGAAATAAGGACGAGAAGATGCAGCTTCTGCTTGTCGTTTAGTGGGAGAGGCAAATGCAAACAAAAATAATCACAGTGCAGCTTGTTAAATGCAAAAGCAAAGGTGAGCATGAAGTTCTATGAGAGGGTGCAGAATATGGCAGAAATGGCTTTTCAGGACAAGGAAACGTTTGAGGAGGCTCATACGTACAGGCTGAGCATCCCTAATCCAAAATCCAAAACTCTCCAAATTCCAAAACTTTTTGAGCACCAATATGACGCCACAAGTGGAAAATTCCACATCTGACCGCATGTGACAGGTTACAGTGAAAACGCAGGCACACAGCACAGCTTATTCAACGTCCCCAAGGGAAAAATAAAATTACCTTCAGGTTATGTATATAAGATTTATAGGAAACATAAATGAATGTCATTTTAGACTTGGGTTCCGTCCTGAAGATATCTCATTATATATGCAACTATTCCAAAATCTGAATAAAATGCAAACTCTAAAAGATTTCTGGTTCTAAGCACTTTGGATAAGGTATACTCAATGTGTATATGCAAATACTTGTGTATGTTTGCGATGGGCTCTCGTAGCTTTTTTCAAATTCTTAAAAGGAGTGTGTGCTCCAGCCTGTGATGTTTGCCTCCTGGCTCCTCCCCCTACATCAGAAACCACTGCAGGAGAAACTACATTTCTGATTTGTTTGGGGCATTATCTAGAATAAGAAGTTGGGCCTTCAAGTTCTAAACAAAATGGAAGAGATGCATTTCTCCCTACCTGTCTCACTGAATACAGCTAAAAACCCTAGACATTATATCATAAAACAAATTTAAGAAGATTCTGAATGCTGGAGAGAGGAAAGTGGACCAGCTAGGGACCTCAGGACTCTGGAGGAACTTGGCAGGGGGGGGTTCCCTGGCTTTTCTTTTTGCCTCCTTTCTATCCCAGACTGCCTGCTGGAGAAGCCCGCCATCCAGAAACACCAGCAGGCACAGAGAAGAGCCTGCTCTTTCTTGCCAAAAGTACAAGAAAGGGGTAACCTAGCAAAACAGAATCCTTTGACAATAAGCACCCTTCTCCAGAAAAGCACCAGGGGGAAAATATGCAGATACCTCCACCTCTCATCAGCAAAGGCCTAGTGAAAAGCCTAGCCCTCCACCCTCACCTGGCAGTAAAGAGGTACCCCTCTCCTGACCCTTCCCTGCTGGGCTGGTGTCAAGGAGGCTCAGTGGGGAGCCAGCCTAGGGGTAATGAGGTACCCAACCCCTCTCAGTATGTCAGTGGAAGCAGAGGGACATGCCTAGGTTTCCACCCACTCCTGGAGGCTATGAGGCGCCTGTCATACTCCCCACAAGAGCGGTGTCAATGGAAGCCATGTTGAGGGGCCTGGACTTCCACTCCCATCCGGCAGTAAAGTATTTGTCCTCACCTTCTGCTCCTGGCCCACTTTTAGTGGAAGCCTGCTAAAAGAGAAGATTTAAGTAAGATCCAGAGTCTCCTAACACAATATCCAGAATGACCAGGATACAATACAAAATCACTCATCATATCTAAAATAGTTGTTATTGCACACCGACTCAGAATAGGATAAGGAAAATAAGCCTAAAATGATGAGTGAATAATCTTTTTTTATTTTGCACTGAGAGGGTCAAAAAAATTCAATTAAAGACTAATAAGGAAAGCAGCTTAATTAAGTTGGTATTTTAAGAGAGAGGAAAAAATAAATTTAAAATAGATAATATAGAGCTTGATTCAATTAGTAAAACAATTAGCTTTGTAAAATAATAATTTGACTATCTAGGACCCAATTATTTAGTAGTTTTACCTAAATCAATGGTTACGTGTAATTTGAATCACTTGGGGAGCTTTTACAAACTGCAGATGCCCAGCACAAACCAGACCAAATGTATCACAGTCTTCCCTGTGATTCTCATACATAGCCATGGTTGAGAGCCATTGGCCCAAAAGAACCATAATCAGAAGGAAAATGGGAGGATGTTTATACCTCCCAAATAGATGAGACAGAGTCAAAATAGGTGGGACAGAGTTTGTGTGGTAAACTTTGTATGTTCTTTCCAAAGGAGCGCCTTCTTGGCCATTTGTCTTGCTTTATGTACCCTTGTGATGAATTTGATTATCTCATTCCCAAGCCCAAAACAATAAATCTGAAGCAGTAATTAAAAGGAAGTCAGCATCTTACACAGGCAGGCATATTGATGACTGCAATATATGAAAACTGAAAGTATAGGAAGACTCAGAGATTTAGTTCAGTTCCACTAGATGGCTTGGTATTAAAAACTTGTTGAAGTGATTTCTTGAGCTATGTCCTCAGAGCAGTCTATTTGGGATTAAAATTGAATTTTTCGTGAAACTACTGAACTCCAAGTTACAAGACGAGCCCAGGAACTCAAACTGCCAGATACTCAGGGAAGTATCTGGCTTGTCTTAGATTTTAACAAAAAGAAGACAAGATTCTTGCAACAAAAGGAAAAATTCACCAAGCATTTAAATTAATGGAGGAGTTGCGAGGCACAGTGACTCACGCCTGTAATCCCAGCACTTTGGGAGGCCGAAGCAGGTGAACCACTTGAAGTCTGGAGTTTGAGACCAGCCTGGCCAACATGGTGAAACCTTGTCTCTACTAAAAATACAAAAATTAGCCAGGCATGGTGGCAGTCGCCTGTAATCCCAGCTACTCGGGAGGCTGAGGCAGGAGAATCACTGAAACCCGGGAGTCGGAGGTTGCAGTGAGCTGAGATCATGCCATTGTACTCTGGCCTGGGCAACAGAGCAAGATTCCGTCTCAAAAAAAAAAAAAGAATTAATTAATTAATTAACAGAGGCAGCTATGGGAGGCCCAGCTTCCTGTGTGTCACTCTCTAGAGGAATTTGTATTTAATTTTGTTAAGTACCAAATCCACTGTGATGAGAACATTATGTGGGTTGTAAATGTTCTTCTTGATGGTGCCCTTGATCCCTGTCAGGATGTGGAATATTGGGAAGAAATTGAAGTTTGATATGGAGATGTTTTATTTATTCAGTGCAGTGAGGTGAATTGGTGTTGGAAACTTACTGAAGAGTTTTGCTGAGTGGCTTTCATCAAGCTGTTAAAATCAAGGGTTGAAAGCCCTTGTCAATCAATGATATAAACTTAGCCCTTTTAATCAGTTGATTACAATTATTTTCCTTGACCTGAATAATGTTGATCAATAGTACTAGGCTCACAACAAGCACTTGGGAATAAAGTCGATTATACTGGTTTCAAGACAGTTTTTCATTACTGCTCAAAGCTCATGTTTTGTAGAAATAGGTTTTGTTTTACCATTAAAACAGCATGTGGCTCACACATACTGGTATGATGTTTGGATCATGTGATCCAGGCGTGCAGTCACAGAGAGCCTAGTAGCCCTGAAGATGCATCTGTTTTAAAGCATACTTACTAATTAACATTCACCATAACAACTTTGAATCCCTAAGAAAGGAAAAGAATTTTATTCTGTTTCATGAAGTGGGAAAATATTTATAAATATGGTATTTTTACTGTTTATCTGATGTGTTAAAATAATAACAAAAAATTTTTGAAAGTGACTGTCTGTTTATAAAGGAATTAATTCTTAGTTATCCCAAACAATGTATTCTTTCTATGATGCATTTACAAAATTAAGGTTTCTCTCTGTTACTGTCATATGTTCTTGGGTCAGTGATTCAGAATAGGTGGGCCGCGAGCAGTGGCTCATGCCTGTAATCCCAGCACTTTGGGAGGCTGAAGCGGGTGGATCACCTGAGGCTAAGAGTTCGAGACCAGCCTGGCCAACATGGTGAAACCCCATATCTACTAAAAATATAAAAATTACCCGGGCATGGTGGCGGGTGCCTGTAATCTCAGCTGCTTAGGAGGCTGAGGCAGGAGGATTGCTGGAACCCAGGAGGCAGAGGTTGCAGTGAGCTGAGATCATGCCATTGCACTCCAGCCCAGGCCAACAACAGACAACAGCGAAACTCCGTCTCAAAAAAAAGAGCAAAGCAGGTGGCTTCTCTCTGCTCTGCAGTATCTGAGGCCTTAGCTGGGAAGACTTAAAGACTAGGGGTGATTTAAGGGCTGGGGCTGGAATCATTTGAAGGCATGTTCACTGAGGTGACTGACACCTCAGTGGGGAGGACTCGGAGACTGAAACTGCTGACCGGAGAGCCTTATGAGGCCTTTTGGAGATGCTTGGCTTCCTCACAACATGGTGGCCTCAAGGTAGTCAGCCTTCTTTATTTTTTTTATTAACTTTTTTTGAGACAGTCTACTCTATTGCCCAGGCTAGAGTACAGTGGCGTGATCTCAGCTCAATGCAACCTCCGCCTCCCAGGTTCAACAATTCTCGTGCCTCAGCCTCCAGAATAGCTGGAACTACAGGCATGCGCCACCATGCCCAGCTAATTTTTGTATTTTTAATAGAAATGGCCATGTTGGCCAGCCTGGTCTTGAACACCTGGCCTCAGGTGATCCACCCAATATGCTGGGATTACAGGCATGAGCCACCACGACTGGCTGGTAGTTGGACTTCTTATGAGCTGACTTAGTGCTCAAAACATGAGTGTCCCATTAAACGAGGCAGAAGCTGCATTGCCTTTTATGAGCAGGCCTCAGAAGTCACACAGCCCCAATTCTGTTGCATTTTATTCGTCAAAAGCCAGTCATATAGTAAGCCTAGATTGAAGGGGTGAGGATATAGACCTCTATCTTTCTATGGGAGGAGTGGCAAAAATTTTGCAAACTTGTTTTAAATCCTCCACTTTCTACCCGCTGATTAAAAATTATTTTTGTTACTCTTACTTAAAATGCACTTACCAGCCAACCACTGTGGTTACACCTGTAATCCCAACACTTTAAGGACGCCAAGGCAGGAGGACCACTTGAGGCCTGGAATTCAAGACCAGTCTGGGCAACACAGCAAGACCTCATTTCTACCAAAAAAAAAAAAAAAAAGTTTTTAATTAGTCAGATGTGGTGGTACATGCCTGTAGTCCCAGCTACTTGGGAGGCTGAGGCAGAGGACTGCTTGAGCCCAGGAGCTCAAGGTTTGAGCCATCATTGCACCACTGCACTCCAGCCTGGGCAACAGAGTGAGACCCTGACTCAAAAAAATGAAGTAAAATAAACTAGAATGTGCTTACCCACTCCCAAGATGTCCCAAAAGTCTCATCTCCTTATAATACCAGGTTTAAGGTCAAGGGCCAGGATCTCATCTAATTCAATCCAGGCACAGTTCCTTAAGTAGAGTTCCTGCAATCTGAAGACCAACTAAAAGGAAAAGTTACCTGCCCCGCATACCCAACATGCAGTGATGATCTAGGGGTGGGATACCTACCACAGACATTTCTGTTCAAAGAGGAGGGGAATGAGGGGCACAAAACACTCACTGACCATCTGTGTTTGCAACTAAGTAGCTTTCTTAGCTGCTTCCTGTCCACAGGTCCAGAGCCTCTTTGCATTTTGCCATGTCTATGTTGCTTTCAGTCCAGTCCTTTGAAATTTTGATGGTTTCACTGTGTATCAATTTATAATCACTCCATTAGACAAAAAACACGCCCACAAATCTCTGCAAAATAAACTCTCCCATACCTTGGGCTCCTCGTGAGCTATTGTGGGACAAGACCCTTAAGATTCAGGAGCCCTGTTGTTTATCGGATAGAATTTGTAAGGCATGCCCTAAAGATCTTTAGAGCCTCGTTTAGTCTGTCTGGAAGATACTATGGATGCCTTCGATCTTTCTAAGGTTTTAACAAAGGATTTTACAATCCCACTCTGGGTTTGATCCGTTGCCCTGAAACCATTTCTTAATTTGAGAATCATTTGCCATCTGGAGAAGCTGGGAATAAGAAACAGTTTTATTTTCAAGCCTAGCAATTGCAGGCTTCTTTATGTTTCCTCTAAATTTTACATGAGAGCAGAACCATTCTTTATTAAGGTCCTCTCTCTCCTCTCACATTTTTTTCATAGACAGCAAGAAGAAGCCAGATGGCACTTTCAGTATTCTGTCTAGAAATCTCCTTATCTAGATCATCACATTTGTTACGTACATTTTCTATTTTCTGCCTTCCCATAGGCAACAGTGTTGTCAAATTTTCTCCTTAACAAAGGTCCGCTTTCCTCTGGCTCGAAGTAGTCTTTTCCCTGTTTTCCTCAGGCCCTCACTGACCTCCTCTTGAAGGCCTGCCATGATTCCCCCAACAGTCTCTCAGAACCTTTCCAGCTTCCACCTACTTCCCAAAGCCAGTGCCAACTATCTGGGATTATGTTATAGGAGCACCCTACTCCTGTTCCAAATTTTTATTCCAATTACTATTGCTGTGTAACAATCCACCCCAGACTTAGTGGAATGAAACGACCGCTACTTTATTATGTTCTTGGATTCTGTTGGTAAAGAATTTGAAAGAGGCACTGTGAGGCCAGCATGCCTCTGCTCCACAATGTCTAGGGCCTCCATTAGGAAGATTCGAAGGTGGGGGTTACTTGGTGAGTGAGAGTTGGAATCACTGGAGCCCTCATACACTCACTTGTCTGGCCCCGGCTGGCAGAGCTCAAGCCAGGACTGCTGACCAGAGCACCTGCACACGACCCCTCTGAGAGGTTTGGCTGCCTCACGGCATGGCACCTCAAGACCATCAGCCTGCTTGCATGAGGGCTCTGGGCTCAAGCAAGTTGTTGCTTTCAAGAGATGCTTGCTTATAAAGGGATAAACTCTCAGTTATGCCACAGCTTCCACCATTTCCATGATGAGCCCACACAGCTGAGCTTCCTGAGTTATAGCTAGTTGAGGAGTAAGGAGGGAACAAGATGTGGGGGACTGGGAAGGGAGAAGGAGGGAGATTAGGAGAGACAGATGAACAGAACAGAGAAAGGTGAAAAGAAAGTCACCAGGTGTCCTGCAAAAAGCCAGAGCAAACTGTCTCCCAAGTTTCTGAATGGAAAACAGAATGAACAGAATGTTCTCCATCAAAGAGCAGCCAAATCAATTTGTTAATTGAGATCAAAAGAACATAAGCATTATCTCTGCAGTCTAATCAAAGAACAGAAGTTGAATAGTACATCCAAAAACCCAAGTGTCTGTGTCAAAATACGAGCAAACACCTGCAGAAATTAAGTGACCGCTACAATTTCATGAAAGTTCTTTGTGTGTCAGGCATAGCTTTGGACGGGGTGTGGGGGGCGGGGGCATGGAAGGGCAGGGAGGTGGGGGGAATACCAAGAATGAAGTCCCTTAGAGGTGTATGTAGAGAGCAGTAACCAAAGAAGAGGAGAGATTCTCCAGGACAGAAGATTGTGGAACAGCTGCTACTGGGAGGAAGTTTGGAACAAAGATGCTCCAGAGTTAAAAAAAAAAAAAAAAAAAAAATTAAAACATTATTATAGTGATGAAATAGCAATAAATACATTTGAGTATTTACCATCTTACTGTAAAATGAAGTATTGTTTTATATACCATGGTATACTGTAAAATAAAAACAATACAAATGCAAAACTTCATACTTGGCTGAAAAAAGTGAAAGCCAGCGAGCCTGACCCCAAGGAGATCATTCTGGTTGGACAAGCACACGGATAATACATAAATGTGAACTATTAATAAATAAACTGAGTTATATTGAGGTATTTCTTTTTTTTTTTTTTTTTTTTTTTTTGAGATGGAATCTTGCTCTGTCGCCCAGGCTGGAGTGCTGGAGTGCTGGAGTGCAGTGGCACTATTTCGGCTCACTGCAATCTCTGCCTTCCTGGTTCATGCGATTCTCCTGCCTCAGCCCCCCGAGTAGCTGGGATTACAGGCACGCACCACCACGCACAGCTAATTTTTGTATTTTTAGTAGAGACAGAGTTTCACCATGTTGGCTAGGATGATCTTGATCTCCTGACCTCGTGATCTGCCCACCTCGGCCTCCAAAAGTGCTGGGATTACAGGCGTGAGCCACTGCACCTGGCCTATATTGAGGTATTTCTTACTAGTGAACCACCCTTACCCTTGTGAATATACGCTCATGGTCATGGTGTTTATCTTGTTGCATCCAGTTTGTTAATTATTTTGGATTTTGCATCTGTATTTGTACGTTACATTGATTTCTGGGTGTGTTTGTTTTTGTGTATGAGAGAGAGATTCAGCAGGTTTTGCTAGCAGGATAAATAAAATGAGTCAGTATGATTTTTCTCTTTTTCCATATTGTAGAGCATTTAAGTATGATAGAAATTACCTGGGCCTATAACATAACCTGTGCCTAGTAAGAACTAGAAGAGTATTTTTCTGATAATCTAAAAAAAAACTTTTTGCTAGTTATAAATAGAAATTAATTGTTTTATCTTTCTTTAAGTCAATTTTACTAATTTATATTTTCCTATAAAATCATGCATTTCAGGCCTGGTGCAGTGGCTTACACCTGTAATCCCAGCACTTTGGGAGGCCAAGGTGGGAGGATCACTTGAGCTTAGGAATTCATGACAGCCTGGGCAACATGACAAAACCCTGTCTCTACTGAAAATACAAAAACTAGCCGGGTGTGGTGACGTGCTCCTGTGGTCCCAGCTGCATGGGAGGCTGGGGTGGGAAGATTGCTTGAGCCTGGGAGGTAGAGGCTGCAGTGAGCCGAGATCGTGCCACTGCACTCCAGCCTGGGCAAGACAGCTAGACCACATCTTTAAAAAAAAATATGCATTTCATTAATATGAAATTACAATTACAAAAGTTTTTCTCTTCTAATTTCTTCTTCTTCTTTTTTTTTTTTTTTTGTTTTTTTTTTTTTGAGATGGGTCTCACTCTGTCACCCAGGCTGGAGTGCAGTGGCGTGATCAGCTCACTGTAACCTCAAACTCCTAGGCTCAAGCAATCCTCCTGCCTCAGCCTCCTGAGTAGCTGGGACTACAGGCACGCACCACCACATCCAGCTCCAGCTAATTTTTTTTTTAGCTGGGGTTTTTGCTATGTTGCCCAGGCTGGTCATGAACTCCCGGCCTCAAGTGATCCTCCTGTCTCAGTCTCCCAAAGTGCTGGGATTAGAGGCTTGAGCAACTGCTCTTGGCCTCTTATAATTTTGAAAGTCAACACACCCTTTCTTAAATCCCTTTCTCATTCCTAATGTTAAATATTTGCGGTTTTGCCTGTTTTTTCCTTGGTGAGACTCTGCCAAGGGTTTGGTCTGTTCAAAGAACCAGCTCTTTAATTTATTATGTATGTTGTTCTCATTCATAAACTTCTACTTTTATCTTAATTAATTTTATAAACAGGGTATATTTTTGTTTTTTGCTTAAATCTATAACCCCTCGTCCTCCAATAAAGGAGTTGTATCCTGTTCACATTTCTTACAGCAACTGGCAAAAAAACTTTTCTTAAATTCAATCGTGTTATTTAAATGCTTTCTATTTTTTATGCTCCCACGCTATTTCATTCTTTTTTCTGTTGCTGCATTGGTCAAGTTTTATTTATTCTCTTTTTACTACTGGTTAGAACCTTACACATCCTTTTTCATCTTAATGATTACTGTTAAATATTTGAGCTGATCTTTCCTAATTGATATCAAGAATAAAATGGATTTACTTATCTCCTCCTGTGAATTGTGACAAAATTAATAGAGTTTTCTTTTTGTTTTTGAGACGGAGTCTCGCTTCAGTGCCCAGGCTGGAGGGCAGTGGCATGATCTCGGCTCACTGCAACCTCTGCCTCCCAGATACAAGTGATTCTCCTGCCCCAGCCTCCTGATTAGCTGGGACTATAGGCACCCTCCACCACAACCAGCTAATTTTTGTATTTTTAGTAGAGACGGGGTTTCACCGTGTTGGCCAGGCCAGTCTCAAACTCCTGACCTCAAGTGATCCTCCCGTCTTGGCCTCCCAAAGTGTCGAGGTTACTGGTGTAAGCCACCACACTTGGCCAAGTTTTCTGTTTTAAAAAAGGATATAAACCTGAATTTTATTTTCCTGTGTAGATAACTTATTTTTGTATGCCTAGGTACTTGAAGATTTTTTCCTTTATTCTACAGGTCTAAAACTTCTCTGGGCTACACATCCAGAAGATCCTCTAAGTTTGGCTGGTACCTGTGATTCCTTTCTGTCTAAAGACTGGGATGTTTTCTTCTATTATTCTTTAATTTTCTAAAGTATCTATTCAGTTACTGCTTCCATTGTGTATGTAATTTATCATATTTGTCTTTTCGAATTATTTCTCTTTCTAATATCGGTCTGTTTTGCGCTGATTTCGTAAATGAGAATATGGATTAGAGATTTTCTTGTATAGTGAGCTCTGCTCTCTAGCGCTCATTCCATTGCAGAGGAGGAGAGGACATCTGCTCTGATTTCTCAGGCCGGCCTCCTCTTCCAGAACTGCTCAGCTCTTTACCTATCTAGTTGTGTTCACTGTTTGGTCCTTCTTAGTAAGGAGAGGCTGGGAGAATTGAAATGGGTTGCAATCAGAGACTCTTTTTGCCCTGTTCAAATCTTCAAGGCCAAAGAAGGGGAAGGCTTAGATTTATCATAGCATAGAAATCTCATAGATTAGGAGAAATAAGGAAGCAACAGGGGCAGGGGGAGCCTTGATAAGGAGTTTCCCTTTTGTTCGGAGAAACGCATCTATGTGTTATGGCTGCCCAAATGCAATGAGGTAGTGACCCCTTCCCCAGCTGAGGTGTTTCACAAAATACCTTCCATTTGCATGGTGTTGTAAGGTTTTAAAATTATATTTTCAGTGATAAAGTTTTGCTGACTTATTTTCACTTAGAGTGTAAGACCCTCGAAGACAGAGGGTTTTTTTGCTTATTTACTTTTTGTACTCCAGAGTTGCTACTATTTGATCCTTACCACAACCCTGCAAGGTAGACAAGGCACCTGATGTTATCCTTATTTTGCAGAAAAGGAGACAGATGCCCCAATAAATTAAATGAGTCACTCAAGATCACATGGCTGAATTGGGATTAACACCCAGGTCATCCTTAGTACACTAATCCCCACTTACCATCCTTTCTTCCAGAACTAAAGGGGACGTTCTGGGTGCTGTTTGTCCTGCTTTGGCAACAATAGGGACTTAATCTTTCATTATTTGTGTAGCAGAGCAACTTAAGTACTGTTTTCCCTCATTTCTTCTGAGACTGACACACCACTAGGCCTGGGCGTACACATGAAGAATTCCCATCCACAGCAGATAAAGCCACCTAGACAGCAAGGGAGAGAGAAGGGGAGGGAGAGAAGCCCACCCGCTGAGAGGGGGTTGTGGCCGAGAGCAGAGTCATTGGCTCCTGTCCTCTGGTCCAGGTAGCACCTAGGAAGGGATCCTCTATCCCTGTGGTTTCAGCGTTCTTTGCCGAATCTGTCTCTTTTCCCTGAACCCCTGCAGCTAATGCTCCTGGGATATGCTGGCAGAGTTACTGCTGTTACCATTCTCATTTCTTTAGGCTTTAATCAAGCTCTCCTGTGAAGTGCTACATCAATTCAATTTTGAATTTCACATATAAAATAATGAAATGAGAGTGAAGCGTGATAGACATAAAATGTTTTTTTAAAATGAAAATGATATTTTTAATTTAATCATATAAAAATCATCTGGATCCAGTACATGTAAGTGGCAGAGAGTTTGCTATATTCTCTTACCAATGGCCTCAGAAAGCCCACGATCCACATTGGTTGGTGAATGATTTCCAATTTCTTTAATATTTTCCCTTCTCTCCATTAAGCCCTGACCCTGGCATTCTTTAAAATCAACCCAAGAACTCACCTCCTATGAAAATGTATTCATGGGAATACTTATTTATAGAATATATAAATATTCTATGTTCATTTATACATGATACTTGAAAAACCTGGTGTGATGGAAAGAACATGAGTCCCCATCAGTCTGCAGGTCTGAGTTCTAGTTCCCGGGCCTGCAGACGGGCTGAACTCCTTCAGTCTCAATTTCTATCTGTAAAACATAGGCATGGAACTAAGTGACACTGCAAATCTGTAAATTGTTAAGGTGTTTTTCTTCAGTTATTTAATACTTACCTCTTCCTCTGATCCAACTGGATTGTGAATCCCCCAAGAACAGGGATCACATTCTCAGCATCTTCTGCACGTCTGTCCCTACCACAGGCCGTGTGGCACTGCGCCATCCCCCAGTGGTTGCCTTGTTCATGCTGCCTGCCCGCCTGGCTGATAGCACCTGTGGTAGCCAGGAGGTGGCACTTCGGTATTTTATGCAATAGAAGAACAGACCACAGAATGAGGAAATCACTCTGACTTCTGCTTTATTGACCAAAGTAGAATATCTAGAGATCAAAACAGCCAGGGTGTGCAATTTTTTAAATTTATAGGCAATGAATATAATTTACGTGCATGGGTGGTGGTGTACAGGTCTCTTGAGTCTTAGTATGGGCGTAAATTTGTGTAACCACTGCCACAGTCAGGATACAGAGTAGTTCCATACCCCAAAAACTCCCTTGTATCGGACTCCTCATAACCCCAAACCCTGGCAGCTACTGATCTGTTGTCCATCCTTATCCTTTTATCTTCTAGAGAATATCATATAAATGGCGTCACACAGGCTGTAACCTTTTGAGACTGGCTGCTTTCATTCAACCATAATGCCTGTGAGATTTATCTATGTTGTTGCATGTCAGTAATCTGTATCATTAGTTTGTTCATTGCTGAGTAGCGTTCCATTATTTAAATGTACCACAGTTTGTTTATCCGTGCACATGCTGCTGGATATTTGGGTCGTTTCCAGCTTTTGTCAATTATTAGTAGAGCTGCTGTAAACATTCATGTATAAATTTTCATGTGAAGCTAAGTTTTTATTTCTCTAGGATATGTGCCTAGGAGTGAGATTGCTGGCTCATGTGGTAATTTTCCATTTAATTTTTTGAGTTAACAACCACTGTTTCCACAGTGGCTGTAACATTTTACATTTTGTATTTTCACCAATGATGCATGTGAGTCCCACTTGTTCTGTGTCCTCACCAGCATTTAGTATTATCACTCTTTTGTTGTTGTAGGCTGTTTTGTTATTTTAGCCATTCTGATGGGTTTGCAGTGGTTCCCATTGCAGTTTTAGTTTGCATTTCCCTAATGGCTGCTGATGTTGAGCACCCTTTCATGTGCTTATTCACCCCTATGCCTTCTTTGGTGAAGTGATTTCAAATCTTTTATCCATCATTTTTAATTGAGTTGTTTACTATCAAGTTTTAAGAGCTCTTTATAGATTCTAAATACAAGTCCTTTATCAGATACATTTTTGCAAATATTTTCTACCAGTCTGTGGCTAGTCTTTTCACTCTCCCACCAGTGTCTTCCTTAGAGCAAAAGTTTTAAATTTGATCAAGTTCAATTTATCAATTTTTTTGCTTTATGGATTGTGCTTTTGGTATCATTTCTAAGAAATATTTGCCAGCCCAAGGTCACAAAGATTTTCTTCTATGTTTTCTCCTAAAAGTTTTCTAGTTTTACATTTTGCATTTCGATCTTATAGTGCACTCTGAATTGTTTACGAGATGTGAGATTTAGGTAGACTTTTATTTCCGTTTGCATGGGGGTGTCCAAATGTTCCAAGTTATCCAGATGCCCACATTATCCTTTCTTCATTGAGCTGTCTTTGCACCCTGGTGAAAAAATTATTGGCCATATTCACGTGAGTCTGTTTCTGATCTATGTTTTTTTTTTCCTTTCTAAATTATTGTCTTGATTAACCTAGCTTTATACTAAGCATTAAAATCAGCCTCTATGAGCCCTCCAACTTTATTCTTCATTTACAAAACTGTTATGGCTATTCTAGTTCTTTTGCTTTTCCATACATATTTCAGAATCTGCTTGTTGATACCTACAAAAAATCTTGCTGGGATTTTGGTTGGGATTTCATTAAATCTATAGATTAATATGGGAAAAATTGGTATCTTAAGAATTTGGGTTTTCTAGTCCATGAGGATATTATTTTCCTTCATTTATTTAGGTTTTCTTTTATTCCTTTCATCAGCCTTTTAATTTAACTTGTTCAACATTTTGTAGTTTTCAACATGTAGGTCCTACAGATAGATGTTTTGTTAGATTTATATCTAAGTATTTTTGTTTTTGGAGTTGTTATAGATGGTTTTGTTTTTCAATTTTTGTTTCAAATTTTTCATTGCTAATATAGAAATATTTTTGTATGTCAGCCTTGTATCCTTTGACCTTACTAGATGCGCTTATTAGTTCTGGGAGCTATTTTGTGGATCCTTGGCATTTTCTATGTAGGCAATCATGTAATCTGAAAACAGAGACATGTGTTTCTTCCTTTTCAATCTGTATGCTTTTTAATTTTTTTTTTCTTTGAGATGGAGTCTCGCTCTGTTGCCCAGGCTGAAGTGCAGTGACGCGATCTCAACTCACTGCAACCTCCGCCTCCCGGGTTCACACGATTCTCCTGCCTCAGCCTCCTGAGTAGCTGGGATTACAGGCGCCTGCCACCACACCTGGCTAATTTTTGTATTTTTAGTAGATACAGGGTTTCACCATATTGGTCAGGCTGGTCTCGAACCCCTGACCTCAAGTGATCCACCCACCTCAGCCTCCCAAAGTGCTGGGATTACAGGCGTGAGCCACCACACCCAGCCGCTTTTTAATTTATTTAACCTGCCTTACTGCACTGGCTAGGGCTTCCAGTATAATGTTGCATAGCTGCAGTGACAGTGGAAATCCTTGCATTGCTCCCGATCTTAAGGGAAAACATTCAGTCCTTCTTCACCAAGTATGATGTTAGCTGTGGCATGTTGTATATGTCATTTTATCAGGTTAAGTTCCCTTATAATCCTGGTTTGCTGAGAAATTTTTATCATGGATAGATGTTGAATTTTGTCAAGTACTTTTTCTGTGTCACTTGATACAATCTGTGGATTTTCTTTGTTATCCTGTCATTTTATTCTGTCATTACCTTGATTAATTTTTGAATACCTAACTAGCCTTGCATTTCTTAGATAAACTCCACTTGGTCATGTTGTATTATCATTTTTATGTATTGTTGGATTTAATTTGCTAATATTTTCTTGACATCCATTTTTACATCCGTGTTGATGAAGGATATCAGTTTGTAGTTTTCTTGTACTGTTGTGTTTATTTTTGATATCAGAATAATGCCAGCTTCAAAGTGAGTTAGGAAGTGTTCCCTTCTCTCCTATTTTCTAGAAGAAATATGGTGAATTGGTGTTATTTCTTCTTTAAATGTTTGGTGGAATTCACTATTGAAATCATCTGGGACTAGAATTTTCTTTTTCAAAATGTTTTTAAATATAAATCTAATTTCTTCAACAGATACAGAATTATTCAAGTTATTTCTTCTTGGAGAGTTTTAGTATTTTGTGACTCTTAAATAATTATTTGTTGTTGTTGTTGAGATGGAGTCTCACTCTGTCACCAGGCTGGAGTGGAGTACAGTGGCATGATCTCAGCTCACGGCAACCTCTGCCTCCTGGGTTCAAACAGTTCTCCTGCCTCAGCCCCCCAAGTAGCTGGGACTACAGGCGCACGCCTCCATGCCCGGCTAATGTTTTTTTGTGTGTTTTTTTTTTTGTATTTCAGTAGAGATGGGGTTTCACCATGTTGCCAAGGCTGGTCTCGAACTCCTGAGCTCAGGCAATCCGCCCGCCTTGGCCTCCCAAAGTGCTAGGATTACAGGTGTGAGCCACTGCACCCTGCCAGAATTATTTGGTTTTAACTAAGTTGTTGAATAAGTTTTTGTATAGAATTGGTCCAAATATTTTAATATTATCCTTTTAATGTCTGTGTGGTCTATAGAGATGGCCCCTCTTCCATTCCTGATATTGGCAATAAGTTCTTCCTTCTTTTTTTGTTTTGGGCTAGAGGTTTATCAATTTTATTGATCTTCTGAAAGAACCATCCCTGTTTCATTAATTTTTCTGTATTGTTTTTCTATTTCAAATTTTGTTCATTTCTGCTCTTTATTATTTCCTTCCATCTGCTTGTTCCGTGAAACTGATAGAAGATTAAAGTCAGGGGGTCACTGAGCAAAACCCTTAGAAAATGTATGACGTGTTTTGTTGTTTTTAGGGATGGTGTCTCGTTATGTTGTCCAGGCTGGATTCAAACTCCAGGGCTCAAATGATCATCCTGTATCAGCCTCCCAAGTAGCTGGGACTACAGGCACATGCCACCATGCCCAGCTCCAAAATGTATTTTTTAATTCATTCTTTTGAGAATGATCCAAATAGTTTTCCATGCATTTTCTCTTTGCAGTTGACTGGTCTGAGTGTCTCCAATGGAAAGGACCAACTTGTAGTGTTCCATACGAAAGACAACAAAGACCTCATTGTCTGCCTCTTCAGCAAACAGCCAACCCATGAGAGTCGAATTGGAGAACTTGTTGGAGTGCTGGTGAATCATTTCAAGAGGTAAAGTTTGATTTTTGTAACTAAGACACGTTTTAAATCTATGAAATCTTTAATCGTAATTATCACTGAGCTTGTTTTGTGCCAATTTTAATGTATTGAGCTATTTTTCTCCATAAGGACAACTTAAATCATCTGTTTCGCAGAAGGTAAAATTAGCATCCCAGCTTACTTTCAAGGTTAGGAATGATCCTCTACTTTTCCAGCCTCCAGCTGAACCAACAATGAGAGATTTCCCTAAATGGTGATTTTTATTCCACTGTCGATCCAAATGCAATTAAATCCAAAAGATAGACAAATTACTTTATATTCTTCTCGTCATAGCTTCTCATTTACCCCAAGTATAATCAGTTTGTGTGTCCACTATGACCATAAGCAAATTAGAAGGCAGATTTGGGATGGTTTGCAAGTCCATGAAGACTACAAGAATTCCTGAGAGAGGCAGTGACCACTGCAGAAACATGGAGTCATGATGGAACATGGCATAATCTGAGAACTTCATAGTAAGCCCTGATGATACCTGGGGCAGGGGGGTGAACAATGATATAATAAATATAAACAGAGAGCAGGTCCTGAGAGTGATGGGGACCAGTGAATGGATAATTTTAAGCAGGGGAGTGATTTTGTCTGGTTATTTATTGGAGTTGTTTCAGAGATTGGATTTCTCTTCCCATAAGGGGTCATGGAGTATTTGGGTGGGTGTATCTCTCCAAAGTCAAGTGCTCTCTTTGTGGCATGCTGCCTTCACCTCCCCAACCCCACCTGATGCTGGGAGAAGACCACTCATCAAAATCAGTGACTAAGAAATGATACAAGTGTAGTTACTTTTTCTTCCTAAAAGACATTTCCTGAGTTCCTAAAATTAATCAAGTATTCCTTATTAGTATGTTTTTTTTTTTCAGTTTAGACGTGGCTTCTCTTTCTCTCAACAAACACATATTTGGAATCAGATGTCCACATATCTAATTCTATTGTATTCATTTTGGCTGATAAATGTATAGAGCATAATTTTAGAGGTGGGCTGCACAGACCATTTATTTTATGTTATTACACCTTACATTCTAGATCAAAGTAGATCTTTAAATATTTTCTATCATTAAATGCTTTTACATGCTGTAAGTAAAATAATACTTAATGGTCATTTGTGGGGAAAAAATAAGAAAGTAATTACCAAAAATAATAATAAATGCATAGACTTTTGAAAATTCCTTTCCATCTGCCAAATAAATGTAAAGCTAAGAAAAATTTTAAAAAGTTTAGAATGTGGCCAGGCGCAGTGGCTCACGCCTGTAATCCCAGCACTTTGGGAGGCTGAGGCGGGCGGATCACGAGGTCAGCAGATCGAGACCATCCTGGGTAACACAGTGAAACCCCGTCTCTACTAAAAATACAAAAAATTAGCTGGGCTTGGTGGCGGGCACCTGTAGTCCCAGCTACTCAGGAGGCTGAGGCAGGAGAATGGCGTGAACCTGGGAGGCGGAGCTTGCTGTGAGCCAAGATCCCGCCACTTCACTCCAACCTGGGCAACAGAAGGAGACTCTGTCTCAAAAAAAAAAAAAAAAAAAAAAGTTTAGAATGTAAGGAAAAGACATAAAGAAGGCATCTCTGCAATAAATGTCTATAACTCAAATAAGCAAGCTTATTTTCCTGCTAATATTTATAGCAAAGTATAGAAAATTAAAGGAATTTTAATTTGTTACTCTTAATTTGGATACCAGTACTAATGAATGCAAGAGTTTTTGCCTGGGAGATTGAAGTATTTTATCTCTATCTGGGTGCTTATTTAGCAAATTCTGATCTATTAAGTGCCTTCTACAAGTGACAGAAATACGTGAACCTGGATGTAGATTTCATCAGTTGCTTTCTTTTCCTAGCTAGCATATGCATGCTGAGGTACATTTCTAGGCGTATGTCCTCTATCTTTAATGTATGTAAGGATTTTTAATTTCTTTAAAATTTATAAATGTGAAGAGAAGACTATCAAGATGCTAGGAATTTTTTGGTGGATTTTTTTTTTTTAATTCTTGGTGTTTCTATCTTATGAATTAAGAGTGAAGTGGAAATGAGAGATAAAATCTTTCCTCCCAGACCCCAGAAAAGTCAGGCTTGAAATTTTGACTTAGAGTTTTAGTCATCAACTTACTATTTACTTTTTGGGAAAAGGTTAATTTGATTTTTTCTAGCTATTTTCCTTTATTGTCAACTATCGTATCATTGCCATGACATTGAAATTCACATTGTATTTTATAAGCATGATGTTGTGGCACATAATCTTATTTGTCCCTGAGTTAATTATGGAAATCCAAAGGTTCGGGAGGGAATTAACTTCAGACCAATTCTTTATCTTCCAGATAATTTCCCTAAAGTACATTCTGAGATGTGTTCTTGTCAGCAGTTGGGAGGAAAGGGCTCAAAACTTCCCAAGGCTGAGGCAAGAACCAGCTAAGAGGACCAGAGGGAACAGTGCCCAGCCTCACAAAGAGCCAGGAGTAGTTTCTGATCTAACAAGGCAGACTAAAGAACTTCGTCATTCACAGGGTAATTGGGTACAGTATTCAGAAGGGTTTTGCCTCAGTAGGGGGGAATAATTGGCCCTAGAATAAATGCTGCTCTGGTACCACCTAATAAATCTTAAAAGCAAGACCCAAAAGGATCAAACTGCTTCCAAGTAA
Source organism: Homo sapiens (assembly GCF_000001405.40). Classification (NCBI taxonomy): domain Eukaryota; kingdom Metazoa; phylum Chordata; class Mammalia; order Primates; family Hominidae; genus Homo; species Homo sapiens. Next base: position 32,602,417 of record NC_000017.11, on the reverse strand, counting down.
CTTAGCTATGTCCTGAAACAAAGCTCATGTATATTTCTAAAAACACAAAAATATCCATACCCAACAGGTAAAATTCACAATGTCTGACATCCAGTCAAAGATTACGGGCATGCAAATAGGAAAATACAGTCCATTATGAGGGGGAGAATCATCCCTTTGAAACCAACCCAGAACAGACAAAGATACTAGAATTAGCAGATACAGACATTGTAAGTCATTATAACTAGATTTCAGATGTTTATAAGTTAACTAGAGATAAGGAAGATGTAAGAAAAAGACCCAAATCGAACTTCTAGATGAAAAATACACTGATGTTTGAGATATTCCATGATTTAAAAAGAAAACAAAACAAGACAAAGCATGTCCTCGAATAAATTTTTCCTCATCACCATGAGTTGAAGCCAGAACTTTCCTGGCATTTCCTTTCACATGAATCTTGAAACAAAAACCAACTAAGTATAAATTAGTCTCTCTTTCACCTCCTGCAGTCTTTATTCAATCCAGACCCATTATTTCTGCCTCTCCAAGTACACACCCACATATTTTATGTTTGCTAAAACATTTGAAGACAATCTTTAATAAAGTACAGGTATACCTCGTCTTACTGTTCTTGACATTATTACACTTCACAGATATTGTGGTTTTTATAAATTGAAGGTTTATGGCAACCCTGCATTGATCAAGTCTATTAGCACCATTTTTCCTACAGCATATGCTCACTTTATGTCTCTGGACACTGGAAGAAGATGCCATCTAGAACTTTCATAGCTAGAGAGGAGAAGGTCAATGCCTAGCTTCAAAGGACAGGCTGACTCTTTTGTTAGGAGCTAACAAATTGCCACAGCAATTTTGATAATTCTCATAATATTTCAAAACTTTATATTGTTATTAACTGCTATGGTGGGCTTTGATCAGTGATCTTTGTTATTACTGTAATCATTTCAGGGCACCACAAACTGTACCCATGTAGGACAACAGACTTAACTGATCAATGTCGTGTGCGTTCTGACTGCTCCACTGACCATCTATTCCCTCATCTCTCTTCCTCTCCTCAGGCTCCCCTATTCCCTGAGATACAACAAGATTGAAATTAGGTCAGTTAATAACCCTACAGTGGCTTTTAAATGTTCAAGTGAATGGGAGAGTTACACATCTCTCAGTTTATTTTAAAAACTAGAAATGAGCCAGGTATCATGGCTCATTCCTGCGACCCCAGCACTTTGGGAAGTTAAAGCGGGAGGATTGCTTGAGGCCAGGAGTTCCAGACCAAGGTCTGCGCAACATAGTGAGACTCCATCTCTACAAAAAAATTTAAAAGTTAGTCAAGCATGGTGGTGCACACCTGTAGTCTGTAGTCCCAGCTACTTAAGAGGCTGAATTCAAGGCTGCAGTGAGCGATGATCGTGCCACTGCACTTCAACCTGGGTGACAGAACAAGACCTTGTCTCAAAAAAAAAAAAAAAAGGGAAAAGAAAAAGCTAGAAATGATTAAGCTTAGTGAGGAACGCAGGTTGAAAGCTGAGATAGGCCAAAAGCTGGGCCTCTTAAATTAAACAGCCCAGTTGTGAATGCAAAGGAAAAGTTCTTGAAGGAAATTAAAAGTGCTACTGCAGTGAATACATGAATAATAAGAAAGTGAAACAGTCTTATTGCTGATACGGAGAAAGTTTGAGTGGTCTGGATAAAAGATCAAACCAGCCACAACATTCCCTTAAACCAAAGCCTAATGCAGAGCAAGGCCCTAAACTCTCTTAAATTCTTTGAAGGCTGAGAGAGGTGAGGAAGCTGCAGACGAAAAGTGGAAGCTAACAGAGGTTGGTTCATGAGAATTAAGAAAAGAAGACATCTCCATAACATAAAAGTGCAAGGTGAAGCAGCAAGTGATGATGGAGAAGCTGTGGCAAGTTATTCAGAAGATCTAGCTAAGATAATTGATTAAGGTGGCTACACGAAACAACAGATTTTTCAATGCAGACAAAATAGCCTTACACTGGAAGAAGATGCCATCTAGGACTTCCGTAGCTAGAGAGGAGAAGGTCAATGCCTAGCTTCAGAGGACAGGCTGACTCTTTTGTTAGGAGCTAATGCAGCTAGTGTCTTTAAGTTGAAGCCAGTGCTCACTGACTGTTCCAAAAATCCCAGGGCCCTTAAAATTACACAAAATCTACTCTGCCTGTGCTCTATAAATGAAACACAAGGCCTGGATTACAGCACATCTGTTTATAGCATAGTTTGCTGAATATTTTAAGCCCACTGTTGAGACCTGCTGCTCAGAAAAAAAAGATTCCTTTCAAAACATTACTATGCATTGACAGTACATCTAGTTATCCAAGAGCACTGACGGAAATGTACAAGGCTTGATTAATGTTGTTCCCATGCCTACAAACACAGCATCTATTGTGCAGCCCGTGGATAAAGGAGTAATTTCAACTTTCAAGCCTGATTATTTAAGAAACACATTTCATGGCCAGGCACAGTGGCTCACGCCTATAATCCCAACACTTTTGGAGGCCGAGGTGGGCTGATCACCTGAGGTCAGGAGTTTGAGACCAGCCTGGCCAACATGGTGAAACCCTGTCTCTACTAAAAATACAAAAATTAGCCAGGCGTGGTGGCACATACCTGTAATCCCAGCTACTTGGGATGCTGAGATAGGAGAATTGCTTGAACCTGGGAGGCGGAGGTTGCAGTGAGCCAAGATCACACCACTGCACTCCAGCATGGGCAACAGAGTGAGACTCTGTCTCAAAAAAAACAAAATGAAAGAAAAACATTTCATAAGGCCACAGCTGCCATAAATAGTGATTCCTCTGATGGATCTGGGCAAAGTAAACTGAAAACCTTCTGAAAAGGATTCACCATTCTAGATGCCACTAAGAACATTTGTGATTCATGGGAGGAGGTCAAAATATTAACACTAACAGAAGTTTGGAAAACATTGATTCCAACTCTCATGGATGGCTTTGAGGGGTTCAGGACTTCATTGGAGGAAGTTATTGCAGATGTGGTAGAAATAGCAAGAGAACTTGAATTGGAAGTGGAGCCTGAAGATGTGACTGAATTGCTGCAATCTCATGATAAAACTTGAATAGATGAGGAGTAGCTTCTTATGGAAGAGCAGAGAAAGTGGTTTCTTAAGATGGAATCTACACCTGATGAAGATGCTGTTAACGTTGTTGAAATGATGACAAAGCATCTAAAATATTATATAAACTTAGTTGATAAAGCAGTGACAGAGTTTGAGAGGATTGACTCCAATTTTGAAAGACATCCTATTATGGGTAAAATGCTCTCAAACAGCACCGCATGCTATAGAGAAATCTTTCATGAAAGCAAGAGTCAATGAATGTGGCAAACTTCATGGTTATCTTATTTAAAGAAATTGCCACAGCCACCCCCGCCATCAGCAACCACCACCCTGATCAGTAAGCAGCCGTCAACATCAAGACAAGACCCTCCAACAGCAAAAAGATTACAACTCACTGGAGACTCAGATGATCATTAGTATTTTTAGCATTTTTTGTTCTTCTTTAATATCCGCTTAATTAAAGGAGCACTCTCATTGGATTTAACTGAACATTCAACCGGCTTCTCTGTTATAGTTTGCTTATGTTCTTTTTAAATCACACTTTCCTTATTGTTTTTAATTAAAATATGTACAGTATTTAGACATGATGCTATTGTAAACTTAATAGACTACAGTATAATGTAAACATAACTTTTATATGCACTGGAAAACCAAAAAAAAATTGTGTGACTTGCTTTATTGTGATATTCACTTTATTGCAGTGGTCTGCACCCAAACCCAAAATATCTCCAGGTTATGCCTGTATATTCCAAAAGATGACATTAAGAATATATAACAACCAGTATGGCTCAAGCACAGACCAGTCAGAACAGACACCATCCAGAAACACCTGATACCAGCAAGTCCAGGCTGTATTCCACAAATCAAAAATTCCACCATGGGGTGGGAAAACCCAAAGTCAAATACATTTGGGATATGCTAATGAAGTCAAACAGGTTTCTTTTTTTTTCTTTTTTGAAACAGAGTCTTGCTGTGTCACCCAGGCTGGAGTGCAGTGGTGCAATCTTGGCTCACTGCAACCTCCGCTTCATGTATTCAAGCAATTCTCGTGCCTCAGGCTCCTGAGTAGCTGGAATTGCAGGCGTGTGTCACCATGCCCAGCTAATTTTTGTGTTTTTAGTAGAGATGGGATTTGGCCATGTTGGCCAGGCTGGTTTTGAACTCCTGGCCTCAAGCAGTCCACCCGCCCTGGCCCCGCAAAGTGCTGGGATTACAAGCGTGAGCCACTGTGCCTGGCCCTAACAGGTTTCTTTACTGCAGTACCTCTCCGAGTCATTAATATGCTTTTGTTCATTGTAAATGCTACCAATACAAGAACAAGAGAATTCTATCTATATTGATATAAAACCATTTCCAAATAAGAGGAAAAAAGGGCAAGGTACAGAATGGTGTGTGTACCGTACCACCATTTGTGTAAAGAAGTTGAAACGAGATTTCTTTTTTTTTTTTTTTTTTTTTTTTGAGACAGGGTTTTGCTCTGTCACCCAGGCTGGAGTGCAGTGGCACAATCTTGGCTCACTGCAACCTCCACCTTCCCAGGTTCAAGCAATTCTCCTGCCTCAGCCTCCCGAGTAGCTGGGATTACAGGCACCTGCCAACATGGCTAATTTTTATAGTTTTAGTAGAGATGGGGTTTCACCATTTTGGCCAGGCTGGTCTTAAACTCCTGACCTCAGGTGATCCACCCGCCTCAGCCTCCCAAAGTGCTGGGATTACAAGCACCTGGCAAGAAGTTAAACCGGAAGATATCCGTATCTATCACTGGATAACTATATTATAGGTAGATATATCTCTATTTATATAGATAGATATATAGATATCTCCTATGACTTTTTTTTTTACAAAAATGGTGATATGCTACACATACCATCTGTACCTTGCCTTTTTCTCCTACTAAACAATGTATAGATATAGGTACAGATAGATATGTATACACACATATGATTATGTATAATACAGGCTATATCTGGGAAGATATTCAGGAAATAGATAACAGTGTTTGTCTCTAGAGAGGGAACTGAGACACCTCAGTACAGGGAGAAAGAGGTAGAAGGGAGATTTATTTGTTTTTCATGGTTAAACCTTCTGCGACCAATATATGTGTTACTGATCTAAAATTTTTTCATTTTAATAATAAGTGGCAGCTAGTTTTCTCTGAATTCATTATTATTTTGCTTTCCTGCTTAGAAAAGTAGAAAAGAACAGAAGAACTGTCCAAGTGAACAATCTCTCATAGCATTTCAATATATTGAAACAATCCCAAATATAGCCTCTTGGAATATTATCTTTCTGTATGGTCTTGTTGTATATATCACATTAGCCTAAGGTGAGGTTTCTTTTTCTGTGGTTGTAGTGCCAGTGGTTTACAGAGGTTTTGAGTGTGGCTGACTTTTGGTTTGCGTTTCATTCTCAGCAGCAGCTACCTGCTGGTACTGAGCTTTTCTGCCCACTACTAAACAGATGGTCTCACGTTGGCTGCCCTAACTATGAAGTCACCAGAAACTCTGCAGTATTAAGCTGTCAAAGGACCCATCTGCCCTAAGCAGCTGTCCAGGCATTTGCCTGTCTGGATGCTGGAAACCTCAGTATAACTCCAATTGCAGGCATTAAAATTTCTTATTTTTCCTGTTCTCTTTCTGTGGATGCAAGCCAGAAATCAATGCCATCTGCTTCTTGTTCTTCTTTAATATCTCCTTAATTAAAGGAGCACTGTTACTGGATTTAACTGAACATTCGACCAGCTTCTCAGTTGTAGTTTGTGTATGTTCTTTATAACTCACACTTAGAGCCATGGGGAGACCCATACCGATAAGCAGGCCAGCAGTTGCTGGCTGCACATTGCTGTCACTGCCGCGGCAGTACAGGTGAGGAGCCAGGGGAGGTGAGGCCTCATGACAAGAGGTGAAGGAGGCAGAGGATGGGGCCACCTCCCAAAGGTCCCAGCGCCTGGCCCTCCCCGTCCAGCAGAGCTGCTGCTCACGCCTTCTGCTGCACCTGCAGTGAGGCTCCTCTGCCCCAAACCTGAATACCCGTTTCCATGGCCTTTGATCTATGTTCCCAGACTGCTCTCTTTGAATGCCTGGCCACTCATTTTAATAGTTTATATTCCATAAGCAAAATAAAGGTATGCCATGTCGATTGCCAGCTGTGGAGGACTGGTTGATTAAATTTTGGTCCATCAAATTTAGGGTATTTGAGCTATTTAAAATAATTATTGAAGGCACCTGACTTATGGGGGACAGAAAAGTGAGTGGCCACAATTCACTTTCCTCTGCCTTCCAATAGAGATACACGTGAAAACACAGGAAGCAAGGACACCTTTCTGTAGTGCTGGAAACTAGAAATGTGATTCAATCCTGGACCTGCCAAGAGGGGCATCCTTCACCCCTGCTCATGTATCGTCTCACCAGGTCTTCCCTGACTGTCCTCTGGAGAATAGCAATTCACCCTGTCCCACCACACCCTGTCCCCAAACCCCCCTAATCTTTCCCCATGGCTGTCAACTCCACCTGACATGCTGTATCTTTACTTGTGTATTGTATATATTCCAACTGGAATACAAGCTTTATGTAAGCAGAGACTTTATTTATATTGTTCCCTGCAGTTTCCCTAGTGCCCAAAACAGTGCTGGCACACAGAAGGTTCCCTGTAAATAACTGTTGAATACTCATTGTTAAACAGAGAATTGCTGACTGATAGGCCCCACTCGCGGTAGGGTGCTTCTAGCCCTTCCTACTGATAGGTGCACCTTGCCCACCAGAAGATGGTAACTCAATCCTTCTCCTGTATGAAAGAAAGGAAAAATTCTTCTGATAGTTTCCTTCCCTTTATGAATACCTCTTTTCCTTTTTTTAAGTTATTTTTCTGACACAATGATTATACATATTTATGGGATACAGTGATATTTTGATACCTGTATACAAGGTATAATGATCAAATCAAGGTAATTAGCATATCTATCACCTCAGACATTTATCATTTCTTTTCATTAGGAATATTGAAAATCCTCTCTTCTAGCTATTTGAAAATATGCAATAAATTGTTAATTGTGACCGATTACAGATAAGATTACAGAATAGGGTTCTATATTCACCCTGCAGTGCTAGAGAATGCTAGAACTCATTCCTCCTCTCTAGCTGTAATTTTATATCCGTTAACCAACTTCTGGCTATCCCTGCCACTTGCCAGCCTTCATACCACCATATGAATGTCTCTTTCCTTGATTGATTCCAGGATTACAGGGCTAAGCAATGTAATATGTGTGGGACAGAAGGCAGGAGGCATTTCAAGATATTAAATCAGCAACTAAAAGGGCTGTGGGCTGGAAGAGCCATGAGTATGTTGAATGCTGGGGGCTGCAGCTTTCCATTCACTTTTCTTTAACAACTACAGAACTAGAAATAATTTCAGACTCTCCTTGTCAGTGAGCTGACAAGGAAGCAGGATGTAGGAATTCCTACTCAGATCAGCAGTTTCATAATAAGTAGAAGACTTTGCAACCACAACTAGAGTCTGTGCACACAAGCCAGCTCTCCAGCTTAAAAACTGATAAATGATTTTGGCTACAAACAGGTGGGCTGTAAGAAGGAGCCCCAAAAAATCCATATGCCCTTTATGTAAGAACATCAGAACTGAATAGATGTCTCCTTAGTTGGGAGGCCTATAAAGGAAGATATTAACAGTAAGAGAGATATAGATATTATAAGACCTAAAAGAAAAAGCCTATTTCTGAAAAGGCCAATAATATAAAATTTATGTTACAGAAACCATCTGCTTATACTCTGAATAAAATTCAAGAAAGCATAGATTCTACATAAACAGGCCCAAGATTACATGGCAAACTGAGATGAAGAGGATGCTGGCTGAGAAACAAACAAAAGTGTTCAATTATTTGAATGAAGTAAGGAAAGATATTTTAAAATGTAAATCAACATTAAAATCTGAAAATGGCACAGTTGATATTGCAGAAAATAGAATTGATGTGAAAGGAAAGTTTGAAGTCTCTCAGTGTGCAGAATTTACTGTTATAATGGGCAACATGTTAACTTTCTTAGCAATATACAAAATAAGGGTACATCTTACAGAGAAGGCATCTTATATTCAATAAAATATGGTAATTTAAAACATACAAAAAGAAAATATGTCTGTACTGAATGCACTTTTTCTGAAGTTCCAGAGAGCCTACTTTGTTATCATGATGACCTTTTTTAATTTCAAGGGTTAACTAAATATATGTAATTCTCCAGCTTAAAAGCTGAGAAATGATTTTGGCTACAAAGAAGTGGGCTATAAGAAGGAGCCCCGAAGAGTCCATATGCCCCTTTATGTAAGAACACCAGGACTGAATAGATGTCTGCTTTTAATATATATAACTGGTTTTGTTTTGTTTTTTTGAGATGGAGTCTCGCACTGTCACCCGGGCTAGAGTGCAATGGCACCATCTCGGCTCACTGCAACCTCTGCCTGCCAGGTTCATGCAATTTTCCTGCCTCAGCCTCCCAGGTAGCTGGGATTACAGGCATGCTCCACCACGCCCGGCTAATTTTTTGTGCTTTTAGTAGAGATGGGGTTTCACTATGTTGGCCAGACTGGTCTCGAACTCCTGACCTCATGATCCTCCCGCCTCAACTTCCCAAAGTGCTGGGATTACAGGCATGAGCCCCAACGCCCAGCCAATATATATAACTTTTCTTTATATATAACTATGTTTATAGTTAATCCTTGAAATTATAAAGTATGTATTAAACACACAGACCTGGGAGTGGAATGAGATTCTCTTACAAAGGAACAAAAATTAGGATTCCCTCCGTCTTCTGTACTGCAGCAGTAAATGCCAGAATCCTGTGGAGCAACATCTTTAGTCTTCTAAGGAGAAAAGCTTAGAGAGCAACAATTGTATGCCCAACCAAGTTGTCATTTGTGTTTAGCAGACAAACGAGCCTCAGAAAGCATGCTACTGGGGCTCTCTGGAGGAGGAACAGCTGTGATCCAGGAGTCAAATGCTGTCACAATCTCCATCTCTCATCTTCACATCTCTTGTCTTGCCAGGTTCACTCTCCTGTAGTGGTGGCTTCCACATGGCTGGAAATGTCTCCAAATAACTCTATATCTCCTTTTCCAGCCTTGCCACCAGGGGGAAATTAAGAGAATGTTCTCTGGGCTATTGTCCTAAAACCCCAGGGAAATGTTCCCACTGACTCAATAACTGGCCAGAGTAATGGTTGTCATGGCATGGGTAAGACACCTACCCCAGTGACAGTCACTTTGGCCAGAGAAGTGGTGTCTTCCAAGAACATGGAAGTCTCCAGTAAAACCTGAGGAAGAGCATGTTTTGGAAGAGAGTGAAGCAGAGTGGGGTGGGAGTGACTGGGGACGAAGTGTACGGGGCCAGCATTTCCCGAAAGAAGCGGAAGTGATACGGTACTGGGCAAGAAAAACAAATGGTTTCACATTGTTTTGTTTTGTTGGGGTTTTTTTCAGTGCTATATACAGTATATACAGTTTTATTTGTTTTTAGTTTTATGGTTCCAGTCATTTCCAGAGTTATTACTTAGGTCAGTAAGTCTTTTTCCTTGCCCCTACATTGTTGTACTTTACATAAGTTATATCGAACATTTGTAACAGCTAGATTGTTTTCTCACAGTTCCATCTTATTCTGGCATCCCCTCCCCTCCTGGTTGGTATTTTTAAGGTGCTATATGGATTTTGACAAATGCAGTGTCATGTATCCACCACTGTAGTACCATATAAAATAATTTTATTTATATTTTTTGCTTGTTAAAATTATTGTTGGTGTAAATACCAAATTGACTAAAGAGTTAATTGTAAAAACTGAAATCATAGAAGAATTAGGTAAAATAAAGGATAAATCCAAAAGAACAATTAATAACTCTACACAACAACATTGATGCATCCATCTTAAGTGCATGTTGCTAAGTGAAAGAAGACAGTCCGAGAGGCCTACATACTGTATTATTCCACTTATGTGACATTCTGGAAAAGGTAAAACTATAGAGATGGCAAAGCCTGTGGTTACCAGGGGTTTGGAGATGAGGGAGGGTTAAAAAGGTGAAGCACTGGGGATTTTTGATGGCTATAAAATTATTCCATGTACATTCCTGGGGAACCTGGTGCTAAACCATTCTTGGACAACCTGCTTCTGGGTCAGGGTTTTGTACATAGCAGAGTGGCTCTCTTGCTGTGATTATTGAGTCAGCCCTTGACATAAGGGTGTGCAAGATATAATAAAGAGAAAACACATTGTTTTTAATTGCGAAAACTTAGAAACCATATAAAAGTTCATCAAAACAAACATGATTAAATACTTGATGGTATTTCCATACAATTAAGCAGCATGCAGCCATGAAAAAGACTATGACAGTCTTTCTTTATCAGGGGTCCTTAAAGTGTGGGCTCCATCGGCATTAGAATAACCTGAAGGTGTTTTTTCAAAAGGCAGCTCCCCGGGCCCATCCCAGGCCCTCTAAATCAGACCCTCCAGGAACCTACATGCTTAGTGAGCTACCCAGGTGATCCCTATGCTCAAGCTTGATGGCCACTGGTTTCATGAACTGACATAGAAAATGACCAGAAGGAGCACATCATGTTTTCATATGGCCAATTTGCTGATGCCATTGCGATGAAAGTAGGTTTGTTTTTTTTTTTGATGAAATCACCAAAGATTTGTGTTTTTGAAATTGCTGACAAGTGCAAAAGAAACATCCCCTACTGCCCCAGTGAAGAAAGGCGGGATGGAAAGAGGGCTGAGGCTCAGAGAAAAGGGGTAAAGAAGGAATGGAGAGTAGAATTGAGTGGAGGATTACAGAGAAATCACACAGAACCAGGATCCTGTTTACCACATCCACTTGTCCTAGAAAGAGCCGCCTGTCATTCTAAGCAATGGTTTTTAATTACCCTAAGAAGTTCGCAGTGAGGGCCCACCTGCCCACTTCCAGATAGGAAACTCCACCTGCAAAGAGCAGGCTTCCACATAATGAACTTAACCTATTTACATGCACTCAGTCCCACCTGCTATACACAAAAGAGTACAGAGAGAAATCTTAAAAGGTTTTCAGTGTGACTAAGCTGGGGCAAAAATCAAACAATGTTAAAGTGTAACAGCTGTTGTGTACTGTGAGCAATCCACTGACTTTCCATCTCTCCCTGTGCACGGTGCCCATCTGCACTGAGAAGCGGCTGCCCTTGGGCAGAGCTCACCAAGAGGTTGTGCAGGGGCACAGTCATCCTCAGCTTTACCTGCCTTGATGACGGGAGATTTTCTGGGGATTTTTGTGCAAATCAAAGATTCTTATTTGCTTTGTGACGTGTTCATCATTGTCTTTTATGTTGAAAGAGTGAATCCAAAAATACTGGAAAACTGATCTTTTCATCATTTCCGCAGGTAGCTATTGTACCTTTAGAGTAATCATATTACTTTTTAAAGGCCGTAGCTCTAAACCTTACAATATATGTTAAAACAGAGATCTTCCTGTGAGGTATTCATGAATTCACCAAATGATTAGTGAATAATACCATGCTATCTGTTGGAATTTTTTTCTAAATTGAATGTCAGATATAACTCTTTAACTTAATGCAATTTTTAAAAAGCTCTCTTAATGTGTTTATTTCAGGTCTTAGCAGCTATATTGGAATCAGGAGTTTATATAAGCATAATATACTCAGTGAAGTGTTTTATCTGCCACAAACACTGTTCTATTTTTATACCATCATTCAGCATGCATTCACTAAGCACCCATCACAGGTCAGGCTGCGGGTGGTAGGAGGGATACCAAGAAGAACCCTGTGGTCCTTTCCAGTCCTTTCCCTTCAAACAGCTCTTAATCCCATGAAAAGACAGCATGTACATTATACTGCCTGGTATGTACTGTAATAAAACCATGGACAAAGGCCATGGAAACACAGGGGATAAACCAGCCCTCTTTGCCTACCAGAGTCAGGAGATCCCTGGCAGAGCAAATGATCACCCAGTTGGGTCTTCAAGTCTAGTTGGAGGTTATGAGCTGGGGGATGAGGTGAGATGCTCCCCATAGAAGGGAGGAGAATATGCAAAAACTTGGTGGAGCTGGTACATTTGGAGAGTTGAGTGATTGCAGGGGACCAAAGGGGCTGTAGCAAGAAATGAGACTGGAAAAATAAGTAGAAGCTTATAAAAGCCCATGCCAATGAATTTGAACTTTATCATATAAGTAATGGGGAGAAGTAAGTATAAAAATATAAAACTGCCCAACAAGACAAAGCCTGAAGACACAGATGTCACCTAGCCTATACATGCTCAAGAATGCAAAATAATTTTTCACTTAAGGGAAGTGGGAACTTGAGGAACACTAGTTGATATGTAATACATCTGTGGGCCCCACATGCCAAAAAGAGTTAATTGAACAGAGAAAGAACTAGCAAGATAGAAGTTACAAAGGCAGGTGTTAAACCTCAGTAATAAAACCAGAAATCAAAAATCCTCATGGAGTAAAAACTATAACAAAATTCTTTAGCTTTTGTAGCTTCCCTGAAATTGTTATTTTGCCACCCCTTTAGTAATTAGCAATAAAAATCCCTAGAATGAGAAGGACCTAGATTTTTACCTTCAGGGTCAGCAAGGAAGCACGAAGTTAAAGAAGCTTCCTCCTGTTCTACAGCTGTTCGTAGGGAGAGAAGATTCTCAAGGGACAGTGTGAATGACGGAAATGTTAAATTGAGGAGGAGGCGGAGCTTGGGTGTGGAGGCATTTATTGTTTGGTCTGTCCAGTAATCCCTTCTTCTGGGACCTTCCTCTCCCCTGTCACACTTCTGCATGGTCCGACGAGAGGCACCACATCCTTACATTGCCCTACTCCCTGGAAAGAGCTGAGTACAGGGCACAGGTAGTATCTGACCCAACCCGGACCACTTTCCCCATCCCTCAAGATTTTTGGGCTTTGGATCAGAGAAGACTTATAATTCATTGCCTCTTCTATGCATGAAGGCAAAACATTTGGGAGCTGTGGCTCAACACGTTCCCAAAGGTGAGAAGTTGGGTTCAGTAAGAGAGAACAGCGTAGAGCATAGGGAACCCACGGGGAGCAGCAGGACTCAAGGTGAAGCAGGACCTGAAACATCCAAGCCCCAGGTCTGCCTCCCCACGAGGCCGGCCACCTTGTGGCCATCAGACTGTATGCCGTTTGTTGATTTTGTGTGACCTAAAGCAGGCCAATTTGTCAAAAACCAGTTCACAAATATGCAGTTCACAAATATGACACTGTTGTACTGTACACTTGGAAATTGTTGGGAGGGTGAATTTTATTCTCTTGCAGGGGCAGTGGGGTGCCACAAGTTTTGTTTTTGTTTTTTGTGGGTTTTTTTTTTGTTTTATTTGTTTGTTTGTTTGTTTTTTGAGGCAAAATTTTGCTCTGTCACCCAGACTGGAGTGCAGTGGTGGGATCTCAGCTCACTGCACCCTCCACCTCCTGAGTTCAAGTGATTCTCCTGCCTCAGCCTCCCAAGTAGCTGGGACTGCAGGTGTCCACCACCATGCCCAGGCTAATTTTTAGTAGAGATGGGGTTTCACCATGTTGGCCAGGCTGGTCTTAAACTCCTGGCCTCAAGAGATCCACCTGTGTCGGCCTCCCAAAGTTCGGAGATTACAGGCTGAGCCACCATGCCCAGCCTTTGCCACAGTTTTTTAAATGGATTTTAAAAATTAGTTCACCAGAAGTCAGTTTGCCCAATACCAGTTCATGGAAGTTATAAAAATTTGTGAAGTTACCAAAAACTAGTCTTGAAAAAACTCCTTGAATATGTCCCTTCTAACAGCTTTTTAATACATGTTCAGGATGAAAAAAACTAAGGCTCTTGGGTTGGTTTAGTCTTTTTATTAAGTGGAGCAGAAAAAAATGGACTTCACTCAAATGTACAGGTATGCTGTTTGGAGTTTATTTTGAACGATCAGAGAAGGACATCCCTCTTTCAGATGCTTCCAAAGAACTAGCAAGCACGTGTGTCTTTTATCAGGCATCGTGCCCTTAAAGGGATTCCTCCCAGATAGCAGTGCCAGATACTAGGGCTTGACTGTCAGAAACAAGCAACCTACATTTCAGGTCATGCAGATCCACATTTTTCCTAGAAGGTAGCTCTACACACTGTCCAACCAGGAACTGTCAAAATCCACAGATTTTAGCATTTCCTATGGGGACTTTAGCTTATCCTAAATTCTGAAATCTTCTTTGTTATTTTCCATTTGATATTTAGCTTTCTTCTATCAAATTTGCCAGATGACTAATTCATCTAATTTACCAAATTTATAGATTTACCAAAAATGTGTTTCTTTTGACTCTTTATATAAAGTATATAATTCAGCTAGGTGAGATGGCAATTAATAGCCTTTGAGGATTTCTACAAAGTTCTAATTGATTGATTTTCATTTTGTTTTCATAACAACAGTTTAAGGAATGGTCCGTTTGTTTCTGGCCCTGCTGCTGCAGCTGGAAGTAGCTGGAACAGAGGAGAGAAGGGAAGAAAGGAGAGTCTGTGCCCAGTGCATCTGGGCCGCCAATCCCACAGGGAAGGGAGGCTGAAGAGCAGAGGGAGGGGAAGACTAGGGGACCAAGAAGGGGTAGGCTGAAGGGTGGGAGAGAGGCTGAAGGCCCAAGAACCCCAGGTATTCACAGCCTCCATTGACCCTGCTAGTTCGTCCAACAAAAATTGGATAAACAAAACTCAGCCTTGTTAAATATGCAAATTTGGTAAATTTGGCAAACTAGTCATTCAGCAGATGACTTTTGGTGAATTCACCATTTGGCAAGTGACTTTTTTTTTTTTTTTTTTGAAACGGAGTTTCACTCTTGTCACCCAGGCTGGAGTGCAGTGGCACGATCTTGGCTCACTGCAACCCCCACCTCCTGGGTTCAAGCAATTCTTCTGCCTCAGCCTCCCGAGTAGCTGGGATTACAGGTGCCCACCACCACGCCTGGCTAATTTTTGTATTTTTAGTAGAAACGGGGTTTCACCATGTTGGCCAAGCTGGTCTCAAACCCCTGACCTCAAGTGTTCCGCTCACCTCAGCTTCCCAAAGTGCTGGAATTACAGGCGTGAGCCACAGCCCCTGGCCTGGCGAGTTACTTTTTACTCAGTGAATTGTCCTAGTTCTTAACAACTTTTCCTTTTTGCTTAAGTCACTATGAATTGAGTTTATGTAACTTGCATCCAACAGAGTCCTAACCTAATGAGTCTTGGAAAAACTAGTAACAAAAATGAGAGAGGAGCACTGCTTGTTGTTACAAGGGTAGGAAAGACATCACCGTTTAGAGAAAATGGTATCATGTTAAAGAAACTTGTTTTCATCATACCCATCAAGAAATAAGTTTTTGAAACGAAGAACAAGCATCAAGAGGGAATTTAAAGCCCAGCTAGGAAAAGAGGACTGCTGGATGCTTTATTAATTCACACTCCAGGCCAGATGACTCACATCCTGAGACACTGGAAAGCATCTTCATATGAACCCCCATTCACTCTCAGACATCTTTGAGCAGTCATGGAGAGTGGAAAAGGGCCAAGAGACTGAAGGCAGGTAAAGGTTTTCCTTGTGCAAATGTGAACACAGATGCAAAAATTATATGTAATTATTGTTGAACCTGACATAAATTTTCAGCAAAATTCTAAAATTGTCATAGTTTATACGTACTTAGAAGGGAAAAAGCAACCAAAGAAAGCATAAGTTCAGTGAGAAGAAATTGGGTAAAACTAACACAATTTTTCTTAAACAATGACTTGAATGAAGACATACTTACAAATTTGCAAATAAGAAAAACCCAGGAAGGATAACTTATATTTTGATGACAAGTTAGGATTCAAAGTATCTTGACAAACCAGAATAATGAGAAGAAACCACACAACTATATAAATGTAAAATTCTGCTTTGGGTTCAAAATGTCATTTGCACACATAGGGAATAGGAAAGCCTCTGGGCCCATTCTGTCCCCAAGATGCTAGAATCTGTGATACTTTCAGTTATAGGCAACACTAGAGTGGAGATGAGAAACTTACCACCAGAGAAGAGAGGAAGAGATCATTCTATCAGATTAATTTTTCCCCCTGAATTTTAAGAGGATGAGGGACATAGTATTTTCTAGAGCTTAGAACATGGACAAAGGCTCAGAAAACGAATTCTTATGGTTTGCTCAGGTGTTTCTCCATGGCATGCATTCCTTACCAGACCCTCTGCAAATCCCAGACTTCTCTGTTCAATGGGGAAAGGTTTGTTCTATTGAATTCAAAGACCGTCCTCTAACCTGTCTTAAAAAGGTAATAGCAATTGCTTCCTTTAGCTTCTCCTTGACACGTAGAGAAATTATTCCAAGCCTCCTTTTCTTCAATATTTGAAACCAAAAGAAGTAGCCGACATGATATTTATGGTCAAAAAAAAAGTTTTTTGCACTTAATATTTTTTATTTTTGGTCTTTAGCTGTCTCAAAAAAATATGGAATGTTGAATTTCCTATAATTGTTATGTATTAATTGTATAACCAGAAAAAATTATTTAAACATTAATACGAGACTATTTTATTTTAGACTGCCCTTCCTTTTTTTTTTTTTTTTTATTTTGAGACGGATTCTTGCTCTGTTGCCCAGACTGGAGTGCTGGAGTGCAGTGGCGCGATCTCAGCTCACTGCAACCTCCGCCTCCCACGTTCAAAAGATTCCCTTGCCTCAGCCTCCTGAGTAGCTGGGATTACAGGCGCCCGCTACCACACCTGGCTAATTTTTGTATTTTTAGGAGAGACAAGGTTTCACCATGTTGGCCAGACTGGTCTCGAACTCCTGACCTCAGGTGATCCTCCCACCTCGGCCTGTCAAAGTGCTCGGATTACAGGCATGAGCCACTGTGCCTGGCCAGACTGCCCTTTCTCACAGAAACAAAGCAACTAGTAGCCAGTAAATTCACATAAAATTTTCATAGTGGAAAAAATCCCCATGCAACAATCGCTGGTAAGACAGAATCATTACTAAATGAAGCAAAGAGTTATATCTGGTCTTAGGAAGAAAGATACCAGGCCTAGAATGTCATTTACAAAATGAAAAGAATCTGAGGGTATAAGAAGAAAAGAAATTTAGATATAAAATAGAAAAGGAAAGCGACCTTACAGAACCAGATGATTCAGAGAACTCTTTGTCAGAAAAAAGAAAAAAAAATGAGAGAACAATTTGTTAAAGAATATTATATTTCTTGCTAACCAAGACAAATGAAAACAACCCAAGCGCAGCCTAGCTAAATTATGCCATCAGAATTAGTAACTTTCCACATCTGAGGCTTCTTTGATGCATGGAAATTCTTGGCCTTCTGTGCTTGTCATATGCTTTGAATTAACAGACCTATTAGGAATGAGTATTTGACAGGAAACAGACAATGTGGCTTCCAGTCCTAACTCTGCCACCAGCTAGCTATAGGCCTTTGAGCAAATCAATGTTTTTTTGTCCCATAGTTTATCAAAAGACAGCTCCAAATTTGTTCATTCCTTTAAAATATGTATTTCTTTTTGCAAGATGAAAAAGTTCTGGGCCAGGTGCTATGGCTCATGCCTGTAATTCCAGCACTTTGGTAGGCTGAGGCAGGAGGATCAGGAGTTTGAGACCAGGCTGAGCAACATGGCAAGACTCTTGTCTCTTCAAAAAAATTTAAAAATTAGCAGGGTGTGGTGGCATGCACCTGTAGTACCAGCTACTCCAACTCCAAAGGCTGAGGCAGGCAGGAGGATCACTTGAGGCCAGGAGGTCAAGGCTGCAGTGAGCTATTCCAGCCTGGATGACAGTGTGAGACCCTGGCTCGAAAAAAAAAAAAAAGTTCTGAAGATCTATTTCACAACAGTGGCAGTGGAAATATTACTACTGAACTGTATACTTGAAAATAGTTAAGATGGTAAAAGAATAATGTAAAAGTCAGTGTTGGTTGGCCAGCATCATAGAAACCAGAAAAATCTATTTCTTGAGGTTCAGTCACATATCAGACATTTTAGACACAAGGATGCAAAGACCAACCTCCTGCCATTGGTTATTGTCTTATCAAGGGAAACAAATGTATCATGTATAATAAGTTTGTGGAAGTATAAAGAAAGTGGTTTAAAGCACAGAGGTAAAAGTACATCTCTAGATAGAAGCGAGATTTGGGGAAAATATCATAAAAAATAGGTAGTATTTGTTCTGGATACGAGAATGAAGATGGTCCCCAAAAGGTAGGACACAGCTGGACATGGTGGCTCACCCCTGTAATCCCAGCACTTTGGGAGGCTGAGGCTGGGGGATCACTTGAGCCCAGGAGTTCGAGGGCAGCCCAGAACTGCCACAGATGTTAGAAATCACCAGTAACAACATTAAAATAATTATTACAACTGTGTTTTAACAAAAATTAAAGATGTGCAAGATATCAAAAAAGACCCAAATAAGCAGGGCACGTGGCACATGCCTGTAATCCAAACACTTTGGGAGGTTGGGGCGGGCAGATCACTTGAGCCCAGGAGGTTGAGGCTGCAGTGAGCCCTGATTGTGCCACTGCACTCCAGCCTGGGTGACAGATCAAGACCTTGCCTCAAAAAAAAAAACAAAGAACAAACAAAGAAAAAGACTCAAATCGAACTTTTAGAAATGAAAACTATGATGTCTGATATTAAACTACAGTGGCTGGGAGTAACAGCACATTAGATATTACAGAACTAAAAATTGGTGAATTTAAAGACATAGCAATAGAAACTATCCAAAATGAAGCACAAAGAAAAGATAAATTTTCAAAAAATGAATAAGTCATCAGGGAACTGTGGGACAGTTTCAAGTGGCCTATATATAAAGGACTAGTAAGCGAAGTCCCCGAAGGAAGGAGGAGGACAGAAAAAATACTTGAAGAAATAATGGCTGAAATTTTTCCAAATTTGATGAAAACTATATAAACCCTTAGATCCAAGAAGTTCAATGAACCCTAGGCACAAAAAAAATCATGAAGAAAACTACACTAAGGCATATCACATTCAAATTGCTCAAAGCCAGTGATAAACATTGCTAGAGGAGAAAGACACATTATATACAGAGGAATAAGGATAAGATGACAGAGGATTTCTCGTTGGAAACAATGCAAGCAAGAGAGCAATAGAGAAACATCTTTAAAGTACTGAAGGAAAACCCCCTCTACCTACAATTTCATACCAAGCAAAAATAGCTTTCCAAAACAAAGGTGAATTAAAAGACTTTTCAGACACAAGAAAGATAAAACAGTTTATTCCCAGAAGACTCACAGTACAAGAGATGTTAAAGTCCTTCAGAAAGAATAAAAATATACTACATGGAAATATAGATCTCCAAAAATAACAGAAGAGCACTAGAAATATTAGCTACACAAGCAAATTTTTAAGATTTTTTCCTTGTTGATTAAATCTTTTTAAAAAACAATTATCTGTTTTAAAAATAATAGTAAAAGTAATGTGGGTGAATTCATGAAGGAAACATAGCAAACCTAAATATATATGGCCCTAAAAGAATTTCAAAATGTATAAAGCAAAAACGAACAAGGGAAAATGGAGAAATCTACAATTATATTTGGAAATTTCAATTCTTCTGTCTCCATAATTGATAGAACAAGTCAATAGAAAATCAGTAAGCATATAGAAAATGTGAACACTATCAACTGAGTTGAACTGAGTTGAACTAGTTACCATTTATAAAACATTCTGCCCAACAGCATCAGAATACACATTCTTTTCAAGTGCATATTTGCCAGAATAGACCATATTCTGGGTCATGTCACAGTTACAGTAAATATTATGTAAAAGCATTCAAAATCTCTGCCATAATGAAACATAATTAGAAATCAACAGCAAAAAGATCCCTGGAAAAATTCCTAAATAATTGGGAGCCAAATAACACACTCCAAAGTAACTTATAGGTCAAAGGGGAAATTAAGAGACATTAGTATTTTGAACTTCATGAATATGAAAACAATAACATTTCAAAATTCATGTAATGCTGCTGAAGCAATACTTACATGGAAATATACAGGACAATAAAATGCTTTTCTTTTAAAATGCGTAGATTTTAAAAGTCTCAAATCAATGCCCTCAGCTTTTATGTCAAGAAACTAGAAAAAGCCAGGCATGGGTGGCTCATGCCTGTAATCCCAGCAATCTGGGAGGCCGAGGCAGGTGGATTGCTTGAGTCCAGGAGTTTGAGACCAGCCTGGGCAACGTGGTAAAACCCTATCTCTACTAAAAAATTACAAAAAAATCAGCCAGCCATGGTGCCTCACGTCTGTAATCCCAGCACTTTGGGAGGAGGCCAAGGCAGGTGGATCACCTGTCCAAGACAGGTCAGGAGTTCAAGACCAGCCTGGCCAACATGGTGAAACCCCATCTCTACTAAAAATACAAAAATTAGCCAGGTGTGGTGGTGCACACGTGTAGTCCCAACTACTCAGGAGGCTGAGGCAAGAGAATTGCTTGAACCTCGGAGCAGAGGTTGCGGTGAGCCGAGATCGCTCTACTACACTCCAGCCTGGGTGACAGAGCAAGATTCCATCTCAAAACACACACACATACACACACACACACACACACACACACAAATTAGCCAGGTATGATGGTGTGCACCTGTATTCTCAGCTAGTTAGGAGGCTGAGGTGGGAGAAACACCTGAGCCCAGGAAGTTGAGGCTGCAGTGAGCCAAGATTGAGCCACTGCACTCTAGCCAGGGTAGCCAAAGTGAGGCCCTGTCGGGAAAAAAAAAGAGAGCGAGAGGGGCATGGAGAGGGAAAGAGAGAGAGAGAGAGGAAGGAAGAGAGAGAGAAAAGGAAAAGGAAAAGGGAAGGGAGGGAGGGAGGAAGGAAGGAAGGAACTAGAAAAATAAGAGCAAATTAAACCAAAGAAAGCAGAAGAAAGGTCAGAACAGAAACCAATGAAATGGAAATCAGAAAAACAATAGCAAACATCAGTAGTACCAAAATAAAATTGATACACATCTAGTAGGACTGATGAGGAAAAGCAGAAGACACAAATTCCCAATATCAACATGAAAAATGTGACATCAATACAAATTCTATCAATATTAACTGCGTAACAAAAGAATGTGATACAACTTTATGCCAGTAAATTTGACAGCTTAGATTAAATAGACTCCTTGAAAGACACAAACTACCAAAACTCACACAAGAAGAAATAGATAACCTGAATAGCTCTATGTATATTAAAGAAATTTAATTCATAGTTAAAACCTTTCCACAAGGGAAACTCCAGATCTAGATGCCTTTACTGGGGAGTTCTACTATAGATTTAAGAAATATCACCAGTTCTACACAAACTCTTCGAGAAAATTGAAAAGGAGATAATGCTTTCCAGCTCATTCTGAGGCCAGCCTTCGCCTCATACCAAACCAGACAAAGATAATACAGGAAAAGAAAACTACAGACCAATGTCCATTAAGAGCATAGATTTAGGAATTATAAGCAATATTTAGTGCATCCAATTTAGCATTTTATAAAATAACTAATCAAATCCAACAATATATAAAAAGGATAATACATTGTGACCAAGTGGGATTTATCCCAGGCATGCAAGGTTGGTTTAACATCCAATAATCAATATATGAAATTCACCAGATAGTCCGGGAGCAGTGGCTCACACCTGTAATCCCAGCACTTTGGGAGCCCAAGGCAGGCAGATCACGAGGTCAGGAGTTCGAGACCAGCCTGGCCAATATGGTGAAATCCCGTCTCTACTAAAAATACAAAAAATTAGCTGGGCCTGGTGGCGGGCGCCTGTAGTCCCAGCTACTCAGGAGGCTGAGGCAGGAGAATCGCTTGAACCTGGGAGGCAGAGGTTGCAGTGAGCTGAGATGGCACCACTGCACTCCAGCCTGGGTGACAGAGTGAGACTCTGACTCAAAAAAAAAAAAAAAAAAATTCACCAGATAAACAAACTGAAAAAAAAAAACAATCTCAGTGGTTGCAGAAAAAGCATTTAAAATCCGGCATCCATTTCTGGTAAAAAAAAAAAAAAAAAAAAAAAAAAAAAAAAAAAATCCTCTTAGCAGACTAACAATAGAAGTGGACTTCTACAACCTGGTAAAGTACATCTGTGAAAAAATCTAAAGCAAATATCATATTTAATGGTGAAAGACTGAATGTTTTCCCCTTAAGATAGGATTTAACTCTATTGCATAATTTTTGGATAACTGGTTTGTCCATTTTGGATAATTGTATTAATTGAATAATTTGTATTGTCATTTTATATTATCATGGTGGGAACAGTTTGGCAGTGTTTTAAGCTAAACATATCCCTGCCACATATTCCAGCCACTCCACTCCTAGATATTTATCTAGGGGAAATAAACACATTTATCCATATAAAGACATACACAAATGTTCACATCAAATTATTTGTAATAGCCAAAAACCGGGAATAACCCAAATGTCCATTAGCATTGGAAGATGGATAAGCAAACTGTTATATCCATACAGTGAACTACTACTCGGTAATAAAAAGAATGAGCTATTGATACTACAACATGGATGAATTTCAAAATAATTTTGCCTGGTGAAAGAAGCCAACCTGAAAAGTTTATCCATTTATATACAACTCTAGAAAATACAAACCATAGGAGCAGGAAGTAGGTCAGTCATTGTTGGGATGGAGAGTGGATAGGGAGGGGAAGGAAGTAGGAATTACAAAGCAGCACAAGAAACCTTTGGGGAGTAATGGATAGTTTGAGTGCAGTGATGGTTTCACAGGTATAATATATATTTCAAAACCTGTCAAATTGTATACCTTAAATATGTGGAGTTTATTGTATGTCAGTGATGCCTTAATAAAGCATGCCTTAATAAAAGTGACTAGAATCTGGAGTATAGGGAGGGATGTTCAGGTGAGACAGGGCCATGAATTGTGTATAGAAGAAAACAGCACGAACAAATACATAAAGGAACTATTTGAAAATACATTGGGCTGGACGTGGTTGCCCATGCCTGTAGTCCCAGCACTTTGGGAGACCAAGGCAGGAGGATCACTTGAGTCCAGCAGTTTGAGATCAGCCTGAGCAACATGGTGAGACCCTGTCTCTACAAAAAAATTTAAAAATTACCTGGGTATAGTGGCACACACCTGTAGTCCCAGCTACTCAGGCTGAGGCAGGGAAGGATTGCTTCAGCCCAGGAGGCTGAGGCTGTAGTGAGCTGTGACCATTCCACCGCACTCTCGCCTGGGTGACAGAGCAAGACCCTATCTCAAAAAAAGAAAAAGGGAAAAGAAAATAAAAAATAAAAAACATTGCCACTGTTCTGAAAACAGTGAGTAGTCCAGAGTGGCAAGATCAGAGATTGTGTTGAGAGGAGTGGCAAGAACTACCAGAAAGGTATGTAGATATGACCAGATTGTCAAGGAACTTGAAGGGAATGTAAATGAGTCTGAAGTTACGCCAAAGCAGGAGGAAGTCATCAAGGAAACATGTAGAGTGAAAAGGGGCCAGGATGGACCCCTAGGCAATTCCTACATGTAATAAATGGGAGGTCAAAAGGCAGGAGGAGACTTAGGGGAAGTACTCTCCCAGAAAGAAGACAACAAGGTCAAATGCCTCCGCATTAAAGGAGACCTAGCCCTAGAGCAGTCCCTTTGATTTGGTGACCTTTGAAAGCACCTTTTGTAAAAGCATTGAGGGTAAAAGCCAAATTGCATGCTAAAATTAATAAAAAGATTAAATGGAAGTATAGTCTGATCTTTAGAGTATTATCTCTTTCTATTACAAATTCTGTTATTTCAAACTCAAAAGCTAATTTTTCATACTGCACAAGTTCAGGAAACCCAGTTCCGAGGATCTGTTCTGTAGGTGAGAACCTGAAAATCTAACTGTGGGTATGTCCTAAACTCGGCCAGCTAGTGCTGATTCCCAGATGAGCAGGGTTCTGAAGTTATTATTCTATCAGGTGAAAGTAGTAACCTTGTAAATGTGGGTGTTTGATCCTGAGAAGATGGGGTATAGTTTCCTAACCTTATACACATAGGGAATCTGATATGCCATGCCCCTTGGGGCCCATTACCTATGTGACCCTCTATGATTTGATGGCAATTTATTGGACCTCTGGTGGGTTGAATAAAAGAACTTAGGACCATTAACAAAGGGAAATATTTTTACCACATAACTTATTTTATGTATATGAGGTTTCAAAGCTGTATTCTGCTATTCTCTTATATGCAGTTTGTGCCAGCCATCTCTTATGTTTTATAAACCTGGGCATTCTAATAGCTACCTCTAAGGTCTCTTTGAAATATGTTTCTGAGGCTGGGCGCGGTGGCTCACGCCTGTAATCCCAGCGCTTTGGGAGGCCGAGATGGGCGGATCACGAGGTCAGGAGATCGAGACCATCCTGGCTAACACAGTGAAATCCTGTCTCTACTAAAAATACAAAAAAATTAGCCAGGCGTGGTGGCGGGTGCCTGTAGTCCCAGCTACTCAGGAGGCTGAGGCAGGAGAATGGCATAAACCCAGGAGGCAGAGCTTGCAGTGAGCCGAGATCGTGCCACTGCACTCCAGCCTGGGTGACAGAGCAAGACTCCGTCTCAAAAGAAAAAAAAAAAAAAGAAATATGTATCTGAATCTTGAAAGTTCTGTCTGTTGGATTCTTATTTATGCTCTATTTTCAACTCTTACTAGTGAAAGCTAAATCACATTCTTTTTTTTTTGTGACTAGACTATGAGTCCTTGGTAAAAAAAGCTCAGTATTGCTGTTAGTTAAATGATAGCCATCTGTTCAGAAGAGCAGAACTCAAACCTAAAAGCATCCTTTCTGCAAAAGGAAAGGTATAAAAATAAACATCTCAGCACCTGACAAATGTTGATTAATCATTAGACATTATATATTATCTCTGTTCTAAATCACTTATCCTGGCAGGGTGTGGTGGCTCACACCTATAGTCCCAGCACTTTGGGAGGCTGAGGTGGGAGGATCACTTGAGCCCAGGAGTTCACGACCAGCCCTGGCAATGTAGCAAGACCCAGTCTCTACAAAAAACACAAAATAAAAAATTAGGCCGGGTACGGTACCTCATGCTTTTTTTTTTTTTTCCTGAGACTGAGTCCCACTCTGTCGCCCAGGCTGGAGTGCAATGGTGCGATGTCGGCTCACTGCAAGCTCCGCCTCCCGGGTTCAAGTGATTCTCCTGTCTCACCCTCCTGAGTAGCTGGCATTACAGGCACCCACTGCCACACCAGGCTAATTTTTTTGTATTGTAATAGAGACAGGGTTTCATCCTGTTGCCCAGGCTGGTCGCAAACTCCTGAGCTCAGGCAATCCACCTGCCTCGCCCTCCCAAAGTGCTAGGATTACAGGCGTGAGCCACCATGCCCAGCCTACCTCACACTTTTAATCCTAGCACTTTGGGAGGCCAAAGCAGGAAGATCTTTTGAGCCCAGAAGTTCAAGAGCAGCCTGGGCAACAAAGCGAGACCTCATCTCTATTTGAAAAAAAGATAAATAAAAATTTAAAAATAAAAAATTAGCTGGGCATGGTGGCATGTGCCTGTAGTCCTAGCTACTTGAGAGCCTGAGGCGAGAGGATCACTTAAGCCTGGGAAGGTCAAGGCTGCCGGGAGCTATGATCATGCCACTGCACTTCAGCCTGGGTGACAGAGCAAGACCTTGTCTCATTCATTCATTCACTCATTCATAAATAAATGACCCTTTTTAAAAAGAGGCAGTAGTAAATCAAAGCTGATATTAGATTAACAAAATATGAATGTTACCACAGAAACACATTTCTTAGGCACATGGACTACCATCATATGATTTAGTCCAATTAAGGTTATTTTGATATCCTGAATAGTATGTGATACATTATTGATATGTATCACAGAATTCTCTTTAGAGTTTTGTACTGCTTTAAAAACCTTGTCACCGTCCTTTTATAAGAGATTACAGTTAGATAGTCACAATTGTCCTCAGAAATTGTCCTTGGTAGTTGATTCTAATGCAGATTCCTAAATATGCTGTCCTTTGTTGCTTCTTAGATAGAGAAATAAGGTCAGGAGACCCAGGTTCCTTTAAATATAAAACCTTGTAGTTTACAAACTTGCCATCAGTCATAGTGCTTAGAACCTAAATAGCAAGTGGGGCAGAGTAGCAAGCTGGCAAGTTCTCCAAAGTTCTTTGGGATAGTAGATATTTTGACATGCTTCCTCTTTCTTCTCCTGACTCACCCCTGATCTACCTAAGAGTGAACTAATTTTACTCTGATTTTGTTCTTGAAGTCTACTAATGGATTCCCTTTAATAGGTAAAAAGGAGTCAAATATACAGCTTTTAGTGGTTTTGAGGTTCCTGTGGTTTTGCATCTTCACTGTTGTCACATCTCTTAGATGAGGGCATTGATTGACACACACCAAAACAAAAAGATTCTCCCTCAACAACAAGCATACTAGGAACCTACCTTTTAAAAGCCCATGTTTTCTTTTCTGTTGCCATGGAATGCTATCCCCGGCAGGTTGATTGCCACTACAGGTAGTTG
The DNA here is from genome assembly GCF_000001405.40 of Homo sapiens. Taxonomy (NCBI): domain Eukaryota; kingdom Metazoa; phylum Chordata; class Mammalia; order Primates; family Hominidae; genus Homo; species Homo sapiens. The sequence goes on along the minus strand of NC_000017.11, from coordinate 32,575,816 downwards.
AGCAAAGAATCATCTTGGTAATTCTGGAGTCTGTATGATGGATGTATTTCTGACCCATCAATCTAGCAGTCATCTCTCTGATGGGCAGGATCCAGGCAAACTCCAAAGAGAAGAAGCAGGAGCCATTGAAACATAATGGAGTGAAAACAAAGTTAGGAGAAACACACCCCAGAGGGAATGGGGGGTGAAGTCCATGGGATTCGCTGCATAAAGTGGAAAAAGGAGCAGATAGAGAACTCACTATGCATCTGATAGGACTAAGATAATAAGGTGGGTATCCATAAGTCACCCCAGAAAATCTCTTTCCTTGTACTATATAATCACACCACATGGAAAATTTTATTTAACCAAGCAAAATTTATTGTGGATGTAATGAACTTTCAATAAAGCCTCACTAATTTCAATTTTACTCTTTCAAAATTTTCATCAGTAAATTAAAGGATGCAAAAGAAATCAAATGTAAGGCTTTGTAGCCTGAGGCTGCTGCCTAATGATTTTTTAATGGATTGAGCTATATACAGACAAGGTAAATCAAAGGTCCTCGGATTGGAGCTACAGAAAGTAGGAAGAACGTTTGGCTGGGCCAAAAGTAGCTTTATTTAAATACCTGCTAATAATTTGAGTTTTACTCTAGAATGTTTTTTATCATGCTTAGTATTATGTGAAACAGTACATAAATTTGGGATTCTTTCATCAAAATTAGTGCTTTAGGTTTGATTTCTGTATATCAACATTTCATTGCTTTTATTAATAACAATAATACTTCCGATACTTCCCATCAGCTCCCACGATTATGTCAGTAACTTTACATAAACTGTCTTATTTATCCTTCAAAGTCACTGTATTACAAGGTAGACATATTTATCCTCATTTTACATATGAAGAACCCAGAGTTCAGAGCATATAAATGACTTGTCCAGGGTCATACAGCTAGCAAGTGGCGAGCACAGACAGATTCAAACCCAGTTTTTCTGACTTCAAAGCTCATGATCCCTGCAAACCACTGTTTTAGATGTTAGGACTAGGGAGCCTACACAGCTCACCAGGGATATGCTTCTTGACTTTGAGAGGGCTTCAGCTGCACCTCGTGTACCTTTACTTTTGTTTTCTCAATCTGTATAGTGAGCCCACACTCAGAAGTGCCAGGCTCTCTTTCTACATAAGTTAGGTGCCAAAGATACAGCAATAAGCAAGATACTATTTCTTACCACACTGAATTTTCAAATGAATAATTGAAAGCAAGTACAATGGTGATGAGCAGCATGAAGGAGAATTAAATGCTGTGAATAAGAAGTTTACTAAGAAAATGATTAGGAAAAGAAGACTTGCAGAAAGACAATTAGCCTGATTTGGAGAAGAATTTGTGGAGACGCTATTTACATTTGAAAGAAAGAAAACAGAATTTCTTTACTCAACATACTATAATTCAGACTAACCCACTTAATTTAAATTAGCTAGCTTTACAAAATTTCATCTTGGGTGCATCAATCTGGATAGTCTTTGCTAGTAGTGATACAACTGTGCACATGTATGTGAATTCTCTTCACTTATACTAGATGCTAAAAGACAAGCTTCTGTAAAGTACGGAGAGATAAGTATTGTCCACCTATAATTCTATTCCCAGCCAAAGTATCAGTCAGGTATAAAGTTAAAAATAAACAAGGGGGCCGGGCGCAGTGGCTCACACCTGTAATCCCAGCACTTTGGGAGGCTGAGGCGGACGGATCACGAGGTCAGGAGATCGAGACCATCCTGGCTAACACGGTGAAACCCTGTCTCTAGTAAAAATACAAAAAATTAGCCGGGCGAGGTGGCGGGCGCCTGTAGTCCCAGCTACGCAGGAGGCTGAGGCAGGAGAATGGCGTGAACCCTGGGGGGCGGAGCCTGCAGTGAGTCGAGATTGCGCCACTGCACTCCAGCCTGGGTGAAAGAGCGAGACTCCGTCTCAAAAAATAATAATAAAAAATAAACAAGGGATAAAATATGGTCAGAGACCGGGCACAGTGGCTCACACTTGTAATCCCAGCACTTTAGGAGACTGAGGTGGAAGGATGGCTTGAGGCCAGGAGTTCAAGACCAGCCTGGGGAATATAAGAAGGCCCTGTCTCTAAAAAATAAAAAATAAATAAATTAGCCGAAAGTGGTGGCACATGCCTGTCATCCCATCTACTCAGGAGGCTGAGGTGGGAGGATTGCTTGAGCCCAGGAGTTCGAGGCTGCAGTGTGCGGTGATCACACCACTGCACTCCAGCCTCGGTAACAGACCAAAACCTTCCCTCAAAAAAAAAAAAGAAGAAAAACAGCACAGTCAGAGCCTTTCACACACACCCTTTCCTGTGAAGTTTCCTGAGGATATATTCCAGCAAAGTAAGGTAATAAAACAGGAAAGAAGAAGACATGAGAGTCAAAGGTAGCAGATCCAAATCAAGAGAGAAATAGAGTGGCAGCTGTGGTACAGACTGACAGAGCAAGAAGACACGGGGCTCTGATGATTGGTACCTGTGAAATGCGGGGATTCAAGGGATTTTATTCAATTCTAGACCATGGAAGAGAAAAAACAATTGTAAGTTCCAAGCAAGAAAATAGAACATATTTGGGGACATTATTTAAATAGTGAATAATAATTATAGGTTTGCAGAAATAAAACATTCTTTGATTTCCAACTTTTAGAATTAATCTTAACCAAAGTATAGAAGCCTTAATTAAGGCTACAGAACACCGAGTTGATAATAGTCAGTATTTTTTCAATGCCTTGTATGTGCCACGCATAGAAGGTGATTGGGATACAGGCAGTGAACAAAACAGTTCTTAAAGGGCTCTTATTCTAGAAAGGGGTATGAACGCTAAGAAAGTACAAACAAGATAATGTCTGGAGTGCTGTGAAGACGCTGAAATAGGGTAACATGAAAGAGCATAGCTAGGGAGAAGAGGTTGCTTTTGCTAACATGGAAAGCCTGTCAGAGAGTGACCCTTCAGTTAGGATTTGAATGACGAGAAGAAGGAGAAGATCTGAGATGTCACCAAGCAGAAAAGTAAAGGCCCTAAAATGGAAATTAGCCTGTGACAGTGGAACGATAAGTGCCTGTGTTGCTGGAGCAGAGTGAATGAAGGGAAGAGTATAGGAGATGGAAGTTAGAGATCACCCAGGCCAGATCATTGAAGGCCTCGTGGATAATGATAAGGGGATTTTAATAAGAGGTTTTTTTAGCAAAGGGGGTGATGTGGTCTGACTTATATTTCTGAAAAATCACTCTGGCCATTTTGTGGAGGGTGGATTATAGCAAGACAAGAGGGTGGCTGGTCCTAAAATTAGAAGACAGTGGCTTGTACTAACATTTTAGCCATGGAGATGGTGAAATATATTTGGAGGTAGAAATGACAGGACTTATGTGGGCGAAAGGGAAAGAGAGGATTTGTTTGTGGCTGGAGCATCTGGGTAGATGGAGTAGCACTGGCTGAGAGTGGGGTACTTGGGAAAAGAGCATCTTTGGGAGGTAAAATCCAGAGATCAGTGTTGGAGATGTCACAAAGGAAGCAGCCTCAGCCTCTGGTGTAGAAGTATAGCTGGTGGGAGGTGGGCGAGGGGGAGTAAAAGTGCTGGAAGGAAGGTGGAGATACTGGCATCAGCACCTTAGAAAATGGGAAATACAGAGAGAGTTTCTTGTTGATGGAACAAAAATAAAGGATACATATATTATTTAATGTGGTCAAGAAGTAATACAACTATTGATGAAATTACAGATGAGGAGGAGAGCAGGGGTTATTAGTGATATGAACCTAGGTCTGTTGTAAAAGGAAGTCAGTGGATATATATCAAGTTGATAATTTCAGATAAATTGAAGTTGATAAATTCAGAAAGGTAATATCAGCCTGTTATTTAGTGTTTGGAGTTCACCATAAAAAGAGCTAAAAGTAGAAGCAATTTAAAGCAAGCACAAAAGAACCAGCAGTGGGTTAAGGGACTGTTGCTTTTCATTTTCTTCAGTCCTCTGCATGGGTTACTTTGCTAGAGTAAAATGGTAATATTCTTAATTGCCTCGACAAAATCAGATTTTCTGGATGTGAAAAGGAAGTGATTTTTGATTTCCCAAAATTAATTGAACAGGGGAGAGAGAGTTTGAAAGTCTTATTTCTTCAATATACCACCAAGAAGTTTTCATTTTAAAATATGCTAGAAAGTGGCAGTGGATATGCTACCAAGTGTCCAAAGAAATGGCTACTTCCTTTCTTGACTTATAGAAGTTTCCACCCTTTTAATTTAAACCCAATTCTCGGTCCTCTGCTACCTTCTGGAGAACAAGGAATTATCAACGCGACCCCACCAGAATTTACAGTTTTTCTAGGCCATATGGCAAATTTAGTGGAATTGCAAGTTCCAGGAAAGGAGGAAAGGCTTGATACAGGGAACAGCCCAGGGGAGCAGAAGAAAGGCAGCAGCAGGAACAGATGCTTGGAAACTTCCAGTGGAGGGAGGGCCAGAGGCGGGGTTGCCAGGGTTAAAAACCAGAAGAGTGTGGTCAGTTTTTGACCATTTACCAACCAATGAGGTTTTCTTTACCCGTTCGTTTGCCTGCTTCCACGCCCCACTCCCCCACATCTCCTCTTCCCTCCTGGCTACCCTGCATCCTCTTAGCCCAGCAAGCCCCACAGATACTTCCCACTGATTCACCTACTCTAGCACCAGTGGTAGAAACACCCTTTAAGGTCTCTCTTCCAAGGGCCCTTCTGTGCATTTGTATTTACTTTTCCCTCCACCCACCCATCTTGTGACTTCTGAGTCCCCTTTTGCCCAGCACTCCCCCTCCAGCACTTTTCCTCATGGGAGCCAGCCCTTTCCATAGCCTCAAGTGGAACTAATCTGTCACTTCTTTCTCTTACCTTCTATTCCCGACAACAGACATGTGTGCTTGGTGACTTAGATTCATATCTATAGTATTAATAGACACCTTTAGGATATGCATGTTAGAAACATGAATGTTGTGTTAAGTTTCCTGTCTTAGAACCCAGAACTTGGCATTGTAGAATCCATCTGTGCAGATCAATCATATCAAACTGGGATGTCACTGAGTTTTTAGAGGTTTGTGAACTTTACAAGAGTCGCTTTGAAAGGAGCTTTGAAAGCATGAAGAATGTTTGTTAGAAGAGCCTTAAAAAGTGTAATAACCGGCCAGGCGCAGTGGCTCACGCCTGTAATCCCAGCACTTTGGGAGGCCCAGGCAGGCAGATCACAAGGTCAGGAGATCGAGACCATCCTGGCTAACACAGTGAAACCCCGTCTCTACTAAAAATACAAAAAAATGTGGCGGGTGCCTGTAGTCCCAGCTACTTGGAGGCTGAGGCAGGAGAATGGCATGAACCTGGAAGGCGGAGCTTGCAGTGAGCCAAGATCATGCCACTGCACTCCAGCCTGGGCGACACAGCGAGACTCTGTCTCAAAAAAAAAAATTTTTTTTAATGTGGTAACCTTGGCTTACCATGCATGAGGGTTGATAGGAGGAAACTATCCTGTACCCATTCTACAACCAAGGAAGTTTGATTAAATGTAAGGACAAATTTTTGACTGTCAGAGACTGATTACATGATAACTCCTTGAGGGCCCTCTGGTTCTGGGTTCCACTGTCTCTTACAGGCAATTGGTGAGGGTGAGGCATCGTGAGACTCTGAGGCTGGAAGGAACTTAGAGATTCCAGCCAATTCAGCACAGTGGTCAGACTTAAACAGAACTCATCCCTAATTGCTCAGTTACTGCTCTGTTTGTAAAGACCAGCAGAGGAATATATTCCACAGTTCCCTTGGTGATTTATTTAATGATCTTAAACATCCTGCTCAGGAAACTTGGTCCTATTTCTAACCAAAACTGCATCTGCTGTGGTTTCTTCTAGTTCTCAGAGACTGTGGGAAGCAGCTGTCCCCATCTAGTGACTTGCCCTGTGATACCTTCACACACTCATCCTCTGACCTTTTATCTCTCCTTTATTCCCGGATCTTATTTTCTGGCTCTTTAATATATTCAAGTTATACGTGCTAAAGATCAGCAACAGTTCAAAAGCTCTCGGAGCAGGATGACTACTGTGTTGCATTTACTTTCTCAGTCTGTAAAGCAACTGGAAATTCAGATTTAACTAGAGAGGAGAGTTACCAATCATTGCTCATCTCTCCAAGACTAATGCTTTGGGAGAGAAAAGGCATTATGGAGGCAGGGAATTCACACTCCTGGGCGTCTCCCATTGCTCATCCAGTGGGAGGTGACGGTTCCCAGTCTCAGTCTGGGGCACTTCCTTTCACTTCCCCTGGGTGTTCACCATTGTGAGGAACAGGTTAGATGGGGAAGAGCTGCACAAGAATTTCACACAGTGTCTTTTCTGTGGCAGATACTATTGCAGAATTGGTCATGCAGGTCTGAGAACACCACATGTAAGTTAAAGTACAAGAGGCCTGTGTGTCCTTGGGCCCAGTGCACCTGCAAACACTTCCTCGATTAGTCAGCGCTTAGCTGACTTAGTGTCTTGGCCTAGAGCAATACTATCCCCAATTAACAATGGAAGTGAAATATGCCCATTGCTGTCTTCACCCAGAGAAAATAGATTGCTCATATATTACTTCTTCCATACACTCACATGGAAATCAGCTGAAGTTTCTATGACACCAGGACAGTCAGCAGCTCTGCCATAAAACATTTTAGTCATAAACATCTATTTATAACACAGACCTCAATGTATTTATTTAAAAGGCACCAGATTATCTAGTCGTGGGATTTATTTATTATCAACTGACAGTTTCTGAACACGAAGGATGTACAAAACACTCCTCTACATATTGGGGGTGGCCACAAGGATGACTTAAACCCCCCAACCTCAAGGAGTTCCCAGTCTAGAGAGGGCAATACACATAAAAACAAATGATGACTGTGTCCAGTCAAGATGCATAGGAGCATAGAGGCTGGACCTGTAATTCCAGTGAGTAGGTGCAACTGCACTTCGAGCTGCTCTGGAGGTGTGTGCACTCACTCTTCCAGAAGAGAAGCTGGAAGGGCTGAGGTCTGGGACAGAAAGCACGGAAAGGGCAGATCCCTCTCAGAGGCTGATCTGGGTGGGGAAGAGTCAGAAAATGTGGGTTCAGTTCAGATTGCCAAGGACCTTCTATTCCATGTGAGGTGACCACAGATCCCAGTTTCCCAAGGTTTATGTCTGTTGCTCCAACATAATCATCAATAGAGCTGCGTCCTTTAACTCTCAAGAGTGTCCCAGATAGATGATAAGTCCCACAAACACCTGACTTATACAGCTGTGCAAAGGGGGTTGATAGGTTATATAAAGCAAATGAATGAATCAGATATGTGTCCTGGAAAGATAACTCCAGCAGCCATGAGAAAAACAGTTTGCAAAGGGATGAGACTAGAGACGGAATCTCTCCATACAGACAGAAGTAGAATGAAACATACTTGCCTTGAAAACTAACCATATTCTAAACATGGACTTGCCTAAATGTTGGTTATAAGATTGTCTCTGTTTCCAATGACAATTTTTTGAACTGTGTCAAGTTGCATAGATGTTCTGAATGTCTTTTAAGTTCTCAGTAATTTTCAGAAATAATGCTAGCTGCCTGACACCAGCCTTTTTTTTTTTTTTTTGTAATAACGCAGAAAGATAAAGAGGATTCTGATAAATACCTGGGGGAAAAAATCTCAAGACTCTTTTGGGAAAAAGGACTTAATGTTGCAGAGGAGCTCTGATCACCCAGGTTTGGTGCAGAAGTTTGCGTGACCTTTTTCTAGGAAGCTGCCGCTCACCATTATTGCAGCATACCTTTTGCATTGTTTTGCTAGTCTTGCAAATAGGTTTCACCAAGCCACCCACACTTCCCAGCCATCTTTCCTGAAACTACTGAATGCACCTCTGAGATGGATTGGGGTGTAGTCTCCAAGGCACAAAGCTGAGTTAATTGGACGTGGAGACTGAACCTGTAGCAGTGGCCTCGTTAGCACCACTGAACTACCCGGACACAGCCTCAATGATGCAAGGCACTTTTGGTAAGATGCTTCCTGTAGGTGTCCTTCTGTGCACATATGCTCCCTTCTTCCAGGGCTACTTGGACTTGATGACTAAGAATGATGAAAGAATGAGACCCTACAGTGGCCAAGTCATCCTGAAGGGACTGGCCATGACTGAAGCCCAAGTTCTTAGCATGTTCATGCTTGAGAAGCAACACAGCACAGGGCAGAGAAAGAGTACAAGGTTTGGAGTGAGATTGGTCTGTGTTTAAGTCCATCCCTGCTACTTACTAGACAAGAGACATCAGACGTTACTTAACCTTTGTGTACCTTATTTCCTTCCCAGGATTGTGACGACAACACCTGCTGTACCTGGTGGTTGGGTTTGTGTTAACCTAGCCAAACCCCCAGCACAGGTGTGGCACATGTAGGTGCTTAGTTGACGGTGGCTGATTTTATTAACTGTTGTCATAGTGATTATTACAGAATAGGTTCTGTTTAAATACATTCATTCGCTGAGTCAGCATCTATTTCTTGAGCACATGTCACTTGCTGAGTCGTGTTCTCTGCCCTAGGGATATAGCCATGAACAGGATAAACAAGGTTCCTGTCCTCAGGATGCTTAGACAAATGCTCTAATTCAGCTCTTCTTTTTTCATTTCCTGCTCAATTTATTGACTTCTGCCACCCCTTCATTTGTTGCCCTTTCCCAGCATCCTCTACCTTCAGCCAGAAACCCCTGTTTTCTCAGTAGCTTTGTCCTGTTAATATCCCAGAAGCCTGCAGCCGCATCATCTGCTCCTTTTTGATTTCCTCCATTCTGTGAACATGGATGGAGCACGGGCTTTGGAATCAACCGTTCTGCCCTCAGTCCCAGCTCTGCCGCTCCCCACCTTGGATGCAGAGGCTCCCATTCCTCTGTTGGAAAGATCACACAGATGTGTCTCAGAGGCTTGGTACACAGTGCCTGCCTGATTTGGTTAAAAAGAAGCTTAAAAGAGAAAGACCAAAGAGGGAAGCTTTTACAAGTTGCTTTTTAAAGCTTTGGAAGTTTGTGTTTGAGGCTTCAAACAGATAACTAATTAAGTTCTAGCACTCCCTGTGATTCGGACAACAACCGTAACTACTGTCATGTTACTACTATTAATTGATTCTATTTGGTTCCAATGACACGAGTCAAAAAATGTTTTCCCAACTGTGGTTGGACTCAGTTGACTTTCCAATCATATCACTCCCCTCCTTCAGTGGCTACTCAAGATCAGGTCTGAGGTCACTCCCACAGCCTACACGATGTGGCCCCACCTCCTCACTCTGCATTTTCCTGCACTTACCTGCAGGCTCACCTGCAGGCCACAGCAGCTTTCCTTGGCTTCCTCAAGGAAAGCCCCTCACTGCCTACCTCAGAGACAGCTCCGGTGCCGTGCCCTGTGCCAGGAATGCTGTTCCTAACCTCTTCCCCAAGCCCCCGTGCATCTTCCAGGTTTCAGCTTAAATGCTACTTTCCCAAGGAAGCCTTTTCCTGACCCTCTCCTCAAACAAGTCTAAGTCCTCATGTTAGTGTCGTCTTCTAGCACTCTGGTTTTCTCCTTCATAACACCACAGTTGTACTTCCTTTTCGTATACTTTTTTTTTATTTAACATCTGTCACTTTCAGGGGGTTATAAGGAGCACATGAGGGGAGGACTGTGTCTACCTCCCCGTCTAGAAGCACAGGAACTATGTGTTGAATGAATATATAGGAAGCTGTAGATGGATTTCTTATCACTGCATATATTCAATCTTAGCTAGAAACACACTCTGAAGGCCGGGTGCGGTGGCTCACATCTGTAATCCCAGCACTTTGGGAGGCTGAGGTGGGTGGATCGCCTGAGGTCAGGAGTTCAAGACCAGCCTGGCCAACATGGCGAAACCCTGTTTCTATGAAAAATACAAAAAAAAATTAGCCACACCTGGTGGCACGCACCTGTAGTCCCAGCTACTTGGGAGGCTGAGGCAGGAGAATCACTTGAACCTGGGAGGGGTTGCAGTGAGGCAAGATCTCGCCACTGCACTCCAGCCTGAGCCACAGATGGAGACTCTGTCTCAAAAAAAAAACACACACACTCTGAAACAGGTGTGTGGAATTGACCTTCAGATCTGGACTTCCTGTTCAGATGCCAGTGGTAACAAAGTCATTACTTGATAATGTTTACTGATGGCCATGACCTAGCTCAGTTCAGTCCTGAGTAGATGGGCATTCACAGCAGCCTACTTAGCAATTATGTCACCGGCCATATGAAGACTGGCCACTCCTGAGAGCAGAGGTGACAAAGCAGATGATCGAGGGCTAAGGGCTGAATAGATTCCAGAATCTGAGCAGCCACTTTCACCAGGTCATATCTCCAGGGTCCAGAGGTGAGGTTTTAGGGGGATGGAGGTGGGAGCTGCATCATAAAAGTGAGCAGTGCCAGGGTGCCTTTCGTTGCTACAAGGAAGAACCCTATCTTAAAGGAGCAGTTTTTGCACATGAAGGTATTTTCTTCAGGCTGGGTGTGGTGGCTCACGCCTATAATCCCAGCACTTTGGGAGGCCGAGGCAGGAGGATCACCTGAGGTCAGAAGTTGGAGGCCAGTCTGGCCAACATGGTGAAACCCTGTCTGTACTAAAAATACAAAAATTAGCTGGATGTGGTGGTGAACACCTGTAGTCCCAGCTACTCCAGAAGCTGAGGCAAGAGAATCGCTTGAACCTGGGAGGCAGAGGTTGCAGTGAGCTGAGATTGCGCCACTACACTCCAGCCTGGGTGACAGAGCAAGAAGCCATCTCCAAAAAGAAAAAAAGTATTTTCTTTTTCTTTATAATGAAATGATGTCTAGTTATATGCATTATGAAGCAGGAAGAGTTATCATCAAGGGTGATGGACTGTTTAACGTAATTGTGAGATGGGGGGTATGCTGTTTCTAGAATTAACACAGATTGACCTTTGTAACAGTGACCACAAAATGCAGACAGGCCTGATGGGGATTTGTTCCTATACTCTTCCCTGTAAACACCACATGGCTTGGAGCCTCAGTTGATGCCTTAGAGTCAGGGTTAAAGGTGCAGCTATGTGGAAGGGCTTCCAGCTCTTTGTTATGTCTTGTGCTCACTGCTGCTTTGCCACTTACTTTGTAGTCGTCTGTCTACTTAGTCCATCTCCCCCATTAAACCACAAGTTCATTGAGAACAGGGACCATGTCATAAATATATTTGACTCATCCCTAGCACCTAGCACAGGAAACACTAAATAAATACCGAAAGAGGGAAGGAAGGAAAGCAGGTAGGTCAGTAGGCTCTGGTTAAGGGAAGGGATGGTGTAGGGTTCACCCTGGGCTGTACACTATGCTCCAGCACTGACTGTAAAGCCACTTCATAATTGCTAAGTAGAGGGTGTCGGCTTAGAAAGGAAAGGGACCACATGCTGACCAAGATTTTCCCAGGTGACACTGTGAAGGAAGCTGATGTCAGCTTCACATCCAGACTTGTGTGAGTAATTAGAAACTTCAGAGGGAGGGTAAAGAAAATCTGCCTACTAGTTGACAGCCCCCTTCTCAGCCCATATGGATCAACTCATGAAGGGGAAGAAGCAGAGGGCATGAGGATCCATTCCCAGGTTAGCCTGGGCTCTGCTTACTGCCCCCAGGCAGGGCTCCAGCACCTGCAGGCCAGGGACTCCACAAGGGTCTTTGGAAGCCACTATTGCAAAGCAGAAATACTTCTGTACATTATCTGCTAATTGTCCATGGGCAGGCTGGAGGCAGCAAAGTGGCTTCTGGACCCCTACAGATAAATTTCAGCAAAGAGATTTTAATCAATTGATGGATCGATCTCACTGTCTCCTGCTACTTGCATATTCCCTTGCAGCCTTTAGCCCAGCAAGAATTGTAGTAAACCAAGATCAGCATCATACTGAATCAAAAGGGGTTTAAGAAACTAAATACGCTAAGTCAAATGTTTTAATAGCTTATCTTAAACCAATATGTAGCAGTTTGAGGTGTGATTGAATGCCACGTGTGCAGCAAAGGGACAGGGTGAGGAATGAGGAAGCCACGCGACTGTTCAGCTCCTTCTCATGAAGTAGAACTCAGTGTACTGTTGATGGCTCCATTTGAAATGAAGTTGAACTTCTGTTTTTCCAAATGTTTGTTAACTATTTGTATGTCTTTTTATTGTCCGTTTTCATTGCAATTATAGTTCTCCCACTGACGTTAAGATGCAGGTGCTGAAGCACACACAGATCAATCTCATCCTCCATCAATGCATTTATATATTTAGAAATCACCGTAATTGCAGGCTGGGTGCGGTGGCACACGCCTGTAATCCCAGCACTTTTGGAGGCTGAGGTGGGTGAATCACTTGAGATCAGGAGTTCGAGACTAGCCTGGCCAACATGGTTTGAAACCCCATCTCTACTAAAAATGAAAAAAAAAAATTAGCTGGGCACAGTGGTGCGTGTCTGTAATCCCAGCTACTCAGGAGGCTGAGGCAAAAGAATCGCTGGAACCCGGGAGACGGAGGTTGCTGTGAGCCAGGATTGTGCCACTACGCTCCAGCCTGGGCAACAGAGCAAGACTCTGTCTCAAAAAAAAAAAAAAAAAAAAAGAGAGAAGAAAAAAAGAGCTGTAATTGCAAAGAAAACGGAAAATAACAACATATATAAATAGTTAACATTTAGAAAAACAGAAGCTCAACTTCATTAATAATCAAAGATGTCTTAACAAAACAATGAGATACGATTTTTCCTTCAAGTCAGTATAATTTATTTTGATAATAGTCTACATTCACGAGAATGCAGTAAGGTTCTGCATTGATATATTGCTGCTGAGAGGTAATTGATATAAATCTAGAAAACCATTTGAAAGTATGAACTGTCTTTCAAATGCCCCTCCCTTTAAAAAGACAAAGGAAATACCATAAAATGTTAATCATAATTATTTCTAGGGTTATGTTGTACATTTAGAATTAAAGGGAAAAAATAACATTACTAATATTTTAATGCTCACATCATTTTCCCTAACAATCTCCTTTTAAGAAATATCCTGTCCGGGCATGGTGGCGCACGCCTATAATCCCAGCACTTTGGGAGGTGAGGCAGGAGGATCACTTGAGGCCAGCCTGGGCAACATAGCAGAACCTCGTCTCTACAAAAAGTTTCAAAATTAGCTGGGCCTGGTGGCACGCACCTGTAGTCCTAGCTACTCATGAGGCTGAGGTAGAAGAATCACTTGAGCCCAGGAGGTCAAGGCTGCAGTGAGCCTTGATCACACCATTGCATTCCAGCCTGGGCAACAGAGCAAGACCCTATCTCAAAAAAATTAAAAATTTAAAAGGAAAGAAATATCCTAAGAAAATAATCAGAAATATGGGCACAATTTTATATGTAAAGATCCATAAATAAGTTATTTATAAATAGTAAAAAACTGGAAACAGTCTAAATGATTAAAGAATGAAATGAAATATTTTGCAGCTTACCTTTACAAACTTTTTGATGTCAAAGGAAAGTGCTTATGATAAAATAAGTTTTTTTATGTGTGTAATATTATATTCTGATTGTGGTCACAATTTCAAAAAAAATGTTCATTGAAAGAACGAGCGTATCAGCCTGGGCAACGTGGCAATACCCGTTTCTACAAAAAAATACAAAAACTTACTTAGCCCAGCGTGGTGGCATGCACCTGTAGTCCCAGCTCCTCGGGTGGCTGAGGTGGGAGAGTGGCTTAAACCCAGGAGGCCAAGACTGCAGTGAGCTGTGATTGTGCCACTGTACTCCAGCCTGGGTGACACAGCAAGACCCCTGTCTCCAAAAAAAAAAGAGAGAGAAGAAAATATGCCAAAATGGTTTATGCTGACTGCTTTTGTTTTTACTGCTTTGAACTTTTCTGTGTTTTCCAGCTTTACTTCAATGAGGACATATTGCTTGATAATCACAGAAAATTTTTAACTCTTTATAGCAAAAGTTAATTACTAAAAGGATACGTAAAATATAATATTTCTATGTTAATATGTCAAAATATTAACAGTGGTTCTCTCTCTAGATGATGAGATGGTATTATGGATAAAATTTGATTTCTTTATAGCTTTTTGTCACTTTCCAAGTTTTCTTTTTTTTTTTTTTTTTTTGAGACAGAGCCTCCCTCTGTCTCCAGACTGGAGTGCAGTGGCGGGATCTCGGCTCACTGCAACCTCCTCCTCCTGGGTTCAAGCGATTCTCCTGCCTCAGCCTCCCAAGTAGCTGGGACTACAGGCACGCACCACCACGCCCAGCTAATTTTTTTGTATTTTTAGTAGAGACGAGGTTTCACCATGTTGGCCAGGATGTTCTTGATCTCCTGACCTCATGATCCGCCTGCCTTGGCCTCTCAAAGTGCTAGGATTACAGGCATGAGCCACCACACCCAGCCACTTTCCAAATTTTCTACAATAAACATGTATGAATTTTAGAATTAAAAAAAAAGGAGAGAGTTGGAAAAAAATTGAAGCAAAAAAAGAACTTACAAATGTAGAATTTGTAATGGGACTGAGTGATGGATGTTATAAGTGCCGGTTTACTCTTACACATTTTCAAAAACATACCTCTCTTTGAAAGATTCACCAGCTAGACTGGGCTTTGTGGCTCACACCTGTAATGCCAGACTTTGGGAGGTTGAGGCGGGTGGATCACCTGAGGTCAGGAGTTCGAGACTAGCCTGGCCAACATGGTGAAACCCTGTCTCTACTAAAAATACAAAAATTAGCCGGGCGTGGTGGCAGGTGCCTGTAATCCTAGCTACTCAGGAGGTTGAGGCAGGAGAATCACTTGAACCCAGGAGGCAGAGGTAGCAGTGAATCGAGATCACACCATTGCACTCCAGCCTGGGCAGCAAGAGCAAGACTCTCAAAAAAAAAAAAAAAAGCCACGCATAGTGGCTCATGCCTGTAATCCTCGCACTTTGGGAGGCCAAGGCGGGCAGATCACGAGATCGGGAATTTGAAACCAGCCTGAACAACACGATGAAACCCCGTCTCTACTAAAAATACAAAAATTAACTAGGAATGACGGCACACGCCTGTAATCCCAGCTACTCAGTAGGCTGAGGCAGGAGAATCACTTGAACCCGAGAGGCGGAGGTTGCAGAGAGTTGAGATTTTGCAACTGCCCTCCAGGCTGGGTGACAGAGCAAGACTCCATCTCAAAAAAAAAAGATTCACCGGCTAATCTTGAGTCAGAATTTTTAACTTTAGGTATAAAAGTTATATATATATATATATATATATATATATATATATATATATATATATATGTTGTCTCTGGGTATTACTTTTTTTTTACTTAAATATCTCCATAACATACATTTCTTTCTTGCAGTAACTTTTGTGGACTACTACTGTCTCTTTTGGCTTCATCTCAGTATTACTTAAACTCCAGAAACTGTGTCTCTGATAACCTGCCATAGTCATATGAATCAATTACCATATTTATGCAAAAAAGAAGAGACTAGCTTATTCTTCAGAATAGTTTAGTATTTTAACATCAGGCATATACAGCTTGTCACAAACACTTTTTCCTTTTTTTTTGAGATGGAGTCTCATTCTGTCGCCCAGGCTGCAGTGCAGTGGTGCAATCTCGGCTCACTGCAACCTCCGCCTCCCAGGTTCAAGCAGTTCTCCTGCCTCATCCTCCTGAGTAGCTGGGATTACAGGCACATGCCACCACACCTGGCTAATTTTGTATTTTTAGTAGAGATGGGGGTTTCACCATGTTGGTCAGGCTGGTCTTGAACTCCTGACCTCGTGATCTGCCCGCCTTGGCCTCCCAAAGTGCTGGGATTACAGGCGTGAGCCACCACACCTGGCACACTTTTTATGCAGTTGGATGAGGGTTTCTATAGGATAACTACTGTGTCACTGCATTACAATACCATAGCATTGACAAATACAGACAGTGACACTGAAGAGTCAAGAAATACTTCATTTAAAGGTCTGTGGCTGGGAATGGATATAATTGATTTAAATTACAAAAAATTAATGATAGATATCAATAAAAAGAGAAGTTAAAGATAGTAAAACGTATTAGGATGGAAATGATGAAATGTGATAAAAAGATAATGGTAACAAAGTGCCAGAAGTGTTCAATTTAGGCAAATTAAATTTAACAGAGTTTAATTGAGCAAAGAATGATTCACAAATCAGGCAGCCTCCGGAACCAGAATAGATTGAGAACAACTCTGGGGCTGCCACATGGTCAGATAATGTTTATGGACAGAAAAAGAAAGTGAGTATACAAAACAGAAGTAAACTACAGAAGCAGCTGGATTGGCTACAGCTGAGCATGTGCCTTATTTGACCTTGGCTTGAACAGCTGAACACCTGTGATTGGCTGAAACTCAGCTGAAACTCAAGTGATTGAGTGAGACTCAGCTCCGAGTTTCAAGAGTAGATTATGGTCTGCTCACACATCCAGTTAGGTTACAGGTCATTATGTGTGGAGAAACCTTTAGTCCAAACTTAAAATATGTAAGGAGGCAACATTAAGCTAAACTTAATTTAAGAAAAGTATATGAGAAAAATAAATTGCGCTTCAGAAAACAGTTGAGATCCCTATTGTATATGGATTACAAACCCTTTTTTATACAAGCTTTTCTTTAAAGAACATGCCCCAACAAGTAAAGTTCAGGAAATTCAAGATCCAATTCAGTAATTTAGAAGCCCTTGAAAGACAATTTGGTTCATATTGCACACACACAAGCACACGTTCTGAGATACTTATTAAACACATGCAGATAATAAAAATAGTTAACATTTGTCTAGTCCTTAGTCTGTGCTAGGCTATATTGAAAGCACCATGCATATGTTAGCTCATATAAGCCTCACAGTAACTCTAGAAGGTGGGCCCTATTATTACTGCCATTTATAGCTGGAGAAACTGAGGCATGGAAGGGTTCAGTGGCTTTCTCAGGACCACAGCTAATTATTATAGTAATGGACCAGAGCTCAGACAGTCTGGCTCCAGCATCTACTCCCCGCCTCAGTGTCTTGTCCCAAGACTATACTCCCTGTCAGATGTAGGGTACTGGTATTATTCAAAGCAGAGGAAGTAAAATATTTAAAACGGAAGCACATTTTAAAATAGAAAATGAGAGGGGCAGAAGAGACGGAGCGTGTTAATGACCTCTATATCCTCTCATCTCCCTGGGAATTCATTCTATAGCAAAACCAGGGAGAACTGTGGAGGAAGCCTGGTTCTCTTGAAAAGAAAGAACATTTCTGGGCTCTTATTCTCAGCGGTTGTGTTATCTGACAATGCGCCCTTGCATGGAGAGTGGTTTGTTTGCTGTTTTCAAACCACAGGTGTGAGCATGTGATGATAGCAGTGCATTACTGATTTTCTGTTCATCCTGCAGTGAAAAAGCACAATGTAATGTGCTTCCATAAGGTGTGAAGTAAAACACTTTTAATCAAACTTCAAAGAACACTCTTCTCTTCTGAGAGCAAAGCCTTGTTTCCTTGCTGCTCCATCTTCTGTTCAGTGTTAACTGTCTGCTGCCCATCTCCAGCCTGGCTGTGCTCAGAAATAAATTGTTTCCATTGGGCCTAGGCACTCAAGGGTTGGAACTTACTCTTGAGATCAAGGAGGGCCCTGCCTCTCAGAGTGTTTCTTTTTATCATCCCATGGTTTCCCACACAGACAAACTGTTTTAAACTAGACCTGAGGTTGACAAACTTTGATCCACAATAGAATCTGGCCCACCCCCAAGATGACTTTGCATTTTTATATGTTTAAGGGGATAAAAACTCAAGAGAGGTTTAATATTTTGTAACACCTGAAAATTATGTAAAATTCAAATTGTGTCTATAAATAACATTTTATGGGAACACAGCCATGCCCATTCATTTACGTCCACAGTTTCAATAAATGTGGACATGGCTGTGGAGTGTGGACATAAATGAATGAGCGTGGCTGTGTTCCCATAAAATGTTATTTATAAACACAATTTGAATTTTATATAATTTTCAGGTGTCACAAAACATTATATAATTATGTCCAAATTACATAGTTACAGTGCAGACTGTATGACCTGCAAAGCTGAAATATTTACCATCTTTCCTCTTATAGAAAGACTTTGCTGAGCGAAACCCCATCTCTGCAAAAAATACAAAATTTAGGCATGGTGGCGTGCTCCTGTAGTCCCAGCTACTGGATGGGGGTGAGGGTGGGTAACGGGAGGATCGCTTGAACCTGTGAGGTTGAGACTGAAGTGACCCAAGATCCTGCCACTGCACTCTGGCCTGAGTGACAGAGCAAGACCTTGTCTCAAAAAAAGAAGAAAAAGAAAAAAAAGGAAGTTTGCCGACTCCTGAACTAGAGCACCAGAGCATCTCAAGCCCCACCCAGTTTGGCCACCTTTACTAAAGATGAACTAGGCCGGGCACAGTGGCTCACACCTGTAATCCCAGCACTTTGGGAGGCCAAGGCAGGTGGATCACGAAGTCAGGAGTTCGAGGCCAACATGGTGAAACCCCATCTCTACTAAAAATAAAAAAAATTAGCCGGGCGTGGTAGCGGGCATCTGTAATCCCAGCTACTCAGGAGGCTGAGGCAGGAGAACAGCTTGAAACCGGAAGGCAGAGGTTGCAGTGAGCCGAGATCACGCCACTGAACTCCAGCCTGGACAACAAGAGTGAAACACCATCTCAAAAAAAAAAAAATGGATAAACTAAGCCTGCCGAGTGAAAGGCACACATCATTTCACTGAATGATAACTGCAGGGTGTCCCACAAGCTGCTGGCCATTCTCTACATTCATCATAGTTTAAACTGCTTTAATTGGGGTGATTTCCCTGCATCATTTGTCTGTAAAATATGTGAGATCTCTTCCTAGAGGTCTCACCAAGCCACATTGTAAAGGAAACAAACATCATCAAGTTTCAGGTTCCACAAAGAGCCTGTAAATTCCTTAGGTTAGGGAGTTTAGCACAAATCATTTTCTCACAGACCCAAAACACTATAATATTCCTATTTTGTCTTCATTTAATTCCCATGGTCTTAATGTTAAATGTGATGTTCATTTTTTAAATGTGAAGCTCAAGAATAAGTTGCTAACTAACTTGTTGCTAAAATCCAGTTTTATATGTAGTTAAACATTTTGGCTGAGTGCAGTGGCTCATGCCTACAATCCAGACACTTTGGGAGGCTGAGGTGGGAGGATCTCTTGAGCCCAGGAGTTCAAGACCAGCCTGAGCCACATAGCAAGATCCCATCTTAAAAAAAAAAAAAAAAATTGTGGCCATAAACCCTGTGTCTGCACGGTTTACAGTGGGCTTGTGTGAGCTGAAGCTGGCCTGTAGGCAGTGTTTCATCATCTGTGTGACCTGTAGCAACTGTTCAATTCTAGAATGGCTTCCTCCACCCACTTCGAGCCCTCAGGAGCCCCACTCACCCATTCATTCAGAGCACCCACTTGTTGACCACCTGCAGTGGGCCAGGCCTTGGCTGCTCTATCCAGTCTGTGTCAGAGCACCTACAGTCCATGGCAGGCAACAGCTGTAAAGAAAGAACTGCATTAAGTTAGAAAAATATAGGTAAGAGAAGATTGGTAGAGATGAGTCTCCCCCATTGGGAGTCCCATGGCAGCACATAGAAAGGCTTTACAAAGCAGTTGGTCTTCCCACTGTTTGCCCATTCCGTAAATAACTACGTGCACCTGCCATGTGCAAGGCCCTGGGTTAGACACATCACACTCCCTGTTCTCAACCTTACATTCCAGTGGGGCAAACACACAAAACCCAAGTAAACAAATGAGTAAAAATAATTCGATATGATAAGTGCTAAGGAGGAATAAGCAGGGCTCTGAGGCAGAAAACGAGGTGCCCTCTTTTCATAGAGTGGTGGGAGAAGGCCAAATGAAGAGGTGACACTTCAGCTCAGGCTCGGAAGATGAACAGGAACTGTGAAGACCAACCCAGTCAGGAAGAATAGTTGGTGCAAAGGCCCTGAGGCAGAAAAGAACTTAGTATGCTTGAGGAATTGAAAGCTGGCCAGGAGTTGGAGGAACAGACCATTAGCCACGGCTTTGCACGTGGTGTGAGGAGGGGTGTGGCTATTGTGGGCAAGGGTCTGGAATGGCATGGGTGTTGGTGGATGTGCCACGGATACAGGATTCTAGCCGGGACGAGCGGGAAAAGCAGGCTGGAAAGCCAAGGAGGAGGCAGATTGCGACAAGCCTAGGATACCAGGTCAAGAGATTTTGGTTTTATGCAACAGACAACAGGCAGCCAGAACAGAGGAGGATTTTGTGTTTCCACTTAAAAATATTTTTTCTGACAACAAAGTAACTCTATTTGTAGAAATTTTAGAAAATATACACAAG
Organism: Homo sapiens; assembly: GCF_000001405.40. NCBI lineage: Eukaryota > Metazoa > Chordata > Mammalia > Primates > Hominidae > Homo > Homo sapiens. The sequence goes on along the minus strand of NC_000017.11, from coordinate 32,555,462 downwards.
TACATTAAAAAAAACTGGAAGCACACATTCAAACCATTGTTCACATTTTTATATCTTCTTTGCATATAGATCTGTGTATAGTTTTACAAATATGAGATTCTTCTGTACATTCTATCTTATAATTGTGATTTCACTTAACAATATAGAGCAAACATTCTGAAAATGTTTTCCTGTGTCACTGTTCTTTTCCAGCACAGCTTGTAATATCTGTGTGGTATTTCATGCTAACCACACAGGTGTTAAAGGCTGTGCTGGAAAGGAACAGTGACACAGGAAATTTGTGCTAAATTCGTACATTTATTCGACAAGCCCTGCGATTGAGCACCTAGAATGTTTCTAATTTTCAGCCTTACAAACAGTGCTGTGATAATTATCCTTAAAATGATGTATTTATTCATATCCGTAATTGTTTCCTTAGGAATTCCTAGAGACAGAGTTGCGGGGTCAAAAAGTGTATATTTTTTAAGGCTTTTCGTACATTTTTCTAGATTAGCTTCCTAAAAGCTTGTACCATGTTATGCTCCTACCAGCCAAGTGTGAGCATACTTCACTTACCAAGCTACTCACTTTGCACTAGATTTAATTGGCCCGTTTGAAAAGGAAAAAACTTCGTATATCCATTGTTTCAGTCTGCATTTCTTAAATGAAATTGAACGTTTTCTGCCATGGGTCTACCTGTGATTTGTACGTGTTTCATGGATTATTCATATCCTTTGCTGATTTTTTTTCTTTTGGTGTGTTTATGATTTGGTTACTAATTTTTAGGAGCTTTTTATATATTAAGACCATTTACACTACTTGCAGATACTTTCCCAGTCTGTCTTTCTGCATTCTTTTTTCAACAAAAGTTTTGCATTTGTATGTGGTCAATTCTGTCCTTTCCTTTAGCCTTTACATGAATGCTTTTCCCCACTGAAAGATCAGGTAAATATTCACTTATATATCCTTCCCATTCTTCAGTACTTTTACAAATTTTAATAATTTTTATATTATAAATTTCAATAATTTGTCATCTTTAATCAGATTTCTGTATTTCAAAGATAACTGAAGAAGTGTGGAGAAGGTTCCAGAGGGGAAGGAACTGGTATCAGGGAGACCAATTAACTAGGTGTTGCAGTTGCCCAAGAGGGATCTGGCCATGGCAGTGATTCCAACCCTTTCCTGCCCCCACACAGTCTAATTGTACAGAGTACACCCATCAGGAGTAGCTCTCACTATGTGCAGTGATTCTCAACCTCAGGTAGGGGCAGGGGCAGGGGCAGGGGCAGGGGCAGGGACTCTCAGCTCAGTTGAGAATCCCAGTGGAGTTTTAAAGGAAAGAACATATTGAACAGAGGCTCAGGAGGGCAGGCAACTGAATGGCTGTAGGTGATGAGCAGAGTAACTGGTGACTCAGGTATTTTATTTAGGTGAGTTGGTAGATCACGGTTCCATTAGCCTAGACCATAACAACTATGGGAGGCAGAGGCAGAGCCATAGAAAGGAGGGGAAGAGCATGGAAGATGACACAGACATGTTAGAACGTACTTATTTTAAAAGGATATAGTTCAGTTCAGGTGGAAATATCTAAGCAGTGAGAACGGGGAGCCTGGACCCCAGGAGTCTGTACTGGGGAGTGTGGATTGGGAAGCCAGCTTAAAGGAAGTTGAAGTGGTGGGAGTGAATGAAACAAGCCATGTGTGGAGAAGAAGAAGAAAAACATGGCCAATAAGGAACTCTCAGGAACATAACATTCCAAAGGTGGGAAAGGGGTGTTGAGGAGGAGAAATAAGTAAACAGGACTAAGAAGAACTTGTCAAAGAAGTAGGAGAAGCAGAATGACAGCAGTGCCGAGAGAAAAAGAGTTTCAAGGAGAGGGAATGGTCTTCAGCTTTGGAACTTTCTAGCAAGATACCTAGGCCCTTCATTGTGCCATCAAAACCCACGTCCTTTTTCAGCTGCTAGAAGAGGAGCTGATTCTTTCTGCTAGACTCTTTCCTATTCTATGTCAGGTCCATTCGCAGCCCTGGTAATTGCACACACTGCTTCCTCCACCCACAATACTCTCCCCTGCTCTTCCTGGTGAGCCACTCCTCTTTCAGGAACCACTTCAAATATCGCCTCCTCTGTAAAGGCAGTCCTATTCAGCCTTCTGCAAAATTCACTCAACACTGTTGTGAATTTCTCAGAGGTCCCTTGGCACTATAGTTCATCTCTCTAGCTAGCATGCCACCTTGTGTAGTAGTTTTCTACTTCTCAGTGCTTTTCAGGCTCCTCTAAGGAGTTCCCCCAGCAACAGGGAAGAGTTAACTCAACATTCACCAGGGACATATCCCAACACAGCCTATGACATGCTGCTGGTTTTTTTGTTTTTTTTTTTGTTTTGTTTTTTGTTTTTTTTTTTTTGTCTTAGAGAATGGCATCTCACTATATTGCCCATACTGGCCCTGAACTCCTGGACTCAAGCAGTCCTCCTGCCTCAGCCTCCCAGAGTGCTGGGATTATGGGCGTGAGTCACTGTGCCCAGCCTGGCATGCTTCTTTAAAGGCCTGTGTTTTGGTAATGGTTGATGCTGTTTTTCATGCTGTCATTCTAAATGTTGGTTTTAATTTACTTGGGTGTCAGGTGTTTCCAGTTACTTACATGGAGTAAAGCTTAGTCTCCAGCAAGTTTCTCCATCTTCGTTCTGTGGTTTCGCTTACTATAGCACCCTGATGCACATCCAAGGGAAATAATCGTGTCCCGGTTTAAGAAGCTTCAGTTTCCACATCTGTATCTTCCATTGGAGCAAGAGCATTTCCACTGCAGTGACTGTTCTTAAACATCCTCTCTCTAGTACCCAGCACAGTACCTAGGACATAGTAAGCATTGGTGTATACATTTACAGAAGCAAAGGACAGAAGGAGGAAGGTGGGAGATGAAAGAGTGGATGGATGGATAAAAGGAAGGAGGGCAAAAAAGGGGAGGTGAACAGATGAACAGATGGTTGGGAGGGAGACAAGGAGGGGAGGGATGGATGAATGGATGGATGGATGGATGGATGGATGGATGGATGGATGGATGGGTGGATGGATGGATGGATTACAAAGGTTAAAGAGTGAGCAATGCAGGCCAGGCTGTGGCTCATGCCTGTAATACCAGCACTGTGGGAGGCCCAGGTGGGCCAATTATTTGAACCCAGGAGTTCAAGACCAGCCTGGGCAATATAGTAAGACCCCCATCTCTACAAAAAATACAAAAATTAGCCAGGTGTGGTAGTGTGTGCCTCTAGTCCCAGCTACTCAGGAGGCTGAGGTGGGAGGATTGCTTGAGTCCAGGAGGCTGAGGCTGCAGTGAGCCATGATTACGCCAATGCCCCTCTGCCTAGGCAACAAAGCAAGACCCTGTCCAAACGAAACAAAACAAAAAACAGTGCATAAGTAAAGCTTGACTGCAAAGTACGATGAGGGAGAAGACATTAGCTATGGATAGTTTATTTTAACTTCAAGGCATTTGGTAGCAGTGGAGGGATAGGGAAGAACAGGTGGACTTTTTGGTCTTTTGTTTACTGGAGGAGATTTGAACATGCTTCTAGGCTAAGGACAAAGCAGATAGCCACTGGAGGAGAGACTGAAAATATTTATTCAATCAAGAAATATTTATTGAGTACCAACAATGTGCCAGGCTCTGTACAGGAAGTGAGCAAGATATAGACGGTGTTCCTGTGCCATGGAACTTTCATTCCAGCAGAAAATAGAAAGGATAATGGGTCATGATCCATGAGAAAATGGAACCGCGTGCTGATTGGTGTGTTCTCGGGAAGAGCAAAATGTTTTAATGTTAGTCCAGGTCAAACATAATTATGAAGGTGAGACTCCCGAAGGGAAAAGCCACATACATTCCAAAGCCACCTGGATGCGTGTGTGTGTGTGTGTGTGTGTGTGTGTGGCAGTGGGATGGTGGGTGGGGGGACATAGAGAAAGAGCAAAAGTAAAGCTGGACGTGTCCAATGTATATTTGCCAAAAACATTTTTCTCTCCTGTGATTCAGACAAGGTGGTGCTTTCAGGATATACAAGTGAAACCAAGGCAGAAAAAGACATGGCCAAGTCTTGTCTAGCCGGTTAGCCTAAGCTTTTCTGGTCTTTTGTAAGTGACTCATTTCCCTTTTGTGTGGTTTTCTTAATATATTCTGCATAAGGCTGGCTGTTACATCCAAACAGAAGCAAAATGTATGATCTGAGCATGCACTGCCTCTTGATCTAATCCACTTCTTAATTACATTTATGTTCATTGTCTTTGAGTCCTATAGTTTGGGACAATTCTACAGGCTCCCCACCCCTAGAAGTCATTCATTATCAGCTACCAGCCACTCAATGTTTAGTTATAGTGAATAAAATACTTTCAGTGTCAGAAACTATAGATCTCATTTCTAACTCTAGATTAATTCTGTTTCGCTGATAATATTAAGAAATGGCTGTAAATTGGATGAAAATATTCTAAAATTATTTCACTATTATCATTTCTTTCTCTTTTTTTTGACACTCTGTTGCCTAGGGCTGGAAGGCAATGGTACAATCATAGCTCCCTGTAACCTCAACCTTCCAGGCTCAAGTGATCCTCCCACCTCAGCCACCCAAGTAGCTGAAACCTAGCTAATTTTTAAATTTTTTGTAAAAACAGCATCTCACTACATTACCCAGGCTGGTCTCCAACTCCTGGGCTCAAGCTGTCCTCCCTCCTCAGCCTCCAAAAGTGCTGGGATTTCAGGCCTGAGCCACAGTGCGTGGCCCACTTTTATTACTCCTATTTCTATTATTATAGGCTATCCCCAAATACTTTTTAGAAGTAGGCAGAGTATATTCGCAAGTACCTTTTTAATTACCTAGAAAACAAATCTACAAAGAATGAAGACATGGGACTCAGTTTGTGATTTCCTCATTTTTAATGTGTGGTATTATAGAGGCCTTACTAATCCTCTGTGATTAGCTGTGGAAAATTTTGCTTTAATCTTTGCAACAGGTTAGATCATGAGACAGTGAACACCAAAAAAAAATTGCAACTCTGTAGTATTGAAAAAATTTTATATGGCATATTTCTTGTAACAAAGCATAGCTCAGGCTGGGCGCAGTAATCCCGGCACTTTGGGAGGCCAAGGCAGGCAGATCACCTAAGATCAGGAGTTCGAGACCAGCCTGGCCAACACAGTGAAACTCCGTCTCTACTAAAAATACAAAAATTAGCCGGCCATGGTGGTGCACACCTGTAATCCCAGCTACTTGGAAGGCTGAGGCACGAGAATCACTTGAACCAGCAAGGCAGGGGTTGCAGTGAGCTGAGATTACACCGCTGCCCTCCAGCCTGGGCAACAGAGTTAGACTCCATCTCAAAAAAAAAAAAAAAAATTATAGCTCAAAGCTTGAAAATCATTTTGTTTTCATGGGATTCATTGTAAAGGAGATTTGACCTAACATATTATTAATACTGATCTTTTCATTCCGTTAAGTATTCACTATCATAGAACACTAAATTAGGCACATTCCATAGAACTTTATAGTTTTATGCTTTTTGTGATGGATAATACTGAGTGTCAACTTCATTGGATTGAAAGATGCAAAGTATTGATCCTGGGTGTGTCTGTGAGGATACAAAAGGCTTTCACACTGCATTTTACTCCTATTTCGCAATACTTCCATAAGATAGTTAATGCAATTAACGTGTCCTTCATGTGACAGATGAGGAAAATGAGGCTCTGGGATTGAAGAGACTTGACAAAAGTCATTCAGGTCATTGGTATTTGCATAGACCACACACCTTGCCACCAAGTAGTTCCCAGACTGAAGCAGAGGCAAATGACCATTTATGAGTGTAACCCTCCTAGCATGGCATCCAACTCATGGCAGACCCTCTCCAAACGTTAGCTATGTGCATTTAAACTTATAATTCCCACAAACAGAAGTGACATTAACACTACGGAAAACAGAGCTTCGTAAATTAGAAAGTCAGTGCTATGCCCCTCCTATGACCTCGCTAACATTTTCAGAAGGTGGCCCAGGGATTCCTGCTCACTACTTATCTTTAACGTTTATATTTGTAACAAACGATTAAGAGGGAGGGTGCAGTGGCTCACACCTGTAATCCCAGCACTTTGGGAGACTGAGCTGGGTGGATCACTTGAGCCCAGGAGTTTAAGACAAGTCTGGGCAAAATAGTGAGACCTTGTCTCTACAAAAATAATGAACAAAATTAGCTGGGTGTGGTGCTGTGTGCCTGTAGTCCTAGCTGCTCTGGAGGCTGAGGTGGGAGGCTCACTTGAGCCCAAGAGACAGAGATTGCAGTGAGCTGAGATGGCACCACTGAACTCCAGCCTGGACAACAGAACAAGACCCTGTCTCAAACAAACAAACAAAAAGGATTATGCATTTTGTGTAACATATATTTTTTCAGTGTAAATGTATGTGTATACAGATATATATAAAAATAATTAAAAGTCGGCCAGGCGCGGTGGCTCACGCCTGTAATCCCAACACTTTGGAGGCCGAGGCAGGTGGATCATTTGAGGTCAGGAATTCAAGACAAGCTTGGCCAACATGGTGAGACCCCATCTCTACTAAAAATACAAAAATTAGCTAGGCGCGGTGGTGCACACCTGTAATCCCAGCTACTTGGGAGGCTGAGGCAGGAGTATTGCTTGAACCCGGGAGGCAGAGGTTGCAGAGAGCCAAGATCATGCCACTGTACTCCAGCCTGGGCAACACAGTGAGACTCCATCTCAAAAAAAAAAAAAAAGACCAAAAAATAATTTAAAAAGAATTTAAAGTGGTACTGAATAAGAAGTCAGGTCTCCCCTCATTGGTGTCCCATGCAACACAGTGACTTCCCACTGGCACTGGAAAACAGGATTTTTCCCCACGTTGCCAAATGCTCATAGAGCCAGTGACCTGCTGAGGTCTTCTTGAGGAGCTCAGACAGCTCTTAACCTAGCTCTAACTCCTTCTTATTAGGCCCCTTCTCATTTTCCCTCCTCTGCCTTCTATACCTAGATAATCCTAGAGGATAAACTTTTTTTTTTTTTTCTTGAGACAGGTCTCGCTCTGTCACCCAGGCTGGAGTGCAGTGGCGCGATCTTGGCTCATTGCAACCTCCTTCTCCTCGGATCAAGCCATTCTCCCACCTCAGCCTCCCAGTAGCTGGGACTATATACGTGCACCACCATGCCCAGTTAATTTTTTGTATTTTTTGTAGAGACAAAAAATATAAAAGACCAGCCTTGTTGCCCAGGCTGGTCTCCAACTCCTGGGCTCAAGCAATCTGCCCACCTCAGCCACCCAAAGTGCTGGAATGACAGGCATGCCACCATGCCCTGCCTAGAGGACAAACTTTTGGCCAGAGCCAAATTTCTTCAGCAGGTGACAAACCCAGAAAGAAAGGGCTTAGGGTTCTATAGCAACTGCAATGATGAGTGCTCTCTCGTCATGTTAAGAACAAACTAAGGAAATTAAGAACTGGGCTGTCCAAAATGGACCACTCTCCGTAGTGAATTTTTTTTTTTTTTTAAGACACGGTCTTGCTCCTTCACCCAGGCTGGAGTGCAGTGCCACAATCTCAGCTCACTGCAACCTCTGCCTCCCAGGTTCAAGTGATTCTCCCACCTCAGCTTCCCATGTAGCTGAGACTACAGGCATGCACCACCACGCCCGGCTAATTTTTGTAGGTTTTTTAGTAGATTCAGGGTTTCGCCATGTTGGCCAGGCTGGTCTCGATCTCCTGGCCTCAAGTGATCGGCCTGCCTTGGCCTCCCAAAGTGCTAGGATTATAGGAGTGACCCACTGCGCTGAGCTACTATAGTGAATTCTCTATCACTGGAAATACTCAGGCTGAGATCAGACAATCACTTGGGATGCTGCAGAAGCGGTTGGTTGGTTGGACAAGACAATTATGAACAACCTTTCCTAATCTGAGCTTCTGTGATTCTGCGGCAGCAGAAGTCACCTTTATGCCTATGGACACATGAAGTGTGACATGTTAATGACTATGCATATGGAAAAGCGTGGCATTTATTTAATTTACCTAACTTAGAGCCTCACATTCCTTAGCTGTAAAACTGGGATAAAAATACCTGTCCCATGGGATTTTTATGCAGATTAATTTAAATCATGAAACATAATGTAAATTGCCTGCCGCTGTGTCTGGCAGGTACTCATTAGGTGCTGGTTATCTTTGAATATTCACAATATACCATGTGCTGTAACATATATGAAAAAAGACTTGATTGCTGCTTTGAGTTAGATGAGTTCTCGTGCCGGCACAATGGCCCACACCTGTAATGCCAACACTTTGGGAGGTAGAGGTGGGAGGATTTGCTTGAAGCCAGGAATTTGAGACTAGCCTGGGAAACATAGTAAGATGCTGTCTTTACAAAAAAAAAAATGTTTAATTAGCTGGGCACGGTGATGTAGTTCCAGCTACTCAGAAGGCTGAGGAAGGAGGATCACTGGAGCTCAGGAATTTGAGGCTGTAGTGGGCTGTGATTGTGCCACTGTACACTCCAGCCTGGTGACAAAGCAAGACCCTGTCTCTAAAAAAAAAAAAAAAAGGTTCTTATTTTTGTGACTTGGCCAGCCTTCAATAATGGAGCTCAGTGATAGCCTAGATAACCCAAACAAAATAAAGCAAACATCACTTTGAGGTGCACCTCTGAATTTGCATCTGGGCATTACTGATTTGCAGTACTACCTTTGCATTTTATAGGCTGTAAACTAATTGAATTTGAGATTCCTTTCTTGGAGTCTCAACTAAAAGGCAGGAGAACTCATATTTTCATATTTGGGAGCACAGGGGTTTGGGGAAACAGTAGGTTCTTTTTAAATGAATATCCTTGGCAGCCATGCCCCCCACAAATCCTTTTTCTGCTTCTCTAGGAAAGGTGCTGGAAAGCAGCCAGCACATAGGAATTAAAAAGACAACCGGCACAGAAGAGAAATGTGTGCTAAAAATACTAAAACCAACAAGGATTCATCATCTGAAAGCAAAATAGGTTTTCTGTGTGCCCCTGCTTCTGGACTTGCTCACAGTCGTGATGGCTCTGTGTTATTTGGGGGTGACAGTAATTATGGAGCTGGAGTGCTCCTCGACAAAGACAGACAGAGCTCCTCGCAGAGGGATGGTTTCCATGGCAATAGCATCAGCATCTGAATGACTTCCTGTCACAACAAGTTGGTGATTTAATGAGTTCATTACTGAATTCCAAAGGAAAACCAGAGAGTGGATGAGCTACTGTTCAGCCCTCAAAGTGGCTAAGTCCATAGTGAGGGAGCCATTTCTACCGGGTGCAGCATCAGAACCATTAACAGCTCAGGGCCGTTACAAAGGCAGCCTGGGTGCTCCAGGGCGGGTGTGTGAAGGGAAGGCGACCCAGACTGTGAATCTGCAGCCACGTGGTCTGGCAAGGCCTCAGTGGCTGTTATTCCAAGAGTGTGAAAGAATCATATGAGTCTCCACTAGAAGCTTTCCCTGGTTCAAACCCAATAAAATTCATATCACAGGAGTTTAGCTCAGGGCTTCAGATGCATACTCCCAAGTACCCCAAGTCCTTTAGAAAAGACACCGAGAAAAAGAAACAGACCTTAAATTCTTATTGTGTACAGAGGAAAGGGAGAAAGCATTTCATCCTACTTTCTGTTCTTCAGTATTGTAGAGATTGACACTTATGTGGAACCCCAAAAAAAAAAAAAATCACCTGGATACTTCAGAAATTGGAGATGTCATTCATGTGGCGAATTGCATATAAAATTTAAGCTGAGAGGTTATGTATCACAATAAGAATGTATAATAATTGACCTTTCATGCTTTACTATCTTCACTAATTAAAGTCTACCATATGGCTGGTAGAACAATGTAGCCTTAGGCTGATCAATTAACTAGGGACCAGTTAGGGACAGAAGTAAGACAGCGGTCATGATTCTCTGTGAGTGTCTTCCTAATAAGAGGTGGAATGGTATTCCACTCCTCTCACGTTCCTTTCCCCATTAGTTCAATAAATATTTGATCCCTCAAAGGGTTTACGATCTAATAATGGGGACTGACTACATTCAGAAGGAAGCCTAAAACAGGAGAATAATATGCCACTGTTTACTGATGTTTCCTGGGTGCTGCCACTGAGCCACATGCTTTACATACGTTTTCTCACTTACCCTGTATAACCCCATGAGATGAGCATTGCTCCCATTTTTTATATGAGGAAACTGAGCCCTGGAGAGGCTGTGTAAGCCAGAGGTGCCCACAGCTGGGAAGTGCAGAGTTAGGACTCCAACTCGAGTCTGACTCCTTGGTTTGTGTCTTGCGCACTCTGCCCAAAGAGAGATGCAGACTCGGGGCCACAGGCATTCAGCGGGAGAGGCCAGAGAGGGGCAAGATGGAACAAAGACCTTGTAAGGGGAAGAGATGCCTCCTCCCCTTGCTCCCCTACACTAAGCAGAGACTCCATATCAATACGCAAGGCAGGTGGACAAGGTCTGTGCCCAGATATAGGAAACAGAGAAAACTTGGAGAAAGAGAAGTCACAGAGAACTAAAAATATGCATTTTATCAAATATTTTACCAGATCAACTAATAAAATGGGGAATTTGACTAATTTGGCCATATATATATTATGCTTAGAAAAGCATACATAGTAAAGGTTGTAAGTATGAGTGTGTGTGTATATGTGTATGCATGAACAAGTGTTGATCATTTTCTCTTTTAATAAAAATAAGGAAAGCAACTGCCTGACTGATGTGATACTTGCAAAGAACACATAGTTGCCTCTTATTTTTCTATATGCAAGTATACCTACTTTCCAAAACATCTAGCATATTTTCCCAGGATCCCTGAGAGGTGTTGTTCTATCCTTGTCTTTCTAACAATGGGGAAGAGAGAAGATTGCTAGTATTCTCTAAGAGTACCTTCATAAGACGTGGTCAGCAACAGAACTTTTACCACCCCAATCCTACTCATTTTTGGAGATTCCTTTAAAATATACCACTATTTCATTAATCATGTGTACAATTTGGACAGTAGAATTTTTAAAAGAAAAGCTAGTGTCATATAAAACTTAGCAAGCTTTAGGCTGGGCACAGTGGCTCATGCCTGTAATCTCAGCACTTTGGGAGGCCAAGACAGGAAGATCGCTTGAACCTAGGAGTTCAAGACCAGCCTGGGCAACATAGTGAGACAGTGTCTCTACAAATTTTTTTTTTTTTTAATTAGCTGGGTATGGTAGTGCACACCTGTAGTCTCAGCTACTTGGGAGGCTGAGGCGGGAGGATCACCTGAGTGCGGGAGGTCAAGGCTGCAGTGAGCAGTGGTCATGCCACTGCACTCCAGTGTGGGCAACAGAGTGAGACCCTGTCTCAAAAAAAAAAAAGCAAGATTTGGCCAGGCGCGGTGGCTCACACCTGTAGTCCCAGCACTTTGGGAGGCCAAGGCGGGTGGATCACTTGAGGTCGGGAGGTCAAGACCAGCCTGGCCAACATAGTGAAACCCCGTCTCTACTAAAAATACAAAAATTAGCCAGGTGTGGTGGCACACGCCTATAGTCCCAGCTACTAGGGAGGCTGAGGCAGGAGAATTGCTTGAGCCTGGGAGGCGGAGGTTGCAGTGAGCAGAGACTATGCCATTGCAATCCAGCCTGGGTGACAGAGCGAGACTCCATCTCAAAAAAAAAAGCAAGATTTAAGTATTGCTTTAATATGCATGGGATTATCTAGTCAGGACTTAGCATGCCACCTCTTAGGGCTACAAGATCTGTGCTAGGCACACTCCACAGGTGCCACTCGCCTAGACTTTGACATGAAGGGCACCCTGGAGTAGTACAGCATGGCAGCCCTCACATTTTATTTATTTATTTATTTTTATTTTTATTTTTTATTTATTTATTTATTTGTTTGTTTTTGAGACAGAGTCTTGATGTTGCGCAGGCTGGAGTGCAGTGGCATGATCTCGGCTCACTGCAAGCTCCGCCTCCTGGGTTCACACCATTCTCCTGCCTCAGCCTCCCGAGAAGCTGGGACTACAGGGGCCCGCCACCACGCCCGACTAATTTTTTGTATTTTTAGTAGAGACAGGGTTTCACCGTGTTAGCCAGGATGGTCTCGATCTCCTAACCTCGTGATCTGCCCGCCACGGCCTCCCATAGTGCTGGGATTACAGGTGTGAGCCACCACACCCAGCCGGCCCTCACATTTTAAATGACTCACCAAATAATCAGATATGTAATTTGTTTATTTATTCATTTTTTTTTGAGACAGAGTCTCGCTCTGTCGCCCAGGCTGGAGTGCAGTGGCATGATCTTGGCTCACTGCAAGCTCCGCCTCCCAGGTTCATGCCATTCTCCTGCCTCAGCCTCCCGAGTAGCTGGGACTACAGGCGCCCGCCACCATGCCTGGCTAATTTTTTGTGTTTTTAGTAGAGACGGGGTTTCACCGTGTTAGCCAGGATGGTCTCGATCTCCTGACCTCGTGATCCACCTGCCTCGGCCTTCCAAAGTGCCGGGATTACAGGTGTGAGCCACCGTGCCCGGCCCAGATACGTAATTTATAATCATTGAATCCCAGGGTCGGAGTGGAGCTAATGATCATGAAATCCAGCTTCCTCTGTAGGCTATGCTCCCCAAAGTGTCCCACCCTTGCTTGGATACCTCTGGGGTTAGGGAACTCACTACTTCTAAGGGTTGGAGGGCAGCTTCCCACAGGCCTCACTGGACTGTGCTTATACAGGAAATATTTAGAAACTAGTCATTCATATATTGATCAGGAAATATTTAGATATTCCTGAAATACCATTGATACGGGAAATATTTAGCAACTAGTCATTCCTTCTTGTCCCCTAACTGTTGGCTTTTTTTTTTTTTTTTAGCGTTACCTCCTACAGGGTTTGCAAATGCAGTTTTCACATGCTGCCGGGTGTGAACAGCATACTGCTTTTGCTCTTTGGACGTCCCTTCTCATTAATACACATGTTTGGACATGAGGATCAATAAAGTGTTAATAAACTGACAAAACCACAGCTGAAATAGGACTTCACCAGTGTCACAAGACAGCCAGTGGGCCACCCCTCCCTGTCGCACCACGGAGGCAGAAGCAGGGCAGGTCTGCACACATATGCATTTAAGATAAGGCACAATAGCAGTGTGCCAGGCTCCTCAGCCCCAGAAAACAGAGAGGTTCTTCAGTCTGGATAGAGAAGTGGAAAATGCTTTCTTTTCTTTTTTTGTTATAACTGCTGGTGCCATGATAATCCTCTGTCGGCCCGGTGGTTATTTGGCACTTCGATTTCTTACTCTTTTTCACTGTGCAAGTCACTGAATGTAAAAGGTGAATAAGACATGAGGCACACAGACAAATACCTCTGAGAAGGGTAAGTGCTGTCATAGATGTGTGTTCTGGGAGCCAGGGGTTCCTAGAAGGAGCTGCAAACCTGGTGGAGAGGGAAGGACAGTCTCAGAGCCCTTGGGGGAGCTTCCTGGAAAGAGCTACAGCTGAGGAAACACGGAGGAGGAAGAAGAGAGGAATTAGCCGGGTGAAGTTAGGGGAGGAAAAGAGAGTATTACAGTAAAAGCAGGATGTGCTGAAGCTGTTTCAGGGAAGGCAAAGAGTTAAGTATACCTGCCTAAGGGGGTGGGGCGGGGAAGCACCCTGGAGGAGAGTTACAGGGATGAAAAGGAGGTTAGAGATAGGCAGGGGCCTAGTCCTAGGAAGCTTCAAATGCCAGGTGAATAATAAGAATGCACACATCGAGTACCTACTGCGTGCCAGGTCCTGTGCAAAAGTTTTACATGAATTTTTGCTTTAATCCACCTGCACATTCTCTTGGAGCTGGGACTGGACCACTCTCTGATTCTAGATACTTTCTAGCTAACTATCTAAAGAGCTTTATTGTGATATAAATTCACATACCATACAATTCACTCACTTGAAGTATGCAATTCAAAGGTTTCTAGTATATTCAGAGTTGTGCAACTATGACCATAATCAATTTAGAAATAATTATCATAAATGAAAACCCTTTGGCAGTCACCCCCATTCTCTGAAAGTCCCCACCCAACTCTAGGCAATCACTAATCTACTTTCTGCCCCTGTAGCTTTGCCTACACTGGACATTTCATATCAACAGGATTATATAATATGTGGTCCTTTGTGACCAGCTTCTTCCTCTTGGCGTAACATTTTCAAGGTTCATCCATGTTGTAGCATGTATCAGGACTTCATTCCCTTTTATTGCCAAATAATATTCCACTGTATAGATAGACCACATTGTATTCACCTGTTTGTCAGTGGATAAACATTTCAGTTGTTTCCACTTTTTGGCTATTATGAATAATGCTGCTTTGAACTTGTGGATATAAGTTTTTGTATGGACATGATTTCATTTTTCTTGAGTTAAATATTTGAGTCATATAGTAAACCATATCTTTAACTTTTTGAGGAACTGCCAAACCATTTCCCAAAGCAGGTGACCACTGTATTTCTACCAGCAGCGTATGAAGCTTCTAATTTCTCCATTCCTTGCCAACACTTACTGTCTTTTTTTTTTTTTTTTTTTTTGAGACGAAGTCACTCTGTCACCCAGGCTGGAGTGCAGTGGCACAATCTCGGCTCACTACAACCTCTGCCTTACAGGTTCAAGCAATTCTCCTGCCTCAGCCTCCTGAGTAGCTGGGATTACAGGCCCACACCACCATGCCTAGTTAATTTTTGTATTTTTAGTAGAGACGGGGTTTCACCATGTTGTCCAGGCTGGTCTCGAACTCCTGACCTCAAGTGATCCGCCCACCTCAGCCTCCCAAAGTGCTGGGATTACAGGAGTGAGCCACCATGCATGGCCATTATCTGTCTTTTTGATTATAGTCATCCTAATCGATATGAAAAGGTATCTCAGTGTAGTTTTGATTTGCATTTCCCTGATAACTAAAGGTGTAAAGTATGTTTTCATGTGCTTATTGGCTATTTGTATATCTTCTTTTAAAAATATCTATTTAGATCCTTTGTCTACTTTTCAACTGGGCTGTCTTTTTATTATTGAGTTCTAAGAGTTCTTTATGTAGTCTAGATACAAGTTCCTTATCAGATATATGATTTGCAAAGTTTTTTTCTATTCTGTGGGTTTTCTTTTCACTTTACTTTTTTTTTTTTTTTTTTTTGAGATAGTCTCTCTCTGTCACCTAGACTGGAGTACAGTGACGCGATCTCGGCTCGCTGCAACCTCTCCCTCCTGAGTTCAAGCAATTCTCCTGCCTCAGCCTCCCGAGTAGTTGGGATTACTACACTTGGCTAATTTGTACTTTTAGTGGAGACGGGGTTTCATCATGTTGGCAGATTGGTTTTGAACTACTGACCTCAGATGATCCGCCTGCCTCAGACTCCCAAAGTGCTGGGATTACAGGCATGAGCCACTGTGTCCGGCCTCTTTTCTTTTTTTTGGCAGTATCCTTTGAAGCACAAAAGTTTTTGATCTTGACGAAATTCAGTTTATCTATATTTTCTTTTGTTGCTTGTGCTTTTGGTTTAGAGACCGTATTTTTAACCAATACATTATTTGAACTTGATTCTGTGAGTTATGGAAAGTGACTGAAGGACTTAAAGTTGTAGAATGACCTAAAACTTCTCATTTTTAAAAATCAAACTAATGCTTATACATGTGTGGCAGGCTAATGATGATTCCCAAAGAGATGTTCATGTTCTAATCCCTAGAACCTGTGAATATTATCTTATTTGGAAAAAGGCTCTTTGCAGATTTAATTAAGAATCTCGAAATTAGATTATCCTGGATTATTCAGGTGAGCCCTACGTGGCACTAATAAATCCTTATAAAAGAAAGGTAGAGGGAGATTTAACACTCACAGAGAAGGCAGTGGGAAGACAGAGGCAGAGACTACAATGATGAAGCCACAAGTCAAGGAGTGCTGGCAGCCACCCGAAGCTGGAAGAGACAGAGAACCCTAGAGGCTCTGGAGGGAACATGGCCCTGCTCACACTTTGATTTCAGACTTTTGGACTCCAGAACTGTAAAAAAGTAATTTCCTGTTGTTTTAAGCCGCTAAGTTTATGGTAATTTTTTACAGCAGCCATAAGAAACTAATACAGTATGGTTTTTAAAAAAATCAAAGTGAAAGGGTTTTAAATGAAAAGATAACATGCTGCTCTGTGTGTGTGTGTGTGTGTGTGTGTGTGTGTGTGTGTGTGTGTGTGTGTAGAGACAGGGTCTTCCTACGTCACCTCGGCTGGTCTTGAACACCTGGGCTCAAACGATCCTCCTGCCTCGGCCTCCCAAAGTGCTGGCATTACAGGCATGAGCCACAGAGCCAGGCCTTTAAAAAAAGTCATATTTGAACATCATCTATTTTATTTATTTATTTATTTTAAGTTCCAGGATACATGTGCAGGATGTGCAGGTTTGTTACGTAGGTAAACATGTGCCATGGTGGTTTGCTGCACCAGTCAACCTATCACCTAGGTATTAAGCCCAGCATGCATTAGCTATTTATCCTGACTCTCTCTCTCTCCCCCAACCCCCACCCACAACCGGCCTCTTGTGTGTGATGTTCCCCTCCCTGTGTCCATGTGTTCTCATTGTTCAGCAGCTCTCACTTATGAGCAAGAACATGCGGTGTTTGGTTTTCTGTTCCTGTGTTAGTTTGCTGAGGATTATGGCTTCCAGCTCCACCCATGTTCCTGCAAAGGACATGATCTCATTCGTTTTTACGGCTGCATAGTATTCCATGGTGTATATATATCACATTTTCTTTATCCGGTCTATCATTGATGGTCATTTGGGTTGATTCCATGTCTTTGCTATTGTGAATAGTACTGCAGTGAACATACATGTGGACATCATCTATTGACCTTTGACTATAAAAGATGGTAGTTTAGGGCAGGCATGGTGGCTCATGCCTATAATCCCAATGCTTTTGGACACCAAGCCTCAAGGATCACTTGAGTCCAGGAGTTCAAGACCAGCCTGGACAACACAGCAAGACCCCATCTCTACAAAAAAAAAAATAATAATAATAATAATAATTATCCAGGTGCAGTGTTGCATACCTGTAGTCCCAGCTACTCAGGAAGCTAAGGCAGGAGGATCACTTGAGCCCAGGAGCTCAAGGTTACAGTGAGCTATGATCATGCACGCCACTGCACTCCAGCCTGAGCAACAGAGCTAGACCCTGTCTCTAAAAAAAAAAAAAAAGATGATTTATTTTACTTAGATGCCTTTGACTACTCCCTCCCAATTTTTACTCGTTTTTCCATTATCTTTAGCTTACTGTCAGTTACTATTGCAACTCAAAATACTGTAATCATCAAATCTAAGATGCCATCTACTATAAGATGCACCATTATTTTCTATTCCACTAAGGAAAAACAGCACTGCCAATTATACTTCTACAGTATCATGAAGAGTAAGGAGCTTCCCAGTTCAAAGACATTACAGGTTGAAAAAAATGGGGCCTTAGAAACAGTGAAATACAAAAATATACAAGAAATTTTTTTCATGCTCCATCAACTTCAGACCCCCTTGACTCACCATGTCAAATGAAGATATAAGTGGCCCAGATTTTCTCCTTACTGCTCCATGTCCCTCTCTGAACTTTTGACAACTATAGCTTTACTTTTACATTGTTAATATTAATATTTATATTGTTTTCCACTTTGGTGATTGATTCTAAAGCCAAAACCCAATAACTGACATTTATATTACTATGATTTTGTAAGCATTGTTTCCTTCAGAGCCAGGTAGCGTACTAGGATGACATTTCCTTCTTATGGATTCATTTCTCTCTCTATGGACCGCTATGCTAATGGACAACCCTCAGTTCAAACTGGTCATTTCATAATTGGAGTATTTAAATGTTGTTTGTCAAGTCTTAGGCTAATTATAAAAAGCAATTAGACCCTAAAAACTAAACATTTATGATACTGGCATGTGTAGCCCCTGCTCTTTGACATCACTCTATCTGTAGACCTTCTCTTCAATTCCTTATCATCTAAACCTGGAGTCAGCAAACTTTTTTCTGTAAAGAGCCAGATAATAAATATCTTAGGCTTTGCAGACCATATGGTCCCTGTAACAAGTACTCGGCTCTTCCATTGTGTCACAAAAGCAGCCACGGACAATATGGAAATGAATGGACATGGCTGTGTTCCAGTAAAACTTTATTTACAAAAACAGGCAACCAGATTTGGCCCTGGGTCTTAGTTTCCCAGCCCCTGATATAGAAGAATAAATCGTGGCCCTCATATCTTGGGACACTATGAATATTTCAATTTGGAAGGTTTTGAATACTCTAAATTGAAATGACTGTAACATGGGCCACACGGGACTGAAAAAACACTTGAAAATCTAAAATTCTTTAGATGTCATTAATATAGGTCATCTTCCGGCCCTAGGAGGAAACAAGTCTGCTGAAGTTGCACTCTTAGATGTTTCTCCATTCCTTGGGCAAATCAAGTAAGACAGAACAGAGAAACGTCTTTCATCCAACCACACATTTTCTGGGTCAAAGGTGGCCTTTCAACTCCAAAAATAGAACTCTTCCCAACCTCCACTTCCTGCTGACAAGAAGTGTGAACTCTTGGATTTCTAACTGTGAAAGGATGCAATTCATGGAACTTTTTTCCTAACCACCAAAATGAAATCCTGGGTAATAAAGCTTAAAAGGAATCAGTAACAATTTTTGGAATGTTGCCAATGTTTAAGGATATCGAATGGAAAATTCTACAGCCGTGACCCAGATCCGATTCTAAGAAATAATTTCAAACTTTAAAATGAAAAATATAATGCATAATATTTTCTTATTCATACTATCATTAATTTCCCAGCTTAAATCTAATTCTGGGAAACTAATTAATTGGCGTTGTCTTTAGAATTATCCACTTGAAAACTTAGGAATTTAAGCCAGCACATAAGATCTATAACTCATATAAGCCAAACAGCCATATTTATGATTCGTTTTAATATCTAAACCAGTAAGAACCCACTAATTCGGCCATGATAATAAAAGTTAGTTTCGGGTTTAAAATGACCTGATACAATAGAATCTTCTTTTAGTTTTCCCTCTTCAAGATATGACTTGTGATTTAATATAGGTTTCCTTTTTTAGACCTAGAAAATAATAGAATTAGAGTCTGTATCCTGGGGCCAGGCACAGTGGCTCATGCCTGCAATCCCAGCACTTTGGGAGGCCGAGGTGGATGGATCACTTGAGGTCAGGAGTTCGAGACCAGCCTGGCCAACATGGTGAAACCCTGTCTCTACTAAAAATACAAAGATTAGCCAGGTGTGATGGCTTGCACCTGTAAATCCCAGCTACTCCGGGAGGCTGAGGCAGGAGAATCTCTTGAACCCAGGAGGCGGAGGTTGCAGTGAGCCAAGATCATATCACTGCACTCCAGCCTGGGCAACAGAGCAAGACTCCATCTCAAAAAGAAAAACAAAAAACAAAAAAAAGAGTCTGTATCCTGGGAGACCCATAACTCTTGTCTGTCTGCACTCTTCCAGTCTGCAGCTATGCGCTGCCTCTCATGGCTTTGAGTACAAACACTCTCTGCAGGAATAGAGTTAAGCTTAAAAAAGAAATTTGCCCTTCTCCCTCAAGTTACTACAGTCTTATTTCTGCAGGTAAAACACCCTGAGATCCTCAAAGATATTATCTAAACGCTATTGAGTTTTGTATAAATATTCTATAAGTACGATTTTTGTTTTGTTTTGTTTTGTTTTGTTGAGATGGAGTCTTGCTCTGTCCCCCAGACTGGAGTGCAGTGGCACAATCTTGGCTCACTGCAAGCTCCGCTTCCTGGGTTCAAGCGATTCTCCTGCCTCAGCCTCCTGAGTAGCTGGGATTACAGGTGCCCACCACCACACCCAGCTAATTTTTTGTGTGTGTTTTTAGTAGAGATGGGGTTTCACCATGTTGGCCAGGCTGGTCTTGAACTCCTGACCTTGTGATCCGTCCACCTTGGCCTCCCAAAGTGCTGGGATTATAGGCGTGAGCCACCGCGCCCGGCCACAAGTACAATGTATTGTTTCTCTCTTCAAATGTATTGAATCTCTCTTCAAAGAGATTGAAGCCTATGTTTCAAAAAGTGTGTTTTTAATTATTATTACATGGTTTACGTTGCAAGTGCTATGTACTAGGTCATAAAGTGAAAATTTAATCTGCAATTATACTTAAGTGAGCAAAAGATGTTGCATTTTCAGTTTTATGCTTTAAAATATTTTCACATAAGCTAAAAGTTTGGCCTCATTTTCCCAAAGTATGCCATTCACTTCTAACGGTTTACAGATTAAACTTTTAATTTAATTAAGACTGAAAAAGAACCTCTAATAGAAATAACATACATGCTTGATTTGGTGGAAAACTGTCCTTAAATTTAATATTCTCAGGTCCACACCAAATGTCTTGTATTACTTTGCAAGGATTGACTTCTCACAACTGGCCACTAGATATATCTGTATGGACTTAGCCGAATGATTTTCATTTTTCTAAAGAACAAAACGTTTGTGTGTTAACTTTCCATTCTCTATACGTAGTTGGGCACACAGATTGACTAAAATGGCACCTCTTGTTCCCTGTTGACTGAAGCACAGCAGCTGGGGGTTTTTAAGATTTATTTAACTGTACTTCGCTCACTCAATTCCATTCCTTCTTGTGGCCCTCCAGCTGGTCTCACATCTACGGGGTGTAAAGAGAAAAAGGGGGGGATTTCTTCAGTAATGGAAGCACACATCCCAAAAACAAGGAATTAATATTAGCCCCAGCATTTGTCAGAGAAACATCAGCAGAAGCTTCCGCCGCACTCTTCAGCTGTTTTTTGTACTTCGCCCTTTGCAACAGATTATTATAGGACTCACTGATAAGCCTCTAGATCTCATACCCATTAAGGATTTAAACTTTCCAAATAAAACATTCCTCCTTGAGAAATAGAATCTTTGCTGTGTGTCTATATGTGCCCTCATTACCTTGCTTAGGGGTGTTCTTCTTTTAAAATATATTTTTCCAGCTGGGCGCAGTGGCTCATACCTGTAAACCCAACACTTTATGAAGCTGAGATGGGAGAATCACTTGAGGCCAGGACTTCAAGACCAGCCTGGGCAACATAGCAAGACCTTATCTCTATAAAAATAAAAAATTAAAAAATTAGGTGGGTATGGTGGCACATGCCTGTAGTTCCAGATACTCAGGAGGATGAGGCAGGAGAATCACTTGAGCCCAGAAATTCAATGCTGCAGTGAGCTATGATCACACCACGGCACTCCAGCCTTGGTGACAGAGAGAGACCCCATCTCTAAATTAATTAATTAATTTTAAAAATGTAATAAAAGTAATTATTGCATATGGATGGGGAAATGTTGGAAAACTTTAAAAAATTACTTTATAAAGAAAAAATTTAAGTCAGCTATAATTTTGCCGTGCAGAAATTACTATTACTATCCTATTTAAGTAGCTATGAAGTCATGATAGAAAGCAGGTTTCACAAGTTGATTTTCTCATTTAATATACTACAAGTAATTTCCTATTAACAGAAAACTTTATGCAGTCATTTAAAAATTTTTGTTTATTGGGCATTTTGATAATTTCCCATTTTTAATTTTAATTTATGCTATGATGAGCATCTTTATAATAAATATTTGTAACACTTCATATTTTTTTAGGGTAACTTCAAATAGGGTACGGGCAAAGAAGAAAGTGTGTGTTATCCAATGGAAGAGCAAGTATGAAAGCCAGGAGGGAGCAGAGAGCTCAGCACATGGTGGAACTGAAAACAGTGGAGTAGGGCTGGAGCCTGGAGAGCTGGGAAGGAGCAGGAGGCCTGGGAGCTGGAGAGGTCAGCGGATCACAGAGACACCCAGAGGAGCTTGGTCTTTTTCGTGAGAGAATTGAGGAGCTAAAAGAGAGTTTCAAGCAGGAAATCAGATTTATGGCTTAGAGACGTGTGCTTTAGTAAGATCATTCTGGTTGCAGCTTGAAGAGTGGGTGGCAGGCAGCAGCTGTTAAAATGCTTCAGGTGAGATCTGATGAGTCTGAGTAGTGAAGTGTAGTAAGGGAGGAAAGAAGAGAAGGTGGGTTTGAAACAGGTTTTGGAGGTAAAATCTTCAGGATTTGGTGATGGATTGCTGTGGAGTGGGAAGGAGGTGACATCATGGAGGGCCCTCAGGCTTCTGGCTTGGGTGATGGGTGGCCATGAACCCAGCTGTCTCTTATCCAAGGGCAAATATCTAAGAGGCAGCTGAATATAAGGTTTGGAATTAAAATGGGCTAGAGGTATAGATTTGGGAGTTATCAGCATATGGAATTACCTGAGTATCAATTTACAAAATAAAGTTTCATTTTGCCATAGATCTAAAAAATATATAGAGAAGTCCTGCGAATGGAAGAAGAGGGTAGAGGAGACAAAAGGAATGGTAAAAGAGTAGGAAGACCAGAACACGCTGTGCCTTGAAAGCCATGTGAGAGAGTGTCATAAAGCCATCATGATCTTATTCAATAGTTGGCAGAAAACCAACTATTGACAGAATTCAATGATTTGAAAAACCCAGGGAAGTAAGATGGGATGATCAAGTCTGACTTCTTGAAGAGGACCTGCTGTCATTCATTTTGTAACCACCAAACAAAATAACCTTAGTGTAGATAAAGCCAAATAGAGTTGTTTTGCACCAAACAATGGGAGTGGAGGGCCTCAGCCCTGCTGTGGTAAAATGAGCATATCAGCCTCGTGCACTCGTTTGGTTTTTTTTTTTTTTTTTTTTGAGACGGAGTCTCACTCTGTCGCCCAGGCTGGAGTGCAGTGGCAATCTCGGCTTACTCCAAGCTCCGCCTCCCAGGTTCACGCCATTCTCCTGCCTCAGCCTCCCGAGTAGCTGGGACTACAGGCGCCGCCACCACGCCCGGCTAATTTTTTGTATTTTTAGTAGAGACGGGGTTTCACCTTGTTAGCCAGGATGGTCTCGATCTCCTGACCTCATGATCCACCCACCTCAGCCTCCCAAAGTGCTGGGATTACAGGCATGAGCCACTGTGTCCGGCCCCTTCTTCTACTTTTAATATTCGCCCGACTAAGGGCACCTCTTTTAAGGCCGTGGGTCACCATGAGACGTTGACACTACACTGTTTATTCTGCTACAAAGAATATTTTAATTTCTGAATTGGTGTCATTGAGTAAGCCTGCTTGAGGCGGCAGATATAAACTTGTGTAGAAGTTCAAAAGAAAGCAGATCATTTCTGGTTGAAAGGTAAAAGAAAGGTGCAAATCAGAAAATAATTCACAGAGGGGGCTGTTTTTATCCTTCCTTGGTCTGATACTTGTTTTAAAGAACTGACTTCTCACCGCTTAAATTGGAAATTGTCAGCTGAATTCTCAGCAGCCACATTGGAGCCAGGGATGGCACAGTGCAGGACCTTGAGAATGTCCTTATCCTGTAGCACAAAGGATTAGCTGCCACTTCCCAACAGATTGGCTACTTGGTCATGGTGGTTTGCAGCCAGATGATGATGTAGCCATTAAGAGTGAGTGCCATTGTATGATTCCTGATACTAGTGTTGAGACATGAAATTTTCCTGCTCTGTAAGCAAACAATATTGAACATAAAAAGTGACACATAATACTCTAGAAGCTTAAATGTTGTCCCAATCACTTTTCTCTACATTTCAGCATGATTGCCTGTATATATTTTGAATGCACTTCCCCATGCTGATCATGCTTTCAGGTGTTAGAATAATCTAGCCAAGCCTTCACTGAATGCTTCTCCGCTATCCATCATTATGCATGCACATGGCCATTTTTGTTTGATGCACACAAAAGGTTAATGCCTTGAGCCAGGTTTAGAAAATTGGGGATTAATGTCTGAATGCAGAGCTGATGCCATTTTTTCAGGAAAAGCAATGGCCTTTATAGAATCTTTTTCCAACAACATTCTTATTTGCCTTCCATCAAGTTTTATTTGGTATTGCAGAGTAAGCTTACTATATAAATCAGAACTCTTTCTGATGAAGTGACCAATTTAATCCCAAAATTGAATGTCCTAGAAGGAACTCAGAGAGTTGCAGGACCCTGGGGACTTTAAGCACTAGAACCAAGGACGTGATCACCATCAAGATCCTTTTCTTCTCCTCCCAACCCAGCTCTCTTTCTCCACTCCTCTCAGTCTCTGTGTGCTGGCCTCATTTTTTCCGACAGTAGGCTTCTACACAGGGGAAACCTTGGTCACAGGCAGCTCCAGACTTCCATTATGTCAGCTTAGCATCCTGAAAGAAAGAGAAAGCCTATCTGACTTCAAAATATATGAATCCCAACGGAAGTCTCTGATTGGCCCAATTTGGTTCTCATGCCCTGTACCCAGGCCAAGGCATGGAGGAGAGGGAGCAGGTCCTGGGATTGGTAGATCACATGCCCATCCTCAAGGCTGGGGAGTGTCGGCCTATGCTGGGCAGCACCACCCTGGGTTGCAGTGAGGGAGGATCAGTTCTCCAAAGGGAGTGAGGACAGAGAACTAAAAGAAGGGAGCAGACAGAAACCAATGTCAATTATACTCAATGGTGAGTTGCAGTGAGGGAGGATCAGTTCTCCAAAGGGAGTGAGGACAGAGAACTAAAAGAAGGGAGCAGACAGAAACCAATGTCAATTATACTCAATGGTGAGATACTCTTTTATTAAAAAAAAAAAATTATTTTTAGCAACAGGGTCTCACTCTGTTGCCCAGGCTGGGGTGCAGTGGCATCATCATAGCTCACTACAACCTCAAACTCCTAGGCTCAAAAGATCCTCCCGCCTCAGCCTCCCAAGTAGCTGGGACTACAGGCATGCACCACCACACCTGGCTGATTTTTGCATTTCATATAGTGATGGGGTTTCACCATGTAGCCCAGGCTGATCTCAAACTCCTGGACTCAAGTGATCCTCCCACCTCGGCCTCCCAAAGTGCAGGGATTACAGGCGTGAGCTACTGCACTAAGCCTTTCTTTTGTCTTGAATGATGTCTTTCATTCTTGTCCCAGAGTGTCCTGATGCACCACAATGAAATTATTATATTCTTGGAATTAGACTAGCACTTAGTCTGTAATTTTTTCTCTTCTCATCATGTAATTTTAAAATATTTCCCTATGTTCTACATTACAGCATTTGTTGAGATGCAATTATTATAGTTTTAAAGGGCTTTCACGTACATTATCTCATTTAATTCTCAAAATCTTCTAAGCCATTTTTAAATGTATTAAGCCTATTTTATAGATGGACAAAAAGGCTTAGAGAGGTTCTGTGATTTTCCCAAGACCACAGACAGAGTGTAATGGAGCGGCTCGATGAACACAGATCGGGCTCCTTGCCTGTCCTTGGTGTCACATGCCTTAGATAACTGTCACCTATGTTTTTTAATTTATATTTGTCTCATTGTCCCTGGAGAACTGAGACTCTGCCATCTACTTTTACCACAGAGCTCCACGAAACCTCCTCTAGTGCTGTATACCTTGTGAATGCTGAATAGGTGATGCAGACTGGTAATGAACCAAGGAGTTTAAAACGCTATTGTTCAAGTGGAGATACAGCTGGGAGCCTTTGAGGTTGTGGAGCCCAGGTACAGTGGGAAGACTGCCTGGCTCCCCGTGTTTGTTTACGCGTTGGGAGTCAGCACGGGGCCTCCCCCACGGTGAGGAGCGCTGTCCCTGGAGAGCCTCTTGGAAGGCAGCCATGATCGTGGAGAGGAGTGTTCATGTCTCATCCGGGAAATCTCTCACCGCCTGTGCCCCTTCCCTGTCTTCTCTCAGACAGCCCATAGAAACACATTAGCATCCTGGGCCTGATGCCATTCCTTAAGCAAAAGGCACCTGCCCACCCACATATGTCCATGTGAGTCTCACCCACCTGAAAGCAGCACCCCCTGAGCCCATCCTGGCCACATCCACAAAGCACACCCAGCAGCTCATTGCCCCTGCATTAGAGACACACACACACACGATTATAGAGTTTACCCCTGTGGAAAGTGTTTTCAGATGAAACAGAAAAGGGTCTAGCATCCCTTACTCTGTATTCTTCTTAAGGGAGAAACTTACAACTGCAAAACAGGTCCTGCCCTCCCCACCCGCCCCTTTTCTGGTGGGTTTCTTCCCTCCTCTCTGTCCAGGCAGCTCACGTCTCTGGAGGGACACCTCACCTGCTTCCTGCTATAGCCTCTGCTATGTTCTGTGATGCCTTCTGAGACCCTGCCAGACTACCTGGGGCAGCTTGTCTCATGATCCTCCTGCTCAATTCACAGCTCCCTGTTGAAGTACAAGCTAGTTAACAACAGACACAGATTCAGATCCAAGTGAGGGGTGGGTTGGGCTGTGTGTGTGTGTGCACGCGCACATGCAGAATTTTGATACTGCTCCTGCACATTGCATGTAATGATGTGCAACACTTGTTCTTCTCACTTAGGAGTCCCACCATCTAATGCCTACAGGAAGTAAACCAGAAGTCTCATCCGAGGACACCATCTACCGATCTATGTCAGTTTCCTATTGCCGCTGTAACAAATTACCACAGATTTGGTGGCTTTAAACCACAGACATGTTTTTTTCTCACAGTTATTAAGGCCAGCAGTCCACATTCATTTCACTGGGCCAGAACGAGGGCGTTGGGCAGGGCCTGTTCCCTCTGGAGGCTCTCAGGGAGAATCCACTCCTCCACCCCTCCGGCCTCTGGGAGCTGCCGGCACTCCTTGGTTTGTGACTGCTTCACCCTGATCTGTGCCTCCAGGATCACACTGCCTCCTCCTCCTCCTCCTGTCTGTGTCAGATCTCCCTCTGCCTCTCTTTTAAAAGAATACTTGTGATTGTATCTAGGGTCCACCTGGATAATCCAGGATAATCTCCCCATCTCAGCAGCCTTACATAATCCCATCTGCAGGCCTTTTTGCCACGTACGGTAACATTCACAGGTTCCAGGGATTAGGATGTGGATATTTGGGGGTGGGAGGGCATATTCAGCATCACACACTACCCTTCCCAGTAATTCCCCCGACACACATACACACACACACACATACGCACACACACATATACACACCCCTAAGTTCTACTCAAGAGCTGGCTCTGCTTCTTTCAACTTCCCAGTTCTGAGGAGCCAGCTTCCCAGCTCTGCCATGCACTTCCTACCCATCTCACCCTCTCCCACCTGCAAAGCAGTAATTCCTCAGTGCCTTGCTACCAGCTCTCCAAAGGGCAGAGGAGGCTAGACATCGCCTCTGATCAAGGTACTGGATACCTTCTTCCCCAAAACCACTGGCCCAGTGGGGCAGAAGAGGGCAAGCCTTAAGTGGGGTAGAACCCAAATGGGCCAATTTTACCACCATAAGAATCAAGTCAGCCGGGCGCAGTGGCTCACGCCTGTAATCCCAGCACTTTGGGAGGCTGAGGTATGTGGATCACAAGGTCAGGAGTTCGAGACCAGCCTGGCCAACATGGTGAAACCCTGTCTGTAAGAAAAATACAAAAATTAGCCAGGCCTGGTGGCGGGCGCCTGTAATTCCAGCTACTCAGGAGGCTGAGGCAGGAGAATTGCTTGAACCCGAGAGGCAGAGATTGCAATGAGCCAAGATCGTGCCACTGCAGTCTAGCCTGGGCGACAGAGCAAGACTCTGCCTCAAAAAAAAAAAAAAAAAAGTTGTTTTGCTTTTATGTAGCTTTTATTGTTTTGTTTTATTTTTATAGAGTCTCTCTTTGTTGCCCAGGCTGGAATGCAGTAGCACAGTCACAGCTCACTACAGACTTGATCTCCTGGGCTTAAGCAGTCCTCCCACCTCAGCCTCCTGAGTAGCTGGGACTACAGGCACATACCACCATACCCAGCTATTTTTTTTATCTTATTTTTAGTATAGACGGGGTCTCACTATGTTGCCCAGGCCGGTCTGAAACTCCTGGGCTCAAGCGATCCTCCCATCTCAGCCTTCCAAAGTGCTAGGATTATAGGTGTGAGCCACCAAACCTGGCTACTTTTATGTAGCTTTGACAAGCGCAGGAAATGTCTTGCTTCTGCCCCTCTGTCAGGATATCTCTAGAATTTAAAGTTAGTGAGAACAGAAAGCACATCCTTGGCTTACAGTCCACAGGGCCTGGCAGTGCCTCAACAGGCTGGACACTCCTTGGACAGCCACATGGACTCCTCCTTACTGTGGTTAGCTGCCATCAACCAGTCCTCTCGCCAGCATGCAGGGTGGGTTTGGCAGCGCCAGGCACAGCTTCACATGCCTTCCTTGTTCTTCTGAAGTCCCCTCTCTGGATGGTGACCTTGTTCATGTGGCCATTTTTAAAGCAGAAAGTTGGATCCCAGGCCAAATCCTGCCTTGCAGTTCCGAGAGGCATGTGCTGTCCCCCTTCACTGGTGATGGCGGGCCGGGGAAAGACCCCACTGTGGTCTTACGAAAAGTGTTTGTAGAGAAACCAAGCAGCACTGTATGGGATGGCTGATAATTGCTGCTCTTGGTGTTAGTTCCTATCTGCTTAGGCAGAAGGTTGGGACTGGGGAGGAGGAATGTTAGTGGAGATTTTATGTAACTGTAAACTTCCTCTCTACTGTAAGAAGGATTCTCTTGAAAGAAAATGAAAAACAGTTCCAGATGGTCCATGGAAGATGTTTCATGGTTGGAAACCTATTCTACCTCCTTGTCAAGAATAACTATGCCTTGGCTGGGCACGGTAGCTCACGCCTCTAGTCCCAGCACTTTGGGAAGCTGAAGCGGGAGAACTGCTGGAGCTCAGGAGGTCGGGGCTGCAGTGAGCCATGATTGTGCACCTGCACCCCAGCCTGGGCAACACAGCAAGATTCTGTCTCAAAAAATAATAACTATACCTTGAAAATAGGGGTCCATACTTACCAGCCCACAAAAAAAAAAAAAAGAAGGCTTTATGAAGAGGAAGTACCAAGATCTAGATAAAGAGTCTCTAGCTCCTTTCAGTTATCCGGGTAAGATGTTCACTTTGTATTTAGGTATTAATCTTAGGCACAGACACCATCTAGGAGTCTGTAGTGCCACATTTTCATACATATATGCACACTTGAAGATTTTTTCAAACTCATAACTGACAAAGGACTTTATTTGAATAGATATTTGATACGTTAAAATAGAAGACTTAGAGGCTATTGAAGGGCAAATAATTTGATGTAATCTAAGAAATATATTGGAGGGAAAGGAAGAGAGGGAGTTCTTGTTGAGTTCGAAACAATATAGAGCTGATATTTACAGAGGAGCTATTATGTGCTGAGCCAGAAGTGGGGATAAAACAGTGAACAGAACCCAGACCCTGCCCAGGGTTTACAATCTGGTGGGGGAACCAGATGAGTAGACGGGATTACAATGCAATGTGTTAAGTACATTAATAGGGGATATACGTCAAAGGGGCAGTTAAACCTTTCTTGGAAGATCGGAAAGGCTCCTAAAAGTGATGCCAATATTGAGGAAAAAATGACAAATAGAAGTTGATCTGGAAAAGAGACCAAGAGTCTTCCAGGTGGGGAATAGCGTGTGCAAAAGCCTAAAGGCAAAACCATCGTGGCAAACAGGTGTATGAGGGTGAACTAGGAGACAAATAGCTGAATGACCTAGCGAGAAGGGCAGGTAGGTGGGGAGTTGGGAGGTCCAGTTTCTCCTCGGGCTGAGTGACCCTGCCTCTCCTCCATGTTAGCTATTGTCACTGAAGGTAGCGCCAGGGAGCCCAGCAAGCTGCCCAGTTCTCTCTACTTTCTTCTGTGGCATCTGAGACTCCAGGATGGGCTCCAATTAGAAACTGCAGGGAGGGCCGCTGCAGTGTCTCTCGGCCCCAGAACTGATATTTCTGGGGCAGAGAGAGTTGGGTCCTGAAAGTTGAAATAAATGTTCCTTTCTAGCAGGGTTCTGATCGCTTCTCGGCCTTTTGGCTAAGATCAAGTCTAGCAGGGTTCTGGAACTGTCCCCAGCGAGGAGCAGGTTATCAGATGCACAACTCTGATGTCACACCTTATTATATCCCAAGAAAAAAAAAAGTTCTTGGTTATTACCTGAAAAAAAAAAAACCCAAGGAATTTTAGAAATCACTTGATAAGAAATGTCAAGACATACTGACTAGAAATCAAACCACAGCAGCTGCTTCCCACAGCTGCATGCCATGTGGCGACCTCATTTGAACAGTTAGTGAGGCTTAAAATAGCCAGGAATGTAAAACTCTTCAGGATCAGGTCTCTCAGTGAGATAGCCACAGAAATCCACGTGGGGAAGGAGAGAGGGGAGGTTTGTCTTGAAACCGTTGGAGCAGTGGTCAGAGGACTATCAACTGACAGCCAAATAAATCCTACCAGGAGCCTGTAGTTCCCCACTCCTATGAATGATTGAAGCTAACGGTGCCCATTTGACAGATGGTAAGAAAAGTATGTTGGCCCCTGAATGCTTGCAGATTGAGAATTCCTAATTCAGCTATAATCCAAATACAGTTGACTTCCTAAGGAAAACAAAAGTAACGAGATGTAGGCTAGGTGTGGTGGCTCATGCCTATAATCCTAGCACTTTGGGAGGCCAGTGCAGGAGGACTGCTTGAGCCCAGGAGTTTAAGACCAACCTGGGCAACATAGCGAGACCTTATCTCTACTAAAAATTAAAAGAATTAGTCAAGGCCAGGCGCAGTGGCTCACGATTGTAATCCCAGCACTTTGGGAGGCCAAGGTGGGTGAATCACAAGGTCAGGAGTTCAAGACCAGCCTAACCAACATGGTGAAACCCCATCTCTACTAAAAATACAAAAATCAGCCAGGCATGGTGGTGGGCACCTGTAATCCCAGCTACTCAGGAGGCTGAGGCAGGAGAATCGCTTGAACCCAGAGGCGGAGGTTGCAGTGAGCCGAGATCATGCCACTGCACTCCAGCCTGAGCAAAAGAGCGAGACTGTCTCAAAAAAAAAAAAAAAAAAAGAATTAATCAGGCATGATGGCACCCACCTGTGTGGTCCCAGCTACTCTGGAGGCTGACACAGGAGGATTGCTTGAACCCAGAAGTTTGAGGCTGCAGTGAGCTATGATGGTGCCACCGCACTCCAGCCTGGGTGACAGAGCGTGACCCTGTCCAAAGAAAAAAAAAGAAAAAGTAATGAAATGTAAGTTCATTTTTTCCATCCTACGCCTGAGCTTGTTAGCGCAGAGAGTGTTTTAGTTGTGAAACTAAGACTGAGACTGAGACTTTCTCACCAATAGAGGGAAGAGTGAGTTGACGTCGGAAGGAAGCATGCTCCACCAAAGACAAAAGCAAAATGATGCTTTTTTTACTGTGGGAAATTCAAAACGATGCATATATTCATTCAGCCCCAGAGAAAACAGATATGCTTTCCCAAACATAGAAAAGCACCAACAACTTTTTTATTCCATTTTTCTTGTAAGAAAACTAGTTTACCCTGGTTGTAGCAGCTCTGTGGCAATCATAATAGCAGCAGCACATGCTGATTACGCACGGCACTGTGCTCCAGGCACTGTGCTGAGAGAACTCTTTGCCATGGATCATTATCTTTTGATCTTCACAAAGTCTGTATGAAAATAATACTATCGTCATCCCCATTTCATGGCTGAGGAAACTGAGGCTTGGAGAGGTTAAGAAGTTTGCCCCACGGCTTACTGGTTGTTGGGAGAAGATGGGATTTGCCCCGACCACTCTCACTCCAGGGTTGGCACTCTTTTTTTTTTTTTTTTTTTTTTGAGACAGGGTCTTTTTCTGTTGCCCAGGCTGGAGTGCAGTGGTACAATCACCGTTCACTGCAGCCTCAACTTCCCAGGCTCAGGGACTCAGCCTCCTAAGTAGCTGGGACTATAAGTGCACACCACCATGCCTGGGTAATCTTTTGTAGAGATAGGGTTTCTCCATGTTGCCCAGGCTAGGACTGGCACTCGATTGTAAAGCTCCTCGGGCACTGTTTTGTCATGAGACTGAATGGAATGATTTTTGTAGTCTTCTAAGTCTCCTGTGGAGAGCTTTTCTGTTTCTCATTTGCATCATGCTCTTTCGCTATTCGTGACATTTCGCACTTCTGCCCTTTCCTTTTCTCTCATGGACTCGATGAATGAACACTGAATCGGAAATGTGAAGCCCAAGGTGAGAGTTTCACTTCCACCCCTAAGTGCTCTTGACAATTCATAACCTCTTTGGGCCTGGTTTCTTGTCTGTAAAAGGAAGTTGGGTCAGAGCCAAAGCCCACCCCTGTGCTAAATACCTTTCTTCTCTTTCCCCTCCCCCACCTGCCTTCCCATCTCTTTTCCCTTCCTTCTCTTGCTGTCCACTGGCAAGCCCTGAGTCCTACCTGATCCTCTTTCCTCCCATGTGGTAGGCAGGCAAAGGCAGTGGCGTTAGTTGCACTGCTGTCTAAGAGGCATGGGGGGCCAGGCGTGGTTGCTCACGCCTGTAATCCCAGCACTTTGGGAGGCCAAGGTGGGCAGATCACAAGGTCAGGAGATCGAGACCATCCTGGCTAACATGGTGAAACCCCGTCTCTACTAAAATACAAAAAACTAGCCGGGCATGGTGGCAGGCACCTGTAGTCCCAGCTACTCGGGAGGCTGAGGCAGGAGAATGGCGTGAACCCAGGAGGCGGAGCTTGCAGTGAGCCGAGATCGCACCACTGCACTCCAGCCTGGGCGACAGAGCGAGACTCCATCTCAAAAAAAAAAAAAAAAGACATGGGGGACACTAAGACTGAGGAGCCTGACAGCCACATGATGCTCCTAATGGAGTCCACAGGCAGCACTGGCCCTCCTCAGTGGGTAATGAGCAAAAGCTGGCTGTGTGACTCCTCTACCCCACTCGTTTTTCCGTGTTCTTCATGTCATTAGGGTCCTCATACTGCCCCTTAGCTCACCCTCCTGCTTTGTGCCAGGCCATCCTAGCCTCCTCCAGTCCCTCCCCACCTTAGCATCACCTCTCAGTGCTCTGTGCCTCATCCCCTGGGAACTCTGCTGTCTATTTAGGAAACAGTGCATCATGTCTTCCTAATATGTTCACTATGCATCCCTTCCAGCCACTATAATGCTTTAACTCATTGTAAGTCAGCAGCTAGAACTTAAGGCCTTCAAGAAACTAGAGTAGTTTGGGACAAAATTCTTTCATTCTGACCACCAATGGGGGACCCATTTTTGGTGAAAAGGCTTTCATTATAACCCTGAACTCTGTGGTTTCAACTCAGCATTAGGCCACAGCATCAGGCCTTTAGTGGTGAGATGGAAGCAGGGATAGCAAATTATGTCATAATCCATGAAGAGAATTTATTTCATACCTCTATCATTTTTAGTTAATGTTTTGCTTGATTAATTTTAATTATTTGCTCCTAGAGGATATGTAAATTTTATTCGACCTGAATATTTGGAATATTTCAGAGAAACTGAGTTTTGCTTTTTTTTTTTTTTTTTTTTTTTTTGAGACAGAGTCTCACTCTGTCGCCCAGGCTGGAGTGCAATGGCATGATCTCAGCCCACTGCAACTTCTGCCCGCTGGGTTCAAGCAATTCTCCTGCCTCAGCCTCCTGAGTAGCTGGGATTACAGGCGCCTGCCACTGCACCTGGCTAATTTTTGTATTTTTGGTAGAGACAGGGTTTCACCATCTTGGCCAGGCTGGTCTTGAACTTCTGACTTCATGATTCCCCCACCTCGGCCTCCCAAAGTGCGGGGATTACAGGCGTGAGCCACCGCGCCTGGCCTAATTTTTTTATTTTTAGTAGAGAAGAGTTTTCACCATGTTAGTCAGGCTGGTCTTGAACTCCTGACTTCATGATCTGCCTGCCTTGGCCTCCCAAAGTGCTGAGATTATGGGCGTGCGCCACCGCACCTGGCCCTGAGATTTATTTATTTAATCCAGGTTGGCTGGCTAGGGTTCTATGGACCAAGAAGTACTCACCACCCACATCTCAGCAAATTAATGTTTTCCCGAAACATTTTAAATTATTGATCATGAATTTCACTAGCATCTATATTTAAATATTCCTTGACGCTATGGCTACTAAACACAGGAGCAATTTGTATGAGGAACTGAAAATTCCTCCTTAACCTCCTCACTGTTCTTTTCAGTTTGTTCCTGATTATGCGGGAATTTACAGGCCTTCATCACATGAAGTCTGCCTCTACAGAAAGACTGCTTTACTCTTCACTATCATAGCACTCATGAGTGCTATGAGAGACAATATGCGTTTTTTGAGCCTTCTCTTCCCTATTTTAGGTGTGTTTCTAAGGAGTAGGTTGGTTGTCATGGTTCAGGATGGAAGAATACTGGAGTAGGCAGCGGAGGGAGGCAGGCCATCTGGCCCTGAGGGAGGGGTCTTTAGGAAATCAGTAGACAGCCTGCTGGCCAGAAGATTTTAGATGTGTTCTTGCTTAAAGCTGAACTCAAGGTCGGATCTTTTCTCAAGGCCCAGTTCTAGACTTCTAACCTTCCAAACTGAGGTCTGATCTTTTGGGTAAGCCAATGGAAACATTGTGTGTTATCTCTAGATTTTGCTGAACAAAGGGGCGCGATTCCCCGCCCTATGTTCTCAGCAGCTGAGTCCTACCATTCCCTGATTGATTTCCACCCCCTGCCATTCCCAATACCGCCTGCAAAGAAGATGAACTTTGTCAGTCACCTTTGAATATGGTGCAGTTTGAATTCTGGAATGCAGGAATAACAGCAGTTCACGCGTATTATTTTTATTCATCATTTTTCTGTCAGTGGCTGTGTCAAGGCCCTGGGATACCACAGTGGCTTCTAGGATAACCAAAGAACACATATGACTCTTAGGATGGACGTAGCATCATGTCTAGATGAACAGAAGAGTGGTTAGGAAATGGCACTCCAGTCAGACCCATGACCTGTATCGGGGGAGCCCCACAGCAGCGCGAGCAGGGCAGTCGGGAGGCAGCTCCCTGCCAGCCCACACCAACCTGTCACACGCCTATTATTCATCGACATGCCTCTCTATTATAATCTCACAAAGCATGGTGCTCCAGACCCAGGACAGATATGTCATAAAGGTGGGACTTTGCCTGATGGATAAAAAGACCTATGTTCCTGCCCCCGTTTTGCTATTCGCTGAGTTTTCAAAACCTCCCCAGCCACACCCCTTGGCTCTTTGTGTGACTTCATAGCAAGGCATTCGTGCTAACAGGATGTTTCTGGGCCCAGTCGCTATTGCTTTCCGGAGGCTGACCTCGGGAAGTCCTCTGTGTGGACTTTGTGCACAGCGGCAGGGTCCATCACCCTCAGCTAGTGTGCGGCAGGTCCCGGGGCTCAGCAGTTACAGGGATGGTTCAGACCGGTTTCCACCCTCACAGAGTACAGTCTCATGAGCCTTTCCCTGTTCGTGCTGAAATACAGTTTAAGAGATGATACCATGAGTTTGGGCTTTGAATAAGAAAAAGAAAAAGGTGCACAGATTGATTTTCTTTTTCTGGAGCAGGAATCTGAGCAGGAAAAGTGTCACGTAAAGCAAACTGCTGCAGTATGGCTCCTGTGGGCCTGAGTCTTCAGGGTTTCCACTAATCCTATTTCACATGGCTGCGGGGGTAGCCCTTTCTCCTCCCTTCTTAACTATTTCTGGCTAAGACATCGCCCTGGTTTTTTTTTTTAAAAAAAAAAAGCCTGCTGTTTACCCACATCTCCATTGTTCAATGTTTTTGTCTTATATTCTTAATGTTTTTGTCTTATATTGATCCTGTACCCTTAGCTGACCCAAGTCCCCATCCCCTTCCTTTTCAGCAACGCAGTGAGCTCATCAATATGCCAGCAGATGATCTAAGCCCCAAATCATCACCTTCTCGGGAAAGACAGACAAACAAAAACAGCCGGAAGGAGGGCGGGCAGGCGGGCTGGGAGGGGCTGTCGGCGGCGAGGCGGAGAAGCGCGGCCGGCCGGGGCTGCGGGGGGCTGCAAGGAGGGCGTGTGCGCTGGCGCTCGGGCTCGGGCAGCGGCTTCGTTTCAGCCGCGGGCGCTGGGGCCGGCGTTGCCTTGGCGACCGCGTCGCGCTCGAAGCCGCAGCCTCCGCCCCCGCCGCCGCCGCCAGAGCCCACCCGGCGGGTGCAGATTCCCTTTGTCTCCTCCGCCTCCCCTCCTCCCTGCTTCCCTGCGTCCTCCCCCTCCCGCCTTTCCTTTGTCGCCCCGGATTCCCCGGCAGCCGCCCTTCCTGCGCTCCGCTCCCGCTGCAGGTGCCCGGGGCCGCGAGGACAGGCCTCGCCGCCACCCCCACCCGGCCTGCCCAGTGCCTGGCATGAAACCAGTGTTTCCAAAAGCGGTGCCGGGCTGAAGCGCCGCACAGGAACTTGCTTCCCTCACCTGGGCGGCCTCGCTGGCCTCTAGCCGGCCTGTACCGCGCATAGCAGAGCTAGGAGACATGACAGCCGCCCCCTTTAAGGACCCAAGAGATTCCCCACGGACCTCTTCCCCTTCCTTCCGTTTGAGAGGGAGCGGTGTCACTTGGTGAGAGGGAGGAGACGGGAGGAAAAGGAGGTGAGACTCGACGTCCAGTGCCCTCTTGGCCTGGCTTGCTCGGCCTTCCCTGCAGCGAGGCGGGGCGCACATCCCCTACCCGGGCCGCAGAGAACCTGTCGGCCGCCGAGTTCTGCAGCTCGATGGCATTGCGAGGCCGAAAGCAGAATTTCCAGGACCTCTGAGAGTTGAAGTCGTTATTCGGGGGGAGGGGATTCTGTGAGCAAAATGTGCTGCTGTTAGCATTCACGGTCACCTGGTGATGAAGAGTGCTGGGGATTTGGCCACAGTAATGGCCCTAACCCAGAACCCTCTTTGTCCTGGAGCAACATAGCAGCTCTAGTGGCAGTGGCGTCAAACATCAGATTGGCTCATATTCTAGCCGATACCCTCTTAGTGTGTGCCAGTCTTAGTGTTGACTGATACACCCTAAGTGGGACTGTGGTTGCTCATGAGGAGGGAAACCGAGGCCAGGTGATAGGGGTGGAAGGAAACACGCTTTCCCTCTAAATGCTTTGGGACCTGTGAATATCATACCATGTGCATTTCTTATTCACTCTTTAAAATCAAATGTTTTTAATATCACTTCTTCAAGAAAGTGTTCACTGACTCCCCCGAGAGTAAATAAGATAGATTAGGTTTCCCGTCACGATTCCATTGCAGTCTGTACTTTTACCGCGAGAGCTCTTCGCAGAATTATGAATAAACAGTAATGAGTGTGCAACTCATGTTTACAAGAGTCTTCCACACCAGGCTCTGAGCTCCATGAGGGCAGGAGCAAGACCTGGCTTATGCATCACTGTTCCACAAGGGCTGACACACAGGCTTTAGCCAATGTTTGTTGACGAAAGAAATGAGAAGGGGACAAGAAAGAGGGTGATGGCGGAGTGGTGGACCAGGTGCTGTCCAGAGGGTGATGACAGAGTGGCAGGCCAGGTGCTGTCCAGAGGGTGATGGCAGAGTGGCAGGCCAGGTGCTGTCCAGAGGGTGATGGCAGAGTGGCGGGCCAGGTGCTGTCCAGAGGGTGATGGCAGAGTGGCGGGCCAGGTGCTGTCCAGAGGGTGATGGCAGAGTGGCGGGCCAGGTGCTGTCCAGAGGGAGAGCCGGGGTGGCAGGAGGGGTGCCCATCTCCACATCCTCCTCTGAGCTCTGTGACCCTTGGGGGCTCAGCCGCTCCTTCACAGGCACTTCTAGAATGTTGTTCCAAATCATTCTTGTAATTCTTCTTTCTAGTATATGTTTAAAAATTGTCATAATAAAAAGTGTGATAAATCAATTAAATTGTATGTAAGGGGAATCCTATCATGTGCTAGGCCAGTTCCCAGGCAGCTAATTGGAGCATTTATCTGAAGCAAAGCGGGGCCAGCTCTTCTTCCGGTCGTTCCCAGGGAGGGTGATGCTTAAACGGTTTAAAGCGGTGGTGCACAGGAAAATCACCCAGGGAGCTTTAACAACGCGACATTCAGGGGTCCACAGGCAGACCAATTGAAGCAGAGTCTCTGGGGTTGGAGCCTGACCACTGCTAGGGCCAGTATTTTTCATAAGCTTAACGTGCAATCAAGGTTGAGAATCTTTGCTCTATGGGCTCCCAGAGACAGACAAGAGGAAGTGGGGACACACTCACCAAACCCAAAGATTCCATTTCAGCTGTAAAGCTGACACTGATACACTTGAGGCTAGACAAAGAGGCTGTTTGCTTCAGCCCACTTCAGATTGTTTCAGTACTGCTCATATGACTTCTCTTTGCCTTAAAATGCCTCCGGATCCCATCCTGTGACAGTCATTTAAAACAAATGTGTAACTGCCTAATCAGGGCACAAACCATTTTTCAGATTTGCCTGGGCAGCAGTGACCTAAATATTACCCAGGGTGTCTGACTTCCAGCTCCAGAGGAAGAATGTATTTGGTTTGATTGTTTTCATGCCAATAAAGTTGGGCCAGTAATTCAAGGTCCCCATTGGGATAGCTGAATCCTTCGATGCTATAAATTAGTTCTTTAGAAAGCAGTGGTGTCGTTTTTATTGAATTGTTCACCTTCCAATGGAATCACTATGCACCCACGCTAATTTGTTGTGCCATTGTTAATGGATATAAGATAAAAGGAGCAGGAACTGGAGAGGATGGTGGAAGTGGCCCAGCCCATTTACACCAGCCAGGTATGTGGAGTAAATCTTGGGAAAATGTGTCTATTTAATCCACTTACAAGCCAAATGGTGTAGCAAGTAGCAGCAGATCCATTCTGCTCTCTCTCTCCCAGGTAACAATGCAGGCAGTAAATAAGGCCTGTATTAGAAGCCACTAAAGCTGTAAACACACACAGCAGGGAAATTTGCCTAAACTGCCCACTGAGGTATCAGATGCAATTGGCCTTCTATTGGAAGTGTGTCTGCGCTCAAGGGCAAGCCAAATTTGGCAAGAAGCCATGTGGAGACACTTCACATTTAAATCTTCTACGAGACTGGGGGCAGGGAGACAAAGGTTCCTCTGGGGCTCTCAAATCCAATTGGTGATTCCAGAGAAAATGGGGACTCTTCATGGCAGGCAGGAAAAGGGGAAATGTGGCCTGAGAGAACCCACACTTTCCCAGCCAGCAAGCTCCAGCCTGGATCAAAACAACCCATTTCTGGGAACTTAAAATAAAAAATAAGAGAGCAGTCAAATGAACTTGAGACCCCCACAGGGCCTTTCATGTGTCTACCAGCAGCAGCATGGTGAGTGGTTTCTGTGATGTGGGATTCCAGGGCAAGAGGCACTGGACCATGGCCACTGGTTCATCTCTCATTATAGGCCAGAAATAGATGCCCCATCCCAGGAAAAGGGAAATAAGGCTGCATGGAATGTTTCATCTGTTGGAATATTGTTCTGCTCTGCCTGACAAGATTACTGAGTTCTCAGTTCTGTAGCAATGGCATTGAGTAAGAGTCTGAAAATTGATGCATTATGTACTCGCTTAAAATAGCAAATGCAGAATAGAAAAAGCAAAGCTGCTAGGAAGTGTGCAGAACATATTGATAGAAAGGCCTGCTTTGCCTCTGTCATTACCAGCATGAAAGTGTGTATCGGAGCAGGGGGTAGACTTTCCATCAGAAGCATCTGAGCAGTGGAGGCTCTTTTACCGCAATGAGACAAGGGTACATTTTTTTAGCTGACATAAGTGAGTGTAAATCTTTCTGTTCTCAAACAGGTGGTAGAAAGTGGGCAATTTGTTTCTTTTCATCTCCGTGTTCTGGGCTTGGTTTATGAGATAGCTGCCTCTGTTTTAACTTCTTTGAATTCCCCTCAGAACAAAAATCCCCCACCACCTGCTACTTAATCAAATATTCTTCACTGTGGATTATAGTTGCCTGGATGGGAGCAAGGTTCAGTGACAGTGTGATGGAAAATATCCAAAAAGAACTATGTCGTCAGCCCCAAGAAGAAAGCATTATCCTTTGTCCTTAAAAATGGGATTTAAGGCTGGGCACAGTGGCTCACACCTGTAATACCAACACTTTGGGAGGCTGAGGCAAGAGGATTGCTTGAGCCTAGGAGTTTAAGACAAGCCTGGGCAACAAAGCGAGACCCTGTCTCTACAAAAAATCAAAAAATTAGCCGGGCATGGAGGCACATACTTGTGGTCCCAGCTATATAGGAGGCTAAGGCAGGAAGATGACTTCACCAGGAGGTGAAGACTGCAGTAGGCCATGGCTGGGGGACTGGGCGAGACTCTATGTCAAAGAAAAGACAGGAGGAGGGAATTTAAAAATACTGAATAACAAGTTAAAAAGTCCTTCTGGAATCGACAAGCCTTTTTGCCCTGGAAGGTGGCATAGTTGCTTCTTAGGGGAATATCCGTGGTCAGGGACAGAGGCCTTGAGAGGCTGGGCAAAGGTCCTTTCAGCCCTGGTTTCATTCGTCTAACCAGCATTCCACTCTAACAGCCTCCTCCATTCAAGCGCTTACTCCATTAACAAACATTAATGGGGCACTTACTCGATGCCAGGCATGGCACTAGCCACTGTGCATATATTTTCTCCTTTAACTCTCTAGAAAAAAGAACATTATCCCTGTTCATTATCCCAGTTAAGGAAACTGAGTTTAAAAGGATTAAGTAACTGCCCAGAGCCAGACAGCTAGATTTGAACCCTAAACTATTGATTCCAAACCTTGTATTCTTCCCACTATGCCTCCATTGTCTCCTCTTTTGATTAAGCAACATTCCTAGAAATACAGGGAACCTGGAAGGCCCCTGTCCGCATCTCTTTCCTGCTGCTGCTGCCAGCTGGAATGTCTGACTCCCGGATGTGTTATAACTAAACTTCTAAAAGAACGATCAGTATCTGAGAAAAATCCCTTTTTTCAAGCTCAGCAAGCAATGTGATGTACTAACAGCCCCTCATCGTGATTCAAACTAACTATAATTTACCCATTGTTGTTGGACATTGACTAGTTTCCAAATTTTTATAGGTCACCACGATTTTGGAGAGTGTGACCTGCTATTTGCAAAGCAAGGATTAGACTTTCCCTCCTTTCCCCTTTATAATTTGCACTATTGCTTCTAAGAATAGTGTTTTTTAAAGTTTGGACATTTTCAGATAAAGATTGCTGGAAATAATAGTGTGAAAAATATTTTTTAAATAAAAGACTAACATTGAATAAAAAGATAGAAATCTTGGGCATCCGCGGTGGCTTACACCTGTAATCCCAGCACTTCGGGAAGCCAGTGTGGAAGGATGGCTTGAGCCCAGGAGTTCAAGACCAGCCAGGGCAACATAGGAAAACCCTGTCTCTACGATTTTTTTTTTTTTTTTTTTTTTTTTTTTTTTTGAGACAAAGTCTTGCTCTGTCGCCCAGGCTGGAGTGCAGTGGCACAATCTCAGCTGACTACAATCTCTACCTGTGGATTTAAGCAGCTCCCTGCCTCAGCCTCCCGAGTAACTAGGATTACAGGCACATGCCACTATGCCTGGCCAATTTTTGTATTTTTAGTAGAGACGGAGTTTCACTATCTTGGCCAGGCTGGTCTTGAACTCCTGACCTCATGATCTACCCGCCTCAACCTCCCAAAGTGCTGGGATTACAGACATGAGCCACCATGCCCGGCCAAAAAAATTTTTTTAATTAGCATGGTGGTGTATGCCTGTAGTCCCAGAAGGCTGCAGTGAGCCATGCTCACACCCTATACTCCAGCCTGGGCAACAGAGCAAGATCCTGTCTACAAAAAAAAAAAAAAGAAAGAAAGAAATCTTAAGGCGTTTGGGGTGGGTGAGAATGACAGCCAGGTTGCTGAGACACAGCTGTGCGGGCAGGCTTACCATTTCAACTCTAAATTTTCAAATTCTAGACTTTATTTGCTGTCACTTAATATAGCACAGCATCACTGTAATATTGTAAGTGCTGATTTTATAATAGAATTTTCTTACAAAAATAGGTTTTGTGAAACAATTTTGATACATGATAAACTGTTTTGACATATGATCTACCTTGCTGGATTACATCTATTCCTTTAAGGGAGAGAGAGCACTGAGCCCTGTGTACTCCTGGGTCTACATGGTATATAGTGAAACCCTTTGCATCCTTTTCCAGAGGAAGTCAAACTCAACACTGTCCAAAAAACAAACTCATTCTCTCTTTCCACCTCCTTCTCCATCACATGAGCTCAAAACCTGAAGACATGGTAGAGTCTCCCTCTTATCACCCACATTCAGCCAGTCGCCACGTTCTCACTCCTAAGCGTCTCTCCAGCGGGACCCCACTCTTGCCCTCTCATGATCACAGCTCTTTCTGCCTTGACTTACAGTTTCCTAATTGGTCATCCTACCTCAAAATGCCCCCATCAGTCAACAGTCTATCTGCCATACCTCCTAGTTTATCTCTATCAATTTCATGTATTGGCTCTTTATTAAGCACCTACTGTATACCACACCCTCTTTTAGGTACGGGGGATACAGACAAGGTCCCCCTTCCCATGGAGCTTACCTTTGGGCAGGGGATAGAAGCTATAGGAGACGGACAGTTAACCAACTAAGTATCAAACAAGTCAATTTCAGTTAGTGGTAAGCACACTGAAGAAAACAAAGTATTATCTATTTTCTGTCTTCAAGAATCCTTGGCTGGGTGTGGCCAGGCTTCAAGGTGCCTGAAATGTAGCCCCCACTCATCTTGAACTCATTGTCAAGTCCTCCTCATCCTCCAAAGGGCAGCTCATCGCCTTCTTGTCTGTAGGGTCTTGGAGACCACTGTGGCTGGAGAAGCCCAGTTAGGCTTCAGGGAGAAAGGACAGGTAGAGCTTGAGGGACGTTATTAAAGGAAGGAGAGACACTGGCTGAGCAGGTGAGTCACCTTCAGCCCTGGTACACCAGGCTGTCTCCCTTGGCACCCTGTTCAGTGGCTCTGTCTTCATCCCTATCTGTGGGGAGTAGCACGAGGATGAGAAATCCTGACATGCTGTGGACCCAGTGCTGAGAGCCTAGTTTATTCCAGTGATGCATGTGCATAGCAAAGCCACGCAAAGCCAGGACACAGCCTAAGAGGCCACACCCTTGCAGGGAGCAGGCAGAAGTCCTGGGCACCTCCCTCCACCCTGGGCCTGCTTAGTGCCCTCTAGACCTTCTGTGATGCTGACTCTGTTGCACCTGATACAGTAGCTCAGGAAGCCTCCTTCCCCAGGCTCTGAGCTTTTTTGAGAACTGAGGCCTTTTTATTATTTATCTTGCATCCCAGAAGATGCAGATGTTTCATGATGGCTCTTTTTTTTTTTTTTATGAGATAAGAGTTTCACTCTTGTCGCCCAGGCTGGAAGGCAGTGGCGCCATCTCTGCTCACTGCAACCTCTGCCTCCTGGGTTCAAGTGATTCGCCTGCCTCAGCCTCCCAAGTAGCTGGGATTACAGGCATGCACCACCACACCTGGCTAATTTTGTATTTTTAGTAGAGATGGGGTTTCACCATGTTGGTCCGTCTGGTCTCGAACACCTGACCTCAGGTGATCCGCCCACCTCGGCCTCCCAAAGTGCTGGGATTACAGACATGAGCTGCCACACCCAGCCAGCTCTCTTTTTAATATATATGTCCCCAGTGTGTTTGTGTGTAGGTGCTAAGTGCTTTCAATGTTCGATTCTCAGGTGGCAGGGACTGGGATCCTGTTAACTCCTCTATCCAGTGACCCACAGCTACACACAAATATAAATTTAAATGCTTCTTGATAATGGTGAGCTGAATAAGCAAATATATAATGGCGTTCCCGACAAACCACTAAAAATCGTCTGTTCAGAGGAAGGTGTGGGTGCTGGTGCATGTTCAGTCCAGTCTTATTTAGCACCTTCATTAATGATGTGAATAGAAAATAAACATTGGTGTTCACAGATGGTGCTAACTTTGGAAATGCTGTTAATAGAAGTGTCAAGAGAGGAGAACAGAAATATAAGCAGGAAATAGCAAAGATGTCCAAAAAAAAAAAAAAGTTCAATACAGCAAAGGCGAAAACCTCTTTCAAACATGTAAAATAAAGCCCTACAGACATTAGAGCAAGAGCATCAAGAGATGAGAAGTTCGCGGGGGGAGCTGGATATGGTTGCTCTGGCCTGTAATCTCAGCACTTTGGGAGGCCAAACCAGCCTGGGCAAGACCAGGCTGGGCAACCTAGTGAGACCCCATCTCTACAGGAAATTTAAAAAATTAGCCAGGCATGGTAGCACACACCTGTAGTCCCAGCATCTCAGGTGGCTGAAATGGAAGGATTGCTTGAGCTCGGGCGTTTGAGGCTGCAGTGAACTATGATCATGCCACAACACTCCAGCCTGAGCAACAGAGCAGCAAGACCCTGTTTCCAAAAAAAAAAACAGAGTGAGCGAGAGAAGTTTAAGGAGAGTAGGGGAGGTAGAAGAAGGAAG
The DNA here is from genome assembly GCF_000001405.40 of Homo sapiens. NCBI lineage: Eukaryota > Metazoa > Chordata > Mammalia > Primates > Hominidae > Homo > Homo sapiens. Next base: position 32,511,175 of record NC_000017.11, on the reverse strand, counting down.
AGACGTGAAGAGAAGGGGAGGAAAGGACAGATGTCCTCTGATTGATGTGGGAGGGTCTCAAGGCTCCAGAGCCCACTTCCCTCTTGAGGGTCAGATGCTGGCCCAGGCGTCCCACTGAGGTGGCCCCAGCCCTCTGCTCACAACTGCTGTCTCATTTGTTTTGTGATGGGGCTTTGGTTTGGTTTGGTGGTATTCTGTTTCTTTTTTTTTTTTTTTCTTCCCTCATACTTGAGGGAGCTGTGGGTATAGTTTTGTTCTTTAACTCTGGTTTTGAAAGGTTTCATTATGCCTGGCATAAAGTATTAATTTGGGCATTTTGGCAGGGTCAGAGGAATGCAGCCTTTAAAGAGTACAGATTCCAAATAGACAAAGCAAAATGGAGCTTCCTCAACACCTCCAAGTCTGATGTTGGTGGAGGGGAAGCAAAAGAGAGAACCGACGCAGGGGTCGCCAGGCCTCTCCCGGGAGCCATCAGGCCACCTCCAGTGCACCGAGTCCCTGCCTGGCCCACCTTGCCAGGGGAAGCCTGCTGAGGCACAAAGCATACGAAGCTTTTGGTTGACAAAAACGGAAACCAGGAGTCTCCATGGAGTACTCCTCAGGGACTGCAGCTGGAAAGTCAAGACAAAGATGTGTGCTGGAGAATAGTAAAAAATGCATACAAATTCTCCAAGCACCAGGAGAGTGCCTCTTTCTTTAGCAGCCTGGAATCATCTATGCCTGGAAACATCAATGTCTTCTGGCCAGACAAAGGCCAAGGAGTGAAAGGCGCTATGCCCAGCAAGAAAAACTTACAAGTGGTGAAAGTGCCTGTGCAGGGAGGGGGTCAGGGGCTGGGTCAGAATGTCCAAACCTCAGCATCGTTACAGGAGGTTCAAAGTGCCTTTTCCTCTGACTCAGAAGCACCTGGTATTAAAGAATTCCATGCTGCAGAGGCTATGCTCCACGCAAGAGCTAGAACAGCATTTTAGGGTGGAAACTAAATGGAATGGAGGCGCAAATGCTGTTGAGGAGACAGTTGCCCTGGGCCAGGTCCTAGCCTCACCTTCCAGCTGCAAGAAGTTGCTTGAGCTTTCTACGCTTCTGCACCCTCATCTATAAAGTGAACAGAATGACAGTGCCCCATAATGACAGCTTTGATAAGGATTAAATGAAATTAAGTATGTAAAATGTTTAATACAGTGCCTAGTAAATTCTTAATAAATAAATGGATGACAGTGAATTTCAACCTTCTCCTCCCAATCTAAGACCCCTTTACAACTCCGCAGGCATGCTGCTGAGGAGCTCCAGGCCCATATATTTCACTAGAAATATCTGCCCACATACTTTGGGAGGCCGAGGCGGGCAGATCATGAGGTCAGGAGATCGAGACCATCCTGGCCAACATGGTGAAACCCCGTCTCTACTAAAAATACAAAAATTAGCTGGGTGTGGTGGCGCACGCCTATAGTCCCAGCTACTCAGGAGGCTGAGGCAGGGGAATTGCCTGAACCTGGGAGGCGGAGGTTGCAGTGAGCCGGAATCGATCGCACCACTGCACTCCAGCCTGGTGACAGAGCAAGACTCTGTCTCAAAAAAAAAAAGAAAGAAAAAAAGAAATATCTGCCCACATTTCTGAAGCTATTACTGAGAAATCTGCATGGAGCCAGTGCAGTGTCTGCTCGTCTCCATTAAACCTCAGGACATAAAAATGGCAACATGTTTATCGATACAATTCCCGGAGCTTCTCTAACCTTGCATATGTGCTTCCAAAGCCCATCAGTCCAAATGTTTTCCATCCTACCAAATGTTTTTATTTCACTGAAAACTTCATTAGCAGTGGGGAGGCAGCAGCTAATACAGGGATGTTTGGGTTTACAAAGCAAGGTAATGACTCACTTTGCAAGAGGGTTCTTCAGTTCCCAAAAGGCACCCCTTGAACAGTGAGTGTCCCTAGTGCCTCTTCATATGTTTTCATCACACTTGACACATAAACAGCCCCTTACACGGAGCAGGATACCAGGCCGGGACATGTACCCCACCTGACCCTTTGTGTTCAACCCCAGCCCACCGATGGCTCCGCCTCACTTGCCTCACTTCTTAACAACCCTGCTGTGAAGATGGGTGAGGCCAGCCTCATGTCTCCCAGTTGAAGACATGTCTTGTGTTGACATTAGCCCCAGCTGCTTTCTTAATCATGTCATTTTATAAAAATTCATTCTTTCTATAGACATTTATGGAACTCCTATTTTGTATCAGACACTGCACGAGGAGCTGTTGATAGGGACATGAAAGTGCTCAGCTCATCACTCTGCTCAGAAGCACACAGCAAACAGGGACCACGGCTAATGATGTGCTTTTTAGGGGCAGGATGCATAGAGGTTAAGACTTGGACTATGGCCTGGATTGCCTGGGTTCAAATCCTGCCTCTACTCTATCACTTCGGGCAGGCAGGTCCTTAGGCTCTTTGGGCCTTCTCATTTCCTCTTCTGAAAAGGAAATTCACCTCGTGCTGTAGTAAGTCCGTGAATTGATATCTGTAAGGCACTTAGTAAGCACTGTATACTGTTTGACTATTTGTCTTAGTCTGCTCAGGCTGCCATAACAAGATACCATAGACTGGCCAGGGGAGGTGGCTCACACCTGTAATCCTGGTACTTTGGGAGGCCAAGGCAGGTGGACCACTGGAGGTCATGAGTTCAAGAGCAGCCTGGCCAACATACCAAAATTCCGTCTCTAGTAAAAATACAAAAATTAGCTGGGCGTGGTGGTGTGCGCCTGTTAATTCCAGCTACTCGGCAGTCTGAGGCAGGAGAATTGCTTGAACCAGGGAAGCGGAGGTTGCAGTAAGCAGAGATGGCACCACTGTACTCCAGCCTGGGTGACAGAGCAAGACTCTGTCTCAAAAAAAAAAGATACCATAGACTGGGTGGCTTGAACAACAGAAATGTATTTTCTCACAGTTCTGGAGACTAGAAGTCCCAGATAAAAGTCCAGCATGGTGCTGGGTGCAGTGGCTCACACCTGGAATCCCAGCACTTTGGGAGGCCAAGGCGGGCAGATTATGAGGTCAGGAGTTCAAGACCAGCCTGGCCAACATGATGACACCCCGTCTGTACTAAAAATACAAAAATTGCCTGGGCATGGTGGCACATGCCTGTAATCCCAGCTACTCAGGAGGCTGAGGCAGGAGAATCACTTGAACCCAGGAGGCAGAGGATGCAGTGAGCCAAGATCGCGCCATTGCCCTCTAGCCTGGGCGACAGAGCGAGACTCCGTCTCAAAAAAAAAAAAAAAAAAAAAAGTCCAGCATGGTTGGGTTCTGGTGAGGGCTCTCTTCAAGGGTTGCAGACTGCCACCTTCTTTCTGAGTCCTCACGTGGTGGGGAGAGAGAAAGCAAGCACCCTGGTTTCTCTTCTTTCTGTCAGATCAAGGCCCTGCTCCTATGACCTCATTTAACCTTAATGACCTCTGTAAAGCCCAGATCTCACAATACTGTGGTGTTGAAGGCTAGGTCTTCCATATAAGGAATTGGAGGGGACACAATTCAGTCCATAGTACTATTGTTATATTGTTATTTTATTCTCCTTTTATTTGATTTCTAATTTTACTGCACTGTAGACACAGAAGATGGTTTCTATGTGATGCTAATTCACAGGTTGTTATTGAACTTTCTTCTGTGGTCTAGTATGTGTTCTGTGTGTACTTTAGAAGAATGTGTGTTCTCTAATTGTTGAATGTAATGAATACACACACATACACCCAAGTTTTTTGTTTTTGGGGGAGTTTTTTTGAGATAGGGTCTCGCTCTGTCACCCAGATTGGAGTGCAGTGGCACAATCACAGCTCACTGCAGCCTCAACCTCCCAGGCTCAAACAATCTTCCCACCTCAGCCTCCCGAGTAGCTGGAACTATAGGCGTCTGCCACCACACCTGGCTAGTTTTTTTTTTATTTTTTGTAAAGACAGGGTCTCATTCTGCTACCCAAGTGGGTCTTGAACTTCTGGGCTCAAGCAGTCCATATCTGCCTCAGCCTCCCAAATTGCTGGGATTATAGGAATGAGCTACCACACCCAGCCTATTTTTACTTTTACTATGATTGTGGACTTGTTATTTTATCTTTGTAAATCATATGTATGAGAGCATCTTCTTGGTAAACTGTTCCTTAATAAATAAACAAAACAATTATCTAATGAACTTTTTTTTAATTTTCCTGAGACAGGGTCTCACTCTGTTGCTTGGCCTGGAGTGCAATGGCACAATCATAGCCCATTACAGCCTCAAACTCCTGGGATCAAGTGACCCTCCCACCTCACCCTCCCAAAGTGCTGGGATTACAGGCATGAGCCACTGCACCCGGTCTCTAATGAGCTTTTTCTCCAGCAATGCTTTTCCCCAGCTTTCTTTTGATTAGTATTTGATTTATGTATCATATTCCCTACCTAAACTGTCATCATGATTTAAATGGCATCTGTTACAAGTAGCATATAACTGCATTTTTAAATTAAATCTGAGAAATCCCTTTTAGCCAGAGGTTTGCACATCTAGGTTTACTGTGCTCATTTATATATTTAAATGTATTTATTCCATTATTAGTTTGTGCCTTCTTGTTCCCGTGTTTCTTCTTTGCTACTTTTGTTCCCCTTTCCTGCCTTCTATCTGATGGATCAGATTTGTTTTATACCCTCCCTTCTACTGCTCTGAGAGTTGTACATCACAGTCTACTGTATCTGTTTCCCATTATTATAATTTTTTTGCACTGTGCTTGCCTGAAGGGAGCCTCAAGTTCATGAGTCTCCCTACCCTCCTCCCAAATGAGACATGGACCTTTGAATGCTTTCCTGGGACCACCACCCCACCTTTCATGCTGCTGTTATCCAGGATTTTAGTTCAACAGTGTTTTAACCCCCCAAATGAGTCATTTTTATTGTTTCGTATAGTGAATGTGTATTTGGGTTTGCTTATATGGTGACCTGTTTATTTGCTCCTCATTGTACCTCATGCTCTGCTCTTTCCTTCTAGATTCAGTCTCTTTCCTAATGAGGTGTCTCGCAGCAATTCTTTACAAGACAGCCAAGATAGGCCAGCTCTCAGAGCACTTGTTGTCTGAAAAAGTCTTGTCTTATTTAATTTCTTTTTCTTAGAGATGGGGTCTCATTATGTTACCCACACTGGTCTCAAACTTCTGGCTTAAAGCGGTCCTCCCACCTTGGCCTCCCAAAGTGCTAGGATTACAGGCGTGAGCGACCTCGTCCAGCCTGTCTGAGAAAGCGTTTGTTTTGCCCTTGCTCTCAGATGACAGTTTGGGGATAGAATTCTAGGTGGACGGTTTTTTTCCTTCAGCCCTTTGAAGAGTCTGTATTTTCATTATCTCCCTGCATTAGATGTTCTTTTGCAAGTAACGTGTCTTTTCTCTCTGGGTATTCTTAAGGTTTTCTCTTTGCCTTTGGTGAGCTGCAGTGGATTTGCTTTTTTCAAGAGGTCAAGAGAAAGGAAAGTGTGAGGTTTCTGTTTTTTACTGACAATTTGTTTGTTGATTTGTTTTCCCACCCAGAGGTTCCTTGCCACTTTGCCAGGCTGGAAGGCAGACTTCTTCTGGTGTCCTGTTCACAGACGGGGCAGCCTGCGGAAGGCCCTGCCACATGCAGGGCCTCGGTCCTCATTCCCTTGCATGTGGACCCGGGCGTGACTCCTGTTCAGGCTGGCACTTCCCAGAGCTGAGCCCCAGCCTGACCTTCCTCCCATACTGTCTTCACACCCCCTCCTTTCTTCTGATACCTGGAGGTTTTCCTTTCTTTCCTGTCACCTCCACTTGGATTTTAAATCCTCTGTCTGTGGAATTGTATTCGGCACAGGAAGATGCTTGCAAGGGCCAGGCTCATCAGCCCTGTCCCTGCTGCTGGAAGCAGCACAGCAGAGCCTCATGCTCAGGCTGAGATGGAGCAGAGGCCTGCAGACGAGCACCCAGCTCAGCTGGGGTTGGCGCCGATGGTGGAGGGTCCTCGAAAGCTCTGGGGACGATGGCAGAGCTATTGGCAGGGGAGCCGCAGGGTCTTTTGAGCCCTTAAAAGATCTCTCTGATGACTGTGTGGAGGACATCACACAGTCTGCCCCTGTGCTGGGGCAGACCCAAGGCAGAGAAGCCAGTCCGGGCTATGACAGTAACCAGGAAGGAGAGAAAAGGGTCTGGGCTGAGGCCTCGGCAGGGGACACAGACAAAAAGTGCAATCAGTAGAACTCAGAGACTGTCGGCAGTGGAGAAGGAGCGGGAGCGGGGCTGCCTGCCAGCTCTCTGGCCTCAGTGACCGTGCAGACGACACCTCTCACTGCATAGGCTTGATGGGAGGAGGGAAGCACTTTGAGGGAGGGGGCCAAGAGGATGATCTCAGCATTGGCCATGTGAAGACTCAGCTGTCTGCAGAGCATTCCGGGGATTTGTCTAGGAAGTGGCTGAAAAGACATGCATGGACCTCATGCTAAGAGAGGGGACACGGACTGGATCATTGTCATTGAAACCACAGGCATGAGTGATGCCACTGTGAAATAATGTATAAAATGAAAGGGGCCGAAGATGAAGCAGTATTTAAGGAGTGAGAAAGCAAAGCCAAAACAGCTCCCGCAGGAGTCCCACTTATTCTTGCGGTATCAGTCTGTGTGTCGCCTCCTCTGGGAAGCCCACCCACCCCAGCCACCCAGGGTCAGTGACCCTCCTCCATGCAGCAGGTGCTTCCTACAAAGCACTAGCATCCACGAGCTTGGGCCCGGGTCATCCTCACCGCATTTGTCCTTCTCTGGACAGTGCCCCTTCCACCCTGGGCGCTCCATGAGTCACTGCAAAGAGAACGTGGGCAGGGAAGGGAAGAATGGGTGTTGGCAGCATGAGGAGAGTGCCATGGGGGAGGGGCAGCCCAGGCTGGGAGGGTGGTGGCAGTCCTGTTGGGGACACAAGCAGGGTGAGTGTGGATCACGCCCCCGGGCCTGGGAGCCAGGTCAGTTCAGTGCTGTGGAGAGGCAGACAGCAGGCTTGGGTGAGGTCTCAGGGCATGCTGGCTGCCGACAACACCCAGATATGACCCAGTTGGTTCATGACAAGAGAAAGGTTTTACTTTCCAAATACAAATGGTTTTGCCCCATTCCTCACCAGCTGCAGACCCAGAAAGGACTCAGTATGCCAGGAAGCACCACGCCACCACTCCTGGACTTGGCCTGGTTGCTGAAATCATAGCCTCACCTTATAGGTGACTGTGGTAAAAGTGTCCATTCGACCCTGACATAAACAGAAGTGGCATTTCCTAAAGCAAGATTTTGAAAGAGATTCCCTGTGTGGTTTGACATCAGCAGGGGGATTTACTTCTTGAAGGAACTGAAACACAGAGTAAACAGCTGCAGTCATGAGCTCCTGATGCTCCAGTCAGTAGCTGTTGTCCTCAGTGTGAGCCAGAGAGCATGCATTATGTCCTAGTGACATCCAGATGGAGGACGGCCTGTCTCTGTGACTCTAGAGTTTCTCATGAAGCACTTAATGCATTTACTATCACTTTGAAAAGCACCTGTCTCTGCTTGGTGCAAGGCTGTGTTCCTCCTACCACATCCTGTTACCAAACTTGAGAGAACATTGCATTAGCCTCACAATATTCTCAGACACTCCTTGCTGCACCCAGAAAAATGTTCTCACCAAGTGACTGCACTGCACCCCACTTCCACTGCATTTTCCCTTGAAGTGCATTTGTTAGAACCTGGATCACCCCCACTCTCACAGGGAATGCCATTGAGAGGAAAAGTGACTCACTGATTTCTTCAAGTCCTGCCTGGCTTCTGCAGGGGCAGGGCAGGTCGGCGAATGACAGTCTCCTAATCCCAGCTGAGCCAGGGCTGCCTGCAACCTCCCAGGACCCGCTTTCCTGGTTGGCTTTGACCTAAAACCCTGCACTGCCCAGCTGACCAGGGGCCTGGATGGGAGGGGATGTTTTCTGGGCTGATTCACCTTCTGGACAGGAGTGGCCTGTCCCACTTTGTGCAGGGCCTGCGAAGGCACAGGTAGCACAGGGAACATGTTTGTTCATTCCATAGATCAAGTCTTGCATTTACTCACGGGTTTCTCTAAGAGCAGAAGACAAGAGTCTAAATGAAAAATGAAGGAAAGTAATTTGATAAAGGCCATTTGCCTGCAATGATGGCTTGAAACAGATGAAACGAGATGAAAGTCCCCGAATTCCACAGTTTGCTGGCCATTAAATCCTGTAACAGAGGATGGGGAGGGAAAAAAAATATCCCTCCCCAATGCAGCCAGCCTCCCTCGGCAGCTGTCCTTTGGCTTGGCGCACCCTCAGAGGGAGACGCCCTGCCTCCATCTGTACGATGTTTCCTTTTCTTTAAAAAATAAGGAAAGAATTCTGGCTCTAGTTGGATTTCCAGAGTGTGGCGAAGTTCAAACAAGAAAGAAGTCACTGACCCCAAGCGTCTACTCCGTCTCCTGCCCAGGCCTTTCTCTGCTCTGTCTCCAGGATCAGCACAAGAAATCTCTTATTAGTCTTAAAATTATTTTGGCTAAACTTGAGATGAGGAGAGAAAACATGGTTTGAAGGCAAATTCTAATTTTTCATTTAGGTCAATCCACATTTTAAAAAAAAATTATTGTGGTAAAATACACATAACATAAAACATATTATTAGTCACATTTAGTACATTCACAATGTTACAAGACCATCACCTCTACCTAGTTCCGGAATATTTTCATCACCCCAAAAGGAGACCCTATGCCCTCTAAGCAGTCCCTCCACGCCCCCACTCCCCGCAGCCCTTGGCAGCCACTAACTGGTTTCTGCCTCCGTGGCTTTGCCTCTTCTGGCTATTTCATATAAATGTAGTTATACAATATGTAGCCTGTTGTCTGCCACCTTTCACTTAGCATCATGTTTCAAGGTTCAAGGTTCATCTTGTTGTAACATGTGCTAATACTTTATTCCTTTCTGTTGCTCAATAATATTTCATTGAATGGATGTACCACATTTTGTTTATTCATTCATCCACTGATGCACATTTGGGTTTATGTAGGAAAAGTCTCTATCAAACTGTTTCCTCTGCTCTCACACCACCACCACAGTCATCAACACAGAAGAAGACTTCTGTGACCAAAGGTATGGAGGTTTTCGCCACACACCTACCAGTGGTCACCAGCTGGGTGTCCTCCGATTCAATTCCGACATCATCTACCTGGAGATGGTGTCAGATCCCACAGGTTGAGGGCTCAGACCAGCCCCCACACCACCCCTAGACACCAGTTGCAAGTCAGGGTCTCTGGAACTTCTGACCAACCAGCTTCCAGTTGGAGTTCCCAGGACCTCCTCTTTGGGTTCAATTAATTTGCTCACAGAACTCAGGGAAACACTTCCTTACATTTACCAATTTATTAAGAAGGATATTCTAAAGGATGCAGATAAACAGCAGATAAAGAGACAGACAGGGCAAGGTGTGGAAGGGTCCCAAGAAGCAGAGGCTCGTCTGTCCTCGCGGACTGGGATGCCTCCCGGTACGTGCTGGATTCTTCTCCGCCTTCCCGTCAGCCTCCATGTGTCCAGCTCTCCAGAAGCTCCAAACCCATCCTTCTTGAGTTTTTTATGGAGACTCCATTGGCTGTCCATGATTGAAGCATGGACAACTGTGTCGAAATGAGATTGGCCAAAAAGGGACTGATCTAAACCCACCAAGGCCTGTCCATTCAGATCTTTCCTGGCCTCTCTGTGCAGCATTCCTTCCTCCAAGGTGTTGGGCAGGACCCCCTCGGGAATGAGGGTGTTAGGGCTCACAATCAGATTAGAGAACTGACTTGGGCAGGAGAAAGTCAGCGAGAGAGATTTTGTTTCCTGAGGGCTGCTTCTGAGGCTTCTGAGGCCTAAAGCACCCCAACGTTATAACAAAAGACTAACAATGGTTATGGGAGATACGAGCTAGGAACTGTGGATGACACCTCATCATATCATCATCATCATCACCATCATCACATCACAAGGCTGTTGCTACCTTTGGTAAACAGTGCTGCCATGAACATTCATGTATAAGCTTTTGTCTGTTCTCAGTTCTTTTGGGTATATACCCAGGAGTGGAATCGCTGGGTGATATGGCAGTTCAATGTTTAACTTTCTGAGGAGCCGCCAACCTCAATCCACATTTTCTTTTTTTTTTTTTTTGAGATGGAGTCTCACTCTGTCACCCATGCTGGAGTGCAGTGGCACGATCTTGACTCACTACAAGCTCCGCCTCCCAGGTTCACGCCATTCTCCTGCCTCAGCCTCCCGAGTAGCTGGGACTACAGGTGCCCACCACCATGCCCGGCTAATTTTTTTGTGTATTTCTAGTAGAGATGGGGTTTCACCATGTTGGCCAGGATGGTCTCGATCTCCTGACCTCATGATCCACCCACCTCGGCCTCCCAAAGTGCTGGGATTACCGGCGTGAGCCACTGCGCCTGGCCCCTCAATCCACATTTTCTGACTTCGTTATCTGCTGATGGCAGTGTGTAGATGGCGTCAGCTGGGCAGTGCTCAGCCGAACTTCAGAGCAGAAGGCTGGTTCTTCTTGCCCTTGTTGTTCGGTGGTGAGCTCAACACACGTAGTCACTCAACCCCCTCTTCTGCCCAAACGTCACAGCAGCACCACACAAACAGGCTGGGAGTCAGGCAGGCCAGGGCTGCCCAGGTCTGTGCCAAGGAAAAAAGTAGTAACCCAGGCAACTGTCACTTAAGGCGGCAAAACAGAGTATCTCTCTGCTAAGGAGCAGACCTCCTTCCCAGGTCTGGTTCACAGGTATCTGGCCACTTTGTGTTTAGAAGGAACTTCATGGACTGGGTGAGTCTCCATCCCAGGAGGCTCTTGACCAGTTGTGCCCATTGTCTTCCTCATTCATGAGGCTGCAGTGAGTGTGCGAAGTTGATGAAGTGAGCAGATGAAGTTGTGTTACTGGGAGAGAGCCATTTACACAGCAGATGGACTGAGGCCTGCAGCCTTACGCGGCCCCAGCACGTCCAGAACCTGTGGCCCAGCCAGTGTTGCCCATCAGCACCTGGGAGCATCTCCTGTGTGCAGGGCAGCACCACGCATGCAGCTGTGTAAGACGCCTCCCCTCCCCGCCAGGACCTTGCATTCTGAAAGTGGAGACCAGTACATGTGGTGTGAATGCTCCATTAAACTTGTAGGGTTGTTTATTTTTTATTTTTATTTTATTTTTTATTTTTCAAAGATGGGGTCTTGCTCTGTCACTCAGGCTGGAGTGTGGTGGCTCAGTCTCGGCTCACTGCAGCCTCCGCCTCCCAGGCTCCAGCGATTCTTCCACCTCAGTCTCCCAAGTAGCTAGGACTACAGGCCCATGCCACCACACCCAGCTACTTTTTAATTTTTTTTTTTGTAGAGACAGTAATTCACCATGTTGCCCAGGCTGGTCTTGAACCTCTGAGCTCAAGCAATCTGCCGGCTTCCGCCTCCCAAAGTGCTGGGATTACAGGTGTGAGCCACCATACTTGGCTTTTTATTTTTATTTGTTTATTTTTTTTTATTTTTTTATTTTTGGAGACAGAGTCTTGCCCTGTCACCCAGGCTGGAGTGCAGTGGCATGATCTTGGCTCACTGCAACCTCAGCCTCCCAGGTTCAAGCGATTCTCCTGCCTCAGCCTCCCGAGTAGCTGGGATTACAGGCATGCACCACCACACCCAGCTAATTTTTGTATTTTTAGTAGAGACTGGGTTTCACCATGTTGGCCAGGATGGTCTCGATCTCCTGACCTCATGATCCACCTGCCTCTGCCTCCCAAATTGCTGGGATTACAGGCGTGAGCAACTGCACCCGGCCGCCTTTTTAATTTTATTTTTAGAGACAGGGTCTCACTATGTTGCCTAGGCTGGTCTTGAACTGGGCTCAAGTGATCCTCCCACCTCAGCCTCCAGAGTAGCTGGGACTACAGGTGTGCACCACCATGCTTGACACTTGTAGGATGTTTTTTGTTTTATTTTGTTTGAGAGGGAGTCTCGCTCTGTTGCCCAGGCTGGAGTGCAGCGGCACTGCAATCTCCAACTCTCTGGTTCAAGCAATTCTCCTGCCTCAGCCTCCCGAGTAGCTGGAACTACAGGCACCCACCACCACACCCGGCTAATTTTCGTATTTTCAATAGAGACGGGGTTTCACTATGTTGGTCAGGCTGGTCTCAAACTCCTGACCTCATGATCTGCCCGCCTCAGCCTCCCAAAGTGCAGGGATTATAGGTGTGAGCTACGCACCCGGCCTGCTTGTAGGATTTAAACACAGAATCAGAATCCAAGCCCCTCCCCACAGGATGTAAAACATTTAGGAAGAGAATATTCAAAACAGAAACATTCATATGGTTTTGTGAGCTATGCTAAAATGTGTAAAGAACATAATCTGATTCAATAATATAGCTCTCTTGAACCATCTCTTTTGGAGGTTCTTGACACTTAACTGAGAAAGCAGTGGAAATTCCTTCTGCGAAGCGAGAAATTGGCACATGTTTTACACACAGTCCTTCACATCTTTCAAAGTGCCTCACGTGCATCACTCCTTAGACCGTAAATTCCACGAGGGCAGGCGGCTTCCCAGGCTCTCAGGAAGAACCCCTGTCTGGCTCCCAGCTCGGGTTTCATGTTTCCAGTGCCGACACAGTGCCCGGGGTGGAGTCAGTCCTTGTGGAGCACCTGGAGGGTAGATGGTTTGATGGTTGTAAAAGCCAGACAGAGGTTTAAGTGACTTGAACAAGGTCATGAAGCCAGGAAGCATGGCAAGGCCAGGACAGAATCCAGACTCTCCCACCCGTAGGCCCGGCTCTTGTATTAAGACCTCAAAGGGATCAGGAGAGATCTCACGTGGGCTTAGAAAACAGTCCTGGGAGGGGCAGTGTGGGGACCGCCACTAAATACCACCTTTTCTTTCCTGAAGTGTCACTGATTTTTGTTCAGTTGGGGGATGTTCTGGGGAAGTGGGAATTAGATGTTTGCCTCAGATCAATATCCGTGGTCCAGGAGAGGGACAGGTCCCCGAGAGGGGACAGAGACAGGCCCCGCCACCCTCAGCACTCAGGCGAGTCTCTGCACTGCCTCCCATCTCCTGCGGTGCTGGGGCTCCTCCGCCCAAAGAGAAGAGCTAGCAGGAACACTGCCTCCGCCAAGCCCCAGGGGCTGGGCCGGTGGTGTGGAATGCCGGAAAGCCAGAATTGCCAACGGGAAGGAGAGGACCAACTGGCTGTCCCGGGACAGTACCCACCACCAGGGAGGGGACTGAGCAGCTGTGGGGCTGGCACAGCAGAAGTAGGACAGGGAGAGGGAAAGGGGCCCACAGCTAGCTCATCCACATCCACAACCCAGAAGGATCCAGTGTCCAACTTCTGCCTTCCTTCTTGCTATTCAAGAACCTTCATTTCAGCAGAGTGGTGGCCTCGGGTGGGGAAGAGGGGCTGGCCCGGCAGTGGGAGCACTGTTGACTCGTGCATGATCGGCTTGGACCTTCCAGAGCGTGGTCTGCTCTTCCCTCTGCTGGACACTCCCTGAGGAAGGGCCTCCCCCAGGCAGCAAGTACTCCACAGGACCTACTGACAGGGACAACAGAGGGCAGGAGGAAAAGGTTTCAGCCCAGCCCGTGTGGGAAGCAGCAATCTGGAGCAGTGGTTCCTGCTGCATTTTTTATTCTACAACAACTCCCTGAGGATGATATCCTGGGTGCCGATTTATTTATTTATTTAGAGACAAGGTCTCACTCTGTTGCCCAGGCTGGAATGCAGTGGCATCATCATAGCTCATCACAGCCTTGAATTCCCGGGCTCAGGCGATCCTCCTGCCTCAGCCTCCCAGGGAACTAGGATTACAAGCACAGGCCACCACACCAGGCTCATTGGTTTGTTTTTTTATTTTTTGTAGAGAGGAGCGATGGGCTCCTGGGCTATAGGCTATGTTGCCCAGGCTGGTCTTGAACTCCTGGCCTCAATTGATCCTCCCTCCTCTGCCTCCCAGAGTATTGGGATTACAAGCATGAGCCACTGCACCCGTGCCATTTTATAGCAGTCATTTGCTCCTCCCCATTTTCCCACCAGCCCGAACCCCGGCATCAAGGCTGTAGAGCATATCCTGGAGATACACGGAGCCCAGAGGAAGCAGGGAGGGTGGAGGCAGGGGCCACCCTGCTGAGCGGGAGTCAGGAGAGCCCTGCACGGAGGAGCATGCCCCGATTGTCTGAACACGAGAGGGTGAGGGTGAACTAATGGTTCCCATTTTCTGTCTCTTAATTTTTTTGAGCTGACGTGGAGCGTGGCCTGTTTAGAGCCCATTCCCTCAGACTGAGTCACCAGGTGATTCTGGAACCCACTGTGTACATGCAGTTCCCCAGGGAAGGGCGAGGGCAGAGTCTGGACTCCCTGCACAGGGAAGGGCACAGGCCCTCCAGGAGGGCGAGCAGGGGGAGGCCGCTGCCAGGGTCAGGAGGGAGGCTCCCAGAGGACAAGAGTCCAGTGAGAGGGACCCAACGCCATACCAGGTTGACAGAGGGGAGGCAGGGAGGCCACCCCAGCTCAGGGACCAGCCTGGTCCTGGAGGCATCTGGTCCAGCACGAGGGCTGCAGGGGCCCCACCTGGACCCCGCCGCCAAGGGCTGCACATGAGCCCTGCAGAGCGGCCCTGGTGCCCACAAGAGTAGAAGAGGGCCTGAGTCACGGCCTCTGCTGGGCTCTGCTATTTTTATGTCCAAGTCTGGTTAAAAATAGCTGTCTAAGCTCAGGTTTTAGCTGCAGCTGACAAGACATTAAGTATTAGATACGTAATGCCCACAAGTGACAACCGGGGTCTCTTCCTGTGTCCGTGAGAAAGCAGGGGGGAGACAGCCATGAGGAGAGCCCCTGAGCACCCCGCACTTACCTCTGAAACTTTGGGGCCTGCTGTGGGGCGCGCCCACCAGGTGTCCTCAGAAAGCGTGTGCTGGGCCAGGTGCTCTAGTGACACCCATTACTCTGGGCACGCTGACCCCGTGGAGCCACCGCACGTCGGAGCCCTTTGAGCTGCCTCGGCGTCTGAGCAGTTGCGCCTCCCGGGCAACCAGTGCTTAGAAAGTGCCTCACGTGCTCATGGCCTGGTGAAGGCGACTCCAGGCTGGGCAGAAGCTCAGCGCATGCTGGCCTTGGCCCTGGCGTTCCCCTGGCCGTGTGGACACGACAGCTTGGCGTTCACTGCCCAGCACTAAGAGCAGCTCCGTAAGTCCAGCAGAGCGTTCAAAGCGGGACCAACCTGCCCACGCCCCAGACGCCATCCCGAGAGCAGTGAAAAATTCCCAGGGCTTTCGGCATACGGAGCAGAGCCAGCCAGTCCTGACTGGAGGCTCCGAGGTCAGGAGGCTTCCTCCTTTCTCCTCTCCCCTCCCAGCTCAGAGCTGACAAGGCACAAGCTGAGGTACAGCGTGGGATTGTGCTGCCTGTGTGAGCAAACATTGGGGTGCCAGCCTATCGCGACAAGTGTCTCTGCTTTTAAAACCAGCAGCAGCTTCTTAGCATGTTCAGCGTCGTGTGAGGAGCTGGAGGAAGGGCTCGGGCTCGGGCTCTGTCCAGCAGGAAGAGCACAGCTTCCGCCTCTGCACCCGACCTGGAGCCCGGCCGGACGCCCGGCTGAAGCCGCCTTCATGTGCTCCCAGGCCAGCGGGGCTTCCTGCTGCACAGGGTTCCCTGCAGCCCCCGGTGGGGCACCGGCTGCACTGTTCTGCAGCCTCCAGGGTGGCAACCAGCCAAGCGGCCCAGCTCCAGATGAGAGCAGCCTCTCGCTTGGGGAAACCCAAGTCAGGCCCACTTCCACCAGCCGGGGTGTGACAGGCAGGGACCAGCCAGGAGCAGGAGACATCTCTCTCTCTCTCTCTCACTGGGGCATGTGGCACGGGTCTCCCGCAGGATGGATTAGTGTCAGAGTCAGAACCCCAGCCCTGGTACACCGAAGGACCCAGGGGCTTGGTCCTCAGCCCCAGCCAGAGACCTGGTGGCGTCTGTTCAACCACATGGCCCTCCACTGTCCAGTCCCATGCGCTGGCATGGGAGCCAAGGGCCCTGCCATGGTGCCGAGGCTGTGGTTGGAGGCCCAGCTAGTGCCACACTCGCCTTGCCTCGGCCTCTCTGGGGCCCTTCAGGCATCCTCCTGGCACTTGTGGAGGAAGCAGGCTGCGCCGGAGCCAATGGTGGCCGGGAGCTGCCGGGCAGGTGCCCTGTTCTCATGCTGCCTGCTAACTGCCCGTCTGGTGTTTTTGGTTCCTGCAGTGAGAAGCGCCACCTTCAAGTGAACGTCACCAACCCAGTACAGTGCAGCCTGCACGGGAAGAAGTGCACCGTCTCCGTGGAGACGCGGCTCAACCAGCCCCAGCCCGACTTCACCAAGAATCGCTCGGGCTTCATCCTCAGCGTGCCCGGGAACTGACGCCCCGCGGAGGCCTGGCCCGGAGCCCGGCCACACTCCGAGTCCTGGGTCCCAGTCCAGCTGCTGCCTCCCAACCCATGCCCGCTAGAAACCTGCTGCGAGGGCCCCTCCCAGAGGAGCCCCGCCCCTGTAAGATTTCCTTCCTGGTTTTCTGCCTTTGGTATCATCTTCCTCTGTCCTTACTGTCCACGGTCCCTGTTCAATAAGCCAAAGACCCTGGTGCCCCGCCCAGACCCCTGGGCTGACGTCCAGACCAATCTCACCCCAGAGGCAACTGGATGGTGCCTTTAGTTGGTGCGGATGCCCCGTGGCCAGGTCAAGTCAGAGCACCTGGACAGGTGTCCTCCCTGCTGCTGACCCTGCAGAGGGAAGGGGTGGGGATGCAGGACCCCACTCTGCGGGAGCCCCATAGCCACCTCTCTTGCCCAAGGTGAGCCAGCCCTGGGGACCCAGCTCAGGGAGGCTCTGCTCAGAGTTCGGCGGACCCACCCCAACCCAACTCCCAGCCGCCAGCCAAAGCCACTGGGTGAGCAGAGTCACCCACAGGGCCAGCCCCTCAGCCAGGAGCCAGTGGCAGGAGCGGAACAGCCCATCCAGCAGAGTGAGTCCATCCTTCCCAGGTTCTCCCCTGGGAGACTCCCTTTGCCACCAAGGCCCCCACCAGGGCCTCTGACCACCGCTCTGGAGAGGACAGTGTGGCATGCTCCAAGGATCATCTTACTTAACTCGCAGCCTGTGGCTGTGGTCCTCTTATAGATACTTTCACCGTTTGCAGGGTTGCTAATCAGATACCTGCTGTCACCACACTTGGGTCAGGAACCCTAATGAGAACGGGGAGCTGCCAGGGTGAGGGCAGCCCTCAGGGTCGGCCGCTTTCCCTCTGGACCACCTCCCGCTGCGTTTCCTACTCAGAGAAACAGCAAGGGCGGGGTCAAGACACGGGATGACGGGAAGCAGGAAGCGGGGCAGCAGCACAGCGTGGGGTCCTGGCACTGCAGGCCAGGCCAGGATGCCCACCCCGCCCTCTACACGGCCCCTTGGGGCCTGCGCCCGTGAAACTGGTGCCAGGGAGCACTGCCAGCTTGCCAGTTTCTGCCCAGCAAAAGCACGTATGCTTCAGGGGCCTTCTGAGACCACCTTCCCCACTGAGCCCCAGCTGCTGAGAAGGCCTTGAGGGAAGTAGAGGCTGGGAGCAAATGCCCCATGCGGTGAGAGGATGAGGGGAGCCTACGCCTCAGGCATGTGGTGAGAGGATGAGGGGGAGGGAGCCAACGCCTCAGGTGGAGTGGGCAGAGGTGCAAGAGAGGGATGTACTGAAGCTTCTTCCCGTCCTGCCACAGACACTTCTCCTGCCTTCCCACCCTGACCCGGCAGAACCCACCAAGTGCCTGTGTGCAGCCTCCTGTGCCTCACCCAGGGCCTGACCCCAGAGTGGTCCCAACAACCCGGTCTCATGCCCACTCCCCATCCCTGCTTCCCAAAAATTGCACTGTGTGCAGTTTGCAACAAAGAATCCCGCTGGCATCCTGTCCTTGGGAACCCTTTCTCATTCTCCAAGCCTGGTCAGCTGCCTGCACAGGCAGAGGTGCCCTCAGCCCAGATTAGCAACACTCATAGTTTTGCCAATTACCAGTAGACACTAGTGGAACCATCTAACTGGAACTTCCTCTCTCCTTCCACTTATTTCCTCAAACTTGTTGCTTTACACTAGACACATGCAAATGTATGTTTTAAACACACCAAAACAGATCATGCCAAATGAGTTGCCTGTCAAAGGCTGGAGGGCAGGAGGAGGGCCTGGGTTTGGGTTCTTTCCTCCCAGCCTTTGGATGGTGCCTTGGGCCCCTTAGCCCCAGCGCCAGGGCCTCCCAGCTGAGGCCACAGGACAAGCACTTTTTTATGATGTACTAAAAGCCACAGTATGTGGCAACTGCAAAAGGATCAGGAATTTAGGGTATGATCTCGGTCACGTGTCCCGGGCGCTGAGGGGAAAGGAAGCGGGCATGATTGTAGACAATGAGGGGGTTCTCTTGATGTAATGAAATGCAATTTTATGGTTTGGTGCAAAAACTCCTATTTTCCAGTAAATTAACTTTATTTCTAAAGCATATTTTGATTTGCCATCAAGAGCAATAAAGCATTAAATCTTATTTTTAAAGGTGTTCTGCTTATCTGTCACTGAAAACTTGGTGAAATTTTTGCTTAAATAAAGTCAACCATTATCTGGGAGGATAGAAGGGAGAATTAAGCACAAATCATGTAAAATGGAGGATGATTTGCCTGAGGCTTTTGAACAAAAAGTGAGCAAGAAGCAAGCTGTGGACCGGAGGTGTGAGGAGGGAAGGAGGCCGTGGGGTTGAGTCCCAGCACTTTCTCCTGCCATCTTGAGGCCTGTGCGCTGGCAGCTGGAAGCACACTGCTTAGTGCCAGGGAATATGTTTACTGCAATAGAAGCACGTATGTAGAAAGGAAAGGCTCAGAGACCTACAGCAGCAGACTGGGGACAGGCCAGGCCAGCGGAGTGAAAGGTGCTGGGAGGAAGTGTGGGGGCGGCAGGGAGAGTGAGAGGAAGCAGCAGCTCCTCCTGGGGAAGGGAGCAAGGCCCTGAGGGAGCAACAGGGCATGGCCAGCACCCAAGGGTCCTGCAGCCAGGGTGCTTCCGGTCACTGGTCATTGGCAGAAAAGAACACGCAGCGGTGGCTTCTGTAACTCAGACGAAGGCAGTTGCTTTGTGGAAAGCAAGTGGCCTTGATCACAAGGCTGACAGCTCCCAAGCTACAACTTGAGGACAAGAAAGACTTTCCTAGTACTCAGGAGCAGCTTCAGACCGCAGGGTGCAGGGCCTGGGGAGGGCCACATCCAGCATCCCCATAACCCTCTTCCTGAGGCTGACGCTGGTGGCACGTGCAGGCCTCAGGCTGGCAGTCAGGACAGGTACAGATAGAGCTGGTAGGAACCCCACCCTTGCCGCAATTATGGGCTGGAGTGGCTGCTTCCCTGGGAGCCACAGGGCTGGATTTCTCCCTCCTGGAAACCCGCATGGAGCTAAACCTGCAGGGTTGGCCCATGTGGACGCCAGCCCACCCCTGCTGGCCTGGGAGACCCCGGGGGAAGGGAGCACAGAGCAGAGCCAAGCCCAAGAATACGTGGGAGCAGCAGCTTCAGAGTCACACCTCGACACAGGGAGTCTAGGGTCCAGAGCCCCTGCAGGACCCACCCGGCCAGACCTCACCAGGCCATGCTTGGGCCTGACCCTCCTTGGCCGGAGGTTCCAGTCACCCAGCTCTGCCACGGGAGCCTTTGGGAAACAGCTGCCCTCACCTCGGCCGACGCTAAACCAAAGCTGACTTAACCTGTGCTTCCTTCTTAATCACCTTAGTGTGTTAAGCCCTCGCCCCCAACTCTGTCCTCCCCTCCCCAATAACACAAATCCAATTATGTTCTGAGTGCATGAATCATTTAGTAAAGGGGGCCCCAGCCTGCCCACAAAAAGAGGTCTCTGTAATGGATGGTCAGTGCATTTTATTGAATCAGCACAGTACAAAAATAAATAAAAATAAGGGAAGGGGAATTAAATTACAGCCAAACTGAGCTTCATGACTTTGTCAGATTATAAACCACACATACTCACAAACACACTACACATACATACAAAATGAGACAAATATAAATTAATATTAACAATACCCACAGTTTGGTCAAAGAATAGCTACAGAAGAAATTGCACTAAAAAACCAACATACATCACACGTGTGTAATTAGCAGTTTCAAATATACAGCTATGAATAATTCTGAGTGAAAAAAATGGCACATTTTCTTTTCATTGCAAGTTTAACTGTTGGAACAAAACTAAGTTCTAATAACTGCATGGAAAGAATATATCAACCCTCCAGGTTTACAAGAAAAAGAGAAAAACCAAATCCTGAACTATTATTCCTGTGGCTTGTTCTGTGCATGGGTGTAATTTTCACAGCCATCTGTTCTAAGATTATTTTTCTTAAGACACAAAATGCTCCTGGTTTGCATGCACAATATCACCGTAAAAGCAACAATTAAAGAATAAAGGTTTTTTTGTAGGTTTTTTTTTATTGTTGATCTAAAAGTAGTCTTCATAGCAGCATGGCAAATGGGTTCTTTGCTTGCACACTCAAGTATATCAGTTGTTCCTTTACACAATACTGATGACCAGTGCAAGGGGAGAGAACACGACAGGCTTCACACTGAGGGAACTAGAGAGTTCTTCCCTTAGTCCCCACCACTTCCGAAATGTCCACCTCCTCCGAAGAATAAAAAAATAAATACGGAGAAAGAGAAGGAAACAGACACGCAACTGGAATCCTGTGGATGCAACGTAACTGCACAGTTCGCAGCCAGGTTCCGCCAGCTGAGGGTGATACACACATGCGCCCTCCTCCTGAGACTTGGCACTGACCCTCCCTCTTCCATGCCACCAGGGGCCTCCCACCTCTGGTCGCACGCGGCAGCAGGATCTGAAGACAGGCTGTGTGGAAACCCAGCAGAGAGGAGGTGCTGTGTGAAGTCTGTGCCAGCAGCCGCAGGCTCCTTCCACCGCTGCACCGATTATCTGACAGTCCCAGGAACGGCTCTGCTGGGCCTCAGGTGCAGCAAGGCAGATGTTCTCCGGCCGGGCAGGCTCTCTTCCCCACCTCTGGGAATGCCTCCAGCCACCAGGTTCTGCCTCAGGACTCTTAAATTGGGACTTCAATTTCACAGCTTTCTTTTTGTGTAAATTTCAGTAGTGCATGTGCTGAAATCGGTAGCCACCTCGAACTTAATCCTATGTAAAGTGACCCTCTGCCTCCCCACCCCAGGTCCCCATTCCAGCACTCCCCAGTGGACTGGGCCTGGAAGACAGAATCCTCTGTAGTGTCTTCACATTGGTCTTTGTTCTCCACAGCCGAGTGATGGGCCATGGAGGAAGGCTTGCTCCCTCTCCCAAGTCCCAAGCCACCAATGCGGGAGAATTAGAAAGAAAATCAATAAAGTACACATTTGTGTTTTTACAGCCAGTAGGGTAAGGTGGAAACCAAAACCAGCAGCTGCAAATGATCAGTTGTAGAAATCAGCAGGCTTCCAGAGCAATCAGGAGTCTCACTCCCCGTCTTGTAATTGTCTCCAAGATCCGGCTGTCTCACTGGTCCTTGCTGGGCAAGGCTTCCTCTTTAGAAGAAACTCAACTGTTTAGAAACAGCTTTAAATTAACGGGTGGGGGTGGGGTCACCACATCGCCTTCCCCCCAGCTCTGCAGGACAAATGTCATGTGCACCAGCAAGAGGCCTTAGCCCTTAGGTGGGCACCGGCTTGGTCTCAAGGTATGGCATCCCTCACCTTGCCCAGAAGGCAGGCGTTGCTAATGGGCACCTGCAGCTGTCCTGGCATTTGCCACAGGGTGACTGCACTACATTATTCAAAAGAAAAACTCACCCAGGAAAGCTGTCCCCAGCTTCACCCCACCTCTTTAGCTGGGACCCAAATTGAGAGAAATTAATGAGTCAAACCAGCTCATCGGCCAATACCACCAACGTGGCTGGGAGCAGCAGACAAGGGGGTAGGGGGGCGAGTTCCATTTCTCCACTAAAGAAAAGCCCTTCTCCCTAAAAAAAGAAAACAGCAAATCAGGGCGGTGTGTGGTCAAACGACCAGACACAATCTTTCCACTAGACCCGCTCAGCTTCGCCTCGCCTAGATTGAAGATGTCCCCGGGTGGCGGGGATCTTGCCTCACGACCCCACTGGCAGCTCAGTTAGGGTGGCTGGCTCCAGGAGCCTCTGGGAGAGTGAATAACTCCACACAGGAGCCAGAAAAGGGCCTCCAACCAGAAACCCCAATTCCTCCCTGGGCCAGGCAGCCAGAGGCCCCTCTCTAGCTCCATACAGGGTGCAGCCGGCAGCCTTGCCTACCCTGGACCCAGCAAGGGCACAGGCGGCAGGGGCAGGTCAGTCCTTTGAGTTCCCCAAAGTGGGAGGTCAGTGGCCTGGGTGGCTCTGAATACATCTTCTGGGTTTTGCGCAAGGCTCGTGAGTTCAAAAGTGCCCAGAGTTCTTGGCAGGGATGAAAAAAACCCCAGGGAGAGACTGTGGGAAAGGTGAGGCCCTTGGTGGCTTTGCTAGACACATACTGTACACAAAACTGATTTAATAATAAATTCTTAAAAATGCATTGAATCCTTGAGCCATGACGCAGGCTACAGTGCTCACCGATCCAGGCCTAGGAGGAGCCGCTTCTTGTCCTCCTGGCCGCTCTCGTTCTTCAGGTCGGAGAAGACCTGTGTGAAGTAGTGTGGGTCGGCATTTATCTGCAGCATCTTTGAGCTCATGAGGTTGATGACAGAGAGGCAACGGTCCCAAAAGGCCTCCTTGCAGCTCTCCACCAGGAAGGGCTTGAGCGGGTAGGAGATCTCGTTGCCCATGTAGGAGTAGGAGAGGTACAGGCATGTCAGCAGGACGGCCTGGAGCTCGTGATCCGAGCCCACCTCGGAGGAGATAACATCCCTGCAGAGCATGTAGAGGAAGACCACGTTGGCCGGCGTGATGAAGCCCTGGTCCTGCCAGCCCTGCAGAAGCAGCGAGCGGTCCACGCTGCGCAGCCAGAGCACGGGGTCCGTGGGGGACAGGTGCTTCAGGCGGTAGCACCGGCGGCAGAGAAACTCACCCAGGCAGCGAAGCAGCTCACTGGTGGACGCCTGGACGATGACCCGTTTGGGCGTCCCTGCGGAGGTGACGGCAGGGTGAGGGGCTTTCTTGACTGAGGAGGAGCCCCCGGTCTGGGAACCCGAGAGCTGGCTGGCCGGGGGTGCAGGCGGCTGGGCCGGTGGGGGCTGGGCGAATGTGGACAGGTTGGCGCACGACAGCGACTTCTTCAGGTTCTCATTGTTGAGGTGCGTGATGTTGTTCTGGTAGCTGCTGTTGGGCTGCACCTTCTTGGAGTTCTTCTTCTTGGCCGACACGGCCACGATTCTCTTCCAAGGCAGCACGGAGATGATGGAGTGGCGCTTCAGGTTCTTGTCCTTGGCGTTCTTGCTGTTCTGTACGGCCGTATAGTGGCCCACGGTGGCCGCGCCATCCTCAAACAGCGTGGCCTTCCGGTAGCTGGGAGACAGGGACAGCACCGTGCCCATGGTGCTGCTGCGCGCCGGGCGGGGGCTCGCGCCCCTGCGCGCCCAGCCTGCCGGCCGGAGGGATAAAACCGCTCACCGAGCCTGCGGCGGCCCCGGAGAGGAGGCGGGGGCGCTCCCGGGAAGCGTGCTGCCCCCTTGGATCTGCCTGGAAAACAAGATGGTTCTTAGCGCCAGGCTGGGCTCCGCGCCGCGCCCCTGCGCCCCTGCGCCCCTCCGCCCCGCGCCTCGGCGCACCCCGCCGCCCCAGTCCCGGGCCCTACCCGCGCCCCCGCGACGCAGCCTCGCCGCCTCCACTGCAGCACCCCCGCCCGCCGCCGCCGCTGCGGTCCCCAGGCGCAGCCGGGAGGGGCCCGGTCGCCGACGGAGGCGGCCGAGGACCCCCGCCTGGACACCCCGCACGGGCGCGACCCCGGTCTCCGCTCCCCAGGGCCAAGGACGGCCGCCCAGCGCAGGCTTACCCGGCAGGCGGCAGCTCCTGCGCTCCGCGCCCTCCGCAATGCGCGCCGCGGCCCCGCCGCCGCGGTCCCGGCGCTCGGCGGCGCTCGGGGGCGCTCGGCGGGGATCGGCTGGGCTCGCGCTCGGCGGCGGCGACGGCGGCGGCGGCGGCGGCGGCAGCTAGGGAGCTTCTGTCCAAGGTTCTGCAGGCACCGCAGCCCCGCCCCCCGCTCGGCCGCCCGCACCTTCGCCGCCGCCGCCGCGCTCCCGCTCCCGCTCCCGCTTCCGGCGCGCGCCTCAGCGCCCTCCCTCGCGGGGCGCGCGCGCCGTCCACGCTCCGGCCTGGTCTCGCCGGGGAGTCGCGGCCGTTGGTGTCCTCAGCTCGAGCCGCGCACGGTGCGGGTAGGACGCGGCAACGAGCGGGAGGCACCTCTACGCGCCGGGCCCCATCTAGGAGCCGGACTCCGCGGCTGCGGCGGGACACGCGGCGTCGGCCCGCCCCGCCCCTCGGGGCCGCCCCTCCCGCACAGCTCGCCGCCCGCTCCGCGCCGCCGCCCAACAGCAGCCCGGCCGCCGGAGAGTCCTCGGCGCCCGCGCAACCCAACTCTGCCGACGCGGGGCGGGCGCCGAGCAGGGCGGAGCCGAGGGCCGACCCCGCCCGCGTCCCGCCCAGACACGTGCTGCCTTTGTTCCCGCCGCGGCGCCCGCAGCTGCCGGCCGCGGGGGCACTCTCGGCCGAGTCCCTGCCCTGGCAGCGCGCGGCCCGCCCTCTCTGAGGCTGCCGCCCTGGCCTGGTGAGGAGCCCTCCGCCGAGGCCAGGGTCCGGAGCTCCCTCCTTCCACCTGACATCCCCGTCCCTGTGGAAAGCAGCCAGGGAGCGCGGGGAAGAAGGCCCTGGGCGGGGAGAGGCGACGCCTTTACTGAGGCCTCCCGAGTGCCACGCGCACCTCGAGTGGACAGTCCAATCGGTTCTGGCCACCCCTCCGGGGCCTCCGTTCCCTCATCATGGGTAGATGACCGCGGCCGAAGTGGGCCTCAGAGATCCAAGCCAGAGAAGCGTGGCCCGTAGCCAAGCCTGAGCCCGTCACAAATATGACCTCTAAGTTCCCACTCGCCCTCTTATTTGTCATATTAAAGCTGAAGCAACTGCCCCTCCGGCCAGCTTTCTGACCCTCTTAAACGTTTTCAATTCTAAGTATGTATAATTTGAGAACTTGATGCTAGCGAAATTGAGTAAAATTCTGTTTCTGAAAGCTGTTCCTGTCAGATGTGAATCCAGATCCTTCACAAAGGCTGTTGTTCATTTACTATTTTACCTTGTTTCTGGAGATCGAGTCAAAACTGACCACAAACCTGGGAAACAGGAAACTTAAGCCCTGTCTTAATCCAGATTATCTCTGGACCTAGAGATGAGGGAGTGGCTCTCCAGAGGAGAGGATGCCACCCAGTTACCTGACCACTCCAGCCGACTAGGCTTTCACCAGCCCTGTCAACTGTCCTAGGGGGAACAGAAAGGGAATCTGGCATCATTCAAAATGGTGCAATCAAGGCAGAAAGTGCTGGGTTTTGTTTATGTGCCACTCAGATTTCTGTCAATAGGAATTCCAGGCTTTAGGAACCTTGGGGGGCAAGGCATACAGTGGAAAATGCATTGCTCTGTACCCAGAGGGCTACTTTGTCCACAGCCTTTCAGAACATCCACAACAGCTGTTATGGGAACTCAGAAGAGGAAGGCAGGCCCCCAGCTCAGTGCGCCCCTCCCTGTGAATGTTCCTCAGTGTACAAGCCTACCTGCTCTTCAAATGGAGCTGTCCTCAACCCTCCTGCATGTAACAGTAAGAAGCCAGAAGAGGCCGACGCAGTGGCTCATGCTTGTAATCCCAGTATTTTGGGAGGCCGAGGCGGGTGGATCACCTGAGGTCAGGAGTTCGAGACCAGCCTAGCCAACATGGTGAAACCCCGTCTCTACTAAAAATACAAAAAAAATTAGCCAGGCGTGGTGGCAGGCACCTGTAATCTCAGCTACTCAGGAGGCTGAGGCAGGAGAATCGCTTGAACCTGGGAGACAGAGGTTGCAGTGGGCCGAGATTGCACCATTGCACTCCAGCCTGGGCAACAAGAGCGAAACTCCATCTCAAAAAAAAAAAAAAAAAAAAAAAAAAAGCCAGAAGAAACGATTTGCTTCGAGACCCTGACCAAGTGTCCCTTTTCCTTCTCAAAGGAAAGCCGAACCCCAGCCTCTTTTCCTCAGCCCTTACTTGGAGCCTCTAGCTCCTGAGTTGGCTCTGTGCCCCCCTTCAGATTCTAGTGTTGAGCCAAGGTTAAATGTTTTCCACTTCCCAAAATATGTCCAAATTTTGAAGCCTATAATCCACCCCGGCCAGGCGTGATGGCCACACTGTGTCCAGCAGTTTCAGAGGCCAAGGCGGGCGGATCACCTGAGGTCAGGAGTTTGAGACCAGCCTGGCCAACATGGTGAAACCCGTCTCTACTAAAAAAATTAGCTGGGCGTGGTGGCGGGTGCCTATAATCCCAGCTACTCGGGAGGCTGAGGCAGGAGAATAGCTTGAACCCGGGAGGCAGAGGTTGCAGTGAGCTGAGATTGTGCCACTGCATTCCAGCCTGGGTGACAGAGTGACACTTCGGCTAAAAAAAGAAAAATCCACCCCCTAGAAAAACCTGGGCCCACTCTGTTACCTTTAACTCTCAATCTCAATTCTAGCTATTCCAATTCACGGGGAGGCGGACCAAGCTCACCCCACTACCCTGCTTCCCACTCTGCAGCAGCATGCCTCTGCATGGGCCTTTTCAAGCCAGGCCATACCCTGTGTCTTCTCACCTTTGTCCAGCCAGCCTTTCCCTAGCACCTTCAAACAGAGCTCTCGGCAGAACACCAGCCTCCTCACACTTGCCCAAGGCAAAGTCACAGTTGCAGCACAGCAGGAATGGGATGGCACTGGCAGCCCACTTGCTGCTGCGACTAAGGGAGGGGTCTCCAGGAGCTCCTATCACCCAGGCCATGCCTGTTATGCTGGTTTTCAGACACCACAGAGCTCCTCTTTTCATTCAACCCACCACCACCTCCCCACCCCCAGTTCCTATCACTGCTCCAACTGGAAGCAAGGAAGAAAGGACAGTCAACTGCCAGAAATGGCAGAACCAAGGACCCAGAAGGCAGACCCAGTTGAATGAGGCAGAGCTGTTTTCTTCCTAGCTGCCTTCATCATAGAACTGCAGGGAAGATTTCCAAATCCCACCCCCATCAATCAGCCTACTTAGCCTATTGCCTATCTCTAGCTGCCTGAAGGGCCAGCCTGCTTGTTAGCTTCCCTGCTGGGCTGGGCTGCCCGTGGACTGCCGGAGAGTCCACTCTTCCTGCATGCCCCACTTCCCATAGCATCCCGAGGGAGGGAGGTCAAGGCGGGGGCCAGCTACAGCTTCCAAGAAGGGTTCCAAATAGAGCAGGCCTGAGCCCTTACTCCTGAGGAAGTCGGCTTTGTTCTTTCAGGGATCACAGAGCAGCATCTAGTGGCCCTTCTGAGCAGCACAGATTACATAACTAGCACACAGCAGGGGACCAGAGCCTCTGCTCCCAACTCCAGTAGAGTCTCATTAACACACAAGAAAGTCCTGGCACCATGAAGGCTGGAGCCCAGAAGGGAGGTGAGGGAGCCGGGCCCAGGCCAGCCCACCGGCCAGCTGACCTTCCCAGCTGTGCCTGGACTCAGGTCATGAGAGGCCTGGGAGAGGAGGCAGTGACACAACTGCTGGTCCTGGAGGTCTAGAGCTGCGCTGTCCAGATAGAAGCCACATAGGTAACTTTATATTTTCTAGCAGCCACATTACACAAGTAAAAGGGAAACAGGTGAATTTTAATAATATATTTTATTTAACCCAATACCCAAAATATTTCAACACATATATAAAAAAGTTATTGACATATTTTACACTCCTTTTCTTTTGTTATCATACTAAGCCTTCGAAGTCTGGTTTGTGTTTACACTTGCAGTGTATCACAGCTCGAACCAGCCACGTTGCAAGGGCCTGACAGCTGCACATGGCTAGCGGCTACATATTGGACAGCACGGGTCTAGAGGGCATCATCTGACCAAGACCCGCAAAGGGAACTGAGAAAAGGGCTACTGCCTGAGCATCTCAGGACTGCCCTAAGTTTGAGAAAACATCTCCCCTCTACTCCAAAACTAGATCTCTTTGGAGTACTTTTTAAAGTCCTTTATAGAAGCAAAGCTCTTTCTGCAAGTGAAATACAGAGACACAATACTAAAACTGACAATGGCTGAACTGCTCAGACTGAAGAGGATTTAGCAGGTCCCCCAGTGGTCCCAGAGCCCCCCGCCCCCGCCAGGGTGTGAGGCAATATGAAAATCGCTGCCTTTGAAGATTCCAAAAGGAAACGAAACCACAACTGCATGTCAGGACTCTCCAGACACCTGCACGTCTATGACTTACTAAGCTTCACATCACAATCACCTGCCAAGGAAGCAGCATCCTCACTGAGTAGAAGAGAAAGTAGGCTCAGAGGATCTACTGCCCAAACTTACATGTGCTCACTGGACCATGCTGCCCTGGAAGAAGACACCTGAACTCATTTCCAACCTCAGAACTCACACACCAACTTTCTTGCCCCCAAAGCCCTCCAAGTTTGGACCCCAAATTTACCTTAAGGACTCCCATTACACAAATGAGATAACAGCTTTGGCCAGATGAGAGCTAGACTAGTGTGGGGCCACACAGAGCTGTCTGGACTTGCTTGGAAGCCCTCCAGCACTCAAGAAAAAGACACCTTTTGAAAAAAAAAAAAATTATTTTTATTGGAACTCATCTGAACATCAGATATACCTGGTGTTGGTTAGCAAGAACCGTTTGTACATTTGATACTGATGGTGCCAAAACCAAAACAGTGACTAGACATGATGGGGAAAGATGTTGAGAACAAAAACCTGATTTTGGAGAGGAAAATAAAAGCCAGTCAGATTCAGTGAGGATGCAAAACCTGGTACAACAAAATCCTTTTACAAAATATAAATTTATTATGAAAACCTGGAAGGATAATCCAAGGAAGGTAAAGAAAGAGAAAAGGAGGCCAGCAGAAGAAGGCAGGAAGGAGAGGAAAAGAGAAAAAGACAAAGAGGAGATGAGAGAAGAAAATACAGTTCAGCACAACAGAAGTGCAGAAGCTCACCTACCCAAATGGCATTAAAGCCTCGCTGTGTAATCGTGTCAGAAAACAAAGCATACTGACACATAGTGCTCTACTTCCCATCCACTTGAGTTCTAAGAGGTAAATTAAAAAGCTCCCTGGGAAGGGGACATGAGGTTGCTCAAAAACCCAACAAAGAAAATTAAAAAAAAAAGAGAGAGAGAAACCACACCCCACAGTCTCATTTCCGATGTTCATTGTTTAAAAAAGGAATAAATCCATCTGAAAGTAGGAGAGGAGGAGTGGGAGAGGGAGAGAAGCTCATGGCTTTCACAGACAGCCTGACTCCCCTGGAGGGGAGAGGAGGAAGGCAGAGAGACATGATGGTCTCCTGGTTGAGAGGGGAAAGAGAAGGGACAGAGAGGAAAGAAGAGAGGAGAGGAATGCAGGAGAGGAGAAGAGGGGCAATTAAAACACTGACGACTAATCTAGTTTACTGTGTTTAAAAAAAAAAAAAAAGCCACATGCATAGCAGGCCCCTTGGGGGCTAAGGGCCCACACTGCTCCCTGTGTGGCCGTGGTAGACACTAGCTCCTGGCCTCATCCCCATTCCTTCACAGGTCAGAGTGGAGCTATGCAGGCGCTGCTGCTGCTGCTGCTGTTGTTGCTGCAGTGGTGGTGGTGGTGGCGGCGGCGGCAGGACCTTCGGCTACTCTGCTGGAGCCAATGTGGGGAGGGAAGGGCAGACAGGCCGTATGGTAGGGGAAAGAACACCAAAATGCCTCATTTCAAATAAAAAAGAAAACAGCAGTCTATACACAGTTGTTTGTTTTGGTTCAGTACAAACAGAATAAAAAGTCATTGCTTTTGATGGTCAGCAAACACCCAATTCTGAGGAGGAGGAGAGGTGATGCCCAGCAGGTGGATTAGGACCCCCAGTGGTTGGCGGGGTGCCTGGCTTTGCGGCCCTCTCCCAGGAGGCAGAGAGCACAGCTTTAGGTAGTGTAAGCCTTTTTCCTTTTATTTAGAATAATCTTTTTTTTTTTCTTTTTCTTTTTTTTTAAGCAATTTCCCCACTCCCAAGTTGGGCCAGTAAAGATTACATGAAAACTGGCACACCTATTGGCTGGAATACAGATGCACCAAATGAGGATTTAAAAACTTTCCGAGCGAAAAGTAGAACAAAAAGAAAAAAGAATCTCCTAGCATTTTCCCCCAAGGTTTCACTCTCCCGCCACACACACTCTCCAAAGGACCGCTACAGATCCAACTCTGCAAGAGAAGACAGAGCAGTGTCAATCAGGAAGCCATGAGGACACCAGGAGGAGGTTTTCAGTCTCGACACGCAGAAGACAGAGCTGCCCAGCCCTGGGGTCCTGAAGCCAGCACTCACCTATGTCAGTTTCTTGGCTTTGTTGTAGAGGGAATCCACTACTTTGCTCATGTTCTGAATTGTTTCCAGAGCAGCTTCGTAAGTTTTATCTACTGGGGGTTCATCGAAAATAATCAGGACACCCTCCCCCTGGTCCAAAATCCCTGCAAGAAACACAAGGGCAACCCAGGTAAAAGATGAGGTTAGACACAAAAGTGTTTGTGAAGCAGCCCACTCCCTAGTTGACTCACTGTGTCCAGAAAAGAAGGGAAATAGAATTCATCTCCCTATTCCATGTACACATGCTTATTACACATTCTCATCACAGGGAAGAGGGGCCAGGACCCCAGGGTGAACCATCGGGGGAAACAAATAGAACATCTTCTTTGAAAATAAACTTCTTCAACCATCTCATCACCACCACCAGCCCCCTTGCCTGTGTGACTGTTACTTACCATGAAATTTCTTGTCAAGAATCATCTGTGATAATTTCCTTTCCACGTCGGCCTAAAATCAAAGCACATGATTAAAGGGACCAGTATCCACTAGTCAGAGATCACCCTGACACAGTAGCTTTGTTGGAGGGGTCTTAGGCCAAATGGACTGAAAACAAAATAGCAACAATGCAACTCCTACTCTAGTCCACACTGCCCATTCCCCACTGAGAAGCTGGGGAGCTTTCCAATGAGGCCAATCAGGTGCATGTGCCACCCCTCCTCGCCACCCCGTCCCATTCCTCCCTGCAGATGGCCTTAAGACTCCTTACCTTGGAGAGTTTGATGAGACTAGATATGTGTTCAATCTAAAAGGAAAGGCAGAGAGACACCAACACTGAAAGTTTTACTTTTGCCTCCAATAAGAGAAGGGAGGGAACAGGGGGAGAACTGCTGTATTTCTCAAAATTCTAATGTAAGACCCTCCTTGGCCGTGCTTAAGTCTCTTGTTCTCTGCCCATCTGCCTGCCCTTCACTGCTACACACAATAAACAGACTCTTATCCCACACACCCAATACAGAAAACAGGTACAACACATGCAGTGACTAAAAGCGAGGAGGAAACTGCTCAGAACACATGCAGGGGCAACCCACATGCCTCTACCCACAGCATCTCTCTCCTCGATTTTTGTTCATTTTATCAACAGAGGCCCAAGCTCTTGGTGGCCTCTTGCCCACCAGGCACACCCCTAGAAGTGAGTTCCCATTCTGGACAGGTGTGGAAGGGAGGTGGCTACAGTGAGAATGCCTGGCCAGAAATGGAGTCCCCAGAGGGTTCTCACCTGTACTCTGGAAAAAGGCTCAATGACTCGGATCAGATTCTGTTCTAGTAAGTTATCATACAACTTGGCCAAGTGTGTGCTGATGATTGGGTCATCCCGGAGCTCTGCCCGGTAATCTGTCAGAGCCTGCCAAAGGAACCAGTTGCAGAGATTGGCACAGAGAATCACTTTAAAGTCATGCTACTCCTGCTTCCTAGATAGTCTGCTGGCCCTTATAAAACTACATGGTTGAATGAAGTTAGGGGAGATCTGGGGAGATGCATGATACAAAGCAGAAAAGGAATGTCAAGAACTGAAAGGGAAGTTTGGCTTGGTGGCACGCACCTGGAGTCCCAGTCACTCGGGAGGCTCATGTGGGAGGACTGCTGGAGCCCAAGAGTTCAAGTCCAGCTTGGGCAACACAGAGAGCCTCCATCTCTAAAAATAAATTTTTAAAAATGCTATTTTATGGTAGTCTCTAAGAGAAAAAAAAAATACAAAATAGAACAAAAAGGTGGAGTCACCCTAGGGACCATCTTTCTGTCTGCAGGCTTCAGGTGAACAGCTCAAACCATGTAAGCCCCAAGAGCAACTCAGCTCATGAACCAAATTAGCTACACAAGCATTTCTCAGCATGTATTCTACAGAATAAATAGGGTCTCCATGGGGGGGAAAAAAAGAACATTGAGGTTAAAGAATAGGAAATGCTGAATTCCACAACTAGCTCTTGGGAGTTTTATGAGGACCATCAGCATAACATGGCTCTGCAATGATTAAGCAAAATTAGGTGTTTTAATTATTATTAGCCCTAGTATTTTGTTTAGCCCTAGTATTTCCCAAATATCTAATCACAGAATCCTTCTTCCAAGGAACTATTTGGAATAAAAGTGTCCCATCAAACATCTCAGACATTGGGATAAAATGATCTAGACCAAGTATTCATGTGTGTGATTTACTGGACCATCAGTAATGGTCTCAACATCCCAGCCTCATGTCAGCTGTGCTACAAGGTGTTAAGGGAAGCAGGCGAATCATGCCAAGTAAGACGCAATAGGAATTGGCAAGAGCCCTCCAGGAAGATGGTGAATCTCAGGGACAGTCAAAGCCACATGGTCTAGTCTCCATCCACACTAAGTTTTTCTCTCTGGATCTAGGTTTTGTTTTTATTAAGTTGATCATTATACTCAGACTAAAAGGAGAGAGGTTCAGGAAAGACTATATAATTCTCACCCTAATGCCCAGACAGGCTTTTCTCCCTTTTCAAAACTCCCAAACAATGAGCAAAATGCACCAGGGTTAAAGAAAGCCTAGATCATCACCCTGAGGACGTTTCTTTGGGTCCAAGTACGCACATCAAGACTTCCCTTCTGTCCACAGAGGAGCAGACCTGGCATTTCTGGAGCTGAAGGAATGCCTACAACTGTGTCATGTGGAACAAGCACTAGGCCTAGAGTCAAACTCTGACCCTATGCTGTGTGACTTTGAGTGTCCTCCTGAATCCCAGTTCCCTTAACCATAAAATGCAGATAATAAATAGGTGTGTTGTGAAAAATCAAAGTGAAAAAAGGACAGAAAGAACTTTTGAAATAGAAAGGTATTATGTATAAATAATATATATTTTATATCAACTCAGTAAGTTTCATTGTACAAAGTGCTTAACTATTTCCTGGTTTTAATACTGTCCTAGGTGAAGGATACATGGAATCATTTGCAACTTCTTTTGAAACTATAATTATTTTTAAAAGTGTGTTTTGAAGTACTTAAACGTCCCTCTCTTCCACTCACATTCCATACCAACCCAATATCATACTCACCTTTTCAAAATCTGCCAGTGATCTGTTCTTGCTAGCCTGAGCCACGCATTTTAATGCTTCTGTCTGAGAATAAAGAGACAAACCATGAAAGCGATTTATTCTGCACACTAACATTTACCCAAGTCTCATAAGCAGTATGCTGTGTCCACACAACTTCTGCCAAAAGGAAGAACCCGCCCCACCATCGTTCTTCTTCAGACGCCCGGGAAGAAGAGCCGCAAGTACTGAATACCACTATATGCCAACCTGTTTCCCTTTGAAACCTGAAATGACTTAATAATACTAGGAAACAGAAATTTTCCAAACAGACCGACCCTAATATAGCATTCTCTAGAGATGACAAGCTAAAAGGAAAAATGACAAGAGAACTGTGATTTCTTCTCCCTTCCTCCAAGGCTTGTTATCGCCACATCCACCCAAACTCCTTCTTGCCCTTAGACCCTATTATATCTGTGCTTTATCAAGATTCATTCTGCTAGGTTTGGAACAAGGCACTGAACAAGGTCTACCTCATTAACACTGAGGCATCAAGGCCAGGCACAGTGGCTCACACCTGTAATCCCACCACTTTGGGAGGCCGAGGTGGGCAGATCACTTGAGGTTCAGGAGTTCGAGACCAGCCTGGCCAACATGGTGAAACTCCCTTCTCTACTTAGCCGGGCATAGTGGTGGACGCCTGTAATCCCAGCTACTTGGGAGGCTGAGGCAGGAGAATTGCTAGAACCCAGGAGGCAGAGGTTGCAGTGAGCCAAGATCATGCCACTGCACTGCAGCTGGGTGATAGAAAAAGAATCCGTCTCAAAAAAAGGTTGCGGCATTAACATATTACACCAAATGTTAAGACCCCACAGAGTGATGAAGGTATAATCAATAGTTGAGAACAACTTCTAACATGGTTAAAAAAGGCACCTGACCAAGCTATTAAGTCTCCACTCAGCAAAAAATCTGCAACACTCATCTTTCTGGGAGATTAGCCTATCTCCTGCTTAAAAGCTAACATCAAAGGCGCAAGGGACTAAGAGAAGCTGCTCTTTTATCAGCCTACATGCTTATATAAGAACAGTGTGTCTTATACAGTAGACTACATGGTGCAAGGCTAATCATTAGTGTGTTTGTCTCCAGCATTTGTCCTATAGACAGAAAAAAGTGTCAAAATGAGAAAAGCCTGGAACTTAGAGCCAATGACCCTAATTCAAAGTCTAGCTCCACCATTGATTAGCTACCTGACCTTGCCCTGAACACTTGGATGTCCCTGAGCCTGTCTCCTCAACTCTAGTTATAGTGAGAGTAGTGCATCTTTCTTATTTATTATTTTTTAAGACAGAGTCTCACTCTGTCGCCCAGGTTAGAGTACAGTGGTGCTATCTTGGCTTACTGCAACTTCCACTCCCCGTTTGAAGTGATTCTCCTGCCTCAGCCTCCTGAGTAGCTGGGATTACAGCCACCAATGCACTACCATGCCCGGCTAATTTTTGTATTTTTAATAGAGCTGGGATTTTGCCACATTGGCCAGGCTGCTCTCAAACTGCTGACCTCAAGTGATCCGCCCACCTCAGCCGCCCAAAGTGCTGGGATTACAGGCATGAGCCACCACGTCCAGCCCCTAATTGGCTTTTTATCAGCAAAAGTTTCAGGTCAGCTCCTGGTTTTGACCTCAAGAGTACCGGTTATTACTATACTGGAAGATGCGTGGCTGGATGCAGTGGCTCACACCTACAATCCCAGCACTTTTGGAGGTTGAGGTGGGCGGATCACTTGAGGTTAGGAGTTTGGGACAGCCTGGCCAAGATGGCAAAACCCTGTCTCTACTACAAAAAATTAGCCGGGCATAGTGGCGGATGCCTGTAATCCCAGCTACTCGGGAGGCTGAGACAGGAGAATCACTTCAAACTGGGAGGAGGAGGATGCAGTGAGCCGAGATACGCCACTGCACTCCAGCCTGAATGAAAGAATGAGACTCCAACTCAAAAAAAAAAAAAAAGCCAATTAGGGCCACTTGTAGAGAGGGAAGAAATCATCTATGTGGCCACTCCTCCAGAGATACAGTGAGATTATATAGACAGCCAATCAGTCTGTGTTTAGAGACCACTGCAGTTGAAATCCAGAAAGATTACACTTACTTTACTAGTGATAATCAAGCAAAATACAAAGAGGAGACAGTCTAGACGTCATCTTTGCGTAGGTCCTAACTGTCTGCTCTCAGAAGTCACACTCATACCTACTTGGGCATTAAGGTAACAAAAAAAAAAAAAGGGCCTCTTTTTGCACCACACCCAAAATTCAAAGCACGAGTAGAAAGGTACTGATCTGAGAAGCACAGAAGTAAATCTCAAAACCTAGTTTCTGCACCAAGCAATCAGACCTCTCTAAAGCACATATGCACCAGACCTTACCAGGCTCCTAACCTGGAGAATCTAAGATTTCATACCCTGCCTATGTTAAATTCACAACTCAGACTCGTGGTAGATAAATCTTCTGGTCAAAGCCAAATGCAAACTAACTCACTGCAAATGCTACAGTTCAGTTCCCTAAGTCCCTCAAACAACGTGATGTCCATAAGAGCACCAAACGCTGACTTTCCAGGCCAAGAATTTAACAGTCTGGGAAACACACTGAATGGGCTTAAGGGAAGGAAGTGAGTGGGGCAGAAGGAAGAGAGTAGTATGAAGATCTGAAGAGTGCTGGTCTCATCAAACGTTGTGACTCTGAAAACATGCTGGTCTCAGAGTGAGCAGAACTGCAGTCAAGGGAGTCCCTACCTGCCTCCCTGCATACCGAAGTGCAAGCTTCCCGCTCACCAAAGCCTGGACATCTTCTGGGCTAGAAAAAAAGACATACTTGGTCAATTGCTGCAGATGTTATGCTTCTAAAGGAAGGTTTGGGCAAATTTCTTTTTAACAGAATTCCATTGTAATAAAGACTCTGCCCACACAGACAATCAGCCCAACCCCTAAACCCATATGCCCATCACATTGCAAAAGCTAGGTTTTCTCCACTCTGGGTCACAGCTCAGCCTGAAGAGTAGAAAAACTCCAATGTTAGAAAGCTGAACTGAACCTACCAAAAGCAATAGACACAACAAGCAGAACTATAAGTTTAAGTCAAATCCCAGTGTAACAGGTATTATTAAAACATAGCCCTTATGTAATCCAAAGATCCAGAGAGAGTTCTTAGTCAATATTTCATTTATTCCCAAAAGAATTGAATAATTCTGTAGACTTCTTTATAAGTAGGTCTGTCATACTTTTGTTGTCCACTTTTTCAAACCTCTCCTTAACCCTTCCTTCCTCATTCTGGGTGGCTCAGTTGGCTGTTACTGGCTGATCTGTAAGCTATTTCCTGACCCTCTGTCCTGTGCTCTGCACCTATGAGGACAGAATATTTAAAGGATGAGGAGAATTCTCCAAGAGGAGCTGGGAAGGGGATTTCTAAAATGTCTGCCTGATTCTGAAAGACTAGCAAGCGAAAGTTTTCTGGACCACTTTTGATCCTCCCGCTCTACCTTAGCCAGCCCTAGAGGCCGCAGCTGCTGCTGTTTCTGTAACTGGCCAAACTCCCTGCTCAGGCCATCTCTGCCATGGCAAACAGACTTGCTGAAGGATCTGAGTTCTTGTAGTCCAGAGTTAAGGTGCACCTACGTGTTGAGCATGATTTTGCACAGCAACATGTACTTCAGAGATGTGATGGCCTTGGGGCTGTCGATGGAGTCATAACCCTCAAATGCCTCATAGAAGTATGAGTACGCAGTTTTCCAGTCCTTCTCTTCTGCTGCATGGATAATACCTGGGCATTGAAAAGAAAGGAATAAGAACATATAAAATAATAGAGCCATAAAAGATCAGAGCTGGGAGGCAGCTTAGACATCTACCTAAATGGGCACGGTGGCTCACACCTGTAAATCCACACTTTGGGAGGCTGAGATGGGAGGATCATGTGAGCCCAGGAGTTCGAGACAAGCCTGAGTAACATAGTAAGACCCCATCTCTTGAAAAAAAAAAAAATGCTGGGCACGGTTTCAGCTCACGCCTATAATCCCAGCACTTTGGGAGGCTGAGGCAGGCGGATCACCTGAGGTCAGGAGCTCAAGATCAGACTGACCAACATGGACAAATCCCATCTCTACTAAAATTACAAAAAAAATTAGCTGGGTGTGGTAGCGCATGCCTGTAATCCCTGCTACTCGGGAGGCTGAGGAAGGAGAATCACTTCAACCCAGGAAGCGGAGGTTGCGGTGAGCCGAGATTGCGCCACTGCACTCCAGCCTGGGCAACAAGGGCAAACTTCCGTCTCAAAAAAAAAAAGCCAGGTGCAGGGGTTCACTCCTGTAATCTCGGCACTTTTGAGAGGCTGAGGCAGGAGGATAGCTTGAGCCCAAGAGTTTGAGCCTAAGTAACAGAGTTAGATGTTGTCTCTTTATTTTTTTTTTTGAGCCGAGTCTCACTCTGTCACTGAGGCTGGAGTGCAATGGCGCAATCTCAGCTCACGGCAACCTCCGCCTCGTGGGTTCAAGCAATTCTCCTGCCTCAGCCTCCCAAGTAGCTGGGATTACAGGCACCCACTACCACGCCCGGCTAATTTTTTGTATTTTTAGTAGAGACTGGTTTCACCGTATGTTCGCCAGGCTAGTCTTGAACTCCTGACCTCAAGTGATCCACCCGCCTCGGCTTCCCAAAGTGCTGGGATTACAGGTGTGAGCCACCACACCCAGCCGACCTTGTCTCTTAAAAAAAAAAAAAAAAAAGAAAAAGGCCGGGCATGGTGGCTCATGCCTGTAATCCCAGCACTTTGGGAGGCAGAAGCAGGAGGGTCATCTGAGGTCAGGATTTCAAGACCAGCCTGGCCAACATGGTAAAAACCTGTCTCTACTAAAAATACTAAACCAGCCAGGCATGGTGGCGGGCACCTGTAATCCCAGCTACTTGGGAGGCTGAGGCAGGAGAATCTCTTGAACCCAGGAGGTGGAGGTTGCAGTGAGCTGAGATCACGCCACAGCACTCCAACTTGGGCGACAGAGTGAGACTCCGTCTTAAAAAAAAAAAAAAGAGGTCAGGCACAGTGGCTCACGTCTGTAAACTCTAACGTCTATAATCCCAGCACTTTGGGAGGCCAAGGCAGCCAGATCACTTGAGGGTCAGGAGATCGAGATCAGCTTGGCCAACAAGGCAAAACGCCATCTCTACTAAAAATACAAAAATTAGCCGGCCTTGGTGGTACATGCCTGTAATCCCAGCTACTCAGGTGGCTGAGGCAGGAGAATCACTTGAATCCAGGAGGTAGAGGTTGCAGTGAGCCGAGGTCACGTCACTGCACTCCAGCCTGGGCAACAGAGCAAGACACTGTCTCAAAAAAAAAAAAAAACTCTACGTCAACTCCACCAACCTACTGATGAGGTCAGGAAAGGATAAAGAACCTGCTCTGCCAGGCACAGTGGCTCACATCTGTAATCTCAACACTTTGGGAGGCCAAGGCAGGTGGATCACCTGAACCTAGGAGCTCAAGACCAGCCTAGGCAACAGGGTGAAACCCCATCTCTACAAAAAATTAGCCAGGCGTGGTGGCACATGCCTGTAGCCCCAGCTACTTACTCATGAGACTGAGGTAGGAGGATCACGTGAGCCTGGGAGGCTGATGATAGCGATGGGAGCTGTGATAGCAAAAATGCACTGCAGCATGGGTGAAAAAGTGAGACCGTCTAAAAAAAAAAAAACCTGCCCAAAGTCACCATAGTCAGCAATTTGACAGCTGAGATTAGAAGATGAGAATCCAAGTCTCTGACCTCCCAGCTCAATGTCATATTGCCAATATAAGTTCCCAAAGGAGTTAGAGACTCAACTTAAAAGGGACCTGAAAAACACATACTGTACCATCTTTCTTCCATGCTTCTCACCACCATTCCAGTCCTGCTATCTTTTGGAGCCACAGGAAAAGGCCATGTTTACCCTCCATGACATCACATTCACAGGTCAGGGAGTTGACCTAAACATCTCTAGACTGCCTGAATGACCTGTTCTAATAATATTAACTACTTTAAGATAGCTTTTCTAAGCCTGATAGTTTTATATTTATGCAACTGTCATGGGGCATGGGAGAGGGAATCCAACATCTTATATTTTCATTTCAAATATTTATCATTTGTGGATGTGCTTTTGCCTAAATGCACTCAGTGTACAGCTTTCACATAATGCCAAATCCATGAACTTAATTATACATGGCTAAGCAGTATTTCTTCAGACTGATATACCATAGTTGACCTAACCAATCCCCTATTGCTTAGAAGTTGAGTTGCTCCCAATGAGCTTAACTTTGATTGAACCTGCTACTACTGCCAACCTATGCTATCACTTGGGATAACATAAAAATTAGTTCTTTCCAAGCTTGGGAGGCATCTAAACCCTAAAATTCTCTATTTGTGTATATTAGCTCTAACTCTGCCCCAGCCCTTTAAGAAGTTACAGACCTCAGCCCCATCCATTTGTTTACCACAACTGCTTCCCAACATCTTTCACATCGAGATACATGTAGAAAGTATTTAGCACACTAGAGTCAAAGGATGACGCTGCTGACACATGATCCAAAGAACTCAATACCAGCAGGAACCTTCTGACTTCACCATTTATTGAGTGATGCGTCCTTCCAGCCTACTCAAAAAACCTCCCACTTTGGGTTTGTGGGAATCAGATCCTTTTTCTACTACTGTTAAGTATAGAGGCCTCAAGGAATATCTGCTCTTCTCTGTAGCTAAGGAAAGCCCCTTCAACAACCCAACAAACCATTAATGCTGCTAAACTAAATGAGACACATCTCCATTTTTCCACATCTCCCAGTATAGAGAGAGAATAAGCCAGACCCAAAAATATGTATGGTTAAAAAACAAATAAATAAAATAAGGCCCAAGAACTGGTATACTGCTTTGCCAAACACATTAGTTAACAGGGGCCATATCAGCACTCTGAGTGTCATGGCTGGCACATGAGGTTTATTGTTAAAAACAGAAACAGGCCAGGCACAGTGGCTCATGCCTATAATCCTAGCACTTTGGGAGGCAGAGGCGTGCAGCCAGCCTGGCCAACATGGTGAAACCCCATCTCTACTAAAATACAAAAATTAGCTGGGCATGATGGCAGGTGCCTGTAATCCCAGCTACTCGGGAGGCTGAGACAGGAGAATCGCTTGAACCCAGGAGACAGTGGATGCAGTGAGCCAAGATTGCGCCACTGCATTCCAGCCTGGGTGGCTGAACAAAACAAGACCCCATCTCAAAAAAAAAAACAGAAACAAAGGCCAGGCATGGTGGCTCATGCCTATAATCCCAGCACTTTGAGAGGCCAAGGTGGGAAAATTGCTTGAGCCCAGGAGTTCAAGACCAGTCTGGGCAACATGGCGAAACCCTATCTCTACAAAAAGTTAGCTTGGCATGGTGTCGCGCTCCTGTAGTCCCAGCTACTCAAGAGACTGAGATAGGAGGATCACTTGAGCCCAGGAAGTTGAGGCTGTGGTAAGCTGTGACTGCACCACTGTGCTCCAACCTGGGCAACAGAGTGAGACCCTGTCTCAAAAAAAAAAAAAGTAAAAACAAAACAAAAAACTAGACTGTCACTCATTCAACACAAACATTAATGAGGCTCTATCATGTGCCAATTATTACCATTTTACAGATGAGCTAAACATAAATTAAGTAACTTGCCCAAAGTCACATACTAGAAAGCAGCAGAACAAAATGTCAACCTAGGAAAGCCTGATCCTAGATCAGTACATCCCTGACAGATGAGTCGAGTAGGCATTATCTTTTACAGATGAGAGGTAACACAAGCACTTAAACTCGTCTTCTGCTTCCAATTCCAACATTCCTTCAATAATGACGCCTCCAGTAAAAAAAAAAACTGCTGAATACAAAAGAAAGTATTCCACCTGCCAATCCATGGCTTCCCAGCCTCACATTCACGCACTCCATCGGAAAACTACATACCACACTCAGCTGAAATTGGGTTATCATTCCTCAGCCCTGATTTGAGGCCCTTTGGAAAAGTCAACCAACTTTACAAAGATCTCCAAGAGTCAACAGACTTGGGGTAGGCCAATCCCAAAGGAAAATGCTACTATTCTGAGTAAGTGGCTAAGAGCTAAGGGAGTCTTCTACGTGCGACCTTTCTAAGTTTGGTTCTAAAAGTCAGATTGCCTGGTCAACCACAGATAGGTATGTTCTTAATACATTTTAGGCAGTTAACAGGAGGGGAGCAGCTAGTTAGAAAGGTAGCTTTCTAACTGGTTCTCTGAAGAAGCTAGAGCCAAATCAGCCAATTTTATTCTCCAGCCCCAACCCCCATTCCTTCCACCTATAAAATAAGATGAGCTTTAAGAAAACACATCCCAGGAATAGCTACGTCTGTTACCCGACTGCATGTCCAAGGTGGCCTGCAATTTAGGGGGGCAGTAGATGGCATTTGCTGTGGTTCGAGCAGAAGTTAAGGCAGCTCGGGCTTTCGGCAGGTTGCTCAGGGCATGGTATGTTTTGCTTTCTAAAAGCTGTACTTCCACCAAAAGAGCTTTGTCGTCCATCTTTTTCAACTCCCGCAGCAGCTGAGAACCTGAAAAAGGAAAAGACATTCTCCTTTATAGCCATCAGCTTAATACCTAATAATAGCTCACTCTCCCACCCTCATAACACTCAGGATTAAAAAAAAAAAAAAATTCCTGAACTCAAAAAAGGTTACCTCTAGACCCCATGCAATAATTAAATTTTCCACTAATGTGCTATCTTCCAAGAGAAAAACACACCTCTTTGAAGTTTTCTGCTTCCTAAGGACAATATTAGAGCCAACAGTCCTATGAGCTTACTCCTAAGATTTAAATACAGTGGGAATCTCTACCTATAAAATGCTAAATCTAGTTATCCAGTTCAGAAAGACACAATCTCGCTCTCTTCTTGTCTAGCAATCACAAGGCTATATAAGAAACACTGGGGCACTAGGTTGATGAAGGAAGTAAAGAGTTCTAGATATACCAATGTTCTCCAAATATACCTTCTTCCCTGACTCCCCCATCTCAAACTAGAATATCAAATTCAAACAGACTTACACCATATACATAAATTGACTCAAAATGGATCAAAGACATAAATTTAAGAGTGAAACCTATAAAACTTCTAGAAGAAAACAGAAATAAATCCCTGTGGCTTTGGATTTGGCAATGGTTTCTTAGATGTAACACCAAAAGCATAAGCAACAACAAAAAACAGGTAACAGAACTTCATCAAAATTAAAATGTACTTCAAAGGACGTCATCGAAGGAAAAAAACAACCCACAGAACAAAGAAAAAAAAATTGCAAATCATGTATCTGGTAAGGGACTTGTATACAGAATAAAAAATAAACCTAAATGCCCATCAACGGCAGACTGAATAAAGAAAATGTACATATACACCACAGAATACTATGCAGCCATAAAAAAGAACGAGATCACGTCCTCTGCAGGAACATGAATGGAGCTGGAGGCTATTATCCTTAGCAAACTAAAATAGG
Source organism: Homo sapiens (assembly GCF_000001405.40). Taxonomy (NCBI): domain Eukaryota; kingdom Metazoa; phylum Chordata; class Mammalia; order Primates; family Hominidae; genus Homo; species Homo sapiens. The sequence goes on along the minus strand of NC_000017.11, from coordinate 32,468,065 downwards.
AAGAGAAAACCAAATACCACATGTTCTCACTTGTAAGTGGGAGCTAAATGATGAGAATACCTGAACGCGGAGGGGAACACCACACACTAAGGCCTATCAGAGGGTGGGAGGAGGAAAAGGATCAAGAAAAATAACTAATAGGTACCAGGCTTAACACCTGAGCACCAAAAAATCTGAACAACAAACTGCATGACGCAAGTTTACCTATGTAACAAACCTGCACATGTACCCGACATTAAAACAAACTTAAAAAAAAGAAAAGAACTTCAGAATAAAAAATAAAAACAAGAGCTGGGTGTGGTGGCACACGCCTATAGTCCTAGCTACTCAGGAGACTGAGGCAGGAGGATTGCTGGAGCCCAGGATTTCCAGGCTGCAGTGAGCTATGACTGCACCACTGTACTCCATCCAGGTTGGGTGACAGAGTGAGACCCTGTTTCTAAAAAATAAAAACACAAATAACCAATTAAAAAATAAGCAAAGGATCTGAATATTTATCTGAAGACATACATATAAAGGAGGCCGGGCGCAGTGGCTCAAGCCTGTAATCCCAGCACTTTGGGAGGCCAAGGCGGGCACATCACCTGAGGTTAGGAGTTCGACACCAGCCTGGCTAACATGGTGAAACCCCGTCTCTATTAAAAATATACAAACTAGCTGGACATGGTGGTGCACGCCTATAATCTCAGCTACTCGGGAGGCTGAGGCAGGAGAATCACTTGAACCCGGGAGGTGGAGGTTGCAGTGAGCCGAGATCGTGCCACCGCACTCCAGCCTGGGAGACAGAGCAAGAGTGTCTCAAGAAAAAAAAAAAAAAAAAAAAGGCCGGGCATGGTGGCTCACGCCTGTAATCCTAGAACTTTGGGAGGCCAAGGCGGGCAGATCACTAAGTCAAGAGTTCGAGACCAGGCTGGCCAACATGGTGAAAACCCGTCTCTACTAAGAATACAAAAATTAGCCGAGCATGGTGGTGCGTGCCCATAATCCCAGGTACTTGGGAGGCTGAGGCAGGAGAATTGCTTGAACCCAGGAGGTGGAGGTTGCAGTGAGCCAAGATCACGCCACTGCACTCCAGCCTGGGTAACAAAGAAAGACTGTCTCAAAAGAAAAAACAAACAAACAAACAAACAAAAAAACAAGACATACGAAGGAGCAAAAAGCACATGAAAATATGCTCAGCATCATCAGTCATTAGGGAGATGCAAAACAAAAACATAATGAAATGCTATTTAGGATGGCTAAAATTAAAAAATAACAAGTGTTGGTAAGGATATGGAAAAATTGGAACCCTCATACAATGTTAAAGAGAATGTAAAATGGTGCAGCCACTTTGGAAAACAGCTTACTTAGCAGCTCCTTAAACAGCTAATCAGTTACCACATGACACAGTATAATTCCACTTCTAGGTATATACCCAGAAGAACATGTCCACATAAAACCTGTTCATAGCAGTATTCTTAAGAGCTAAAATGTAGAAACAACACAAGTGTCCATCAACTGATGAATGGATAAACACATGTGATATATCCTTACAATTGACTATTATTCAGCAATAAAAAGGAATGAAGTACTGACACATGCTACAACATAAACCCTGAAAACATAATGCTACGTGAAAGAAGACAATCACAGAGAAACAAATATTGTATCATTTCATTTTTAAGAAATACCCAGAACAGACAAATCTACAAAGATACAAATAGCTTAGTAATCGCCCAGGGCTGCTAATGAATAGGAAGTTTCTTTCTGGGGTGATAAAAATGTTCTGAGGCCAGGCACGGTAGCTCACACCTGTAATCCCAGTACTTTGGGAGGCCAAGGCAGGCAGATCATTTGAGGTCAGGAGTTTGAGACCAGCCTGACCAAAATGGTGAAACCCCATCTCTACTAAAAGATACAAAAATTAGCCAGGCATGGTGACAGGTGCCTGTAATCTCTGCTATTCGGGAGGCCGAGACAGGAGAATCGCTTGAACACAGGAGACGGAGGTTGCAGTGAGCCAACATCACACCCCTGCACTCCAGCCTGGACGACAGAGTGAGACTCCATCTCAAAGAAAAAAAAAAGTTCTGAAATTTTTTTCTTTTTTTGGAGACAGAGTCTCGCTCTGTTGCCCAGGCTGGAGTACAGTGGCATAATCTTGGCTCACTGCAACCTCCACCTCCCGGGTTCAAATGATTCTTCTGCCTCAGCCTAACAAGTAGCTGGGATTACAGGTGTGCACCACCATGTCCTGCAAATTTTTTGTATTTTTAGTAGAGACGGGGTTTCACCATGTTGCCTAGGCTGGTCTCCAACTCCTGAGCTCAGGCAATCTGCCTGCCTTGGCCTTCCAAAGTGCTGGGATTACAGGCATGAGCCACCACGCCCAGCTGAAAACTTTCTGAAATTAAGTAGTGGTGATGGTTGTACAACTTAGTGAATACACTGAAAACCACTGGATTATACACTTTAAAAGTGAATTTTATGGTAAGTGAACCATATCTTATTAAAGTTATTTTTTAAATGCTCCTATTTGAACCATATGAAATTGCCACTTTTGCAGTCCAAAAATTGAATATTGGAAACTCTTCAACCTAATAGATCATAAGAGCCATGTTCTTTTGTTCGGAAAAAATAGTCCAGATCTACCCACTCATAAAAAGCAAGCAGTGGCCGGACACGGTGGCTCATGCCTGTAATCCTAGCACTTTGGGAGGCTAAGGCAGGCAGATCACTTGAGGTCAGTAGTTTGAGACCAGCATGGCCAACACAGCAAAACCCCATCTCTACTAAAAATACAAAAATTAGCCAGGCACATGCCTGCAGTCCCAGCTACTCAGGAGGCTAAAGCAGGAGAATCGCTTGAACCTGAAAGGCAGAGGTTGCAGCGAGCTGAGATCACACTGCTGCACTCCAGCCTGGGCAACAGAGTAAGACTCTGTCTCAAAAAATAATAATAATAATAATAAATAGATAGATAGATAGATTAAAAAAAAAAAGCAGAGAAGATTTCAAGGTGTTTAAAGGCCACACAGGAAAAAGGCTTCAGTTAGCCACTCCAGCTTCCAAATATATTTGTACCCAATTAATTTCTTGATTTTTAAAATAGATTTTAAGTATATAAGCAGATATAGTAAATAGGACAGTAAGCCAAACATTTGCCTTTAAAAACCTAAATCTGAAATTTAACAGAGTACTATATGCAAAATATAGATACACTTTTTTTAAATTTCAGTTATTAAAATGGAATTGATTTTACTGCTCCAAATTCAAGTAAACTTAAAACTACCCATTTGTCCTCTAAATTTGACAGATTAACTCTAGCTAGTTTTTTAAACTTTCAAATGACATTTTCCCATGACAAATGCAGAACTGTAAGCTACTTTAAATCCTTCTTAGAAGTCAGTAGAATATAAATTATTAACAGGTAATTAGTAAGAGTAGCCAGGTGGTTTAGAATACATTCATTTAGCTAGCTGAGATGACTTATTACCAGCTTACTTACCCAAATGCAATGCTTCCTGGTACCTCTTGGTATCAAAGTACAAAGACACCAGTCTTGCCTAGGAAAGAGAAAAGGCATTGATTGAAGGGGGGGGAAAAAGCCACAGAAAGAAATCAAAGATTGACAGTCACAGAACTGTTACTGTTAAATATGCAATTTCTGATGATAGCATCAAATTCAGCATAAGAGACGATCTAGCCAATGTATTGTCTCCTATTATAGCCAGCAAATGACTGTTAACTTTACCATGTTGTTGCTTACTACTCTGAGCCAAGTAGCAAATCTGTCTCAAAACTTCAATCAGAGCAATTATCATAAGTGGGGCTACCATCAATAATCTTTCGGTATCTAGGTAATTACAAAGTTGCTGAAGATACTTTTGATAAGGATGGTACTGCTTACATTCACCCTCTGTCTCATGCTTAGAGACCTGAAATGAGTACTAATGTAAAACCTACCTCCAAAGCTTGGCGTAAGAAAGTTCTTTTCTCTGACTTGGCCCATTCGATGCACTCTAAACACAGCTCGACCTGCAATAAGGAGAGACAGTACATGCAACATTATGTCCTCAAATTCTTCCCACAAACCATGCTTTGGAGAACAGCTTAAATTCCCTCCTTACATATTATCCATGTTGCTCTATTTAGTGTCTGATCCACAGTATCTCAATGTGTAATAGTTATATCATAATGGAGCATCAACTTGGCTTTTTACACATAAAATATTTTTGTGCTTAGATTATGTTTTTTAGGAAAAGAGCTCTATCTTCAAGACTCCTACCTACTGAGGAGAGACCAAGAACTTCCAAACAACATGTATAGACCTGGAATGTAGATTTCTATGACAGATTAGGAATTTTTAAAGCACAGATTTCTCCCTGGTTAGAAATAGTAATGGTAATGTATAATACACAGGTAATAAAGGGGAGAAATTCTCATCCTAAGCACTAATGCCTCATTCCTAGCAGTTGCTTTTAAGACTCAAAAGGTCCAGCTGGCTTTTTCCCTTTCAGATTCTAAGCAGTGCAACTAATCAATTCATCATCACTCTTAAAGCAAACAGGTACAGTAACCTAGCTTGCATTAAAGGGGATAAAAGCTGGTCTGAAGGTAATGAGTAATCTCGATTGTTCACAGTCAGTTACAGATTGAGCTCCTGATCTACTCTTTCCCTGCTTCTCACTACTGCACTTTGACTAGTCTTAAAAAAAATTTTTTTAATTAAAAAAAAAAGAAATTAGAATTAGCCTAACACGTAAAAGCGCTTTTAAGCTTTATTTAAAGGCACTCTGAACCCCTACTACTATCTGCCACCTAAGTAGTGAGGTAAGGTGCAAAGTAACTGACTTAAAGCAGCACTCAATGCTAGACAGTCTAGCACGCCATCAGGTATCCCTGACATGCTAGCTTTGACAAAGTAAATATTAAGTACTGAAGATCTTCTATCACTTTGGTTACTGCAAGTTTTATATTAAGGTTGCTAACTAGAGCATAAGAGCAAAAGAAATGAAATGAGAAACTGAGCTCTCCAGAGAACTAATTGCTAATACAACAGGTTTTTATATAAATCCAAAGTTCTCTTAAGAAATGCTGGCCAGGCGCAGTGGCTCATGCCTGTAATCCCAGCAATCTGGGAGGCCAAGGCAGGTGGATCACCTGAGGTCGGGAGTTCAAGACCAGCCTGACCAACATGGAGAAATCCTGTCTTTACTAAAAATAGAAGAAATTAGCCAGGTATGGTGGCTCATGATCGTAATCCCAGCTACTCGGGAGGCTGAGGTAGAATAATCCCTTGAACCTGGGAGGTGGAGGTTGCGGTGAGCCGAGATCGCACCATTGCACTCCAGCCTGGGCAACAAGAGTGAAACTCCGTCTCAAAAAAAAGAAAAGAAAAGAAATGCTGTAAGAAGGAAAAACTATAGGGACATAATCCAAATTGACAGGATCTTCTACTTTTAGATCCTAAATTCTAGCTCTGTAAATAAATTAATAGATAACATTACACAGTATTCAGAGGATTCACCAGGAAGAGAACCAACAAAACCTTTACAACTCCTCACTGGAGCCCCCTGGTGGCTACCTAATCTCCAACTCTAAACTCAACTGACCTCATAAAAATTACCTAAAAATAAGACAGAACCAAAAACTAAAATAAAAGCAAGCTTTATCACAATTGCAGAGTTTTGAGTTATATTCTGAAAAGCTAAATTCAAAGTAAGATTTCTAATATAAATGGAACTGAAAATATTTCTCTGAATAGTCTTAGCAAAGGAAATATAAGTGTTTAGTTCTACATGACTTCAAAGGGTAAGAAGTGCCCCCCACAGTTTTACCCAGGGAGTTTTTTCAAAGGACACAAAAATGAATACCTAGGACTTAGAAATATTCCTCTGTAAGTTTTATTTCAATAAACCATTTACCACACTCATCTACCAAAAAAAAAGAATGCCTGGGCTGTTGATTCATTAGTCTAGAATAGAGCTTGGTCATTGAAAGTATATCTCTAATTAAGAAACAATGAATTATACTCCTGCAATTCACCTGCCTCCATTTCCCTGATAGTCCAGACACTAAGTGATTCACCTAAGGTGAACTGACGGGTAACATCAGAGGATTTGCCAGTAAGAGAACCAGCAAAACCTTTGTAACTCCTCATTGGAGCCCCCTGGTGGCTACCTAATCTCCAACTCTAAACTCAACTGACCTCATAAAAATTTTCTAAAAATAAGACAGAACGAAAAACTAAAATAAAAGCAAGCTATATCACAATTGTATAAGATGAATTCACCTAAGGACTACTAATCGGTTAATATCTGGACTATCACATATATCTGCTGCTGGCACCAGAACTTGTGCCTAACTCCAGCACTCTACCTATCTTAACCCAGCCTTAAGTTAAGGTCATCATAGATGTTTCTCCTACAGCAAGGATTTTTTTTTTTTTACACGAACTGGATATCTTTTTTCTTTTTTTCTTTTCCTTTTCCTTTTTTTTTTTCTTTTCTTTTGAGACAGAGTCTCACTCTTGATGCCCAGGCTGGAGTGCAATGGCGCAATCTCAGGTCACTGCAACCTCCACCTCCTGGGTTCAAGCACTTCTCCTGCCTCAGCCTCCTGAGTAGCTGGGATTGCAGGCGCCTGCCACCATGCTCAGCTAACTTTCGTATTTTTAGTAGAGAGGTTTCTTAAAACGTGCTATTGTGGGTCGGGCACAGTGGCTCATGCCTGTAATCCCAGCACTTTGGGAGGCCAAAGCGGGCGGATCACGAGGTCAGGGGTTCGAGACCAGTCTGGCCAACACAGTGAAACCCCATCTCTACGAAAAATACAAAAAATTAGCAGGGTGTGGTGGTGTGCACCTGTAATCCCAGCTACTCGGGAGGCTGAGGCAGGAGAATCACATGAACCTGGGAGGCAGAAGTTGCAGTGAGCCGAGATCATGCCATTGCACTCCAGCCCGGGCGACGGTGCGAGACTCCGTCTCAAAAAAAAGAAAAAGTGCTATTGTGTTTCAATTGGGTAGACTATACCAGAAAAGTTGCCCATAGGCTACTCCCCAGAGATCCCTGGAAGGAAAGTTGAGTTCACTATTTGGCAAGAGTCTGGTTCAGTCTTCCTTCCCTCCTCTTCACCTTACTTTTCCACTCCCCAGCCCTTGCCAACCAACCCATCCTCACTCTCTCACTCCCCGACTCACATGCCCTCACTTTCTAGGCTCCAAACCTTGCATTTAAATGAACAGATCATAACCTGAATCATACCAACTTTGGGAATAGCAAGCTGAAGATGGTTCTCTAGATATATCTGTCTTTTTTTTTTTTTTTGAGACAGTGTCTCACCCAGGCTGGAGTGCAGTGGCGCTCACTGCAAGCTCCGCCTCCCGGGTTCACGCCATTCTCCTGCCTCAGCCTCCCCAGTAGCTGGGACTTCAGGCGCCCGCCACCACACCTGGCTAATTTTTTGTATTTTTAGTAGAGACAAGGTTTCACCGTGTTAGCCAGGATAGTCTCGATCTCCTAACCTCACAATCCGCCCACTCGGCCTCCCAAAGTGCTGGGACCACAGGCGTGAGCCACCATGCCTGACCAGATATATCTGTCTTATAGTTAGTCCTCAAATAGAAAAAAGCAAGGGAAATCCCCTCCCTCATATTCTCAGTACCAAACTCCTTAACACAAAATTCTAGCTGTCTTAACAGTATTCTAAAACGTCTTATTTAAACCAGGCACAGTGACTCACATCCGTAATCCAGGCACTTTGGGAGGCTGAGGCAAGCAGATCACTTGAGGCCAGGAGTTTGAGACCAGCCTGGGCAACATAGCAAGACCCTATCTCTACAAAAAAATTGTTTTAATTAGCCAGGTGTAGTGGTGCACATCTGCAGTCCCAGCAACTTGGGAGGCTGAGGCAGGAGAAATGCTTGAGCCCAGATGTTCAAGGTTACAGTGAACTACGATTGCACCCTGCACCCCAACGTGGGCCACAGACCAAGACCCCCATTTCAAATAAATAAAACTTCCCATTTTGCCTCAGGCCTCAATACTACCATGATAGCCATGGTATGTCTTGCTTGTCTATTCTTTCCCACCTATGACTTGCTTGTCTATTCTTTCCCAACACCCAGTCAAAAAATTTTAAAAGAACTAAGAACAAGGCCGGGTGTGGTGGCTCACACCTATAAACCAGGCACTTTGGGAGGCCAAGACAGGCGGATCACCTGAGGTCAGAAGTTCAAGACCACCCTGGCCAACATGGCAAAAGCCCATCTCTACTATAATCCCAGCTACTCAGGAGGCTAAGGCAGGAGAATCACTTGAACCCGGGAGGCAGAAGTTGTAGTGAGCCAAGATCACACCACTGCACTCCAGCCTGGGAGACAGAGTAAGACTCCATCTCAAAAAGAAAAAAGAACTAAGAATAAAAATTATATCCTATTTCCCCAAGTCAGAGACCTTGAGTTACCTAAACGAATGTAGTAACAACACCCCATGCTTACATTTCAATTCAATAAACTCAGATCTTAATTCAACAAAGTATTTCCTGGCTGGGCATGGTGTCTCACATCTGTAATCCCAGCACTTTGGGAGGCCGAGTCCAGAGGATCACTTGAGCCCAGAAGTTTGAGACCAGCCTGAGCAACATAGCAAAATCCCATCTCTACTAAAAATACAAACAAACAAACAAACAAACAAAATTAGCCAGGCGTCGTGGTGTGTACCTGTACTCCCAGTTATTTGGGAGGCTGAGGTGGGAGAATCACCTGAGCCCAGGAAGTTGAGGCTGCAGTGAGCTGTGAGCATACCACTGCACATCTACCATAGGGAAGGCACAGGCACAGTCCATACATTCCTTTGACAAATAGGTATGCAGCTTCTTCAAGCCAAAGTACTCTAAGGGCTAGGGATACAACTTAAGAGTATATAAGCAAAAAAAAAAATACATATATATATATATATATATATATGTATTTTTTTTTTTTTGAGACACTCTCACTCTTCTTACTCTTGCCCGGGCTGGAGTGCAGTGGCACGATCTTGGCTCACTGGAACCTCTACCTCCTGGATTCAAGTGATTCTTGTGCCTCAGCCACCTGAGTACCTGGGATTACAGGCATGCACCACCACACCTGGCTAATTTTTGTAAAAAATAAATATTGTTAAAAAGGAAACAAAGATAGGGTGATCAAGGAAAGTCTCTGAGGAGGTAAGATGTGAGCAAAGACTTGAAACAGTGTAAAGAAAAAAAATCCTGTTAAGATCAAGCTGACAGCAATCCATATGTATATGAATGTCCCAACCCCAGACAGTTTGAAGCATAAGGCAATAAGGCCAGTAATTACAGCTGTAAAGAAAGTAAAAGGAGACTAGTATAGTGGATGTGGTCAGAGGTAGCCATGGTTAAGGAATTTGAACTGTACTGGGAATGAGGAAGGCTCTGTGGTACTGCAAGGCACATAGTGCTTCACCTGAGTGAGATTGTATTACAGTAAAGGAGACAAGGCAAGTGTAAAGCCACTGTCATACAAGGCAGAATACTCAGAGCATGTACAAAATACAATGTGAGTCACTGAAAGAGTTAAAACCACATTAAAGTCAGGAAGGAAAGAGTTCAGAGGAGGTAGAACTTGAGATAAGACTATGGAAGAGAAAGGTACAGCATGAGGGTTATACAGGCTTGTTCAGCAAACAGCCAGGGATCCAACATGGCTGACATATTTGATATGCTTAGTAGAGTCCTGGGAGATTAGACTACTGCAGTAGGTTGCAGTAGGTTGTATTATAGAAAACCATTAATTATCTAATTCTGCAGGCAATGGAAAGCCACTGAAGGTTTGAGTTGTGGGAGAAGAGGGAGAGGAATAAAATTATCAGAGGGCTATTTGGTAAGGTATCTCTGACAATGATGGAATGAGGCTTTTACAGTAGTCCAAGTAAAAAAAAATTAAGAACCAAACTAGATGGTAGTTGTAAAGAGAGACCACAGCTGGGCGCAGTAGCTCACGCCTATAATCCCAGTACTCTGGGAGGCTGAGGCCGGCAGATCACAAGGTCAGGAGTTCGAGACCAGCCTGGCCAACATGGTGAAACTCCGTCTCTACTAAAAATACAAAAATTAGCCAGGTGCAGTGGCGGGCACCTGTAATCCCAGCTACTTGGGAGGCTGAGGCAGGAGAATTGCTTGAACCCAGGAGGCAGAGGTTGCAGTGAGCCAAGATCGCAACACTGCACTCCAGCCTGGGTGACAGAGCAAGACTCCATCTCGGGGAAAAAAAAAAAAAGAGAGAGAGAGAACAAATACAAAAGAGGTGGAGAAGCAGACAATGAAGAAAGCTGAATTGACAAAATTTAACAAATGGCTGGATGTTGAGGTTGCCCATATTGAGTCTGAGGTGCAGGTGAGACAGTCTGGATGATTCACAATTTGCTCCAAAACAAGCAAATAACCTATAATCCACAAAAATTACCAAAAGAGGTCCTACTTAGTGGAATAAGACTCTGGTTCATGATAAAAGCAAAGCTGCTAACCATCAAAAAAATCAGCCTTAGCCGGGCGTAGTGCTGCACGCCTGTAATCCCAGGACTTGGAAGGGCAAGGCAGGCAGATCATTTGAGACTAGGAGTTTAAGACCAGCCTGGGCAACATGGCAAAACCTCATCTCTACAAAAATACAAAAATTAGCCGAGTGTGGTGGTGCATGCCTGTAGTTCCAGCTACTCAGGAGGCTGAAGCAAGAGGATCACTTGACTCCAGGAGGTTGAGGCTGCAGTGAGCCAAGATTGTGTCACTGCACTCCAGCCTGGGCAACAGAGCAAGGCTGTCTCAAAAAACGAAAACAAAAACAGCCTTTACTAAAAAGTAAAATGACACTGATGATAAAATGATACAATGCCTAAAAGTGTTTCCTTTCACCCTAAGGAAAGGAAGAAAGGTCTTTACTTTATATAAATGTAATGTGCAATGAACAATGACAACATATAACCACAGTTAAGGGAGCGCCTAACCAGTCAGGGAGCCATATGACAAAGGCCAGGAAATCCTACTAGCGAACTATAGCAGAGCACTTGAATGGATTTCCACAAAGGAACAGGAGAAATGATCATTAAATAAATGCAAGTCAGGCACAGTGGCTCACGCCTGTAATCCCAGCACTTTGGGAGGCCAAGGCGGGTGGATCATCTGAGGTCAGGAGTTCAAAACCAGCCTGACCAACATGGTGAAACCCCGTCTCTACTAAAAATACAAAATTAGGGCCAGGCACGGTGGCTCACGCCGGTAATCCCAGCATTTTGGGAGGCCGAGGCAGGCAGATCACGAGGTCAGGAGATCAAGACCATCCTGACTAACACTGTGAAACCCCATCTCTCCTAAAAAATTACAAAAACTTAGCCAGGCGTGGTGGCGGGCGCCTGTAGTCCCAGCTACTGGGGAGGCTGAGGCAGGAGAATGGCATGAATCCAGGAGGCGGAGCTTGCAGTGAGCCGAGATCGTGCCACTGCACTCCAGCCTGGGCGACAGAGCGAGACTCCGTCTCAAAAAAAAATAGCCAGGCATGGTGATGCATGTTTGTAGTCCCAGCTACTCAGAAGGCTGAGGCAGGAGAATCCCTTGAACCCGGGAGGCGGGGGTTGCAGTGAGCCACGATCACGCCATTGCACTCCAGCCTGGGCAACAAGAGTGAAACTCTGTCACCAATAAAAAAAAATAAATGCTGTTCTATCCGCTGAGTGAGCTCTAGGTTATGGGGATGGATAATTTCAGAAACTTCAGTGTGCAAAAAGGAGCAGCTTCCATAATTAACTTTTCTGCCCAAAAACTTCCAAGTAACATTTATCAGTCAGTTTCAAATTAACATTTACTGATCAGTCTATTTTAAGGTACTCTATTTCAAACAAAGAATGGTATCACTTTCATGATTTTTTTTTTTTTTTTTTTTTTGAGACAGAGTCTCGCTCTGTCACCCAGGCTGGAGTGCAATGGCGTGATCTCGGCTCACTGCAAGCTCCGCCTCCCGGGTTCACGCCATTCTCCTGCCTCAGCCTCCCAAGTAGCTGGGACTACAGGCGCCCACCACCACACCTGGCTAATTTTTTTTTATTTTTAGTAGAAACGGGGTTTCACCATGTTAGCCAGGATGGTCTCAATCTCCTGACCTCGTGATCCACCTGCCTTGGCCTCCCAAAGTGCTGGGATTACAGGCGTGAGCCACCGCACCCGGACTCATGAGTTTTTTAAAGTACAATTTTTAAAAAAAGTTAGATAAGACTAATACCCTAAATAACTTTTAATTTTTTCATTAAAATAACTGACACTTTAATTCAAAATAGCCATCTAACTTTTTATATACTATCATCAAACAGTTTTGCCAGAGACATAAATCTGAAGACTACTCTACAAATGAATTTTCTACAAATAAAGTTAGTATATAGTGTTTAAATCAGGATTCAAAGAATCATTAAAGCCAGATTTTACAAAAGGTATGATTCCAAAGTAGGATCCATGTGTCCTAGGTTTCTGAAATTCCCATTTATTCAATATGCTACTATGGCCTTTCATACCTTTCACGCCCACAGAGGCTACAGCAAACAATCAGACATATAACCAACTAGCAATTCTGCCCTTATATTATCTGCCATTTTACATTTGTTTATTGCCTGCGTTCCCCGTTAAAAAATAATCCTCATGACAACAGTGACTGTGTTTTTACAACTGTATCCCCAATACCTAAAACAGTGCCTAACACGTAGCAGGCACTCAATGAGTACTGATCAATATATCCATAAGAAAAACAACAACTATATTCTTCCTACAAACAGATTCAAGCAATGACAATATACCCTGCTTCAATCTGCCACTTTTTACAGAATGATGTTTAATTTTGGTATGCGTCTCTTCCTGAATTGCAGAAAATACAGTTATCTTTGAGAAGGTTGGAAGATTCAGTGATTACTGAGAAGCACTCTTTAATACAGCTCAGGGTCTAGTCTGAACTTGTGGGACACATACAGGAACACCAGAGTCACTTCTGCACAATGAGACACAAATGGATGGATGCTCACCCCTCAATAAAGGCATATATGCAGTACAAAACATGCTAAGAAGGAATACCACAAGACTTAATTAGTGCTCAGAAGGAGCTTTGTGACACAAGATGAAAGGTACCACAGACACAGAAAACATTACAAAGGTGTGGCAATACAATACCTCAAAGACAAGAATCAGTTTGTGACCCTGATGTAATGAGGATTCCAGGGACCACTGACAATCTCCACTTACAAAGCAAAGCATGGAACAGACCCAAAGTATCAAATGCCCTGTAACAAAGAGAAACTGACATGATAAGTCCTGCGCTGTCCTCCCAGTTTTCCCTTCCACATTAGTACTAAAGTGCAGGTAGGCATTTCTTTCTTGGAAACAAACTTTTCTCCATATTGTCTACTTTCTGTCATTAATATCACTTACCTCCTGCCCTGTAGCTGCTTCCATATCAAGAAACAGATCAAGAAGAGATCGGACCAGGCGAGCTGCTTTAGCCTTGCTGATGGAATTCAAGAAGGGTCGTACATACTTCAGGAGTCCTCCAAGCTCTGTAGGAAAGGCAATTCAAAAAGAGGAGTAAACATCAACATTTGAGACAAAATACCCACTTAAGAAACTGACCCAACGTCATAAAAATCGGTACTTACATCACTGGAATCAGTCTAAGTGAAACTTACTAGGAGTTTAAAGCATTCCTAGCAAATAGCAGAATAGCAAAAATAAGTTAACATCATATACCAAATTTGCATTCTGTTCCCTACTCAGCCACTGGATTACTATGAAGTTGCAGGAAAAGCTCATGTCTCTGCTTCATTTATCCATCTTAATGAAAGATAAACAGCAAAGTATTCATAATCTCAAAAACCAGTTTTCTAGAACATGAAATATGCTGTGTCCCTGCCACCTTCACAAAATTACTTCCTCACAACCAATAAATATGATCAGGTCATAGGGGTAATTTTTTTCTAACTTCCAAGTCTGCTTCAGCTGTTCCCCTTAGACAGAGATTTTCTACTCCAGATTCCTTTTTCCTGTCTTTCTGCAGTGCTCCCCAGTTTAGCCTTTCTGCATTGTCACTTCCCTGGCACTCTTCTGAATAAACTTTTCACATAGAAGAGTGTTTTGCCCTTAAAGTGCTGCTATATCTCTTTTAAATTCCTCATTAATCTTCAAAACCTAAGTCTTAAACTATGACCAAAAAAGGGATCCATCACAGAGCTTTTCCCCCACTATATAGAAGAGGGCAGTATATGAACTCTAAAGAAACATCTTTTGAAACAATAAACTAGAGATATGCTTGTCAAATAGTAAAAATTAGAGAATGGTTCAACTCAACAACTAAGGAGGTATTTTGGAATGTAGGTTAAAATTACTTTAGTGCCACTGCCTCTTTAATATTCTCCAATTGCAGACTCACCCTCCTGAGAACTCTAATTCAGGGCAAGCAAACCTCACCCTCCAGAGAATGCTAATTCAAGGCCCTGAAATCCTCATCTGCCTGAATAGTCAGAGAATGCATGGGACTGTGTCCGGTACTTAAGAACTTGATATAGAGTAGAAAAGTTCATCTTTTCCCTTCACTCCCCAGTAATGACCTTTGATTCCCAATGTTTAAAACTTTTCGCCATTCTGCCACCTCATTCACCTCTGCACAAGACTACAGTATATACTCCTGCTTTCAAGAGGCACTAATGCCATAATCCCATCTGAAATGTCTTGCCATCTTCTCAGTCTATATAAACCTTATATATCCTTTTAGGTCCATCTGAAGTCCTATTGAGTTTCCCATGTAACTCCAGTCTACAGTGATTCTCCCCCTCAAATTCCTTTTGCATTTATTTCAATTATATTATGTAATGATAGCTTTTTAAAAGTAGTCTGAAGCAATGTCCCTTCTCCCACAGAATTTCCTCCTGTGCCTGAACAATTCTGAATGATTTCTAGTCACAGAAATGTTCACAAAGCAGCCTATTCCAATGTTGGCCAAAACAAATTATTCCTTTTTGAAACACAAAACACAAATCTATACCTTCTTTCACATGGCTTTAAATACTTAAAGATAATTATCATTTACATTTCCCTAATTTTCCCTTTATCCAAGCTTAACATCTTTGGCTATTTCAACTGTTCCTCCGAAGTCCTTGTTTCTAGGTAACTTAGTTGCTCTCCTCTGAACAAACTCTACTTTGTAAAGGTACTACTTGTGGTATTTTGTGGTACCCAGAAATGAAAACGATTGCTCCAGGTAGGGTCTGACAGTAGACCAGGAGGCAATTTAATTCTCTTGATCTGGCCATGATATGTAACACAAGATAGCATGTTTTGCTTTTTCTAACACCTCTCTTTGTTCAGACTGAGCCCATTAAAGTTCTTTTTAATAGACTACTGTCAAAACAGGTAATTCCCCCAACTTCCTCTGTTTTGAAAAATACTTTAAGTATATAATTTAATCCTTATCGCAACTGAATTTAATCTTCCTGGCTTTGGCAATAACTGTGAATTTTAATTCTGTCTTCTAACTGTACTGAGTCATCTACAAAAATAAGCATCCCTTCTGAAATGGCTTTAACCATGATTCCAGATGCTGACCAGAAAAACAAGGACAGATCCTCATGACACAATGCCTGAAGACTTCCCTTCAGGTTGACAAATGATCCATTTATTAACATGTTTTGGATACAGTTATTCAGCCCATTGTAAATTCATAACCTGTACCTGTGATATTAATATTATGGCAAATGTTCAACTACCCTGCTTACATCAGATATACAGTCTATATCATTCCTCTAATCCAGAGGCTGGCAAACTTTTTCTGTGAAGAGCCAGATAGTAAATTTTTTTGGCTTCACAGGTTATATGGTCTTAGTAGCAGGTCCTGAACTCAGCCAGTCACACACAATGTGGAAACAAATGGGCGTGGCTTTGTTCCAATAAAACTTTATTTACAAAAACAGGTGGCATGCAGACCCCTGAAAATCTATGGGTCTGATAAAGCTAACCAAAAAGAGAACTAGGCTGGGTGCAGTGGCTCACACCTATAATCCTAGCACTTTGGAAGGCCAAGACAGGCAGACTGCTTGAGCCCAGGAGTTTAAGACCAGCCTGGGCAATATGGCGAAACCCCCTCTCTACAAAAATTAGCCAGGCATGGTGGTGAAGGCCTGTAGTCCCAGTTACTTGGCGGGCTGAGGCAAGAGCACTGCTTGAGCCCAGGAGGTCGAGGCTGCAGTGAGCCAAGGTTGTGCCACTGCACTCCAGCTTGGGTGACAAAGTGAGACTCTGTCTCAAAAAAACAAAACAAAACAAAACAGAGAGAACTAAGGTGAATTTGGAATAATCTGTTCACAATAAATCCACTTTTTTTTAAGAGATTACTATCTCCTTATCAAATAATCTGTCCCAGAACTCTACCACTGATGACCATGTATAGTGTCTACTCTTTATTTTTAATTTCTTTATTTCAATGTGCAGCACACAGTGAATACATCTATTCTTTGCATTACCCTCTTGAAAGGCAGGATAACATTTGCCTCATCTTCCTTATACCTCTCCATGATTTTTCTCAGAATAATATATGGCTCTATAGTTATATCTGCTAAAACTATTTTTTTGATAATAAAAGAAACTGTTAGAGCCTAGAGACCTGAACTTATTTACAGAGACTATCTGCTCTGTCTTCTCTCACCTACCATTAATTATCTCTTTCTGCTGTTATTTCTATCTTTTGCAGTTTGAAAATCATTTTCCTTCCTAGAAAAGGCAGAAGTGAAATATGAGCTAAGCAGTGTGCCTTTCTAACACCTGCTAGCCTTACAATATTTTCTCTAAGCACTGAGTGTTATCCTTCTTACGCCGAAAGAAGCAAATGATCTCTTAGTTGTCCCCCTACATGTCTTTTTCTTTTTTCTTTTTTTTTTTTTTTGAGAAAGAGCCTCACTCAGTCACCCAGGCTGTAGTACAATGGCACAATTGTGGCTCACTGCAGCCTTGACTTCCCAGGCTCAAGTGATCCTCCTGCCTCTGTTTCCCAAGTACCTGGGACACAGGCACGCACCACCACACCCAGTCAATTTTTTTATCTTTTTTGTAGATATGTGGTCTCCTTATGTTACCCATGCTGCTTTAAAAAAAAAAAATTTTTTTTAACAGAGATAGGGTCTTTGCTGTGTGGTCCAAACTGGTCCACATAACTCCTGGCTTCAAGCAATCCTCCCACCTCAGCTTCCCAAAGTCCTGGGATTACAGGTGTGAGCCACTGTGCCCACCTGCATTTTTCAGACTCAGTTCATCATCTGTTTTAGTCTACTACTGTTTTATATTCATTCTTGTTTGTATTTCCTGTTTCCTTCCACTTTCATACATACTGAGTTAATTTTTTTTTAAGTCCCATAAAATCATACTGACTTCCTCCTATTCTTACTGGGATTATCTGTAATTATATGACCAGATTTTCCTTGTCAGAACCTCACAGAACTTGGCTGGGCGCGGTGGCTCACACCTGGAATCCCAGCACTTTGGGAGGCCAAGGCGGGTGGATCACCTGAGGTCAGGAGTCCAAGACCAGCCTGGCCAACATGGTGAAACCTCGTCTCTACTAAAAGAAAAAAAAAAAAAAAAAAATTAGCCGAGCATGGTGGCTCACGCCTGTAGTCCCAGCTACTTGGGGAGGCTGAGGCCCGAGAATTGCTTGAACCCAGGAGGCAGAAGTTGCAGTGAGCCGAGATCACACCACTGCACTCCAGCCTGGGCAACAGAATGAAACTCGGTCTCAAAAAAAAAAAAGGCCAGGCACAGTGGCTCATGCCTATAATCACAACACTTTGAAAGGCTGAGGTGGGTGGATCATTTGAGGTCAGGAGCCCAAGATCAGCCTGGACAACATGATGAAACTCCGCCTCTACTAAAAATACAGAAATTAACCGGGGGTGGTGGTGGGCGCCTGTAGTTCCAGCCACTTGGGAGCCTGAGGCAGGACCTCACAGAACTCAACAGATTCCTTTTAGAAGTTTTAGGCTATGAAATCCTGAGCCAAGGCATCATGTCTGATGATGCTCAACACTACTAACACTACTTGCAATCACAATTACACATCAGACATTGTTTTATTTGGTAATCCCCAAGTGATTTTTGTTGGCCAGGGATCCTATCTTAAATTTTTGAGTAGAATACTTAGCACAATGCTATGCATTTATTAAATGCATAAAAAAACTGAACATTAATGGAACAGACATATTTTCTGTTCTCAGGAGCAAACAATACAAACATATCATTAATAGCAAAGACAGCTAAATATATGTAGGCCTCAACACTTCCTTAGAGTTCCCATTGTGTATACCTATACTCATCAAACTTTCTTAGAAAACAATAAGTAACATGGAAATGTTTTTGAAAGTTCTTATAATTCATCTATTAAATTCCAATAGCTTTAGCAGTACACTTCTAAACTTCTCAGGTCACAAGGCAGGAAGGGCAAGAAATAAGGGGAGAATACATATAAAATAGGAATTTCAAGCAAAACAGTAACATTTTTGGATGAAAATTACTTAAGTATTGACTATATACCACACACTGTTCTTAATTCATGCCACTGGAGGAAAGTAGAAATTTGGATATTTCAACAACAAAAAAATCTTTTTTTGAGACAGGGTCTTGCTCTGTCACCCAGGCTAGAGCACGGCAGTGTGACCATAGCTCACTACAGCCTCAACCTCCTCGGCTCAAGCAATCCTCCCACCTCAGCCTCCAGAGTAGCTGGGACTACAGGCACATAACACCACACCCAGCTAATTTTTCTATTTTTTGTAGAGACAGGGTCTCATTATGTTGCCAGAGCTGGTCTCAAATTCCTGGGCTCAAGGGATCCTCCTACCTCAGCCTACCAAAGTGCTGGGATTACAGGCATGAGCCATCACGCCTGGCTAACAACAAAAAAAATTTTCACATCACTTCAGTTGGCTTTATAATTCAGAAAAATTACCTTATTATATTTTGCATGGAGTAATTATCAAAACTGTTTTGGAACCCCCCAAGCTCAAATTAACTGACAGACAAGTGGAATCCTTATGTATGTTAAATAGGAAGGAAGTCAGCCTAAGATGAAAAGACACCACCCACCAATGATAATTCATTTAAGTAGACAGTTATAGGAAAGCAATAACCATGATGTCATGTGGCTATATGGGCTCTGAAGTAAGACTACATGAGCTCAAATCCTAGGTCTACCAGTTATTAGTTGAATGAGCTTTGTTAAGTTATTTAACTTTTCTGTGCTCAGTATCCTCATGTGTAAAATGGTAACAAAACCTACTTCAAGTTGTTTCGAGGATTCAATTAAGTTAAACCATGTATGTGTTTAGAAGAGTAACCACTTGGCCAGGTGCAGTGGCTCACACCTGTAATCCCATCATTTTGGGAGGCCAAGGCAGGTAGATCACCTGAGGTCAGGAGTTCAAGACCAGCCTGACCAACATGGTGAAACCTCGCCTCTACTAAAAAAAAAAATACAAAATTAGCCGGGCATAGTGGCGCATGCTGGCAATCCCAGCTACTCGGGAGGCTGAGATAGTAGAATCGCTTGAACCTGGGAGGCAGAGGTTGCAGTGAGCCGAGATCGCACCATTTGCACTCCAGCCTGGGCAACAAGAGCAAAACTCTGTCTCAAAAATAATAATAATTAAAAAAAAAAAAGTTCATAGCACTCAAAAACCATTATGGATGGTTCTTTTTATAGCTACTTAATGATGTTTTAAGTAAGATATAAGGCCCATGTAAACACATCCTCACAATTTCATACATCTTTATTCAGCTCTATAGACTGAGCCTAATAATTAATAAGTTAGTTATCTTTAATTGAAAAAAATCACTGGCCGGGCACAATGGCTCACACCTGGAATCCCAGCACTTTCGGAGGCCGAGGTGGGTGGACCATGAGGTCAGGAGTTCAAGACCAGCCTGATCAACACAGTGAAACCTCGTCTCTATTAAAAATACAAAAATTAGCCAGGCTTGGTGGCGCGTGCCTGTAATTCCAGCTATTCCGGAGGCTGAGGAAGGAGAATCGCTTGAACCCAGGAGGCGGAGGTTGCAGTGAGCCAAGATCGCACCACTGCACTCCAACCCGGGTGACACAGCAAGACCCCGTCTCAAAAAAAAAAAAAGAAAAAGAAAAAAAAAATCTTTAGTTCTCAAGTTGAAGAAGTTGTGCTAACTAACCCCCATCATTCTCTTGAACAACATAATTTTAGGGAAAATAATTCATGAGGTCACTTACCAGATCTTAATCCAATCTAATCAAATAAGCTCTAAATTCACTTTAAACTTGACAAAAATCACCCATTTAAGTTTAAACAGACTTCTCTCTAAATACTATTACCACTTTACTGGTAAAAGGTCCTTCCTGATCAAAAGGACTCCCTTCTCATTCCAAGGACACACCCATCATCAGAATATTATGTCAAATCTAATCAGTCAATGGTTCAATTACAACTAGAATGTTTGAGCAATGATGTGCACAAAGTCCTAGGTATGAATGCAGAAGTCTTGGGAAGGCTCCATTTAATGTCTTATTCATTCTCATTCTGAATCTATCAAAAAAAAATGACAGTGAGTCACTTGGATACAAAATCCTTTGTCATTTTTAAATCAGGCGCTTAAAGTTGTTATCTATCTTAAATACATCAGAGTTGCTCAGTGAAATTATTGAAGACTGTTGCTGCCTCTATGTAAGGGAATACAGTGAGAATTCAAAAACCAGAAACAAATCAGAAATCACTATATCCCAACAAAAATAAGATTGTCTCTCATTTGCAAAACTAAACTACCAGGAAAGAAGTGAGTTTAAAGGCCACTTAATTGCCTGCTAAAAAACTGAAGCTCAACAAGTTGCCAAGAAAATAAAGCTGAATTCAGTTTGTGGATCAGTCCCATGATTCTTCACTCCAACAAAAGACAGGAATTTCACTGAGCATTTCAGATACAATCCATGTGTAGCACTTACCTGCAGCTTGTCCAGTCTTTGCCAGGAGAGATCCCAGTTCCAGGATGCTCTGCTCTTTGACTTGCACTGCCTCTTCATCGTTTTCCTGAATGTCACGCTTCACTGGGAGAGGAAAATGCAAACCCTCTTAAAATTCTGACCAAAAAATGAAGACTGAGGGAAATTTCACCCTCATAAGATCCATTACAAACTCAAACATATTTACCAAAAGACAAATTCTAGAGTTAAAAAAAAAAAAAAAACTCTAAGCCAGGAAAAAAAAAAGATCATATATACGTAGAATATGCTCCATGTAAATCATAAAAAAAGGATTCTTCTCTTTGATTTTAAATGTGCCTTTTCATTCTACCCAGCAGAATTTTGCTTACCTACATACACTAAGTTTCTGTTGTGGTCACTTGGTTAAAGTGAAATTAAAACAAAACAAATCCTTCATACTTATGGTGCCAAGATCTGTTCCAGTCACTATTTTATGGGAAGATATTAAACATGCCTGTGCGTTTATGCCACAAACTAAAATCAATTGACCAAGTTACTGATGCCTGTAAGTCAAAAGCGTTTCAATAAACTTTAGGTCTGTGCAAAGCCTCAGCTGATGGGTGTGTTAGGGATAAGCAGGTCTATAAAGCCATTCAAGAAAAACAACTCTATCAAAGCCCCAGATCCTGCACAGCTACACTTAGGGGAGACTGCTGCTTTTTAATGCATTGAGGTCTGTTAAAATAACTTTGTGCTATCTGTCCTATTTTCAACAGTTAATAACTATTTTAACATTCAAACATGGAATAGCCTCTCCAAGTTTGTAGTGATCATCACTAGTTACTACTACTCTTACAAAGCATCATGACTTGACAAAAACCATGATGGAGTCCAGAAAAAGTAAGGCCGTCAACCACCATGACTCAAGCTTGCTCTAACAGTGAAGCTTTCAGGGAACTCTCCCCTAGAATAGTGGGCCAACAGGAAATACTCTAATTGTAATATTTGACGTAATTTCTACTTTATGAAAGAAAAAATATTAGACACTAGACACAGACTATTAAAATTCATGCTCCTCACATTAGTTCTAAATAATAGTGTGTACTCAGAATAAAATATCCATGTAACGGTGATTGAGATGACTCTGGTTCCGTAGAAGTAACTGACCTAAGATCAGAACTTTTAAAATGAAACACCTTTTACCAATATCATTCAAAGATACACCTTGACGCCCACTTCCTCTCCTTCTCTAGTATCCCCAATGATAAAGTATCAAGATCTTGTCATTGTCCTTTCTCCGTGCAGGTCTGGAATACCAAAATTCAACACACTAAGTCAAATGCCAACATCTTGCAAGTCCCACATACAGGTGCATTCTCATACTACTTGTTGAGCCAATTCAGATCTTCCCAAACTACACTACAAAGATGCCATTACATGTGCAGTGAAGAGCTAGTCCAAGCCCTAATTGAATCCTTTATGAGTGAACATTAACGTCTTCTTCTGTCGTAATAAATTTCTGTTCACACTTGAATCCCAACAGAAAGCTGCCGGAAGCGACTGGCTGGGATTCCCATTTCAGTTTTCCTGTTGTGTGTAGGTGTAAGACCATCGTTATTACAGCGTTAAGAAATTTTAATTTTTCCGGCAACATGCAGCCGACCCGTTCCAAAGAATTCCCTGAACTCCGCGGCTGACAACTAACTCCCTTAACTCACTTCCAACCCCTACAGGCAGTCTGGAAAGATTAGTCACCTCCTCTAGCCAGGCGGTCCCGCTCCAACACCTCACTCTTACACCCTACACAGAGCAGATGAGCGTCTCGGCCACCTCCACAAACCAAATGCCAATCTGAGGTGTGTGTCACCCCTGAATTTCCCACATTCTGAAAGAGACCCTCCTCTTAGTGGAGCTTTCTGCCGTGGGGCTGAGGAGTAGCAGCTCCCAGCGTCCCGTGGAAGGAAACTCCCAGAGAAGAGCAAGCGCTCGCGCTCCCACCCGGAGCAGGCTGTGCTGATTACAACGGCGGGAAATGCCTGTCCAGAGCTGGTTTCGCCAAGGCCTTTCAAGTAGAGACTCTAGGACCAGTCCGTGACAAGCACGCCGGCCGGCACTGCTCCGGGTCCCAGACCAGCTCGTGCGGGCCAGAGCCGGGGACATGGCTAGGGAGGGATCCCCGGGGGCCCGGCTCGGCCCACTCTCCCACCCTACGCTGAGCCCCCCGTGAGTCAGCAGCCGGCGAGGGGACCCGGGGATTGCCTCAAGCCCTCCCACAAGAGTGAGACCTGGGAGGCTCTGGGGAGCTCCGAGCGGCCTGCGCCCCCGGCCCGGCCCCCCTCACACAGTGAGTCAGCAGCATCAGAGCCGGCTAGCCGGGCCCCTCTCCGCTGCCGCCGACCGACATAAGCCGAGCTGGGCCGGCGGGGCCGGGGAGGCGGCGCGGCGACCTTTACCGATGGAGTGGAGGATGTCGATGGAGGCCTCCCGGTCGGTGCTGAGTAGAGACTGGGCTCTCTGGAACTCCACCACCGCCGCCGCCGCCATCTTACCGCTCTCACACCGTCCCCGGCCGCGGCCGCCGACGCCGGAAACACACACCCGGAAAGCCCGCCCTCGGGTCCCTCCGCCTGTAGCTCCCGTGGCTCCGTTCCCAGAGCACTCCGGGAGTTGTAGTCTCTCCGCCGGGCGCGGGCTGAGGGGTGGGGAGAGCGGGACCGCCTCGCAGGTGGGCTGCAAGCTCCCCAGCGCCTCCTAGCGGGCGGCCGGCGAGGAAAAGAGGCGGTGCCCCGCAGTGGGAGCTCTAGATCGGTCCCCGCCCACCCCAAAAGAGGCTTCTTGATTCCGGCCCCGCTCGCGCACCCCTGAGAGGGGTTCCTGAGTACTGGGCTAGGTATTGAGTCAAAGCTGCGTGGCTTTCTTTGCGGCTTCCACGATTTAACCATTCATTCGGGACGATAAGTGACCTTATAAAGTGCTCGCTATGTGGCAAAGAATAGCACCATTCGAATGCGTTCCAGTGTCTGACGCCTGTGCGCCGCACACACGCTTTCCAGGCTTGACTCCCGCAGAACGCTGGCCGGCAGGTGGGCAAACCCGCCAGGACCGGAGAAAACTGTCCTCACGCGCCCATTTAACCTTGGGACAGTGCTGGACGTGATGAAGTGAAACATCACCTTTGCTCCATTCACGCCACAAATACCTCTTGGGAATCCACAGAAGCCTCACCCAGCTCCCCAGCTCAAAGAAAAAAAAAAAAAAAGGAAGGAAGGAAGGGAGGGAGGGAGGGACGGAGGAAGGAAAAAATTGAATTATTCTTCCCAATATCTTCAGCCCCTTCAACTAAAGTCACAGATATCAGTGAAGACGTCGTGTGGACGGAAAAATGACATTCTATGAGACCACTTAGGGTTAAACTTAAGAAAGGTGCTAAAAGGATACAAAGACAATTCAGTATTAAGGAAGACCTTTCTCTAGGTGATGACGATCCAAAAATGGAATGTGCTGTCCCATAAAAGGAGGCAAAAAGGGGACTAACATTGCACACCCTCCTCTGTAAGTGGATTAGGCCATTTATATTCCTCTATCTCCTTTTATTCTCCCAACAATGTTCTGTAAAGCAGATATTTACTCCCCTTTAATATGTGAGGAAACAGGGGTTTGAGTTATTTGGTGAAGCTCAAATCGTGATTGGGAGAGATAAGAGCTGCCGGTTAGGGAATGCCTTCCTAATTCCTGGGTGTGTTCACGTGAAAAGTAGTTGACATCTCATCAGGTTGTTGTAAACAGGATTCATGACTTTGATGGAGAGTTGGATTAAATGGCTTCTAGCAAGGCGCGGTGGCTCATGCCTGTAATCCCAGCACTTTGGGAGGGCGAGGTGGGCATATCGCTTGAGCCCAGGAGTTTGAGACTAGCCTGGGCAACATAGACCCCCGACTCTACTAAAAATACAAAAATTATCCGGGCATGGTGGCGCACGCCTGTAGTCTCAGCTACTTGGGAGGCTGAGGTGGGAGGCTTTAGAAGAAATCATAGGAGAGGATAGAGTGCTGGCCTCACTACAAAGAGGGAGTACCATAAAACAGTGGACCCCAACATTTTTGGCACCAGGGACCAGTTTTGTGGAAGACAATTTTTCCACGGATGTGAGGAGGGGGGATGGTTTTGGGATGAAACCGTTCCACCTCAGATCATCAGGCATTAGATTCTCATAAGGAGCAGGCAACCTAAATCCCTGGCATGCTCAGTTCACAATAGGGTTTGCCTCCTATGAGAATATAATGCTGCAGCTGATCTGACAGGGGGCGGAGCTCAGGCAGTAATGCTGGCTCCCCAGCCGCTCACCTCCTGCTGTGAGGCCTGATTCCTAACAGGCCACTGACCAGTAGTGGTCCTTGGCCCAGGGTTGGGGACCCCCACTGTAAAAGACTAGGAGTGTCTGCCAGATCTTTCTCCCAAGCTAGTGAGTCTTGCTGACTGTGGAAACTTATGAGCCCATCCCTGTGTGATCATCATGGTGAAAGTTTTGAGATGAACTAGACATGTCTCTTGAGGAGTTTGGCATGTGTGCACATTCATGAAGATGGGCACCCACTTCTAGCCTGCAGAATTCTGAATTAGGGAAGCTGGCTGGCACACTCTACAATAGGACAGGGAGAAAAGGCAACAATAGGGTAGCTTCCACTCCCTGTGTTTGACATGGCAAGGTTCTTATGAGCCAAGAGGATGCTGAAAAGGTAGATCATCCGGGACCTTCTTAAAGGAACCTATTCAGTAGGACCGTATGCTAGTGTAAGGAGACCCAGAAATAAGTTGATGGAAGTGTGGACTTCAGGAGGCAGTCACTGATGGGAGTCTTGAGATCCACAGGTAGATCCTCCAAAGAACACAAGAATACATAAATGCTCCCAACGAGAAAGAACCAGCACCTGGGTCTCTGCCTCTGACGTCATCAGTCATGTAAGAGAAGAGACCTTGACCTCTTTTAATTCCTCCTACTTCTCTGCTTTCACCAAAACCTCCTCCACCCTGGAGGAAACCCAGAAACAGCAGAGTGAGAGGGTGGAGAATGAAAAGAGTGAAACTGCAGACCAAACACAAATTTTCAACTGCCTGAGACTTAGAGACAGGGGAAAAGCTTTAAGTTAGATATGAAATTAAAGTTTTGCTTTAGGCTAGACTGGACTTTCAATCATTATAAATGGCATAAAAGAGATTTAGGGGCCAGGTGCAGTGGTTCATGCCTGTAATCTCAGCACTTTGGGAGGCTGAGGCGGGCGGATCACGAGGTCAGGAGTTTGAGACCAGCCTGGCCAACATGGCAAAACCCCGTCTCTACTGAAAGTACAAAAAAATTAGCCAGGCATGGTGGTGTGTGCCTGTAATCCCAGCTAGTCAGGAGGCTGAGGCAGGAGAATTTCTTGAACCCAGGAAGTGGAGGTTGCAGTGAGCCAAGATCACCCCACTGCACTCCAGCCTGGGTGACAGAGTGGGACTCTGTCTCAAAAAAAAGAGAGAGAGAGAGAGAGATTTATGAGATTTTCCCATGGCATCTCCAGGGCAAAGGAAGGAAAATCCAATATTTGCCTTCAACTAGGCTAGCCACTTAGTAGCTGATGACTTTAACATGTTTCTTAATTTCTCTGATCTTTGGTTTTCTCATCTACAAAACAGGGATAATAAAATCTAGCTCACCACCTGTAATTCCAGCACTTTGGGAGGCCATCTTCATTACATAATACTGAGACTCTATATTATAGGGATCACAAACTACTGTGTAGTAGTCACCTGTCATTGATTGCATCCACAGGTTAACAATGTCCCTAAATGTAAGTATTACTAAAATGAAAGTCATTCTCAGAAATGTGACATTCTCAGTGTCACACTCACCCTCTTACTATGCCATTCTTCCCCACTTTGAGATTCTTTGTACCTCCTCTGTATATCTCTAATGCTCTGGCCTTGTGAGAGTCTGGTTAGCATCCTCCTTACTGTGGTCCACAAAGTGTCGCATAATCTGGCGCCTGCCTACTTCTCCAACTTCGACTCTTATCACTTTGCCCCTTACACACTTTGCTCAGCTGACCTTTTCTTTTTTTTTTCTTTTTTTTTTTTTTTTGACTCTAACATGCCACGTTCCTTCTCACTTCAAAGCCTTTATATTTTCCCCTCAAAGGTTTCAGCTCAAAGGTCATTTCCACAAAGTGGCCTTCTGTGCAATCCCATCATAAGTAATCTCTTATGCCTTCAATCTAGTAACCATCACATCATTCTATTTCCTTCCTAGCATTTAACACAGTCTGTGATTTTATTACGTCAATTTTTAAATTTTTTTAATGTAAATTTTATTTTTACTTTTTTTTTTTAATTTTAAGTTTTTTAGACACAGGCTGGGCACAGTGGCTTACACCTGTAATCCCAGCACTTTGGGAGGCTGAGGTGGGTGGATCACCTGAGGTCAGAGTTCAAGACCTGCCTGGCCAACATGGCAAAAACCCGTCTCTACTAAAAATACAAAAATTAGCTGGACATGGTGGCAGGCACTTGTAATCCCAGCTACTCAGGAGGCTGAGGCGGGAGAATCACTTGAACCCGGGAGGTGGAGGTTACAGTGAGCCGAGATCAGACCACTGCACTCCAGCCTGGGCAACAGAGCAAGACTTCGTCTCAAAAAAAAAAAGGATTTTAGAGACAGAGTCATGCTCTGTTGCCTAGGCTGGAGAGCAGTGGCATGATCATAGCTCACTGTAGCCTTGAACTCCTGGGCTCAAGTGATCCTCCTACCTCAGCCTCCTGAGTAGCTGGGACTATAGGGATGCCCTACAATGCCGGGCTGATTTTTTTTTTTTTTTTTGAGATGGAGTCTTGCTCTCTTGTCCAGGCTGGAGTGCAGTGGTGCGATCTCTGCTCGCTGCAACCTCCGCCTCCTGGGTTCATACCATTCTCCTGCCTCAGCCTCCTGAGTAGCTTGGACTACAGGCGCCCGCCACCACGCCCAGCTAATTTTTTGTATTTTTAGTAGAGAGAGGGTTTCACCGTGTTAGCCAGGATGGCCTCGATCTGCTGACCTCGTAATCTGCCCACCTCGGCCTCCCAAAGTGCTGGGATTACAGGCGTCAGCCACCATGCCTCACCCAGCTGATTTTTCTTTTTTTGAGAGACAAGGTCTTGCTATGTTGCCCAGGCTGGTCTCAAACTCCTGGCCTCAAGGGATTCCTCCCACCTTGACCTCCCAAAGTGCTGGGATGACAGGCATGAGCCACTATGCCCAGCCTGTTTCACTTGTTTGAATCTCATCTCCCTCCAAAAGGTTGCAGGACTACATGCTATAGAAAATGAGCGCAGAATTTGAAGTCAGACAAACATGGAGCTCAATATTATCTCTGCTACCAACTAATAGTCAAATTACTTAACTATCTGATACAAAGTTTGATCATCAGTAAAACTACTTTAAAAATTGATTTTACTTAATGGTTGTACAATAATGTGATTGTATTTAATGCCACATAACTTTTTTTTGTTTTGTTTTGTTTTTTGTTTTTTGGGTTTTTTTTGAGATGGAGTCTCATATTGTCACCCAGGCTGGAGTGCAGTGGTGTGATCTCGGCTCACTGTAACTTCTGCCTCCTGGGTTCAAGAGATTCTCATGCCTCGGCCTCCTGAGTAGCTGGGACTACAGGCACCCACCACCACGCTCTGCTAATTTTTGCATTTTTAGTAGAGACAGGGTTTCACCATGTTGGCCAGGCTAGTCACGAACTTCTGACCTCAAGTGATCTGCCTGCCTTGGCCTCCCAAAGTGCTGGGATTACATGGGTGAGCCACCGCGCCAGGCCAGAACTGTACAATTTTAAATGGTTAAAATGGTAAATTTGATGTTATTCATATTTCACCACAATTTTAAAATTTTACTTCACAGATTTGTTGAAATTTATTTTTTTTAAGAGACAAGGTCTTGCTATGTTGCCAAGGCAACTCCTGGATTCAAGACATCCTCCTGCCTTAGTCTCCCAACTAGCCAGAACTACAGGTACACACCACTGTGCCCAGCTTTGAAGTTTAAATTTTTAAAGACACTAGAACACTTCAGTGCTATTACTGACACATATATAAGTATTCAATCAGTGGCAGTTATTAAAATTGCAATTAAGTCGCTGATTAAATTAGCTGATTAGCACCCACTACTCCCCTTCCTCAGGGAGCCCAGTTGGAGGGCTAAATGAATCTTTAATAGATAATTTTCATAGTAATAGAGTGGTGATCAATTGTCAGTTCTATTTCCCTTTTATTTTATTTTATTTTTTTTAGGAGACGGTGTTTGTTCTTGTTGCCTGGGCTGGAGTGCAATGGCGTGATCTCGGCTCACCTCAACCTCCGCCTCCCAGGTTCAAGCAATTCTCCTGCTTCAGCCTCCCGAGTACCTGAGATCACAGGCGCCCACCACCACACCCGACTGATTTTGTATTTTTAATAGAGACGGGGTTACTCCATGTTGGTCAGGCTGGTCTTAAACTCCCAACCTCAGGTGATCCACCCACCTCGGCCTCCCAAAGTGCTGGGATTACAGGCATCAGCCACTGCCCGCAGCCCAACAGGTAATTTTCATAGTAATAGAGTGGTGATCAATTGTCAGTTCTAGTTCCCATCTTAAGCTTCCTCACCCTCAGTCTCGTCTCCCTCCCCTCCCTGTCACGCTTCTTTCTGTCCTCATGCCACCCCCAAACATGCTACACAGCCCTAATTTTCCCTATGCTACTCTATATTCCAAAACAATTTTTTTCTATATAGCTCTTGATTGTTCACCGATCTTTCTAAACATTTTGTATCCCAAAGTTGAGCAAATAGAGGAATACTATGATGTACTATCCTGCCAATACAAGCATATATGCTCCTCCTTCTCCTCTCTCTCCTACCCTATTGTTACTGGAAAAAGGAGTCTTGGTCCAGACCCCAAGAGAAGGTTCTTGGCTCTCGCACTGGGAAGAATTCAAGGAGAATCGGAGTGCAGTGAGAAGAGATAGTTTATTGAAAGCTACTCCATTATAGAATAGAGTGTCCTTGGAAAGCAAGTGGAGGAACACATAGTCTTTAAGTTTTTCTTCTATAGGGATCTTTGTCTATACAAAGACTAAACTAAGCTGTGCCTACATGCGGATGGGCAGACAGCATGACCAAATTTATTATGGTATTGATTTAAAGAAACCTATCCTTGACATTCTACTGTGTGAGTACATCAAAGCATAACTATCTTTAAAAAAAAGCATAATTATCTTGAAAGCAAATCTTGTTATGGGTATTGGGACATCTGGGCTTTTCTGTTTTTGTAGAAGTCTGTCCTTGCAGGTAATCTTTAGGTTGTTTCCTCAACTATAAACATCTTATGACCATGGGTCATGCTAGTTTTTTTTTTCTTCAGAGTCTCACTCTTGTTGCCCAGGCTGGAGTGCAATGGTGCAATCTCGGCTCACTGCAACCTCTGCCTTCTGGGTTCAAGCGATTCTCCTGCCTCAGCCTCCCAAGTAGCTGGGATTACAGGTGTGCACCACCACACCCAGCTAATTTTTTTTTTGAAACGGAGTTTCGCTCCTGTTGCCCAGGCTGGAGTGCAGTGGTGCGATCTTGGCTCACTGCAACCCCCGCCTCCAAGGTTCAAGCGATTCTTCTGCCTCAGCCTCCCGAGTAGCTGGGATTAAAGGTGCCCACCATCACACTGGGCCTAATTTTTGTATTTTTAGTAAAGACAGGGTTTCACCATGTTGGCCAGGCTGGTCTTGAAGTCCTGATCTCAGGTGATCTGCCCAGTCCAGCCTCCCAATGTGCTGGGATTACAGGAGTGAGCCACTGCGCATGGTGTGTCTTGCTGGTTTTAAGATGGAGTTGATTGGCCGGGTGAGGTGGTTCACACCTGTAATCCCAATACCTTGGGAGGCTGAGGCGGGCAGATCACCTGAGGTCAGGAGTTCGAGACCAACCTGGCCAACATGGCAAAACCCCATCTCTACTAAAAGTAGAAAAATTAGCCGGGCATGGTGGCAGGTGCCTGTAATCCCAGCTACCCAGGAGGCTGAGGCAGGAGAATCGCTTGAACCCAGGAGGCAGAGGTTGCAGTGAGCTGAGATTGGGCCACTGCACTCCAGCCTGGGCAACAAGAGGGAGATTCCGTCTCAAAAAAAAAAAAGATGGAGTTGATTTTAAAATGACCTTATTCTGGCTCTCCTAGGCTCCTGCTTCCCTAACGCTATGACAAGGAGTTAAGGCTTGCAGTTCTACACTAGTGCTGACTCCATAACTATGCATTCATTACCATTCGAGCTCTGGAGAGGGGGAAAAATAGTAAAAAACAAGGAAAATGTACATTATATTTTTATCTCTTTTGGGGAACCCTTCTCTCACATACTGCCACATCTCCCCAGACCTCCAGACACCTTATCGTATTTGAATTGTATTACAGTTCTCTTTTAGTGAAAGTCTGTTAGTGATAACCTTGTCTTTGACTTTATTTTACTCTCACTCTTTATTGATAGTTCAAGTGGGTATAAAATTCCTACATTGTAACTTTTCAGTCAACATTTTAAAGGTGACTGTCTTCAGTCTAATCGAAGTTCCTTTGTAGGTAATCCATCTTTTCCCTGTAGTTAATTTTAACAAATTTTTTGTTTTCAGCTTTTATCAGCTTCACTACAAAATATTTACATCCTGATCAGGATGCACCAGCTTTCCTGAATCTCAGGATTCCTGCCTCCCAGTAATCCTGGAAAATTATCTGCCATTATCTCTTCAAATATTGCCTTCTCTGTCTCCCTTCTATCTTGGAAATCTTATTACATGTAAGTTAGATCTGCATTGTCCAGTATAATAGTCACTAGCCACATATGGCTGTTGAGCACTAGCTAGTCCAAACTGAGCTGCGTGTGGTATAAGTGCAAAATACACACTGGGTTTCAAAGACAGTAGGAAAAAAAGAATATAAAATATTTATTCGTGACTTTATATTACACAATGAAATAATATTTTGGATTAATTTCATGTGTTTCTTTTTACTTTCTGTTAGGTTGGTACTAGAAAATTTAAATTATGCATGTATGTATCTCATATTATATTTCTATTGGACTGTGTAAAACTATCTGCATCTCTTTTCCATATCTTTTATATTTTCTATCTCCTTGTCTCTCCATACTACCTTACAAGGAATTTTCTTAATTTCATTTAATAGTTACTGGATTATATCATCAGCTCTTTCTAATCTGCTACTTAATCCATCCACTAAACTTGTTTTGCTTTGTTTTCCAGACAGAGTCTCGCTCTGTTGCCCAGGCTGGAGTGCAGTGGTGCAATCTCAGCTCACTGCAACCTCTGCCTCCCGGGTTCAAGCGATTCTCTGGCCTCAGTACCCTGAGCAGCTGGTACTACAAGCGCACGCCACCATGCCTATTTTGTTGTTGTTGTTGTTGTTGGGGTTTTTTTTTGTATTTTTAGTAGAGATGGGGTTTCACCATGTTGGCCAGGCTGGTTTCGTACTCCTGAC
The DNA here is from genome assembly GCF_000001405.40 of Homo sapiens. Taxonomy (NCBI): domain Eukaryota; kingdom Metazoa; phylum Chordata; class Mammalia; order Primates; family Hominidae; genus Homo; species Homo sapiens. The sequence continues at coordinate 32,435,543 of NC_000017.11, read as the reverse complement.
CTCAAGTGATCCGCCTGCCTTGGCCTCCCAAAGTGCTGGGATTACAGGCGTGAGCCATCGCGCCCAGCCCATTCACTCAACTTTAGTGTTAACCAACTTAAAACATATTTTTTGGTCCTCCTGCTTGCACTATGACAGCCAACATGAAGCCGCAGGGGCGGCCGCCCAGAGTCAGAGTCTGAGTTGTGGTGACCAGCTGCAAGCATCCGTGTTGTGTCCTCCTGGGGAGGAGGAAAGGGTCATTTGGAGCCAGCAGTTTTCAGCTTTCTGGGGGTCATTTTGGAGTTCAGTAAGAACTGGGAAGAATGTGCTCAAAGGGAAACCTGGGAAGAAGCTCTTCACCTGAAAAATGTTCGCTTTGCCTCAGTTGTGAATTCTTTCACTGAGAAGAATTACCATTATGTTACTGTATTAATGAAAGGAGAAGTGGACGTGACTCATGATTCAGAACCAAAGAATGTAGAGCCTGAAAAAAATGAAAGTTGGGAGTGGGTTCCCTGGGAACAATTTCCTCCTTCTGGGCCCTGTGTTCTTTAAAAGAACAAAACTATGTTCCATTTAAAGAAGATCTGAACCATCTGGTAGGATACAAAGGAAATCATCTCTAGGTGGCCAAGAAGATTTCTTGATTTTCTTTAAAAGACAAAAATAAGGTCAGGTTAGGGAATGAAAAATATCTACATTTCGGTGCAACTCCATTTTATCTAAAAAAGTTCTTGTGATCACCAGTTTATTTGCAGTCTCTTAATGTACCCACCACCCTTTCAGCTAGTACTTGATAACATTTTTCTGAAATATGTATAATTGAATTATATTTCAGACACAGGATATATGATAAATACTGATATTATGGGTAATCTGCTTTCCATATTTACCTGTGATATTTACTGTGCAGTTTGTCATTACTAGCTTGCATGGAATAGGATGCAGTCGAATTTGCCTTAGTGTTCTGTTCAAATAGAAATCAGAATTCAAATATTGTAGTTTAGATTCAAACACAGTATGCCTGTTGCAAAATTTACCAAGTTTGTTGATTTATTAATTTAAATTATTTTTAAAATTATTAATTTATTTTTAAAAAGTGGATTGGGGGTAATACATTGTGATAGTCTTTGCAACTTACAGGGAATGGGACAGGCCATTAGGGTGTATTTCCCAGGTTTCCAACTGAGAACCTAAACCCAGAGAAGTGAGACAAACCATCTAATGTCTGTATCCTACTATTGACAGGCTGTGTGATGTTGGATTTCTCATTTACTCTCTCTGAGGTCCAGGGTCCTTATTTGTAAAATGATGACATTCGTCTAGAGCAGTGGTTCTCAAAGTATGGTCTGGGGGTCTTCAAGAGCCTTTGAAGAGTATCCTAGGTCAAAGCTATTGTTATAATACTAAGACATAATTTATCTTTTGCACTCTCATTTTCTCATGAGTGTCCAGAGGAATTTTTGAGCAGCTATCTGGTGTGATATTATAACAGGCTGAATAAAGAAGTAGATAAGAGAATCTAGCTTTCATCTACCGTCAGACATTAAAGATACTTGCAAAAATGTAAAGCATGGCCGGGCACGGTGGCTCACGCCTGTAATCCCAGCACTTTGGGAGGCCGAGGCAGGCGGATCACGAGGTCAGGAGATCGAGACCATCCTGGCTAACATGGTGAAATCCCGTCTCTACTAAAAATACAAAAAATTAGCCGGGCGTGGTGGTGGGCGCCTGTAGTCCCAGCTACTCGGGAGGCTGAGGCAGAAGAATGGCGTGAACTGGGGAGGCGGAGGTTGCAGTGAGACGAGATCACGCCACTGCACTCCAGCCTGGGCAACACAGCAAGACTGTCTCAAAAAAGTAAAGCAGTTGGGACTCTTCTCACTAATGAATTTTTCTTGTTGTTTAGAAAAATAGTTATTTTTTGTGAGTCTTACTATGTGAAAAATAGCTATTTTTCAAAAAAATTATTTAATTTAACACATATTGGGCTTTTGTTACTCATAAATAATTAGTAATTTTTTTTTTGAGATGGAGTTTCGCTCTTGTTGCCCAGGTAGGAGTGCAATGGGGTGATCTCGGCTCACTGCAACCTCTGCCTCCCAGGTTCAAGCGATTCTCCTGACTCAGCCTCCCGAGTAGCTGAGATTACAGGCATGAGCCACCATGCCCAGCTAATTTTGTATTTTTAGTAGAGACGGGGTTTCTCCAGGTTGGTCAGGTTGGTCTCGAATTCCCAACCTCAGGTGATCTGCCCGCCTCGGCCTCCCCTAGTGCTGGGATTACAGGCGTGAGCCACCGTGCCCAGAGAAAATAATGAAAATTTTAAGAAAAAAATAAATAAAACCTATTTTTTAATTTTTACAAGATTGGTTTGGTCCTTCTCTAAAGCTGACTTTTTTCAAAGTATCATATTATTTGCTTATGCTTTGGGTTCCGTCTTTTGTGTTTTTCATTCTTTAAAACAAAGTCTCTAATCTGTATCTGATCATTATTGCTATTCATGGGAGCCTGGTCCTGCAGTTTGTTGTGTCTGCTGACTCTCCCTCCTCCAGGATTGTTTTCTCCTGTATTTGTAATTATGGATTATGAGCTCATCTTCAACTGGGTTTTATCTTTGTTATTGCTAGGAGATCTGGGTTGAGTTCACTTCTGCAATCACATCTCAATATTATGTGTTCATGACTACATTGATGTTAGTTTACAGAGTTTGGGGAATTTCTCCACTACAAAGATAATATGATTTAATCCCTGATATAGTTTGAACGTGTGTCTCTGCCCAAATCTCATGTTGAATTGTAATTCCCAGTATTGGGGGTGGTGCCTGGAGGGAGGTGATTGGATCATGGGGGTTGATTTCTTATGAATGGTTTAGTACCATCCCTTGGTGCTGTCCTCATGATAGCAAGTGACTTCTCTCAAGACCTGGCTGTTTAAAAGTGTGGCACCTTGGCTGGGCATGGTGGCTCACACCTGTAATCACAGCACTTTGGGAGGCCAAGGTGGGCGAATCACTTGAGGCCAAGAGTTCGAGATCAGCCTGGCCAACATGGTGAAACCCCATCTCTAGTAAAACTACAAAAATTGGCCAGGCATGGTGGTGGGCACCTATAATCCTAGCTACTCAAGAGGCTGAGCAGTCTGAAAAATATAAAATAAAAAATATATAAAAACAACAGGCTGGGTGCAGTGGCTCACACCTGTAATCCCAGCACTTTGGGAGGCCAAGGCGGGCAGATCACGAGGTCAAGAGATCGAGACCATCCTGGCCAACATGATGAAACCCTGTCTTCTACTAAAAATATAAAAATTAGCTGGGTATGGTGGTGCACGCCAGTAGTCCTAGCTACTCATGAGGCTGAGGCAGGAGAATCACTTGAACCCAGGAGGCAGAGGTTGCAGTGAGCCAAGATCACACCACTGTACTCCAGCCTGGTGACAGAGCGAGACTCTATCTCAAAAAAAAAAAAAAAAAAAAAAATATATATATATATATATATGTGTGTGTGTGTATATATATATGTGTGTGTACATATATATATATGTATATATATATATATATATATATATATAAAATAAAAGTGTGGCACCTTGCTCTCTCTTGCTCCTGCTTTCACCACGTGATGTGCCTGCTCCCACTTTGCCTTCTGCCATGATTAGAAGCTTCCTGAAGCTTCCCCAAAAGCAGATGCCACATGGCTTCCTGTGCAGCTGCAGAACCATGAGCCAATTAAACCTCATTTCTGATAAATTATTCAGTCTCAGGTATTTCTTTTTCTTTTACTTTTTTGAGACAGAGTCTCGCTCTGTCGCCCATGCTGGAGTGCAGTAGTGCAATCTCGGCTCACTGCAACCCCTGCCTCCTGGGCTCAAGCGATTCTTGTCCCTCAGCCTCCCGAGTAGCTGGGATTACAGGCATGAGCCACCATACTCGGCTAATTTTTTTGTAGTTTTAGTAGAGATGGGGTTTTGCCATGTTGGCCAGGCTGGTCTCAAACTCCTGACCTCAAGTGATCCACCTGCCTTGGCCTTCCAAAGTGCTGGGATTATAGGTGTAAGCCACTACACCTGGCCTCTGGTATTTCTTTGTAGCAACACAAAAACAGCCTAATACAATTCCCAAATGAGAAAGTCATAAAGTTACAATTTACCAGAGCAGATTTTTATTTATTTTTCTACCCAGGCTGAAACAAATATGTTTCCTTGTTGGCTGCCTGTGTCAGGGGATACAGGGGATAGCTTTTTTTTTTTTTTTTCCTGGCTACCTCTTTCATTGAAGGGACAGCCCTTTGAGCATCCTGGCTTTAGATAGGTATCTTAGTTTCAATTTCCATGTTGACCAAGCTAAAGCTCTTGTCTCTTTCCCTATGTGTGGTTTAAAATCCAAGCCCCAAGATTATCAGAAGATAAATTCCATCTGCATTAGTCTGTTATCACACTGCCAAAATGAACTACCTAAGACTGGGTAATTTATAAGGAAAAGAGATTTAGGCCAGGCACAGTAGCTCATGCCTGTAATCCCAGCACTTTGGGAGGCCAAGGTGGGTGGATCACCTGAGGTCAGGAGTTCGAGACCAGCCTGGCCAACATGGCAAAACCCCATCTCTACTAAAAATACAAAAATTAGCCAGGCATGGTGGTGGGTGCCTGTAATCCCCGCTACTCAGTTGGCTGAGGCACGAGAATCACTTGAACCTGGGAGGCAGAGGTTGCAGTAAGTTGAGATCGCACCACTGAACTCCAGCCTGAGTGACAGAGTGAGACTCCTCTCAGGGGAAAAAGAAGAAAAAAGATAAGAGGTTTAATCAGCTCATGGTTCTGTGGGCGGTACAGGTTTCTGCTTCTGGAGAGGCCTCAGAAAACTTACAATCATAGTGGAAGGCAAAGGGGAAGCAAGCACATCTTCACATGGCTGGCAGAAGAGAGGGGGGTGGAGGAGGTGCTACACACTTTTAAACAAGCAGCACTAAGGGGATGGTGCTAAACCATTAGAAACTGCCCCCATGATCCAATCACCTTCCACCAGGCCCCTCCTTCAACACTGAGGATTATAATTAGACATGAGATTAGGGCAAGGACACAGAGCCAAACCATATCATTCTGCCCCTGGCCCCTCACAAATCTCATGTCCTTCTCACATTTCAAAACAAAATCATGCCTTCCTAACAGTCCCTCAAAGTCTTAACTCATTCTAGCATTAACTCAAAAGTCCAAGTCCAAAGTCTCATCTGAGACAAGGCAAGACTTCCCTTCCACCGACGAGCTTGTAAAGTCAAAAACAAGTAATCAAGTTAGTTGCTTTCAAGATACAATGGGGATATAGGCCTTGGGTAAATACACCCATTCTAAGAGAAAGAATTCAGCCAAAACAAAGGGGCTATACGCCCCATGCAAGTCCAAAACCCAGCAGGGCAGTCATTAAACCTTAAAGCTCCAAAATAATCTCCTTTGACTCTATGTGTCACATCCAGTCCACACTGATGCAAGGGGTGGGCTCCCAAGGCCTTAGACAGTTGTATATCTGTAACCTTGCAGGGCACAGACCCTGCAGGTGCTTTCATGGGCTGATGTTGAGTGCCTGTGGCTTTTCCAGGTGCACAGTGTGAGCCATTCATGGATCTACCATTCTGGGGTCTGGAAGGTGGTGGCCTTCTTCTCACAGCTCCACTAGGCAGTGCCCAGTGGGGACTCTTGTGTGGGGACTCCAACCCCATATTTCCCCTCTGCATTGCCCTAGTAGAGGGTCTCCATGAGGGCTCCACCCCTGCAGCAGACTTCTGCCTGGACATCCAGGTGTTTCCATCTGAAATGTAGGTGGAAGCTCCGAAGCCTCAATTCTTGCCCTCTGCACACATGCAGGCTTAATACCACATGGAAGCCACTAAGGCTTTTAGCTTGCATCCTCTGAAACAATGGCTGAGCTGTACCTCGGCCCCTTTTAGCCATGGCTGGAGCTGAGTGATCACGATGCAGGGTGCCAGGTTTCAAGGCTTCACACAGCAGCAGGGCCTTCAGCCCAGGCCTCCAGGCCTGTGATGGGAGGGGCTGCCACGAAGGTCTCTGAAGTGCCTTGGAGGCATTTTCCCCATTGTCTTGGCTATTAACATTTGGCTCCTCTTCACTTATTCAAATTTCTGCAACCTGCTTGAATTCTTCCCCAGAAAATGGGTTTTTCTTTTCTACCACACAGCTGGGCTGCAAATTTTCCAAAATTTATGCTCTGCTTCTCTTTTAAATATAAATTCCAGTTTCAGATAATCTCTTTGCACATGCATATAAGCATACACTGTTAGAAGCACCCACTGTTAAATGCTTTACTACTTAGAAATTTCTTCCACCAGATAGCCTAAATCATCTCTCTCAAGTTCAAAGTTCAACAGATCCCTAGAGCAGGGGCACAATGCCACCAGTCTCTTTGCTAAAGCATAGCAAGAGTGACCTTCACTCCAGTTTCCAGTAAGTTCCTCATCTGCATCTGAGACCACCTTGGCCTGGACATCATTGTCCATATCACTATCAGCATTTTGGTCACAACCATTCAGTAAGTCTCTAGGAAGTTCCAAACTTTCCCTCATCTTCCTGTCTTCTTCTGAGCTCTCCAAACTGTTCCAACCTCTGCCCATTACCCAGTCCCAAAGTCACTTCCACATTTTCAGGTATGTTTATAGCAATGCCCCACTTCTCTGGTACCAATTTTCTGTATTAGTCCATTCTAACACTGCTATAAAGAACTACCTGAGACTGGGTAATTTATAAAGAAAAGAGATTTAATCGGTTCATCGTTCTGTGGGCTGTACAAGCTTTTGCTTCTGGGGAGGCCTCAGGAAACTTGCAATCATAGCAGAAAGCAAAGGGGAAGCAAGCACATATTCACATGACCAGCAACAGAGAGGTGAGTGGGAGAGGTGCTACATGCATTTAAACAAGCAGCCCTAGAGGGATGGTGCTAAACCATTAGAAGCTGCCCCATGATCCAATCACCTCCCATCAGGCCCCTCCTCCAACACGGGGGATTACAATTAGACCTTAGATTTGGACAGGGACACAAAGCCAAACCATATCACCATCCCTCCTCCAACCAGGGCTGCTGAAATATACACTCATGCTTACTGCTCTGATCTTACACTTTTTTTCTTTGCTTTTTAACTATGATTCCTTTTTTTCCTTTATCTTTTCTTTTCTTTTTTTTTTTTTTGAGACAAAGTCTTGCTCTGTCACCCAGGCTGGAGTGCAGTGGCACGATCTCAGCTCACTGCAACCTCTGCCTGCTGGGTTCAAGCGATTCTCCTGCCTCAGCCTCCCGAGTAGCTGGGATTACAGTCACATGCCACCACCCCTGGCTAATTTTTGTATTCTTAGTAGAGACGGGGTTTCACCATGTTGGCCAGGCTGGTCTCAAACTCTTGACCTCATGATCCACCCACCTCGGCCTCCCAAAGTGCTGGGATTACAGGCATAAGCCACTGTGCCCAGCCTTTTTAACACAGGGACTCACTATGTGTTGCCCAGACTGGTCTTGAACTACTCCTGGCCTCGAGTGATCCTTCCAGCTTGGCCTCCCGAAGCTCTGGGATTATAGGTGTGAGCCACCATGCCCAACCTATCATTCTTTTGTTTTTAAAGTCTCACTATGTTGCCCAGGCTGGTCTTGAACTCCTGGGCTTGAGAGATCCTCCTGCCTGGTATCAGCCAATCTTTCTTTCTTTCTTTCTTCCTTCCTTCCTTTTTTTTTTTTTTCTGAGACAAAGTCTCACTCTTGTCACCTAGGCTGCAGTGCAGTCGCATGATCTTGGCTCACTCCAACCTCTACCTCCCAAGTTCAAGCAATTCTCCCGCCTCAGCCTCCCGAGTATCTGAGAGTACAGGCACAGACCACCACACCTGGCTAATTTTTGTATTTTTAGTACAGATGGGGTTTCACCATGTTGGCCATGCTGGTCTTGAACTCCTGAGGGTAATCCACCCAACTCAGCCTCCCAAAGTGCTGGAATTACAAGCGTGAGCCACCATGCCCAGCCTATCATTCTTAATATTCATTCATTTATCAGATATTTATTGAGCCCCTACTATTTTCCAGGTACTAATCTAGGTACTGGGAATACAGAAACAATGTGAAGTCCTTGGCCCCTATATTCTACTCAATTAGAAAGACAATTATGGGCCAGGTGTGGTGGCTCACGCTTGTAATCCCAGCGCTTTGTGAGGCCAAGGAGGGCAGATCACCTGAGATCAGGAGTTCGAGACCAGTCTGGCCAACATGGCAAAACCTTGTCTCTACTAAGAATACCAAAATTAGCCGGGCATGGTGGCTCGCACCTGTAATCCTAGAACTTTGGGAGGCTGAGGCAGGAGGATTGCTTGAGGTCAGCAGTTCAAGACAAATCTAGCCAACATAGTGAGAACCCATCTCTAAAATAAAGAAAAAAAAATTGATTTTAAAATATTATTTTTCATCTTTAACTTTAAAATGTATTTTATTCGTTTTATAATTAATATATAATTAATTTAACACATGGAGTATTACTTATAATTTAATTTATATAAATTAAATATGATACATTAATATTATTTATGAATAAACAGATATACATATAATGGGGGATATATACCCCCCCGTTTTTATTGATGGAGTTCACAATTGTAAAAACTTGAAACCAATTCCTTTAAAACAGCCACCACTCAGGCACCTGTAACCCAGCTACTCGGGAGGCTGAGACAGGAGAATCGCTTGAACCTGGGAGGCAGAGGTTGCGGTGAGTCGAGATCGTGCCATTGCACACCAGCCTGGGCAACAGAGAGATATTCTGTCTCAAAAAGTATATGTAAATAAAAATAAAAAATCAAAAAATAGCCACCACTTCCACAACATTCCTAGTACTAGATTTTTCCTCCTCTTAAGCCCACCAACATCCTCTATCTCTGAGTATTTGTTGTGGTTTCTTAATTTTTATTTATTTTTTATGTTATTTTTATTTATTCATTTATTTATTTTTTTGGAGATGGAGTCTTGCTCCATTGCTCAGGCTGGAGTGCAGTGGCGCGATCTCAGCTCACTGCAACTTCTGCCTCCCGGGTTCAAGCGATTCTCCTGCCTCAGCCTCCTGAGTAGCTGGGACTACAGGTGCACAATTTTTTATTTTTTTTTTAGATGAAGTCTCGCTCTATCACCCAGGCTGGAGTGCAAGTGGCATGATCTCAGCTCACTGCATCCTCTGCCTCCCGGGTTCAAGGGATTCTCCTGCCTCAGCTTCACGAGTAGCTGGGATTATAGGCATGTGCCACTACGCCTGGCTAATTTTCATATTTTTTGTAGAGATGGATTTTCGCCATGTTGGCCAGGTGGTTTTGAACTCCTGACCTCAGGTTATCTGCCCGCCCTGGCCTCCCAAAGTTCTGGAATTACAGGCATGAGCCGTCATGCCGGGCCTTCTAAGTATTTAACATAATCAGAGATCATATTCACCATAAGATACAAATGGGGTTATTTCTCACCAGCAGGGATATAATAATAAAAGAGGAACTTGCTGCCCCCAAATGAAATGGTATAAATATATCTTTGATATAAATGATATAAATATATCTTAATATTTTTAAGTTGTGGATCTTTCGTTCATCTTTGTTACCAGCTCTTGGGGCAAGGCTTGACACCTATTAGCATCTGTTGAGTAGGTAGATAGATAGTACAAGTTTACAACATCTGCCTTTTCTTATCTAATTTACCAGAGAACTGAATAGAAAGAAGTAAATACTATGGATGTTTTGTTAGAGGTGTGGCAATATTCAGATAGGAAGTAAAGTATCACAATTAGAGCTTGCCCATAAAACTCTATAGAACCAGCCCAATTCTAGTTGGAGTAGGGAGAGTCTTAGGATAATTTCTCACTTTTCTACCAACTTTTATCACATTTATTTATTTATTTATTTATTTATTTATTTATTTATTTTTTGAGATGGAGTTTTGCTCTTGTTGCCCAGGCTGGAGTGCAGTGGCGCGATCTTTGCTCACTGCAACCTCCACCTCCCAGGTTCAAGCGATTCTCCTGCCTCAGCCTCCTGAGCAGCTGGGATTACAGGCGCGTACCACCACGCTCAGCTAATTTTTGTATTTTTAGTAGAGACAGGTTTTCATCATGTTGGCCAGGCTGGTCTCGAACTCCTGATCTCATGATCTGCCCACCTCAGCCTCCCAAACCAAAGTGCTGGGATTATAGGAATAAGCCACTGCATCCCGCCTATCACCTTTTTTACTTCTTCTTCTTCTTCTTCTTCTTCTTTTTTTTTTTTTTTTTTTTTTTTAGATGTGGATCTCACTATGTTGCCCAGGCTGGTCTCAAACTCCTAGCCTCAAGTGATTCTCCTGCCTCAGCCTCCCAAAGTGCTGGATTACAGGCATAAGCCACTGCGTCCAGTTACTTTTCCTACTTCTTGACTAAATTTTGGTAATATACACCTTCCTAAAATATTTATTTCATTATGAGTTTCAGAATTATTAGCACAAGATTCTCTTGAGGCTGGGCATGGTGGCTCACACCTGTAATCCCAGCACTTTAGGAGGCCTAAGTGGGAGCATCTCTTGAGCCCAGGAGTTCAAGACCAGCCTGGGAAACACAGCAAAACCTTATATTTTTTATTTTATTTTATTTTATTTTATTATTTTATTTTATTTTATGACAGAGTCTCACTCGTCACCCAGGCTGTAGTGCAGTGGCATGATCTCGGCTCACTGCAATCCCCACCTCCCAAGCTCAAGCGATTCTCCTGTCTCAGCCTCCTGAGTAGCTGGGACTACAGGTGTGTGCCATCACACCCAGCTAATTCTGTATTTTTAGTAGAGACAGGGTTTTACCACATTGGCCAGGCTAGTGTCAAACTCCCAACCTCGGGTGATCCACCCGCCTCGGCCTCCCAAAGTGCTGGGATTACAGGCGTGAGCTGCCACACCCAGCCAGACCTCATCTCTATAAAAAAAAAATTTAATAATAATTAAAAAATTAAATTTAAAAGATTATCTTGAATGTTTTAAACCTCCATGAAATCTGATCACATTCATTTGTCTCATTACTAATGCAATATATTTAATGCTTCTTTGTATTTAATTTGCTTCTTTATATTTATCTTAATAGAGATTTTTCTATTTCAATGCTATTTTAAAAGACAAGTTCTTAGATTTGTCATTAATTTGATTGTTTTCTGGGTTTTATTCACTAATTTCTGCTTTAATCTTTACTGTTGTTTTTTTTTTTCCAAGACAGGGTCCTGGTCTGTCACACAAGCTGGAATGCAGTGTGTGGTGGTGCGTTCTTGGCTCACTGCAACTTCCAACTCCCAGGCTCAAGCGATCCTCCCACCTCAGCCTCCCAAGTAGCTGTGACTGCAGGTATGCACCATCACACTCAGCTAATTTTTTTGATTTATTTTTTGTTATAGAGGCTGTTTCTCCCAGTGTTGCCCAAGCTGGCCTCAAAGTCCTGAGCTCAAGCAATCCTCTCACCTCAGCCTCCCAAAGTGGAAGCACGAGCCACCACACCCAGCTGATCTTCACTTCTTTCTCTTTTTTTTTTTCCTGGGTTCACGCCATTATCCTGCCTCAGCCTCCCGAGTAGCTGGGACTACAGGCACCCGCCACCATGCCTGGCTAATTTTTTGTATTTTTTAATAGAGATGGGGTTTCACCATTGTTAGCCAGGATGGTCTCGATCTCCTGACCTCGTGATCCACCTGCCTTGGCCTCCCAAAGTGCTGGGATTACAGGTGTGAGCCACCGCGCCCAGCCTTTACTTATTTTTATTTTCCTTTCATTTATTTTGTTGTTCATTTTTTAGTTTCTCAAAAATGGTTAGTCCATTTAATTTTATTCTTTCTTAATCATAAAAGCTTCTGACTGTTTTGCACATCAGATAAGCAAAGATTAAAAAGAATGATCTGGCTGAGGGCGGTGGCTCAAGTCTGTAATCCCAACACTTTGGGAGGCCGAGGCAGGTGGATCACCTGAGGTCAGGAGTTCGAAACCAGCCTGACCAATATGGTGAAACCCCATCTCTATTAAAAATACAAAAATTAGCTGGGCTTTGTGGCATGCGCCTGTAGTCCCAGCTACTCAGGAGGCTGAGACAGGAGAATTGCTTGAACCCAGGCGGTGGAGGTTTTAGTGAGCCGAGATTGTGCCATTGCACTCCAGCCTGGGCAACAGAGCAAGACTCTGTCTCAGAAAATAATGATCTGCCTGGATACAGTAGGTCTTCTAGAGTGAGTGCTGGCCCTAACAGTGGGAACCTGTCTCATCTTGGAATTTCAGAGGACCTAACCTCCCAGACTGCTCCTTCTCTGTGCATTCTGTGCCTACCACTTGACATATACCACCCTTGTAGAAAGAAACCTAAGCCAGCTTACCCATCCTGGAGTGAGCCTATACTAGAGAAACAGATTACCTACAAGACAGTATAGATGGTCCATACTACATGCCTATATTCTTAAATAGGAATGGACAGCCAAGAACTCCCAGACATTTGATGAAACAGCAAAGCAAACAGAGCAGAACCAAAGTAAACAAACAGAATTTAATGGAAAGGAACTATTTTGAAATTCCAAATTTCAGAAAGTATACTCAGAAAGTTTTTAGGAATATATTTAATCAGTTTAACAAAATATAGTCTGCTATAGAAAAGGAACAAGCAGAGAACAAGAAAGAGATCTTGGAAATAAAAAGTATGGTTGCTGAAAAATATCTATAAATATAATAAAAATTAAACTATTGTTTTCAGTGGCCGGGTGCAGCGGCTCATGCCTGCAGTCTCAGCACTTTAGGAGGCCAAGGCAAGCAGATCGCTTGAGCCCAGCAGTCCTAGACCAACCTAGGCAACATGGCGAAAACCTGTCTCTACAAAAAATACAAAAATTAGCTGGGAATGGTGGCTTGCGCCTGTAGTCCCAGCTACTCAGGAGAGTGAGGTGGGAGGATCACTTGAGCCCAGGAGGTCAAGGCTGCAGTGAGCCGTGACTGTGCCACTACACTACAGCCTCTGTACAGGATCTACAGAGTGAGACCCTGTCTCAAAAAAATAAATAAATAAAAATAAATAAAACTCTGTTTTCAGCTTAGAATTTGATCCTCTACCAGTCAGGCATGAGGGAAAATAAAGACCTTTCCAAACCTTCAATAACTAACCTCGTTCTGGAAGATAGCATAACTCAAGAAATGAAAGGAAATTACCACAAACGATTTGTTTTATACAACAGTCTAATAATAGAATCGATTATCTTTCTTTTTTTTTTTTTGAGATGGAGTCTCGCTCTGTCACCCAGGCTGGAGTGCAATGGCATGATCTCAGCTCACTGCAACATCTGCCTCCAGGGTTCAAGTTATTCTCCTGCCTCAGCCTCCCGAGTAGCTGGGATTACAGGTGCCCACTGCCACGCCCAGCTAATTTTTGTCTTTTTAGTAGAGATGGAGTTTCACCAGGTTTGCCAGGCTGGTCTCGAACTCCTGACCTCAGGTGATCTACCCACCTCGGCCTCCCAAAGTGCTGGGATTACAGGCATGAGCCACTGCGCCTGGCCATGAATTCTCTTTTTAAAAAAGGCCCAAAGACAATACGATAAGACAACTTGAGATGAAGAGGAAGACTGAAGAGACAAGGAAACAGACAGGATCAAAACAGCATCATTAAAAAACTAATAAATAAGACAACTTAAGGAAACACATGAACATATCACAAAGGTTAAAAATAAAGATGATGAGGGCTGGGCACGGTGGCTCATGCCTGTAATCCCAGCACTTTGGGAGGCCAAGGTGGACGGATCACGAGGTCAGGAGATTGAGGCCATCCTGGCTAATATGGTGAAACCCCCATCTCTACTAAAAATACAATAAATTAGCCGGGCGTGGTGGCATGCGCCTGTAGTCCCAGCTACTCGGGGAGGCTGAGGCAGGAGAATCACTTGAACCCAGGAGGCGGAGGTTGCAGTGAGCCGAGATCGCACCACTGCACTCCAGCCTGGTAACAGAGCAAGACTCCGTCCCAAAAAAAAAAAAAAGAAAGAAAAAGATAAAAGATGATGAAAGCTGAGAAAGGAGACGATGAAAACAAAGGAATAAGAGAGAAGACAATAGGTATGAAGAACATGGCATCTGTTATAAAGTTAACTAATGTCCCTGAAGTAAAGGACTTTATGAATAAAACAGGAAAATGAGAAAATTATTCAAAGAAATAATCTTTCAAATTTCTCTTTAATAAATAAGGAAATTAGTTACAGATGGAAATAACACACCATGTTCCAAGAAAAAAAAAAAAACTGACACAGCATGGTAGCTACTGATCTCTATCCCAGTTAAGTCACTAAACATTAAAGTTAAAGAAAGAATTCCTTGAACACAACCAACCAGACAATAAAGCAAGTTGCCTAAAAGGGGTGAAGCAGAGTTGGGAATTGGACTTATCTCAGACCTCTCTGAGGCAAGGTTCAATGCCAGAAAAACATGAAACATGCCACAAATTTCAGAGACAAAATGTGGCCCAAGAAAATGATACCCAGTCAAGATGTTGTTCAAATATAAGAAAAAGAGATAGTCTCAACATGAAAAAAATCCAAGGAATTTAAGACAAAGAGCTTTTCTAAAAAAAAAAAAAAAAAAAGAAAGAAACAAAATCTAATTTAATAATTAATCAATACAAATAAATCAGTAATGGGAAAGTACTTCTGGTGGTGAGCAGTGATTCCACCTGAATATAGAACTAAGACTACACAGGACCTAATGTAAATGCTATAAACCTCAACAGATAATATAACTACCAAAAGCAATGGGATGAGGAGAGAAGATAGGAAGCTGAGTGTTAACTTCAATTTCTTCATCTTTCCATAGTAAGATGTTAACAAAAGTGTCCAATAATAAAACATGTAGCTAAAACATATAATGATTCTACTACTTAGTGATTTTCATATCTTTTTTCTTAACTTTGAAGAGATAGACTGAGAAATAATAGCTCTTAGATGAAAAATATTTACTAATGTTTAACCATTTCTTCCATTTTACTTTAATTTCCTTTTTTTTTTTTTTAGTTGTCAATTTCCAAGAAAAAACATTAAAGGGAAAGAAGTAGTTGGAATTAGGTGGGGCAAAGTGGCTGTCACCTGTAATCCCAGCATTTGGGGAGGCCAAGAGTTCAAGACCAACCTGAGCAACATAGCAAGATTCCATTTCTACAAAAAATAAAAAATTTTTAAAAAAAATTTTAAAAAAAGGAAAATTTTTAAAAAAATTAGCCAGGCATGGTGGCTATGCCTGTAGTCCCAACTACTTGAGAGGTCAAGGTGGGACGATTACTTGAGCCCAGGAGTTCAAGGCTGCAATGAATTATCGTGCCACTGCACTCCAGCCTTGGCAACAGAGCAAGACTCTGTCTCAAAAAAAAAAAAAAAAAAAAGTAGTAGGAATTATAAAATAAACACCTACATTCCCATCATTCAGAATTAACAATTATAAATGTCATTTTTTTTTTTTTTTTGAGAGAGAGTCTTGCTCTGTCACCCAGGCTGGAGTGCAGTGGCATGATCTCGGCTCACTGCAACCTCCACCTCCCTGGTTCCAGCGATTCCCCTACCTCAGCCTCCCAAGTAGCTGGGACTAGAGGCGCATGCCAGATGGTGTTTCACCGTGTTGGCCAGGTTGGTCTCAAATTCCTGACCTCAAGTGATCCGCCTGCCTCAGCCTCCCAAAGTGCTGAGATTTCAGGCATGAGCCATTATGCTCAGCCAAATTTGATTTTTTTAAAAAACAAAATATTATAAAGAAAGCTAATATTCCCTTTAAACACCATTCCCACTCCCATCCCTCCAATGCAGAGCAAAACCTTTTCCATCTAGCTTTTTTGGTATTTAGAGATATATAGACAGATAGATATTTATTATCAGCAATGATATATAATATTGCTATGTGTGAATAATGCTTTTTTCTTTACACAATGGTACCATACCAAATATATTGTACTGCATCTTGCTTTTTTTCATTCTGTATTGTTGAGTGAACTGCATATAGAGTTAATTCATCCCTATTAACTGTGTATATACCACTGTATGATTAGTCCGCATTTATTTATCCATTCTATTAACGGACACTGAGATTATTACTCTTTGATTTTTTGCACTTCCAAACAATGCTACCATGATCATTCTTGTATGCATCTAAAAGTTTCTCAGTATACCCAGAAATATAAGCATTTAATTATAAAAACACATTTGTTTTCTTTTTTATTTTTTGAGACAGAGTCTCGCTCTGTCACCCAGGTTGGAGTGCAGTGGTGCGATCTCAGCTCACTGCAACCTCTGCCTCCTGGGTTCAAGCGATTCTCCTGCCTCAGCCTCCTGAGTAGCTGGGATTTCAGGCACATGCCACCACACCTGGCTAATTTTTGTGTTTTTAGTAGAGACAATATTTCACCATGTTGGCCAGGCTGGTTTCAAACTCCTGACCTCAAGTGATCTGCCTGCCTCGGCCTCCCAAAGTGCTGGGATTACAAGCGTAAGCCACTGCACCCAGGCATTCATTTTCATTTTATTAGATACTGCCAAATTGCTCTTCCAAATGACTCTATATCAATATACCCTATCCCTATCTCAAGAGTTGTGAGAGCTTATCATTTTCTCCACATCTTTGCCCGTACTTGACATTTTGGGCAATCTAAAGGGCAATAGTTTCAGTTAACAAAGTAGCTAAAAAAAAAAAAAAAGTGCAATAGTATCTTGTTGTTTTATGTTTCCTTAATACTAATAGTGTGAGACTATTTCTATGATTGCTAATTTATTTTAGGTAGATTCTTCCTTTTATCAAAATAAAATGCTCCCTTAATTTTTTTTCACATCCTATTTTGTCTGGTATTCAATTGCTACTCCCAATGTCCTTTGGTTACTATTTGTCTGATGTTATCATTTTTCATTTCTTAATATTTAGGTTTTCTATGTTGTTTTACACGTGTCTTTTATAAACATCATATAGCTGAACTTTGGTATATGTGTGTAATTAATCCAAGCTGAGCCTTTTTAAAAATTACTGTTTTTACCATGGAATACTATACAGCCATAAAAAAAGAATGAAATTGGTTGGGCATGGTGGCTCACACCTGTAATCCCAGCTACTTTGGGAGGCTGAGGCAGGCGGATCACCTGAGGTCAGGAGTTCGAGACCAGCCTGGCCAACATACAGTGAAACCCCGTCTCTACCAAAAAAATACAAAGTATTAGCTGGGCGTAGTGGTGCAAACCTGTAGTCCCAGCCACTTGGGAAGCTGAGGCGGGAGAATCGCATGAATCCAGGAGGTGGAGGTTGCAGTGAGCCAAGATTGAGCCACCGCCTGGGCGACAGAGTGAGACTCTGTCTCTCAAAAAAAAAAAAAAAAAAAAAAAAAAAAAAAAAAAAAAATCCTGTCCTTTGCAGCAACATGGATACAGCTGGAGGCCATTATCCTAAGGTAATTAACACACGAACAAAAAACCAAATGCCACAAATGCCACATGTTCTCACTTATAAGTGGGTGCTAAACATTGGGAACACATGGACATAAAGATGGAACAAT
The DNA here is from genome assembly GCF_000001405.40 of Homo sapiens. Classification (NCBI taxonomy): domain Eukaryota; kingdom Metazoa; phylum Chordata; class Mammalia; order Primates; family Hominidae; genus Homo; species Homo sapiens. Next base: position 32,417,994 of record NC_000017.11, on the reverse strand, counting down.
AAACACTGGGGACTCCTACAGGGGGAGGGAGAAGGATGAGGACAAAGGCTAAAAAACTACCGACTGGGGACTGTGCTCACTATCCAAAGCTCATAAAACATATTTTAAAGAATTGCATAAAATGCCAGGCATGGTGGCTTATGTCTGTAATCCCAGCACTTTGGGAGGCTGAGGCAGGTGGATCGCTTGAGCCCAGAAGTTCAAGACCAGCCTGGGCAAACCTGCGAAACCCTGTCTCTACCAAAAATAAAAAAATTAGCTGGGTGTGGTGGAGTGCCTGTGATCCTAGCTACTTGAAAAGTTGAGATGGGAGAATAACTTGAGCCTGGGAGGTCGAGGCTGCAGTGAGCTGAGATCACACCATTGCACTTCAGCCTGGGTGACAGAGCGAGGCCATGTCTCAAAAAAAAAAAAAAAAAAAGCATCAGTTGATTGATAACATATGTCTGTTATTCATCATTTAAGTTATAAATGGTCTCAATTACCTTACATATGCATTTCCTTTCATTTTCCCTCCAAAGTATAAATACTATATCAAATTTCTGGGTAGAGACAGCAGTTCAATTTTCTTGCCTCCCTGCAGCTGCTGCTATCAGGCTTGAATTAAAGATACCTCATGGGCAGGCGCAGTGATTCACACCTGCAATCCCAACACTTTGGGAGGCCAAGGCAGGAGGATCACTTGAGCCCAAGAGTTTGCGAACAGCCTGGGCAACATGGCAAAAACCCATCTCTACAAAAAATACAAAAATTATCCAGGTGTGGTGGTGCATGCCTATAGTGCCAGACATTCAGGAAGCTGAAGTGAGAGGATCACTTGAGCCTGGGAGGTTGAGGCTGCAGTGAGCCATAATAGCACCACTGCACTCTAGCCTGGGCAACAGAGTGAGATCCTATCTCAAAAAACAAACAAATAAATAAAATAAAACAATAAAATATTCTACAATGTATACGAAGGAGAAAGGTTCATTGGTGGATTAGATAATCTTTAAAAACAAGGGTAAGGCTAGGTGTGGTGGCTCACACTTCTAATCCCAGTACTTTGGGAGACCAAGGCAGGAGGATCACTTGAACCCAGGAGTTCAAGACCAGCCTGGGCAACATAGTGAGACCACATCTCTACAAAAAAATTAAAAGTAACTTAAAATTTTGTTTTAGTGTAAATGGAGAAAGGGAGGCTTGCTCTATCAAATATTAAGACATACTGCAAGGCCATAATGATAAGGCATCGGTGCGACATGCCAACGGAACAAAGTAGAGAATTCAGAGAAGGACTCATTTCTATATGGGAACTTGATGTAAAATAAAGAAAGCATCACAAATCAATGGGGAAAGAAGAGATCATTTATTAGGTGATGCTGGAAAAACTGATTCACTATATGGAGGAAAATAAAACTAGAATGCGACCTAACATATATAAAGGTGAATTCCAGATGAAGTAAGGAGTGAAATGTGAAAGAAAAACTATAAAGTTAACTGAATAAAATGTAGGATGAACTTTCTGATTTAGAGACAAGGAAGAAATTTTTAAAACTTCTAAAGTACAAACCATACAGAAAAACAAATAAAAATTTGATTACATCAAAATTATTTCTACCCATGAAAGACATCACATATACAAATTTGCTAGGTAACAGGAGAATCGAAGAAGGTATTTGCATTGTCAAATATCTAAAGTATATGAGGGCCAGGTGCCGTGGCTCACACCTGTAATCCCAACACTTTAGGAGGCCGAGGCAAGCGGATCACTTGAGGTCAAGAGTTCGAGACCAGCCTGGCCAACATGGTGAAACCCCTGTCTCTATTAAAAAAACAAAATTATGGCCAGGTGCGGCAGCTCACGCCTGTAATCCCAGCACTTTGGGAGGCTGAGGCAAGTGGATCACTTGAGGTCAGGAGTTGGAGACCAGCCTGGCCAATATGGTGAAACCCTGTCTCTACTAAAAATACACAAATTAGCTGGGCGTGCCAGCAGAAGCCTGTAATCCCAGTTACTCAGAAGGCTGAGGCAGGAGATTCTCTTGATCCCGGGCGGCAGAGGTTGCAGTGAGCCAAGACTGTGCCATTGCTGCCTGTGCCATTGCACTCCAGCCTGGGCAACAAAGTGAGACTTTGTCTCAAAAAAAAAAAAAAAAAAAAAAAAAAAAGTATGTGAGGATTCAAGAATCATCTTTCTGTTCTGCCTTCTCAGAATGGCTTTTGTTCCCTTCAGGTTGCAGGATGGCCACTGCAGCTCCAGATAGCACATCCGAACACAGGAAAGCAGTTTTTCCTTATGCTCCTCTTGGTATTGTGGAGAAGTACCTTTCACAGAAATTGCCTAGCAGAATTCCTGTCAGATCCCATTGATTGGGACTGGGTTATCCATCCATGCAGCAGCTACAAAGGTGGCTGGAAAAGCAATTTGTGTACATTTTCAGCCTCTATAGCGGGAGACAGGATGGCCAGCAAGGAAGAGGGGTTACAGAATGACAGTTGCAGAAGTAACAAGGAACACTGTCCATATCTCCCCTCCTTTTTCTGCAATGTCTAGCACTCCTATTAGACTGATGTTAGCATTTCTGGATCTTCCCTCCATGTCTCCTAAATTTTCCTTCGTATGTCCATCCTTCTCCTTTCCTTTCCTACTGCATTCTGGGAGAATTTCCCTGTCCAAACATCTAGCTCACTAATTCACTCTTCAGTGTATCCACTTTGTAATCAGCATTTATTATTTTATTTTAAAAATTACATTTTTCATTTTCAAGATCTCCAATTTGGTTCCTTTTTTTTATAACGCCCATTCTTGCTTCATGGATACAATATCTGTGCATCTCTTTGACAGTATTATGCTTTTTCTTTTCTTCTCTTTTTTGAGGTGGAGTTTCACTCTTGTTGCCCGGGCTGGAGTGCAATGGTGTGAACTCGGCTCACTGCAACCTCTGCCTCCCAGGTTCAAGCGATTCTCCTGCCTCAGCCTCCTGAGTAGCTGGGATTACAGGTGCCCACCACCACGCCCGGCTAAATTTTTTTTTTTTTTTTTTTTGTAATTTTAGTAGAGAAGGGGTTTCACCATGTTGGCCAGGCTGGTCATGAACTCCTAACCTCAGGTGATCCATCTGCCTCGGCTTCCCAAAGTGCTGGGATTACAGGCGTGACCCACTGCACCCAGCTGACAGTATTATGCTATTTCTAAAGGTCTGTTCCAATTCTGTTAGCTGTTTCCTCAAGTGAAGATGTTTTCTTTAAACTCTGTTTCAAAGAGTACTCAAGTATGTGAAAATTCTTTACCATAAGTGCAGTTTTTTCCACTGAGATTCCTATTAGAATGAAACTTTCTTGACTTGAGAAAGTAACTGGCCTTGGAGTTAGGGTGTAGTTGAAGGAGGTACAGATTTGATTGTTGGAACTTACACTCCATGTGTTTTTCAGTAAGACTGGAAGATGTGTAGAGTATGATACAAGAAAAGACGCCTCCACAGCTAGTTTTCCAGGCTTAAGCGCTCCTTATTTCTCCCTGGTATTGTCAGCCACTTGAGGCATTGCTCTACCTCTGAGACGCTGCTCCTGTCTGGAGATAGTTGTTGCAGATGCATGACTTACAGATGGGAGGCCAGGGTGGGTACAGGGAGAATGGGTCTGCACTGTACCAGCTCCCATAATGAGTCTTCATCTTGCTTCCAGTTTCCACTACCGGCAATGTGAGAATAGAGCTCCCACTTCTTGAGGTAGTACTATGAGTTGAGTTCCCACATATACACTGGACTGCCATTACCCTCTTCAATTCACTCCCATCTAATTTTAGTAGAGAATTTCTCATAAGAGAATTCGTCTTGTTTTCAAATGCTTCTATGAATACATTAAATTCTTTCTTCCTGTCATTTCTAGAGTTTGGAGAAAAGGAGGAAAACTGCAAAATGTACTCAGATGACCACCAATAAAATATTATTTTTGTTAAAAATTATCATGTAAGCTTTCCAATTTGGGCCTGGCAGAATGGTTCCTGAAAAGGGTGGCAAAAAGAACAGGCCATTCTGCATCTACCAGGTGGTAACCCGAGAATACACCATCAGTATTCACAGGTGCCTCCGTGGAGTGGGCTTCAAAAAGCAAGCCCTGGGGCTGAACGCGGTGGCTCACACCTGTAATCTCAGCACTTTGGGAGGCCAAGGAGGGCAGATCACGAGGTCAGGAGTTGGAGACCAGCCTGGCCAACATAGTGAAACTCCATCTCTAAAAAAAATTTTAAAAATTTTAGCTAGGCACAGTGGTGTGCACCTGTAGTCCCAGCTACTTGGAAGGCTGAGGCAGAAGACTCACTTGAACCCAGGAAGTGGAGGTTGCAGTGAGCCGACATCACACTACTGCACTCCAGCCTGGGCAATAGAGTGAGACTCCATCTCAAAAAAAAAAAAAAAAAAAAAAAAAAAAGCAAAGCAAGCTCCTCAGGAGGCACTTAGAGATCCAGAAATTCACCATGAAGGAGATGGGGACTCCAGATGTGCACATTGATACCAAGTTCAACATAGCTGTCTGGGCCAAAAGATAAGGACTATCCCATAGTGTATACCTGTGTGGTCATCTAGAAAACATAATAAGGATGAAGATTCACTAAACAAGCTCTCTATACTTTGGTTACCTATGTATCTGTTACTACCTTCAAAAATCTACTGACAGTCAGTGTCGATGAGAGCTAACAGCTGATCTTCAAATACATCAAATACTTATAAAACTGTCCCTAAAATGTATCATGTATGATTTCCTTTATATATTTTATTGTTCATTCATCTCTCCATCCGTCTTCCTATCTGTATATACACATAGAGGGAGAGATGTTTGGAATGTTTTCCTTTTTTAAATTGATACATCATAGTTGTACATATTTTTGGGGTACATGTGATATTTTGACACCTGTATGCAATGTATAATGATCAAATCAGGGTAATTGGGATATCCATTACCACAAACATTGTGCTAGAAACATTACAATTCTTTTCTAGCTATTCTGAAATATACCATAAATTATTTTTTATTTTGTTTTTTTAGAGACAGGGTCTTGCTCTGTCACCCAGGCTGGAGTGCAGTGGCATAATACAGTTATAGCTCACTGTAACCTCAAACTCCTGGGCCCAAGTGATCCTCCTGTCTCAGCCTCTCTACAGGTGTGCACCAGCACACGCAGCTAATTAAAAAAATTGTTTTTTGTAGAGACAGGGTCTTGCTATGTTGCCTAGGCTATACAATAAATTATTGTTAACTATAATTTCCCTACTGTACTATTTTTTTTTTTTAAGACAGAGTCTTGCTCTGTCGCCCAAGCTGGAGTGCAGTGGTGCAGTCTTGGCTAACTGCAACCTCTGCCTCCTGGGTTCAAGTGATTCTCCTGCCTCAGCCTCCTGCGTAGCTGGGATTACAGGCAAGTGATACCATGCCTGGCTAATTTTTATATTTTTAGTAGAGACGGGGTTTCACCACGTTGGCCAAGCTGGTCTCAAACTCCTGAACTCAGGTGATCCACCTGCCTCAGCCTCCCAAAGTGCTGGGATTACAGGTGTGAACCACCGTGCCCAGCCTTTTACTTTTTTTTTTTTTTTTTTGAGACGGAGTTTCGCTCTTATCACCCAGGCTGAAGTGCAGTGCAGTGAGTGAAGTGAAGTGCAGTGAGCAATCTCGGCTCACTGCAACCTCTGCCTCCCAAGTTCAAGTGATTCTCCTGCCTCAACCTCCCCAGTAGCTGGGATTACAGGTGCCTACCACCACGCCCGGCTAATTTTTTTTTTTTAAATATTTTTAGTAGAGATGGGGTTTCACCATGTTGGCCAGGCTGGTCTCAAACTCCTGACCTCGTGATCAGCCCACCTCAACCTCTCATAGTGCTGGGATTACAGGCATGAGCCACTGTGCCTGGTCCGTACTATTTTTAACTTAATATTAAAATAGTTATTTTGGCCAGGCACAGTGGCTTATGCCTGTAATCCTTGCACTTTGGGAGGCTGAGGTGGGAGGATCCCTTGAACTCAGAAGTTCAAGACCAACCTGGGCAACACAGTGAGATTGCATCTCTATTATTAAAATAAAAGTTGGCTGGGCACGGTGGCTCACGCCTGTAATCCTAGCACTTACGGAGGCCAAGGTGGGCAGATCAGTTGAAGTCAGGAGTTCGAGACCAGCCTTGCCAACATGGTGAAACCCTGTCTCTACTAAAAATATAAAAATTAGCCGGGCATGGTGGCACGTACCTGTATGTGTAATCCCAGCTACTTGGGAGGCTGAGGCAGGAGAATCACTTGAACTCGGGAGGCAGAGGTTGCAGTGAGCTGAGATCGTGCCACTGCACTCCAACCTGGGCGACAGAGTGAGACTCAGTATCAAAAAAAATAAAAATAATAAAATAAAAAACAAAAATAAAAGTTATTTTGGGGTTATTTGCTTTCTCTTTTTTATTTTTATATTTTTATTTACATAATTTTAGAGATGGGGTCTCACTATGTTGCCCAAGGCTGGTCTCAAACTCCTGGGCTCAAGTGACCTTCCTGCTTTGGCCTCCCAAAGTGCTGGGATTACAGGTATGAGCCACCGCACCTGGTCTCTCCTTGATTCTTTTTTTTTCCAGAGACAATTTTTTTTCCTGAACTTTTTAATACCTGGATTCATCTCAAGAGTATTTCACTGTCTCTTTTTGAAGAGTTTTTTCTGTCAAATATTAACCTATCTTTATCTGATGGTTTGGTGCAAGCTAGTAAATTTCAGGGACCTGTTCTCTGCCTTGCTTTCTGAGGCCCTGATGAACATTTCTTTAAGACATGTCAACAAATAGTTACTAGCATATTGTTAGATAGGTGAAGTCTGGCCAGGATCTTGTACATTTCAAGGTAGGCCTCTCAAACCCACATTTATTTTTAGGAATTATAGGAAGTCTGGGTTTTGTTTTGTTTTGTTTTAAGACAAGATCTCGCTCTGTCACCCAGGCTGGAGTATGGTGGTGCAGTCACGGCTGACTGCAGCCTCAAACTCCTGGGCTCAAGTGATCCTCCCATCTCCACCTCTTGAGTAGCTGGGACTACAGGCACATGCCATTATGCCCAGCTAAGTTGTTTACTTTTATTGTAGAGACAGGGGTCTCACTATGTTGCCCAAGCTGGTCTCAAACTCCTGGCCTCAAGTGATCCTCCTGCCTCAGCTTCCCAAAGCACTAAGATTATAGGCACGAGAACGTGCCCGGCTGGACGTCTGGAATTTTTTTTTATAGATTAGAGGTTGCTGATTCAGTCAGTTTTAAATGTCTTTAATAATTCACATCCCCCCACATACTAATATACACAAAGTTGCAAGGTCTCATTGTACACAATGCTTCTGGCCAGTCTGTGTTTTACCATTACCTTTGCCACAGTAACACAGCCTATGTAACAGGTGCCTGTTCTCGGATAACATCAGGATTTGCATCCAGTTCTGATTTCCACCCCAGGCTCACTTGGCATCAGTCCATACTACATCTTATGTAGATGGATCCTGACATTATGTACACAGTCTTGATAGTGCTGCATGATTACTAAGCAAAGCAGTCTGCATCAAGTCAGGCAAATGACAAGCTACGTTGTAAGGATTTTTCTCTTCTCATTTGGTTAACTCAACAATACAGATATCTGCCCAAATTTTAAATGAGAATTTTCTATTAAAATCCATTTTCTCAATAGAAACTGTTTCTGGTGTAGACTGGATTAAGAAAATGTGGCACATATACACCATGGAATACTATGCAGCCATAAAAAATGATGAGTTCATGTCCTTTATAGGGACATGGATGAAACTGGAAACCATCATTCTCAGCAAACTATCACAAGGACAAAAAACAAAACACCGCATGTTCTCACTCATAGGTGGGAATTGAACAATGAGAACACATGGACACAGGAAGCGGGGGAACATCACACATCGGGGACTGTTGTGGGGCGGGGGGAGGGGGGAGGGATAGCATTAGGAGATATACCTAATGATAAATGATGACTTAATGGGTGCAGCACACCAACATGGCACATGTATACGTATGTAACAAACCTGCACGTTGTGCACATGTACCCTAAAACTTTAAGTATAATAATAATAAAATTAAAAAAAAAAAAAGAAACTGTTTCTGGTGTAAACAGTGGCAGGATTTCCATTATAAATGTATAAGGTAAATGTTATTATCATCTGAGTGACTGGCAGCTTTTCCTACTGTCCCATAGATTCTCCTGGTTCGTCATTTTCATGAGGCAGATTAACAGACAGAGATCTTGCATATGACTCCTTATATACCTGGGTTTTGGATTTCATCTGGTATCTGTAAATTTCTCTTTCCAAACCACCTCCTTAGAATTCTTATCAAAGAGTACAGAACAAAAATTCTATACCATTAGATTATGACCTGCAGATTAGCAGATTATAAAAGGTACTTTACAGATATAATTTCATTTAATCCTCCCAACAACCCTATGAAAATAAACATTATATGACAAAAAGACACATTGTTGGAAAGGTCAGAGCTAGTACTCAAATACAGATATTTCCAGCCTGAGAACTCATTTTCTTCACACTATACCATGATTTAAGAGACAAATACATTCATGTAACAACACAAACTGTAACATAACATTTTATAAGTATAAATAAAATGCTACCCCAAACAACAGTTCCTTTTGTCTGAAGAGAAAATGGTTCTTGGCTAGGCGTGGTGGCTCATCCCTGTAATCCCCGCACTTTGGGAGGCCTAGGTGGGCAGATCACCTGAGGTCAGGAGTTCAAGACCAGCCTGGCCAAGATGGTGAAACCCCATCTCTACTAAAAAATACAAAAATTAGCCAGGTATGGTGGCACGCACCTGTAATCCTAGCTACTCAGGAGGCTGAGGCAGAGAATTGCTTAAACCCGGAAGGCGGGGGTTGGGAGAGCCGACATCGCACCACTGCACTCCAGCCTGGGCGACAGAGCGAGACTCTGTCTAAAAAAAGAAAAAAGAAAAAGAAAAAAAAAGAGAGAGAAATGGGTTCTTATTAGCTAGTAGAAAAACTGAGAAGACTTCAGGGGAAATGGCAACTGAAAGAGGCCTTTAAGGATGAATAAAATGTCAACAGGTCCTGAAAATATAGCTATCAAATAAATTCCCTATGCAGATGCATAGGAATTATCCCCTAGGCTTTTATACTCCTCCTGAAAATTGCTCAGTACTTTGGAACCCTGCTCGTTTTCCAAATTCTCTCTATCCCATCTGCAAGTGCTCCCTGACCTCTACCCCAAACCAAATTTACCTTGACAGATTTTTTCAGGACATCTAAGGCTACATTTGTTTAAAAACAGACACTTAGCTCTGAGACATAAGGCTTTCCTTTTTTTTTTTCTTTTTCTTTTTTTCAAGAGATGGGGGTCTCACTATGTTGCCTGGGCCAGTCTCAAACTCCTGGACTCTAGGGATCCTCCCACCTTGGCCTCCCAAAGTGCTGGGACTACAGGCATGAGCCACTGTGCCCAGCCAAGGCTTTTCAACTACACTTTGTATCCTACTCATCTTATGCATTCTGATGCTTTTGCATCTACCTAATACTGCCTAATCTTAGTTTATCTTTTATAAGATTTCTTTCACAACACTTACAAATATAGCCTGGTCTCTATTCTTCCTGAATAACAACTTCTAGTATAAAAACAAAAAGCAATAGAAACAAGGATGCATTTATTTAACTTTAATACAACATCGACTAAATAAAGAAATTTAACAATACTAAAAGATAGAATGCAATAATGCTTATATTTCCTTTGGTGATCAAATGTTAACACATAATTTTAATACCTTATGCAGTAATGTTTCTATCGAAATGTGTCTGGTTTTTTTTTTTTTTTTTTTTGAGACATGGTCTCACTCTGTCACCCAGGCTAGAGTGCAGTGGTGCAATCTGGGCTCACTGCAAGCCTTTGCCTCCCAGGCTCAAGCGATCCTCCCACTTCAGCCTCCTGAGTAGCTGGGACTATAAGCGTGCGCCACCACACCCAGCTAATTTTTGTATTTTTTACAGGGATGGGGTTTTGTCCAGGCTGGTCTCAAACTCTTGAGCTCAAGCGATCTGCCTGTCTTGGCCTCCCGAAGTGCTGGGATTGCAGGCATGAGCCACGCGCCCACCCATGAGATACCTTTCATTCAAGCTTGACAGCAGCACCTGCAGGGAGAAAAGAAAATTGAACTGCTCTCTCTACCTACTTCAGCCTCCCAAGTGCTGAGATTACTGGCATGAACCACCACACCTGGACGATTTCTGTATTAACAATGGAAACTTAATATTAGAAGAGAATGCATCTTTATTGAGTTACATACCTTTGAGGAGCAAATGAGCTAATAATCGCCCTCCATGTTTATATTATTGATAATAGAATAATTATATTTATTGTATGCTAGGCACCATGCTAATGCTTTATTTTCACAAGACCCTATAAAGTAATATCAGTTTGTGGGCTTTTTTTCTGAGACAGGGTCTCGCTCTGTTGCCCAGGCTGTGTGCAGTGGCAAAATCATGGCTCACTGCAGCCACAACCTCCCAGGCTCAAGCAATTCTCCCACCTCAGCCTCCCAAGTAGCTGGGACCACGAGCACACACCACCATGCTTGACTTATTTTTTACTTTTTTTAGAGATGGGATCTAGCTATGTTGCCCAGGCCAATCTTGAACTTCTGGGCTGAAGGGATCCTCCTGCCTTGGCCTCCCAAAGTGCTGGGATTACAGGTGTGAGCCACTGCACCTGGCCAATATTAGTTTCTTTTCACAAATAAAGAAACTGAAATTCAGAGAGGTCAAGTTACTCGCTCAGTGTTATTCTGCTAGAGACAGCACAAATCACTCTGCCAACAAAATTTCTGTTATTTCAACTCCTGGCCACTTTCACCAGGAGCAGTGGTATGCTCCTATAGTTCTAGCTACTCAGAGGCCAAGGCAGGAAGACTGCTTGAGCACAGGAGTTCGAGTCCAGCCAGGGCAACATAGCAAGATTCCAGCTTTTAGAAGAAGAAGAAAAGAATGCCATTCTCATCCCCAAATCCTGCACAAAAAGGAAATCGAATTACCCAGCCACTGTGAGATTTTCCAAAACTTACCAATTATCTTACAATGTCCCCACATGTCATGGTTAGTCACTGATAAAATCAGCATCTGAATTCCACAAAAGCAACCAGAGAAAATCACTAGGCCATGTAAACACATGCCTCCTTCGAGGTATTGTTATGGAACGTATATGTTATCCAAAGCCCAGTCCTGGTGAAAAATCTTGTCTTGGGTTTGTAAGGTGACAGCAGAACCTCTGGATCACCCTGGAGGCTAGCTTTCCCTGATTTGATAGTAGAGTTGCTCCAAATCATTCCATTATCACATTGAGTAGAAGTCTTCTGTTAGAATCAATTATCAGAATAAAGGGATCCCATTCCAAAAGAAAATCAACCTGTAGCAAAGAAGTTTTTCTTATAGTGTTTACAGGGTCAAGTTCATATGAGTAAGAAATTCTTTTTTTTTTTTTTTTTTTTGAGACGGAATCTTGCTCTGTCGCCAGGCTGGAGTGCAGTGGCGCGATCTCAGCTCACTGCAAGTTCCGCCTCCCGGGTTCAAGTGAGTTCCCTGCCTCAGCCTCCCAAGTAGCTGGTATTACAGGCACACGCCACCATGCCCGGCTAATTTTTTGTATTTTAGTAGAGACAGGGTTTCACCATGTTGGCCAAGGTGGTCTCAATCTCCTGACCTTCTGATCCGCCTGCCTTGGCCTCCCAAAGTGCTGGGATTACAGGTGTGAGCTACCACACCCGGCCTAAAGTAAGAAATTCTACACAGCCTACAAAAGAATCTGCAGTAAATGTGGATATTTTTCTTTGGTATACAGAATTGTATCCATGTAATTAATACAAATGCACTATTTTTTTTTTTTTAGATGGAGTCTCACTCTGTCGCCCAGGCTGGAGTGCAGTGGTGCAATCTCGACTCACTGCAACCTCTGCCTCCTGGGTTCAAGTGATTCTCCTGCCTCAGCTTCCCGAGTAGCTGGGACTACAGGTGTGCACCACCATGTCTGGCTTATTTTTTGTATTTCTAGTAGAAACAGGGTTTCACCATGTTGGCCAGCCTTGTCTCAAACTCCTGACCTCAGGTGATCTGTCTGCCTCAACCTCCCAAAGTGCTGGGATTGCAGGCATGAGCTACCACGCCCAGCCACAAATGCACTATTTATTCATCATTGAGGCTTAACTTACAAAAGCAAGCTTTTCTGAGTACATAAGAGACATATCCTAAAGCAATGGTTTCCTTATTTCTCAAATTTTAAAAATATAATACCACTTAATTATGTCATTGATATCCTGATCACTTCAACATCCCTGTAAAGCTAATAATGATAATAATCACAGATTTTCTGTTCTTCATCTCAAGGGCTTCTATTTTTGTTGATGCTTGATTTGTTTCACGCACTTCAAGCAGTGCCTCCCTCTAGACTTGCCATGTTTTATTCTTCATCTTTTTCAGACCTAAAAATAACACAAAAATCCTACAAAGCATTATCTAAAATATTTCTAATAAACAAAATTGCATTTTGTATGCAAAGGACTAAATTATGCACATAAATTAATCATTCCTTCGACAAATACATTATCAAGGAGTGTAGCTTAGATCAAATGTTCTAACAGATCACCCAGATTTTTCAGAGGAAAGACAGTGTAACTGTAGAAAATGTAATATAATTTTCAAAAGTATATCATCAGGGCGTGGTGGCTCATGCCTGTAATCCCAGCACATTGGGAGGCCGAGGAGGATGGATCACCTGAGGTCAGGAGTTCGAGACCAGCCTGGCCAACATGGTGAGACCCCATCTCTACTAAAACTACAAAAATTTAGCCAGGTGTGGTGGTACGTGTCTGTAGTCCCAGCTACTCAGAAGGCTAAGGCAGGAAAATCATTTGAACCCGGAAAGTGGAGGTTGCAGTGAGCTGAAATCACACCACTCCAACCTGGGCGACAGAGCAAGACGTTGTCTCAACAACAACAACAACAAAGTATATCATCAGATGTTTGGGCGCAGTGGCTCATGCCTGTAATCCCAGCACTTTGGGAGGCCAAAGCAGCAGATCACTTGAGGTAGGGAGTTTGAGATCAGCCTGGCCAACATGGTGAAACTCGTCTCTACTAGAAATACAAAAATTAGCCAGGCATGGTAGCACGCGCCTATAGTCCCAGCTACTTGGGAGGCTGAGGCAGGAGAATCGCTTGAGCCCGGCAGGCAGAGATTGCAGTGAGCTGAGATGGTGCCACTGCACTGCGGCCTGGGCAACAGAGCTAGACTGCTTTAAAAAAAAAAAAGTATATTATCAGCTATGTAAATTGTGAAAGATAGTTTCAAAGTGGTGTAAAACACACAATTCTTCCTTGAAACAAAAAATATAACAAAGCCTAGGAAAGCCATCACAACCTACCATTACCACATCCTAATCATATGTCTCCCTCCTTAATTATTGTTTCCAAACTTAAACTCCTGGTTGTGCGTGTATCCCAGTGTTACCTGTCTATGTTAACTTGGAGTCAAGTTCTTTGCCTCATTGCTGGTTTCCCAAGATCTAGTACAAAACTTGGCACAAAACATGCTCAATAAACGATCACTGAATTGAAATAAACCTCCTTTACATACCTTGGAGGCACAAATAACATAAGGTATGCAAAAGTACTTTGGAAACTATCAAGCACCATACGAGAGCTGGTTATTACCAGAATGCCACCAGAGAACAGCATCTCACCATTGGCTGTCCTTTGTAAATTCTATTACTGGCATATATAAATCATTGGATCATTAATGCCCATGTCACATATGGCCAAATTTTACTCTAATAATTTTATTCTTCACCTGTCATTTCTAAACAACCTCTCCCAAACAAAAGATGTCCCCAATTTAAAATACTATTTCAATCATGAGATCCAAATAACTAAATCTATAGCAACATAACTGCATAATAGATAGCTCCAAAAATCATGGACTTCTTTCCCATGGAATAAAAGCTTTCCTACACTGCAGCCAATCTGACACCACACTTAATACTGAGTACATTCCTGTTAAAGGCTTGCTGAATTTTAAGAAAACATAAACCCCATACTCAAACTGTACAAGATAAAATTTGCTTAAGGGTATGTGTAGACAAATGAAACAAATTAGTCAGCTCTCTGTCCTGCCCCTTCTCAGAACCCAACTTCCCTGGTCTTTGCAGTTCTGAGTCGCCCTAATCTTCAGGTTCAACCCTTCCCACAACTACCACTTCCAGAGTTAATCCTGACCCCCAAGCAACTCATTGTTCCACCCATCAGTCTACTGAGCAAACATTCATTAACTACTGTGTGTCAGGCGCTATACTAGGCTTGAGAACATCTATGGCTTTATGGTTAATTGCGGTCTCTATAAGGGTAAGTCTCACATTCTTCTTCTTCTTTAACGTTGTCTTAACCATTCCAGGCTCTTGCCTTTTCATATAAATTTTGGGTTAAGCTTTTCAAGTTCTAAGGAAAGTCATTAGGTATACCATTTAATTTATAATTTGGAGAGAATTAATTTTTTTCTTTTTTAAATTTTATAGTCTTTATTATTGAAACATTGCGTTTCCAAATCACAGTGGTTTCTACTGACAAAGTGCCTACAATTCATTTCTTTATTAATTACAAACATTTCAGAGTAATTACACAGCACTTTATCTTGTGCCAGCCAAACCTCACAACAATGCTAGGAGGTAAGCTGTCACACCTACAGTTTGTTTTTCCCTCTAAAGGAGAAGGCAGGGAAAGAAAGTCTTTTGCAGAGTTATACAAATATTTGGCAAAATTCAGAACAAATCTGAGAGGGCTATTGATAAGAAGCTCTTTTCATTATAGACATTCATTCTATCCATGAATGAGAGAAAAAAGAGAATGGAAGATTTATGCATTACTTCAATTGGAGAAATGAGATAGGAGAGTGGCTAACACAAAAATCCCTAAATATTGTTTTAGAAAGTATGAAAAGTGGACTGGGTGTGGTGGCTCACGCCTATAATCCCAGTATTTTGGGAGGTCGAAGTCGGCAGATCACCTGAAGTCAGGAGCTCCAGACAGCCTGGCCAACATGGTGAAACCCCGTCTCCAATAAAAATACAAAAAAAATTAGCCAGGCATGGTGGCACATGCCTGTAATCCCAGCTACTCAAGAGGCTAGGGCAGAAGAATTGCTTGAAACTGGAAGGTGGAAGTTGCAGTGAGCTGAGATCGCGCCACTGCACTTCATCCTGGGCAATAAGAATAAAACTCTGTCTCAAAAAAAAAAAAAAAGTATGTAAAGTGGCATTTTTATCCCACTTTGTACACTGCTTATATCTTACCTATGCAGCTCATCCAATATCTCATTGCATCTGACAATTATTTTTGACTACCTTTTAAAAAGATGGAAATGAACCAATTTCATAATTCATTTACTTATAAATACATCTTTATACAAAGGGGAAGGGCCTAAAAGACTATTACAGAACCAATTTTTTTTAAAAATTGAAAATTACACATTACCACCAGATAGCATTTTCCCAGATAGGACTTTGAGTAGGCCGGGCGCGGTGGCTCACATCTGTAATCCAGGCACTTTGGAAGGCTGAGATGGAAGGATTGTTTGAACCCAGGAGTGTGAGACCAGCCTGGGCAACAAGGTGAGACCCCCGTCTCTACAAAAAAATTTAAAACTTAGGCATGGTGGCACACGCCTGTAGTCCCAGCTACTGGGGAGGCTGAGGCAGGAGGATTACTTGAGTTCAGGAGTTTGAGGCTGCAGTGAGCTATGATGGGATGGCATCACTGCACTCTAGCCTGGATGACAGAGCAAGATCCTGTCTCTATGTTAAGTAAGTAAGTAAATAAATAAATAAATATTGACTGGGCGCGGTGACTCACACCTGTAATCCCAACACTTAGGGAGGCCAAGGTGGGTGGATCATGAGGTCAGGAGTTCGAGGCCAGCCTGGCCAACGTAGTCTCTACTAAAAACACAAAAATTAGCCAGGCACGGGGGTGCATGCCTGTAGTCCCAGCTACTCAGGAGGCTGAGGCAGGAGAATCGCTTGAACCTGGGAGGCAGAGGTTGTAGTGAGACAAGATCATGCCACTGCACTCCAGCCTGGGCAAAAGATTGAGACACCATCTCAAAATAAATAAATAAATAAATAGGCCTGGTGTGGTGGCTCACGCCTATAATTCCAGCACTTTGGGAGGCTGAGGCCAGTGGATTACCTGAGGTCAGGAGTTCAAGACCAGCCTAGTCAACATGGTGAAACCCCATCTCTACTAAAAATACAAAAAATTAGCTGGGTGTTGTGGTGGGCACCTGTAATACCAGCTGCTCAGGAGGCTGAGGCAGAAGAATCACTTGAACCCAGGAGGCAGAGGTTGCCGTGAGCCAAGATCACGCTATTGCACTCCAGCCTGAGCAACAAGAGTGAAACTCTATCTCAAAATAAAATAAAAATAAATACTTCTACTTTGTTTATAACTAAGTTTGCAATAAAAGATGTATAAGGGTTGGGCGTGGTGGCTCACGCCTGTAATCCCAGCACTTTGGGAGGCTGAGGTGGGTGAATCACCTGAGGTCAGGAGTTCGAGACCAGTCTGGCCAACATAGTGAAACCCTGTCTCTACTAAAAATACAAAAATTAACCAGGCATGGTAGTGCACACCTGTAGTCCCAGCTACTTGGGAGGCTGAGGGAGGAGAATTGCTTGAATCCAGGAGGTGGAAATCACAGTGAGCTGAGATCACACCACTGCACTCCAGCCTGGGTGACAGAGTGAGACTCCATCTCAAAAATAAATAGATAGATAGATAGATAGATAGATAGATAGATAGATAGATAGATAGGCCAGGCTCAGTGGCTCACTCCTGTAATCCCAGCACTTTGGGAGGCTGAGGTGGGTGGATCACCTGAGGTCACGAGTTGGAGACCAGCCTGGCCAATACAGTGAAACCTTGTCTCCACTAAAAATACAAAAATTAACCAGACGTGGTGGTGCACGCCTGTAGTCCCAGCTATTTGGGAGGCTAAGGCAGGAGAACTGTTTGAACCCAGGAGGTGGAGGTTGCAAGTGAGCTGAGATCGCACCACTGCACTCCAGCCTGGGTGACAGAGCGAGACTCCAAAAAAAAAAAAAACAAAGTACAAGGTCAGGAATGGTGGTTCATGTGTGTAATCCCAGCAATTTGGGAGGGTGAGGAAGGAGGATCACTTGAGTCTAGGAGTTCAAGGCTGCAATGAGCTGTGACTACACCACTGCACTCCAGCCTGGGTGACAGAATGAGAGTCTGTCTCTGAAAAAAAAAGAAAGTCCATGCTAGGCTGAAGGAACCAGAGGTGCAAAGGCCCTCAGGGCAGAACTCTGTATTTTTGCCATAGGAGAATTTTGAGCAAAAAAGTGTAAATATTTTCAAAGAATTAAATTCTTGGACTGGGTGCAGTGGTTCATGCCTATAATCCCAACACTTTGAGAAGCCAAGGCAAGAGGATCACTTTAGTCCAGGAATTCAAGACCAGCCTGGTTAACAAAGTGAGACCTTGTCTCTACAAAAAATTATACAAAAATTCAATAATTAGCCAGGTGATAATTGTTAGTGGGTGGTATGTGCCTGTAGTCCCAGCTCCTGGAGAGGCTGAGGTAGTGGGAGGATAGCTTGAGCCCAGGAGGTTGAGACTGCAGTAAGCAAAGGCCTTGCCACTGCATTCCAGCCTGGGCAATAGAGCAAGACTCTGTCCCTAAAAAAAAAAAAAGAAATTATTGCATTCCAGAATAAATCCTCCTTGTCTATTGTATATTATTTTATTATTTATGTATTTTGGGACAGTTTCACTCTTATTGCCCAGGTTGAAGTGCAATGGCACGATCTCGGCTCACTGCAACCTCCACCTCCTGGGTTCAAGCGATTGTCCTGCTTCAGCCTCCCGAGTAGCTGGGATTATGCCCAGCCAATTTTTTGTATTTTTAGTAGAGACGGGGTTTTCTCATGTTGGCCAGGCTGATATCGAACTCCAGACCTCAGAAGACCCACCTGCCTTGGCCTCCCAAAGTGCTGGGATTACAGGTGTGAGTCACTGCACCCAGCCTCATACATTATTTTAGTACACTGCCAAATTTGTAAGAATTTTACTTCTCTTCCTTTTTTTTTTTTTTTATACTCATGAGATTGGTTTCTAATTTCCTTTCTTGAACTTCTTTTGCCCATTGTTTCATTAAAAAGAGACAAGGTCTCTGTCATCCAGGCTGGAATGTACTGGCACAATCGCAGCTCACTGCAGCTTCAATCTCCTGGGCTCAAGCAAACCTCCCATCTCAGCCTCCCAAGCAGCTGGGACTTTAGGTGTACACCAGCACATCTGGTTAATTTTTTATATTTTTTGTAGAGACAGGGTCTCACTATGTGTTGCCCAGGTCCTCCTACCTCAGCTGGGATTATAGGCATGAGCCATCACACACAAGATGTTATCCCTTTTTCTGAGTCTCTTCCTTTCTTCTATTGAATTGATTTCTGTATTCCCTTTTTTTAGCCGTGCTAATTTGAAAACTATAGATGTGTCTGGGTTTTTTTTAGTAGTTACTCTTGATTTTAAAGCAACACACTTAACTTTATGTCTACTCTAAATGTCTGCAGCTATGTCTCTCTTCCTGGGGAATGTGAAGAGATTCTTAGCACACCATTGGACAGATCCTCTCTATTACTATTTAGGGCAGCACTTCTCAGAGTATGTTCCCCAAGGCCCTTTCAAGGGTCTGAAAGGTTAAAGCTATTTTTATAATAATACTACAAATTGTTCTCAATTGATTGACATTTGCATTAATGGTACAAAACTGATGATGGGTAAAAGAGCTGGTGTCTTAGTATGAATCTAGGCAGTGTTATCAAACTGTCCCAGTAGTCACTGTATTCTTCATCATGCACTCACAGAAAAAGCCAGTTTCACTTAAGATTGCCCCAGATGACAGAATAAAAATTGTTAATTTTATAAATCCTTGACCCATGAATACACATCTTTTAAAAACTGTGAGTGATAACATGGGAAGCATGCATAAAACACTTCCACACACAGAAGTACAAGAGTTGTCTCATGGAAAGACATTTGTGCAATTCTTTGAGTTGGGCTGAACTAGCTACTTTTCTCAGGGAGCACCATTTTTATTTGCAAGAACTGATAGACAACCACGGATCTACAGATGTGGGTATGTGGCAGACATTTCCTCAAAAATGAAGTAACCCTGTCACTTCAAGAAAAACAACTCAGTATTTGTTGTAACAGAAAACATTTAAGCTTTCAAGTGAAAAAGCGATTAAAATAATCCCTTTCCCAACTACTTGTCTGTGTGAGGTTGGATTTTCTTTGGGTACTTCAACCCAGAAAACACTGCAACATACTGAACACAGAAGCATATATGAGAATCTAGCTGACTTCTATTAAGACAAACATTAAAGAGATCTGCAAAAATGTACAAATAACGCCACTCGTTACATTTTTGTCTTGATTTAAATTTTTATTTTGGGAAAAACAAAAACAAAAATAAATAAATTTTTATTTTGGGGCCAGGCATAGTGGTTCACACCTGTAATCCCAGCACTTTAGAAGGCCAAGTCAGATGGATCATTTGAGGTCAGGAGTTCAAGACCAGCTTGGCCAACATGGTGAGACCCCGTCTCTACTAAAAATACAAAAATTAGCCAGATGTGGTTGTGCATGCCTGTAATTCCAGCTACTTGAGAGGCTGAGGTAGGATAATCACTTGAACCCAGGAGGCAGAGGTTGCAGTGAGCCAATATCGTGCCACTGCATGCCAGCTTGGGTGAGAGTGAGAACCTGTCTCCAAAAAAAAAAAAATCATTTCAGGCCAGGGATAGTGGCTCACACCTCTAAACCCAGCACTTTGAGAGGCCAAAGCAGGAGGATTGCTTGAGGCCAGGAGTTCGAGACCAGCCTGAGCAACATGGCAAAACCCCATTTCTACCAAAAAGAAAAAATAAAACAAAATTAGCCAGGTGTGGTGCAGCATGCCTGTAGTCCCAGTTACTCAGGAGGCTGAGGCAGGAGGATCACTCAAGCCCCAGAGGTTGAGGCTGCAGTGAGCCATGATCATGCCATTGCAGAGTGAGACCCTGTCTCAAAAAAAAAAAAAATTATTTTGGCCTTCCATCACAAAAAAGGGTTTAGAGTCAATAAATAATTTAAACTTACTGACCTGTTAAATTAATTCCTATGGTCACATTACTTTAAGTCAACCACTCCTCCCACTATAGAAACTACCTTTTGCTTCTTGATGCCCACACTTTCCTTCTGGATTAACTTTTCTTCTTGTAGAGGCATAACCTTGAATAATTTTTTTTTTTTTTTTTTTTTTTGAGACAGGGTCTCACTGTGTCACACAGGCTGGAGTGCAGTGGTGCAATCTTGGCTCACTGCAGCTTCAACCACCAGGCTTATGTGATCCTCCCACCTCAGCCTTTTGGATAGCTGGGACTACAGGCAAGCACCACAATATCCTGCTAATTTTTTGTAGAGATAGGGTTTCGTCATGTTGCCCAGGCTGGTCTCAAACTCCTGGGCACAAGCAATCCACCCGCCTCGACCTCCCAAAGTGCTGGGATTACAGGTGTGAGCCACCGTCCCGGTCTGAAATCTAGATGTTCAGTGATTATCTTCTCAAATGTGATCTGTCATTCCTTTCTTAAGTTTTTTAGTGTCTTTGAATGAAAAGTTAAGGTTTTGTCTTTTTTTTTTTTTTTTGAGATGGAGTCTCGCTCTGTCACCCAGGTTGGAGTGCAGTGGCATGATCTCGGCTCACTGCAAGCTCCGCCTCCTGGGTTCATGCCATTCTCCTGCCTCAGCCTCCCAAGTAGCTGGGACTACAGGCGCCACCACGCCCGGCTAAATTTTTGTATTTTTAGTAAGAGATGGAGTTTCACTGTGTTAGCCAGGATGGTCTTGATCTCCTGACCTTGTGATCCGCCCACCTCAAGCCTCCCAAAGTGCTGGGATTACAGGCGTGAGCCACCATGCCCGGCCACCTTCTTACTTTTTAAATCTCTCCCTTTTCTTTCTCTTACTCTACTTTATCTAGAAGATGTGCAGTTGGCTCCACCTGTTCCTCCAGAGCCTTCAATTAAGATCTAGGGCTTCATAGTGTTTCAAATCTTCTGTGCTGATACACTAATATTACAGATTCAGTCACTTGAGCAGACAGGCTACTTTGCTGTTTTTGGTCAAAAAGTCATGTTTTTCTCCCTTGCCCTCACTAGGCCCACTTTCTTACAAAGCAACAGTCCCAGACAGACAGTCAACCCTTTTATCAGCCTGCTTTCACAAGCTAATGCCCATCCCAGGCCCTGGCTTTGAGGGATACTCCCAGCTCCAGGCATCTCTGCCATGGAGTTCTCCTAAGGATCTGTTTTACAGAAAGAGGTCAAAGTCCCAGCAAACACTGATTCTCCACTCAGAGCCGGAGTCTCACTGTGAGCCTCACATGCCACTAGAGCTTTCTCTTTTTTTTTTTTTTTTTTTTTTTTTTTTTGAGATTGAGTCTCACCCTGTCGCCCAGGCTCTGGTGCAGTGGCACAATCGCGGCTCACTGCAACCTCCGCCTCATGGGTTCAAGCGATTCTCTTGCCTCAGCCTCCCGAGTAGCTGGGATTACAGGTATATGCCACTACACCCAGCTAATTTTTAGTAGAGACAAGGTTTTGCCATGTTGGCCAGGCTGGTCTCAAACCCTTGACCTCAGGTGATCCACCTGCCTCAGCCTCCCAAGGTGCTAGGATTACAGGTGTGAGCCAACGTGCCTGGCCTCTCTTCTATTTTTAGTCATATGTTTTTCCTTTTTCAACATTTATTTATTGCTACGTGTTTGAGGCAGAGGAATTGTGTTGAAGTTGAGCTCACTTTAACATCTCAATCAGAAGTCATATATCCTTTCTACATTTTATAAAAATAGGAATATATTTTATAATTTAATACGTTTTTTATTTTAAATTTGTTTTACTCCCTTTACTATATATGTATTATAACAGGGGCAAATAAATAGCAGAGTCGTGGAAGCAAGGAAGAGCCAAATTCTGATAGAGGAAATGAATTTCTCAGAAGCTCTTGCCACATACAAAAAATAAAAGAAAGATAAAAGAAAAGACTTCACAAAATTTCAATCACTTGCCTGCCAGCATCCTAAAATTTTCTGTGGATTCACTGGAATGGGCAGATCACCTGAGGTCAGCAGTTCGAGACCAGTCTGGCGAAACCCTGTCTCTACTAAAAATATAAAAATTAGCTGGGCGTGATGGTGGGCGCTTGTAATCTCAGCTACTCAGGAGGCTGAGGCAGGAGAATCGCTTGAACCCAGGAGGCGGAGGTTGTGGTGAGTCAAGATTGCGCCACTGCACTCCAGCCTTGGCGACAGAGCAAGACTCCGTCTCGAAAAAATAAATAAATAAATTTTAAAAAAATGATTAAGATGGTAAATTTTGTTCTATGTATTTTACATAAACGTAAGAAAAATATACCTGAAGATATCATCCAGGCAACCAACTTCTTTATTTAATAAGAAAAAAATACTTTTGATTTGGAATTTGTGAGGTGAAAGGACTAACAGTTAATATTTAGACTTGTAAAGAAAAATAAGCATAATAATAGTAATTGTGGCTACAAAGCAGAAGGTAAATGTTACAATTCATGAATAAAGCCACAATAAACTTTCATACAACATTCACGTAATATTATTTAATATTACTACAAAAAAGTAACCATGAATAAAATAAAAAGACACCCTACCATTTAACTCACCAGAAAATAGGGGGAAATACCAAAGACGCATAGAGAAACGTGTGCAAGAACTTGTCAGTGGCTGGGTATGGTGGCTCGCGCCTGTAATCCCAGCATTTTGGGAGGCTGAGGTGGACCAATCATGAGGTAAGGAGTTGGAAACTAGCCTGGCTAACATGGTGAAACCCCGTCTCTATTAAGAATACAAAAATTAGCTGAGCGTGGCTGCGCACCTGTAATCCCAGCTACTCAGGAGGATTGCTTGACCCTGAGAGGTGGAGGTTGCAGTGAGCTCAGATCACACCATCGCAACTCTAGCCTGGGCAACAGAGCAAGAATCCCATTTCAGAAAAAAAAAAAAAAAAAAAAAAAAAAAAAAAAAAAAAAAGAACTTGCATCAAAATGTTTACATGGTGGCCGGGCACAGTGGCTCACACCTGTAATCCCAGCACTTTGGGAGGTCAAGGCGGGCGGATCATGAAGTCAAGAGATTGAGACCATCCTGGCCAACACAGTGAAACCCCGACTCTACTAAAAATACAAAACATTCGCCAGGCATGGTGGTGTGCACCTGTAGTCCCAGCTACTTGGGAGGCTGAGGCAGAGGAATCGCTTGAACCCGGGAGGCGGAGGTTGTGGTGAGCCGAGATTGCACCATTGCACTCCAGCCTGGGCAACAAGAGCAAAACTCCATCTCAAAAAACAAATAAACAAAAAAAAATGTTAATATGCTTATCTCTGGATGGTTGGATTAAGGGTGAGTTCTGATTTTTTTTTTTTTTTTTTGAGATGGAGTTTTCGCTCGTTTCCCAGGCTGGAGTGCAATGGCGTGATCTAGGCTCACTGCAACCTCTGCCTCCTGGGTTCAAGCGATTCTCCTGCCTCAGCTTCCCGAGTAGCTGGGATTACAGGCATGCACCAACATGCCTGGCTAACTTTGTATTAGAGATGGGGTTTCTCCATGTTGGTCAGGCTGGTCTCCAACTCCTGACCTCAGGTGACCTGCCTGCCCCGGCCTCCCAAGCTGCTGGAATTACAGGCGTGAGCCACCGCGCCTGGCCTGCTTTCTTTTATACACATTTTTTTCCTCTGACATGGGATCTTGCTATGTTGCCCAGACTGGTCTTGACTCCTGGGCTTAAGTGATCCTCCCACCTCTGCCTCCCAAGTAACTGGGATTACAGGCATGCTCCAGTGTGCCTGCCTTGCTTTCTTCTTATTCTTTAATTTTGACCAGTTTGTTCCCCATCTCTTGACCTTTAGAATTCCTGCTCCTACTGCCTAAGACACTCGTCCTGTGCCTTCTCCACATGGCTGGCTCCTTTCGATCACTTAGATACAGCTCACACATCATTCAATTCCTCAGAAAGGCCTTCCTCTAACCTAAAGGAGTCCCAACTCCACCAACCACTATTATTTTACTCTGTTTTTTTGTCTTCATGGCACTTTATCAGTATCTGAAATTAAGTTATTTTCTTTGTTTAATGTTAATCTCCAAAACTAGAATGGAAGCTCTATGAGGGGAAGGGCTCGTCTGTTTTGTTTACCTAATGTATTTCCCTAGGACCCTGAAACATGTTATAGCCCATAATATTGGTTGAAAATGAATATATTTGTGCTAATTTTGTAATCAGAACAACAAAAAAAAAATAACTTTTTTTTTTGAGACAGGGTCTGGCTGTTTTGCCCAGGCTGGAGTGCAGTGGTACAATCTTGGCTCACTGCAACCTTGACCTTCTGGGCTGAAGCCATCCTCCCACCTCAGCCTCCCCCATAGCTGGGACCATGGGCATGAACCACCATGCTACGCTAATTTTTTTGTATTTTTTAATAAAGATGGGTTTTCACCATGTTGCCCAGGCTGGTCTTGAACTCCTGAGCTCAAGTGATGCACCCATCTGAGTCTCCCCCAGTGCTGAGATGACAGGAGTGAGCCAACACACCCAGCCCAAATTCTTTTTTTTTTTAATTTTATCAATCTAAGTCTAAATCTAAACCAAATTATTTTCAATAGAGAATAAAGAATAAAAGCAGAAAGACTGAGTTAAAAAAAAACAAAGATTAAACCATAAGATACATTTTATGTACATTTCACTGGCAAAAAAATGTAAAACTGTGAGAAACCTAAATGTTGGAGAAGATATGGATCAATGAGAACTCCTTATACACTGCTGGTGGAGTATAACTTGATTAACTACTTTGGAAAAGAATTTGACATTTTCTTATGTTTATTATTTACATATTATCCAGCAATTTCACTCCTAGAAAAACCCTTTCACATATGCATCAGGAGACAGATAATAATAATTTTTACAGCAGCACTTTTCATAAAGCAAAAGACTGCAAATCCAAACATGCATCAAAAAGAGAGTGGATAAATTCTGGTACATCAGACAATGAAATACTATATAGTGGAAATGAATGCACTGCAGCCACAAAAAATAACATGAATGAATCTTAGTATAATTTTGTATTATTCCATTTTTTTTTTTCAGACAGATTATCGCTCTGTTCCCCATGCTGGAGTGCAGTGGTACGATCTTGGATCACTGCAACCTCTGCCTCCGGGTTCAAGCGATTCTCCTGGCTCAGCCTCCAGAGTACCGGGGATTACAGGCGCCTGCCCCCACACCCAGCTAATTTTTGTATTTTTAGTAGAGACAACATGAGGTTTCACCATGTTGGCCAGGCTGGTCTTGAACTCCTGACCTCAGGTAATCCTTCGGCCTCAGCCTCCCAAAGTGCTGGGATTACAGGCGTGAGCCACCTCGCCCAGAGCAATTTTTTTTTCTTTTTTTTTTTTTTTTAAGAGAGAGTCTCATGCCAGGTGAGGTGGCTCATGCCTGTAATCCCAGCACTTTGAGAGGCTGACAGGGCAGATCACGGGGTCAGGAGATCGAGACCATCCTGGCCAAAATGGTGAAACTCCGTCTCTATTAATAATATATATATATAAAAATTAGCTGGGAGCGGTGGCGCATGCCCGTAATCCCAGCTACTTGGGAGGCTGAGGCAGGAGAATCGCTTGAACCAGGGAGTCGGAGGTTGCAATGAACCAAGATTGCGCCACTGTACTCCAGCCTGGCAACAGACTGAGACTCCATAACAAAACAAAACAAAAAAAGACAGTCTCACTCTGTTCACCCAGGCTGGAGTGCAGCGGCGTGATCTTGGCTCACCGCAACCTTCGCCTCCCCGGTTCAAGCGATTCTTGTGCCTCAGCCTCCCGAGTAGCTGGGATTACAGGTGTGCACGAACACGCCCAGCTAATTTTTTTTTTTTTGTATTTTTAGTAGAGGTGGGGTTTCACCATGTTGTTGGCCAAGCTGGTCTTGAACTCCTGACCTAAGGTGATCCACCCACCTCGGCCTCCCAAAGTGCTGGGATTACAGGTGTTCCAGTGAGTAAACTGGAACAATTAAACTTAAATGAACACAATCTTCAATACATTTCAAACCTCTGAAGTTATGAGTATCACTTTTTTTCTTTCACATATTTAGATGTAGTCTGTCAGCAATAAAATTAAGGCAAATATATCAGCTGGGTTCACTTAAATTTTTAAAATTGTACCGGGTACCCTTTACCAATCTTCATTAACATCAAGAAAACATAAGTACACTAGTTGTGCTGGAGAGAAGGAAATTACAAGGAAGACATTGGGTTAAATCTAACAACTTATTAGTAAATGAGTTGAAGATGTAAAGTATAATATATAGGCAAATAAGAGTTTTCAGGAGGACAGTACATTCTTGAGAAAACCCTAATGCATGAAAATTTAAGAAAAAGTTCTAAGATGAAATGGGATTAATAGTTGTCTTTGGGCCGGGCATGGTGGCTCACGCCTGTAATCCCAGCACTTTGGAAGGCTGAGGCAGGCAGATCACGAGGTCAGGAGATCGAGACCATCCTGGCTAACACGATGAAACCCCGTCTCTACTAAAAATACAAAAAATCAGCTGGGCGTGGTGGCAGGTGCCTGTAGTCCCAGCTATTCTGTAGGCTGAGCCGGGACAATAGTGTGAACCCGGGAGGCAGAGCTTGCAGTGAGCCGAAATTGCGCCACTGCACTCCCGCCTGGGCAACAGAGCAAGACTCTGTCTCAAAATAAATAAATAAATAAATAAATAAATACATAAATACATAAATTAATAATAATTGTCTTTGGCCGGGCACAGTGGCTCATGCCTGTAATCCCAGCACTGTGGGAGGCTGAGGCAGATGGATCACGAGGCCAGGAGTTCAAGACCAGCCTGGCCAACATAGTGAAACCCCGTCTCTACTAAAAATATAAACATTTGCTGGGCATGGTGGCACACGCCTGTAGTTCCAGTTACTCAGGAGGCTGAGACAGGAGAATCACTTGAACCGGGGAGGTGGAGGTTGCAATGAGCCAAGATCATGCCACTGCACTCCAACTTGGGCAACAGAGTGAGACTTCGTCTCAAAAAAAAATTAAAAAAAAGAAACAATTGTCTTTGATGATTAAAATATTTTAGAAATCTGAATTACAAATCCGCAGTATAAAGATGAAAAATGTCACTTCAGTAAAAAGAAATAAAAATTGATTCATGTACATGAGTAAAAAAAAATAAAAATTAAGCCAGTCACGATGGCTCATGCCTGTAATCCCAGCACTTCGGGAGGGTGAGGCGGGTGGATCACAATGTCAGGAGTTCAAGACCAGCCTGGCCAAGATGGTGAAACCCCGTCTCTACTAAAAATACAAAAAAGTAGCCGGACTTGGTGGTGGGCGCCTGTAATCCCAGCTACTCGAGAGGCTGAGGCAGAGAATTGCTTGAACCCGGGAGGCGGAGGTTGCAGTGAGTCGAGATCGCACCTCTGCACTCCAGCCTGGGTGACAGAATGAGACTCCGTCTCAAAAAAAAAAAAATTAAAATTAAAATTAAAAGAAAAATGTCCCATCACCTTAGGATGCCTCTGTCCTCCACCTTTTTTTTTTCCCCCTATTTTGGCTGTCTCACTCTGTCGCCCAGGCTGAAGTTCAGTGGTGTGATCTCAGCTCACTACAGCCTCGACCTCCCAGGCTTAAGTGATCCTCTCATCCCAGCCTCCCAAGAAGCTGGAACTACAGATGCACACCATCATGCCCAGCTAATTTTTGTATTTTTTTTGTAGAGATGGAGTTTCGCCATGTTGCCCAAGCTGGTTTCAAACTCCTGAGCTCAAGCCATCCACCTGCCTGGGCCTCCCAATCTCCTCAACTTCTAAAAAGATTTTGAAGTAAACAAGACCAAAGAGTAAGAAACATATATAGCTAAGTTTACAAATAAGGAGAGAGAGAGAAAAAAAAGTTCTATTGGCAAATAAACAGTAGCCTAAAATGTTGCATTTACAAAGAACTAAGCATTTTGCTGTTTTTGAGTTACACATTTTTGTTTGAAACAGCGTCTTATTCTGTTGCCCAGGCTGGGGTACAGTGGTGTGAACACAGCTCATTTTAGCCTCCATCTCCCCGGGGTTAAGATGATCCTCCCACCTCAGCCTCTCAAGTACCTGGGACTACAGTTGCGCACCACCATGCCTTGCTCATTTTTAATTTTTTTTTTTTTTTTTTAGAGATGGG
Organism: Homo sapiens; assembly: GCF_000001405.40. Lineage (NCBI taxonomy): Eukaryota > Metazoa > Chordata > Mammalia > Primates > Hominidae > Homo > Homo sapiens. The sequence goes on along the minus strand of NC_000017.11, from coordinate 32,389,601 downwards.
GTTTTGCCATGTTGGCCAGGCTGGTCTCAAACTCCTGGGCTCAAGCAATCCGCCTGCCTCGGCCTCCCAAAGTGCTGGGATCACATATATGAGCCAATGTGGCCAGGGTTACATGTTCTACTTTGCCATATCCTACAGGTATTACAAGCAAATCTTCTCCCTACAAAATGAGATTAGACTGATTAGACTAGATCTTTAAGGCAACTTCTGGTTCTAATTTCATACGGTTTTACAAAGACAGTAATTTTAAGTAGGTTTTAAAAATTCAACTCTTAGGCCCAGGTGTATGGCTCACACCTGTAATCCCAGCACTCTGGGAGGCTGAGAGAGGATTGCTTGAGTCCAGGAGGTCAAGGCTGCGGTGAGCTGTGATCACACCACTGCACTCCAGCCTGGGTGACAGAGCAAGACCCTGTCCAAAGAAATTTCAGTCTTCAAACCAGATGCAATCATTCTGATCCTAATATAAAACTTTTAACCCGTAAACCAAAATACAAGCTAAAAGTGTCTCCCTCTCTTGAGGGGGAGCTGGGAAGAACCAATTCAGGTGTCTTGGGTTTCCAGGACTAGGGTTTTTCCACTACTAGGGTAGCAAACAGGGATGTTTCTTACCAGAGCCTCATTCTAGAGGGAACATAACAAAGTGAGCCAGAGAAAGTCTTGTGCAAAGAGGCATTGCAAAACCAGCAATCTGGATAAAGATAGAAATAAACTTCCTGTAATCCCAGATGCTCAGGAGGCCGAGGCAGGAGAATCGTTTGAACCCGGGAGGTGGAGGTTACAGTGAGCCAAGATCATGCCACTGCACTCCATCCTGGGGGACAGAGGGAGACTCCATCTCAAAAAGCAAACAAAACAAAACTGAGGCTGCCTAGATGAGGTCAATAAAAAAGTGTCTGTACAGTAGTTCTCCCTTATCTGAGATTTGGCTTTCCATGGTTTCAGTTACCCATGGTCAGCTGCAGTCTGAAAACAGATGAGTACAGTATCATATTTTCAGAGAGAAAGAGAGACCACATTCACATAACTTTTATTACAGTATGTTGTTATAACTGTTCTATTATTTATTAGCTGTTGGTATCAGTCTATCTTATAAATTACATTGTATTAGGCCGGGTGCAGTGGTTCATGCGTGTAATCCCAGCACTTTGAGAGGCCGCGGCAGGCGGATCACGAAGTCAAGAGATCAAGACCATCCTGGCCAACATGGTGAAACCCCATCTCAACTAAAAATACAAAAATTAGCCAAGCGTGGTGGCACGTGCCTGTGTTCCCAGCTACGTGGGAGACTAAGGCAGGAGAACCGCTTGAACCTGGGAGATGTAGGTTGCAGTGAGCCGAGATCGCGTGACTGCACTCCAGCCTGGAGACAGAGCAAGACACTGTCTGGGAAAAAAAAAAAAAAAAAAGTATTACAGGGCTGGATGCGGTGGCTGACACCTATAATCCCAGAACTTTGGGAGGCTGAGGCTGGCAGATCACTTAAGCCCAGGAGTTCGAGACCAGCCTTGGCACCATGGCGAAATCTCATTTTTACTAAAAATACAAAAAATTAGCCAGGCATGGTGGTGTGTGCCTGTAATTTCAGCTCCTCAGGCGGCTGACGTGGATCATCTGAGCTGGGAAGTCAAGGCCACAGTGAGCTGTGAATAGGCCACTGCACTCCGGCCTGGGCCTGGATGATGGGTGTGAGACCCTGTCTCATTAAAAAAAAAAAAAAAAAAATTGTAGGTAATTTAGAGATGATTTAAAGTATATGGGAGGATGTGCATAGGTAATATCCACATACTATGTCATTTTCATATCAGGGACTTGAGAATCTGCAGATTTTAGTATCAAAGGGAAGTCCTGGAACCAGTCTTCAGATAACAAGGGACAAATCTAGTTCTTCCTGGGGACTGTAGCCGGGAGTAGAGCAGAAAACAATTTCTTTCGTTTAATCCACATTAGATTTTTATTTATATTTATTTTGAGACAAGAGTCTCACTCTGTCACCCAGGCTAGAGTGCAGTGGAGCGATCTGGGCTCAAAGAGATTCTCCCACTTCAGCCTCTGCACTAGCTGGGACCAGGTACGCACCACCATGCCCGGCTAATTTTTGTATTTTTTTAGTAAAGATGGGGTTTCACCATGTTGGTCAGGCTGGTCTTGGACTCCTGACCTCAAGTCATCCACCTGCCTCGGCCTCCCAAAGTGCTGGGATTACAGGAATGAGCCACCACGCCTGGCCTTAGATTTTTAAAAGTAACATGCAACACTTTAAACATAAAGAAAACGTACTTTTAAGAAAAGGAACAGTATGGACTTTGTACAAATTTCCAGAAAGCAGGTAAAAGATTATATACTCTTGGTAATTATGAACTACTGGAGTTAAATATTTTACCTTTTTGTCTCACCACTATTTACTGAGAAACTGAGGACTAAAGTATGCTTTGCCAACACCCTGACAGCTATCAGACATAGCTTTCTTTGATTTGAGGATGGCATCACAGAGATATACTTACTCAATGTAACAAACACTTACTGCCTACTAGGTGCCAAGCACTATGAATCATAGGTAAAATAACCTCTTTCAAACCCCACAGTAATAAACTTAGTCACCTATTATGACTATATTCAAGATAGGTCCCTCCCCATCCAAAAATGTTCATTGATTGTTCTGAAATTTTACTTTTGTGATCTCAGTCCCTTGGGATACTGCATTTCCCAAAAGCCCATCTAGGAACTGAAATATTGATGCCAAACACTAATTTATATAATTATATACACCGACAACCTGCAGCTCGATCACAATAGCCAATTACTGGTTCAACTGCACCAGTCTATTCAGTGGCTTGTTCCCCAACATCATACTCCATCATCTACCTCTTGTCCATCATCAAACCTTCCTCTCTGGGATTATCTTGCTTTCCTCCTGTTGATATAAATTTCTGCAAACATCAGCTTTCATCAAAAAAAATCCCACACTGGTGATCTACAAGAAAAACTGTCCTGCAGGTGTGATTAGCACAGTGTTTAAATTCTCTTTAAATAACTATGAGATCTAACTTCTCTAGAAAAAAACTGAAAGCTGGCCACTGTGGCCAGGCAATGCACCCAGCATGAGCCTCATTTGTAAGGGTCACGAGTTCCCCACTCCCCAATTGGCTTGTTTCACTCATTTCTATAACCTATCTGGTTCTCGTAGGTGTTTCAGTTTGCAATCACTGGTCTAGCCTACCTCTATTCCAAACTAAAGCTATTCTTTCGCCATTAATAAAACGAGAACCTTTTATTCTAGCAGACATGCCGCAGGAAAAGTTACTTTTCAAAAATCCTTCTAATCTTAAACAAATACAGATTTCATTGTTTTGTTTTAACAGCTCTGTCCAAGAGACCTTTGCTATTGTCAGAGGTTATTCTTTAGCCAATCACAAGTATCTGTTCTAAAGATCCTGCTCAAAAGGACAGCATGACTGAGTCAGGTTTAAACTGCACAATATTCAAATAAAGGCACATCTCTCTAAACCTTTAGTCTGTTTTGATGAAATAAATTAACCCTGCCAGGCATGGTGGCTCATGCCTATAATCCCAGCACTTTGGGAGGCCGAGGTGGGCAGATCATGAGGTCAGGAGTTCGAGACCAGCCTGACCAACATGGTGAAACCCCGTCTCTACTAAAAAATTACAAAAATTAGCCCAGCATGGTGGGGTTTACCTATAATCCCAGCTACTCGGGAGGCTGGGGCAGGAGAATCGCTTGAACCCAGGACGTGGAGGTTGCAGTGAGCCGAGACTGCGCCACTGCACTCTAGCCTGGGCAACAGGGTGAGACTCCATCTCAAAAACAAACAAACAATATAAAAATTAGCCAGATGTGGTGGTGTGCACCTGTAATCCCAGCTACTGAAGAGACTGAGGCAGGAGAATCGCTTTAACCTGGGAGGTGGAGGTTGTGGTGAGCCGAGATTGCGCCACTGCACTCCAGCCTGGGTGACAGCAAGACTCCATTTCAAAATAATAATAATAATAATAATAATAATAATAATAATAATAATAATAATAATAATAATAAATCCATTACTAGCAACTCAATTTAACCCAGCAATTACTAAGCGCCTCTTTTTAAGTGTCGTGCAACGTGCTAAGTTTTAGGAATGAAATGAACAAGACACAGTCCTGCGTCCGAGGTTGCAGTCCAGTATAAACACACAAATTGATGGTAAGTACATAATGCAATGAAAGCACATACGAAGGTCATCACAGAGGATCAGGGATTTGTAAGAGGGAATTAACTCTAAACTAGTATTTGGCAGATGTGAGGAAGTGGAAGTTACACAAGTCAAAGTACTAAGGGGCAGAGAGGGTGTTGAGAGTTTAAGCCAAGTACCAAGGGAGAACGGCAAGAAATTATTTTGGAAAGATAAGCAGGAGTCAGATTATTAAGGGTCTTTGAGCCAAGAGTTTTCAGAGGTAAAACCTGAGCCTCAGTCTTGACTCCTATTTTATCCAAATTTTATCCTAGGAAAAAGGAGTCATTAACAGAATGAGAAACGGGCCGGATGCGGTGGCTCACGCCTGTAATCCCAGCACTTTGGTAGGCCGAGGCGGGTGGATCTCAGGGTCAGGAGATCGAGACCCTCCTGGCTAACACGGTGAAACCCTGTCTCTACTAAACATACAAAAAATTAGCCAGGTGTGATGGCACACACCTGTAGTCCCAGCTACTCGAGAGCCTGAGGCAGGAGAACCGTTTGGACTCGGGAGGCGGAGGTGGCAGTGAGCCGAAATTGCGCCACTGCACTCCAGCCTGGGCCTCCCCCAAAAAAAAAAAAAAAAAAAAAAAAACAGAAACAAAAACAAAAACAGGATAGGAAGCTGAAGAAACACAAGAACGAACAAGGAGACCACTACAATGGCAAAAGTTGGATTCCAGAGCATAGCAAAAGAGGAGAGCTGTTAATGGATGCCTAGTACAATGTAATAAAAAAGGATGCAAATACAGATTTTATAGATATGGTAGGTTGAGGGCCTTGGCTTTTACCATCTTCATGAATCAGAAAGCCATCAGACAAACTGTTTATGGCATCGACGGATGAGGAAAAGCAGTGATGTGGAATAGCAAGGGGAATAAGTGAAAAGGGTGACTATCAATTGCTTCATAGCATCATGATCCTAGCAAATACTGAGACATATGGTTACACATTGCTCACTTCCATTGTACATGGTTATAATACATGCACAATGTATGAATATACATTGGTAGAGACTCAGAACCAGCTTTCAGGAAAGTTCCATGAAGAATTCAGAAAGAGGGGTGTTCTGTTACTACAAAATACAAGTTATGTGGTGATAACAAAGGTTTCTGAGCAGAACAATGTCCTATAATTGTGGGGAATAGTAAAAAATTAAGAAACTTAGTTTGTAAAGTGACCAAGAAGTACAATGGCCTCAGATATATAAGGCTTCCAAAACACTTTAAACTGGCCTTACTGAACATAAGATAGTTCTAGTTTCAACTCACCAAGTCAATAGCTGTCCGGCCCAGTTACAGTTTCTAAATTTTATTATTCCCTGTCACCCAGATGGTAGTGATATGGAAATATCCTGTGGTACCAGGAAATAGTGGCAGCCTATAATGATACCCTGGGTGCTTCTGAAGACACACTGGGTCCAAAACCACAGCCACTGCTCTAGTCGATGTTTTTTTGTTGTTGTTTTTTGAGACGGAGTCCCACTCCTTGTCCAGGCTGGAGTGCAGTGGCACGACCTTGGGTCACTGCAACCTCTGCCTTCCGGGTTCAAGCGATTCTCCTGCCTCAGCCTCCCGAGTAGCTGGGATTACAGGCACCTGCCACCACGCCCGGCTAACTTTTGTATTTTTAGTAGAGACAGGGTTTCACCACGTTGGCCAGGCTGGTTCTGAACTCCTGACCTTGTAATCTGCCCACCTAAGCCTCTTAAAGTGCTGGGATTACAGGTGTGAGCCACCACACCCAGGCAGTTAATGTTGTTTTTATGCCAAGAATCCCAAGACACCCCAACTCCTAGAGAAAATGTATATGCCTAATGTGGTATTCAAGGAACTTTACACTTTAGACTCCAATGACCTCATTCTTTAGAACTTTCCTTCATAAGCCTCATACTGTTGGGTTTTCCCATCTCTTTTCTAACACGTTTTTTTCCAATTTGCCCAAATCCTAACAATCCAAGACCTACTTCAAATGCCACCATCCTGAGATCACATAGATGGAATTTGCTTTCTCCAAATTTTACGTCCTTTGAGGGCATTTTCACTTTGTTACTGATGTATCCTTCTTAGACTCTTGAAGAAACTTATTTTTTGCCTCTCAATGTCTTACTCGATCTCCAACAAACATTTCCTAAATAAGTCTTACAGATTAGGTGGAGCCTAAACAGCGTCCAAACAAATAAATAACAAAAACAAAAAAAAACAAAAAATCCCCCAAACCAACCCACTGTATTTCCAATGTTTCCTTTTTGAGTTGGGGGTCTCACTGTTGCCCGGGCACCAGCGAGTGCAGTGGCACCATCATGGTTCACTGCAGCCTTGAACTCATGGCCTGACGCAATCCTCCCAACTCAGCCTCAGTTGCTGAGTTTACAGGCATAAGTCACTGTACCCAGCATCAATATTTTGCTTTTTGCCTTTTCCTGTGTTTCACACATTCAAGGTTAGCATCTTCTAACTTCTCCCATGACTATTCAGTAAGTCATTACATCAGTTACTCTTGAGATGTTTGGGGCCAGGTTCTTCTTGCCTTCTAACTGATCCTCATACTGCCCACCAACCCACCCTGCCCCACTGCCAACCAACTTAGGATAATCTGTTAATCATAAACCATGTATTACTCACCAGCTCCAAGTTCTTCAAAAGATTTCCATTAGAATGACATTCAAACCATGGTCCATTGTGAGACTTGGCCTCTCTCTCTCTCCCATCTCCACTCACCTTACATGCACACGCACCCATCCCACCCACCATTCAAACCTCATTTTTTGTTCAAGATGTTATGTTTCCCATCTCATGGTTTCTGCACACCTACTACCCAAAACACTGTTACTCAATGAGACTTTGTGCAAAGGCTGGCTTCTTAAATCCTCAGTTCCAAAGTCTCTACTCAGATGCACTTCCTCTCTACTATGTACAAAGGATAATATCAAAGCACACTGTGGGCATTCATATATATGTGCTAAATGAAATTTTTTGATTTGCAATAACTGTCTGCTCCCACCATTGCCTGTGGTCTAACAAGGTTAGCACAAATGTATAGTGTGTTAGTTCTTTCAAGTAAACATACAGAAAATACTGAGCACTTACAAAGTTGCCAGGCCAAATTCTTCTACACATATTTACTTGTTTCTCACAAACCTATGAAACTTATAACTACCATTTGAAAAGTAATTTGTTCCAGGTCATATAACTAATAAATAATAGAAAAGCAAGGATTTGGTTGCAAGATCTAGTTTTATGCTCACTCTAAATCACTGTTTCTTCTGGCTCATCTACCTACCCAACTATCACATACAAAATATGCACACTAAGCGTGCTCTTTTACCCCTTTTCCCCGTAGACATTCTGTATTTAATAATTATTCCTTACAGTTCCCAGGATACAACAAAAACTGCTCAGGACAACTGATGCATATCATAATACCTTATTAATATATAACTGTTCTGGATACAAATTTAAAAAATGGGCTCAGACAAGTATCATAAATAATAAATGAAAGATTTTATTCATCTTTGTAGATAACAAGCACTCAAAGGTTAATGAGTGAAGGAGATAACCATCTCCTCCAAACAAAGAGGCTCTTAATAACGCAGAAGCAAAAATCTTTCCACTTTTAGATGAAAACAAACTAAAAAATAACTTCAGGCTTCAGATATGGAAATAAAGCACCATTTTTCAAATGGTAGACTTGGCTTACTTAAAATAAGTAAATAGCCCCAGACTATCTGAAAAAGAAAAACATTTCAATGCCCCTTGTGAGTTCTAATTACATGGCTACATGTTAAGGAACATCTCAGATCTCTCTCTGAACCTACTAGTAAACAAAAATTATACAGATATATATACAAATGTAGTCTTCCATTTCATTTTTCATTTGCACAAGCTTCCAGCTATTTAACCAGGTGACAAATCAAAGTGACAAGATGCACTAATATTCGTGAGAACTTTAAATTTTAAAAGCTAGTATTTAATTACCCTTAGTGAGCTCATTTACTTACATTAAAAATTATGCGATCAGTCATGATTTTTCTTTAGACCATTTAATAATACACATGGACTAACATTTATCATGCTTTGTTCAGGACCTCCTTACAATCATATCCCTTGTATGACTTACTCTTCACATAATCCCTTGCCAGTAAAAGTGAAGACCGAAGATTGACCTGACAGACAGGTCCCTTTACTAACCTTTGCAATCTTGTACCACTTCATAAAATAATGCTTACTCTAAACCACTACAGACTAGTTTGGAAATAAATGGACCTTTTCCTCAGAAATAATCAATCTTTCCTGGTGTAGTAATTGAACACTTGACTTTAACCTTCATTTATTATCACTTTATTATTAATAGAACATCCCAGGGAATAGACTCCCAAATCTTATCACTTTTTCTTTTTTTCTTTTTTTTTTTGAGACGGAGTCTCGCTCTGTCACCCAAGCTGGAGTGCAACGGCGCCATCTCGGCTCACTGCAACCTCCTCCCCCTGGGTTCAAGCGATTTTCCTGCCTCAGCCTCCAGAGTAGCTGGGGTTACAGGCACGTCCCACCACACCCGGCTGATTTTTGTATTTTTAGTAGAGACGGGGTTTCACTATGTTGGCCAGGCTGGTCTCAAACTCCTGACCTCAGGAGATCCACCCGCCTCAGCTGGGCCCAGCCCCTTTTCTCTCAATTTAAAAACTGCTTTAAAAACTGCAAATCAAGTATTGGGTTAATACCACTTTACTATTATTAACTGATTCCTCTAATATTCCAGAAAGAGCACAAGATTTTTTCCATTTTTGATAGCTGCCTATTGTCAGTTTTAACTGGAGCTGAAAAACAGAAGACTTAAATAAACTGAAAGCCATCATCGAGTTTTAAAAAGGGACACTGAAATAATCCTTCTTGAAGATATTTTCTTTAACAGCCACTTATTTCTACCCTGCAAAAAGCTTGAAATATAAAATTAGTATTTAAAGCACCATACAAAATAAAAAAACCAGACAAAGGAGTAAGGTATGTTCCAATTTAATCTTTATGCAGGCAAATTTGTAAAAAATGTTAATCACATCTACATGAAGTCGCAAAAGAGATGCAATAATTATTGCTCACTTTTAAACATTACCTTATATTACGGAAATTTGGCTACTTACTCTCATCACTATTACATGCACTTCAAGTTAAATACTTACCAAATTTTCACTGTTTATTCCTGCTAGGAAAGGACACAGTTCCTTAGAAATTTACTTCACTTTAAATCTTAAAGACATAAATTGAGGGTCCATACTTTGTTTAGTGCTTATCTAGAAGAATGCATTGCCACATCACATACTCAGGTATTGATTTTCAGATTTTAGAAAACTATCATTGTTCATACTAAAAAGCATCACAGTTGACTGTTTATTATTGGTTCAGAAAGATCACAGGAGGAAACAGAATGTAAAAACATTCTTAGCATATGCTGGTTTTAATCTAGGATATAGTTAAAAACTAGAGGGAAAAAATAATCCATGTGTTACATATAGCGAGGCTAAATAAAGCAGGGCATAAATTAGAAATTTACTCAGAAGCTAATTTTCACTGGTATACGTGGTCTCAGAAATCAGTATTTCTAACTCCAATTTTTCATGCAGGGTTAGAGTGGCTTAAATAATACTTTTGAAATTTTTAAGCCTCTCAAAGAAACCCTGTAAGCAACTAGTCTGCAGGAAGAATTTTGGTAAACCCTTCTTCCACTCTAACTCCAGCTTACTGCTCATGAATCACCACAACAACAGCTTCAACAAGAACAGAATGAAGTTCTGGTATCTTAATTTTACACCTATGCAATGTCTCCAAAGCACTAAGAAAAATCTTTTGGCTGCCAACTAAAAAAAATGTTTAAGAACTTTCTTAAATACTAATTTTAAACATTTATTCCATCTCACCAAAATGAAATAATTTATGTGTTCAAAGTTTTTGTATTTATAGTCTGTTAAGTGAAGGTCAGAAAAAAGTGAACTAGCAAATTAAAAGGGAAATGCCAGGTGGTAAAATAATTTTCTAATATTCTTGATTCAAGTAATATCCAAAGATGTAGAAATTCAGAGTGCTCACCTCTTTAATCAAAGTGTCCTATTTCAGTTAATTTTAGAAGATAAAATTATAATATATAAAAGTATAAAACAGTACTCACCAGAAAGGCAGCTTTAAAGAGATGGTTTTAAGGAAAACCATTTCCACTGTATCTACACCATTTCATATACAGATTAAACTGTGAAAGGCAATGAAACTTAAGCCCTTGTGCAATTTTACATTAAAAAACAAGTGGTTATCTTGTAAGATATATTTTATTATCAGTTGATAAATCCATGTTTTAAAATTTAGCAATATGCACAATTTCCATATAATCTGTTTTCACAATGGCTAATCACCATCCAGCTCAAGAGGAATTCAAGATTACTAGTTTTATGGCTAGATCGTCTCAAATTAAACATCACACAAGGTGAAAAGGAAGAAGCCATACATCCTACTATCAGATTAGGATGGTTCAGGCTTGCGAAAATTAGAAATTAACTTGTATGCTTTATTCCTCCCTCCTCAGTGCTTTACATTTGTTATCAACCTAAAAGCACAACATTTAGAGGTTAAAGGAAATCTTTAGAGGATGGTTCAAACAACAATGAACTCGGGTAGAATAAAAAAAAAATAAAAATGTTAAAACACATTTTCCACAACCCATTATGTCCCCACTGCCCCTCAAAAGTGTTACATAAAGAATCTAGCTACATTTCTTGATGAGTAGTCAACTTTCAGTATTAAAAAGGTATGTTATTCTTAGTTTACAGTAAAATGAACTCACTGGTACACCAACGGGATACGTTATAGTTTACAAAAAAAGAACAAAAATAGAGGAGTACTTGTATTTACAAGTGTTGCTAAAAGAACAAAAAAGCATTATAAAAACATATTCTAGCTTATGACTGTACACCATTTATCATTTCTAGATGTGAGGAAACTTGCCTTTTTTCTTAGGTTGATTCATAATGTAAAAAGTTAAAAGGTGAATGAGAGAACCACCATGAAATAGCTTAAGTAAAAGACCCTGGACCCAAAGCCCTGGACTCCATATCATCTATCAACAAGGGCATAGCCAACTGAAACTGTCTTTTCCTTTTATGTACAATGTATCTACTTAGGTTGAACCACAAGGAGATAACAAAGGAGCAGTATTACACCTTTATTACAACTGGGGTTAGCAAACCTAGATCTACTTTGGCCCAAGTACTGAGTGTTTAAAGTGTCCAATGGATCTATTATTAGTTATACTAACATTTAAGTAACCGCACAGCTTTCTTCCTTGTGTGAGTTATATGGATATGTTTGAAAAAAATAGGAACATCAGGTACTTACAGATTAAACTAACCTGTACTGGCAGGGCTGTGGGATTTTTCTTCTCTACCAGTAAGTAGCAAATGCTGAAATTCTGCTGCTAGTTAACAAAAACACAAATTGTATTAAACTGAGGAGTTCAATCCATAGTTTAAAAAGTCAATGTGCATTAAATTTCCTCAGAGCCTGATACTAATACATTTAAAACTTTTCCCTAGTTTTTTTTTTTTTTAAACAGAAGTTACCTTATATTGGCTATTTAGAATGAGCTAATTAACATTGAAAATCTCTTGGACACATCTCAATTTTACTATGTATTCCAGTATGTGAACTGTGATAGAAATTTTGATTACTCTAAAAAGGGGATGGGCATATATCTTAAACATGTGGGAATTTCTAAATTTAAACGAATATGTAGACATACCCCCAAAGACAAGCAATTTTTAAAAGTTTTTAATTCAACTTTTGTAAAAATTGATTTTGTCACATCAGAGATTCTCAATTTTAAAAACATGTACTGAGAAGCAAATTCTATTGTTTCTCTTTGAATAAGCGAACAGGTAAAAGGGGGCTTTGCTCAATAACTAGATGCTCTGTATTTTTTCTAACTCAGACTTACAGTAACTGTAGTAACTCTTCCCTTGCTCCACTTGGGTACTTAAGCAGCCTCATTTTATTAGTAAAGACTCGGATATGATGGTGCAAATCTTTTTTTTTTCACCTCTGTGACTGCTAAACTATTTATGAATAAAATTTTAATAAGAAGCTACATTAAAATACTATGGTGAGACCTCACTAACAAATGCAAATCATGAGCAAGAATGCCATTACTTTTCAATATATTTAAGGTTCTTAAGTCAAACAATACTACCCAGTGTTCTCTCCCAAATAATCACTATTGGTCCATGTGTAGTAAACTGGGAAAATATCATTCTTCATTTTTATCCAAGTTGGCCATCAATGAATTTCACTGTTAGTTCCTCAGACTTAACCAATGGTGAAGGAACACAGATTCCACCATAATAGTAAAATGCAAACCAACCAACCCAGACACTAACAATGTCAGAGGGCTTAGAAAATGCCAATAAAGTACTTCACCTTTTTACAAACACAGCACACATTACTGAAGCTGTGCCAGATTACTACCTTATAGACCATTACATCATTTAGAATTAATGGGTGGGTTCCAAGTAATCAACCATTAAGACAGTTTACTCACATGTACCTCCTCTGAGGTTATTTTGATAAAAATTAAAACATAAACATAAACATTCTCATAACGGATTGTATGCCTCTTAAAGAACCTAACCATCAAAGTTTCCATCTAATTAGCCAGTCTAGATTTATAATAGTGTTCAATTTGCTTCAAATAGGAATAGTTCAAATTAGTTTCAGCGAAGACCTACCTTGTTTGGGCTACAAATTTCTGCCTCAATATGACTACTACTTCCGCTTAGTAAAATAAAGACATTTTCCCCTGAGAATACATGAGACTAACTGAACAGATTTAAAGAGAGATGATTCAGATTTCTCAAACTAATTTAGTTCCAAACTATTATTTTCCAGAGTTAAGAAAATGAAAAGCTTTTCAAGACTAAAATATTATGCAAAAATGTATAGAGCCAAGAGCAAGAAAAATATACTTATTAAAAGCAATTATCTTACTGAAGAATTTTTTTAATGTTACTTTAAAACGTAATCTATTTTCTAACAAAAATGCCAGGTAAAAAAATAAAGATAGATGTTTTAGGGCTTAAACACTTGGAAAAGGTGGATATATTTAAAGTTATTGGGAAGCGCAAACTGAAGTCCTACTTTCTCCATTTCCTACATATTGGTTTGAATTAGATCCATAATAGGGTGCCTAAGAGCTTAAGATAGTAGTTTAGAAAACTCAGCACTAATCACAAAATTAATGAATATCCATTATGTACATGACCATACATCAAGTGCTTATTTTGCCAAGAAACATCACACAGAAAAGTCAGATGATTTCTTTGCTATAAAAACAAAAGGTTATTATTTAAATGATTCAATGACAGAAATTAAAATACTGAGAAAGGGTTTCTAAAAAGGAGTAAACTTTACTGTCATGAGACAGTTAGCATAAGTGGAATTGGGGGAATGTTTACTTATAAAAATCTGCCCTATAGTCAAATAGCCTTATAATTGAATCCCCTTTTAAAGGACTTTTACATAAAAGTTACAATGAAGAGCAAACAAATTTCAATTTGGAATAACGCAGAAAGATTACTCAATATTAGGTCAATAATGACAACCTTTTAAAAAAGACATTCATGTCTGTATAATTTTAGAGTATCTACTTCTAGGGTACATGTCTATTTTCATCAGCTTATTCAAACAAAATTTTGACTCAGTTAAAGTGGTGACTTCACAATTTTCTTTCATTTGCCAAGTTTTACTAGTGGATGTTACAGACACCTAAAAACTACATAATTCTCAAAATCTTATTTGTCTGAGTCACAGAACTACAAAAAAAAAGGAACTATCTTAGTTATCTATAGATATTACCTTCAACAGATTATGACATTACTAAATCCTTCCCACCCCCAGTACTCAACCAGATAAGAGCCTGTATTTCCAGCACACTTTTTTCAATTATCACCATTAGAATTAAGATAAGCAACTTAGAAAGATTTCAGCATATTGCAGGATGGTAGGTAATAGAGAAAACAGATCTCCAATTAAGGACTCTTAAATGTTGATTACTGAGGTTATAAAATAGTCCAATGGGATATTTTGTCATGGAAGCAACAAAATTCTTTAAATATTAAAATCCTATTAGTTATAGTGAAAAACATGTTATTTAACAAGTCAAAATTTACAATTCATTTAATGCATATTTTTTCTTTATGCTTCCAAGAATGAAAACCATATACAAACAATTCCAGGTTTGCTAAATGCTATACTGCTTGTTCATTGTTACTGCTCAGAGTAAACTGCTATCTGGATAGAATCGTGGCTCAAACACAAGAAACAAAAGTAATTCAGGTTTGTTTTTGGCCTCTCTTCCAATTCCCTAATTATTCCCTACAACAAACACACGCACACAACTTTTCTCACCAAATAAAAGCAAATTTTAGTTGGAAACAAATGTGGATACTTTTCACATGTGCGTAAAACACTGTTCAGTGAGGCTGAAAATGAACCTCAAAATAATCACTCCAAAACCATAGTTTAACATACTTTACCACAGGATCAGGTATCAAATTTCAGTTTCGATACCTGAAAATTAGTAATCCATCCATGCTGAAAGGTCTGTAACACCCAAATTCTGTTGTTATATCAACTATATGGTCTATACCCCCACATACACAAGCACACACATAGACACCACCTTCCCACCTTTACAGGGCTCTACATTAACATTTGCTCTAATGTGGTGAGGCTTGAAAATATTTTAAAATTAAGCATTTCCAGATGACCTTTTAGCCTTAACATTCAATGCGTAAGTTTGTGATTAAGAATGCAGATTTTGGCCAAGCGCGGTGGCCCACGCCTGTAATCCCAGCACTTTGGGAGGCCGAGGCAGGGGGATCGCAAAGTCAGGAGATCGAGACCATCCTGGCTAACACGGTGAAACCCCGTCTCTACTAAAAATACAAAAAATTAGCCGGGTGTGGTGGCAAGCACCTGTAGTCCCAGCTACTCGGGAGGCTGAGACAGGAGAATCGCTTGAATCCAGGAGGTGGAGGTTGTAGTGAGCTGAGATCGTGCTACTGCACTCTGGCCTGGGTGACACAGCGAGACAGTCTCAAAAAAAAAAAAAAAAAAAAAAAAAGAATGCAGATTTTGGCCAGGCGCGGTGGCTCACACCTGCTACTCCAGCACTCTGGGAGGCTGAGATGGGTGGATCACCTGAGGTCAGGAGTTTGAGACCAGCCTGGCCAACACGGCAAAACCCCATCCCTACTGAAAAATATTGAAAAAATAGCCAGATGTGGTGGCGGGAGCCTATAATCCCAGCTACTCGGGAGGCTGAGGCAGGAGAATCACTTGAATCCGGGAGGCAGAGGTTGCAGTGAACCGAGATCGCACCACTGCACTCCATCCTGGGTGATAAGAGTGAAACTCCGTCTCAAAAAAGAGAAGGCACATTTCAGTATCCAGTGGCATTTCCAATGATTAAACTTATCCTTGAGGTTAAATTTAATAGTTTATGGAGAAAATAAAACCAGTAAGATTTTCCTAGAAGTGAAAGTAAAAAACTTGAATGAAACATTTCTTGCCTCCAATCAAAAATATCAAATTTTGTCAATTTATTGAAGTTCAATATAGGAACACAAGCTTTACTGAAGCTGTTAATTATGTAACACACAGCAAATTACATAAAATTGCATATGAAATACTTATGTTTATTAACACCACAGTCAAACGTGAATATTAATATAGAGCCTTCTCTGCCAAAAGAGTATAAAAATCCTAAGTTTAATTAAATTTAGGGGCCTTCACCAAACTTGCTGCAAGTTTGGGGACATAAATATCCAACAGCCATAAAGCTGTGAAAGCCCCTATAAGGAATAAAATAAATCCCACTTGCCTCAGACTGAACAGGGCAACACTGAGACTCAGCCTCAGCCTGTCCTATGGCAGGGCTATAGGAAGAAGAAAATTTTAATTTTAGAAAAACAGTTCCCAATTAATTTAAAAGACATGCATTAAAATTTTTTTTTTTAAAAATCCCAATGATCAAGCAAGCAAAAGGAGCAGCTTTGTTTTTAACTATTGTCCACTACAATTCCACTCTGAGCCCGTACTTCTTTTTGTTGGGGAATCCCCCTCCCCAATTAATTAAGTTTAATTAAGGTGAGTCTAAGTTCAAAATGTAACTTAGTGGAATAGGAGTACAGTAGGAATATTTTATTCATACCTAATGGCAAATGTGTGAGACACTACTAAAATACTAAGTATTCAAATCAAGTAATTCCAGCAGCCACTCAAAAATTAATCCTTACCTGCTGTGGTCTTGTTAAACAGTATGAAAACTTATACAACAGAAACTAGTGCCAGACAAAATGTTTTCTTGTTTTTCTAAAAGGGGTGGATGTAAGGTAGAGCCAAAGTTGCCAGCCCTACTAACCTTACAGCTTCCTTAATTATGACAATCACAATGCCTGCCTGAATTATCAAGTCCCAAAAGTTGTCTTCTGTGAGGGCAGTTGGCATCCACTTTGACTCAACTTCATCTACTACTTAAGGAAGGTTGAGTCAGAGTTAATTATATGAATATAATTTGCTCCACTCATAATTCAACCACACTATGGACCCCAGAAGCATTTAGAAAAAAGGTATTTTCTAGAAGCTTAATTACGTTTGGATGCATGCAAAAATTACACTTCAAATATATTAAATGGGTACACCACCTCTGAGCCTATAGCTACAAACTCAGGAACTCATGAGCTTAAGTTTTATCTGCCAATGCCTAACACTTTCAATTAATTTTTAATTAGAATTCTATCCCATATTTAAAAGTTCCATTTTTGCCCATCAGACCTATACAGAGAGCAAAAAACCTTGCTACAAAGTATCAACCTTCTTTGCATAAAATGCAAATAAAGCTTCACATAATTTCTGAAACAGGTCTACTAACCCTATTGCAGTTTGTCAATAACCGTATACATGAAATTCCTGAGAATTTGGGAGAGCACCCCTTACTTAATTATTCTAAATTTAATCACAGCATTTTTTTTTTTTGAGACGGAGTCTCAATCTGTCGTCCAGGCTAGAGTGCAGTGGTGTGATCTCCGCTCACTGCAAGCTATGCCTCCCGGGTTCACGCCATTCTCCTGCCTCGGTCTCCAGAGTAGTTGGGACTACAGGCATCCGCAACTACGCCCAGCTAATTTTTTGTATTTTTAGTAGAAACGGGGTTTCACCGTGTTAGCCAGGATGGTCTCCATCTCCTGACCTCATGATCCACCCGCCTGGGCCTCCCAAAGTGCTGGGATTACAGGCGTGAGCCACTGCGCCCGGCCTATCACACCATTTTTATCTTAAAGACTTTCAACACAAGTTTTCCTTCAGCAGTATATTAAGTGTGCTGCCAAATCAAAGCAGCATGTATTAATTTTGAAACCATTTAGGTAAGCAGAGGTTCAGAGGGGAAAGTGGTTTGGGACTTGGCTGCTGGCAGAAAGAAATACATTACTGGCAAAATACCTGTTTTATTTTCAAACTATGAAAATTTTTGTACCACTATGGTACCACAAGCACAGGAGCCAAAATCATTGAAGCCAGATAATCAGATATTTTAATTTATTTTTTGACAGAGTCTCGCTCTGTTGCCCAGGCTGGAGTGAACATAGCTCACCGCAGCCTCGGAAGGAGGAAGAACCTCCTTCCTCAGCCTCTTGAGCAGCTGGGACCACAGACACACACTAACGCGCCTGGCTAATTTTTAAATGTTTTGTACAGATGGGGTTTTGCCATGTTGGCCAGGCTGGTCTCAAACTCCTGGACTCAAGCAATCCTCCCATCTCAGCCTTCCAGAGGGCTGGGATTACAGGCGTGAGCCACTGCACCCAGCCAATGTGAGTTAAAATAGCATTCAGCTTTATAATACTTGCAATGTTTTGCTTAAAGGTATGACTTTCATCTGTCACATAAATACGAACTCTTTTGTGATGGCTAAATCACTTTTCAATATATTTTCCTTCAAAGTTAAAGCCCTTTTTTCCATACAACTTCAGACTTCATGTGTTTTATCTATACCTTCACAGGAAAGTTATAAAGAAATGTTACCATTTTCTTAGAAGTCTTAACTTTATAATGAGAAAAACTCAACTTGAGTTCATTATATTAATACTTTGCATAGGTTATTTGATGCCTAAAAAATCATAAAACTACCCTGCAAAAGATCAGAAAAACAGATCCCAAAAAGGTCAACAAGAGCTATTATTTTAAGAGGTTGCAACACAAAATATTGAATAGCAGTCATCTCTACAGAAAAGCTCTCTGTAAGAACACAACATTCAAAATTTCCAAGGATAAATAAAAAGTTGCACAGTAAGGCTACCTAGGCTTAATAACAGAAGGTACTCAAATGAATAATGTAATCTTCCAGGAACATAATAAAAATTGCCAATTCATCTGTTAACCATCCCAACAGAGACACATTTAGATTCTCAGCATTACACTTAGAATAATATATAATAACCCATTAACAGCACAAGAAGCTATTACTGCATGCACCTAAGCTTCTAGAAGTTTGCACCTGAAAAGCTTCTGAGGTCCATGCAGTACTGAGTCTCAAAAATAATCAAAAGGAAATGAATGGGTCTGGCACTAGGCTCTAAACATCTCAGCAGGAAGGAAAAGTGTTAACATTTACATTTTAAGTATCTATGACACGTGATGTGTACTGACACCATAGAGGGTGGAAGGGTGATTATAAAGATTTCATACCCATTATGTAATGACTCATGTATCTTAAGTTTTTCTCTTAACTGAAACATTAACATACAACTCTATGCAAATTCAGTTTAAAACATGCAGCTAAGAAATAACCTACAACTCAAAGACAGAATCCAATGATATATCAAAACTGCATTGGTAACTATGAATTTTATTATGTGGACATCTACTGTGGCATGCATCTGTACAAACCTTTCAGGCAGTGGTCCACAGCTGGGTTATGAATAAAAAGGCATAAATTTTTCTCTCATTTTATTACAATGAAGTTTAACAGTACAGAAAAGTCACATGACCTTGGTGGGTCAGATTTCTTAAACCCTGCAACATGAGGAACTCTAAATACATTAAATATTGTTACACATTCAGACTTCCAATGTACAAGTACTTGGAAACAGTTACAGCCCTCACCAAGCTAGGTTGGGGACATGAAGTCCAACAGCATCTGAAATGCTGTGAAGGCAAACTTTACAAATAGCAATGTAAGCTTACAGAACTTGCCTTTACTAGGGTGGTATGTTCATGTAATTCCAGCGCCTTCACAATTTAACGAACCAAATTTACTATACTTCACTTCTAAAAACCTAGATGAAACATGAAAAAGAAGCCATACAGTATAAATTGCAACTTCAGGAAAAGTTCCTGCTTTATTATTCCAAATAATTTTTCCCATGTAAAATAAATGTCCAATAGTTCCTGGTATGTGGGAAGATAATGTTTGTTAAAGTCACAATGAAGCCTTATTGACGGAAGCTTGGCTATATAAACAGCACAAGTTGAGAAAAGGTTTAATCTCCAAACCTATTAGACTGGATGAAGTAAGATCAGTAACGGCCACCTTGCGACATTACAGGAGGTCTCATTCCCATCGGAGGTCGAGGAGGCCCACCCTGGTAAGGGGGCACCATTGGCGGTCCCTGCCCATACGGGGGCATAGCACCAGGAAGGTATCCTGGCATGCCTTGATGATGACCACCATACTGACCTAAAATCAAGAATTTCAAACACAAAAAAATAGATTGTTAACGCATTGTACTTTTAAGTGCAACGTATGCTGCAGATAAATTTAATATTTTATGCGTGAACTTAGAAAATCCACTAAATATGAAAAACATAAAAAGAGGAATACCATGAGGTGGCATTGGGGGTCTCATTCCTTGTTGCTGTGGGATGCCTGGCTGTGGTGGCATCATACCTCCAATTGGTCCAACTGGTGGATTACCGATGGGGGCCTGTCCTGGCCGAGGAAGATTACGTTGATACTTAGGTAACTGTGCCCTTCTCTCTTCCTGGGAATAAAAATAAGCGCAGGGCTAAATACTCGAATGCAGAGGCTCACCAAGCATAAAGGCATGCATCTAAAATCTTACAACGTTAAGAGTAATTTTCAAAAATTTACCCTTACATCCCAACTATTTACTTTTGCCAGACAAACCAATCCAACTACTTAAACTCTAGATACCTTAAAACTTCACCTATTTGTAAACTTGAAGCATGGCTAACAACTTTCCGGGAATTACAAATTGCTTCAACAAGAAACTATCTAATGAAGTATTGTTATTAACATTCTTTTTTTTTTTGAGACGGGGTTTCACTCATTGTCCAGGCTGGAGTGCAATGGCCTGGTCTCAGCTCACCACAACCTCCGCCTCCCGGGTTCAAGAAATTCTCCTGCCTCAGCCTCCGGAGTAGCTGGGATTACAGGCATGCACCGCCACGCCCGGCTAATTCTGTATTTTTAGGAGAGATGGGGTTTCTCCACAATGGTCAGGCTGGTCTCGAACTCCCGACCCTCAGGTGATCCACCCGCCTCGGCCTCCCAAAGTGCTGGGATTACCGGTGTGAGCCACTGCGCGCCCGGCCAACATTCCATTTTTTTCTTTTTTTTTTTTTGAGATGGAGTCTTGCTCTGTTGCCCAGGCTGGAGTGCAGTGGTGCAATCTTGGCTCAACGCAACCTCCGCCTCCCAAGTTCAACTGATGATCCCGCCTCAGCCTCCCGAGTAGCTGGGATTACAGGTGCCCGCCACTACACACTGCTAATTTTTGTATGGATGAGGTTTCACCATGTTGGCCAGGCTGGTCTTGAACTCCTGATCAAGTGATCTGCCTGTCTTGGCCTCCCAAAGTGCTGGAATTATAGGCGTGAGCCACCACACCTGGCCATTATCAACATTCTAAACATTAACTTTGTATCAAAATTCATTCATTTATATGGGACTTAAGGGATCTGCAGATTCTACTTCACACTTAACGTTTATTCAATTAACATATGCAAACTTATGTTTAACTAAAATGATTTTTAAGAGAGTTAAGAACCTGACTTACTGTCTTCTTTTAGAAACAGTCTGGAGGAAGGGGAGAGAAACCATCTAAGACCAAAACATGCAATATCTGTCCACTTTAAGTATTTTATGATTTCTTAAGAATCAGAATGGCAAAAACCACTTAGTGAGCATTAAACCAGATCACAGACCATCTGAGTACAAATGAACACTTATTTTAAAGGGACGAACTGCTATAATGGCTTTAAATCAAATGCTGCTCGTAGAAAACTAAAAGCAACTTACCAGGGATATATCCTCATCTGGATGGATCAACTTACTGGTTGCACTAGTTGTTGTAAGTGTAGCAGGCTTACTTGTTATTGAAGCCGCTGGTTTAGCTGCAGTACTATTTGTTGTACTAGTTGTTGAAGCTGTAGACTGTGTATAAGCAGGGAATGTAGGCTTTGGGGGTTCTGTAGTTGTTGCAGGGGTACTATTTAAGGGTTTGAAATCTGTACCAACAGGTCCTTGGACAGCTGCCTGAGCCTGTAAAATACAATACTTCATCAACGAAACTTCAAAACCTTAAATTAACTATATCTACAACAGTTTAACTTAAAACAAGGCATCAACATTAAATAAAGGACCAAACTTTAAATGAAATTAATACAAAGTTAATGTGATAAACATTCCACAAAATTCAAGATAACCCATAAAAATATCAAAAGATGCTAGGTTAAAGTCACACCCACAACACAGCAGTGGAAATAAGACTGCATATTTAACTTGTTAGATGTCTTCTACCTCCTCACCAAAAATTAAATTTACAATGCTTTGTATTTATTCCAGATTGCTGAAATACAGTATCTTAGAATAGCATGTGTTCTATTTTTAATGTTCTATTAATTAGTTATTAATCTATCAAACAGCTAAAAAAAAAACTACAGAATATGAGTTTAAACTCGTTACTAACTATAACATGAACAGTGTAAATGGTGACACAATAAAAATACATCCTTTAGTAGTATTCTTTATATATATATATATATATATATATATATATATATATATATATATAATCCCCTCCAAATTAACAATGGCTGGATAATTATCATGGACAAAGGAGTTAATTTAGCAGGATCTTTTAAAGTAGCAAGTTATCAGTAACAAATATGTTACTTTTCATAATACCACACATCTAAAACATGTAGACTAGGCCAACTTTAGAACCAAAGCAGTATTAAATTTTCTTACATTAAATGTGATGCATTAAACAGCATTAAATCAAAATAGCTTAATCATGCATCAGGCTAACCATTGGCCACTATAATGCATTTACTGCTTACATGCTTTTAACCCTTTAGAACCACAGGAGTTCGGGGTAGTTTTGTTTAGTATGAATTCAAATTTTTAAATACCATTTGACTTATATAGCATTAATTTTGCTTTAAAAAAGTAAACACAGTATATTTTTGGAAAAATATTCATTTTTTAAGTAGGGTCCAAAGGGTTAAGTTATAAAGCCATTTTAACAATTTTAAACTGCAACTTCCTGCGTACTTGTGCTGTGCTAGGAAACAGAGCTTTAGAAGATGCAGACAGACTTTCTGAATTGGATGAAGCTGTACTTGAGCTTGTGACAGGTGTCCCCATCTGTAGCATAAAAGAAAGGAAACAATGAAAAGTCTCCAAACAAATGGGTCAAAATAAGCCATGTGGTAGACTTTTTAGTAGATTGCATATTTGTAAATGCAAAATTTAATGCAATCAAATGTCACTTATTTTAAAAGGCAGGCAGTTAATGCATTTACAATAAACAAAATTAAAGTATGAGCCTCAAAATTTTAATTCTAAATCAATAAAACCTAGTTAACTAGTTTCTTTTCTAAAACTACTGTTTTGCATTATTTCAAGAATGATACCTGAAACTGAGAATAACGATGTACAAATACTGACACTTCAATCCAATTCTGTATCAATGATTCTCTACAAAAGATTTTTGCCAAAAGTTTTACATCTCTCAATACATAAAATTTCCACCCACCATAAAAGCTAGGTTAATGTGCTTAACAAAAGGCACTTAAAGAAAATGCTTTTAATTTAGCACCCACAAACAGAAAAAAGCAATTTAAAAAAATCTAAGGGATAATCTAAAAAAGAAAATGAATAAACATACATCCCGATCTAAATTCTGAATAAATTAAATCTGAATCTGCTTCTCAATGAAACTAGGAAAAAAAGCAAAGGTGTTAACCATCATGTGTATACCATATAGAACAGAAGCATCTTTCACTTATGCTCTGGAAAAAAGACTTTTAAAAGCTTTGAAAAAAGACCAGTAAGAAATACCAGTGTGCCTAGGTCAAAAGCCATTAAATTACGCCATTTTAGCACAAGTGCGGCATTGTAGCTCATCACTGTTCCGTACTAGAGGCAGAGCCTGACAAATGATTTGCTACCGTCTTAAGAATGCTAATCTTTGACTTTGGTGTCCTTCCATTCAGTTTAGTCAGTAAAGGAAAACTTCTAAACGCTCCAGATACTAAACTTTCATTAGCTTAAAAAAAAAAAAAAAAAAACTAAGAATAAATAGGGTTCACAGCTATGAAAAAGTAACATACTAACTTTGGCTCCGTTCAACCTTTTATGGGTAGAGGAAATCAGTGTGTAAACATGGAAGTGGATAAGCCACCTTTTAGTATATTTAATAAATAATATTAAAAATATTATAAACAAAAAAATTGACCTATGAAAATTTCAAAGACTTCTGTAAACAACTGTACTTTATCTTTAAATATAAGTGCACTCCTTTTCAGGATTTTCACCTTACCTGTCCAGCACTGGGGAAAAGAGGCTTAGTAACTGGAGGCTGTGGGGCAGGTACAGTTGCTGTTGGTGCAGGTGGTCTATTAAGAATACCTGGCGCTGAAACAGCCTGTGCTTGAGTCATTGGAGGAATTCCAGGACGTGGAACAGGTGGGGGCATACCTGCAGAGAAGAAATGTTTGGGGAAATTGAGTCACTGAAAAATTTAGTGTGGAAAAAAACGCTTCTATACTACAAAGTTATTAACAATTAACTGCTCAATGACTCGACTAAATCCAAGGAACTTAGGCATTTGCCCCATGCAACATTCTTACCTTAAATTTTCCCTTCCTTTGTACTGCTTCAGAATTTTACGAAGTGGAAGATAACACTAGACCCTGCTGCATGGGCAAAACATTTGGCAATTATGCTTACTGGTCCTACTGATTTAGCAAACTTCTTGCAATATATAAAAGAATTATTTCAATCAGCTACAAGACAGATATTTAAATACTCCCTGAACCCTAGTGCAAATTACAGTAAAAACTGATGAATCAAATATCATGAACAATAAAAACTTTTCCAAAGTTAAACACATCACTACTACATACTTTAAACTTCCTCAACATGACAAAACTTTTAATGACTTCACATTCTCAAATGAACATCAATTATTATTCTGTATTCTTTTAAATACCTAAATATGTACCACAACATAATGTATATGGAACTGCCTGGCAATTATTCATAGTTTGTTGATGCTTTATTTTTCCTGTGTCCATTTACATCAACTATCATTTCAGTACTCTAAATATGCTATGGATTGCAAACACACCAACATAAAACGCAGGCTAGGGCCGGGCACAGTGGCTCACGACTATAATCCCAGCACTTTGGGAGGCCGAGGCAGATGGATCACGAGATCAGGAGTTCGAGACCAGCCTGACCAACATGGTGAAACCCCATCTCTATTAAAAATACAACAATTTGTCGGGTGGGGTGGCACACTCCTGTAATCCCAGCTACTCAGGAGGCTGAGGCAGGAGAAAATCGCTTGAACCCAGGAGGCGGATGTTGTGGTGAGCTGAAATCACACCACTGCTCTCCAGCCTGGGCAACAGAGCAAAACTCCATCTCAAAAAAAAAAAAAAGAAAAAAAAACAACTAATAGCCTCGTGTGGCACATCTTGCTGGCCAACCAAATCCCTTTCCTTGTGCTGTATTTCCTGCTTTATAGGCCAAATTCTATATACTTAATTTCCCAGGTTCCCTCACAGCATAATACGTAAGGAGCTAAAGAGCTTCTGGGAAAGTTATTTTGGTTCCAAATAGAAGAAAAAGGAGGCCAGGTGCTGAGGCTCACTCACACCTGTAATCCCAGCACTTTGGGAGGCTGCGGCTGCAGTGAGCTATGATCGTGCCACGGCACATCAGCACGAGTATCAGACCAACACCCTGTCTCAAAAAAAAAAAAGAAGAAAAGAAAATGGAGAGTGCACTACAACCGACACCCCTTCTTGTCTGAGCTGTCTTATAACCAAATGACATTTCTGAGGAAAAAAAGCTAAGGTGAGCAAAGTCAAAAAAAGCATGGGTTAATAAATATCATTGAGCCACTGAATCTACCACTTTTTTGTTGACTGAGACAATGAATGCCTACACCGTTTAATACAGTTTGTTGGGGCTGGGCACAGTGGCTCACGCCTGTAATCCCAGCACTTCGGGAGGCCAAGGCAGGCGGATAACCTGAGGTCAGGAGTTTGAGACCAGCTGGCCGACATGGCGAAACCCCATCTCTACTAAAAATACAAAAATGAGCCAGGCGTGGTAGTGGGCGCCTGTACTCCCAGCTACTCGGGAGGCTGAGGCAGGAGAATCACTTGAACCCCGGAAGCAGAGGTTGCAGTGAGCCGAGATCATGCTCCAGCCTGGGTGACAGAGCGAGATTCCATCTCAAAAAAAAAAAAAAAAAAAAAAAAAAAAGTTTGTTGGATTTCTCTATTACTTGTCTAAAACATTCCTAACAAATACAAGCGCTCTAAGTATGTGAGATTCAGCACATAGGCCGTGACTCACTTTGGCTGCTTTGAAACCTATCATCTATTTCAAACTTCAAGAAAGGGCCAGCCAGGCGTGGTGGCTCACACCTGTAATCCCAGCACTTTGGGAGGCCAAGGTGGGTGGATCACCTGAGGTCAGAAGTTCAAGACCAACCTGGTCAACATGGTAAAACCCCGTCTCTACTAAATACACAAAAATTAGCCAGGTGTGGTAGCAGGCGCCTGTAATCCCAGCTACTCAGGAGGCTGAGGCAGAAGAATCGCCTGAACCTGTGAGGCAGAGGTTGCAGTGAGCCGAGATATCTACCAAAATACATTTTTTAAAAAAGGGTCCATATAACACTTCTCACAGGAACTTGCAACTTTCAAAAATTTTTAAATTTCATTATACTAATGCCCACAGACGTCTAAAAAAACTTAGAAATAAAGCCTGTACATCATATTAAAATGAAATTATCTAACATATACCTGGTGGCATTCCAGGCATCAGAGGTGGTATTCCTGGTCCAGGTGGCATCATTCCACCCATTGGCATCATTCTATTAGAAAGCAAATTTCAAGAAACAGTAAGTTAATGAACAGCATAAACCATTAAAAAATATTCTGGCTAAAGCCTGAAACAACACTAGATAGAAGACTTGAATCTGACCTCTAATACTGAAATGAATCAAAGCTGAAAGAACACACAACACACTGTAACAATCCTATCAAAATAAATTGTCTAAAACCCAGCAAACTCTTTGGTTTACCAATAAAAAAAAAATGTTGACAAAACATTTAAAGTCATTTGAGAACAAATATACTCTCAATATGTACAAGAGGCCTCATCTAAAATATGTGTAATGGGAAAGCAAATTCACCACTTTTTCCACTTGGAAAATATCCACAGAGTATTAAAGAAAAAGAAGAAATCTCTATTTCAGAGTTGTGTTGGATTTTGAAAAGAAAAAGATTGAATGAATGTACCCTGTGAAATGAGATTTTTTATTTGGCTAGGTGCAGCAGCTCATGCCTATAATCCCAGAAGTTTTGAGAGGCCAAGGCTCAAGGACTGCTTGAACTCAGGAGTTCAAACCAGGCTGGGCAAAAAGTGAGACCATAACTTTTTAAAAAAGCAAAAATTTTAAACATTAGCTGGGTGCAGTAGTGTGCGCCTGTAGTCCCAGATACTCAGAGGGCTGAGGTGGGAGGATCACTTGAGCCCAGGAGGTCAAGGCTGCAGTAAGCTGTGACTGCGCCACTGCACTGTAGTCTGGGCGACAGAGTAAGAGACCCTGTGTCAAATACATACATATACACACACACACACACACACACACACTTTTTTTTTTTAGAGAAAGGAAATACTACCACCAAAATTAAAGACACTCAAAAGTAAAACCAGATGGCCTATTTACAATAACTACCTACCACTAAACCATGACTTAAAAACACAACCCACTTATTTTTTCCCCTAAAAGAGCTCACCTTCAAATATCAGTGTCCAATTCACTTAAAAAATGATAAATTGGTCAATTTTCTTTCAAATTTTTTAAATTTTTGTGGGTAAATTCAGTTCTTGATTTAAAATTTTTATCAGAAGATTAACTTCTATTAATAGATTAGAAAATTCCATTACATCCTATAATAATAAAGCATGTAATTTCATAGAATATAGTCTTTCTTAAATACTAACCCTTATTAACAGGTCCCATTACTTTCAATAGTTTGGAGAAAATCACTGCACATTTGAAGTATGTTTATATGGGTCTATTACCGTTTCCTAAAAGATGTTTTATTTTCCTTCTTTAAGAGACCTGTGTTAATTAGCTTGCAAGTTTTAGTGAGGAAGGTTAGAAAATTTCTGAAGTCAACTGAATAGATACCATTAAACACACACATAAAAAAATGACAGTATGATTATACCTCCTGAATTACATTATGAATGAGATGCTTACATGTTTTCACCGCAAAATGACTGGGTGTATTTTCTCTGATGATGCAATCTGTGAAAATGTATGACAAAATCAAAATCTAACTGTGATTTTCAAAATACAGTGGGAAAGTGTATTGTATACCTCTCACATCCAACAATATTTAAGTAAAAGTGATGGGCACAAGCACCTCATATTCATTTTAGTTTTGATGCTTTGACAAATAAATCATTTACAGAGTTTCTCTGCTTCTTGTCACAACTACAAAGTGTCACAGATAATTCTGAATCTCAGAAACGCAAATCTATAAATAACCAACTACTTTAATCACAGTAAATGCAATTGAAGTAGATGGTTGCTTACATATACCCTAAAACCCAAAAATCTATTACTCAGAGGCAAATTTATATTCCTTAAATTTACTGGTTGATCCCTTTATTAGACAAGATATATAGAGCCCATACCTTCTAGAAGCAAAAAATGGAAAGTAACATTTCATTCATATAACATCCAAATTGAAAAAGATCATTACTAGGCACAAGCCTACAGGGCAATTAAAAGAATTTTCTTACCCAGGTGGCATGCCTGGCATAACTGGTGGCATTCCTGGCATCAGAGGAGGAACACCTGGCATTAATGGAGGTATGCCTACAAGCAAGAATTTCAATCAAAATAATAACAAATATTAAAGAGTTAGAGGGAAGAAAGTAATACTTCGATACAATATCAATAATGTCCTAAAAATGTTAGATTTTAAGCAATCCTATGTGCTACCTGGAGGCATTCCTGGTGCTCCTGGTACTGGTGGCAGTCCTGGCTGTGCCATTGGAGGAATATAACCTTGCTGAGGTTGAACAGGCTGTGGCTGAAATGAAGTTGAGGCTGCAGAGTCGTCATCATCATATTCATCAGAATCATCTTGTTGCTTCTTTTTTTGACTTTCTGTTAAAAAAAAAAAATTATTTCCATAGAGTAAAAACTAAGAAAGTTTATTTACAACATTCAATATTTAAAAATACATATATGGGTAAAATTACTTCATGAGATTTTTCTTCCCCAAAAATTCAATTAATACTGCTCTATGTTCTTCAAATGTGTTTTCGCCCTATATTAAACAAGATTAACGTTCTTTCCCTGTCCTATGAAAGGTAAAATGATTATCCTAAATCAGTATTTTTTCTTTTAAATTTTTAGTAAAGTCTTGCTCTGCGATGCAGGCTGTACAGCAGTGGCACGACTGCAGCTCACTGCACTCTCAAACTCCTGGGCTGAAGCGATCCTCCCGCCACAGTCTCCCAAGTAGCTGGGACTGCAGACACATGCCACCACACTGGGCTTTTTTTTTTTTTTTTTGGGGGGGGGGTAAAGGTGAGGTCTTGAACTTTTGGCCTCAAGTGATCCTACGGCCTCAGCTACCTAAAGCACTGAAATTATAGGAGTCCTTCATTTTCATATGCCTTAACACTTGCTAATTCTATTTGGAATTCAATTATGAATAATAATATAAGAAAATGGAATGATCCAAATGGTACTGCATATATACAAATCAAGTATGTCTTCAAAAACAGAGCTCAAATTTTAAATTCCAAATAAATCTATCATCTACCATTCAATTTTATCTATCTATCAAGTGATCAATCAATCGATTTATCTAAATAGGATCTCACTCTGTTGCCCAGACTGGAGAATTCACAGCTCACTGAAGCCTCAACCCCTTGGGCTCAAGAGATCCTCCCACCTCAGCTTAGACTATAGGCATGTGCCACCACACCCGGCTAATTTTTGTATTTTTTTTTTGTAAAGACAGGGTGTCATTCTCTATTGCCTAGGTTGGTCTCCCAATTTCTGGGCTCAAGCAATTTTCCTGCACTGCCTGCCCATAGTGCTGGGATTACAGGTGTGAGCCACTCCAACTACCCTACCATTAAATTTATAATTGAAAATACTAACTCTGGGCTTAAGTGAGGCTGAAAAAAGAATATTATCACAAGGGGAGAGAGATGGTGGCTCACACCTGTAATCCCAGCACTTAGGGAGGCCTCAGCAGGTAGATTGCTTGAGGTCAGGAGTTTGAGACCAGCCTGACCAACATGGTGAAACCCCGTTTCTACTAAAAAATATAAAAACTAGGCCAGGTGTGGTGACTCACATCTGTAATCCCAGCACTTTGGGAGGCCGAGGCGGGCAGATCACGAGGTCAGGAGTTCAAGACCAGCCTGACCAACATGGTGAAACCCTGTCTCTACTAAAAACACAAAAATTAGCCAGGTGTGGTGGCACACACCTCTAATCCCAGCTACTCCGAAGGCTGAGGCAGGAGAATTGCTTGAACCTGGGAAGCGGAGGTTGTGGTAAGCCGAGATCGCACCTCTGCACTCCAGCCTGGGCAACAGAGTGAGACTCCATCTCAAAACAAAAACAAAAACAAACAAAAATCAGCTGGGTGTGGTGGCTTGCGCCTGTAATCCCAGCACTTTGCGAGGCAAAAGTGGGCAAATCACCACTTAGGGTCTGGAGTTCGAGACCAGCCTGACCAACATGGTAAAACCCCGTATCTACTAAAAACACAAAAACTAGCCGGGCGTGGTAGTGCATGCCTGTAGTGCCAGCTACTCAGGAGGCCAAGTCAAGAGAATGGCTTGAACCTGGGAAGCAGAGGTTGCAGTGCAATGAGCCGAGATCATGCTACTGCACTCCAGCCTGGCAACAGAGCAAGACTCCACCTCAAAAAAGAAAAAAACAAACAAACAATCACTTAAACCCCGGAGGCAGAAGATGCAGAGAGCCCAGATCACACCACTGTACTCCAGCCTCGGCTGGACAGAGTAAGCCTCTGTCTCAAAAAAAAAAAAATTAAAAAAAATAAATAAATAAAATAAAACTTATCCCAATATTTACCTTGTGTTTTCTGTTCAAGAAGTCGTCGTCTTTCATCCATGTCTTTTTCTGGAATACCTTCCATACCATATATTTCCAACTCTATGTCTGTTCTTCCAGGTATTGCATTTGGTACGGCATCTATTGTTTCTTTATGTACCTAACAACAACAATTTCCATTAGATAAAAGTCTTTTTTAAGAATAATTCCAAGTTAATCAAAGACTGCTTAGTATAAAGAATAAATGTTCTATAGTGAGGCCATGTAGAGCCAATTC
Organism: Homo sapiens; assembly: GCF_000001405.40. NCBI lineage: Eukaryota > Metazoa > Chordata > Mammalia > Primates > Hominidae > Homo > Homo sapiens. Next base: position 32,358,385 of record NC_000017.11, on the reverse strand, counting down.
CCAGTTTTGCCATTCACTAGCTCTGTGACATTAAGCATGTCAGTGAACTTCTAAGCCTCAGTTTACTTCACCTATATAATAGCTAACTTCTAGAGTTGTTTTTAGGATTAAATACTGTATATAAAAAACACTTGGCGAGATGTCTAACATACAGTAAGCATTCAATAAACATTCTTTCAAGTTTACCATATAATCTTGATTACTTCAATTATTAGCAGTAACTAGTAGTCCTATCCAAATCAGGGATGTTTCAAGTGTGAATTAAGTAAAGATTATGAAACAGCCTCATATTAAGAATTAGAATATAGCCAGGCGAGGTGGCTCACATCTGTAATCCCAGCACTTGGGAGGCCAAGACGGGTGGATCACCTGAGGTCAGGAGTTTGAGACCAGCCTGGCCAACGTGGCAAAACCCTGTCCCGACTAAAAATACAAAAAATTAGTCGGGTGTGGTGGGGTCTGCCTGTAATCCCAGCTACTGGGGAGGCTGAGGAGGCAGAATCACTTGAAGTGAGCAGAGGTCACACCACTGCAATCCAGCCTGCGTGAGAGGGAGAGTCCCTCAAAAAAAACAAAAAAAAAATTAGCAGGGCGTGGTGGTGCACACCCATAATCCCAGTCACTCGACAGGCTGAGGCATGAGAATCACTTGAACCTGGGAGGCAGAGGTTGCAGTGAGCACTCCAGCCTGGGCAGATACTGAGAGACTGTCTCCAAAAAAAATAAATAAAAAATAAAAAGTCAGGTGGGGCGGCTCACGCCTGTAATCCCAGCACTTTGGGAGGCCGAGGCGGGCGGATCACGAGGTCAAGAGTTCGAGACCAGCCTGACCAACATGGTGAAACCCCATCTCTACTAAAAATACAAAAATTAGCCGGGCATGGTGGCACGTGCCTGTAATCCCAGCTACTCAGGAGGCTGAGGCAGAAGAATCGCTTGAACACGGGAGGCAGAGGTTACAGTGAGCCGAGACCGTGCCACGGCACTCTAGCCTGGGCAAGAGAGCGAGATTCTGTCTCAAAAAAAAAAAAAAATAATAATAATAATAATAATAATAATAATAATAATAATAATTAGAATAGCAAATTTTCTAAGTATAGATCTTGAGACAAGCCTCTGGTTACAAACTAGAAAAGTTACATTTGCAATCAGTATCACTTGTAACTAATGAGTTACGTGAGGCATTTTACTTTTTTTTTTTTTTAAGACAGGGTCTCACTCTGCCACCCAAGCAGGAGTACAGTGCCATTATCTCAGTTCACTGCAACCTCCGCCTCCCAAGCTCAAGCCACCCTCCCACCTCAGCCTCCCAAGTAACTGGGACTACAGGTGCGTGCCGCCATGCCTGGCTAATTTTTGTATTTTCTGTGGCGAGGTAGTTTTGTTATGTTCCCCAGGCTGCTCTCAAACTCCTGAACTCAAGGGATCCACCCACCTCAGTGTCCTAAAGTGCTGGGTTACAGAGGTGAGCCACCATGCCCAGCCCTGAGGCACTTTAACATGTTTATTGCAACACACTGAAAATCTGGGATTTTTTTTCATTATATTGTTTTGCTACATAAGCGCTTCTAATCTTCAGATCTGGGTAACTTTTGCCAATAATGTAATATCCCTGCCAGTCTTGGTTTCTTCAGCAAGCCATTTTGCTGAAGTAGATGTCAAAGTATTTTGCCTAGACTATCAAGCCTTTCTGGAAATGCTAATGCATGCTCAAGTTTGAGAAGCACTCATTTAGGCTAATGACTTAGATATATTTGCCCAAATAATACTCATTTTTTCTTTCCTCCTAAGACATTTTCATGTACGAACAGAAAAGTAACTACAAAAAGCTAAGTATTTTCTTCTTAGCAATGTATCTCACTTAAAGATTTGAAACTGGGGCATGCAAATCAAACTCAGAAATTATCTTAATATCTGATTGTTAAAAGCTATTCCTTATATTGCAATTAAAATATTTATGGATAAAGCGGCTTAACAAGTGACTTAATTGCCGTTTCCTAAGGTTTTTTGGAATATTTTGCTATTCTTAATAAAGAGATGATGCAACAGGCATTCTATAAACAATTACATTCACATACACACTAATCTTCACTACATTTTTGAGAAGGGCAACAATTAAAGGTGTATCTATTATGGTACAGCCAGAATTAGATTTCTTGGGACCCTGCCAAGCAAAGTCATAGCGTCTTGGTTGAAAAGACAGGAGCAAGCACTGATGAGAAACTGCAGGGAACCACCTAACTTACTAATAATGTCTTAGGGTTTATCATCTATAAAATTGGTATGATTTAACTGCCAGGTCTATCTCACAGGTTGCTGTGAAAATAGGACTAAATAAAGGCACTCAGACAATAATGTTACTAAGTTTCTCAACTAACCTTGAAGCTTCCACTCCACTTCTCTGCTCTTCATAAAGTGCAACTCCCTAAGAATGCCTTCGCTTCCTCTCCCTGTCTCTTCAAAGCACCGTAATCACACTTCACCCTCACCACTCTTGGAAATCGCTCTTTGTCAAGTCACCAATGACCTTATTAACCCAGTCTCAGTACTCTTACTGAACCAGCATTTGACTCAGTTAAATAACTCACTCCTTGAAACACGTCATTGACTTCCAGGGCACTACTCTTGGTTTTCCTACCTTTCATCTCCTTAGACGATTCCTTTTAATCTCCTGACCTTCAAATGTTGGAAGTGGCCTAGAGCAGAGAGCACCTAATTTCCAACCACACTACAGTCCTTACAAAGGACATCTGGTAGCGCGGCTTAAACTAGCCACCCTTACATTGTATGCGTCCAAATTTCTATCTCCTGTTTTAATTTCTATGAACTCCTGACTTGTACATCAAACTGCTTCGGTAACCTTTTCATCTGGATATTTAATAGACCTCAAACATACCTACACTCAAAATTAACACAGGACTCCCTTATTCTCATTCTTAAGCCTATTATCCCTGTAGCTTTTCACATCTCGTCATATGCTCAAAATAAACATTTTTGAGACAGGGTTTCACTCTTGTAGCCCAAGTTGGAGCTGAGTAGTGCTATCACGGCTCACTGCAGTCTCGTCCTCCCCAGCTCAAGCGATCCTCCTGCCTCAGCCTCCTGAGTAGCTGGGACACAGGCACGTGCCACCATGCCCAACTTTGCATTTTTTGTAGAGACAGGGTCTCATTATATTGCCCAGGCTAGTCTCGAACTATTAGGATCAAGTGATTAGTCCATCTCGGCCTACCAAAGTGCTGATTACAGGCGTGAGCCACCGCACCTAGCCAGACCATCTTGAGATCAACATCTTGAGACCACCCTTAACTCCTCACTTTTTCTTATACCCCATATCTAACCTATCAAACTCTGGTCTCTGTCACCATCTCCTCTTGTCTGGAATATTCTAAGTCTTCTAAAGTGGTCTCACCGTACTCTGCACTTTACTTTCAACCCTGCAGCCAGAAAAATCCTTTTAAAAAGTCTTACAGGCTGGGCGCAGTGGCTCACGCCTGTAATCCCAGCACTTTGGGAGGCCAAGGAAGGTGGATCAGGAGGTCAGGAGTTCAAGACCAGCCTGGCCAAGATGGTGAAACCCCATCTGTACTAAAAATACAAAACAATTAGCTAGGCACAATGGCAGGCGTCTGTAATCCCAGCTACTCGAGAGGCTGAGGCAGGAGAATTGCTTGAACCCGGAGGGCAGAGGCTGCGGTGAGCCGAGATCACGCCCACTGCACTCCAGCCTGGACGAAAGAGACTCCGTCTCAAGAAAAAAAAAAAAGTCTAATAGAGGCCAGCTGCAGTGACTTATGCCTGTAATCCCAGCACTTTGGGAGGCCAAAGTAGATGGGATCACTTGAGGCCAGGAGTTCAAGACCACCCTGGCCAACGTGGTGAAGCCCCATCTCTACTAAAAATACAACTCAGGCAGGCACGGTGGTGCATGCCTGTAATCCTAGCTATTTGGAAGGCTGATGCACAAGAATCACTTAAGCCCAGGAGGCGGAGGCTGCAGTGAGCACAAGACAGAGCAAAACTCCGTTTCAAAATAAAACAAAAAAAAAACTGACAGAGCATACATCTCTATTTAAACCCCTATTTCATTCAGAATTAAAGAAAATGGCCGGGCTCAGTGGCTCACAACTGTAATTCCAGCACTTTGGGAGGCCGAGTGGGAGAATCGATTGATCCTGGGAGTTGGGCGACCAGCCTGTGCAACATAGTGAGACCCTGTCTCTACAAAAATAAAATTTTAAAAATAGCCAGGTATGGTGGTACACAATTGTTGTCCCAGGTACTCAGGAGGCTAAGGTGGAAGGATCATTTGAGTAAGGGAGTTCAAAGTTGCGGTGAGCTATGATCTGCACTCCAGCCTGGACAACAGAATGAGACCCTGTCAATCAATCAAAACAAAATGTTCTTATCCACACTACCCAATATAAGTTAGCTACTTGACAGAGAAACTGAGCATTTAGATATTTATATCATTTTAAATAGCCACATGTAACTAATGGCTGCAACAGTGAACAGCTGTGAGTCTAACATGTAGTAGGTTCTCTAACAATTTTTTTTTTTTTTTTTTTTTTTTTGGAGACAGAGTCTCTGTCACCCAGGCTGGAGTGCAGTGGCACAAACTCAGCTCACCGCAAACTCTGCCTCCCGGGTTCAAGTGATTCTCCTGTCTCAGCACCCGCCTCGCGCCCCCCGCCCCCAGCCCTCCCCCCGCCCCCGTAGCCAGGACTACATGTGCCTGCCACCATGCCCAGCTAATTTTTGGTATTTGTAGAGATGGGGTTTCACCACGTTGGTCAGGCTGGTCTTGAAACCCTGACCTCAGGTGATCCACCAGCCTCGGCCTCCCAAAGTGCTGGGATTACAGGCGTGAGCCACCACATCTGGTCAACATTTTAAAATGAATATTAAATTATTGTTAAAGTATCTGGAGTGAAAAGGATCTATATAAATTTATCTTTAAACCTGGAGAAATCACGTCTCCCTACCTCCCACCCATAGTAGTTTCCAATGATTTGGTATTTGCTCATCTCATATTTCTGTAAGGTCTAATTTAGCAAAAATTCAGACAGCTCTAGGACTAAGCAAAGTAGAATAATGTTGAATGAGACATGAAGGTACTTACTAGATCTTAAAAAATATAAATTACAATGCTCTCGCTATTTATTAAAAGAACTTTAAAAACCTAGAAATTATTGTCATTATTATTATTATTGAGACAGAGTCTCACCCTGTTGCCCAGGCTGGAATGCAGTGGCACCATCTCAGCTCACTGCAACCTCTGCCTCCAGGGTTCAAATGATTCTCTTGCCTCAGCCTCCCCAGTAGCCAGGATTACAGGCCCATGCCACCACACCCGGCTAATTTTTGTATCTTTAGTAGAGATGGGGTTTCACCATGTTGGTCAGGCTGTCTTGAACTCCTGACCTTGTGATCCGCCCACCTTGGCCTCCCAAAGCGCTGGGATTACAGGCGTGAGCCACCGCGCCCAGCCGAAACCTAGAAATTATTAAATGAAATACAATTCTGGGCTGGCACAATGGCTCATGCCCATAATCCCAGGGCTTTGGGAGAACGAGGCAGGAAGACGGCTAGAACCCAGGAATATGAGGCTGCAGTGAGCCATAACCATGTCACTGCAATCCAGCCTGGGCCACAGAGCAAGGCCATCTCTTAAAAACAAAAGCAAAAAGTACAATGCTGCCATTCCAAAAGAAGTCCAATAAATAAATTGCTGAAATTAGCCTAGCCCCAAGCTACAGATAATAACAGATCCTTCAATGGCAGTGAGTAATGACTGCTAATTAAGTATTAATTCTTAAGGCCAGACCACCTACAAAATCTAAATCGCTGATCCTTGTTCTCTGCTCCAAGTACTCAGGAAATATTTAGTGATTTCGATATGTTACCAATCTAACCTAGTAAGGTACTATCAAACTAAATACAAATACAAACCCTCTTTAAACATAAAAAGCCAGTTTTGTTTATTGTCTTGATGGCTATCGAACAAATTTTTTGTTTTTTTTAATGCTGATTGGCTATCTTATCTTTTGCAGTAAGTAAGTGAACAAAAAAAAAACAAAACTACAGTTGTCAGAGAAATAAATGATTATTCTTTCGGCCAGGCGCGGTGGCTCACGCCTGTAATCCCAGCACTCTGGGAGGCCCAGGTGGGTGGATCACCTGAGGTCAGGAGTTCGAGACCAGCCTGGCCAACATGGTGAAACCCCAGTCTCTACTAAAAATACAAAAAATTAGCCGGGCATGGTGGCGGCTGCCTGTAGTCCCAACTACTCCGGAGGCTGAGGCAGAAGAATAGCTTGAACCCGAGAGGCAGAGGTTGCAGTGGGCCGAGATTGCACCACTGCACTCCAGCTTGGGCGACAAGACCGAAACTCAAAAAAATAAAAAAGATTATTCTTTCAAGTTGTTTCCAAATCACAAGCGGACAATAAATACAGAAGAAAAATCCTTACCTGCATGCAATGAATAGCTAAGCCAGGTCCTGTATACAATTTCTTGTGACATATATGGCATTTAAAATGCTTTGCTTTTTGGTGCTGAATAAGGATCTTCTCATCATCAAAATCTCTATTACAATACCTGATCAATACTGTTAAGGCACAAAGACAGCCTAATGATGACACTGCCTATAATAAAAACATATGGATAACATTACAATATGGGAACAGCTAAAACCAAAATGGTACTGTATAGAAACTCTGCTTTTTATATTTATTACACAATTAGGGACTACACTTGCCATGTTATTTCAGTATTTTCAATTTCCTAGAAGGCCAGCTCTCTTCACCACCCCAAAAAACACATCTCAATAATCAGCAATATACTTTGTCAAATTCCTGTGTTTAACAGAGATGTCGGTGAAACTTTTGTTATAAATATTTCAACATTTACAAATGCACACTGAGGACAGGAAAGAGTTCAGTTAAGAAATCCCTAAGGTTCTGTCAAGACAATTACTTCACTAGATATGAAGACGATAGCAATAACTGGATTAGGAATTTAGCAATATTTAGAATCTAAGAGTAACTATATGGTGAACAATAATCACATAATTTCGAATGAACAATCCATAAAGTTGTTTCCAATTCCGTATGAATTTATGTTGCCAAGCAATGTATTTAAATTCACAGATCAATAAAATCAATAAAGCAGAATTCTTACATCAATAAAACAGAATTCTTACCTCACTACTCAGATTTTCCTAAAATCACATTACAAAATTCGTAACCGTATTTAAGCTATTTTTAAAACTGTTACATAAACGCAGTACTGTAACAAGCCGCCTTTACGTACAAAACAGTAAATAAAATCAATTTTAATGTAAAGAATATTAACGCTTCCAGAAAAAGCATTAATACCACACTGTAGTAAGAGTTTTCCTAATAAGATAGGCACTTTTTAGTCCTACAAAGTTGGGTAACAGAAACTCCGCCCTGTGAGAACGCTTCCTGAAGATTAAGGCGCCTCTGGGTGAGACACGGAAGCTAGTTCTCCTCCCGCCCCGAAAAGAAAAAAAAAAAAAAAAAGGTTCGAAACCAGGGTTGACTAACTTGGTTCTTTACTAAACCGCCAATTCGAAAAAATAAACACAAAACACACATAAAGTAAATAAAAACAGAAAAAGTGGGTGACAGACTGTGAAGCTGTCCCCAACCCTCCATGAAAGTAATAAGCCTATCGCACTCGAAGAAAAGTCCCTTGTTGAATCGTCACCAAAACAACGGAAGGTGGCTGAATAGTCCCTAGGGGACACTGTCCCTGGCGGAGGGGTCCAGGCCGCCTCCCGGAGTCCAAAATTCGCACCGAACAAGATCCTCCTGAGTCACAGAGTCACACGACCCACAACTGCAAAAGCCTGTCGACCTCGGAACCCCATTTTCCTAGAAGCCTTCCCAAGTCCAATCCCAGCCACCAGGCCACCCACGCAGACGCCTAAATACAAACGCTCCACGCCGTAAGCCAAATCCAGGCCTCCTAGTCCCAGGCCCCAACAACCGGCACCCCAACGCGACCTCGACTTCAAACCGACAAAGGATACCAGCACCACGGCTTCAGCTGCTTCTTCTTCTTGCGACCCATAACTGTGTTCTACCGGCAAAGTAAAAGGGAGGAGAAAAGAAGCAGGAGAAACGAGGCCAAAAATCCCTCACTTTCCCAACCCAACGGCTACCACCACGTCCCACAGGAAGCAGACACAAAATGGCCGACGGCCTCGTTCCCCGCTCCGCCTCCCGTCAAGCACTGCGGTAGGAGGCGGAGCCAAGAAGGGGAGGGTCACATGACGCAGACCTCCGCCCTGAGTGGGTGGGACTAAGAGGCGCGAAGAGGTGGCAGCCATCTTGTCCGTTTCAGAGTTTTTCGCTTTCGCTGGCTGTGCTTGCGGAGCACTTTGGGTTTCATTTGTAAAGGAGCCGGAGCCCCAGGTACGCTAAGGGGCATGCGAATGGAAAACAGAAAACAAAAAAACGGAAAAGATTGCCAGTGCAGTTAGGGCCGATCACAAATAAAGATAGAGACAGCGCCCAATTTTAATTTTGTTTCAATTGAACAGTAAATGTTGATTATGTGCCTATTAAATGCTAAACCAAATAAGTTAGTCTCTGCTTTGTAACTCGCAGATTGGTGACAGACGAGTACACAATGCAGAGTTCTCAGTGCGGCGTTGAGGGAAATGCGAAGTGCTGTAGGACCTCAGAGAGCGGGAGTCCTAGGGCGGCTGTAGTGGTAGTGGTCGTTGGGTTGTCAAGTAAAGTTTTGTTTTTCTTTGTTTTGTTTTATTTTTCTGAGACCAAGTCTCGCTCTGTCTCCCAGGCTGGAGTGCAGCGGCGCGATCTCTGCTCACTGCAACCTCCGTCTCCCGGGTTCAAGCGATTCTCCTACCTCAGCCTCCCGAGTAGCTGGGACTGCAGGCCCGCGCCACCAAGCCCGGCTAATTTTTGTATTTTTAGTAGAATGGGGTTTCACCATGTTAGCGAGGCTGGTCTCGAACTCCTGGGCTCAAGTGATCCGCCCGCCTCGGCCTCCCAAAGTGCTGGATTGCAGGCTTGAGCCGCTGCGCCCGACATAAGAAAGGTTTCTTGAGGAGTCAACGGGAGCAAGCAAGGTGAAGGAAAGGGTATCTCCGTAAGGGAGCAAAGAGTTTAAGTCTTTGAGGCTGGGCACGTGAAAAACTAATCGTGGTAAGACTGGAGCTGATAGCCGGGCGCGGTTGCTCACGCCAGTAATCCCAACACTATGGGCCAAGGCCGAGGCAGGCGGATCACTTGAGGTCAGGAGTTCGAGACCAGCCTGGCCGACATGGTGAAACCCTGTCTCTACTAAAAATACAAAAATTAGCCAGGCGTAGTGGCAGGCGCCTGTAACCTCAGCTACTCGGGAGAATGAGGCAGGAGAATCACTTGGACCTGGGAGGTGAAGGTTGCAGTGAGCCGAGATCTCGCCATTGCATTCCAGCCTGGGTGACAGAGTGAGACTCCGTCTCAAAAAAAAAAAAAAAAGACTGGAGCTGTCAGTGAAGGTGCTGGTCACAAGAGATAATCCTAGGGAGGCTAGCAAAGGCGGGTTCTGGCGAACCCTAGAAGCATTCTCAGAAGTTGGATTTCAGCTGAAGTCTCTGAGAAGGCACAGTGGTTCTAAGAGGGCAACTGGAGGATCATGCAAGTGAGAGGTGGTTAAAAGTCCAGTGCTTGGGTTCATAGTCCACCAGTGCCACTGCTTAGCTGCCTGACTTTGGGCAAGGCAGTTAAACTTCATCTTGGCTGCACTTAAAACAGAGCTTAGCATATAATAATAACTAGTAATGTAAATTATGTTACTATTAAAAGCAAAAAATAATAGCAGACATCCATGGAGCACCTACCGTGTGCCAAGCATTGTAGTGAGTTTTAACATTATTTGTCTCAGCCTCTGGGGTAGGAGCCATTATTGTCAACTTGTTAATAGAGATGAGATAAAAGAGACTTAAGAGAGCTGGAATAATTTGCCCCAAAACACAAAGTATGTGTGGAGCTGAATTAAATTTGAATTTTAAAGGATCAGTTTGGGCTGTGCGCAGTGGCTCACACCTGTAATCCCAGCACTGTGGGAGGCTGAGGCGGGTGGATCACCTGAGATCAGGAGTTGAAGACCAGCCTGGCCAACATGGTGAAACCCGGTCTTTACTAAAAATACCAAAAAAAAATTAGCCAGGCGTGGTGGGGCACGCCTGTAATCCCAGCTACTCCGGAGGCTGAGGCAGGAGAATCGCTTGAACCCGGGAGGCGGAGGCTGCAGTGAGCCGAGATCACTCTGCTGCACTCCAGTCCGGGCGACAGAGCAAGACTCTGTCTCAAAAAGAAAAAAAAAAAAAAAGTTCAGGCTGGGTGCAGTTGCTCAAGCCTGTAATTGCCGTGCTTTGGGAGACTGAGGCAAGAGGGTGGCTTGAGGCCAGGAGTGTGAGACCAACCTGGGCACCATAGTGAGACCATCTCTATGAAAAAATAAATTGAAAAATGAAAAAGTTTAAAACCGTATTGCAATGTGCTGAATATCCCCCCAACTGCTTGAAACGTAATCACCAATGTGATAGCATTAAGAGTTGGGACCTTTAGCAGGTGATTAAATCATGAGTAAACTGGGTGGGGGGGGATTAGTGATTTTATTAAAGTGCTGGAAGGAACTAAACTCTACTCTCTCTTGCCTCAACCAAATGAGGATGCAGCAAGAATGCCCTCATCAGACACTGAGTATTAGTGCCTTGATCTTGGATTTCCAAATTTCCAGACTATAAGAAAATATAATTCAGTGGGTGTGGTGGTGGCTCACCCCTGTAATCCCAACACTTTGGGAGGCTGAGGTAGGTGGATCACCTGAGGTCAGGAGTTCGAGACCAGCCTGGCCAACATGATGAAACCCTGTCTCTACTAAAAAATACAAAAAAAATAGCTGAGTGTGGTGGCGGGCGCCTGTAATCCCAGCTACTCTGGAGGCTGAGGCAGGAGAATCACTTGAACCCAGGAGGCGGAGGTTGTAGTGAGCCGAGATTGCGCCATTGCACTCCAGCCTGTGCAATAAGAGTGAAACTCCATCTCGGGGGAAAAAAAAGAAAGAAAAGAAATAAAATTCTGGCCAGGTGTGGTGGCTCATGCCTGTAATCCCAGCACTTTGGGAGGCCGATGTGGGTTGATCACCTGAGATCAAGAGTTCGAGACCAGCCTTGCCAACATGGCAAAATCCTGTCTCTACTGAAAATACAAAAATTAGCTGGGCATTGTGGTGGGTGCCTGTCATCCCAGCTACTCAGGAGGCTGAGACAGTAGAACCCAGGCTGAGGCTTGAACCTGGCAGGTGGAGGTTGCAGTGAGCTGAGATTGTGCCACTGTACTCCAGCCTTGGTGTCAGAGTGAGACTCCAGCTCCAAAAAAAAAAAGAAAGAAAGAAATACAATTCTGTTATTCATAAATTCCCCAGTCTGTGGTGTTTGTTACAGCACCATAAACAGATTAAAACACTTTTACTATGAAAGCAATAAGCAATAAAATATTGCTGTTAGTTGGGAGGCTTAGGCAGGCGGATCACCTGAGGTCAAGAGATTGAGACCATCCTGGCCAACATGGTGAAACCCTGTCTCTGCTAAAAATACAAAAATTAGCTGGGCCTAGTGGCGTGTGCCTGTAGTTCCAGCTACTCGGGAGGCTGAGGCAGGAGAATCGCTTGAACCTGGGAGGCAGAGGTTGCAGTGAGCCGAGATCGTGCCACTGCACTCCAGCCTGGCAACAGAGCGAGACTGCGTCTCAAAAAAAAACAAAAAAAAATTGCTGTTAGAAATTAAAGAAGGCCTGGTGCGCTAGCCCATTCCTGTAATCCCAGTACCTTGGGAGGCTGAGGTGGGAGAATCACTTGAAGCCAGAAGTTTAAGGCGAGCCTGGGCAACAAAGCAATATCCTGTCTCTATGAAAAAATTAAAAATTAGCTGGGTTTCGGTGGCCCAGGCTGGTAGTGTGCAGTGGTGCAATCGTAGCACACTGCAGCCTTGATCTCCTGGGCTCAATGGATCCTCCCACCTCAGCCCACGGAGTAGCAGGGACTACAGGGCCATGCCACCATGCCTTGCTAATTTTTGTGTTTTTTGTAGAGGTAAGGTCTCGCTTTGTTGTCCAGGCTGGTCTTGAACTCCTGGGCTCAAGTGATCCTCCTGCCTTAGCTTCTAAGTGTTAAGATTAACAAGCGTGAGCCACCATGCTGTGCCTCTCGTTGTAGTGAGTTTATAGATAAGCAAGGGGAGGAGGCTAGAATGATCCATGCGGCCATGGATTAGAGCTGGAGACACCAGAATGAACTCGTGTTTATTTTAAAATAGATACATAGAGAAATATTTATGGATATGTGTATATACTAAAGTTAGTATAGATACATATATCAGCTGAGAGGGCCTAGAAGCAATAATGTCCCATATCAAGCATACTTTGTCCAGAGATCTTGGTTTGTAATACCATTCTCCAGTAAAAGCAACCTGAGGTCCTTGGAGAAATGGTTGATTCGGACCAGGCACGGTGGCTCATGCCTGTAATCCCAGCACTTTGGGAAGCCGAAGAGGGCAGATCACGAGGTCAGGAGTTCAAGACCAGCCTGACGAACATGGGGATTCTGCTGCCTCAGACTCCCGAGTAGCTGGGACTACAGGCATGCGCCACCACGCCCGCCTAATTCTTATATTTTTAGTAGAGACAGGGTTTCACCATGTTGGCCAGGGTGGTCTCAATCTCCTGACCTTGTGATCTGCCTGCCTCAGCCTTCCAAAGTGCTGGGATTACAGGTGTGAGCCACCGCGCCCGGCCAGGGGAATTCTTTTCAACCTAGAATTCGATGTCCAATCATATCAATCTAAAATTCTATTTCTTTTTTCCCCCCTGAGATGGAGTCTTACTCTGTTGCCCAGGCTGGAGAGCAGTGGCATGATCTTGGCTCACTGCAACCTCTGCCTCCCAGGTTCAAGTGATTCTTCTGCCTCAGCCTTCTGAGTAGCTGGGATCACAGGCGTGCACCACCAGGCCTGGCTAATTTTTGTGTTTTTAATAGAGACGGGGTTTCACCATGTTGGCCAGGCTGGTCTCGAACTCCTGACCTTGTGATCCGCCTGCCTCAGCCTCCCAAAGTGCTGGGATTACAGGTGTGTGCCACCATGCCTGGCCCCTAAAATTCTATTTCTAAGGAATATCCAATCAAATGTGAAAATACAATAAAGACGTGAGGATATATTTTCAGACATGCAAGAGCTTAAAAATTATTTTATATATACCCTTTCTTGGCTAATATTGGAGGCAGTACTTGAGCAAATCAAGAGAATAAACCATAATCTAGAAAAAATGGGATTAACAGGGAAGAATGTGAAGAAATCCAGATAAGAATAGAAGAAAGGGTTGTTGGGGGGGACTCTATTACTTCCTTTCTTTCTTTTTTTATTTTTATTTATTTTTTTTTGAGACAGAGTCTCACTCTGTCACCCAGGCTGGAGTGCAGTGGCATGATTTCGGCTCACTGCAACCTCTGCCTCCCGGGTTCAAGTGAGTCTTCTGCCTCAGCCTCCTGAGTAGCTGTGACTACAGGTGTGTGCCACCATGCCAGGCTAACTTTTGTATTTTCAGTAGAGATGGGATTTCACCATATTGGCCAGGCTGGCTTCAAACTCCTGACCTAGTGATCCACCCACCTCGGCCTCCCAAAGTGCTGGGATTACAGGTGTGAGTCACCACGCCCGGCCGTATTAGTTTCTTTCTTTCTTTTTTTTTTTTTTTTTGAGACAGAGTCTGGCTCTATGGCCCAGGCTGGAGTGCACTCTGCCTCCCAGGTTCATGCCATTCTCCTGCCTCAGCCTCCCAACTAGCTGGGACTACAGGTGCCCACCACCTCACTGGGCTAATTTTTTGTATTTTTAGTAGAGATGGGGTTTCACCGTATTAGCCAGGATGGTCTCGATCTCCTGACCTTGTGATCCGCCTGCCTCGGCCTCCCAAAGTGCTGGGATTACAGGCGTGAGCCACCACACCCAGCCACTGTATTAGTTTCTTATGGCTGCTATAACACGTACCACCTGGGCATGGTGGCTCACACCTGTAATGTCAGCACTTCGGGAGGATGGGGCAGAAGGATCACTTGAGCCCAGGAGTTCAAGACCAGCCTGAGCAACAAAGTGATACACTGTCTCTATAAAAAATAAAAATACAGCTGTTTCCTGAGTGAGATTTGGCTTTCAGTCTGGGCAAATGAAGACCATTTTGCGGTTAAATGGGCTCTTTTTTCTCAATTCCTTGATATGGACCTGTGCTGGGGACTGGTCGGCTATTCAAGTACAATGCACCCAGTTTTGGTTCTGTGCCAGGATTAAACCCACGATATTTCACAATTTGTATATGAACCCCGATGAAGTGTTTCTAGGAGATGGCTGCCTTGTAACCTAGTTTTGCCAAATATCTACTATGAGTTTTTCTACCATCCTCATGACTGTGGTAACTCAACCTCTCCAGGAAGTTCTTCTGCTTAAAACTAAAATCAAGTATATCTCAAGAGACTACTGCCGATCTGAAATGCCTCTGTCATGTGTTGTCCGCAATCAGAATCCTCTTTTAAATGTAGTTGAAATGAGAGATAAGGAAACTGACAATGTTACTGAATGGGAGATAGAGGTGAGGATACCCATTGCGAATGAAGACATGGCAGTAACTTCTGCAATACAATCTTTTAAGAATCTGACTGCTATACTCACTTGTTCATCAAATGAGTACCTTTATTGCAAGAGAAGAAACTGTGCTATCCACTTTGATATGGAGAGGCAATTTGGAATCTCTGCCATAATTGCTTAGGACTGAGGATTTAATGTGCTATTTTGTGAAAATCTGAGAAGCAGGAAGGGGATTTAACGATCTCAACTGTTATCCATCTGAAAAACCTAACTTGTAATTTTAAATGAAATGGCAGGTTGCCTTCCACTATTCCTTTTTAAAAATAGGAACTGCCCCTGCTTTTAACTTTATGAAGTTTTATTTATGAATAAAGTTTGCACTACTAAAAATAAAAAAAAAAAACACAAAACACACGCATGCACACACACACGGTGGCTTAAAACAATGGAAATGTATTATTTCACAGTTCTGGAGGCTGGAAGTTGACATGGAGGTGCTGGTGGGGACATACTCTCTTGAAGCCTCTAGGGGAGAATCTGTTCCATGTCCTCTCCTAGCTTCTGGTGATGACCATCAATCCTTGACATTCCTTGGTTTGTAGATACATCACTCCAGTCTGCCTCCTCCTTCACGTGGCGCTATGGTTTGAGTGTTTGTCCACTCCCAAATTCATGTTGAAATGTAATTGCCATTGTAAGACTATTAAGAAGTGGGGCCTTTAAGAGCTAATTATAAATTGCCCAGTCTTTGGTATCCTTTTATAGCATCATAAAATGGACTGAGACAGAAAACTGGTACCAGAGAATGGGGTGTTGCAGAAACAAACACCTGAAAATGTGAATTGGTGTTAGAACTGGGTAATGGGCAGAGACTGGAAGGGTAGCTGGCATTACAGGCGTGAACCACCACACGTGGCTAATTTTTTTGTACTTTTAGTAGAGACACAGTTTCACCATGTTGCCCAGGCTGGTCTTGAACTTCTGACCTCAAGTGATCCGCCTGCGTCGGTCTCCCAAAGCACTGGAATTACAGGCGTGAGCCACCGTGCCCGGCCTTTTAGTTTTTACGTAGTCATTTTTTTAAACGTTTTCCTGTATGACTTCTAAGTGTTTTGTTATGTTTGGAAAGACCCTCTTCAAGAATTAACAAAATTATCCCATATTTTCACTTTAACAAAATTCATTTTAAATTCTTAACTTTTTGATCAAACGGGTGTCTGTGCGTGCTGGCACGCGCGCAAGGAGGCAGACGAGTAGCCTTATTCTTTTCCATGTGGCTAGGTAGTTGTGCCACCTTTATCACATAGAAAGTTTCCCAGATGTCTCAAAGGAAAATAAGTTCAAAATAAATGGTAAAAGCTTGTCAGTAAAGGCGAACTCAGTACGCCTGTCAGCCCCTGTGGGGAGAAGAGACTCCCTTTCCAGGCCAGTCCTTGCCTGCGAACCCGGGGAAACCAGCGGAACGCAGGTGTGCGAGGGCCGGGAGCCGGACGAGCCCTGATACCGACGGCTGCACGGGAGCAGGGGAGCGGTTTGGCGGAGACACAGGGCCGCTCAGAGGCCGCCGCAATGCTCCCCTCTTTGCAGGAGTCGATGGATGGAGATGAAAAGGAACTAGAGAGCAGCGAAGAGGGAGGCTCAGCCGAGGAGCGGAGACTCGAGCCGCCGTCCAGCAGCCACTACTGTCTTTACAGCTATCGCGGAAGCAGGTGCTGGCGCCCAGCTCGGCCTGCCAGCCCGCCCGCCCCTGCGGCCCCGCCCCCGGCCCGCCGCCCGGCCTTGCACCCCACCCCCGGCCCAGCGGCCCGGCCGCTCCTAAAAGCCATCTTCTCCTCTCCCAGCCAAGGTCTCTGGCCTGAAGGGCGCTCCTCGCCTCCCGCTGCTCTTCCTGGCCCCCGTCGTGGACTTGTATGCCTGGCCCAACCATGCCTGTGCCCTTCATCTGCCCCTATATCATCCCAGCCTCTTACTCTCGCGGCTGCCCTTTGTTTAGCGCAGTGCCCCGCATGCTCAATAATTTCAGTTCCCGTCCCCTCTCCTTTCTGTCATTATCTCCCCACTTCTCCCATTTCTGTCACACACACCCCCATCCCCACCCTCTGGTTTTCCTCTGTTCTTGATTCCTCTTTTTCCTCCTTCTGACTTTCCTGGAACCTTCTTGGCCTTGTCAAGTTTGGTTTTTAAAGGAGTTTCCTTGAACCTTCTGGGTATTTAGCCTTTCCTCCACCCGTTAAGTGGCCTGGAGAGAGAAGGGGCTCTTGTCAGCACTGCTGTATGGGTTTTCCTTGTCATGAGGATAGGCAGTGCACTTCCACCTTGCAGCATTTTTAGTTGACTCCTTGCCTTACCCTGCTTGCCAGGCCCCCATACTCCTCTTGGTTTAGAGCCCATAATTGATAGCACTATTGGTTTTGTGGCTTGTAGATTGGCACAGCAACGAGGGGACAGTGAGGACGGAAGCCCAAGTGGCACAAATGCAGAAACTCCCTCTGGTGATGATTTCAGGTAAAAAGAGCTTCAGCATAATTCATGCATGTGCTTTCATCTTCCCTGCATCTCTGGCCTGTACATGTCAGTGGATACTCTATTTCCACTGAGCTTTCCCTGAGTCAAACCGTCAATTCCTCCTATCCCCTAGGAACCTCATCCTGATTTCCTCATTGGCTGGTTCATTCAAGGCTGGGGCAAACAAATCCACATACTGATAGTGTGCTTGGTGATTAGCCAAAAAGAAATCCTTTTTTTTTCTTTTTCCTTTTAAATTGAGACAGGGTCTTGCTCTGCTGCCCAGGCTGGAGTGCAGTGGCATGACTTTGGCTCGCTGCAGCGTCAACCTCCCCGGCCTCAGGTGATCCTCTCACCTCAGCCTCCCCAGTAGCTGGGACTACTGACCACCACGCCTGGCTAATTTTTGTATTTCTGGTAGAGATGGGGTTTCACCATGTTGCCCAGGCTGGTCTTGAACTCCTGGACTCAAGTGATCCGCCCACTTCTGCCTCGCAAAGTGTTGGGATTACAGGCATGAGCCACCTTGCCCAGCCCTGAAAAATTTTTTTTTTTTTTTGAGACAGAGTCTCCCTCTGTTGCCCAGTCTGGAGTGCAGTGGTGCGATCTCAGCTCACTGCAAGCTCTGCCTCCCGGGTTCACGCCATTCTCCTGCCTCAGCCTCCCGAGTAGCTAGGACTACAGGCACCCACCACCACGCCCGGCTAATTTTTTTGTATTTTTTTTTAGTAGAGACGGGGTTTCACTGTGTTAGCCAGGATGATCTCTATCTCTTGACCTTGTGGTCCACCTGCCTCGGCCTCCCAAAGTGCTGAGATTACAGGCGTGAGCCACTGCTCCCGGCCCCAGCCCTGAAATTTTTAAATCATCAATTATACCTCAATAAAGTTGAAAGATAAAAAAGATAAGAATGTGTGCAGGGGTGTGATTATAATGACTGACCATGGAATTAAGGCAGAATAAGGAGGGAAGTGAGATGAGAAACTTGAGAGACTGAAAAAGAGGTAGGGTCAGTGGATTGGGGGTTCCAGTGGAGTCACAGTACTGGAGAGAATGAGCTGGAAAGATAGGAATATTTTAAGCTATTTGATGAGGTAGATCATACTTAGTGACATACATTCCTAGAAGCCTCACCAATAGGGGTCATAAGGACAGCTTTCCCCAGTCCTTAAAAGAGCCCCTGGCGTTGGTACCATTCTGTCTGACTTAATGGGTGTGAATACCCTAGTCCACTGGTAAAGAATGTGTGTCTTTCATTTGTCAAGCCTCTCCTTGGCAGATACTAATCTACCATCCGAAGTGGAGCCAGAGCTGCGCAGTTTCATTGCTAAGCGTCTTTCAAGAGGTGCAGTCTTTGAAGGGCTGGGTAATGTTGCATCTGTGGAGCTAAAGTAAGTGCAAAATGTGCTGTGTCCTGAGTTTTTATTTCTGAACTAAATATGAGAAGTGATGAGAAACTCCAAAAGATCAGCTCCTACTAGACCTGCAGAATTTGTCTTTATTCTCTGGCAGCCCGAGCACTGGGCCTCACACATAAACATTTGTGGAATGGAATTAATTGAATGGCAGAGACCCTGGCACCCAATTGCACTTTATTTAATTAGTTTATTTTTTTTTGAGACAGGGTCTTGCTTTGTTGCCCAGGCTGGAGTGCAGCGGCCCGATTACAGCTCACTGCAGCCTTGACCTCCTGGGCTTAATCAATCCTCTCACCTCAGCCTCCCAAGTAGCTGGGACTGCAGGCAGGCACTACGATGCCCAGCAATTTTTTTAATTTTTTTTTTTTTTTTTTTTTAGAAATGGGGTCCTACCATGTTGCCCAGGCTAATAAGTTTTGTACTTAGAAGAAGAAAAGTGTTGATTATTAAAACTAAATTTGTATACAGTTTGTATTTTCACAAACTTTTATGTAGTTTTCCTTACAAAGGGGAAATATAGCAGATACTCTCTTATTTTCATTTTCAGATGAGGAAATAAACTCAGAGTTTATGTAAACTTAAGTCATGAGGCTGGTCAAATTGATGGAGTTCAGGCTTAAACATGAGCATTCTTAGTCCAATTCCAACTGTCTTTCCATTACACCTCTCCTTTTTTGTTTTGTTTTGTTTTTTTTAAGACAGAGTCTCACTCTGTTGCCCAGACTGGAGTACAGTAGCATGATCTTGGCTTACTGCAACCTCCGCCTCCCTGGTTCAAGCAATTCTCCTGCCTCAGCCTCCCGAATAGCTGGGATTACAGGCATGCACCACCATACCCGGCTAATTTTTGTATTTTTAGTAGAGATGGGGTTTCACCATGTTGGCCAGGCTGGTCTCGAACTCCTGACCTCAGGTGATTCACCCGCCTTGGCCTCCCAAAGTGCTGGGATTACAGGTGTGAGCCACTGTGCCCGGCCTCCATTACACCTCTTTATTCTAGTTCAACTCAGACCGTGAAGTTAGCATACAGGTCCTCAGGAGTTTGAGGCCACTTCCCAAGGATAAGGCCACCTTCAGGCACATCTGCCTTAAACATCAATTTGTGAAGCTTTGGGAGAGGGGAGAACATACTTTTTTTTAATATAAACATGGGTATGAACTAGAGTGAAATTTGTGTGAATTTTTCACATAAGACAGGAGAATTCAAAGAAATTTCATGTATGTTAGTGGCTGCTTTAACTAAAGCCCTCCAGGGTATACATTCATTTTTCTTTGCTGCTGCAAGTACACCAACGAGAAGTCTGGGAAGCTCTGAGTTAGTGGGCAGTTTAATGGTGTTGCCAGATCAAGATGACCAGAATTCAGAGCAGTCCACAAAATTATAGATGCATGAGTAACCAAAATAATGCATTTTACATTTTCTTTCTTTTCTAGAATTCCAGGTTACCGAGTTGGTTGTTATTACTGCCTTTTCCAAAATGAAAAACTGCTTCCTGAAACAGTAACGATAGACTCTGAACGTAACCCTTCAGAATATGTGGTCTGTTTTTTAGGAGGGTCTGAAAAAGGACTTGAGCTATATCCTTTCTTTGGTTTTTGAGAACATCAGGAAGGAAAACATGGGAAGGCAGGTGGAAGAATATTACTACCAACCTCCAAAAAGCTTTTCTACTCCTCGTGTATTTAGTTGAATTTCATACCTTCATGTGGCCATTTTGCCTTGGCTTGTTTGCATTTGCAGCTCACATTATTTGAGAGATTTTATATTTCTTGTTGAGAGATGAAATACTGTCTTCATTATTCATCCTTTATTGCTTCCTTAAGAACATACTTTCAGGCTTGAATTGGACAAGTACATTCAAGGGCTGAAAAATAACATGAATTGTGAGGTAAGGTGACTGACTTAATGGTTTTTAAAGACTGAAATGGGGCCAGGCTCAGTGGCTCACGCCTGTAATCCCAGCACTTTGGGAGGCCGAGGTGGGCAGATCACAAGGTCAGAGACCAGCCTGGTCAATATGATGAAACTTCATCTCTACTAAAACTTAGCCAGGCATGGTGGCAGGCACCTGTAGTCCCAGCTACTTGGGAGGCTGAGGCAGGAGAATCGCTTGAACCCGGGAGGCAGAGGTTTCAGTGAGCCGAGATTGCACCACTGCACTCCAGCCTGAGCGACAGAGTTAAAAAAATAAAATAATGACTGAAATGATTAATATACTGTGATTGCTCTACTTGTCAAATCATATAGGTAGACACAAAGACGCCTGTATTCTAGAAACTTGCCACCTTGTGAGCTAGTAGAGAGGTGAATTTTTTTTTTTTTTAGACAGGGTCTTGCTTTGTTGCCCAGGCTGCAGGGCAGTGGCGCGATCAGGCTCACTGCAGCCTCAGCTTCTTGGGGCTCAAGCAGTCTTCTCGCCTCAGCCTCCTAAACAGCTGGGACTACAGGCAAATACCAACACGCCTGGCTAACTTTTGGTATTTTTTGTCGAGATGGGGATCTCACTTTGTTGCCCAGGCTGGTCTAGGATTCCTGGCCTCAAGCAATCCTCCCTCCTCAGCCACCCAAAGTGCTGAGATTACAGACACGAGCCATTGTGCCCAGCCTACAGGTGGTTTCTTTTTCTTTTTCATTTTTTGAGATAGGGTCTCACTCTATCACCCAGGCTGGAGTGCAGTGGCACGATCATGGCTTACTGCAGCCTTTTCTGGGCTCCAGCGATCCTCCCACCTCAGCCTCCCAAGTAGCTGGTACCACAGGCATGCACCACCATGCCCAGCTAATTGTATTTTTGGTAGAGGTGGGGTTTTGCCATATTGCCCAGGCTTGTCTTGAACTCTTGAACTGCTGAGCTCAAGTAATCCACCTGCCTCGGCCTCCCAAAGTGCTGGGATTACAGGTATGAACCACTGCACCCAGCCTACAGGTGATCTTAAAGGGATACAGGAAACATAGTCCTGTAAGTGCTGAAAGTTTCACAAGACTACGTCTGATGTTTTGTATCTATGAAAAATTCGATCTATTCAATGGCATGTAGTAACATGCCTGGCGAGGAAGAGGATGTCCTTTTCCTGATTTCTAGGCATATAAGATTTATATTATGGTCAGAAGTACTGGTCCATGCAGCCTCTGGCACCAAAGACATGCTATGCAATAGTATGGCTGTTCTTGAACTAAACATCAAAGATTCTTAAAAACATTCTATTTTCATTAATTGATCTTTTATGAATTAGGCATATCCATATCAACTTATTCAAACCTTTGAAAAACTGGCTGGGTGTGGTGGCTCACACCTGTAATCTCAGCACTTTGAGAGGCCAAAGCGGGCAGATCACTTGAGCCCAGGAGTTCAAGGCCAGCCTGGGCAACAAAGTGAAACCCCATCTCTACAACAAATACAAAAATTAGCCAGGCATGGTGGCACGCACCTGTAGTCCCAGCTACTTGGGAGGCTGAGGTGGGAGGATCGCTTGAGCCTGGGAAGTTGAGGCTGCAGTGAGCTATGATTGCACCACTGCACTCCAGCCTGGATGACAGAGTGAGACCCTGTCTCAAAAAAGCAAACAAAAACAATGCTTTCAGCTTGTAGCAGTTGTTAGTCATGACTCTCACAAATTTACTACCCATTACATATATAGTAGAAGTTATACTTTTCACATACTTAGAAGATACTGCAGGAGAGAGGAAGGGATAGTGCAGGAGTGAGCAACTGATGCAAGTCTAATAGAGTTGTTCTCCCGGACTAGAGCTCTTCGTGTGTGACACTAGTCTTCAGGGAGCAGTATAGCCTAGAAAGCCAGATGTGCTCACGGTAGCATGTCTGACATCTGGAGTGGAGTGGAGTGCTTTGATGAGTTACTTGTATCCTTCCCCATTCACATTCTGAATACGAATGAATTCTCTATCTACATGACTAATTCAAAAGGCACTTAATAAGCTCATACTATGCATGTTTTAGACACTGTACCACAGGTGCCAGGGAAATGAGGATTATTGAGTGAGTATCTCCATTGAGTGCACAGTACAGTGGGAGGAGAGGGACTTGTGAGTGCCCAACTCTTCCCTGTGAAGAAATAGCATGGAACCCTATTCAGTCTCTTCATTTTATAGAATGCATTTCTTGGTGTGTTTTAAATAAATTCAGTACAGATTTAACCCTCACCCTGCCCAACAAGCCAGGAAAGGTATATCACAATTTCTTTTTTTGAATTGGTGGTGTTAGCTTTAAAAAGGGAGGTGTCTATCCTGGTCTTTTTCACCATCAAGGATATGATGAAGAAAATATGAAGTCCACTAAAGGAAAGGCTTATATTAAAGCAAATGATGTTCTTTCTTGATTTAGGCAAGGGGCCTGGAGAGTCACATAAAATCCTATCTGAGCAGCTGGTTTGAGGATGTTGTATGCCCAATCCAAAGGGTTGTTCTTCTCTTTCAGGAAAAGCTTACCTTTCTGCTACATGCTGTAAGTACTGCCAAATGAGAGCATTTCCTTAACTGAGAATCACTTTGGATGATTTAGAAACATACTCATTTTCTCTGAACATGACTCCCATCCCTCCCCAAATATTCAAACTATGCTTGCTATCAAGATAGACCACACTTTATTTTCTCAGATCTAGAAAGTGATATTACTAAGGTAGAGTTGAATTTCAAATGCTGAGTCTTCCTAATAGGATAAAACATTTTAAAATAATTACTTTTCCAAGTGATCTGGGAAAGGTATAGTTTCCAAAACAATTTGAAAAGGAAAACAAAAATCCAGAGCAATTTTGATTCTATAAAATGTTAATGAGCAGTGGCTGAACAAGGCTCTGGAGAGCTTGTGACCAGTGCCCATCAATTGTTGTCCAGTGTGGTAGGGACTTATGGGGACATTTAGTCATGAGTAGCTGCTCAAGAAAAACTGGAATATATGTACCAATCAGGCTTTATTTTTCTCTCATAGGCTTTGAGTTACACTCCTGTTGAAGTTAAAGAATCAGATGAAAAAACAAAGAGAGACATTAACAGGTAAAGAACAGTTTTTTCAAAGAGAAAAGCTTTTCCACAGCAAGATTGACATCTGTGTTTGTAAACTGCTCCTTCCATCCCTTCCCCACCAGCCCAGTGCAAAATAAATTTGTTTTCATCCTTCCGTCCTGCAATATTGTTTGTGGAAATGGACTTGTGTGTGTGGCAGGTTTCTGAGTGTGGCCAGTCTTCAAGGACTTATTCATGAAGGCACCATGACTTCTTTGTGCATGGCCATGACAGAGGAGCAGCATAAGTCTGTGGTCATCGATTGCAGCAGCTCCCAGCCTCAGTTCTGCAATGCAGGTGAGCTACAACCTCTGAAGCAGCCTTCCTACATCTCTTGCGAGTCCCCATCTTTGCACTGAGAGCCTATGATACAACCTTATTCTTCCTGCCTTGTGCAGTTTTACATGGTTATCTCAAACCATGAGAAACCACTTGGTGAAAACAATATAATTCTAGAAACATGGAAATCATGCCATGCCTAGCAATTCCACACCTAGGTACATAAAGAAATTCTAGTATGTGTACACAAGGAGATGAATTTTAAAATGTCCATAAAGGCATTACTTGAAAAAGCAAGGAATTGGAAGCAATTTAAGTGTTTATCAACAAGAAAACTGATAAGCTGCTATATTCATGCAATGGAATATAACAGAGCAGTGAAAAAGAATGAACTAGAGCTACTTGTGTCAATATAGCTCTCAAACATACTATTTAGTGAAATAGCCATAAAAGAAAAAATACATAAAAGTTTTAACATATGCAGAATAATGTAGATAAGGCTTACACGTGCAAAGGTATATGGGAAAAGTTTAAAGACGTCTGTGGGAATGATTATCCTCTCTGATGGGAAAGGAAGGGGGATGTGATTGGGAAGGGGCATACAGGGGGCTTCAGCCATTTTGGTATTCCTTAGCCATGTGGTGAGCACACTGTTTTTTTAGGCCATTATACATGTCTTAAATAATTCATTATAGGTGTTTTTATAAAGAAATAAATGGGTCAGGCGCAGTGGCTCACACATGTAATCCCAGCACTTTGGGAGGCTGAGGCAGGTGGATCATCTGAGGTCAGGAGTTTGAGACCAGCCTGGCCAATATGGTGAAACCCCATCTCTACTAACGATATAGTTAGTACTCCGGCTGCACTCCAGCCGGGCAACAAGAGCGAATCTCCCGTCTCAAATAAATAAATAAATAAAGCTTTGTAAAATTTCATTTTATTTAGTCTCTCTGAAATGTTTTATAGGAAGTAACCGGTTTTGTGAGGATTGGATGCAAGCTTTTTTAAATGGTGCCAAAGGAGGTAACCCTTTTCTTTTCCGACAAGTACTGGAGAACTTTAAACTAAAGGTAATTAGTTGGCTGTGTGCCAAGTGCCACATGAAATTTTTGTCTGAATTTTAATTAGTACCAGTGACAGAGTAACAAATTGCTTTATAGCTGTGATGTCTGTTAATTAGGATGTTCTCAAAACTGGAATTATCAGAAGACATTTACTTTATTTTTTGGCAGCTTCTGTATACATATCATTTCTAATAAATTGGGTTGAATGCTTGCTTATATTTAAGGAACATCAGTCTTACAATTTGTGACTTAACTTAGTTGGAAAGCACAAAAAAACTGGTTCAGTGGCTAAGTTTTCAAAATTCTGATGGGGGCTGGGCGCAGTGGCTCACCCCTGTAATCCCAGCACTTTGGGAGACCATGGCAGGTGGATTGCTTGAGGCCAGGAGTTCAAGACCAGCCTGGCCAACATGGCAAAACCCTTTCTCTACTAAAATTATAAAAATTAGCTGGGCCTGGTGGCGCATGCCTGTAATCCTGGCTATGTCAGGTGGCTGAGGCACGAAAATTGCTTGAACCCAGGAGGCAGAGGTTGCAGTGAGCCCAGATTGTGCCACTGCACTCCGACCTAGGTGACAGAGTGAGACTCTGTCTAAAAAAAAAAAATTCTGATGGGGACGTGTTGTCACCTTATTTAGTTTTGTTTGTTTGTTTTAAGAGACAGAATCTTACTCTGTCACTCAGGCTAGAGTGCAGTGGTGCAATCATGGCTTACTGCAGCCTTAACCTCCTGGGTTCAAGCAGTCTTCCTGTCTCAGCCTCCTGAGTAGCTGGAACTACAGGTGTGCACCACCACACTCAGCTAATTATTTTTATTTTTTGTAGAGACGGGGTCTTGCTGTGTTGCCCAGGCTAGTCTCAAACTACCGGCCCTTAGGCAATCCTTTTGCCTGGGGCTCCCAAAGTGTTGGGATTACAGACATGAGCCACCATGCTAGGTAGATTATTTTAAAGTATTTTTATTTTGTATAAGAGATTTTTGGCTGCGCGTGGTGGCTCACGCCTGTAATTCCAACACTTTGGGAGGCTGAGGCGGGTGGATCACTTGAGGTCAGAAGTTCGAGACCAGCCTGACCAACATGGTGAAACCCCGTCTCTACTGAAAATACAAAATTAGCCTGGTGTGGTGGCACACACCTGTAGTCCCAGGTACTTGGGAGGCTGAGGCAGGAGAATCACTTGAACCCAGGAGGCAGAGTTTGTGGTGAACCGAGATCAAGCCATTGCGCTTCAGCCTGGGCAACAAGAGCGAAACAAGAAAAAAAAGGAGATTTTCTTCTTCTACCAAGGGCAAAGCATACTGCAATTTAAATTTTGGAAATATTTAATATGAAAAGCAAACAATTCAGGAAGATATGTTGAGTTCTCAGCTGGATAGGAGTTATTTTTTGAGCTTCATTATTATTTCACTTAACACATTTTTAACTGGGTAATCATTTTCTAGGCCATACAAGACACAAACAATTTGAAGAGATTTATCCGACAGGCAGAAATGAATCATTATGCTTTGTTTAAATGTTACATGTTCCTAAAGAACTGTGGTAGTGGAGATATACTTTTGAAGATTGTTAAAGTGGAACATGAAGAAATGCCTGAAGCCAAAAATGTGATAGCTGTCCTTGAAGAATTCATGAAAGAAGCTCTTGACCAAAGTTTTTGATCATATGTTTTGAGATAATTGTATGATCAAGTTGTATATTTAAGTCTTAGTGTTTGAAATTGCAGTTATAATTGTTCATAGGATTGCTATTTAAGATGATTTGAAACTCAATCCAGATTTTCTTTTTGTATTTTACCAATTTAACTTAAATAAAAATCTGAAGAACATCTTCACTGAGTCCTAGATAGATAATGTATGTGAGAGTTGTGAAATTTTAGTGTCTCACTGGCCCCATAAATTCCACGCTTCAGGAAGTTGTTGCTTAAAAAATTTCAGAGATGATTTTGTTTGTGGCTTTTCTCAGGAAAAGCCTGAGTTTGCTGCAGTATTTAGCAACTTTTCTTCTCAGAAAAACCATAATACTTCCTTTTCAGTGGACTGTAGCTTCTTAAAAAAAAAAATGTAATTCTAGTCTTAGAACAGATTAATACCACTACACCAGTTCAGAGATAGATCTGTGCATCCTGTGGGTGCTTGATACATTTTTTTGTCTAGTTGATAACGGCATGGATGATAAAGTCAGATTTTAAGTCAATATGCAAATCCTGAGTATGTAGAAAATTAAATGAGCTTTACAAATCGATGCACTAGCTTCAAGATAAAATATTATCTTTGAGCTGGGCGCAGTGGCTCAAGCCTGTAATCCCAGCACTTTGGGAGGCTGAGGCGGGCAGATCATGAGGTCAGGAGATCGAGACCATCCTGGCTAACACAGTGAAAGCCCGTCTCTACTAAAATACAAAAAATTAGCCGGGCATGGTGGCGGGCGCCTGTAGTCCCAGCTACTCTGGAGGCTGAGGCAGGAGAGTGGCGTGAACCCAGGAGGTGGAGCTTGCAGTGAGCCGAGATCGCGCCACTGCACTCCAGCCTGGGCGACAGAGCGAGACTCTGTCTCAAAAAAAAAAATAATTATCTCTGAGAGAAAGCTACTGCAGAAATCGCCTTCAGTCACCATTTCATTTATTTGTTCACAGGTATTTATGAAGAGCCTGTGTTTTCTTTTAGGTGAAAATGCTGGAGTTTTAAAACAGTGTTGAGAAAAGAAACAAAGTACATACAGTTTACAAGCAAACTGTAACATAAGGAATGCAAACAGTTTCTTCCTATTAGAGTTACTCATTGATTTTAGTTTTTTGTACATTTGTTACAAGCCTCAGATTGTTTTACTCTGAATCAATTGAAAGTGCCCTCAGCTAGCCATTTACAATTCCCATGGAAGCCTATGTAGCTACATACATACAATTGCAATTTGCTCGGGATAGCTCTTTAATAAATTCATTTGATAATGATTTTTGCTTAGAAGAACAGAAGTCTTGTGTTCTCACTTCCCTGAGGATGCTCAGAGGAGCACAAACCCATAAAACTGAGGAATCCTCTCTTAAATGGATCTAAATTCACATTAAGTGCTGAGTTTTAACTTTCAAAATGACTGACAATGGCCTTCTGCTTTCTCCTCTACATAAGCCTCGGGACATGACTCACATTTCTTTTCTTTTAATGAGAAATACAATTCAGAATCTTCATAAATGCTTTCATACGGTTTTAAACTTTAATAACTTGGAATGTAGGCAGTATAGAAAAAAATCTAAGTAGCATTTTTCATAGTATTAAAGTGAGAGTGGCTGGGCACGATGGCTCATGCCTGTAATCCCAGCACTTTGAGAGGCCGAGGCAGGTGGATCACCTGAGGTCAGGAGTTCCAGACCAGCCTGACCAATATGGTGAAACCCTGTCTCTACTAAAATTACAAAAATTAGCTGGGAACTGTGGCATGTGCCTGTAGTCCCAGCTACTTGGGAGGCTGAGGCAGGAGAATCGCTTGAACCCGGGAGGCAGAGATTGCGGTGAGCCGAGATCGCGCCACTGCATTCCAACCTGAGTGACAGAGCGAGACTCTGTCTCAAAAAAATAAAGTCAGGGTGACTAAGGAAAACCAGCAATTTTATGACACTGTCCTTGAATCTGACTGTCTTTTCCCAATGTAGTTGGTTCCCCACTTGGAAATCATTTTTTAAAGTAAGCTACATTAGCACATCAACGTTTTAAGTCTGAAAAAATACTTCATTTTCAAATTCATGTCATTCAAGAGTCTATGTTGTAAATGGCATTTAAAAGCAAATGTGTTACCTGCTTCAAATCATTTATGGATATAGGCAAGGTGTAATTACATATTCTCTGTGTGGTTGTATATATTTTTGTAATGTAGGCTCACTACATTACACAGCTCTATATGATAGTCTTATTTTATCTTTTTTTTTTTTTAATGAAATGGGGTCTCACTATGTTGCTCAGACTGGTCTTAAACTCTTGGACTCAAGCAATCCTCCCACCTTGGCCTCCCAAACTGAGCCACTGCACCCGGCCTCTGGTAGTCTTATTTTAAAAAAAGTAAGTCTGGGCTGGGTGTGGTGGCTCATGCCTGTAATCCCAGCACTTTGGGAGGCCTAGGCGGGCAGATCATGAGGTCAGGAGATCGAGACCATCCTGGCTAACACGGTGAAACCCCGTCTCTACTAAAAGTACAAAAAATTAGCCGGGCGTGGTGGCAGGCGTCTGTAGTTCCAGCTACTCGGGAGGCTGAGGCAGGAGAATGGCGTGAACCCGGGAGGCGGAGCTTGCAGTGAGTCGAGATCACACCACTGCACTCAAGCCTGGGCGACAGAGCGAGACTCCGTCTCAAAAAAAAAAAAAAAGTCTGACAAACTCTGTATCACTACTGTAGACAAGGAAAATGGTGTCATGGAACTGAATATCTTGGTCATGAGAAGAAACCACAGAGTTCATGACTAGAAACATGTACTGTATTCAAATTTTAATAAGCTACTATCTTGGCTTTTAAAGTTGTTTTTTTTTTTGTTTTTGTTTTATTTTTTAAGACAGAATCTCGCTCTGTCACCCAGGCTGGAGTGTGGTGGTGCAATCTTGGCTCACTGCAACCTCTGCCTCCCAGGTTCAAGTGATTCTCCTTCCTCAGCCTCCCCAGTAGCTGGGACTACAGGCATGTGCCACCATGCATGGCTAATTTTTTGTATTTTTAGTAGAGACGGGGTTTCACCGTGTTAGCCAGGATGGTCTCGATCTTCTCACCTTGTGATCCACCCGCCTTGGCCTCCCAAAGTGCCGGGATTACAGGCGTGAGCCACTGTGCCCAGCCAGCTTTTAAAGTTTTAAAAAGGATTTGTTCAGACATGGAATATATTTGTGTATATTACTTGTGTGCTGTACACACAGAGGAAATGTATGTTTGTCATGTATGAAGAATGGCTTCAGTTTCTCTGTAATTAATTTGTAATTATAATAATAAAACTTAGCTTCTCATCAAGACAGTTGTTTTTGTTTAATGAGCTCAGTCCTCAAGCCTAACATTTGTATTCCCAACAAGGTTGTGAGGAAATTATACTTGCTATACTAAGGAATTTGTTGAAGAAGATCAAATCACTTGCTGGGATACACACCTTTCTGCTTCTTGCAGGAGGCATCAAGCAGAATCTAAGAGCAATTTCCCTCACAATGTTTTATTCATTGTCCAGTAGAGTTATACTCATAGAACTCAATAACCCAAGTTACTTCCTTTCACTCTCATTCATTATTCACCATGACAGAATGCCTGTCCTCTACCAGAGGATCCCTTAGACCAGGTGCCAGGAAAGCCTGCGGGCTTCTTGGAAATAAGATGCAGTTACTAGGACCACACTTTCCTAACAGTGTGTCTTCTCACTTAATGGAAACCCTGCTGACTTCAATGAAGTCTTTCCACTTGGAGGTCTGAGAGGGC
The DNA here is from genome assembly GCF_000001405.40 of Homo sapiens. NCBI lineage: Eukaryota > Metazoa > Chordata > Mammalia > Primates > Hominidae > Homo > Homo sapiens. The sequence goes on along the minus strand of NC_000017.11, from coordinate 32,327,987 downwards.
AGTCCAGTTCTCTTAATTGCTAAAGTTCCTAAATGTGGCTGGATGTGGTGGCTCAGGCCTGTAATCCCAGCACTTTGAGAGGCCAAGGCAGGAGGACTGCATGAGCCTAAGAGTTCAAGACCAGCCTGGCAACACAGTGAAATGCCATCTCTACAAAAAATAAAATTAGCAGGACCTGGTGGTATGTGCCTATAGTCCCAGCTACTCAGGAGGCTGAGGCTGGAAGATCGCTTGAGCCCAGGAGCTCAAAGTAACTGAGCTATGACTACCACTACACTCCAACCTGGGCAACAGAGCAAGACCCTCTCTCAAATATAAAGAAATAGGCCAGGCACGGTGGCTCATGCCTGTAATCCCAGCACTTTGGGAGGCTGAGGCGAGCAGATCACCTGAGGTCGGGAGTTCGAGACCAGCCTGGCCAACATGGAGAAACCCCATCTCTACTAAAAATACAAAATTAGCCAGGCATGGTGGCACGTGCCTGTAATCCCAGCTACTCGGGAGGCTGAGGCAGGATAATTGCTCGAACCTGGGAGGTGGAGGTTGCGGTGAGCCGAGATCACATCATTGCACTCCAGCCTGGGCAACAAGAGAAAAAATACATATATATGGAAGCAGTAATGAATCGACAGCTGTGGTTTTTCTTGTAAACTACTATGAGGGCTGATAAGGTGAAGGTCCTATTACATGAACTCTGAGTGAATGTCCCGAGGTTCATTCCTGTTACTGGATGGCCCCAGGCCTAATGCAATGAGATGGATCTTTAAACAAAGACCCTGAGGCCTGCACATGCTTAGTGCCCTTACAGTCCTGTGCAAATACCTGAGGGCTGACAGCATGAACTTTGGTACCACCAGTCTTGGGTGTGAAGCCAGCTGTGCCACATACTACCAGCAAGTAACTAAATTTCTCTAACCTTTTCCCTTGTGTATAAATAGGGGGATATTTATACCTAGTTCACATAAAGTAGCTGTGGAAATGCCTACCTCAGTGCCTAGCACATAGTAGGTACACAGGAAATCGTCTTCATTTCTTTTTTTCTTTTGAGACGGAGTTTCACTCTCGTTGCCCAGGCTGGAGTGCAATGGCACGAATTCGGCTCACTGCAACCTCCACCTCCCAGGTTCAAGCGATTCTCCTGCCTCAGCCTCCCAAGTAGCTGGAATTACAGGCACGTGCTACCACTCCTGGCTAATTTTGTAGTTCTAGTAGAGACAGGGTTTCCCCACGTTGGTCAGGCTAGTTTCGAACACCCGACCTCAGGTGATCCACCCACCTCAGCCTCCCAAAGTGCTAGGATTACAGGCATGAGCCACTGCACCTGTTTTTTTTGTTTGTTTGTTTCTTTTTTGAGATGGAGTTTCGCTCTTGTTGCCCAGGCTGGAGTGCAATGGCGCAATCTCGGCTCACTGCAACCTCTGCCTCCTGGGTTCAAGTGATTCTCCTGCCTCAGCCTCCTGAGTAGCTGGGACTACAGGCATGCACCACCATGCTTGGCTAATTTTTTATTTTTAGTATAGACGGGGTTTTGCCATGTTGGCCAGGCTGGTCTCAAACTACTGACCTCAGGTGATCCACCTGCCTCGGCCTCCCAAAGTGCTGGGATTACAGGTGTGAGCCACTGTGCCCGGCCCTTCATTTCTTAATTACCTTATTATTGGGAAGTGCCTTATTAATGTGTGGAAGAATGAAAATCTAGTATTAATAGAAGGGAAGAACCAGGAAAGTGAAAAAGGGAGAGAAGGCAAAGGCAGAGAATTCAACAGCTTCTGGCTCTCCAAGGAGCTTGCCTTTATTATTTATTTATTTATTTATTTATTTATTTATTTATTTATTTATTGAGACAGGGTCCACTCTGTCACCCAGACTGGAGTGCTGTGGCAGGATCTTGGCTCACTGCAACCCCTGCCTCCCAGGCTCAAGCAATTCTGCCTCAGCCTCCCAAGTAGCTGGGACTACAGGCACGCACCACTACCGCCCAGCTAATTTTTGTATTTTTAGTAGAGACAGGGTTTCACCATGTTGGTCAGGCTGGTCTGGAACTCCTGACCTCGTGATCTGCCCGCCTCAGCCTCCCAAAGTATTGGGATTACAGGCGTGAGCCACTGCGCCTGGCAGTTTTTTTGTATTATTAGTAGAGATGTGGTTTTTTCATGTTGGCCAGGCTGGTCTCGAACTTCTGGCCTCAAGTGATCTGCCTGCCTCAGCCTCCCAAAGTGCTGGGATTACAGGCATGAGCTACTGCGCCTGGCAGGAGCTTGCCTTTAAATGGCTCAGGTACTTTAGCCTGAAGTTGACCTATAAGAGCACTGATGCTCAGAGAGGATCCTGATTTCTCCTTCTAGGGAAGTTGGATCTCCACACTGTAAACAGAAGTGGGTTCTTTGGCCTTTAGCCTTAATGGCACTCTAAAGTTTGTTCTTGGATAGATTCTGCAGCATTTAAATTTTCTTTTCTTTTCCTTTTTTTTTTTTTTTTTTATTTTGAGACAGAGTCTAGTTCTGTCGCCCAGGCTGGAGTTTAGTGGCATGATCTCGGCTCACTGCAACCTTCGCCTCCAGGGTTCAAGCGATTCTCCTGCCTCAGCCTCCCGAGTAGCTGGGATTACAGGTGCCCATCACAGCGCCCAGTTAATTTTTGCATTTTTAGTAGAGACGGGATTTAACTGTGTTGGCCAGGCTGGTCTCGAACTCCTGACCTCATGATCCGCCCACTTCGGCGTCCCAAAGTGCTGGGATTACAGGCGTGAGCCAATGCGCCTGGCCTGGTTTTTTTTGTTTTGTTTTGTTTGAGACGGAGTCTCACTCTGTTACCACGCTGGAGTGCAGTGGTGCAATATCGGCTCACTGCAACCTCTGCCTCCATGGTTCAAGCGATTCTCTTGCCTTAGCCTCCTGAGTAGCTGGGATTACAGGCGTGCGCCACCACACCCAGCTAATTTTTTGTATTTTTAGTATAGACGGAGTTTCATCATGTTGGCCAGGCTGGTCTTGAACTCCTGACCTCAGGTGATCCACACGCCTCGGCCTCCCAAAGTGCTGGGATTACAGGCGTGAGCCACCATGCCCGTCCTACATACACATTTTTATGGGAAGAGAAATCACAGCTTTCATCAACCACTCAAAAGAGTTCAGTGATTTGAGAAAAGTTAAGTAAGATGCACACAGCTACAGACTGGTGCTAAGCACTGATGCCCCAATCTGTATTTTATAGAAATCCTGGATCCACCACCGCTGCTGTTCACCCTCTCCCACCCATCCTGACCCAGACCCAGATGAAACAGGCCCTAATGCCAGCCCTTCAGGTCACTTCCTGAATAACCAATGGCTTGGAAAAAGAAAAAAAATATTTAATGGAATCTGTGCTCAAATAATATGTTACAACAAAAATATACAGAATGTACACAATACAAAAATACTTAGAAACAAACATTGCAGTCTGTGTTTTGTTTTTTCCACTTACTCAAGTCCTCGGAGGGGCAGTTCACTGTTGGGCACTGTTTTTAAGGCAGAGGAGAACCGTGCTTTCCAGCCAGCACGGGGAGCAACATGAATGATGCCAGGAAAGGCTTTCACGGCACCCAGGGAATCTGCATTACGTATTTGCAAATTAAATTGGACGCTGGGGGAAGATCCTGGTGTGGTGAGCAACAGCTCCCCTAATCCTCTGGGCAAGAATGGTTCTCATGGAAATCGAGAGTCCTATTAGCTGGCAAAAGAGCCTCATTAGGGAGCTTTTCCTAATTAAAAAACGAATGATGAATGGTGTCATTAAAGCGAAATTTCTCCTTTGAAGGTTTGTTTTCCCTTCCCCAGTTTCTGTGATTCCTCTCCCGTTTAATGAGAGCCAGTGAGTCTATGGCTGCTGTTTGGGGATTCCCCAGCTTTCAGTTTCTGTATCCTGTGGATAAAAGGCCAACCTACCTCCACCAGCCTGAAGATTTACACACCACCCCCTGGGCTGGCAGCCACCTCAGACAAGGAAAGAGGCACAGAGGACACGGCCAGCCTTGGCCATGGGGAAGTGCTGCTGAGAGGGTGGTGGGACCTGCTGAGGAGAAAGCCAGATGCCACAAAGAGAACCCCTCTGACCAGACAGCTGCCTCCTGACCTGGGGAGAGGCCTGGGTCAGGTGAAGTGACCCTATGACCCCACCCTGTGGCCCCGCTTGGAAGTCATGGTTGGGAGAGGGGATGGAGGTGGGTGTGCTGACAGAGAACAGCTGGGGCTGGTGGTCTAAGGTGTAGACGAGGGTCCTTGGCAGCAGAGGACACACTTAACATGGTGGGAGACACGATTCCGCCTCCACTGTCCTTCTCAGTAACAAGCTTCCCTGGGAGTCCCCGAGGGAGCTGAGTGCTTCTATGAGGGATTTCTAGAATCTTCTAGTTCAATGCTTTCTCACCCCTAAGAGAGGAAGCCCCCTCTCCAGGTCATACCAGACAGAGGTGGCACTCTGCTCATTCCACCCACACCACAGAATCCCCAGGGGCCAGGACAGGAATCTGGAGGGGATTCTCCATCCCTCCAGGAAAGGACCTCATCGCTCAGCTTAGTGCGGCTGCAGCCCAGGCAGAGGCAGCAATGTCCTGACTCCTTCTGCATCCTCCCCTGGTCTTCCCTGAGCCCAGCTCCACAGCCTCAGAGCCTCCTCCTCTGAGGCACTGACTTCCATCTACATCTTTCTATCACTAGGGCAGAGAACGGTGGGCAGGGCACACACAAGACGCCCCAGGCTGACGCAACACCGCCAAAGGCGTGGGCCCACAGTGCCACAGGCTGCGGCCCTCAGCATGGCACTGGTGCAGGGGAGCAGGACCTAGGGAACTACATATGTGGATGAGGCCAGGGCAATCTATTTAGCAGTGGGCCAAGATGCGGTATGGCTGGGCCTCGCCTGCCAGTGAGTGAGTGAGCCCATTTACATGTAGTCACCAGGATGGGAAGCCACTGTGGCCCAAGACCCCAAATGCCTGGCCTGACTGACCCTGGACCCTGCTACACTCAAGGGCCAGGATGGGCACCAGGCTGGAGGAAGACCGTTCCCACACTCCTGCCCCTGTTTCTGGACACGCCCAGCCCCCCTGCCTCCTCCCAGGCCTGGCGTTCTTTGTTCTTCTGGGCTGTCAGTGGTTGAGAATTCCAAGAGCACGATAAAGGGAGTGTCATCTTTTGTCAAAGGTCATCCTCATGCCCTCCATTCGGGGCCTGCACCAGCTCCTGTTAGGAGGGTCATTCCCTCCATCTTGTTTTCTCACCTGTGTAATGGGGTGGGGTGGATTTGATAACCACCATGTTCTCTCCCGCATCCAAGCCTCCGAGGCTACTGGCTGCCCTCCCTCTGAGGTTCATCCATGCACCCAACAATTCTCCTGAGGCAAAGTTTTCCAACTAAACTGGAATTCCTCTTCCTGTAGCCTCCTGTCCCCCTAACTTAAATGGACACATGGCCTCAACATTCCTACCCCAGCCTCTCTTGCGCCCCCAAAGCTCTTTCTCTCCTAAGGGAGATAGGATGGAACCTTTTTGGATATGAAGGCCATCTCAGACGGAAACAAGAGCTGAACCTGGCAAACCTCAGCATCCAGGGATCCTTGGAGGGCTTGAGCTCTCCCTCCAGCAGGGCCATTCTGCCACCGGTCAGTGATGCTCAGGGGCAGGTGTGGAAGGGACAGGAGATGGGAAGGAAGGGGGCAGGCTTTGTCAAAGCAAGGACATTCAGCAACCACAGCACACCACGGTCTGCCACCTCTCACGGATGCCCACATGGGCCCCCTGCATCCTCCATGCCTTCTCTGCAGGCGCTGTCGTGCCTCAGTTACCTTTCCCATCACATACACACATATACGCACACACACACACACACGCATGAATGTTTCAAAACACTGTCTCCATAACCAAAGAGAGGCACAAAGTAGTGTCAGGGCAGCAAAAGGAAAGAAAAAGACCCTAAAACAAGGCTGGGCATGGAGGCTGGGGCACCCGTGTGAGATGCCAATATCCTGGAAGAAAGGGAGGGAGAAGTCTGAAGCTGGTCCTGGGTCTGTCTTCTCCAGGGTGGAACTTGGAATGAAGTTTATTCCCCCTGCATGGGTCCCTCTCACTGGGTACCCCCAGCACAAGAGGGGTCCTAGAGCCTACAGGCTCCCTGCTCTGCCCAACCCAGGCACAACAGATCATGCCCCGGTGCACACCAACCAGCCCAGGAGGGCACCCTGGTTTCAGCCAGGTCACAGCTGACATGTCCAGTAGGCCCTCTTCTTACTGGAGCCCCAGACACAGCAGGTGTCAAGGAGACACCACATGGCCTGCAATTATTTCTGAGCTAGAGAGGGGCCATGCCTGGACGCAACAACCTTCGAGCCTTCCCATGTCTCTTAGGGTCTCTGAGGGTAGAGGAGGAGGAAGAAGCTGCTGCTCAATCCGCAGCAGTGAGGGGGCACCCCCTGGCCCCATGGAAGAAGCCCAGCCCAGGTGAGGGAGGGCCACTCTCACACCCCACCCCAGACCTTCACCCTGGCCCGATGTCATCAGAGCAGCCGAGAAAAACGACAGCAGCCACATCAACTCCTCCGCCAGATGCCTTTCAGAAAAGGGTCTCCACTGTGTGTCCAAATCTAAACACAAACATTACAGTGGCCCAGAGTCTTCTGTCCTTGTCTGCCCGGCCTAGCTGAGCTGGTGATGAGAAGAAACCTCGCAGGCGCTCCCTGTGGGTGCTGCTTTTCCCTCCCCTCCCCGACCTTGGGCCTCCAGCCCTCAGGGGGGAGGCGGCAGCTTTAAGTCCAGCAGGGTGTAGGCAAAGATGTTCCAGAAGACAGCGAACAGCACGAAGACGGTGTACATGGCCACAAAAATCCACCACAGTGACTGGTCCTGGAGCCTCTGCTCGTAGTTCCTCAGGACCACCACGCCCAGGGTGATGCCCACGGCCACGCCACCCAAGTGCGCCACAAAGCTTGGGTGAGGGCACGGGGGATAGGCCGACGGGTGGAAGCGGAGCCACACGGCCCGCCCAAACTCCATGCTCACTGCAAGGGGAGGAAGCAGAGAGATGTCACAGGAGGGCCCTGAGCAGGGGCTGAGGGCCTTCACTTCATCACCCACCCATGAATTCATTCCCTATTAGGCCAAGCACCATTCTCTGCACTGGGGACACAGTAGTGAAGGAGGCAGGCAAATCTCTGTTCTCCCAGAGCTTACAGGGTCTAGCAATAAACCAGTAAGCAATTACATACATGAGATAATTTCAGGAAGAGAGACATCTATGGGGGGAAACAGGTGATTAAAAGCAATGCCTGTTTTAAGGAGGGAAATTCTTTAGCCCGGGGAGTCACGCAAGACCTCTCTAAAGAGGTGACATTTGGCCGGGTGCGGCGGCTCACACCTGTAATCTCAGCACTTTGGGAGGCCGAGGCGGGTGGATCACCTGAGGTCAGGAGTTCGAGACCAGCCTGGCCAACATGGTGAAACCCAGTCTCTACTAAAAATACAAACATTAGCTGGGTGTGGTGGTGGGCTCCCGTAATCCCAGCTACTCAGGAGGCTGAGGCAGAATTGCTTGAACCCAGGAGGTGGAGGTTGCAGTGAGCTGAGATTGCACTACTGCGCTGCAGCTGGGGCGACAGAGCAAGACTGTCTCAAAAACAAACAAAAAAAGAAAACCCTGACCCCAACAAACTGCTGAATTGACCCCTTAACAGATTCTTTTTGTTGTTCTTGTTGACACAGGTCTCACTCTAGGCGGGAGTACAGCGGCACCATCACAGCTCACTTCAGCCTCAACCTCCCGGGCTCAGGTGATCCATCTCAGCCTCCCAAGTAGCTGGGACTACAGGCACCCACCACCACATCTGGGTAATTAAAAAAAAAATTTTTTTTTTTGTAGAGATGAGGTCTTACTATGTTGCTCAGGCCTGAACTCCTGGGCTCAAGTGAGTTTCCTGCCTCAGCCTCCCACAGTGCTAGGATTATAGGCATGAGCCACCACACCCAGACCTGTAACAGATTCTAAGATGCCTTCATCCTGATCACCAATCCACGCTTCTTGTGTGAACTTCTTGGGTCAGCCAGTCAAGTGGGGATGGGCGCTAGGAAACTGCCATCCCATTATCCACTACCAAAAGAACACTGAGGGTAGATATTCTTATTCCCATTTTACAGATGAGAAAAACCAAGGCAAATTTGACACTGAAATAAAGCCCTTTGAGGGGAATTTTATACCTATTTAGCTACCAGTTAATGAGCCAGGGCACTTCTCTCCACCCTAACCACTGCAGGGGGTGCCAGAACCTCCAGGGACCTTCATTTCCCTTGGGGTTGCCCAGCCTTCTGGGCTGAGCCCTGCAACTCCAAGGATGGCCGATAGATGGCAGAAAAGGCGCATCCAGGGACTGACCCTCCGCCCTCCGCACTCCCACTCCTGCCCTGGGACAGCCTTCCAGCCTTGGCTCCCCAGGTCCAGGGTTTGATAAAGGAGGTATGAAAGATGATGGTCTCCAACTCCGATACAGCATTTTAGTTTTTATGATGCTTACGGTTGGATTTTTTTTTTTTTTTTTTTTTTTGAGACGGAATCTCGCTCTATTGCCCAGGCTGGAGTGCAGTGGCGCGATCTCGGCTCACTGCAAGCTCCGCCTCCCGGGTTCACGCCATTCTCCTGCCTCAGCCTCCCCAGTAGCTGGGACTACAGGCATGTGCCACCACACCCGGCTAATTTTTTGTATTTTTAGTAGAGACGGGGTTTCACCGTGTTAGCCAGGATGGTCTCTATCTCCTGACCTCGTGATCCGTCCGCCTCGGCCTCCCAAAGTGCTGGGATTACAAGCGTGAGCCACCGCGTCCGGCCGGATTTTTTTTTTTTTTAAACAACAAGACTCGTGCTTCTCTTTCCTTCCTCAAAAACGAACAAACTCAGAGCCTAAGCAGACGCAGAAGCTATGACACACCCACTGCCACCCCACTGCACCCTAATACCCTGACTCAAGGAGTCCTCAGGTTTTAAGGCTGGAAGTTCCTTCCTGGGATGAGAGATTCTCCAGCCCCATCCAGGAAACAGATCCAGAGAGACCCACAGAGGGTCAGGGGCAGACCTGATTTCTTGAAAGCCATGGGGTAAGAAGTAAGGAAGGTGGACGTGAATTGAAGCGGAGCCTTCCCAGGCCTGACCCTCCGTGAATTGAAGTGGAGCCCTCCCAGACCTGACCCTCCATCCCAGGTTTGTTCAGACTCAGTCTTCCTCTTACCTACACAGCAGGTAGCTGACCCAGAGAAAGCCCAGGTGCTTACTGTCTAGCTTGGCTAACATGTGGGACATTTGAAATGGCACAGGCTGGCTCTGAATTCTGGCTCTATCACTTCTTAGCTGGGTGACCTTGGGCTAGGAACCTAACTCTCTGAGCCTGGAGTTTCTACCTATAAATTAAGCTAATAATAATACCCTTTCTAGGTGGGTTTGGAGGACTGGATGAGAAAATGCGTTCACTCCCTCTTCTATCCTCATTGGTTTTTTTGTTTGTTTGTTTTTGTTTCAGCATGTTGGTCAGGCTGGTCTCGAATTCCTGACCTCAGGTGATCTACTCGCTTTGGCCTCTCAAAGTGCTGGGAGTACAGGCGTGAGCCACTGCGCCTGGCCTTTTCTTTTCTTTTCTTTTTTTTTTTTTTAAGGCAAGGTCTCGCTCTGTCACACAGGCTGAAGTGCAGTGGCATGATCATAGCTCACTGCTGCCTCAAGCTCCTGGGCTAGGACTATAGGCATAAGCCACCATGCCTGGCTAATTTTTAATTTTTGTGTGTGTGTGTGTGGAGACAGGGTCTTGCTCTGTCGCCCAGGCTGGTATTGAACTCCTAGGCTCAAGAGATCTTCCTGCCTCAGTCTAAGTAGCTAGGACTACAGGCGCAAGCCACCATGCCGGGCTAATTTTTTTGTATTTTTTTTTTTTTTGTAGAGACAAGGTCTTGCTATATTGCCAAGGCTGGTCTTAAACTCCTGGGCTCAAGCGATCCTCCCACCTTGGCCTCCCAAAGTGCTGGGATTACAGGCGTCAGCCACACTGCCCGACCCCTACCTCCATTGCTTCTGTTCAGACTCATCTCTTTCAATCTCAGAAAGAGCCCTTTGGCCTTTGGTCTTTGGTCTTATCCCCCTTGTCCCCACAATCTATTCTCCACACTGCAGCCTGACTGGTTTTCTAAAACTCTGGTTATCCATCAATAACTCTCTTGTTGAAAGCCCTCCAGTGGGATCCCAGGGAACGCAAAGTGAAGTACATTTTCTTTTCTTAGCATTTAAAGCCCTTAACAATCTGACTCATACTATTTCACTAACTTTATCTCTGATCAAAATCACACACAATCCCAAAACGAATTTCTTGGTTTTGCTAACCAACTCGCTGGCCATGACCCTTCACCCATCTATATGTTAGTTCAGGCTGCAGCTTTGCCTGAAATGTCCTCTTACACCATGTTTACTTGGTGGACACCTGCTTGCCTCTAACACTCAGAATGACCTCTGTAGGTAGAACTGAGCTCTCCCAACTAGGGCCCTGAAGACATCTTGTTCCTAGAGGTTCTTGGACTAGTTACAGTTTGCGAACCTGCTAAAACTGCAGCTTTTGATATATGTGTGTATGCACATGAGTGCACATATATGTATTTTTCTGGCGACAGGGTCTTGGACTTTCAACAAGGGATCTCAAAGGATCAGTTCCATGACCAAAAAGGTTAGGAAGTTATTTGTCTTGATCTGGGTGCTGGTCCTTAAGCACTTTTCTGTTTGCATATTATATGTCAATAAAAAGATGAAAAAATAGGCTGGGGCCAGGCATGGTGGCTCATGCCTGTAATCCCAGCACTTTGGGAGGCCAAGGCGGGCAGATCACCTGAGGTCAGGAGTTTGAGACCAGCCTGGCCAACATGGTGAAACCCCGTCTTTACAAAAAATACAAAAAAGTAGCTGGGCGTGGTGGCACGTGCCTGTAATCCTAGCTACTTGGGGGGCTGAGACAGGAGAATCACTTGAACCCGGGAGGTGGAGGTTGTGGTGAGCCGAGATCACACCACTGCACTCTAGCCTGGGTGACAGGGGGAGGCTCCATCTCAAAAATAAAATAAAATAAAATAAATAAAATAAAATAAAAATAAAATAAAATATAAAATAAAATAAAATAAAAGGCCAGGCGTGGTGACTCACACCTGTAATCCCAGCAACTTGAGAGGCCAAGGCAGGAGGATTGCTTGAGCCCAGGAGTTCAACACCAGCCTGGGCAACATGGCAAGACCCCCATCTCTGCCAAAAATTTTAAACAGCCAGGCATGGACCCACACATGTGTAGTCCCAGCTATTTGGGAGGCTGAAGAGGGAGGATCACCGGAGCCCAGGCAGGAGTCTGATGCTGCAGTGAGCTATGATTGTGCCACTGCACTGCAGCCTGGATGACACAGGGAGACACCCTGTCTCAAAAAAAAAGATGAAAATATAATTTTTAAAAATAGATAAATAAATAAAAGATGAATGGTTACGAAGCAGCACAGCAGGACAGACAGCTCTCACAATATCCCTACTTTTTTGCTAACCATTGACATGTCCCACTTTTTTTTTCTTGACCATAAGCCCGTGAAGGGCAGGAACTGTGCCATCTTTGAACCTCAGGCCCTGGTGCCAGGCTTTGGTTCCCCAGCGCCCCATCAGTACTTACTACAGATAAGGGCCACAGCCATCCGCAGCAGCTTGAACTGGCACTTCATGCCTGACCAGTTCTAGGGAAAAAGGAGAGCTCAGTCAGTTCCAGATTAGACCACTCTTCTGCCGGTGTGTCTTGCTTAAGAAAACCTGACATTAAAATAAGGATCTCCGTGAAGTCCTGAATGAGAGGGTTGTGGCTTAGTAGCAGAACACACCACATGGCTTTGAGATTTTAGGCAACAGCAAGTTTACTCCCGTCATAAGAGTTCTTGAGCTGGACTAACAAGAGGAAGGGACTCCAGATCTAGGAAGAGGAGAGGCCCTGTCTCCTCAACGTGGACAGAGAACATCTCAGAGCTGCATTCATTGCTGAGCTCCACGGTTGCAAAGGATGCAGGACAGCCAACCAAGCAAAGTCAAGACAGAACCACCAGGATGATAAAAGAGCTCAAAATCCTGCAAATGAGGAATGAATGGGGAAGCCAGGATCTTTTAGCTCAAAAAAGAGGGGACTGAGGGGTCAAGTTCATTGTTGTCAAATATCAAATGAGTCAACACAAGGAAAGGGCACATTCAATTCAGTGTAACCTGCAAGCAGAAGATGCAATGGATGAAAACTTCAGAGAGAGACTTTTTAGCTCAGAGTAAGTTTCCATTTCTAGTAAGCAGAGCTCTCCAGAGATAGAATGGTCCGTCTTGCAGGCTTCGTGAGTTTCCCAACCATCGGGGGTTTCACATCACTCGGAAAGGATGCTCCAGAGGAGAATCAGATACTGGAGAGGGGGTGGGCCAGGTGGCCTTCAAACAACTCCCTCTCTCCCCTGAGAATCTTGGAAAACTCGGAACCTCCAAAGCAGATAAACAGTACAATTATTCGCTTTACAAAAGGACTTTTCACTTTACAAAAGACTTCACCACAGGATTCCTTTGAGAGGCACTCCTGCAGTGCATTCAAAGCACTATTCCATTTATACAGAGGTGCGCGTGCACAGAAATAAGCCCGGAATCTTCCTGGAACACATAAGCCCCAGGGAAGGAGGGCACAACCAGGGGACTTTGGTTTCCTCCCACCACCCAATCTGCCTTTGCTGCCTGGCCCAGGCCCAGCTCGGGGGCACGTGTGGCACTTCTTTGAGGTTGCAGGAACATCCGTGTAACTTTACAGAGGCCCTGAACACTGGCATGGACACTAACATCTATGAACACTTCAGTCAAGCAAGCAGGACACAGAGCACATGCCAAAGAGGGGGAAATCCTCACAGCCTTCAGTTCTTGCCCACCTCCTCCCTTCTCCCCATCCTTCCTCACTGACCAGCAACCCCTTCTTCACAGAAAGTGAAGTGTGGGCCACCTGCGGTCCCGCTTTAGGTGGAAAGCCTGTCTTCGCTTGCCGACATGTTCCATGCTAGGAAGCAGATGGCAGGATATCGGTGTCATCTGCTGGTGTCTGCCCACAGAGGAGCCTTGCCAGGAGACGAGGAAGAAAACAGGAGTCAGTGCCCTCCCCTGAATCTAGCGACCCAATCTGAGCTGGCTCAGTTAGCAGATGGTGGGCACCGCAGCCCCCTCTTCAAGCTGAAACCCTAGGATGGGAGGAAACTTGGGAATCATCTAATGGGACATCTCTTCCCAAAGGCGGACACCCACTGCCAAGTAGCCAACAAGATGGCCCTCCAGCCCACGTGATGGGGTGCTCCCTGTCTCCCTGGGAGCCCTGGGAAGGGCTCTCACCCCTAACGGTTCTTCTTGCTGTTGTTTGCCAGGCTTTCCTTCCCTATAATGTCCCCTCCATGGATTTCAATTCTCCCTTAAAGGTGATACCCGGCTGGGCGCGGTGGCTCATGCCTGTAATCCCAGCACTTTGGGAGGCTGAGGCGGGTGGATTACTTGAGCCAGACTCCGTCTCAAAAAAAATAAAAATAAAAAAAAGCGATACCCATGTTCATAGCAGCATTATTCACCATAGGCAAGACACGGAAGCCACCCCAGTGTCTATGGATGGATGGATACATGAAATATACATACATATGTCTATATATTTGGTTTCTTGCCCACCTCCTCCCTTCCCTGACTCTTCCTCACTGACCGGCCACCCCTTCTTCACAGAAGGTGAGGTGAGCCACCTGCCTTCCCTTTTTAGGTAGAAAGTCTAATCTTCACTAATCTTCATGTTCCAAGCTAAGAAGCAGATGGCAGGATAACGTTGTCACCTGCTGATATATACATACAATGGAATACAATTCAGCCTTTAAAAGGCGGTGGCTCACGCCTATAATCCCAGCACTTTGGGAGGCCGAGTCGGACAGATCAGAAAGTCAAAGGAGATCGAGACCATCCTGGCTAACATGGTGAAATCCCGTCTCTACTAAAAATACAAAAAAATTAGCTGGGCATGGTGGCAGGTGCCTGTAGTCCCAGCTACTCTGGAGGTTGAGGCAGGTGAATGGCGTGAACTCGGGAGGCAGAGCTTGCAGTGAGCCGAGATCACACCACTGCACTCCAGCCTGGACGACAGAGTGAGACTCGTCTCAAAAAAAAAAAAAAAAAAAAAAAAGGGAGGGAATTCTGACCCATGTTACAGCATGAATAAACCTGGAGGACCTTACGCTAAGTGAAATAAGGCAGTCACAGAAAGCTAAATACTGTATGATTCCACTTAGATGAAGTATAGAGTAATTAAATTCATGGAGACAGAAAGTAGAATGGTGGTTGCCAGGGGCTGGAGGGAGGAGGGGGTGGGGAGTCATTGTTTAGTGGGTACAGAGTTTCAGTTTTGTAAGATGAAAAGAGTTCTGGAGACAGATGGCGATGATTGTACAATGTGAATGTATGAATGTACTTAATGCCATTGAACTGTACATTTAAAATGTAACTGTATACTTTAAGATGGTACATTTTATGGTATGTACATTTATCACAATTAAAAGCAAAAGTACAGAAGACTTTTTAAGAGACAGGGTTTCACTCTGCCAACCAGGCTGGAATGCAGCAATGCAATCATAGCTCACTGCAGCCTCAAACTCCTGGGCTCAAGTAATCCTCCTGCCCCAGCTTCCCAGGTAGCTAGGATTATGGGCATGTGCCACCACACCTGGCTAAATTTTTTATTTTTTGTAGATATGGAACTTCACTATGTTGTCAGGTTGGTCTTGAACTCCTGGCCTCAAGTGGTCCTCCAGCCTCGGCCTCCCAAAGTGCTGGGATTACAGGCTAGGTGCTCACGCCTGTAATCCCAGTGCTTTGGGAGAGGCCAAGGCAGGAGGAATGCTTGAGCCTGAGAGTTCGAGACCAGCATGGGCAACATGGCGAAACCCTGCCTCTATAAAAAATTAGCTGGGCGTGGTGGTGTGCACTTGTAGTGCCAGCTACTCAGGAGGCTGAGGTGGGATGATCGCTTGAGCCCAGGAGGTGGAGGTTGCAGTGAGCTGAAATTGCACCAGCACACTCTGGCCTGGACAACAGAGTGAGACCCTTTCTCAAAAACAACAGGCCAGGTGTGGTGGCTCAGGCCTGTAATCCCAGCACTTTGGGAGGCTGACGCAGGCGGATCACTTGAGGCCAGGAGCTCAAGACCAGCCTGGCAAACAGCAAAACCCCATCTCTACTAAACATATAAAAAAATTAGCTGGGTGTGGTGGTACATGCCTGTAACCCCAGCTACTCTGGAGGCTGAGGCACAAGAATTGCTTGAACCTGGGAGGTGGAGGCTGCAGTGAGACGATATTGCGCCACTGTACTCCAGCCTGGGCAAAGGGTGAGACTCTGTCTCAAAACAACAACAAAACAAAAAGTGCTGGGATTACAGGCATGAGCCATTTGTGCTCGGCCCCCTCTGAGTAAATATCTTATTATTTTTCTTTTTTTTCCTTTTGAGACAGGGTCTTACTCTATTGCCCAGGCTGGAGTGAAGTGGCATGATCACGACTCACTGCAGCCTTGACCTTCTGGGCTCAAGTGATCCTCCCACCTCAGCCTCCCAACTAGCTGGGACTGTAGGCACACTGTACCACACCCGGCTAATTTTTAAATTTTTGTAGAGATGGGGTCTCCCTATGTTGCCCAGGCTGGTTCAGAACTCCTGGGCTCGAGCAATTCACCTTCCTCGGCCTCCCAAAGTGCTGGGATTGTAGGGCGTGAGCCACCAAGCCTGGCCTAAGTGAATATCTTATCTGAAGACAGTGTCTCTTTCACTATGTCCTGAGTGATAATATCAGGCAAAGTAAGTTAGAATGTATGGACAGCTCTCTCCTTTATCTGAGGTCTCCAGCCTCCATGCCCCTCCTGGGCCCTATCTGGGATAGATGTTAAATGCGCCATCCTTATTTTTGGCCTGGTTGGCCATCAGTGGGGTGGCTCAGAATTCCTTCTTCTCTGTCATTTTCATTTGTGAATTTGAGATAACAACTGCCCCTTATCTCAGTTCCCCACCTCATCAGGTGGTTGTGAGAATGAAATGAATTAATATATGTAAAGCACTAAGACCACTGCCTGGCACACAGTAGGCATCATCTAAATGTGTGACAGTATCTTGACCTGAGACAAAGACGGGGAGTTTGCCCTGCAGAGTGGCTTGAAAAAATCTGAATCTGAATGACTCCAGTTTTGCCACAGCACCTCCCAGGCCCGCTTTATGAGTTTACAACATCTGCCTGGACCCTGAAAGCCCTGGAGCTTGCCAAGCTGATCCAGTCCATCCCTCTGCCGCACACTTTAGGGAAGAAGAAACTGAGGATTCAGGAGGGCTGGTTCAAGGTCACAGTGAGTGAATGGTGAGCTGACTGGGCTCCTGGTCCAGGGCTCTGTCCACCCACACTTCAGAGGTCACATTCCATGTGCCTGGGCCGTCTGTCCCAGCTGCCCACAAATGGAGCGAAAAAACGCCAGTAAATATGACCTGCCTCCCAGCAGCCGAGGGGTTAAACTAGAGAGTCCCCGCTTCCAACCAGCTGCCTTACTTCCCTAATCCAATATTCCCGCCAATAAAATCAGTGCACTGAAACAACGGGAGAGAAGAAAAAAAATCTCACATGCAGCCAGCACTGCTGCTGCTATAAAAGCTGGAAAGCCTGCAGATCTTTGGGGAATACAAACCTTTTGCAGGCCCTTTAATTTCATTCTCCCAGAGCCTCAAAGAGTGAGATAGTACTCACCCACAGCGAACAAGTTGGTAACCAGTCCCCTCAGCATCTTGCTCACCCAAACGGGTTAAGAGTGCAGAGGCTGAAAGCCAGGCAGGGAGCTTCCATTCCAATACAGCTTTCTATATCTATCCCTGGTAGAAACGGTTTCTTGTGAAATGACTTCAAGAAAACCCAACACAGGGAATGTGAAAGTATGACGCAGATAAATTAGGGAGTTGATTCTTTGTCCTACAAAAATATTTTTCCTTAATAAAGTAAACCTTTTTTTTTTTTTTTTTTTTGAGATGGAGCCTGACTCTGTCGCCCAGGCTGAAGTGCAGTGGTGTGATCTCGGCTCACTGCAAGCTCTGCCTCCCAGTTTCAAGCCATTCTCCTGCCTCAGCATCCTGAGTAGCTGGGACCACAGGTGCCCGCCACCACGCCTGGCTAATTTTTTATATATATATTTTTTTTAGACGGAGTCTCTATCTGTCGCCCAGGCTGGAGTGCAGTGGCACGATCTTGGCTCACTGCAACCTCCGCCTCCCGAGTTCAAGCGATTCTTCTGCCTCAGCCTTCTGAGTAGCTGGGACTACAGGCACCTGCCACCACGCCCACCTAATTTTTGTATTTTTAGTTGAGATGGGGTTTCACCATATTGGCCAGGCTGGTCTCGAACTCCTGACCTTGTGATCCGCCTGCCTCAGCCTCCCAAAGTGCTGAGATTACAGGCATGAGCCACCGCACCAGCCAGTTTTTTGTATTTTTTAGTAGATATGGGGTTTCACGTATTAGCCAGGATGGTCTTGATCTCCTGACCTCGTGATCTGCCCACCTCGGCCTCCCAAAGTGCAGGGATTACAGGCATGAGCCACCACGCCCGGCCAATAAAGTAAACTTTATAACAGAAATCTTTAGTGTCTGTTAGGCAACCATCTTCCCTTGTGCTTTGACAATGTGGTTCAGTTTGTGAAAATTCAGACCTCAAACATTTTGGGAAAACATCAATCATACAGAGCGAAGTGTAAGTAAATATCTTGTAGATTAAAAAATGGAACTCTGGCCAGCAGGAGGCAATTAATAAATTATTCAATTAGGTGTATCTGTATATTTCTAGTGTTTAAAATAAGAAGTCTTGGCGGGGCATGGTGGCTCACGCCTGTAATCCCAGCATTTTGGGAGGCTGAGGTGGGTGGATCACTTGAGTTCAGGAGTTCGAGACCAGCCTGGGCAACATGGTTAGCTAGGCATGGTGGCACGAGCCCGTGGTCCCAGCTACTCGGGGGGCTGAGGCAAGAGGATCGCTTGAACCCAGGAGGTGGAGGTTGTGGTGACCCGAGATCACCCCATTGCACTCCAGCCTGGGTGACACAGCGAAACCCTGTCTCAAAAAAAAAAAAAAAAAAAAAAAAAAAGAAGTCTTGATTATAGGGCTTTT
This sequence comes from Homo sapiens, assembly GCF_000001405.40. Classification (NCBI taxonomy): domain Eukaryota; kingdom Metazoa; phylum Chordata; class Mammalia; order Primates; family Hominidae; genus Homo; species Homo sapiens. The sequence goes on along the minus strand of NC_000017.11, from coordinate 32,309,747 downwards.
TGCATTCCAGATCTTTTGTTGAAATATTTTGTCCATTTTTTCATCTCCCAAACAACTGTTTTGTGAAGATGGGATTACCGATGAGACAACTGGGGCTCCAAGAAGTTGAGTAATAGACTCATAGCTATTAAGATGGTGACATTGGTACTCAAATGTGGATTTTCTCTCAAGTCCATGCTTTTTCTTTTCTTTTTTGAGACAGAGTTTCGCTCTTGTTGCCCAGGTTGGAGTGCAATGGCGTGATCTCGGCTCACCACAACCTCCACCTCCTGGGTTCAAACAATTCTCCTGCCTCAGCCTCCCGAGTAGCTGGGATTACAGGTATGCACCACCACACCCAGCTAATTTTGTATTTTTAGTAGAGACGGGGTTTCTCCATGTTGGTCAGGCTGGTCGCAAACTCCCAACCTCAGTTGATCCGCCTGCCTCGCCCTCCCAAAGTGCCGGGATTACAGGCGTGAGCCACCGCGCCCAGCCCAAGTCCATGCTTTTTCTACTTTTAGTTCTGATGAGGTACTTTACTGTGTATCTCACACACACACACACACACACACACACACACACACACTCCAAACCTTCATTTTGAAGCTGAAAACAATAGTATATCTATTAGGTAGAACGATATGAATTTGCCAATATTCAAATGCTGATGGCCCATAGAAAGGGCAATTTTTTTTTGAGACAGGGTCTCTCTCTCTCTGTCACCCAGGCTAGAGTGCAATGGTGTGATCTCGGCTCACTGCAACCTCTGCCTCCTAGGTTCAAGTGATTCTACTGCCTCAGCTTCCTGAGTAGCTGGGATTATAGGCACGTACCACCACACCTGGCTAATTTTGGTGTTTTTAGTAGAAACGGGGTTTCACCATGTTGGTCAGGCTGGTCTTGAACTCCTGACCTCGTGATCCACCCGCCTCGGCCTCCCAAAGTGCTGGGATTACAGGCGTGAGCCACTGTGCCCAGCCAGAAAGGGCCATTTCATATGGGTCGACCCAACGCATCTCTGAACTGCTTAGCACTGAACTAATTTGAGTAAAGGTAGCCTCTTGACAAAGAGAAACCAGCCTTTTTAATGAGACGATGAGTTTTCTTTCATCGTCAATAAACACCACATAACTTTCTTTCTTTCTTTTTTTTGAGACAGGGCTTCACTCTGTTGCCCTGGCTGGAGTGCAGTGATGCAATCTCAGCTCACTGCCCGCTGCCTCTCTGGCTCAGGTGATCTCAGCCAGCCTCCAGAGTAGCTGGAACCACAGGTGATCTCACCTCAGCCTCCAGAGTAGCTGGAACCACAGGTGCATGACACCACACCAGGATAATTTTTTGTATTTTTGGTAGAGGTGGGTAGAGATGTTGCCCAGGCTGGTCTTGAACTCCTGGGCTTAAGTGATCTGCCTGTGTTGACCTCCCAAAGTGCTGGGATTACAGGTGTGAGCCAGCGCGCCCAACCCACACAACCTCCTGGAGAAGGGCTCCCCATGTGTCATGCTCTGGGGACTGCACAGCTCCCAGTTGGCCAAGGAAAGCCGTTTGCTTCTGGAAGGCACGGGGCTCTCAGATGAGGCTGCTCATCTCCACAGCGGCAGGCCATGGGCTACTTGACAGAGAGAAGCATCAACTGGAACAAAACTGCTCTCACACCTCTCTCGACAAACGTGCCCTACTCCATGGTCCTTCAGTGGTCTGCCTTCACCATGGGAACTTCTGGGCCATCAGGGCTGTTTCCCATGAGGTGGGGAAGAGGGTGGGAACAGGGCATCGTTATGAATGCCAGCGTGCTTCTTCCTCCCTGTGTTCTCTTTCAGTTGAGCTTGTTCACCACCCCTACACACATACAAGTCTTGGGCGGAATGGGAGGGAGGAGGTTAGCATTTCCTTCCCCTACTGAAAGGAATTGGGGCAGGGGGAGGGGGGAGTGGAGGAGGCAGAATTCAGAGGAAAAGCTGTGTCTGGGGAAAGATGTGGCACTGATACAGAATGACCCATTTAAAAGGGCCATGGGAGGCAGCCCATGCACTCAGGTTTTCAACAAACTGAAGTGTGTGCATGTGCAAACACACCTGCACACACACACTGAGAGGCTCACCGTTCCACGTTTCCCAACACCCGCAGCCTCTCTCTGAGCACTCACCTGAAGGTGCCAAAATTCAGGCCAGTAGCAAGTATAGGCAGGTACTCAGTGTCTGTCTATCTCTCCCCCTCTCTTCCTTTCTTTTCCCCTCCCTCTTGTGCTCTTTCTTCTCTTGCTCAATGTACAATGGGCATTTTGATGAGAACAAAAGGGACAGGGTTGGGAGCAGGGTGGGTGACAGAGAGATTGATAAGGAAGAAAAACATGGGATAATTCAGGAACGCCAAGCCCTGTGCACTGTGATCATTGAGCATTCAAACATCTGCCACGTGGGCGAAGACACTGATGGAGGAGTGGGTGAGAACAGGAGGACCCCAAAGAAAAGCTATGCCTTCCTTCCTTCATTCACTAAAATCTAGTGGGCACCATCTACCATGCTCCCAGCCATATGCCAGGTACTGGGAAATAGACAAGTAAGACCCGGAGGCTCCCAGGCCAGCAGAGGGATCGGGCAGGGTTAGCCACTGACTCCTCCATCAGCCTTCAGACTTCAGACCGCCTCCAAAAAAAGGATTTTGATATCCTCTAAGACTATCAGATCCCAATTTCTGGCCTTCAAGGCTTTGTCTAGTCTGACCCCATCCTGGCCTCTTCTGTCAGGAGAAGGAAATTAAATTTACATTTATATAGGTGGTTATTTGCACTTTATTTCATTTACTGTATGTCATTCTATTACTTTTCTTTTCTTTTCTTTAAATTGAGACAGGGTCTCACTCTGTTTCCCAGGCTGGTGTGCAGTGGTGCAATCTCTGCTCACTGTAACCTCTGCTTCCCAGGCTCAACTGATTCTCCAGCCACAGCCTCTGGAGTAGCTGGGACTATAGCCATGCACCACCGTGCCCAGCTAATTTTTGTATTTTTTATAGAGATGGAGTTTCACCATGTTGCCTGGGCTGGTCTTGAACTCCTGAACTCAATGCAATCTGCCCACCTCAGCCTCTCAAAGTGCTGGGATTACAGTCCTGAGCCACTGTGCCCAGCTCCCATTCCATTTCACAGATGTAGAAAGTGAGGTGCAAAGCAGTTAAGTAATTTGCCCAGAGTGTAGCAGGGATTTAGACCTAGGCTGACTGGCTCCAAAGACCATGTTCTTCACTATCACACTGTACTACCTTTCAGGAAAAGGCAGAGGGTGAGAAATGGAGTGGTGCCCCCCTCCCATGACAGACTGGGATAGGGGAACAACTGTTTTTTTTGAGACGGAGTCTCGCTCTGTCACCCAGGCTGGAGTGCAGTGGTGCGATCTCGGCTCACTGCAACCTCCGCCTCCCGGGTTCAAGCAATTCTCTTGCCTCAGCCTCCCAAGTAGCTGGGACTACAGGAGCGTGCCACCACGCCCAGCTAATTTTGGTATTTTTTTAGTAGAGATGGGGTTTCACCATGTTGGCCAGGATGGTCTCGATCTCTTGACCTCATGATCCGCCTGCCTTGGCCTCCCAAAGTGCTGGGATTACAGGCATGAGCCACTGTGCCTGGCCGGGAAATGACTCTTGAATGGTTGTCAGGAGATACGGGTTTAAGCCCTCATTTTGCCACAAACTTGACTGTGACTTTGGACAAGTCACTTAACCTCTCACAGCCTCCTTTCCTATTTGAGAATTTTGATGAGATAATCTCTAAAGCCCTTGTATTTTTAACAACCTATGATAAATAAGCAATTCCAATGGCCATATATGCTAGTGACCAAATTTTTTTTTTTTTTGAGAAAGAATCTCACTCTCTCCCCCAGGCTGGAGTGCAGTGGCGCGATCTCGGCTCACTGCAAGCTCCACCTCCTGGGTTCATGCCATTCTCCTGCCTCAGCCTCCCGAGTAGCTGGGACTACAGGCGCATGCCACCACGCCTGGCTAATTTTTTGTATTTTTAGTAGAGATGGGGTTTCACCGCGTTAGCCAGGATGGTACCAAATGTTAACTCTTTAACGTTGGTGAATGGGAAAGAGGCAGAAGGGGCAGATGGGCATGGTCCTAGGCCAAGCCGTGACTGGAGAAAATAGGAATCGCATCTGGAAGGCGCTCATTTGAAATGGGCCTGCAGAGGGTGAGGAGTGTGTGAGAACTCTGCTCCAGGTCAGGTCTGCCTGGTTTTTGGTGAGCCAGCCCCAGTGGATTAATACTCAGGCCCAGTGATGGCAGAGGACAGGGCCAGAAAGACACATTGAGAACGGGAGGTGCTCACCATGACAATGTTGGCCAGATGGGCAGAGACGAGAGCATACACCCCTCCAGAAGAGCCCACGACTGGAGCGGTCATGTCAGCCACAGACACTGCCAAGGACCCTAGTACAGAAAGACAGCGAGAATTCTCAGGAGTGCGGGACTCGGCTCACCCAACCCAGCCCCAGGCCTTGGATTCTGCAGGCTCCGTGCTAAGACTCCAGAGCAAGACGCTCCACCTCTTCCTCCTTTGAGTCCATGTTGCCAGGGAGATTCCCCTCCCCTCCCCTCCCTCTCCCTCCCTCCCTCCCTTCCTTCCTTTCCTTTTCTTTCTTTCTTTCTTTTTGAGACAAGGTCTAACTCTGTCACTTAGGCTGGAGTGCAGTGGCACGATCAGCTCACTACAGCCTTGACCCCCGGGCTCAAGTGATCCTCCTGCCCCAGCTTCCCAAGTAGCTGGAACTACAGTCGTGCGCCACAATGCCCAGCTAATTTTTGTATTTTTCTTAGTAGAGACAGAGTCTTACTATGTTGCCCAGGCTGGTCTCAAATTCCTGGACTCAAGCAATCCTCTTGCCTCAGCCTTCCAAAGTTCTGGGGTTACAGGTGTGAGCCACAGAGCCCTGCCTCCAGTGCATTTCTTAGAGGATTAATTTCTGGCTGAAAGAACCATTTGATTCTTTGACTCAAAGAGGGAAGTGTCCTGCCCAAAGTAAAATTCAGACTTCTACCTGGATTATCTGCCTCTCAATCCAATGTCTGCCTGACATGGTGCTATGTCAGGGTTCTGGAACCATAACAAAAATAGTAGCAGTAGTTATTGAAGAAACAGCTGCCACCTAGGTGACACGGATACCAAGCAAACATTTTACAGACTTTCTTCCCTTCAATCCTCAAGACAGCCCTCTGAGGCAGGCGCCAGTAGCCTCATTCCTGAGATGAGGAGACTAAGCCCAGAGTCTCCTGGTAGGAAGTGCCGGAACCAGGATTTGCATCTGGGTCTGCCTGATGCAAAACCCACCCGTGTTCTTGACCAAAGCCTGCACTCTTGGCCTCTCTAGCAGCCACGCCCCAAACTGGCCCAGAGGTTAACCTCCACCTTCTTCCATCTCTCCCTCTGTTCAACAGCATCTAGAAAACTGCTTAGGGTTACGTCCACCCTTCCTCCAGCCCAGCTAAATCACAAAAGGCCAACAGCATCTCTCCAGTGGGGCTCCTTTGGAGGAAACATGTCCTTGAAAAGTCATGGGGAAGAGAGAGAGATGATGTCATACCCTCTGGGGGAAAGGAAGGGTATGCGAGGCTTGGTCTGGGGGATGACAAACTTTTGTCCTGGGAGGGAAGCTGAGCAAAGAAAAGAGGGGAAATTTATTGTTCTGGTCTCATTTAAGTGTGATCAATGCTTTGTCTTCCAAGGGAGGACATGGGAGACTAAAAATAACTAGGAGGTAGAGCCCAGGGCTCAGAGGATGAGAGGTGGCTGGCCTGGGTGAGTGTGCAGAAATTACCACTGGAAAATGCCCAGGGGCTCAAGAGCCAATTAGCTGCTGGAGAAAGGAGGGACAGGCAGAAAGCCAAATTCTGCAGGCTGTATAGGGTGCAAGATCCACGGACTTAGGAGGAGGCTGGGCCCAGCCCAGCAACCAGAGCACCCAAGGACCTGGCAGCAGAGCCCCCTGATAAACTCCTCCACCTCCCCTGCCCCCACCTCCATCAAGGCCTCCCCTACTCACTGAGCTCCTTCAAGAAAGAGAGTCCCCACAACCAATTCTTGGTCTCAAGGGGGATGTAATCTCTCAAAAACAAAAACAAAAACAAAAAAAACCTGTCATGAACTGAGGACTCCCAAGTCCTCCTCCCCTTCCAGGGCAACTATAAATCTTTCATGCCTTCCCTCTGGCTTTAATTAGGTATTGATCTATTGTCAGATAACTTTCTTTTGCTTTTGCTTTTTTTACTGCTTAGCCACAGGGTCAGCCATATATAACAGGAAAGAAAAATCCCAGGGTGGCAAACAAACAGGCAGCAGGATCTGCATGACAAAGGTTTCCCACGCTCTCCTGGTGGGGCTGTCTTCGAAGGCTGCATTGCAGGGCTACAATGAGGGCTGGCTGCCCAAGCTGCTCCTCATTAATTACCTTTTGGACAGAGGAAGCCCCAGCCTCCCTAGGCTGGCTTCTCTTCTCAGAGCAGGTCTGTACAAACTGGCCCAGAGTCCACTCCCTCGCCCCTGCCCCAGCACGGTCCACCAAGGCAGAGCCGCCCCAGGGCAGCCCCAGGCAGGGATGGGCCCCTGCGAGGGTCAAGCTGGCACACACTGACCTTTCCCTCACCCTATCCATGGCTCGGAGTCCTGACCCTAGGGCCAGGGGTCAGCGTAGGATTGTGGCAGGAGTATGGAAGGGGCCTGGCCAGCTAGCTGTGTGACCTTGGGCACAGTCCCTGAATTCTTTGGGCTTCGGTTTTCTTTCATGTCTATAAAATGAGGTCTAAGGCTTTCTGACTTTTGAGCAGCAAAACTCTCTTCAAAGGAAACTTTTCAGGGACGCCCTAACCCATGGAGCAGAACACAGGCAGCAGCTCTGGCTAAGTGGGGATGGGGCCTAGAGAACAGTTTGCCAGTGCTGGAGGGGACCTCCCTGGTTCCTTCCAGATCAGAAATTCAGTGACCTGAGTCTTGGCCTAAGATCCAGGGGCCGCGGCTCGGGTCCCGATTCTGGAACCTCAAAGGTAACGGCCTGAATCCACCTGCCCCCACATTGGTGATATAAAGACTTTTGGGCCAGGTGGGGTGGCTCACCCCTTATGTAATCCCAGCACTTTGGGAGGCTGAGGCAGGCAGATCACCTGAGGTCAGGAGTTCGAGACCAATCTAGCCAACATGGTGAAACCCCATTGCTACTAAAAAAAAATATATATATATATATATATACAAAAATTAGCTGGACATGGTGGCGCATGCATATAGCCCCCCAGCTACTCGGAATGCTGAGGCACAAGAATCGCTTGAACCTGGGAGGCAGAGGTTGCAGTGAGCCGAGATCGTGCCACTACACTCCAGCCTGGATGACAGAGCAAGACTTCGTCTCAAAAAAAACTCCAAAAAACTAAAAAAAAGCAGACTTTCAAGTGACTGCAGGTGAGGCCTGGACTAGAGCAACTGGGAGAGACCAAAGACAAACATGGGGCTGTGTACACATAAACACAGTAATAAAGGCCCTCCCCGGGCAGGAAGTGTGGGCCAGGGAGGAATCCCCTCCAGAGCTCTGAACAATCCTAACAGGTACAGGCAGATAAGACCAGTATGAATTCCACAGAGGTCATGGAGGCAGAGGACTAGGAGAGAATGGCAAACTGGAGTGACATGCCACACCTCTGCACAGAGGCAAACCATGGGCCTTAGTTCTCATCAGGATTACAAATTCTGTATCCTGCACCCCAAAATTCTGAGGTCATGCCAGCACACAGATAAACTGGCAACTTTGCCATAAGGTACAGCTGTGATAATTTTAGCCCAGAAAATTTTAAAGCAGGTGTTCTTCAACATCTTCTTTGGCCTTAAAAAAAATCCAAATAAAAATTGGCAGAACATTTATCTTTAAGTAATGTAACTTTATTTACGTATCTTTCCTTTTTTTTTTTGAGGCAGAGTTTCACTCTTGTTGCCCAGGCTGGGGTGCAATGATGAGATTTCTGCTCACTGCAACCACCGCCTCCTGGGTTCAAGCAATTCTCCTGCCTCAGCTTCCTGAGTAGCTGGGATTACAGGTGGCTGCCATCATGCCCAGCTAATTTTTGTATTTTCAGTAGAGACAGGGTTTCACCATGTTGGCCAGGCTGGTCTCAAACTCCCCATCTCATGTGATCTGCTCGCCTCGGCCTCCCAAAGTGCTGGGATTACAGGTGTGAGCCACCATGCCCGCCAACTTTCCTTTATTCTATAAATATTTATTGCCTAACATGTGCCAAGCCCTGTGCTAGGCCCTGGGGATGCACACGTGGTTAGTAATCTATATAATCTATAATATAAGATTGGTGATATTGATTTTTTTTTTTTTGGTAGAGATGGGGGTCTCACTATGTTGCCCAGGCTGGTCTTGACTTCTGGCCACAAGCAATCCCCTCACCTCAGCCTCCCAAAGTGCTGGGATTACAGGAGTGAGCCACTTTGCCCGGCCCAAGATACTGGTTTTTAAAATACCTACATTGTGTGCCATATAATTGCTAGCCATAAGTGATTTTCACATTGGCCTCAAGCATTGGTTAGAAAGAAGCACAGGGGGCTGCCAGGCGCAGTGGCTCACGCCTGTAATCCCAGCACTTTGGGAGGCCAAGGCGGGTGGATCATGAGGTCAGGAGTTCAATACTAACCTGGCCAAGACGGTGAAACCCCGTCTCTACTAAAAATACAAAAAAATTAGCCGGGCGCGGTGGTGGGCACCTGCAATCCCAGCTATTCAGGAGGCTGAGGCAGAGAATTGCTTGAACGCAAGAGGCGGAGGTTGCAGTGAGCCGAGATCATGCCACTGCACTCCAGCCTGGGTGACACAGTGAGACTCCGTCTCAAAATCAAAAAAAAAAAAGGAAAGAAGCACAGGGCTTGGGAAGGGCTCCTCCCTAGTTCTAGTACTTTTCAGGTAAGCAAATCTGCAAGTCATTTCACCTCCCTGGGCTGCCTGTAAAATGGGAGTGGTAGTACCCACCATATAGGACAGCAGTGATGAGCATAGCATCCACGATCATCCGCAAACCCCTCATCATATGCCTGGAGCATGTATATGCCCCATAGAGGTTAGCTATCCTCATTACAAAGTGTGGATTGGAAACACTTTCACTGGGAAGGAATTAGAGAGTAAGGCTGCCAGACATCTATTAAGGTCTCCTTTGGTTTTTTTCTTTTTTTCTTTTTTGAGACAGGTTCTTGCTCTGTCACCCAGGCTGGAGTGCAGTGGTGTTATCACAGCTCACTGCAGCCTTGCACTTCTGGGCTCAAGCGATCCTCCTGCATCAGCCTCCCAAGTAGCTGGTGGGACTACAGGCCTACACCACCATGCCCAGCTAATTTTTAAAAAACTTTTTGTAGAGACAGGGTCTCCCTATGTTGCTCAGCTTGGCCTGGAACTCTTGGGCTCAAGCGATCTTCCTGCCTTGACCTCCCAAAGTATTGGGATTACAGGTGTGAGCTACTGCACCTGGTCTGCCTTGGTTTCTGACAATAAATTAACTGCAAAAAGGACAAGGACCACCTTTTGGTTCTCGTCATACTATTATAGTGGTTGAGATCACAGCCTTGGGGGTCAGACCCTGCCCAGCTCCACCACTTTCTAGCTGTGTCTTCTTGGGCGAGCCACTTAGCCATCTAAGCCTTGGTTTCCATATCTGTGCTGGGGGAGAGCAGCAGTGCCCACCTCGTAGCGTTGCTGTGTGGATGAATTACGGCCTGCATATGGTAGGCACTGATAAGTGCCACCCGTCCAATCTAGGGCTGGCTGGCTGTAAACCGGCTCACCTCTCAGAGGAAAGCTTGGGAGGACAGGAAAGGGTAGACAGCAGAGACAGATCAATCAACTCAATCATGGAGATCAATGACATGTGTGGTGACCAGAGTGCCCTCTGGTCTTAATCACTGACTCAGACAGAACAGTGCACGCCATGTGCTCAATGATACAGCCCTACATGCTCACATTCAGGTGATGAGCTCTGCTTCTGTTTGAATCTTCCCACTCTGCACTGGTGTCACTGGGGAGGTGACACCTACTCTGTCTCCCCACTGCATGTCACCTGGTTTGGGTGAGGTCTGAGTCCATTTGAATCTTATTTTTGTCTTCTAGGTTATTGGCATTCCCATCTAATTGAATACTAACTGCAAATGTTATTAATGTCTTCCCTGTTCCTTGCTATTTAACATCTGGGTCTCTGGGTATTGAGGTATGGAAAATGAGGCTATCAATCCTCAGATGTCAGGATTAGGGGGTGTGTGGGTGGCTGAACAAGTCTGGCACTTAGAGATGCTCATTAGCCCTTTATTCAAGGACGTGGTGAGCCTTGGATTCTGGGAGGGGCTTGCAGGGGTGCTGACCAAGGTGGCCAACGATTTTAACCTCAGCGCATACAGGAGCAAAGGAGATGGTGCAGGGTGAATCTCCCAGGCCAAGGGTTCATGCACTAGCAGACCAGCCTCGTGTGGGTGGGGTGGGACCCTTCCTCTTTGATTTCTGAAACCACTTCAGTTACTCCCAGGGTCCCTGCCTGCCTGTTGTTTACAAGGCTGACGCTGCCCGGCTCTCCTGATGACAACTTTAATACCACTCAGAAAGGATTAAGATCTTACTTAAACATACACACAAAGCTCCCTTGGGCACAGCTGTCAAGCTGAAGAGCTGAGGCGGCAAACCTTGTTAAAAAAAAAAAAAAAAACAGCCGGCAATAAAGTTGGAGACATCACGAGGGAGATCCTCATGTTCAGAGGCCTGGCTGGCAGACGCTTCCTGCAGAAATCCGTGCTCTCCCCAGCTAACTTCACCCACCTCACCTCCCACTGGGGAGGGGGCAGAAGGTGGAAGGCTCACTGGGAGTCACTCTGGCCACTATCCATGAAGGATGATCACTGGCCACACGTGTGCCCACTCAGCTGGAGGCCCAGATGCCTTCAGATGGAGCCAGGGCTCACTGCCTCTTAGGTCAGACTCCCTGTCAGCAGTGGGTCAGGCAAGGGGACTGCGGTTGGTCTGGGTAGCAGCCAGCTCTCTTTTTGGGGACAGGTGCTACGTGGCCAGGGTGGTACCTGGCTCCACTCACCCCTTTGATTCCCCTGTGGGGATCTCACTGTGCCCTTGCAGTTTTCGGAGCACTGTTGTTCCATCTGTTGCCTCACTCACTCTGCCCTCCTGGCAACCCTACAGGCAGATCTCATTAGTTCCCTCTTAAAGCTTAACATGGCCAAAAGAGGTTAGGAAATTTCCCCAAGCTCAGAGAGCTACCACATGGTGGTGTGAGACCGAGAGTCGGTTGTCCAGCCTGTCCCAAATCCAGTGCTCTCCTCCCCCGTCCTGCCACACACCTCCCTCTATGGGCAGCAGTCCGTTCTCCAGCCTCATAGGGAGGTGGGTGTGCCTGGAGGACAGCCTGGTTAAGTCAGGAGCCTTGGAGATGAGGATCTTCTGTGTGTCCTGGAAACCTGGGGCTTGCCCCGCCCCACAGGGTCTCCCACCCCACCCTGGGGCAGTGTGCCTTTGTGGACACGGGGCCTACCTGCCTACCTGCCACAACACCGGCCACGTAGACAAGCCCAATTCGGGTGGCTCCATGCACCATCTCCAGGGGCACCCCCACCAGCAGCTGCAGCACCACATTGAGTCCCAGGTGTTCTATCCTGTGACAGAGAGACCACACTCACTCATTCATCTATTCATTCATTCATTCATTCATTCATTCAACAAACACCTGCATCCCCCAAGATGCCAGGGATCCAGCAATGAACAAGACCACCTCTGCCTGCGAGGAGCTCATGGTCTAGGGGAAGGAATGACAATTCAGACAGACCATCTTGGAAAGAGTGTTCCTTCCAGATGGGACAGGAACAGATGTGCAAGGCCTGGGCGTGACTGGCAGCATTTCACTTGGCACAGTGAGACAGACTAACCACAGTCAAGATCCAGCAACTAGGCTGGGCGCAGTGGCCCACACCTGTAAGCCCAACACTTTGAGAGGCCAGGGTGGGAGGACCACTTGAACCCAGGAGTTCAAGATCAGCCTAGGCAACATAGTGAGATACCATCTCTGAAAAAAAAAAAAAAAAAAAAAAAAAAAAAGATCCAGCAACTCCATCAGTTAACATGTGAAAAACCAAGGTTCAGAGATAGTGACCAGCCACAGTTAGTGGCCACGCTGACACAACAGTTCAGGTCTCCAATCTGCCTGACCTGCTCCATTCACTGGGCCATGTGGTCATTCTGGCTCTCTTTGTTTTTTGTTTGTTTGTTTTTGTTTTGTTTTGTTTTTTGAGATGGAGTGTTGCTCTGTCAACTAGGCTGGAATGCAGTGGCATGATCTCAGCTCACTGCAACCTCTGCCTCCTGGGTTCAAGCGATTCTCCTGTCTCAGCCTCCCAAGTAGTTGGGATTACAGGCCACCATGCCCGGCTAATTTTTGTATTTTTAGTAGAGATGGGGTTTCACCATGTTAGGCAGGCTGGTCTCGAACTCCTGACCTCAAGTGATCCACTCGCCTCGGCCTCCCAAAGTTTTGGGATTACAGGCATGAGCCACTGCGCCTGGCCATGTTCTGGCTCTATTTGTAAGAGCTATGGATGTTAGCCAGGCGTGGTGGCTCATGCCTGTAATCCTAGCACTGCAGGAGGCCCAGACAGGTGGATCACCTGAGGTCAGGAGTTCGAGACCAGCCTGGCCAGCGTGGTGAAACCCCGTCTTTACTAAAAATATGAAAATTAGGCATGGTGGCAGGTGCCTGTACTCCCAGCTACTAGAGAAGCTGAGGCTGGCAGGTGCCTGTAATCCCAGCTACTCGGGAAGCTGAGGCAGGAGAATAGCTTGAACCTGGGAGGTGGAGGTTGCAGTGAGCCGAGATCGCACCATTGCACTCCAGCCTGGGCAAAAGAGCGAGATTCCTTCTCAAAAAATAAAATAAAATAAAATAAAATAAAATAAAATAAAATAAAATAAAATAAAAAAGAGCTACGGGTGTTTAAAGAAAAATATGTTCTCAAAACAAGTGCAGGCATTAAATATACATCTTATAACTTAATAATTCAAAGCTTTCCCTTAAAGTCTCATAAGAGAGGTTTCTCTTTACTGGTATAAGAAGAGATCTAGGCCAGGTGCGGTGGCTCAAGCCTGTAATCCTGGCACTTTGGGAGGCTGAGGTGGGCGGATCACAACGTCAGGAGTTCAAGACCAACCTGGCCAATATGGTGAAACCCTATCTCTACTAAAAATACAAAAATAAGCTGGGAGTGGTGGCATGCACCTGTAGTCCCAGCTACTCAGGGGGCTGAGGAAGGAGAATCGCTTGAACCCAGGAGGTGGTGGCTGCAGTGAGCCAAGATCGCGCCACTGCACTCCAGCCTGGGTGACACAACGAGACTCCATCTCAAAAAAAAAAAAAAAAAAAAAAGAGACCTATTCTGCTCCAAAACCCTCAGGACTAGGATATGGGATCCCAGGTTTTCTGTTTTTTTTCTTTTTTCTTTTTTTTTTTTTTTTGAGATGGAGTCTCTTTCTGTCATCCAGGCAGTCTCTCTCACACCATCCATGCGGTGGTGTGATCTCGGCTCACTGCAAGCTCTGCCTCCTGGGTTCATGCCATTCTCCTGCCTCAGCCTCCCGAGTAGGTGGGACTACAGGCGCCTGCCACCAGGCCTGGCTAATTTTTTTGTATTTTTCAGTAGAGACGGGGTTTCACCATGTTAGCCAGGATGGTCTTGATCTCCTGACCTCGTGATCCGCCTGCCTTGGCCCCCCAAAGTGCTGGGATTACAGGCGTGAGCCACCGCGCCCGGCTGGACCCCAGGTTTTCTGACCCTGTGAACACCTTCCTCCCTATACTACCTGTGACTACATCTTGCTGCTAAAATTGTGGGGCATCTAGCTGTGTGCATGTGACCAGAAAAGACTGTAACATGACTATTACTAAATCAATCAGGTGCTTCCAACTTTATACAGCACTTTAACACCCACTGTCTCATTTAAATTGAGCTGACATCCCCTGGGAAGCTCCTGGGACAGGGCTCAGATGCCCTCAGCTCACTGCTTTTGGCTCCAGGAGGCAGAGGATGGAGCAAGGAGGCTTTGGCTATTCTCCTTCCTCACCCTGAGGCACCAAGAGAGGTCAGGGGGCAGTCCTGGAAAGAAGGCAGACAGTCCCAACCCACGTGCAGCCACTGGCTTGGGATGCCTGGGCAGGGAAGCCCCCGTGTCTGTTGTCACCCCTGGCTCATGAGTGGATGTGAGTGAAGCATGACAGCCATCCCGCTGCTCCTTAGCCCTGTAAGATCGAAGCCTGGGGCAAGCCAGACAAGGTAAGCAGCATGTACCAATGGTCCTCTTTGGCCTGAGCAGAGGCGTTCATTCAGGTCTCTTCACCCGAAAGCACCCTCCCCCGCAGGTGCAGCCAATTTGGGATTAGCTCTTGCACCTGCTTTAGAGGCTAAGGGGAAGGGAGGCTCATGGGACAACTCCCTCTTGGCCATTGTGGGTCTTTCTGCTGAGCAATGGGAATTATGGCGTCATTGGGGCCAGAGTGACCCCCTTCCCAGTTCCCACTCCAGGGCCAGGCACCCCCACGGTTTTCCCCAGGCTAACTGTGAGCTCCTTCACTTCTCTGGAGAGGCTACAGAAGAGAAGACACCACAGAGGCCTGGTGTCTGGGGTCTCTCCTCTCCCATCAAAGTGCTTCTACCATATAAAAGCCTCCAGACTGCTCTTCAAGGGATATGGACCTGGGTGGTCACCTGGCCAGCTGGTAGGCCCTTATCATGAAGTGGGAGGCACCAGTGAGAACCGATTGTGCTGCAGCCCCAAAACAGGCTACAGGGTTCTATAAACAGAAACTATAATTATCGTCAGAGTTCCTCAAGAAGACCCTCTCTATATATGGAGACCACACTGGGAGGCACTCACACACAGTTATGGACAATAAATCTGGTGGCTTGACTCCCTTTTTGCTCTAGTGGCCAAAGCAAAAGCTCTAGGAAGCCACTAGGAAGCACTAGAATAAATTTTCAAGCCACGTCTAGCAAGTACATAGAATCAAATGCTGTGTATGTGTGTGCTGTTCTCACTGCTGGCTTTTAGCATTTTCCTTCTTATATATTTTCCCCTTTCCCATTCACTCTCAATAATTTACTTGTATATTTTGGTATTAAATGAGTTTCAAGCAGCCATCCCAAATCCTATGTCCAAATAGATAAAAATAAACTAAAAACTATATTTCAATCCAGGCTATCTTGACCACTTATTTTTCTGTAGGGTCTTTTGACAGAGCAAAAGAAGACAGGTACTCACCCTGCATGCATGAAGATGTATGTCAGGTAGCGCCAAACCTGTGCTCGCAGCTGTGGGTGGTAAACCAGGGAGTTCTTCAAGTAACGTGGATGAGTTACCTGCAGTACAAATTGACCTAGTGACACCCCATTGTAGAGGAAAAAGGCAACCTGGACAGAAGAGAGAGAGTCTGTTACTAGGTGCACACTGCCCAGGAAACTTCCTGTTGTGCTGACTAGCACTGGGAGTCCCTACAGGAAGTTATCACCTTTCCTTCTCAGAGAAAGAGGGATACCCCACAGCCAGGGCCCAACTGAGTTTTTTTTTTTTTTTTTGAGATGGAGTTTCGCTCTTGTTGTCCAGGCTGGAGTGCAATGGCACAATCTCGGTTCACGGCAACCTCCACCTCCTGGGTTCAAGCGATTCTCCTGCCTCAGCCTCCTGAGTAGCTGGGATTACAGGCATGTGCCACCACGCCTGGCTAATTTTGTATTTTTTAGTAGAGACTGGGTTTCTCCATGTTGGTCAAGCTGGTCTTGAACTCCTGACCTCAGGTGATCCACCCGCCTTGGCCTCCCAAAGTGCTACAATTACAGGCGTGAGCCACTGTGCCTGTCTCAGCTGAGCTTTTAACCACCCCTCACCCACTTCTGTTTGCTTATTTTGTGTCAAATGGCCGCAACATGGTCCTGGGGTCTCTTTGTCCACACTTCCTCCGTGCTAAGCAGAAAGGATTTGGAGGATTTTGAACTTTAATTCCAGTAATAACTCACGCACCCACTTGGGAGATGACGAATTCCACATAGCTTGATTTCTTAAATAACTATAGTGAAATAAACATAAAATTTACCATCTTAATCAGTTTTTTGGGTTTTTTTTTTTTTGAGACAGGGTCTTGCTCTGTCGTCCAGGCTGGAGTGCAATGATAGTCTTGGCTCACTGCAACCTCCGCCTCCCGGGTTCAAGCGATTATCCTACCTCAGCCTCCCAAGTATCTGGGATTACAGGAGTGCACCACCACACCTGGCTGATTTTTGAATTTTTAGTAGAGATGGGGTTTCACCATGTTGGCCAGGCCAGTTTAGAACTCCTAACCTCATGTGACCTGCCCACCTCGGCCTCCCAAAGTGCTGGGATTACAGGCATGAGCCACTGCGCCCGGCCTTAATCAGTTCAGTGGCATTAAATGACATTCATGTTGCTGCGCTACCATCACTACTATCCATCCACAGAACTCTTCATTTGCAAAACTGAAACTCTGTACCCACTGAACAATGACGCCCCACCCCCTCCCTCCAGCCCCTGGCAACCACCATTCTACTTTCTATCTCCATGAATTTGACTACTCTAGCTACCTCATATAAGTGGAATCATACAGTATTTGTCTTTTTGTGTCTGGCTTATTTCACTTGGTATAATATTTTCAAGGTTCATCCATGTTGTGTAGCATGTGTCAGAATGATCCCCCTTTTTTTTGAGACAGGATCTCACTCTGTTGCCCTGGCTAGAATGCAGTGGGGCAGTCTCAGCTTGCAACTTCTACCTCCTGGCTGGTCTTGAACTCCTGGGCTCAAGCGATCTTCCTGCCTCCTCAAGTGCTGAGATTATAGGCATGAGCCACTGCACCCAGCCTTCCCTTCCTTTTTTTTTTTTTTTTTTTTTGAGGTGGAGTCTCGCTCTGTCGCCCAGGCTGGAGTGCAGTGGCGTGATCTCAGCTCACTGCAAACTCTACCTCCCAGGTTCAAGCAATTCTCCTGCCTCAGCCTCCCAAGTAGCTGGGATTAGACGTGTGCCACCATGCCCAGCTAATTTTTGTATTTTTAGTAGAGACAGCATTTCACCATGTTAACCAGGCTATCTCGAACTCCCGACCTCAGGTGATCCACCTTCTTCAGCCTCACAAAGTGCTGGTATTACCAGCGTGAGCCCTCCACTATAAACACAGACCACATTTTGTTTCTCCATTCATCTACCGATGGACACTTGGGTTGCTTCTACCTTTTGACTATTGTGAATAATGCTATTATGAATATGGGTGTATCAATATCTCTTCCAGTCCCTTTCAATTCTTTTGGGATATATTCAGAAGTGGAATTGCTGGATCATATGGTAATTCTATGTTTAATTTTTTGAGGCAACGCCAGACTGTTTTCCATAGCAGCTGCACCATTTTACTTTCCCACCAACAGTGCACAAGGGCTCCAATTTCTCCACATTCTCACCAACATTCCACAGAAGTTGATTTTGCAAACGTGACTGAAGCATACTTGTTTAATCTCTAAAAGGGTATTTAACTCTTTTTTTTTTCTGGGACTCCTTCTAAAATGTATCATTTACGTCCCTGTGTTCTTAATCAGGGCATATGCATAACTGTTTAAGAATATCTCAGGTATGGGCTGGGCACAGTGGCTCACGCCTGTAATCCCAGCACTTTGGGAGGCCGAGGCGGGCAGATCACAAGGTCAGGAGTTTGAGACCAGACTGACCAATGTGGTGAAACCCCGTCTCTACTAAAAATATGAAAATTAGCCGGGCGTGGTGGCAGGCACCTGTAACCCCAGCTACTCAGGAGGCTGAGGCAGGAGAATTGCTTGAACCCAGCCGGCGGAGGTTGCAGTGAGCCAAGATTGCGCCACGGCATTCCAGCCTGGGTGACAGAGGGAGACTCTGTCTAAAAAAAAAAAAAAAAAAAGGAATATCTCAGGTATTGATCTGGGCTATAAGAGTGATTTGTTTCTCCAGCAACCCCAGGAAGATGACATTTTTTGTTTGTTTTTGTTTTGAAATAAGAGTCTTGTTCTGTCACCCAGGCTGGAGTGCAGTGGCACAGTCTCGGCTCACTGCAACCTCTGCCTCCTGAGTTCAGGCAAGTCTCATGTCTCAGCCTCCTGAGTAGCTGGGATTACAGGCACCCACCATGATACACGACTAATTTTTGTATTTTTAGTAGAGACGGGGTTTTACCACGTTGCCCAGGCTGGTCTTGAAATCCTGACCTCAATGACCCACCCGCCTCGGCCTCCCAAGGTGCTGGAATTACAGGCGTGAGCCACTGTGCCCGGCCAGGATAGTGTTTTTGCTCATACACTCAAGGTCCTAAATTCTTTTTTTTTTTTCTTTTTTTCTTTTTTGAGACGGAGTCTTGCTCTGTCGCCCAGGCTGGAGTGCAGTGGCACGATCTTGGCTCACTGCAACCTCCGCCTCCCGGGTTCAAGCAATTCTCCTGCCTCAGCCTCCCCAGTAGCTGGGATTACAGGCACCCACCACCATGCCTGGCTAATTTTTATATTTTTAGTAGAGACAGGGTTTCACCATGTTGGCCAGGCTGGTCTTAAATTCCTAACCTCAAGTGATCCGCCCACCTCGGCCTTTGAAAGTGCTGGGATTACAGGTGTGAGCCACCACGTCCGGCCAATCCCCCAAATTCTTGTATTTCTTTTCCTTTTTTTTTTTTTTTTTTCTTGAGACAGGGTCTCGCTCTGTCACTCAGGCTGGAGTGATGTGGCATGGACACAGCTCACTACAGCCTTGACCTCCTGGGCTGAAGCGATCCTCTTGCCACAGCCTCCCACGTAGCTAGGACCACAGGCATGTACCACCATGCCTGGCTAATTTTTTGATATTTTGTAGAGACAGTCTCACTTTTTTGTCCAGACTCATCTTGAATTCCTGGGCTCAAGAGATCCTCCCACCCTGACCTCCCAAAGTGCTGGCATTACAGGTGTGAACCACTGCACTCAGCCAATTCTTTTATTTCTTTAAGATTCAGGTCTGCTTTAAACTTTTCTTTTGTCACTTCCTTCACTGCCAGGCTGTCGGCTGCTGTTTCTTATTGCTTGCTGGTAGTGGACCCCTTTGTTGCTTTACACCATGTCCCTCCTATTTTCTATTCATTATGAAATCCGAAAGCCAGGTTACCAGAACTGTATAGAAGACAAAAGCCTTGGGCATTGTAGCCCCAGGGCTTCGAGATCGTTATTTCAGCTATTTGATCACTTCCCAGTTTCTTCTAGATTGGTGGTTCGGGTTTACATAGCTGAGGTTCATCTGAACCAATCTGGACACAAAATTGCTCCTCTTGATCAACCTGGGCAAACTGAATTCTCTGGCCCTCAGTTTCTTTATCTGGAAATGGGTACCGATACCTAGACTTCCAGAGTGGCCAGGAGGTTTAAAAGTGATAAACTATACACAAAGAGCCAGCCCCCTGCCCGGCACACACTTAGAGAAGGAAGCTATAATTCGTGTTGGGTTAAAATCTTCTGGGCTCAGCCTGGGAATGGCTTAGGCCCCTGGTAGCTGTATTCTCCTGGGCTCTCTGAGGAGCCGTTCTGTCCACCTAATACCATGAGGGTGGCCTGGTAGCAAATCCTGCTTCCAAGGCATCTCGTTATTATTGGGCCTCAAACAGAAGTTAATAAATAGACCAGCACAGTAAGCGCTTGAAGAACGAGTCCAAGAATATCTCAGAAAAATCGCAACTTCAACATGTACTTGGATGAAGCCATAACAACAAACAGGGGAATGCTGGCCTGCAGACCAGATATTCTGACTTAGAAGAAAAGAAGGATGCCGCGAAGCTTTTGATTAGGCAGGAACTTTACAAGAACATATGCAGAGGCGGTAATTAGGCCCGTGGCTTTGGAAGAGAAACAGCGGAGATCATAAAATCCCAAAGTGAAGCCAAGCATCCATTCAGGAGCTGCAGCTGGGGTGGGCTGCACAGGTTGTTGAGTGGAGGACCCAAAAGAATTGAGTTTTATCACACATGGGCACCAACGCAGCAAGGGGTACCTTTGGATTCTGTTGCATAAGCAGTAGAATTTAGCATAACAATAGGCACAGAGGATTCCCTAAGGGGAGAATGTTCTTTAAAAATGTTAAGCCCATATTTACCTGTTCACACTCCCTCCCAGATGTGTTTGTGTGATGCTTTTGTGTTCAGAAAGCACCAGTAGCCATTCTCTCACTTTAAATAAAGGTGTCCTGGGAGAGGGAAGGCAGGTCTGGTTATTTCTGATTTTCAGGCGGGAAAAAGGAGCAAATGACTGGTCCACATTACCCACCTAGGGAGGAACTAAATAAACTGGCTTTAATGAGTTAGCCTGGCTAGATCTCCCAAGTCAATGAACTTATGACATTGTTTTTATTGCTGTTGTTTTGGGGTGGGTGGGGGGTAGTGGTCCTACGGGGATTTGGCTGCAGTAAGTATTGTTTGAAGTAATAATCTTTGGAATATCTCTTTGCAGTCCACGGTTACAACACTGGTATGCACCGCAACAGAGTCTGATTTGCAATACAACTATTATTTGATCCTCAACCATTGCCCTTCAATGGAAAAGAAATGTCCCTCTTCCCCCATGATCTGTGTGTCATCCTCTTGGCTCCTCTCCCCATACCCGCCACTCCCCAAGGCAGAGCAACCCCCTCCCCACCCTTGTCCTTGCCTCCAGCAGCGTGACTGTGATCATGAACCAGGGTGGGGGGCAGCAGGTGTAGCTGTCATAGTACCACTTGCGGTCAATTTCCCGGGGCAGGGTCTCATAGGCCACATGGCGGATAAGTCGCTGCGAGAGGCTCAGCCCCTTCTCCTCCAGCAGGGCCTTGCTGCTTAGCCTGCGGTTGCCCTGCAGGATGGCTTGGCGGAAGCTGTTGGAACGCTTGTTGCTCATCTGTGCAGGAAATGGAGTGGGGAGAGGGTCAGAGCTGGGGCCCAGCGGAGCTCCCCACCCACTTCCCAGCCAGCATGTTCCTTGCACCAGGCCTGACCCCGCATTTCCCTTTCTCCTATAATTGTTAATAAGAAGCAACATTCACCAAGGTCTTGTTAGGTGTCAGGGGTTATTATTCTCAGCCCTTCACGTCTTTTGGCTCATTTGATGATCACCAGTCTTCCCGTTAGATAAGGACTATTAACATCCCCATTCTATTGGATTAGGAAACTGAGACACCGAGAGCTTTAGGAATCCATCAAGTTCACACTCAGTAAGGCTCCAGAGCCCGTATTTGTGTTCACTATACCTTCCTTCATCTACTCACTCATCATCCATCCATCACAATTTACTGAGCAACTACTAAGTGTCAGGCTCATTACCAGGCACAGGGAGGGATACGGTGGTGCTCAAGACAGATTAGTAACCAGCAATCACAGTTCAGAGTGATGGTTGCTGTGGGAGCACACAAGAGGGAGCCCAATCCAGTCCCAGGGAGGTCAGAGGTCAAGGAAGGCTTCCTGGAGTAGGTGAAGTCTGAGTGAGAATCAAAAGATGAGCAGGAGGTAGCACCCTCAGACACGCTAGCTTGGGAAGAGGCAGGCAGCCCTTGGTTAGATGGGTTTGCAGAGAGGCACCCAGAGCCAAAACCCAAGCTGTGCCTGGGGAAGGTCACCACTCCCGAGGGCCTTCACAGGACCTGGAATGCCCAGCAAGCCCAAAGACTGGCTGCAGAGCTCCACCTGGGGACCAGCTCTATCCTCAGCGGCCTGAAGCTTCTCTGACACATACTGGGTAGAGCTCTGGCAGCCTCACCCAGTGGTCAGCCTGACTCGGAGACCAGAGGTGGCCTTGCTGACTCCTGGCCTCCCGAGGCCTCCGTTACCTCCCACCTGCCTTCCACGGCCAACTGTAGACCCTTCTTACGGGGAGAAGTCCTAGAGATATGGCTCTCCCAAGCCCACACCTCAGCTGTCCCTATGTTTGCTGGTGTGGGGATTATCAGTGTATTCCTGGGACTCTAGGCCCAGCAGTAGACATCAGGCTAAACCCGAAGGCAGGAGCCCTGTGGGCTGGTGAGGTAAACCAGGCCAGACCACGGCACAGGGGTTGTAGGCCCTGTCAGAGGGCAGATGGCTGGGGAGGATCTAGGTTCAGACCAGGCCAGGTGGTGTGAACTTCCATCTATAGGGTCCCCCCACCTCACATTCCTGAGCTCTGTTGTCTCATAGTCAAAATCTAGCTTAAAGCTCGCCCCCTCCAGCAGGCCATCCCAGATGAACCTTTTCCAACCATTCTCTATCCCCATTCTCTCCATGCCTACAAAGCTTGGACCTAGTTCTTCTCAATGGCCCAGGAGCTCTGTAAATGTAGGCCAGGGTTAGGCGCCTGGTGCACATTGTGAGCCCAAGACAGGATCACGATGTCAGATTATTTTGTGGCCACTCTCACCTGTCTCTCTCCCAGTCCCTGAGGATGCACCTGCACAGGGGAGTGCACAGCACCCGTGGTGGGAGCTGGCTCAGCAGGGGTACACACTCACCATCCACCTGCGTCCCTCACATGCCCAGTGCTGTGCTGGGCACAGTCCATGACCATGGTCCCAGGCCTCATGGAGCTTACAAGTGGAGACAGAAGTGTAAAAACAGTAAAAAAGGGTGCCATCATAGTTATTTGGCACCCCGTATTATTCCGACATTACAAATATGGGGACTGAAGCTTGGAGAGGGTGAGTAGTTTCCCCGGGTACTCATACTTAGTAAACCACAGAGTCAGGATTCAAATACAGATCTGCCTGACTCCACAGTCCATGCTAGCCCATACAGAGCTGTTGTGCCAATCAGATAAAGGAGCCTCTTCTTCTGGATGGGTGCACCCATGCCAGGCCTTGGTGGGCAAAGTCCGGGCCAGATTTCAGTCTCCATCATCTCTCAGCTAGGCACCATTGTACAGTATACAACCTGCACACTCATACACGACTACCCGGGTTGCTCAGCTGTAATGCAGTGTGGCGGTCTGTACTACGAGAGAGGCCTGGGCAAGGCACTGTGGGAGCTCTGAAAAAGGCTGACTCACTCTGCCTGGCTTGAGCAGATAAAGGCTCACAAAGGATGCAGAGGAGTTTACCTGGTGGAAGAACATTAAGAGACATCAAAAATATTCAAATACTTTTTTTGATCCTTGCAACAACCCTAAAGAGAGGATCCTTTGGATCTATTCTACAAATGGGAAAAGGCAGGCTCAGAGGCTCTTTCCCAGTGAGTGGCAGAGGCAGAGCCAGACCAGGACCCGGGTTTGCTAGACTCCAGGTCCTCAGCTCTCTGCTCTACTCAGAGCTTCCCCTCTGGTGAGTCCCTTTGTCTGCTCTCCAGGGCAGCCCTGCTCATACAGATCCAGTGCAGAATTTGAACAGAGAAATCTCAGAAATCCCAGCAGTAACAAGTAACTTGCTGTCCTGAGCTCACACAGAGGCTCCATTGACCCCTGGCTGGAGAGAAGCCACTCCTGGGCCCCACGTGCCCTAAGACCTAGCAGGGCATCTTGCAGCAAACACACAGGTGCTGGGGCTGTGGCTGTGGATGAGCCTGGGCAGGCTCAAACCTTTGGCCTGGTCTTTGGTGGCACTGCTGGGTTCCAAGTCACAGGACTCACCCTCACTGCCTATCCTATGAATCCTCACTGTCCCCCTCCCCTGCTCAGCTCAGCTCTGTCCCTTGCTCTCCAGGAGGTCTGCTCCCCGGGTCCACTCTGAACAGCAGTCGATTCCTCCACTCCTAAAAACCCCACAGCAGCTCCTTGCAATCACGCCAACCCTTGGACCAAGGCTGGACCTCAGCCAAGAGGCTGTTGAAACATCTCCCCTGCCTGGGCATCCACATCAGAGCGCTCATGTGGCACAATGACAGGCTCCAGTGGTGGCGGCTCCCCCATCACTGGTGCCTTTGAATTTAGGAGTCTGGGGCGCTTCACACAAGTCATTTCACTCTCGCTCCCTCCATGGGTGACATGAAGAGAGGTGACCAGCTCCATCTCACCAATAGGAAAACCCAGCAAAAACTTTGGGTCTTATTTTCAACCTGCTTGTTCACCCCGCTTTTCTACTGATGTCACCTGCATCCCATGGTGGGTGAAATACTGCCTGCTTAACCCCACTGAACCCCAGTCCACAGCAGCCCCTGAAATAGCGCAGCACTAACCCTCAGTGAGGGGAAGTCTCTGCTCCGAGATAACAGACCGCTGGGCAGGATCCATGGGCCTATCTTCTCCAGCCTCTTTGGCAGCCCAGGGCATCGGCTGAGCAGATATGCTGAGCTCTGGCTCTACCACATGCTGCACTGACCCTCCCGGCCCCCACTCCCCAGCCCCTTCTCCTACCACCAATACCCTACCTACTCGCAGCCCTTCATTTTGGCGTAACTGACCCCACTCTCAGCTACAGGAGTGGGGCAATGATTGATTTAACGCAATCTACCCATCCTACTGACCCAATCTAGGCCAATGGGAGGGAGAAAATACCAGGCCTTGTGCAAGAGCTACACCAAGAAGGGTTTCTCTCTCCTCTCTCTCCCCTCCCCTCCTCTTCTCTCTCCCCTTCCCTCCATCCCTCCCTCCCTCTCTCTCTCCCTCCCTCCCTCCCTTCTGCAAGGTGCAGCCTGAGGGTATGAGGGCTGGAACAGCTGCAGCCACTTTGCTGCCACAACAGGAGGGTCTGAAATTGCCAGGTGCTGCCTTGAGGATGGGCTGACACTGCGGAGGGCAGAGCCTAGAGACAAAGAGAAGATGAGTCCTTGGTGGCACCCTTTCACCTCAGAAGCCTGGACTTTTTCAATGCTGCAGGCCAACAGATCCTTTGAATTGCCTAAATCCTTTAAATGTGTGGAAGCCATAACCCTCAAACAGGTCCCCCCGAGTACCAAGGGCCCCAGAGCACTCACTAGGCTGACAAAATCCTGGTAGCCGATCTGCCCATCCGCGTGGCTGTCGGCAAGAGCCAGGAGGACCTCCCTTTTGTGCGGGTCCAGCTTGGAGCTGTGGCTCTCCAGAAGACTCCGGAACTTGCCTGTGCTAATGTAGCCTGTGTTCCCAGGGTCAAACTGAGGGAAAAGCAGACAGCAGCAGGGTCAGCAGGGCACCACCTCCTCTTCACACTGATGTGGGTGCCCTGATCTCCACCACTATTCACTGGCTTTAGTCCCCAGCCCCTGGCAGAGGCTCAGTGTCTGGGAGATTTCCAAGGACCCCCCTGGGAAACATCTAAATAGGAATGTCCTGGAGGACCTGCAGACCTTCAGGATCACCCAATCCAACCATCTCACGTGGATAAGGAAACTGAGGCTCAGAGAGGTTAAACCGCCTCCTCTCACCATGGAGAGGGAAGTGCGAATGAAAAGGCAATGAGTGCAGGAAGATGAGAAACTTCTGGGGCCTGGGACGGGTGAGAGGACAGCAGGAGAAGGACATTTCAGCTGCGACTGGCAAAGGGAAAGGGGACTGGGCCAGAGGGACCCCAGGGGGGATGCCAGAGGGCCCTGGGGAGCAAGAAGCACTGCCTTGCAAGTCCTTCTGCCCCTGGCCGCCCTCCCATGGCCCCTCCCACACACCCAGGCGGGGAGGATTGGTGGGGCTCCCCAGAGACACTCTGCTCTGTGGTTTTTGTTTTGTTTGGGGGGTGTTTGTGCGCGCGCATGAGTAGGAGTGCGCGTCTGTGTGTTTTACACCGTGCTCTTTCATCGTTTGCAGCTTTGCACCACGTGGGTCCCTCTGCCTGGGATTCCCTTTCTTCCTCCGTCTCCCTGGAAGACTCCGACTCACCCTTCCTGACTACTCAGATATGCCCTTCTCTTGGCAGGCTCACCTCAGCCATGGCCTGTTCTCACGGAACCCTCTGTTCTGTCCAGACCTCTGGGCCTCCAGCCCACACTGATGTCTGTCTGCTTTTGCCTCCTCCTTGGACCGCGGCGCCTCGCGGGTCGGTATCACAACTTATCCCCGGTACTTAGCACAGAGCCTGGCATTATCAGCACTCAATCAAGATTTGTTGGATGAATAACTAGTGGGTGTTCAGATGAACAGACAGGCACTGATTTTCCATGAAAAGCCTCATCAGTTCAGTTAGAAAAGGCAGGATCGGGCCAGGCGCAGTGGCTCAAGCCTGTAATCCCAGCACTTTGGGAGGCCAAGGCGGGCGGATCACAAGGTCAGGAGATGGAGACCATCCTGGCTAACACGGTGAAACCCCGTCTCTACTAAAAATACAAAAAAGTAGCCGGGCGTGGTGGTGTGCGCCTGTAGTCCCAGCTACTCGGGAGGCTGAGGCAGGAGAGTATGGCGTGAACCTGGGAGGCGGAGCTTGCAGTGAGCTGAGATCACGCCACTGCACTCCAGCCTGGGCAACACAGCGAGACTCCATCTCAAAAAAAAAAAAAAAAAAAAAAGAAGAAAAGGCAGGATCTTAGTCACCTCTCCCAGAGAAGACCTTATCATTTCTATCCCTTTCCTCACGGAGCCCACCCAATGCCCACAGCAACACTTTTAACACCAAGCATCTCCTGGACGCCAGGAGCTTTCTTGTTCAGAAGGTGCTTCCCTACATAAGACTCCACTGCATCCTGGAGATGCAGCTGTGAGTTGTTTAAAAGGCAAACAGACATTGAGGATGTATGTGTGTGCATGACGAGGGAGTCCGGAATACCAAACCCACGTTTTCGCCTTTTCTAGATGGTCAATGAAGGCTATTTTAGGAAAGTGGATTCTGTGTGTAGCATTTCTGAGAAAATCAAAGAGCAACAGTCAGGAGTCTCAGTCATGGGCTATTTCAATTCTCCACAGAAGGCCGGGCGCGGTGGCTCATGCCTGTAATCCCAACACTTTGGGAGGCCGAGGCAGGTGGATCACGAGGTCAGGAGATCAAGATCATCCTGGCTAACACGGTGAAACCCCGTCTGTAATAAAAATACAAAAAATTAGCCGGGCGTGGTTGCAGGCGCCTGTAGTCCCAGCTACTTGGGAGGCTGAGGCAGGAGAATGGCCTGAACCTGGGAGGCGGAGCTTGCAGTGAGCCGACATCGTGCCACTGCACTCCAGCCTGGGCTACAGAGTGAGACTCCGTCTCAAAAAAGAAAAAAAAAATCTCCACAGAATTGAACAAGAAAGGACATCTCCAATGAGGTCTATTGTTTTTTGTTTTAGACAGGATCTCACTCTTGTCACCCAGGCTGGGGTGAAGTGGTGCCATCATAGCTCACTGAAGCCTCGACCTCCTGGGCTCGGCAATCCTCTCACCTCAGCCTCTCAAGTAGCTGGGACCACAGTTGTGTGCCACCACAACCAGCGAATTTTTAAATTTTTTGTAGTGATGGGCTCTCACTACGTTGCCCAGGCTGGTCTCGAACTCCTGGGCTTAAGTGATCCTCCTGCCTCAGCTTCCCAAAGTACTGGGATTACAGGCATGAGCTACCATGCCTGGCCCCGAGGCATATTTTTAAATCTGTATATCTCCCACCTTCAAGCCAAAATGCCAGGTTTCATGGATGACATCTGTTTGGTTCACAACACCAAGTATTTCAGGAAACTCACCTACTTGTTGCTCAGTAAAGATCTTGAAGAATAAAAACACCTAATATTTGCTGAGTGTTTTCATGGAGCCAAATACTGTTTAAGCACCTTATGCATATAATGTCTTTGACTCCTACACAACTTTATGTAGCAGATCCTATCCATGTCCCCATATTACAGACGAGGAAATAGAGGCACAGAAGAGTTAGCACGGGGAGGTGAAGTGATTTGCCCGGCAAGCGGCAGAGCCAGGATTCCACCTCCAGACAGCTGAGCACTCCTCTAAGCCATGGCCAGGTGCCACTGACCTCCAGCTCCAGGGACTGCTCTGATGCCCAGGAACAAAATTTAAGGACCAAATAGGTGAGTGTGGGCCCAGGAGAGGAAGGGGCTCCATGAGTCTCACAGCCCTACCATAGGCAGAGATTTTTAAATCAGGAAACAGCCCCGGACAGCAACAGCTCTGACCTCCTCCATTGCTCAGCTAAGGAAATGGACCCTGGAGAGGGAATGTGGCAACCACAGCCAGGGAGGGTCTGTTTCTTTGGTGCCTGGGACCCCTCCCATCTCTACAAGCCACCTGTGCCAACCCCTACTCCATCACAGGGTCTCACTAGCCTGGCCCTCCTGTTCTGGGTGGGTAGATAGGGGGTGGGGTGCGGGCTGAGAAGGAGCAGGTGGAGTCCTGGGGAGCCCCCCAGTGGGGGCTGCAGGAGGGCCATTGGTCTGCGGCACAGCTTGTGCAGTCTCTCCTGCCTCGGCCTAGAGAAGGGAGCCCAATGACTTTGCGTGCCCTGGGAGCAAGCACCAATCCCCTCCTAGGGGCTGCCTCCCAGGCTGGGGAGGGCCGTGGGGTGGGGGTGCAGTGGGGGTGCTGGGATCAGGCTGCAGACAAAGAGCCACCTGCTCTCCCCCTCAATCTCCCCCTCCAGTGCTCCCTGCTGTTGTCCTAGTGACATGGCTGCCCTGTGGCTCAAGCCTCCACCCCCACCAGGGCCTGCCTGCCCTGCCCCAAGCATAGTAACAGGCTCCAGACAGCAGAGAACAAGCTGGAATCAGGCCGAGCCTCGGTTCTCTGCCAAAACTCTACCTTTCATGGCAGGGCCAGACAATGGGGGGCGGGGTCACCGCTACCCTAATAATGAGGCCTTGGGGATGCCCGGAGGATGGAGGACGGCTGGGGCAGGGGGAGGGAGAGGCAGCAATGGGCCGGCTGCCTGGGCTCCATGAATGCACAGGACACCTTTCAACCCCCAACCCCACCCCCAGGAAGATGAAAGCAAGGGCAGGTGCTGACATTGGGTATGGGGCGTGGGGGAGAGAGAAAGGGAGGCAAAGGGAGAAAGAGACAGAGAGAGCCAGAGAGAGCATGAGTGCACAGAAAGCAGGAGAGAGGTGCATCCCATTGCCCCAGAAGGAAGCTGGGAGTTTCTAACAGAGGCTGCACCCCTCACTCAGGGGTAGCAAGGAACAAGGCAAACCTCATGCTTGTCTCCACCACTAACCAGGGTTTGTGTCATTTACAGCAAACTCCCGAGCCACAACTACCTCATCTACAAAGTGGGCTACCTTCCTCTCGCAGGGCAGCAGCTCACCAGGGCCTGGGCTCGGAGGCCAGACCAGCTTCCCTTGCTGCGAAGCTGGGAGCATCCTACTGTGATGGGGGTGTGGCTGACCCTCTCTGGGCACATATCCTACCCTTCCTCCTCCTTCACAGCCTGCTTAAGGAGGACTGGGATCATTAGGCAGATCCAAACTGTGGTTTGGAGCTTTCGGGAAAACAAGCCCCATCAATGCAATTTCCTTGTTAATACCGTGCCACTGGTCCTGAAGCTCCCCTCCCCCAGGCACTGTGCCCCAGATTCACCCACTTTGGTAGTGAGGTGCTCCTGATGGGGTCTGGGCTGGGTGGGATTGAGGCGGCCTGACCGGGGCTGCTCTGGGGCTGGTCGGGGCAGCCGTTAGAATGTGGGCTGTGAATGGGCCGTAGGGGCCCAGCAGGGAGCCAGGAGCCTGGGAGCGTCCTGGAAGCTGCCTCCTGAATAGGGCTCAGTGCCTTGGAGGGAGGGGCGGCCAAGTCCACATTCAGCCTGAGCGGAAGACACAGAGGAGCTGGCCCGCCCACCTGCCTCGGCCTTTAATCGCACCAGCACCCAGCGTCCGACCCTAATCCTCTAGGTCACAGCTGGCCTCAGCCTGAGGCCTCCCACACGGTCTGCCTTCTCCTATCCTCTATGCTGCACCCATTCCTGGGGCGCTCAGCCCATCTAGGTAGGGGAACTGACCTACCAGATTCTCTCTTTGTATTGCTGCCATCTGGGGCTCCTTCCCCAGTCTGGGGCAAGGGGAGGAAGAGAGTTCCAGAAAGAGGCTCCACTCGCAGCTGTTGTGCCATCTTGGGTAGTTCATTCAACCACCCTGCCTCTGTTTCTCCATCAATCAAGCAGAAACTCTTCTCAGGGAGCTATAAGGGCCACCCACCCCGTGCACATAAGCGTGCCATACGGAAACGGGGGGTAGAAAATGAGAAATCCACAACCCATGCAGCCCACAAGGGCAGCCAATCTTCTATTTGGAATCTTTGCACAGTCAAGGGGCTACAGGACATTCGGGATCACAGCAGGCAATTCCACATGGAGTGAGGAAGGGCCGGGGTCATTTGGGTCTGTGCTGTCAGAGGGGCCTGGCAACACTGGGGAGAGGGACAGCAGGTCAGGGAATCAGAAATCACGGAGCAGGAGGGAAACTCAGTGGTTTTCAAACTACGCTGCAGAGTTCTAGGGGCTATGGGGCCTCCAAGGCCCAGAGGTGCTGGGGAGGGCACTGAGGAGCAGCCCCCAGCCCTCCTCAGGCAGGGCAGCTCCATTCGGAGCTAGTTTATGTGCTGGCCTTCTGCATACTATCCTGGTGAACAGCAACACGATAAGGGCTGATATGTGTGGAAAGTTTGCTATGTATCAGGCACCCCTTGACTGAAACCTCAGGCCACCACACACCCTGGTTTTTCTGTGTTAGTCCTGGCATATACCTGTTGTCCAAGCATATTAATTATTATTGTTCTTGTTTAAGAAACAACAGGATCTTGCTCTGTTGCCCAGGCTGGGGTGTAGTGATGTGATTGTAGAATTCATAACCTTGAATTCTTGGGATCAAGCAATCTTCCTGTGTTTGCTTCCTGAGTAGCTGGGACCACAGGTATGTGCTACCATACCTGGCTAATTTTTAAATTTTTTTGTAGAGACAGGGTCTTGCTATGTTGCCCAGGCTGGTCTTGAACTCCTGGCCTCAAGCAATCCTCCCACTTTGGCCTCGTAAAGTGCTGGGATTATAGGCGTGAGCCACCCTGCCCAGCCTTGAGTGTGATTTACAGTAGCTCCTTTACTCTCAAAGTGTCCTAACTTGGTCACTTTGAGAGTGGTCCCCCCTATTTAAATCTCACAGCAACCCTAAGAGGTACACACTATTGTGAGCTCCATTTTACAGGAGAGGAAACCAAGGCACCAAGAGCTGGGTTGCCCAAGTGTGAATGGCTGGTAATAGGTGCAGATGGATTCATATCCAGGCAGAGGGGCGAGAGCCTGCACTCTCTCCCATCACTAGAGTGCTGTGGCTAAAGAGAGTTTGAGAGACCCTCATCCAATCCTCTTATGTGTCCACCTAACACATATTCACTAAGGATCAACTGTGGCCCAGGCATCCCACTCGTTTTATGGGGAAACAGGTGCATAGGGCAAAAGGAACAAAATAAACTAGTCCAGGTCAGAGAGTGAGTTCGCGGTCAAGACAGAAATAGTTCAGGATTCCTCCACTGTGCTGGCTGGTCCCATCTTGCCCTCCCTTGTTTTTCTCTGTCTTGTTCGGTTGAATGAAACATAGCCCCTGAGTTTATTTTTATTTTTTTGAGATGGAGTCTCACTCTATCGCCAGGCTGGAATGCAGTGGTGCGATCTTGGCTCACTGCAAGCTCCACCTCCCAGGTTCAAGCAATTTTCCTGCCTCAGCCTCCCGAGTAGCTGGGACTACAGCACCCACCACCACACCCGGCTAATTTTTGGTATTTTTAGTAGAGACGAGGTTTCACCATGTTGGCCAGGCTAGTCTCAAACTCCTGACCTCAAGTGATCTGCCTGCCTCAGCCTCCCAAAGTGCTGGGATTACAGGTGTGAGCCACCACACCCAGCTGATTTTTAAGGGTTTCCCAATGTGTGTTCTGTGGAATACCAGGTACCTGATGGTACCTGAAATAAGGGTTCTGTGGTCCTACAAGTGGAAAAACCTCTTGGAGGGTCATAACGCACCATATCAAGGACTCTGCAAGGTTTTAGGCTGGAGAAACCTGTCTGATTTTGTTCAGCCCAGCATTCTTCAAACTTATTTGACCTTTGGTCGTAGTATTTTTTCACAGTAACACTTGATGGAACACTCTTTGGGAACAAGGTATGAGTCCACAGCAGTCACGTTTCCCTTTGGTGAACCTAGCCCCTTTGCCGCTGGTTCAGAACCAGAGCCTTTCACTTCCGCCCCATGAGTAGCATAGGTCTCCGAGCAGCTGACACTTTGCTGGAGTCTTCCAGCAATGCTAGAAGTCTGTGGGCTCCAGGCCCAGCCTGAGGGTTGACTGGGGACACCAGGCCTCAGAAGAGGCTGAGGAGTCCGTGACTGGCCTAATGGGGCCACTGAGCCGAGCTCTCAGGGAGCAAACCCCGCTGGAGCTGGGATTTGCCTGCTCAGCACCCAGGACAGCAGCACTGCTTCTCCCCTCCCAGCTGCAGGCCCATGAGCCAGGCCAAGGCTTCAGAATTTGCCCAGCAACAGGGAAGCATGAGAGAGAGAAGGACATACCTCTGTCTTCTTGTGTCTATGATGTATGTGTGATTTTCACCAGCTGCATTTTCAGGGCAAACACACGTCTGGTCTCTGCCTCCAAGGCTTGAATTCTCTCTCCCAGGAGGACCCTCTCCCTGTCCATGCTCTAGACAGGCCCTGGACCTCAGTGAGGGATGTGAGTACTTTCAAGGACCTCAAAGGCAGTACCCAGAGCCAAGGAACCAGCTGCCACTGGGGTAAAGACCTCTTGAGTCAGGAAGGTGGAGACCTGGGATCTAGAGCAGGTTCCCACCCGGATCCCCATTGTCTTCTCCCATGTACACACACCAAGGCAGAATGAGCCCTGGGAAATGAGCACAGGCACGTGTGCTAGGGCTGGAGTCCAGTGCTAGGGCTGCAGTACTGTGCTAGGGCTGGAGTAAGGTGCTAGGGCCGGAGTAAGGTGCTAGGGCTGGAGTAAGGTGCTAGGGCCGGAGTAAGGTGCTAGGGCCGCAGTACTGTGCTAGGGCCGGAGTAAGGTGCTAGGGCCGGAGTAAGGTGCTAGGGCCGGAGTACTGTGCTAGGGCCGGAGTAAGGTGCTAGGGCCGGAGTAAGGTGCTAGGGCCGGAGTACTGTGCTAGGGCTGGAGTAAGGTGCTAGGGCCGGAGTAAGGTGCTAGGGCCGGAGTACTGTGCTAGGGCTGGAGTACGGTGCTAGCGCTGGAGTCCGGTGCTAGGGCTGGAGTACGGTGCTAGGGCTGAAGTATGGTGCAGGCAGCTGTCTGGTGAAGGTTACCATGGCTCAACTGCTGGCCCCCTGCCTCATTACTCGTCTTCTGAGCAGAGCAGAATTAACGAGGCTGCCCAGGGGTTTGTGGTTCAGCAGAGCTCTCCCCACCCAACAGCCAGAGCCCAAAAGGGAACTCTGGCCCTTTCATGGATATTTACAGCCCCGTAAATTAGGTCCAGGCTGCAGCTGCCAAGGTCAGCGGGGAGGTTAGGGGAGTAGGAGCTTTCTCTCCCAGTTCTGCTTTCTTGCAAATGAGGATGCTAATTCACCCATAGAGAAAACCACCTCACACCCTTCCCTTGATCTTTTCCCCTGACTCTTTAAAATACTGACTTTCACAATTTTTTTTGTTTTTTTGTTCTCATGCCAACCCTAGAGTAAGTCTGGTTTGTCCCATAGAGAAAACCACCTCATACCCTTCCCCTGACCTTTTCCCCTGACTCTTTAAAATACTGACTTTCACATTTGTTTTGTTTTTTTATTCTCATGCCAACCCTAGAGTAAGTCTGGTTCGTCCCACTTAACAGATACAAAAATTGAGGTACTCAGAGACATGCCCCCTGCCTGAGGCACTCTGGAAGGGGTGGACCCAGGCAGTCTGGCCTGCTTCAAGCTGGGGCTGGGAGTGGGTTTTCAGAGACCTCAAGCCTCTGTGGGAAGGAGAGAGACCAGATGGAGGCATGAGGGGCCCTTGTGACCCCTACTCCCCTGGGATCTGGCCAGGCCAGGCCCCTGACAGCTGGAGAAGCCTCCACGATTCTGGGATTCCCAGTTTTATTATTTCTGCTCCCTCAGCTGCCACCATAGAGGGGTGCGGGAGGCAGCTCAGCCCTCTCATGGTGCTTCTCCCAAAAGCCCCAAGCAGCCTCCTGAGCATCCCCCTTGCCCAAAGTCGAACAGCCGAATCCTAGGATGGGGCAGCCAGGCTGATTAGGGAGAGACAGGCATCCTGGCCTGAACTCAGGCTGAGCCCTTGACAATCGGCATGCTTCCAGAAAACCATCCAGCTCTCCCAACATCTGGGAAGTGAGGGAAAGAAACGACCTCACACCTTCCCTGGAACGCATGCAGCTGGGGATGGGTGGGGTGGGCAGCACGGGTTGGGGGACTGCCTCCTCCACTGGGCCTATTCCTTCCCGCCCCTGGGGGACTCCTGCAGCCCCTTCTCCTCCTTCCGACCTCCTCACAAGGCCTCCCAGGCACACAGACGGCTCCCTTCCCATTCCAGAATGGCCCCTGCCTTTGGCAGGCCACTGAGGGGGCTGCCAGGGGCTGTGACTCAGAGGCCCTTGGGTACCCAGGAGGAGCAGATGTAACATCCATGCTGACTCATCCGGCCCAGCCTGACGCGCCGCCTGGGGACTGAAGCCGAGTCATGGCCATGAAGCCCAGGAGTCTCAAGGGAACTGCAGGCAGGGAGTGGGGAGTGAATGTCAGCAGGGAGGGATCTGACATCGCCCCATCTCTCCCCTTCAGCCTAAACTGCTGGCCGCCGCTGCTTCTCCTGGCAGCCACCAAAGGGTCTCTCTGGTCCCCCAGAGGAGAGAGAGCCAACAGATCCAGGGAGAAGGAGGGGAGCAAGATGCAGAGCGGGTGCATGGCAGGCAGGATAAAGGGCTGGAAGGATAAAGGGTGCTCAGCTGCTCCTGCATCTCCTGGCCCATTTCAGGAGCTACCCAGAAGCCTTGTGGGGACACACACACATGCATGCGTGCACACACACACACATGCACACTCTTGCACACACAAACACACATGCATGCATACACACACATGCACACTCATGCACAAACACACGTGCACACATATATACACATGCGACTGCCGCAAAAGGTCCTCACTGCTGTCTTTGGGCAAGCTCCGCCCCCTCAAACCTCACTTTCCCTTTTTATTTTAAATAGAGAAGGGGTTTTGTTATGTTGACCAGGCTGGTCTTGAACTCCTGGCCTCAAGCAAACCATCCTCCCCTCTCAACCTCCCAAAGTGGTGGGATTACAGGTGTGAGCTACTGCACCTAGCCAGTTTCCTCTTTTGAGGTGCAGCACCACACACCTCACAGGGCTGCTGAGAGATCAAAATGAGACAACAAATTTATAAGCATGCAGTTAGACATTCAATGTTTGCTCCCTCGAAGAATATTTACTGACTCAAATATACTGATTTCAACCTGTACCTTGCTTCACAAAAGCCTGGGGAATGGTGATGGGGGCTACCTCTAGTTGTTCACAGCTTAAGCCACACACGGACTGGTTTCTCTAGCACAAGACAATGGCCCCAGTGTCACGATAGACCACTAAGTAAAGCTCCAGCAGGAATTGCCAGATCAGAACACCAGACAGAGGAGTGCTAGCCCTGTCTACCTGATGGCCAGACGCCTCGTCTCACCCTTCACCCTCTGCCATGCACAACACTCCCCAGGCAGCCTTTGTCCAAAACCTTCTCTCCTTTCTCTCTGGAAAGTTCAGGGGAAATGTGATTTTTCAGCTTCTCCCCTAAAGCAGGCAGCCTGATATGGTGGAAGGAACCCCAACTGGGGCTCTGAACACTTCGATTCAAGACCGAGGTCTGGCCAGGCACGGTGGCTCACGCCTGCAATCCCAGCACTTTGGGAGGCTGAGGCAGGCAGATCGCTTGAGGCCAGGAGTTCAAGACCACCCCGGCCAACATGGTGAAACCCTGTCTCTACTAAAAATACAAAAATTAGCCAGGTGTGATTGCACACGCCTGTAATCCCAGCTACTTCGGAGCCTGAAGCAGGAGAATGACTTGAACCTGGAAGACAGAGGTTGCAGTGAGCTGAGATTGTACCACTGCATTCCAGCCTGGACAACGGGGTGAGACTCTGTCTCAAAACAAACAAAAAAACAAAAAAACCTACTCTATTATATGTCTTTTTATTTTTTACTTGTTTAAATTGCTGTAACACACAACAGTATTTATGAGGTGCTCACTACATACTGTGCCAAGCACTATACACACAGCATCCCGTCTTCACAACAACGTAGGGGGGAAGGTACTAGGCTGGCACTTTACGGATGAGAAAACTGAGGCGTGAAGAGGTCACCTGGCTTGCCCATTGCCACACACCTAGTAGGAGCAGAACTGAGACTTGACCTAGATATGTGTCCTCTCCACCTGCCTTGGTTACTCAAGGCACCAACTAAGTGAATGGCCTGGTGGCAGGAACACAGTTCAGATAGAAAGCAGGGTTGGGATCTAGTCTCCGCTCTGGCTGTATTGCACCAAGTGACCTCAGTAGGCCACTGACTTCTGTTTCCTCATTTGCAAAATGAGCGGACTGGGCTGGGCGCGGTGGCTCGCGCCTGTAATCCCAGTACTTTGGGAGGCCAAGGCGGGTGAATCACCTGAGGTCAGGAGTTCGAGACCAGCCTGGCCAAAGTGGTGAAACCCCATCTCTACTAAAAATACCAAAAAATAGCCAGGCCTGGTGACAGGCACCTGTAATCCCAGCTACTCGGGAGGTTGAGGTAGGAGAATCGCCTGAACCCGGGAGGTGGAGGTTGCGGTAAGCTGAGATCGCGCTACTGCACTCTAACCTGGGCAACAAGAGCGAAACTATGTCTCAAAACAAACAAACAAAAACAAAAACAAAATGAGCAGACTGGACAAGATGCCTCCATTAACCTTCTAATAACCTATATTCCTTGAGGTGGCAGCAGCCATACGGTGGCAGAGGGGCTGCCGTGAGTGTGGTAGCTGCACAGTCAGGGCCTGCTCTTGGAGAGGATATTTTAACCCAAGACAATGCATGCAGAGCTGTAGTTCGACCTGTCGTTCGCTCAAACGTGTGTATCTATTATGTGTCAGGCAGGCAGCCAGGCGAAGTTCAACCTCGGATCCCTCGGCCCTGTTGCCCAAAGCAATCAAATGCATTTCTGTGAGTGGTCAGGAATAAAAGGGTTAATGTCAGTATAGCTGATGGGGTCACTGGGGCAGGAGTAAGGTAGGGAAGCAGGCTCTGTGGTGAAGAGGAGTCCACAGCCTCAAGGGTCCTAGAGACCACTTGATAAGGAGTTGGGGGTGCAGAGCCCAAGGGCTCCAGTTAAGCCCGTGGCTTTGTTCCTCTCTGGGAACCCTGCTCTGCTGGTTAATTGTGAGTTCTGGGGGTGGCCAACACCCTGTCTCTGGGGCAGGAGTTTTCTCTGCAGCTCCTTGCTAATCCCTTCAGGGGTCTTATCTGAACCTCTTTTCAGCTCCCAGAACACCTTTAAGCCAGCTTGCAGGGGGGACTACAAATGAAGTCAGGCCAAGGGAAGAGCCCCAGGCTGGAGGGCAGGGAACTGGGAAGGGGAGACACTGGAAGTCAGAAAGCAAAAAAATCCTCTGGGCTCAGAAGTGTTGAGGAGCTGCCTTCCCCGTAGGGGCCTGGATCTCAGAAGTGGTCCTTGTGCTTCTCCAAGCAAATTCTGATTCTCAATGAAGATACTTCTGTTGAATATCCACTGCAAATCAGATATTGCAAAGGGAGCTTCCACTTCCATTTAATTCTCATAGTCACCCTGAAGTTAAATATTACGTCCCCATTGTACAGAGGAAGAAACTGAGGCTCAGAGAGCTAATGTAATTACCTCCGATCACAAAGTGAGTAAGACTTGAACCCAGGTCTATCTGACTCCAAATCCAAGTTTCTGACCCCAGCAACCCACCGAAGCGGCGGATCCACGCCTTCTGTTCATCGTAGCACATGTTTATGTTTATAATTTTGGTGAGACAGTCAGTACTTGTCTGCTTTCCTTCTGGGAGATTAGCAAAATTGGGGATCTCTTTTGGGGGTCTAGGAAATACAGGCTCCCAGTGAGAAGGGAAAAAGGAAGATAGTCAAGTTACTTTCAATACTGCATTTTCCCTCTTGTTCTTTTGAGCTTGAAAGCAATTGTGCTTTGTTGACTTAACGGAACTCTGCTCCAAACTCTTTTGTTCATTAAACATTCACAGATCTTGGAGGCATTTTTAAGGGTAAACCTGGAAATGACTTTTCCAACCCAAGAAGCCCTTTGTGGGTTAACTGGGCTCTGGTCCCATATCTGTCACTGCCCCGCTATTTGGCCTTTGACTAAATATTTGACCTTGAATCAAAGCTTCCTGGGATTCAGGAAGGGACTGAGAATAAGACTATCAAAGCATAACCCGAAAAAGGGAAGCTTTTCAGAAACCTATGGAACAGATGTAAAGCGATAACTAAAGGGGACATTACCTGTGCAAAATTATAAATATCAGTGGCATAAATCAGAAATAAAATATCAACCCAACCACACACAAAAATTTACCAAATAACATTTCTCAAACAATATAATAAAGAAGGCTTACTTAATAAGTGATGCTAGCATAGCTGGATAGGAATCAGATGCAGATGGAGTGCAGGGTTATATGATGTTTTTAATCATAGAAAAAGTAGTAGGAAATAAAAGGGCATATTTATGAGATCTGGGGAGGTACGAAAACTATCTCAGGTCTGAATCAACAGAAGGAATCAGGAAGGAAAAGCTCAACAGATTCCACAGAAAATAAGACTTTTTTCTTTAACAAATTTTTTTTTAAACTTTTAAAAAACGGAGGTGGGGTCTCGCTATGTTGCCCAGGCTGGTCTTTAACTCCTGGGCTCAAGCGATCTGCCCACCTTGGCTTCCCAAAGTGTTGGGATTACAGGTGTGAGCACCCAGTCAGAAAAATAAAACATCTTTACTACGATATTATACTATAACAACAGACTAATATTTATGGTAAATTTTAAATCTACTTAAATATTTAGGAAAACCATCAAGATCTCCAAAATATGAAAAGACGATTCCCTCAAGAAGAAGTTTGAACAGGACATGAACACATGGAACATACCGAGTTGAACTGATGACCCTCAGGTCTCCCACCTGCTGCAACTTCTGGGACCCATGGGGAAGAATCGGGGGAGTGAGGGTGCGTGGCATGGATTGGCCCTGCTAACACTCCTGCTTGAGTGGGCCAGATGCCACAATGCCAGGGAGGGGGATGCAGAAGCTTCCATGGGACTGGGGTCACCTGCTTTCATCACCTCCAGTCCCCACAAAAGGTATCCTGGCCATTTAGTTCGACGGTGACCATATAGGACCAACAAGACCAACACCATGGCTTCTAGCCCTTGGGGTCCAGTTGGCGTCATGCTAGATCAAGGCTACTCCACATGCTGAAGAACCAGACATTATGGAGGGACTGGTCTAATCCATCCCTAACACCTGGAAAACAGACCCTAGCAGATCCCAGTTTGAAATTGGGCTACCACTGGTGTCTGCTTGACC
The DNA here is from genome assembly GCF_000001405.40 of Homo sapiens. Taxonomy (NCBI): domain Eukaryota; kingdom Metazoa; phylum Chordata; class Mammalia; order Primates; family Hominidae; genus Homo; species Homo sapiens. The sequence continues at coordinate 32,270,312 of NC_000017.11, read as the reverse complement.
CAAGAAGGGAGGGAGGAGATACTTGACTGGTTCTAGCCACCCATGCCATTGATCTCTGGAAGGCGAACTCCAGAGTCACTTGTGCTTACAGGGACTCTGAGAGGTGTCATGTCCCATCCATGACTGCAGTTTGATCTATCAGGGTTGCTTGCTTCTTTTTTTTTTTTTTTTTTTTTTTTTGAGAAAGGGTCTCACTTTTTGGGAGGCCATCCTCCTGTCTCAGCCTCCCAAAATGCTGGGATTACCGGCGTTAGCCACTGTGCCTGGCCTAATTTCTTTCCTAGAATTAATTCTGGGCAGGCCTCCCAGAAGCAGGGGTATGCTCTTTGTGACACCCAGGACCCAGGACCTACCTTCAGTTGGAAAAATTCGATTTAATAGACCACTAGCTACTATTAGGTGCTACACATTCTTTCTGCTCCCTTGAGTTCCAAAATCTTCCTACTAAAAGCTCTCTTCCTTTCACCCAAATGGTTTGTTTTAAAATGTACACATACACACAGGGACTGGCAAAGGAAATTAATCAAATGAAAAAGATAGACACAGACAGAGAAAAAAAAAGAATGATACACTTTGTTCTAGGTTCTGATTCTAAATCTGGCAGGAGGTGTGAAGGGCTGGCAGCTTGGTGGTAGTGGTGGCAGTGGCGCAGCGGGCTCCCTCCTGCCTTGGGGCATCAGGCCAGCAGCTGCTGTACTCTTAGGAGCCAGAGGGAGAGATGCTCTACCCGTCAGGACAGGAGCCAGTGCATGCTTTGAACTTCAAACCACAGCCAGACCTCGTGGTTAATGTGGATGATCACCCCAAATCCTCACCCCAGGCCTTTCGCGCTGCAATTCCGTGTCATCACGCCCACTCCGGCATCTGCAACCGGCTGGCTCCTCTAACTGAACTTGTCTCAAACCAAAGTTGTCATTTTTGCCAAACGTCTCTCCTCACTCCAACTTGTTTTTTGTTTTTGTTTTGAGACAGGGTCCCACTCTGTCACTCAGGTTGGAGTGCAGTAGCACGATCGTGGCTCACTGCAGCCTCAACTTCCTGGGCTCAGGCAATCCTCCTGCCTCAGTCTCTCATGTAGCTGGAACCACAGGAGTGTGCTACCATGCCTGGCTGATTTTTTAATTTTTTGTAGAGATGAGGTCTCACTTTGTTGGCGAGGCTGGTCTTGAACTACTGGGTTCAAGTGATCCTCCCGCCTTAGCCTCCCAAAGTGTTGGGATTACAAGCGTGAGTCACCACACCTGGCCCCACTCCAACTTCTTTCCCTCCTAGGTTCAGAATCTCAAAGTTAGATATGTGGTTCCCCTCACCTACGGTCTATTAAGATCTTCCAATTCTTCCATCACCATGTCCCTCTTCCCGTCCATCCTCACTGTCACCTTCTTGCCTCTGTTCAGTGCTGCAGCTCCTGCCTAGCTTCCCTCATCCCCGTAGCCCATTCACTCCTTATCCCCTAAGACACTGGAGCTTTCCCAAGCCTGGCTTGGATCACATAACAACCCTGCTAAAAAACTTTCTAAGGCTTCCCCTGCCTACAACGAAGTCCTGGTTCAAGCTAATTTTTCAGCTTTATCTCCTTCTCCTACCCAACACATTCCCTCTGGCCCACTCACACCAATTTCTTAAAGTTGCACAAACTTCATGGCACAATCATTCTCACCCCAGGACTATAGCACTCAACTATCCTCCAACATGGGGCAAAGAGGGAGAAGGAAGCACATAACAGCACCCACCACGAATGCTAAGAGGAGAACCATTTCCTTGCTGAAGGTCAAATGTCCATCTCCAGGTTCAAAAGCCAATACTTGGCACCCCCAACTCCATGCCCTACACCTGGACTCCAGGCATTGCGAAGAATCACACACAATTTCCCCTCTGTAACCTCCCAGCACTCCCTCATCCCTATGACAGAATTAAAGACATTGAATTAGACTTCAAAAGAGTCCATACTGTGAGTCAGCCCCCAAGGATGGCAGAGATTTGACTTCAGCGGTGGCCATGGACCCTCCATAGTGGAGGTAGAAACGGAGAGGGATTGTCAGCCCAAGCCCTTCCCCCACCTCTCCAGCCCCCTACTGCAATCCCCTGGCATATGGAGGATTTCCCAGGCATTCAATATATAACGTCCAATTTCTACATGGTGTAAACCCGGCTCTGGTGCAGCAGAGTAGGGAGGAGGCAGGAGGGAGATCCTCTCAGGGGAGCCCATCTCTTCCTCCTGATACCTGGAGAGCAGTGTCGTTCAGCCCTAGAGATGCACAAAGCCACACCCCCACCCCACGTCACCATCTCAGGAGCGCGGAGCTAGGGAAGCCCACGCAAGCAGGGAGACTGAGACCGATTTCAGGGAGGGCTGGAAGGAAATGGGGGGTTAACTGCTCACATACCTGATCAAACAGGACTTTCCAGTGCTGGCAGAGAGGGAGGCCATGCAGGAGAGGAAGAAGAGGAGAGAAAGAAAGACACACTTATCACCAAGGTCTCTGTAGTCCTCGGATGTTTCTGACATAGCCTCCCAGCGGCTGCCCAGGAGTCATGACCAGGCTCAGGGACTGGCCACAGGAGAGCAGGGGAAGTCTGGGAGGAGCTCCCCAATGAGTCCACACTGAGCAGAGGGAGGAAACTCACAGTAAGGGATGGGGTGGGGGCGGGGGCGGCAAGGTGGGTGTTGCTGGTTCTGGAACTGGCAGAACAAGTGATTCTCAACAATTACTAAATAAAGGCGTCCAAATATGTCCAAGCGCCTCTAATAATTTCTGCTGCCTAAAGCTTATGTCCACAGCTACTCCCAGGCCTGGGAGAGCATGGCCAGGTGCAATTCCATCAGACCCCGGCGCAATGAGTCTCACCTGCTGGGAGCTAGAGCCCCCCCCTCCCCCCCCAGGAGAACTCACCTCTGCATAAACACTAACATTTTGCCTGCAGTTTTTTGTTTGTTTGTTCGTTTTTTGTTTTTTTGCGGGGAAGGGGGGGTGGTGAATGCCGAATGCGGTGAAGCCCACCCATTCTCTTCCAAGGCTGAGTCTAAGTGGTGACTACATCAGATTCTGCCAGGGGTTTAGGGCCAGAAGGAAGTGATAGATTTAACCGCAGACGCCAAAGAGAGAAGATCGTAAACTACCCCCCAACCCCATTCAGACTTTCCCGCTTTCGTTGTGTGGGTTGGGGGCCTGGTTTCACTTCCATCTCCCCACCCTGAGGGAGGAGTGGGCAGGGCAGGGTGTCTGCCCGGTTTTTCACCCCTATGTGTAGGTTAGCCCCGGGAGGTTAACCCAAGAAACTCCAGTTCCCAGGGCTTCGCAGGGCCGGCCCGCAGGACCGGAGGGATGGAGACCCGAGCAGCAGACGGCGGGGAAGCCCTCGGGGCAGCCCCTCCCTCTCCTCGCCCAGGGGACCGTCCCCTGGCACCGCCACGGTCTTGGACTCCCGGGCCTCCTTCTAGGAGCAAAGCCGCTCCCAGCACTCTTTGCCTCCCTGCTCCGGCCGGGGTCAGAGGCGGGGGCCGGCTTGAATTTCAATCAGTGTCGCGGCAAGGCAGGTGCCGGGCGGGAGCTAATCCGGGAGCGGAGGAAGGGGTCGCCAGGCCGGCTTGCATGGCCAGGGACGGGGACTCTGCGGCGTCCGCTCCTTCCCCAGCTCCGGGAGCTCGCAGGTCGCGGGCGTGAGGGGAGGGGGAGTCACCGCCGTGACGCGGCCGCCTCTGCGGGAAAACGCCGTGTCCCGGGCACTGCACCAGCGGCGGGGAGGGGGCTCCGGCGGTGACAGGTCCGCGGCGCAGTGGCGGTGCTGTGTCCCGCAGGGAAGCCGCGGGAACCAGAGCGGGGGAAGCGGTGCGCGCGCGTTTCGGGGAGACCGGTCCCTCCGCCCCCTCCTGCCCGCGGGGACCCGGCCAATCCGGGGCGCTCCCGCGTCACCCTGAAACCTCCAAGTTGCCCGGCGTGGGGCGAGACAGGGGCGGCTTTTCCCCCCGGCGCCCCCTAGAAAGTTTGCCGGGCGGGGAGGGGGCACTCACGTCCTCCGGCGCCGCGGGCAGCCGCTCCTCGGCCTCGGGTTCCAGCTCCTCGATGCGCTCCGCCTCGGCGCAGGCGGCCACCGCGGGGCCCGGGCTGGGGTGCTCGCCCATGGCCGAGACGGGGTCCGGGGGCGGCGGCGGCTGCGGGGCTCGTCCCGGGGCGCCGGGCTAACTTTGCGCCGCGGCGGCCGCGCCGCTCCAGGGGCTCAGTGCGCGCCGCGCCGCCTCCGCGCCCGCTCCGCAGCCCGCGCCCGCCCCCATGGCCCCGGTCCCCGCGCCGCCGCCGCCTCCTCGCGACCCCGGGACGCCCGGCCCCTCCGCCGCCAAACTTCACTGCGCTAGCTGCCCCGCCGGCCTCCGCCTCCGCCCCGGCCCTCGCGCCCGGCTCCGAGGCGAGGGCGCCCTTGGGCCGGCCCCGGCCCCGCCGCTCCCCGCGCTCCCTTCCCGCTTCTCGCGGCCCCCGCTCTGCGCCCGAGTCTCCTCCTCCCCGCGGAGTCCTCGGGGGCGGCGCGCGGGCGGGGGCGGGGCTGCTCGCGGGGAACGCCGGCCCCCGCCCCGCACCCCACCCCGGGCGCCGCCACCCGGGCCCAGTCGGTCAGAGCGGCGCGGCCCGGGAGCGGGAGGGCTGCGGCGGGGCTGGCGAGGAAGTGGTGGCGCTGCCCGGGGCGGGGATGGGGACTGCGCCGTCCCCGGCCCGGTCACCACCGGCCTGCACTCCGGGCCCGGGCTTGGCTCTTCCATCGGCTTAACCATCACTTGGAGGTGGCAGATATGTGATGGAGACACTATGTTGGCGACGTCAGGGTTAACTAGGAGTGAATTGGGGGCGCGATGTTGTAAGGACGGGATTCCTGCCTCCCGCCCCATTATCCTTACGCCCTATTCACTGCGGTCTCAGATTCTGGGAGGTCTCGGGAGGCCCAGAAATGGGAGAAGTCAGATTGCGGGGTCGTGGGCCCCAAAGCCTAAATCTTGCCCTTCCTACACCCAGAGCTAAGTGACCATGCCCAGGCTTCATTTGACCACATGGACAAAGGTAAGCCCAGGGAAATGCCCCATCTGGGGAGAGGGACGGTAAAGAAACTAAAGCAATCAGAAAGGAAGTTAGCCAAAACGGAGTAGGGGATCTTTTAAAGAAAACAATCGATGCTGTTTCCCTGCAGGAAAGCGCCCCCAAGAGAGACCATCTCCCGAAGCAGAGGCTCTGGCTGTAAATGGTGCTAGTGGCCGGCCTGGCAGGGGCCAGCTCTCCCCAGAGGCTCAGGAGCTTCTCCAGGAGGCATCTCGCAGTCAGTCCCCAGCCCACACCAAGGCTGTGCCCTTCCACTCCTCTTGCTTTCCTCTTCCCACCACCCACTCACTCACTAGTCTTTGCCCTCTTCCTTCCTCTGGGAAACGGAACAGGCTCCTTTCCATTAGTGAGAGCTGCAACTAATGCAGTCATCTTCAGAAAGCAAAGACATAACCCCGTGCCCAGGATCCGAACTGCGACCATCACCCAGCAATGACTGCTCCCCTTAAACACCGAGAAGGGAATTCACTTGATTCTAATTAGGTGAGTTTGCTACAGACACCAATTTTCATCTCTGTTTCAGAAAGTGTGATCATTTCAACTATTTTTGTTTCTCACCACCCTCCTCCCCATCCCTACTCTACTAACAAGTCAAGATCCTGCCAAGATTTCCTTGTAAATAAAACTGTCTGCATGGGGTGTGATTTTGAAAACAGCCTTCAGGGGACAGAAGAGAGGCTGATTCCTTTGTGAAGAGGAGCCCAGAAGGACAAATGACCGCTGGGGCCCTGGGGTCTGTGTCGCTGCCTCCCGCATCCCAGGCTGTCATTTGCATGACCGGTATGGGTGTTGGCTCTGTTATACTTAGATCTCTGGGACTAGAGAAGTGGGCCAGGAAGTCTGGTTCCAGGGGAACTGGAAGGAGAAGGGCACAGAAAAGGGTTGGCCACTCTGCTGGGATGCCCAGCCACCCTGGACAGTGTTCTGATACCAGCTACCCAGGGAGCTGCCTCTTCATCAGCCCAGGGACAGCTCTTATCAACATATCCAACTCTGTCATCCCTTCGTGGGGAAGGGAGCTTAGCAGGCTCAGTTCTGTTCCTGAACATGTATTAAGCTCCTACTAAGTACCAATGACAGAGCTTTGAGAATACAGAGGTGGATAAGAACCAGACCCTGCCCTCCAGAAATGGATAATTGGGGGTGACAGTCACATTCAACACAAGGGTAAGTCCTGGATTCAAGGGAAGCCCAGAAGGTGTAGAACTCCAAAGGAGGGGGTCGCTGTGGGTCCAGGAAGGCTTCCCAAAGGATAAGCCTCCAGAACTAGGCAACATGGAAAAGGTGAAGGAGGTGTTCCAGGTAGAGGGAACAGCACGACCAGGCTTGTGGAGCAGCATCATATGGGAGGCAAACGACAAGCAGTTTGGCATGGCTGGAAACTGGAGCACGATGACCAATCTAAAGAGCCCAGCCTGGACGGGAAGGTTGTGAGGGGCTGTGAGTTTCATGGGAAAAGAGCTTGGACTTTACCTAAGGGCAATAGGGAGCCATTGAAGGATTGTGAGCAGTAGAGTAATATTTAAAAGATCCCTGGCCAGGCGCGGTGGCTCACGGCTGTAATCCCAGCACTTTGGGAGACCAAGGCGGGCGGATCACGAGGTCAGGAGATCGAGACCGTCCTGGCTAACACGTTGAAACCCTGTCTCTACTAAAAAAATACAAAAAATTAGCCGGGCGTGGTGGTGGGCGCCTGTAATCCCAGCTACTCGGGAGGCTAAGGCAGGAGAATCACTTGACCACAGGAAGCGGAGCTTGCAGTGAGCCGAGATCTGCCACTGCACTCCAGCCTGGGCGACAGAGTGAGACTCCGTCTCAAAACAAACAAAAAAGATCCCTTTGGCTGTAGTGTAGAGTCTAGACAGGAGGGAGGTTGGCCTGAGCAGAGGGCCATGAGAGGTGCTGTCCAAGGAAGAGGTCACAAGGGCGGCAGCAGTTAGAATAAAAGGGAGAGGGAAGATGGGAAACATCCAGAAGGCTATCTTGTTCCTCCTTCTGTCCCTAGGAACATTTACCCCGCCTTGGCAGGCTATGTTTCCAAAAGTCTCCTAAGAAGGAATTCCTGATCTCTCACCAGGATTCTTGCTTCACGGGGCAGCTTCTCTCACCTTGGCCCTTGCTGGGAGGTGATGGTGTCTGGACTTGGAGACTGTTAGGACAAGTTGTTACATCCATCATCCTCCATGAGCCTGAGGCCACCCTTTACCTGTTGTCCTCAATGTCACCTACGCCCAGCTGGTCAGACCACTCTGCCCCTCAGCTCCAGGCGAATCTGCAACCCACTCCCGAGCAGGCAGTAGGACATGGGGCCTGGGGTCCAGGCCTAGAAAGCTCCAGGGGATAGGAGTGGCTAGGCACCCTGACACCTTTTGTTCTACTCTCACCTGAGACAGCCTAAGGACTGGCATATTCTGTGGCATTTTGGGGGCAGAGGAGGGAGTAGGCATGGTGTCACTTTCACTGACCAGCTGCAGCAGGCAGGCACTCGTCGATGCCTGGAGGTGTGCCATGCAGAGGCCCCTCCCTGGGAGAACCTTTGGCGCTAATGAGAAGTGACACGGAACTGGGCCTATTGGCACTTCTTCCTTGCTCTTCATTTTGCAAGTGCGCTACACCATGGCCTCTTTTAAGGTTCCTAACAAGACACTTGAAGTCAACGCAGAGCAGGATGAAGGGCTGGGGAAGGGTGGATCAAACTCGGTTTAGAAGGGCAGGAGCATGATGTTGAGATGAGCCTTGAAAGGGGCAAGCTTGTGGTAGAGAACGTGGAAGGGTTTCTAGGTGGAGGGAACTGCTGCGGCAAAGACACAGAGATAGGAAAGCTGTTGACTGTGTTGGGAACCATGAAGTGGCTGAGCACAAAGTGAGGATGGCCGGGCAGGCGAGGAGCACTGTGTCGCCAGAGTCCCCGAGTGCCAGTCTGAGGAGGTTGGACCTCGCCCAGTGGGAGATAGAGAAGCGGTGATGGCTTCTAACTGGAGCAGCATTTTAGGAAGATTAAGTTGGCGACAGCTCAGCAGTGCCATTCAGCTCACACGTGCTGAGTGTCCATTATGTGCCAGACCCTGGCCGAGGTACTGATAGTACAAAGGGGATGAGACCCGGGCCCTGGCCTCCTGGGGGAAAATGAGGTCATCCTCTAATGACAGTCCAGTGGGATAAGGGGGAGGAGAGAGAGAAGAGCCTTTCCAGGGCTGAGTCTCTCAAATGTGCCCTCCAAGAGAGGAAGGAGTTTTTTTAAGGACCCGATGTTCTGGTCCTGGGAACTGGGACAGTTGGCTGCCATGGAAAAGCCAGGAGTAGCTGCTGGAAGCGGGGAGAGGAAGGCAAAGGGGGCTGAGCAGTTTGTTTGTGGACACCTTGAGCTAATGAGAAGCCAGGGAAGAAACATGAAGGGCTGTAATTATTGCTCAAAGCAATGGCAATGCCCAGAAGGGGGGCAAACAGGGATGACTTTTTCTCCAGAACCTCTTTCACTTGGGGTTCATTCTGACATCTCCCTCTGCCAGACCCACACCCTCCGAGCCCCTTCTCTCTCTGCAGCCAGCTTAAACCTAAACTGACCTTCGTGGCACCCTGTCCCCACCTGTAGCTCTAATCTTCTGAGAAACCAGCCCTGAGCTACCACTGTTTGCCTTCCTGAGATGAAGACGTAAGTTATTTTTGACTGAGATCCAAGTCCCGGCCCTGAATTCTTTTGTCTTCCGGGAATCCCCCAGCCGTGTTTGAAGTCTGCAAGTCCAAACAGCAGACATGGCTCAGGATGGCAGAATCCGACCACCCTCCACCTCCATCTCCAGCATTCTTCCATCATCGCCCGCTGTCTGCCAGATCAAACGGAGCAAGACTGCTACATGGATTTCTTTCCCTTTCGTCTCTTCCTTTCACTCCAGGGCTCCCAGTTTTCTGAGTAACTTAAATCATTACTGAGAGATGTGTAGGTTCACAGACCAAACCCTTTCAAAGCAAGGCGTGGGCACCCAGAAGTTGAGCTCAGAAAAGCACAGAAAAAAACTTTCCCAGTCCCAAGATTTAGCCAGTCACACATTCAGGGAAACAATCAGCTACTTTGCCAGGTCTTACCTTCCTTTCCTGCCACCTCCTTGGGGCCTGGCTGGTCCCCAGGGTCCCATTTCTGAATTCTCATTGGGCCTCAAGACTTCCATATGACCTTCACTGTGCTATAGGCAGGTCCTGTGTCTTCAGTAAACCACCTGTTCTATCTTACCCATCAGCCAGTCACAGTGGCTCACACCTATAATCCCAGCACTTTGGGAGGCCAAGGTGGGAGGATCACTTGAGTCCAGGAGTTCAAAACCAGCCTGGGCAACATAGCAAGACCCTGCCTCTACAAAAAAATTTAAAACCGGCCGGGCGCGGTGGCTCACGCCTGTAATCCCAGCACTTTGGGAGGCCAAGGCGGGCAGATCACGAGGTCAGGAGATCGAGGCCATCCTGGCTAACACGGTGAAACCCTGTCTCTATTAAAAATATAAAACATTTGCCGGGCCTGGTGGCGGGCACTTGTAGTCCCAGCTACTCGGGAGGCTGAGGCGAGAGAATGGCGTGAACCAGTGGGGCAGAGCCTGCAGTGAGCCGAGATCACGCCACTGCACTCCAGCCTGGGCGACAGAGCGAGACTCCGTCTCACAAAAAAAAAAAAAAAAAAAAAAATTAAAACCTAGCCAGGTGTGGTGGCATGGGACCTGTAGTCCTAGCTACTTGGGAGGCTGAGGTGGGAGGATCCCTTAAAATAAAGGAGAGAATCTTGCCCATCTCTCTGACGAATGCTCTCTCCTCCACAAAGCCTTTCCTCAACTCTCCAACCCAAATGAACCACTCCTTCCTCTGAATCCCTTTTTCCTTTTGACTTTGAATTATATCTTCTAAGTTTTATCTTCCTGATACTAGAACGTACATTCCTTGAAGGGGAGGATTATGGCTTATTCAATTCTGCATCCTTCGCAATGCACAACATTGCACACTGTAGAAACTGAACAAATGTCTGTTTAATGAAAAAAAGGGGATGCCTCTCTTGATATGACACAAAGTCTAATTATATAGTTATTACTCTCAACCTGCAACAAGAGACAACTTTTATGTTATGGAGAAAAAAATTCTTCTGCATAATAATAATGCGCCTGTATGCCTGCTGCCTTTATTTCAAAATACTTCCGCATTTGCCATTGCATTTCATCCTCAAAAAGCAAGCCTTTCTGAGGTGAGCAGAACAGATACAATTGCCTCCATTTTATAAATGGGGACACTAAAATCCCTGGGCCCCGGGGAGGTTTGATTCTCCATGCCTGTCACCAAAGTTCTTATTTAAAGAGTGAAATACAAAAGCCCCTGATGGTAGTGAGTGCCCTTGGCCCCGACCGCTGACCACTGTCTGCAGAGACTGCTTTCCCAGGGCAACTGGACCAGGCTGAATCCCAGCGCACAAATAGGGCTTGTCCAGCTGCAGGCTTGTATGAGTCAGAAACTTTGGGGGTTGTCTCTGGCTTTGTAGCTAAAACTTCCATTGGTCTATTTACTGCTTTGTTTCTCTCAACCTAAGTGTGCAATCAGTGTCCTCAGAAAAAAAGAGAATGATCTGATTTTCTTACCCACTGCACAGAACCAGGCACCAGAGTGTCCAACAGACTGTGGAGGGAAAGAAATGGTGCGAGTCTGGCACAGCCAAGGGTAATTAGCTGTAAGAGACCTGTGGCAAACCTTGACATTAGAGCTCACTGTCTATGAGGGGCAAGGATTGGTTTTGTTGGTTTGCAGTATTATCTTTTTTTTTTTTTTTTTTTTTTTGGAGATGGAGTCTGGCTGTCAGCCAGGCTGGAGTGCAGTGGCATGATCTCAACTCACTGCCACCTCCGCCTCCTGGGTTCAAGCCGTTCTCCTGCCTCAGCCTCCTGAGTAGCTGGAACTACAGGCGTGCACCACCATGCCCAGCTAATTTTTGTATTTTTAGTAGAGACGGGGTTTCACCATGTTGGCCAGGCTGGTCTTGAACTCCTGACCTCAAGTGATCCACCCACCTCAGACTTCCAAAGTGCTGGGATTACAGGCGTGAGCATTGCCCCTGCCCTGCAGTAGCATCTTTGACTCCTAGAATGATTCTTGGCACATAGAAGGTTCACAAAAAGTATTTGCTCATTGAATGAACCTGTCCTATTTATACTTCTTCAGGCCTAGAGAAGGCCTCCCCGAGGCCAGAATCCCTGGGAAGTCTGCCCAGCATCTAGTCTCTTAGGACTTCGTTGGCCTCCTCTGGGGAAGAACATCAATTCAGCCCAGCACCTGCTCCAGTGAGGGGCTGCAGCGAAGAATGACGTGGGGTCCACGAGGCAGGCTTTTTGATGGTGAGGCCGCAGCAGCAGCATCAGCATCAGCAGCAGCAGCAGCAAGACATCCTGGAGCTCCATATTCAGTATGGCAAGAGGCAACGGGCGTGAGGGAAGCAGTCCCGAACAGAAATGCAGGAGCAGCGGTAACAGCAGCAGCCGCTGCCTGCGAGCATCAGGCAGGGGAGTGAGACAGTGGGCACTCAAATCCGTTTCCTCCATCTCTCAGCCACACAGCCCAAGCGAGGCTGTGTGAGAACTTCTCAGTGCACATTGTAAATACCATCTGTCACACTGCCTGCCCAGATGCGGCCTTCCTCCCTGCAAAGGAAGCATTCTTTATTATTTATGCAGAATGCACCCTACTTAAGTGTTGCACCACCAGCAGAGAGAAGACAAAGCCTGGAAGAGTCAAGGACTCCAGGGATCTGCTTTTCGGATAGCAGCCGGTTGGGAGGGGCTTGGTCATCCATCTTTCTGGGGTGGGAGGTTCATTCAGTCGGGCAAGGGCACTTCCCTAGGAATTAGGAGGCCTGCGTTCTCAGCTTAGTTCTCTCACCAGCTTGCTGTGTGACCTTGGGCAGACACCTCACCCCCATGGGCCTCCATTTTTTTTTTCCATCTGTAAATGCAGGGGTCAGACTAGATGATCTATGACATCCCTTCCAGCTCTAAATTCAATTGGTGTCCCTCTAACCCTTCTCCATCCTGTGCGGGCCCAGAAGCCTGTTCATTACCGTCAGCTCTCCTTCCCAGCTGGCAGGGGAAATACAGTTCAGGATCTGATTTCTTTTTCTTTTTCTTTTTCTTTTTTGAGACAGAGTTTTGCTCTTGTTGCCCAGGTGCTGGAGTGTAATGGCGCGATCTTAGCTCACCGCAACCTCTGCCTCCCGCATCCTCCTCCTCCCGGGTTCAAGTGATTCTCCTGCCTCAGCCTCCTGAGTAGCTGGGATTACAGGCATGTGCCACCATGCCCAGCTAATTTTGTATTTTTAATAGAGACGAGGTTTCTCCATGTTGGTCAGGCTGGTCTCGAACTCCCAACCTCAGGTGATCTGCGTGCCTTGGCCTCCCGAAGTGCTGGGATTACAGGCGTGAGCCACCGCGCCCGGCAGGATCTGATTTCTTAGTACCTGAGAGCAGGACAAGGGGCCAGCAGACCTAGGCTCTTGTCCAAGCTCTGTCACTGTTTAGCCTTGTGGCCCTGGGGAAGGCAGTTTCCTAATCTCAGTTTTGTCTTTTGTGAAACCAGTGGGAGGGACTAAGAGATTTCTGGAGGAGAATCCATCTCTAAATTCCATAATCCCTGATTTTCCCTTCCAAAACACTGCTGATAAACACGTTTACAGACCAAGTCTCTAGACCTGGAGATTAGTGAAACATAGTTCTCTGCCCTCAGTGAACTCGAAGTCAGGTGGAAAAGGCATGCTAGCTAAAAACAACTGCAGGTGCAATGTGACAGGTACAAGTAGAGATGGGTGCAAAGGATGTGGTGGCATTAAGGCGTCCAAGTAGGTGATGCTGGAGCTGGATCTTAAAAGATTGAGTAGGAGTTCACCAGGTGGATGGGGCCTGATGTGTTCAAGACAGAAGGAACTGCATGTACTAAGGCAGGAAGGTGTGAATCTGCATTGGAACTGCCCACTTGTCCACTGTTAGGCTGACAGTGACATTCGGGGAGTCTTTGCATTGACTGCTTCCTCTGCCCCCCCTTTAGAACAATCTGGTACTCCCTGGGTTGGGATGAGGGGACTTATGGTTGACGGCTCCATATGGCTTCCCTGCCCATGAAGTGCATCACCAAGGAGATGAGTGACTTGAGTAAGTCTCCCCTTCCACATGCCGGTATCTGTTCTCTGAATGAAAATCAGCGAAGCAGACTGAAACTGAGGGGCTGGCTCAAAGGGTCTGAAGGTGACCCATAACTCTTCAGCCTCGCCCACCATCAGGCCAGGTCAGAGGAGGAACGTGGCACTGTGCAAAATGGGGCCCAGTGGCTGACGTGGGCCGTCTCGGTTTGTTGGGCATCCTCCCCTGTGCAGCCAAAGCACGTGATCTGTCCTACAGCTGGGGTGGCCTGTTGTGGCTCCTTGGGGAGCTGTCCACGTCATCTGCAGAGAGATGAAATCAACCTGTCCCTTCTCCGTGAAGGACATCCTGCAACAGAAATGCACTTCCCCCAAACCCAGCTTCTCAATGTGGTCACTGTAGCTCTGGGCTGCAGCTCACATGCCTGGCTCTGCATACTCCAAAATACACAAGAACGGCAGAGGGGAGACGCATGCATCCAAGACATCATTAGCTGTGAGCAGCCTCATAGGCTGTGAGCCATGGGGTTAACCAGGCTCAGAGAAGGCCTGCAAAGCGGCAGTAAACATTCTGCTGGCTTGGCTTGGCTTGCTGCAACAATTTATATCCCAGGAAAAAAAGGGGCCAAAAGTCACGGAAATAACAGAAATGCTGAAGGAACTGGCACATTTGCCAGATGGTTCCTGGGGCACAATCGTATTTGCAGAGGGACAGTCTGCAGCGGAGGTCCTTTCATCAGAGAGCAAAGACTCTGGCTGACCGCTCATTCATTATCCCAGGACTCACTTGGAGGAGGGTGGTGGCTGGAGCACACCCACGCTTGTCCTTCCTTCCCGGAACCTTGAAGCTGTGGTTGCCTGAAGCTGAAGTGGCATTTGGGATTGGGCCTCTCCAAACACCCACAGCTCTGCTTCTTTAGACACCTGCCACCTGTGTCTCTTTTTCCCAACTTACACCAGCCAGTCCATTCTCCCAGCTGCCAGCTGTCATTTTCTCCTTAGTGCAACTGGTCAGATTTTAGTAAATAACACAGCTTGGGCTCTGACAATATGAATTCAGTTGTGCTGCCAGGGCCGAACTATGAGGCAGTAGGGACAAGGCTGGGACAGGCTAAGTGGGCTTGAAAATATGAATAACCCGGCTGGGCGCGGTGGCTCACGCCTGTAATCCCAGCACTTTGGGAGGCAGAGGCGGGCAGATCACGAGGTCAGGAGATCGAGACCATCCTGGCTAACACGGTGAAACCCCGTCTCCACTAAAAATACAAAAAAAAAATTAGCCGGGCATGGTGGCGGACGCCTGTAGTCCCATCTACTTGGGAGGCTGAGGCAGGAGAATGGCGTGAACCTGGGAGGCGGAGCTTGCAATGAGCCGAGATCGCGCCACTGCACTTCACCCTGGGCGACAGAGCGAGACTCCGTCTCAAAAAAAAAAAAAAGAAAAGAAAAGAAAAGAAAATATGAATAACTGGAAGGGCATTTAAAATTATTTGCTGCATTATCACAGAATTTTCAAGAACTCATTGCTTTGTCCTGGTATTGCATATGTCTGTGTTTGTCTTCCTCCATTAAACTAGAGACTTTTTTTTTTTTTTGAGACAGACTCTCGCTCTGTCACTCAGGCTGGAGTGCAGTGGCGCAATCTCAGCTCCCTGCAATCTCCACCTCCCAGGTTCAAGCAATTCTCCTGCCTCAACCTCCCAAGTAGCTGGAACTACAGGAGCATACTACCAAATCTGGCTAATTTTTTTGTATTTTTAGTAGAGATGGGGATTTACCATGTTGGCCAGGCTGATCTTGAACTGGTCTCAAATGATCCACCTGCTTCAGCCTCCCAAAGCCAGGATTCCAGGCATGAGCCACTGCGCCCAGCCTAAACTAGAGATTTTGAGCAGTAGGGAAGATGTCTGTCTTGGCTTTGCTACATTCTCCATGCGGATTGGTGGTTATAGCCTGAATCATGCTGTTGCCCCCAGAAACCTTGGTCATGGGGGTGATGGGGTGAGGGTGAGTGGACAGTCAACACAAAGGCATCACTACAAGCAGAGGCCCTATTCTTGGTGGTCAGTGCCTACCTCTGCATAAGGACAGTGTCATAGCAGCAGAGGGAGGCTGTGCGTGGTCAGCTACTTATTGAAAGGGTGCCCACCTATTAGAAGTTCTATAATTGTCCATTTATTGCAACTTCTGTGTTATATGATGACCTCCTTAAGGAAAGGATGTCTCTATAATCATCTTACTTTCTCTACATCCTAGTACCATGCTTGTCAGTGTGGCATTGAGGGATTTGGTGGAAAACATACATATTTATCCATTTAGACTTCCATTTGCATCTGGCAGGATAACTTTCAGCAGGCTGGTTAACCTCAATGAGCCTCAGTTTCCTTGGATTTAAATGAGGCTAATATTACCCATCTTGTGAGGATGTAGGTAAAAAGGATGGGACAGTACTTGGCACAGAGTAGCTCTCAGTAAGCATCCGTTCCCCATTCCTTCCCCGCCCAGGATACTCAATACATGGAGTTGAATAAATGAATAAATTATTTCAGAGATGAATACACTTTGGCATCTTTCTTGGATATATTCACACTCCCCAAAGCCCAAATATTGCAGTTAAAAAAAAAACATCCAACGGCCGGGTGCGGTGGCTCATGCCTGTAATCTCAGCACTTTGGGAGGCCAAGGCGCGTGGATAGTTTGAGGTCAGGAGTTTGAGACCAGCCTGGCCAATGTGGTGAAGCCCCGTCTCTACTACAAATACAAAAGTTAGCCAGGCGTAGTGGTGAGCGCCTGTAGTCCCAGCTACTCGGGAGGCTGAGGCAGGAGAATCACTTGAGCCTGGGAGGCACAGGTTGCAATGAGCCAAGACTGCACCACTGCACTCCAGTTTGGGCGACAGAGTGAGACCCTGTCTGAAAAAAAAAAAAAAAAAAAAACAACTAGGTAACCGAATTTGCAGGAGGCAGCCATCCTACAGCAGGGGCTAAAATGGTTTCCAGCAGATGGAGAAGCACCTCTGTTGTTTTCTAAAGGGAAATACATGCCTGTAATCCCAGCACTTTGGGAGGCTGAGGTGGGAGGATCATTTGAGCCCAGGAGTTTGAGACCAGCCTGGGCAACATAGTGATACTCCATCCTGACAAATAAAAAATTTAAAAATTAGCTGGGCACAGTGGCAGGCACCTGTAGTCCCAGCTACTCAGAAGGTGGAGATGGGGGGATTGTCTGAGCCCAGGAGTTCAAGGCTGTAGTGAGCTGTGTTTGCACCACGGCACTCCAGCCTGGGTAACACAGTAAGACCTTGTCTCAAAAAATAAACAAATACATAAAATAAAATAATGCAAAGAAACTACATCAGGAAACACGACTAGACGTGGTGGATCACGCCTGTAATCCCAGCACTTTGAGAGGCCG
The DNA here is from genome assembly GCF_000001405.40 of Homo sapiens. NCBI lineage: Eukaryota > Metazoa > Chordata > Mammalia > Primates > Hominidae > Homo > Homo sapiens. Next base: position 32,253,665 of record NC_000017.11, on the reverse strand, counting down.
AGGCGGGTGGATCACCTGAAGTAAGGAGTTCGAGACCAGCCTGGGCAACATGCGGAAAGCCCGTCTCTACTAAAAATACTAATATCAGCCGGGTGTGGTCGCGGGCGCCTGTAATCCCGGCCACTTGGGAGGCTGAGTAACGATAATCGCTTGAACCCAGGAGGCAGTTGTTGCTGTGAGCTGAGATGGCGCCACTGCACTCCTGCCTGGGCGACAAGACCAAGACTCCATCTCAAAAAAAAAGAAAAAGAAAAAGAAAGAAACTACATCAGGAAACAATGCCACAGGACCTTGTGTTTGACCTCTTTTATTTCTCTGCTTGATACAGAAAGCACCCAGTTGGTACCTAATAAATGCACACTAAAGGCTTTGCCTCCTTAGAGGTGCTGGAGTAGCAAGACTGGCTGGGCGCCACATGAAGTCCTGGAGCCACAGTGTCCTCTAGTGGGAAAATGAGGCCATAGCACCCCACAGAGCTGACAGACACACAGTGCGGTGCCAGAGCTGGGCAGTTTCCCTAAAGTGACCTGGATTAGTCTCAGTGCAGGCGCCAGGGCAGACTTCCAGGGCTGTTTTCATGCCTAGAAAACAAAAAACAAACAAACAATACACTTTACAGGACGTGTTTTTCTGCACGTATTACTCAGAAAGCCATTGCAGCCACATTTGTTCCTTAAAATTAATTGTCAGTCAATTTGCGGGTCTAGGCGATAATGATAGGCTAGCATCACAGAAAGAAACCAGATATTTGCTGCCTCTGATGGAAGTATACAGCACCCCCTAAGTATTTTTGCTACAGAATTGAACGTGAATCTGTTCAAGTCTCTAGATCCAATTCACAGGAAATACATTGGTCATTAATGAATAAATATATTTAGAAGAGTATGTTGAATGACACCACAGGTATATGATCAGGAAAATCCATACCATAGGAAACTACAGGACAAATCACCTGGTTTCGTCAGCAATATATATTTGATCCTGACTTAAAAAAAACAAGTGAAAAAAAAAGACTTGTTTAAAGAGTTGGGGCGATCCAAACACTGTATATTTGATCTTAAGGAATTGTGGTTTTTTTGAGACAGGGTCTTGTTCTGTCGCCAAGGTTGGAGTGCAATGGTGCCATCAGGTCTCACTGCAGCCTCGACATCCCAGGCTCAATCAATCCTCCTACCTCAGCCTTCTGGGTATCTGGCACTACAGGCCTGCACCACCATGCCTGGCTAATTTTTGTATTTGTCGACATGGGGTCTTGCCATGTTGACCAGGCAACTCCTGAGCTTGAACTCCTGAACTTAAGCGATCTGCCTACCTTCACCTCCCAAAGTGCCAGGATTACAGGCATGAGCCAACATGCTTGGCCAATAGTTCATTTTTAAAGTGTGAAGATGGTATTGTGGTTTTGTTTTGTTTTGTTTTAAGATTCTTTATACTTTAGAGGTACACACTGAAGTATTTTCAGATGAAATAATGGGCTATCTGGGCTTTGTTCAGCATAATTCCAAAATGGGTGGGGGAACAATGAAACAGATTGACCATGTTAGTAAGTGTTGAAGTTCAGTGGTGGGTACATGTACATGAGAGATCATTATACTATTTACTCTACTTTTGTTTTTATTTGAACATTTTAAAAAATATTTTAAAAAATCCTTACTAAGGTACGTTTTACTTTAATTCTCTTTGAGAGCCCATAGGTAACACCTTTAAAAGCCTTATTTTGCTGCCTCTGTGAGAAAACTATTTGACAGCTTCTGTAGGATGGGGTGTTATAGATTGCTTTCACCAAGCACATCTGAGAAGTATGGTCAGAATCGGGTGAACCTCTATGCTTTAAAACTTGAGGGTCAGGTGCAGTGGCTCATGCCCATAATCCCAGGACTTTGAGAGGCAGAAGTGGGAGGATCGCCTGAGCTTAGGATGTTCGAGACCAGCTTGGGCAATATAAGGAGACCTCACCTCTACAAAAAAATTTAAAAAGCTGGTGGGGGGTGGGCGTGGGCCTCTAGTCCCAGCTACTCAGGAGGCTGAGGCAGGAAGATTGCTTGAGCCCAGGAGATGGAGGCTGCAGTGAGCCGTGATGGCGCCACTGAACTCCAGCTTGGGTGACAGAGACCCTGTCTCAAAAAATAAATAAAATGGCACCATTTGAAAGAGCTTCTGTTCTTTTATTTACCCCTGGATAATAGGGTGGGAAGAGGCCAACGACCAGTGGACAGGTCATTTAAGGGCGGCTTTGACAAATGCTCTGACTCAAGGAAGCCAGTTGCACCTATGCTCCTGGCAATCTCCAGACTGTCTGCATGACGCTCTCTCCTGAGCAGTAACTCCTGACCAGAACTTCCCAAGAAAACCTCAGCAAGTGTATAGGTGGATTAAGCACCTCCTGCCTCCTTTGCAACCACCATTCTCCCCTCTGCACCAGCTTATATAAACACAGCTGTATCAGCAGCCCTCCAGCTGCCAACTCTCCTAGAAGATATTTGGCATTTTCCTATTCTGGCTAAAAATAAGTCTCAGGCTCTCCTGGGCATCTGCAGGTGGAGTGCTCATTCTGCCATGCTGGAGTTTTCTTAAGATGCTGTAAGTAAGAAACATGGAATTACTTGTATCATGTTCATGGCAGAAGCTCTGCTCCTTCCCTTGGGAAATGGTCACAAGCATAATCAAAGCTGAAAGGAGCCCTTCTGCCTGTCCCTAAAGGTCTTCACTCACTGGGTACTAACCTCGAACATGGCATCTGCAGACAGAGGGCATGGGTTCAAGTCCCAGTCCTTCTGGTTAGCTAGGTCTGGGACAGGTTCCTTAAACTCCTTGAGTCTTAGTTCTCTTATAATGGGCATGATAGTAATATCTACACCTCTTGGTTATGACAATTAAATGGTATGTGAAAAGGGCTTTGGAAACAGCCCTATAAATGTGCTATTTTTTTTCCTTCTTCTTCTTCTTTTTTTTTTTTGAGATGGAGTTTCACTCTTATTGCCTAGGCTGGAGTGCAATGGTGCGATCTAGGCTCATCGCAACCTCCGCCTCCCAGGTTCAAGCGATTCTCCTGCCTCAGCCTCCTGAGTAGCTGGAATTACAGACATGCGCCACCACACCTGGCTAATTTTGTATTTTTAGTAGAGACGGGGGTTTCTCCATGTCAGTCAGGCTGGTCTCGAACTCCCGACCTCAGGTGATCCGCTTGCCTCAGCCTCCCAAAGTGCTAGGATTACAGGCGTGAGCCACCGCACCCAGTCTATTTTTTTCCTTCTTAATACACTCTCCCACCCACCCCCCTTGGACCAACAGGCTCTCATTTATACACTCAACAAACACTTGAGACATTTTAAGAAAAGAAAACTTCAGACCAATATCCCTCATGAACATAGGTTCAGACATTCTTAAAATGTTGGCAAGTCACCTCTAACATATATGAATAGGATAATACATCGTGACCAAATGGGGTTAATCTCAGCACAGCAAGTTGGTTTAACATTTGTAAATCAATGTTGGCTGGGCGTGGTGGTTCATGCCTGTAATCCTAGCACTTTGGGAGGCTGAGGCAGGGAGACTGCTTGAGCTCAGGAATTTGAGACCAGCCTGGGCAACATTATGAGACCTTATAATGAGATTTTGTTTCTAAAATGTCAGCTAGGCGTTGTGGCACACGCCCATAGTACCAGTTACTTGGGAGATTGAGGTGGGAGGATTGCTTTAGCCTGGGTGATCGAGGCTGCAGTGAGCCGAGATCAAGGCTGCAGTGAGCCATGATTGCACCACTGCACTCCAGCCTGGGAGGCAGGGATCCCATCTAAAACAAAACAGAACCAAAAACTATGTTATTTACCATATTAACAGACTGAAGAAGGAAAACTATACGATAATCTCAATAGATGCAGAAAATCATCTGACAAAATTCAACATTTATTTATGACAGAAACTCTGAGGTGGTTGCTGTCCCAGGAACAGCCTGAAGGTGGGCAAAGGGGGAAGGAGGGAGACCAGTAGAAGCCTAGTCCATCAATCCCAGCTAGAGAAAGATTAGGGAGATAATTGGATCATGACGGTGGTGAGAGGTGGCCACTCTCTGATTATCTTGAAGGTAGGCCCAACAGGATTTGCTAATAGAATGACTGTAGGGAGTGAGGGAAAGAAAGTATCCAATAAGGATGACTCGGATATTTTTGGACTGATCAACTGAAAAGCTAAAGTTGTGGTTAATAATGATGGGGAAGATGGTGGGCATAGCAGATTTTGGTGGAATAGATCAAAAGTTTAATTTTGGACATGTTAAGTTTGAGATATACATTCAGCATCCAAGGTAAGGTGTCTAATAGGCAGAGGATATATAAATCTAAAGATAAAGAGAGAGACCATATTTGGGCTCTAAATTTGGGAGGCTTCAGCATATAGTTGGTGTTTAAATTTAGGAGAGAAATAAAATTACAAAAAATCTGAGAAAAGACAGAAAAAAGGTGTCAAGGACTCAGCCCTGTGTCTCTTCACCATTAAGATATCTGATAGAGGAAGACAATCCAGCAAAGAAGCCCGGAAAATAGTGGCCAGTGAGGCAGAAAGAAAACCAGGAGATTGTGGAGGCCAGAAGCAGACAGTGTTCCGAGGAGAAAGGAAATGTGTCAGATGCTGTTGCTGAGGGTAAGATAATGGCTGAGATCAGATGCTGTTGCTGAGGGTAAGACGATGGCTGAGATCAGATGCTCTTGCTGAGTGGTAAGACGATGGCTGAGAACTGATTGTTGAATTTGGCAATGTGGAGGACATTGGAGACCTTTACAAGAGCAGTTTCGGTATGGTAGGGGAGGTAACAAGCTGGGAGGAGTGGCTCAAGACAGAATAGGAACATCAATCTCTTCAAAAATTCTTCCAAAAAATAGAAAAGGGGAGAACACTTCCCAACTCATTCTGTGAGGCCAGTATTACCATGAAAAGTGTTACTTGGGGCCGGGCACGGTGGCTCACACCTGTAATCCCAGCATCTTGGGAGGCCGAGGCAGGTGGATCACGAGGTCAGGAGATGGAGACCATCCTGGCTAACACAGTGAAACGCTGTCTCTACTAAAAATACGAAAAATTAGCCGGGTGTGGTGGCAGGCGCCTGTAGTCCCAGCTACTCAGGAGGCTGAGGCAGGAGAATGGTGTGAACCAGGGAGGTGGAGCTTGCAGTGAGCCAAGATCACGCCACTGCACTCCAGCCTGGGAGATAGAGTGAGACTCCATCTCAGAAAAAAAAAGAAAAGTGTTACTTGGATAACAAAACTAGACAGAGACATCACAAGAAAACTACACCGGCCGGGCGCGGTGGCTCACGCCTGTAATCCCAGCACTTTGGGAGGCCGAGGCGGGCGGATCACGAGGTCAGGAGATCGAGACCATCCTGGCTAACACGGTGAAACCCCGTCTCTACTAAAAATACAAAAAATTAGCCGGGCGCAGTGGCGGGCGCCTGTAGTCCCAGCTACTTGGGAGGCTGAGGCAGGAGAATGGCGTGAACCCGGAAGGCGGAGCTTGCAGTGAGCGGAGATCGCGCCACAGCACTCCCGCCTGGGCGACAGAACGAGACTCCGTCTCAAAAAAAAAAAAAAAAAAAAAAAGAAAACTACACAATGATACACCTTATGCTATAGATGCAAACATCCTCAACAAAATACAAGCAAACTGAATCTAACAATATATAAAAAGGAGTATATACCATGACCAAATGGGATTTTCCCAGAAATGCAAGATTGGTTCATCATACAAAAATCAATGTAATACACACACTGTATGAATGGAATAAAGGACAAAAAACAAATGATCATTTCAGTAAATGAAAAAAAGCACTTGATAAAATCCAATGTTGCTTCATTATAAATAAAACACTCAACAAACTAGGAAGAGAATTGGTTTAATCTGATAAAAGACATCTATGAAAGACCCACAGCTCAGCCTGGGCAACATGGTGAAACCCTGTCTACTAAAAAATACAAACATTAGCCGGAGGCTGCGTGCGGTGGCTCACCCCTATAATCCCAGCACTTTGGGAGGCCGAGGCGGGCGGATCGCTTGAGGTCAGGAGTTCAAGACCAGCCTGGCCAACATAGCAAAACCCTGTCTCTACTAAAAATACAAAAATTAGCTGGGCATGGTGGCACGTGCCTGTAATCCCAGCTATTTGGGAGGCTGAGACAAGAGAATTGCTTGAACCCGGGAGGGGGAGGTTGCAGTGAGCCGAGATTGCACCACTGTACTGTAGCCTGGATGACACAGCAAGACTTCGTCTCCGAAAAGAAAAAAAAAAAAAAAAACAGAATTAGCCGGGCGTGGTGGTGTGTGCCTGTGATCCCAGACACTTGGGGGCTGGGAGGCTTGCTTGAGCCCAGGAGGAGGAGGTTGCAGTAAACGAAGATCACACCACTGCACTCCAGGCTGGATGACAGAGCAAGACCCTGTCTCAAAAAAAAAAGAGAGAGAGAGAAAAGCCACAGCTAACCGACAACTTACTACTGAAAAGGCTGAATGTTTTCCCCCTAAGATCAAGAACAGAACAAGGATGTCTGCTCTTGTCGTTTGTACTTAACATTGTACTGGGGGGTCTAGGCCGGGCAATTAAAAAAGAAAAATAAATAAAAGACATATACTTTGGAAAGGAAGGAATAAATCTATCTCTAATTGCAGATGACATGATCTTATGTATAGAAAATCCGAGGCCTGGTGTGGTGGCTCACGCCTAATCCCAGCACTTTGGGAGACCAAGGAGGGAGGATCGCTTGAGCCCAGGAGTTGGAGATCAGCCTGGGCAACATGGCAAGACTGTGTTTCCGCCAAAAAAAAAAAAACAAAAAAAAAAAAAAAAAAGGAAAAGAAAGAAAGACTAGCCGGGCACAGTGGTTCACACCTGTAATCCTGGCACTTTGGGAGGCTGAGGCGGGCTGATCACCTGAGGTCGGGAGTTCAAGACCAGCCTGACCAACATGGAGAAACCCTGTCTCTACTAAAAATACAAAAAAACTTAGCCAGGCATGGTGGCACATGCCTGTAATCCCAGCTACTTGGGAGGCTGAGGCAGGAGAATCGCTTGAACCTGGGAGGTGGAGGTTGCGATGAGCCGAGATTGCACCATTGCACTCCAGCCTGGGTAACAAGAGCAAAACTGCAAAAAAGAAAGAAAGAAAGAAAGAATAAAAAAGCTGGGTGTGGTGGCCTGTGCCTGTGGTCCCAGTTACTGGGGAGGCTGAACTGGAAGGATCGTGTGAGCCTGGGAGGCAGAGGTTGCAGTGAGCCGAGATCATGCCACTGTACTGCAGCCTGGGCAACAGAGTGAAACCCTGTCATAAAAAAAGAAAAGAAAATTGAAAACATATGCCCATACAAAAACTTGTATATGAATGTTTGTAGCAGCATTATTGATAATAATGAAAAGGCGGAAACAACCCAAAATATCCATAATTTTTTTTTTTTTGAGACAGAGTCTTGTTCTGTTGCCCAGGTGATCTCGGCTCACTGCAACCTCCACCTCCTGGGTCCAAGTGATTCTCATGCCTCAGCTTCCCCAGTAGCTAGAATCACAAGCATGCACCACCACACCTGGCTAATTTTGTATTTTTAGTAGAGACAGGGTTTTGCCATGTTGGCCAGGCTGGTCTCGAACTCCAGCCCCAAGTGATCCGCCTGCCTTGGCCTCCCAAAGTGCTGGGATTACAGGCGTGAGTCACCGTGCGGCCCAAATATCCATAAATTGATGAACGATAAACAAAATGTGATATTTCCATACAATGAAACATTACTCATCCATGAAAAGGAATGGAATGCTGATACATGCTGATACAAGGTTCATACAGATGAACCTTGAAAACGTTATGCAATCTGAAAGGAGCTAGTCACAAAGATCCACATATTGTATGATTCCATTGATATAAAATATTTAGAAGAGGCAAATCCGTAGAGACAGAAAGTAGATTAGTGATTACCAGGGGTTCGGAGAAAGGAGGATTGGGGAGTGACTGCTAATGGGTACAGAGTTTCTTTCGGGAGTGATGAAATGAGATAGTGGTGACGGTTGCACAAGTTTGTGACTGTACTAAAAACCACTGAATTGTACATGCTAAAAAGGTGAATTTTATGGAGTGTGAGCTATATCTCAGGTTCTGAAAAGAGACAGAATAGGAGACACTGAGGAAACTCTTTCAAGCAAGCTATAAAGGGAACAGAGAAATGCGGACGAAGAGATTTTTTTTTTCAGATGGGAGAAGTAATGTTTGTTTGTTTGTTTGTTAATAAATCCAGAGGAACACAAATCAAAGATCCAAGAAAGGCAGGGGGAATTGCTGGAGGATGCAGACGACAGAGGCCAGACTCTAATGCGTAAGTGAAGGAGCTGCCTGTGGACAGTTTCTCTGTAGTCACAGAAGGGAAAATATAGCAGATATGTGCAAGTCCAGGTAGGTGGGCATGCACGGGATGAGAACTGGACGAGATTCTCTTCCAAGTGCTCTCCTTCAGAGAGCTTGGTCTGTTTTCCTTCAACATCTTGCTTATAGCCTCCTGTCTCAAAACATGCCTGCCAAGAAAGTACACTTGCTTCCAAGAAAACAAGCAAGAAAGCAAGCAAACCAATCCCCTAAAATCATCTACCCTGATAGTTTTATTCTTTTCTTTTCCTCAAGACAGGGTCTTGCTCTGTCACCCAGGCACAATCATAGCTCACTGCTGGCCCCAATAGCTTTAAAAAGTGAATTCCAACCAGGTGCACAATGGCTTATGCCTGTAATCCCAGCACTTTGGGAGGCTGAGGCAGGAGGACTGCTTTAACTCAGGAATTTGAGCCTGGGCAATCTAGCAAGACCTCACCTCTTCTAAAAATTTTTTAAAATTCGTCAGGTGTGGTGGCATGTGCCTGTAGTCCCAGCTTCTTGGGAGGCTGAGGTGGGAGGAGTGCTTGAGCCTGAGAGGGCGAGGCTGCAGTGAACTATGATCGTGTCACTGTACTCCCTGCTGGGCAAGAGTGAAACCCCACCTCAAAAAAAAAAAAATTCCATCTCAAACTGGTCATTCTAAGTTCTTTCAACAATGTTATTTATTTCTATGTTATTTTAATCTATTTTTGAAATTAAATTTTATTATCAAAGAGTAATACTTGCTCAAATAAAATCCAAAAGGTACAGAAAACAAATCTCTCTCCCACCTGTCCCCAGCCCTCCTCCTTGAGGCCAGTTTATTGTATGTCCTCTGAGAGGTAGTCTATGCATAACTGCATATTTATCCCTCCTCCCTTTTTTATTAATTAATTAATTAATTTATTTATTTTTGAGACAGAGTCTCGCTCTGTTGCCCAGGCCGGAGTGCAGTGTTGCGATCTTGGCTCACCGCAAGCTCCACCTCCCGGGTTCAGGCCATTCTCCTGCCTCAGCCTCCCAAGTAGCTGGGACTACAGGTGCCCGCCACCACATCTGGCTAATTTTTTGTGTTTCTTTAGTAGAGACGGGGTTTCACTGTGTGAGTCAGGATGGTCTCAATCTCCTGACCTTGTGATCCACCCGCCTTGGCCTCCCAAAGTGCTGGGATTACAGGCGTGAGCCACCGCGCCTGGCTCCCTCCTCCCTTTTTAAAACTGCAAATAGTATCCAGACTTACCTAGCGTTCTGCATCATGCTGTTGTCACTGAAGATACATCTTGGAGATTGCTTCATATCAGTACATACAGCACTGACACATTAGTTTTCATAACTGCCATGACATCATAGTCCTAAAACATGTTCACAGAGTCCTTGATACTTCTCCTTTCAAGAGGTGGCTCGATTCCCCTCCCCAAACATGTGTGCTGGACTTAGTGACATGCTTCTATAGAACAGAATATGGCAGAAGCAATGATGTGTGCCCTCTGAGACTAGGTCAAACAAGACAGTGCAGCTTCCTCCTGTTTTCTATGTCTTGGGTCACTTGCTCCAGGGTCAGCCAACTGCCATGTCATTCAAGCAGCGCTGTGAAGAGAGGCCCATGTGGTGAGGAGCTGAGGCCTCCTGCCAATGGCTAATGTGCTATCTTGGAAAGGGATCTCCCAGCCCCAGTCAAGCCTTCAGGTGACTGCAGCCCTGGTTGACAGTCTGAATACAATCTAATTAGTGACCTGGAGCCAGAATCACCCAGCTAAATTGCTCCCAAATTCCTGACCCACAGAGACTGTGAGATAACATGTTTATTTTAAGCTGCCAAGTTTTGGAATAATTTGTCATGCAGCTATATATATGATATATGATATATATGATATATGATATATCATATATCATATATGATATATCATATATTATATATTATATATATAATTTTTATATAATATATATCATAATATTATATATATTATATATATAAAATATATTTTTTTGAGATAGGGTCTTGCTGTGTCACTCAGGCTAGAGAGCAGTGGCACAATCTCAACTCACTGCAACCTCTGCTTCCTCAGCTCATGAGATCCTCTCACCTCAGCCCCCTGAGTAGCTGGGACTACAGGCGTGCAGTCCCATACCCGGCTAATTTTTTAACTTTTTGTAGAGATGGATAGAGACCATGTTGCTCAGGCTGGTCTCGAACTCCTGGGCTCAAGTGATCCACCCGCTTTGGCCTCCCAAAGTGCTGGGATTCCAGGTGTGAGCCACCACACCCCGCCAGCAATAGATAATTAAGATGCATGTTTAAGATAAATGTGTCCTATCTCCTCCATCATCCCATTTCAATAGGAAAAGCCCTTGGCCAGCCATAAAGCGTGTCATGAACATGAGGTACAACGCTTCCTATCCCATTTTCTCTCCCCAGCTTTCTGATGGCAACCAGCGCATACCTCTGAGTTTGTTCAAACCTGTTGCTCTCCAGTAACACAGTGTGGTCTGTGGGTCTTTGAGCCAAGTCTGTGCTGGCCCATCTCATATGCTCCCAGTTGATGACTTCCCCCAGAGATGTTGGTGTTTTCATCAGTACTTCCACCAGCAATTCTCTGGGTCGGTGTCAGAACCATGTAATAATAAGTTTTTGAAATGTTCAGGAAGTGAAGTCAGCTAAGAAACAAATTTGGCTTTATGAGCCCTTTCCCATCTCCACTGATCTGGGCAGGCCTCCCTGCAGTGTGGAGAGGACCTGTCAACTATATCCTGAGAATAAAGATTTCTTTTTTTAAAAAAAAATCTCATCTTTTCCCTGGAGTGGAAAGGCAGCTAATAGCATTCAGATATTTTGAGATGAAACTGTTACCATGGGAATGTTTCCATATCTCTCCCTTAATAATGATGGGTAGAAACAATGAACAGTACAGCTCTTAGAATTCTAGAGATAAAGGAAATAAGGGGGGAAAAATGAGAGCTGGAAAAACAGATCCCCCTAAAGGACTGCTTATCTCACTCAGAACTCTGCTCTGGTGCTCTCTAGGTGAATGTGGGGAGTTTGTAGGTCAGCGGTTTTTCTCCAAGGGTCAGGGTTCCCATATAGGAAGGAGATCAGTGATCCTGAGGTGGGTGGGGTGTGATTCTTCAGTAATTGCTGGTAAGGGGGTGAAGCTGGTCTGTCCTTCTGAGGCTCTGTGTGCAGGGTAGGGAGTGGAGGAGGAAAACTGAAGAGCTAACAAATTCAGATGCTTCTAAATACTTCTCCGTCTTTGTCCTGGCAAGAGGTCAAAGCACTTGAGGAACTCCTCCTCCCTAGGGCCTCAGACTGTACCCTGAAAGTAGAAGCATGCTGGCACACATTTTCATCTTGTAGTTCCAGAATTTCCTGTGCTGGACTGTCCTCTACAAGGGCTCAGGGATAATTTCTTAACCAGGAAGGCATCTCCTCCTCCATCCACTGTTTGAAGCACTGTAGGGGTCCCCTCAGGTCATTGTCAGCTGAGCTCCTGTTTCTCTAGGGCTTTGAGAAATCAAAGGACAAATGACTTGTTAATGAGCAAAATAATTTATCTCCTGTGACAGGCATTTTACCTTGTCTGCCATAGCCTCATACTCTCTCTCGGAAGGATTTATTTGCCTTTGTTGTTTTTACTTTTTGAGAAGGGTCATCCAAATAGAGCCATCCTGCCTATAAAATGAATGGGAATCCAACCCATTAGCTGAGAATTTAAGAACTCGTGTTGAATGTGTCAGGATAGGCAGATTGGGTATCCCCTTATTGTAAGCACCCCTTAAATCTCTCAAAGATGAAAGAAATGGATACCATCCCACCAAGCACCCCTGCACACTGTGAACTCACCTAAGGTGAGAACTGCCTGCTCACCGAAATCTTTATCTGTCAATTCCCCGCCTCCACCCCTGACCTAAGTTTGCTTGGAATGTCAGCATCTAGGGATTTCTTTTTGTTCTTGAGATCTTTAGTTAAAATACAACATAAGCAGCACTTGAACTGTTTCTTGGTGGTAGCAGCTGAAAGCTAATCTTTATAGGAATGTAGCTTAAGGAGCAGAAACCGTATTGGGTTGGGTGAACAACTAGAGAACTAAGTGTCTTCTTTCTCTGAAGCATCTACTGAAGCAATACATATGGTTGTCCCTGTCTCTCACACCCTCCGGAACCCGCATTTTCTGTTCTAAAATTTGTGATCCACAAAGAGAAAAGCAGTTTAAACATTTGATCTAGCATAAATATAAGCTCAGCAGAGGGAGCGCGGCAAGAGGTTCTAAACATAGGTGGCTCCACAGCACAGAGAAACCAGCCAGGAGACACCCAGGCAAGCGTCCTTGGCTGACTTCCCAGGTCCCTTGGCTTTGGGCTTTCCATGGTCCTGACCACATAAGGAAGGCTCTCTCTGCCAGTGACAGGCATCTCCCAATTCTTTCTCGCTGACTGCTGCGCTAGTAGGTCCTCTTCATTTGGGCTTGGGAGGTCATTTTTGGCAAACAGTAACTCTCACTCCCAAAACGTGGATCCTAAAATGTGGAAGAATCCTGATGACAATGTAAGATGCTACAGCTGCACCTGGCTGGTGGCAGAGTTATAATCTGGTACATGTTTCAGCTGCCACTTACACATAACAGGTGAGCACAGCGTTCATGCTGCTTGAAATGAACACCTATTCTGTTCCAAGCACATTATTACACAGCATATTTTTTCAAATTCAGCTGTACTTTGACAGTTTTTATAGAAAGTATGTGTCTCAATTTTTACATACCAAACTGGAGGAAATTTATCCAGTGAAGTGATTACTGATCTCCAGCCCCAGAAGCGTGAGGCACACAGGTACCTGAATTCTTTCAGGCCAAATGAAACTAACTAAATATTCTTTATGTATGAATTGTTATGGGGCAAGGTGAACACCACCTCCTCCATAAAAGCTTTCTGGGAGCTCCTCAACAGCAGAAAATCTCCCCTCTGCTTGAATTCCCATTGCATTTGTTTTTTTTTTTTTTTTTTTTTGAGATGGAGTCTCGCTCTTTCGCCCAGGCTGTAGAGCAATGGCGCGATCTCGACTCACTGCAACCTCCACCTCCCAGGTTCAAGCGATTCTCCTGCCTCCTCAGCCTCCCGAGTAGCTGGGATTACAGGCATCTGCCATCATGCCCGGCTAATTTTTGTATTTTTGTCGAGATGGGGTTTCACCATGTTGGCCAGGCTGGTCTTGAACTCCAGACCTCAGGTGATCCACCTGCCTCGGCCTCCAAAGGTGCAGGGATTACAGGCGTGAGCCACCGCGCCTGGCCTGCACTTGATTTTATCTCTTATAGGTCTTATTTTTCTACCTATAGTAGATGCTTATTTACATATTACCTCTCCCTATTGTATTGGAAGATCTTTGAATCAGGCATCTCCCCCATAACTATTTCATCTCTATTTCTCACCACATACAGCCCAGCACTTTATACAAAGGAGGCTCCAAGTACATGTTTCTGAAGGAAAGAATGACCAAGCAGAACAGAATCCCTTGTGATAAACTAAGTGTAGCAGTAGAAGAGAGATCACTGAGCCCTGGCCAAGAGGCCTAGTTGACCAGACGACTTGAAGAAAGGCTCAGACCCCAAGTCTGAGGCCTGTGACCCCTGGCTCTGAATTGTGCAAGTCCCTGACATTGTGTCATTGATTTTGTGGACGCACTTCCCCACAGCTCAGTTGTTGGAGCCAGCTCTGCAGGAAATATTTTGGTTGTCCTTTAGCTTTATTTCCTCACTCAGTCCAATAAGCTGCACTGACTTTCATAGAGTTTTAAGGCAAATGGCTTAAAGTTCATTTATTTGTCCATTTACTCATTGATTCAAAACATATTTACTGAGCATCGACTATGTACCAAGTATTGTTCTAGGCCCTGAATATAAAGTGGTGATTAAGACAGTCATAGACCTACTCTTTTTTTTATTTTCATTTTTTATTTTTTGAGATGGAGTTTTGCTCTTATTGCCCAGGCCAGAGCGCAACGGCACGATCTCGGCTCACCATAACCTCCGCCTCCAGGTTCAAGCAATTCTCCTGCCTCAGCCTCCCGAGTAGCTGGGATTACAGGCATGCACCACCATGCCTGGCTAATTTTGTATTTTTATTAGAGACGGGGTTTCTCCATGTTGGTCAGGCTTGTCTCGAACTCCTGACCTTAGGTGATCCACCCACCTCAGCCTCCCAAAGTGCTGGGATTACAGGCGTGAGCCACCACGCCCGGCCCAAAGCCCTACTCTTATAAAGCCTACATTGAAGCAGGAGGGAGACCCTCAACAAATGAAGGAGCACACATGGAAAAGGAAGGAAGGGAGGGAGAGAGGGAACGAGAGAAGGAGGGAGGGAGGATGGAAGGGAGGGAGGGAGGAAGGAAGGGAGTAAGGGAGGGAGAGAGGATGGGAGGGAGGGAGGGAGAGGGAAAGAGAGAGGGAGGGAGGGAGAGAGGGAACGAGAGAGGGAGGGAGGATGGAAGGGAGGGAGGGAGGGAATGAGAGAGGGAGGGAGGGAGGATGGAAGGGAGGTAACGAGATAGGATGAAAGGGAGGGAGGGAGGGAGGATGGCTGGTGGTGAGATGCTGACAATCAAGGTGATGTCAGATAGAGTTTTTGTTTGTTTGTTTTGAGACAGAGTCTCGCTTTGTCGCCCAGGCTGGAGTAGGTGGTGTGATCTCAGCTCACTGCAACCTCTGCCGCCTGGGTTCAAGTGATTCTCCTGCTTCAGCCTCCCGAGTGGCTGGGATTACAGGCACCCGCCACCATGCCCAGCTAATTTTTGTATTTTTAGTAGAGACAGGGTTTCACCATGTTGGTCAGGCTGGTCTCGAACTCCTGGCCTCAAGTGATCCACCTACCTCAGCCTCCCAAAGTGCTGGGATTACAGGTGTGAACCACCACACTCGACTGTCACATTGAGTTTCCAGATGGTTTCTTTACACAATCTGGAAAGGCTCCACTTTGAGGAGGTAACATTTAAACTGAGATTAAGTGACAAGCATGAGGCAGCTTTTTAAAAAAAGAGGGAAGAGTGTTTCAAGCAGAGAATAGCCAGTGCAAAGGCTCTGAAGGAAGCAGGCAATAGGTCTGGAAACAGTGAGTTCAGAGAAGCAGGCAAGGAACAGCGCAGTCCGGTTTTAAAAAGCAGGACAAGGGCAAGGCGTGGTGGCTCACACCTGCAATCCCAGCACTTTGGGAGGCCGAGGCGGGCAGATCACAAGGTCAGGAGATCGAGACCATTCTGGCTAATGTGGTGAAACCCCGTCTCTACTAAAAATACAAAAAATTAGCCGGGCATGGTGGTGGGCACCTGTAGTCCTAGCTACTCGGGAGGCTGAGGCAGGAGAATGGCGTGAACCTGGGAGGTGGAGCTTGCAGTGAGCCGAGATCGCACTACTGCACTCCAGCCTGGGCGACAGAGCGAGACTCCGTCTCAAAAATAAATAAATAAATAAATAAAATAACAAATAAAAAAGCAGGACAAGGAAACTGGGTTTTATTTAAGTGTGACAGGAAGATAATGAAAGAATTTAAGTGTAGGGGTGGCAAGATGGCTGCTTAAAGAGAATGGATTTTGGAAGGAAAAGAAGAAACTGGGAAACTGCTGCAGCCATTAGGAGGTTATCCTGCATTTATTCCAGGTGGGAAGTCGTGATGGGCTGGCCCTGGGTGGTAGGAGTGGAGATGGAGATAAGTAGACAGATACATGTATTGGAAGTAGAGTCAACAGGACAGGGACGATCGGGAAAGGGGCAGTTACTGCTGGGTACGAAGGGTTCTGTTTAAGGTGCTTCAGATATCCATGAAGAAACAACAGGCAAGAAACTAGAATCAGTTGGCTGGGGGCGGTGGCTCACGCCTGTAATCCCAGTACTTTGGGAAGCTGAGGCAGGCGGATCACCTAAGGTCAAGAGTTTGAGACTAGCCTGGCCAACATGGCAAAACTCCATCTCTACTAAAAATACAAAAAATTAGCTGGACGTGGTAGCGGGCGTCTGTAATCCCAGCTACTTGGGAGGCTGAGACAGGAGAATTGCTTGAACCCGGGAGGTGGAGGTTACAGTGAGCCGAGATCGCGCCATTGCACTCTAGCCTGGGTGACAGAGCAAGATTATGTCTCAAAAAAAAAAAAAAAAGAAAGAAAGAAAAGAAAAAAATAATAAACTAGAAGCAGAGTGTAGATTTCTGGAATCAGGACAGGGCTGGTGATAGCAATTTAGGAGTTGCAGCTGGATTGTATTTAAAGTCCAGGGGCTGCTAGTAGCAACGAGCTACACCTAATGCCAGAATCTTTGTTTCTAAATAACCATTCTCTAATCAAAGGAACCAGAGTTCCTGGAGAAATGGTTGATGTTGGGACAAGGGCAAGTAAAGTACAGGATGAGGATGGGAAGTAAACAAGTTGCTTGGAACATCTTGTGATGCCTAGAAATAAGGAAGTGCTCAGAAATAATGGGGCACATGTTGACGGGTGCAGGGGCCAGCTTGAAGGAGCTCCTGATGGCCCAATCTAGGATAAGAACAGGATGAGCAAAACTGAACAACGAAATAAATAACAATAGTAATGTGTTATGGAGGCCGGGCGCAGTGGCTCACGCCTGTAATCCCAGCACTTTGGGAGGCCGAGGTGGGCGGATCACGAGATTAGGAGATCGAGACCAGCCTGGCCAACATGGTGAAACCTCGTCTCTACTAAAAATATAAAAATTAGCTGGGCGTGGTGGCACATGCCTGTAGTCCCAGCTACTCAGGAGGCTGAGGCAGGAGAATCGCTTGAACCCGGGAGGCAGAGGTTGCAGTGAGCCGAGATCACGCCACTGCACTCCTGCCTGGGTGACAGAGTGAAACTCCATCTCAAAAAAAAAAAAAAAAAAAGAAAAAAAAGAAAAGAGTAATGTGTTATGACCCATAGGATAAAGTAAATAGTAAATATCCATCATATAAATAAATATCAAATAAATAAATAAGTCAATGGGGGACGGACACTCTTCTCCTTTACTGTATAACTCCAATTAATAAATACAGGGGGAATAACTGAAGTAGAAAATTGGGAAATACTGCAGTAATAAATGTTCTGGGCAAGATCAACAATTGTCAAAACCACAGCGACACCATTTCACATTCACTATTAAATAGTTACAAAAACCAAGACAGGTAAGTGTTGGTGAGGAAGTGGAGGAACTAGAACCCTCACATATTGCTGGTGAAAATGTGAAATGTGCGGCCACTTTGGAAAACAGTTTGGCTTTTCCTCAAAATATTAAACACAGAGTTACTCAATGACCCAGCCATTCCATTCCCAGGTATATACCCTAGGGAAATGAAAATATACATCCACACCAAAACTTGTACACAGAAAAACAAAACACAAAATGAAAATGAAAAAACCAACTTGTGCACAAATGTTCATAGCAGCATTATTCATAACAGTAAAAAATTAGAAATAATCCCAATGTCCATCAACTGAAGAATGGATAAACAAAATATGACATATCCATACAATGGAATATTATTCAGCAGTAAAAAGGAGTAAAGTACTGGTATATGCTACAAAACGGATGAGTCTTGAAAACTTTATGCTAAGTGAAATAAGCCAGTCACAAAAGGCCACAGGCTGTACGATTCCATTTATAAGAAATACCCCAAAGGAGCAAGTCCTATGATTACTTTTGTAACTTTGTTTTTAATGTTTCAAATTATTTCAACATAAAAAGTTTAAAAATCAGGGCCAGGCACGATGGCTCACGCCTGTAATCCCAGAACTTTGGGAGGCTAAGGTGGGCTGATTGCTCAAGCCCAAGAGTTGGAGACCAGCCTGGGCAATGTGGCGAAACCCTGTCTCTACAAAAAAATATGAAAGTTAGCCTGGTATGGTGGTGCACATCTGTAATCCCAGCTACTCAGGAGGAGGAGGTGGGAGAATGGCTTGAACTCAGGAGGTGGAGGTTGCAGTGAGCCGAGATTGAGCCACTGCACTCCAGCCTAGGCAAAAGAGCGAAACCCTGTCAAAAAAAAAAGTTAAAAAATCAAAATCAAGGTGCTGAATGAGATCACCTAGAGACAAAGTCTAGATAAGAAAGATAAGGAAACTCAGGACAGAACCTTGGGGTACTCGAGTATCCTAGAGGTTGAGCAGAGGTCGGGCAGCCCACAAGACTGAGAAAGGAGCCAGTGAAATAAGGAAACTCATCTGTTTGTGCTGCCTGCCAAGACAATAGGGGTGAGGGACATTTTATTGGCCCCTGCTATGGTCTGAATATATCCCCCCCACCCCAATTTCTTATGTTGAAATCCTAACCTCCAAGGTGACAGTATTAGGTGAGGCCTTTTGGGAGGTGATTAGGCCATGAGGGTAGAGCCCTCATGAATGGGATTAGTTGCCCTTATAAAATAGGCCCAAGGGAACTTTTTGCCCCTTCTACCATGTAAGGACACAGTGAGAAGGTGACATCTATGAACCAGGAATCGAGCCCTCACAAGACACTGCATCTTCTGGTACCTTAATCTTGGACCTCCCAGCCTCC
The DNA here is from genome assembly GCF_000001405.40 of Homo sapiens. Taxonomy (NCBI): domain Eukaryota; kingdom Metazoa; phylum Chordata; class Mammalia; order Primates; family Hominidae; genus Homo; species Homo sapiens. The sequence continues at coordinate 32,234,770 of NC_000017.11, read as the reverse complement.
AGAACTGTGAGAAATAAATTAGTGTTGTTTATAAGCTGCCCAGTTTATGGTATTTTGTTACATTGTTATGGCAGCCTGAATAGGCTAAGACAGCTCCAATACTCAAGAGAAGCAAGACATTTCTCAGATACATATAGGAGAAAAAACTGGCTGCCACCCATGCCTCTCCCACTCTCCAGACACAGTGGTGCAGCTCTGCTCAAGTGCAGGAGGAAGGGCAGAGGGTTGCCATCCTGTGGGTCTTTATATGGGATGCAGACCTCCTATTCTCCTGACAAGGGGAAGGGGAAATAACACCCCCCAGGAACAGATCTCAGTAAATGTGCACAATCCCAATCTTCATTGTTTAGGAGGGAAATAGAAAGTTCAAGTAACTTGCACATAGAATGTGGCAAAGTTGGGATTTAAACTCAGATCTTAGCTCTTAACTCAATCCTTTACTACTCCCCAACCCATAATCTAGTGAATTTCCACTACCACTAAGAGATCATTTAGCTTCCAGGGCTGCTAGTCAGTTCTTTCCACATGGACTCAGTGACTGAGTAAAGCTGCTTCTCAAGAAAGGGTTGTGTAAATCAAGAAAATGAAATTACAGGCCAGGTGCGGTGGCTCACGCCTGTAATCCCAGCACTTTGGGAGGCCGAGGTGGGTGGATCACGAGGTCAAGAGATCGAGACCATCCTGGCCAACATGGTGAAACCCCATCTCTACTAAAAATACAAAAATTACCCAGGTGTGGTGGCATACACCTGTAGTCCCAGCTACTTGGGAGCCTGAAGCAGGAGAAAGGCTTGAATCCGGGAGGCAGAGGTTGCAGTGAGCCGAGATTGTGCCACTGCACTCCAGCCTGCCAATACAGCAAGACTCCATCTCAAAAAAAAAAAAAATGAAATTACAAATAAACGGATTGGTATACATCCCCCTAGGTACTCTAAGAGTAGGCAAGTGCATGACAGGCAGGTGCAAAGGTCCAGTACTTAGTTCAGTACTGGGTAGGATGGAGACAGGTTAGCTTCCCCAGGTTCAGTTCCTTGGGGTCAGGGAAAAGGACATTTGCTGAGACCTGACTAGTATATCCCTCCCCTGCTTAACACTCTTTAATGGAATCTCTAGAGAGGGCCAAGAGAGGATCACTGGACAAAGCACAGGTGAGGGCAGGGGTGCCATACTGTGCACAGGGGGATGAAGTGGATAGATGAGCACTAAATGCCAAGGCTCAGCTCCTGGATGCTGACAGCCAGGCCTTGGCCCTCCTTGAGACCTAAAGGATGAAGAGCTGGGAGGACAGGCTTCTAGAGAGAAAGCATCTGCAAAGGGCTCAAGAGAATGAGCAAGGTACATTCTTAGAACTGAAGGAAGTTCTCTGTGGTTAGACTGTAGTAGGATAGGGAGAGTGCAGATTTGGCTGCAAAGGTCTGGGTCTGGGTCTGCAGGGCCTTGAGATTTGAATTGGAATTTTCCTAGGGGAAAGAGGGAGACATAGAAGGGGTTGTTCTATTGTTTTACCAAAATTATTCGTATGTATAATTTCTCTTAAAAATTTTAACCACTGTACTGCTAGCAAATTTATAGTTTTGTTGCCCCCAAAGATTGTAACCTCTTTGACTCCTTCAATATCTACTGCAGCAGTTCTCAAACCTTCACGTGCATCTGAATCGCAGGGCAGGGTAGGGGGTGGGTAGTGGTGATGGTTGTTAACACAGATTTTGCTGGGTCCCATCCTCCAAGTTTCTGAGGCCTCAGAGTCTTGGAGGTCTGGGGTGGGGGTGGGGGAAGGGCTATTGAAAATCGTATTTCTTACAAATTCCCAGGTGATGTGATCACACTTTGAGAATCTGGGGGAAAAGTAAGAGATGTAAGAGGGGCTGGGCGCGGTGGTTCACGCCTGTAATCCCAGCACTTTTGGGAGGTCAAGGAGGGCGGGTCATCTGAGGTCAGGAGTTTGAGACCAGCCTGGCCAACATGGTGAAACCCCGTCTCTACTAAAAATACAAAAATTAGACGGGCGTGGTGGTGGGCACCTGTAATCCCAGCTACTCGGGAGGCTGAGGCAGGAGAATCACTTGAACCCAGGAGGTGGAGGTTGCAGTGAGCTGAGATCGTGACATTGCACTCCAGCCTGGGCGACAAGAGTGAGACTCCATTTCAAAAAAAAAAAAAAAAGAAAAGAAAAAAAAGATGTAAGAGGAAGTCAGTAAAAAGTGTGGTGAATGTGTGAAGACATATTCAGCCACTCATTCTCTAGATGGTATATAGAAGTGGCTGGATGCCACTGGAATTATAGAAATCCTGGAGGCAGATTACAGAAGCAGAGATGAAAAATGTTAGTGACAAAACTTTATTCTAGGAGTTCTCCCCCATCAAAGCCCCTGACACAAGTACTTTTCCATTTATAAAATGTGAATAAATTTTAAGAGTATTTTTTCAAAATTAACAACTTAAGAACAATTAAAAATCATAGAGTGCTTTTCAAAGAGTAGTTATATCCTTACTTCTCCTCAGTTATCTGTACCTGAAATAAACCTAACCACGTGTCTGCACTCCTCTCAATAGACACATCAATTACCTAGTGACAGCTAGCAGAAATGAAGGCAGAATGCCTCAGAGGAAATGAAAGGCTTCCAGAAAATTTGCTTTGCCAACTTTAACCCTTTTTAGTTATAGAGATGTCAAAACTGTTTAGCGGGGTTTTTCTTTCTTTCTCTTTTTCCCCTTAGGCCTGTTTTTTTGTTGTTGTTATTGTTTTTCACAGACTATATTGCAAATCTACCAAAGGTAGGAACAAAAGCCCAGTCGTTAGGTTGGCTCCTACAGTGGAAGGAGTACCAAACTGGGAATCAAGATACCTAGGTTCCAGTCCTAGCTCGAGGACAAACTAATACTGTGGCTTTGAGTAAGTCACTTCTTGCTGTCACCCAGGCTGGAGTTCAGCGATTTAGGCACACTGCAACCTCCGCCTCCTGGGTTCAAGCAATTCTCCTGCCTCAGCCTCCAGAGTAGCTGGGACTACAGGCACCTGCCACCATGCCTGGCTAATTTTTTGTATTTTTAGTAGAGACAGGGTTTCACTATGTTAGCCAGGATGGTCTCGATCTCCTGACCTCGTGATCCTCCTGCCTCGGCCTCCCAAAGTGCTGGGATTACAGGCGTGAGCCTCTGCACCGAGCTGTCACTTCTCGCCTTTTTGTGCTCCCTGTACGCTATGAAAGTATGGAGTTGGACAGATGACCTTTATACTATGTAAGCTATCTAAGCTCTGAAATTTTGGCTTTAAAATTTAAAGAAATAAGAAGCATGATCACATGTTCATGCACACAAGGGGGTAAATTCCCCAGATAACTAGAGTTCAAACTAAACATTCTCGTGGGATTCCTTTACTTTCCATGTATACCAATTATACAACTGGAAAACTGAAAACAAGCATAGATAAAGTGCCAAAAGAACAGTTCCACGTGAGTCCTCAGAAGAAGTGGAATTGATGCTCCCTTTACCTTCTAAGCATCAAACTGCTCTTTGAGGTTAACCCCACGTTGGCCGGCGCACCGTGCTCTTATAAACAATATGATCAGTAAAAGTGAAAAAAATCAAACAACTCCTACATCCACTCTTAGTTTTCATACAAACAAAACATGACTACAGTATTTTTAAGTTCTTCATAGTATTGAAACTTTTCACATTCCAAAACAATCAGGTAATTTTTTTAAATCATTAGTAAATGCTGCTGTGCATTTACTACTATATTTTCATCCGTTACAGGGGGCGTTTATCAAATCTGGCTCACTGTCAGTTTCTGTACAGCATGTGAATGGTTTCCACTTTTTTTTTTTGAGATGGAGTCTTGCTCTGTCACCCAGGCTGGAGTGCAATGGTGTGATCTGGGCTAACTGCAACCTCTGCCTCCTGGAGTCAAGTGATTCTCCTGCCTCAGGCTCCCGAGTAGCTGGGATTACAGGCATGCCCCACCACGTCTGGCTAATTTTTGTATTTTTAGTAGAGAAGGGGTTTCATCATGTTGGACCGGCTGGTCTCAAACTCTTGACCTCAGGTGCCCGCCTCAGCCTCCCAAAGTGCTGGGATTACAGGTGTGAGCCACCGCGCCTGGCTAGTTTCCACATTTTTAGATGGTTAAGAAAATCAAAATAAGAATATTTTCTGGTACATAAAAATGATACAAAACTCACATTTCTGTGTCCATAAATAAAGTTTCATTAGAATGAAGTAATTCATTTGCTTATGTATTGTCTATGACTGTTTTCATGCTACAACAGAGTTGAGTAGTTGTGAAAGTCTCAAATATTTACTATCTGGCCCTTTGCAGAAAAAGTTTGCGACTTATAACTTAAACTGCAGTATACACATTCATGTCATCCTAATAAAACTCCTAAGGGTTGATTATAATACACTTATATGGGCCGGGCACGGTGGCTCCCGCCTGTAATCAATCCCAGCACTTTGGGAAGCCGAGGTGGGCAGATCACCTGAGGTCAGGAGTTCGAGACCAGCCTGGCCAACATGGTGAAACCGCATCTCTACTAAAAATACAAAAATTAGCTGGGCATGGTGGCAGGCACCTGTAATTCCAGCTACTCGGGAGGCTGAGGCAGGAGAATCATTTGAACCTGGGAGGTGGAGGTTGCGGTGAGCTGAGATGGCGCCATTGCACTCCAGCCTGGGCAACAAGAGCGAAACTCCGTCTCAAAAAAATAAAAAACACTTATATGTAAACTATAAATAGGAAAATGCTGAAAGAGAAACACACTGTTCTTGCGGAATTTGGAATTTTCAATGTATGAAAACGATACTGGCAATTCCTCCTTGTGTGTACACAGCTGACATTCAGCTTTCAAACCCAGAAGGACTAACAATCTCTCGATTTCGCCATTGGACCTCTGCAACTGTCTATGCTAAAGAAGATAAAATTGGCCGGGCGTGGTAACAAAAATTAGCTGGGCATGGTGGCACATGCCTGTAATCCCAGCTACTCAGGAGGCTGAGGCAGGAGAATCACATGAAGCCGGGAGGCAGAGGTTTCAGTGAGCCGAGTGGCACCGTTGGGAGACTCTGTCTCAAATAAAATAAAATCTTGCCTTCTAGTAAGATACTTTCTGAACCCAAAATATCTGGGACAAATGGTCTGACAAGTCTGAGTGCCATGGGAGCAAGAGGATATTTTATGAAACTGAGATGCACTAGAGAAACCTGAGATACACAGCTGTGATACTCACAGGTCAGACTTCCACAGAGCTGAGGGCCAAGCAGGTTAACAGACACTCGCTCTCACTGACAGCAATGTTTGATAAAAAGAGTTAAAAAGACATGAATTACTTGCAACCTTAGGGGTTTAAATAAGTGTGTTATTGGACTGTAGATCTGGGGATAAAGGCATTGGAAAGGTCAAGCTGCCTGCATGGGTCATTCTCATACTGTGAACATTAAATTTAGCATCTTGACGTGGTATTTCTCAAAAAGTATCTAGTCCCAAATCAGTTTCCTAAAAACACGTGGACTGTGAAAGTATGATTTAGGAATCTGGTATGTTGGTTAAAAAAATAAATAAAAAATAAGATATATTAAAGTATGAAGTCAAATAAACATGTTAATGGAACTAGATTACACACTTATTTTTAGGATTTGCACATATATTTTAAAGGCATCTTTGTACTGACTTTTACTAGTGCAATTCAGACAAAAGGGGCATCAAAACTAACCTAACAGCCAATGATAGGCAAAAAAAAAAAAAGCCAACCCCAGGTGCATTTTGAGGGCCTGTTTAGGAAAGAATTATGCTCTACCACAGAGATCGGGCACTTACATCTGCTTCCCTCTCTTTATTCATTATTCAGCTGCCTTCATAGATTGGGAAAGTTCTCATTTCATTCAAGACTGGCTCATCAGTATAGTTCTTTTTTTTTTTTTTTTTTTTTTTGAGACAGGGTCTCACTCTTGCCCAGGCTGGAGTGCAGTGGTGTGATCTCAGCTCACTGAAACCTCCAGCTCCTGAGTTCAAGGAATTCTCCTGCCTCAGCCTCCTGGGTAGCCGAGATTATAGGCATGTGCCACCAGGCCCGGCTTTTTTTTTTTTTTTTTTTTTTTTTGTATTTTTAGTAGAGACAGCGTTTCACCGTGTTGGTCAGGCTGGTCTCAAACTCCTGACCTCAAATGATCCGCCCGCCTTCGTCTCCTAAAGTGCTGGGATTACAGGCATGAGCCACTGTGCCCAGCCTCATCAGTATATTTCTTCTTTGGTGCCTTCCCCTGGCAGATGATGTGCATATATGCACTGATACCCAAAGTCCTCCTACCACTTTCATAGGCCATTTCAGAATGGTCATGTGCTCCCCAAATTCCTAATATCAGAGCCCACTCCTACCGTAGCATTATCAGTGCCAACAATGCGAGAAATTGCTCATTTTTTGGTCAAATGTGAAAGAGAAAGACATGAATAGCAAGAAGCAACAGATCCCTGATATAGTTACTACATTATGCTAGGACTACAAACCTTCAAAGCAATGCTTCTTCACACAACTGCCTTATTATTCATTAAGGCACTGCAGCCTCAGAATTGCCCATTTGAAAGACAATGCTGAGGAGCTAGTGGCCTCACAGATTCCAGGCGATTTGAGCTCTAGCTAGGATGCAAGGCAATTCGAGCTCCAGCTAGGATGATCGAGGTTGTTTGCAACGACCGTCTGGGGAAAAAGGTCCACGTTAAATGCAACACGGATGATACCATCGGGGACCTTAAGAAGCTGATTGCAGCCTAAACTGGCACCCGTTGGAACAAGATTGTCCTGAAGAAGTGGTACACAATTTTTAAGGACCATGTGTCTCTGGGGGACTATGAAATCCACAATGGGATGAACCTGGAGCTTTATTATCAAAAGATGAGAATCCTCATCTTCCTGCTGCCCCACTCTCCTCTCCCATCCTCACCCCGCACACTGGGATAGATGCTTGTTTGTAAAAACTCACCTTAATAAATACTTAGATGTTGAAAAAATAAAAATAAAAAATAAAAGACAATGCTTTGGGAAGCTGAGGCAGGCGGATCACCTGAGGTCAGGAGTTTGAGACCAGCCTGGCCAACATGGTGAAACCCCGTCTCTACTAAAAAAAAAAAAAAAAAAAAAAAAAAAATTAGCCGGGCATGGTGGTGGGCGCCTGTAGTCCCAGCTACTCGGGAGGCTGAGGTTGCAATGAGCCATGATTGTGCCACTGCACTCTAGCCTGGGTAACAGAGCAAGACTCTGTCTCAAAAGAAAAAAAAAAAAGACAATCCAACTGGTGTAAAGTGAAAGATCTCCTTTCGACTCTCAAGTTCCTATTTTCTTTATTTCTCCTTAGTACTCTTAAAGCTTGCATCTCCTGAGTAAACTGTAAAAGCCAGAAAAAGCCTTTTCTTGTGTTCACATTATTTTCTCACATTCACTAGTCTCTAAAGTGGATGCAAAATGAAGAAAAATAGGCCAGGCCTGGTGGCTCATACTTATAATCCCAGCTCATACCTATAATCCCAGGCAGAAGGATCACTTGAGCTCTGGAGTTTGAGACCAGCCTGTGCAACAGAGTGAGACCTCATCTCTACTAAAAAATTTTTTAAAAAATTAGCCAGGTGTGGTGGCACATGCCTGTAGCCCCGGCTACTTGGAGGCTGAGGAGGGTGGATTGCTTGAGCACACAAGGTCAAGGTTGCAGTGAGCTGTGATTACGCCCCTGCATTCCAGCCCTGGCAACAGAGCAAGACTCTGTCTCCAAAAGAAAGAAAAAACCCATATGTGCCTGTAGGTTAAAGATGAGAAAACAGTAAGCATTCCCTCTACTAATTCGCCCCACCTGGAGTGATTGACAAGTGAGGAAAGGGGCTAGCTTAGCAAGGGGGTGTGTCCAGAGCAAGTGCAAGATAGGGCAGCTGCCCCCTGCCTTCTTCTGAACCAAAGAAATGTAAGCTCCCCAAATGAAAAGATGGAGAGAGAATATCTAAATATATAAACACACCACTTATTAACTCTTGGTAAGCTAGCTTCTTACCTCTGCTTCTCACAAACACAACAATCTATAAAGCATATTCATTTAAAGCAGTATTTCAGACAAACTAGAAAAGAACTTGGAAAAAATTAACTGTCATTGCAAACTATACAACTGACATAAATTTGGTAAGTGGGAAATTCTCAGAAAATAATAAAAAATGAGGAGTCAGGCCGGGTGTGGTGGCTCACACCTGTAATCCCAGCACTGTGGGAGGCTGAGATGGAAAGATCACTTGAGCCCAGGAATTCAAGGATGCAGTGAGCTATGATCGCGCCACTGCACTCTAGCCTGAGCAACAGAGTAAGACCTTATCAAAAAATAACAAATAACAAATGAAGTGTCATGTTATTTTGCCAGCTAGTAAGCTATACTGTTACTAGTTGCTCAAGAAGTGTGATCTTGTAAGAAAATGTCCCTCAGAATGGCAAAGAGGAAAAATCATGTTAAAGGAGAAAATAAACATGCAAACAATAGCAGAAACCACATTAATTAGCTATGTGTAGGGAAAACAATTGGCCTTTTACCAGAATAGATTTCTCTACAACTTTTAAATAAATTTCCTCTTACATATATAAATCATACTTGACTTTTTTCCTAATAAGTTTTTTTTTTTTTTTTTTTTGAGGTATACTTTCACTCTTGTTGCCCAGGCTGGAGTGCAATGGCGTGATCTTGGCTCACTGCAATCTCCACCTCCTCCCAGGTTCAAACGATTCTCCTGCCTCAGCCTCCCAAGTAGCTGGGATTACAGGCATGCGCCACCATGCCCAGCTAATTTTTTTTATTTAGTAGAGACAGGGTTTCACCATGTTGGTCAGGCTGGTCTCAAACTCCTGACCTCAGGTGATCCACCCACCTCGGCCTCCCAAAGTGCTGGGATTACACGATTGAGCCACCACTCCCGGCTGAGTATTCCTTTTATACAGAATAATTTTCAATATGAGAGATAGAAACCAGAGGACTTCACTCACATCTGTACAGAAATATTTACTTTAGATGACAAAAGAACTCAAGATCACAGTACACAGCAGTTATTTATTTAAATACTTGAAAAGGCTGATGATGGAAAAAATAGGTTTATCATGAGAGTTTATATTCATTAGATTTATTTTATCATTTAAAAAATTACTGCCTCTAGGTTATCCTAGCCTGATATAGAACACTTGGTGACACATGCAGTTACTGTAATATACTATAACAGACACAGCCATTATAGAATGATTTACACTTGGGATGAAATTCAACAGTAGTAAGGGTGACTCTTTATTTAAACTAAAAACATTGGTAATATACAAATTTTTTTTTTATTTCATTGAAAGGGCTATAAAATTCAACATACTGACAAGGAAGCAACATAATCACATAGATAACGCCTCTGCTAATTGCTTTTACCTAACTTCACCCTTAAAGGTGAGCTGCACACTCAGCTACACAAGTTTCTAGACTGTGCGATGGCTTCAAGGCTGGCCTACCACAACTGACTGAAAAAATGTCATGTTGGTAAGCTGACACTGACTTGTATGTTTTTAAAAATGGAGAGACAATGGCAAATTGTACCTTATGTCCTTATAGAACCCAAAGGATCATTCTGAGTAAATGTGAAATAAATAAAGTGATCCATGAGTAAATACAATCTCTGGGCTAACTTAAACCTAGAAGAGTGAGCCAAGTGAGCACTAACAATACCACTTAGAAATGTCTAGAAACATCATTTCTAGAACTCAGCTTGGGAGACCATATCTTGCCTGAATATGTACATATATTTACAAAATATTCCCTTTTGGCCTCTGGAATTTAGCCATTTTAGTTTGGCTGTTAGCTGTTTTCTTTCCATATGCTAGCCAATACTGCAGTTATAACTATCATTAAAATACTCTTATGCATGAATTACAAATATTAATAAAGTAACTCTGCATGTATAAATATCTCAATAATTCTAGCAGAACTTAAAGCATTCAGAATGTACATAAAAGTATTTGTTTTTGGTAGGGACAGTATTTCTTTTTATATCATCGCTGTTTCAATAATGCTTTGTACATAGCAAAGCCCAAAACTGCAAAAACAGTAGCACCAAAACTTGCTCGAAGCCAAAACGTGGAGCTCTTGAGGTCAGCTTGTGTCACGTGCCTGCAGTCAGAAAATATAATTATTATTTAAAACATGATTAGTATGAAAACCCTATACCAGTTATTTAGCAGTCTACTTTTAGGGAAGTATTAGCACACTTGTCAAGCTAACTGCATACAGTAATGCTTATCAAAAACATTGATCAATATAGCCATATATATAATTACTTAATCATTACTTTAAGAAAATGACACAATGTAGATACTAATAAAGACAATTAGCTACTTTGTGGGAGTAGACATCTAAATTTGTAAACTTTTTTTCACACAGGAAATAAAGAAGTTAGACAAATCAATCTAGCATTTTATAATACCGTTACGGTTGTTCAAAATGAAAATTAAGGCGGTGTTCCCACAATTTTGAGGATCATATTCATGGTTAAATAATGTGCAATCTCCTATCCCCAGGAACTGAAAGCTATTTTGTAAGCAGTTAAGTGACAAGTGACAATACTTTTCTAAGAGAAATGATTAAAGTCAACTTTGGAAACACTGAGCCTCATAAAAATTTACAAAAAACCCCCCAAAAAACCCGAAGGGGGAGGGGAAGATTTATCAGTTTGCATTAATTTGGTTACTGCTAATTAAAGAGAAAAAAACCAATCCCTGGTGTTAGACAGGCAGTGATAATGATACCAACTAACAGACATAACGTAATGTGATGGATTGAAAGGCAATGACATAAAATAAGCCATAGTATGCATGACAAGAACAGGGACAGCCTGTACCACAAACTGAGTTGTGAGCATGCTCAGTAAGTACCCTCAAGAGTCTCAAGTATGACAGCTTACCATGAAGAGGATAAAGCTCTAAAGAAAAGGTCAGAACATTTTATTTAAATGTCACTGAAGTCTTAGTTACTAAGTGAACACAATTGAGATGATGTAGAAAACTTAAAAAATTGGCCGGGTGCAGTGGCTCATGCCTGTAATCCCAGCACTTCGGAGGCTGAGGCGGGTGGATCACCTGAGGTCAGGAGTTCGAGACTGGCCTGGCCAACATGGTGAAACCCCGTCTCTACTAAAAATATAAAAAGTGGCCGGGCATGGTGGTGGGTGCCTGTAATCCCAGCTACTTGGGAGGCTGAGGCAGGAGAATTGCTTGAACCTAGAAGACGGAGTTTGCAGTGAGCCGACACGGTGCCACTGCACTCCAGCCTGGGTGACAGAGTGAGACTCTATCGCAAAAAAAAAAAAAAAGAAAGAAAAGAAAACTTACAAAATTAAGAGCTTAGAGAGACTGTCTAGTTTAGGTTATTTTATAACTAAGTTAAACAGATTTGAAGCAAAAGTCAGATATCATTAAAAGACCAAGGCACTGACATATGCAAAAGAGTTAAGAGCCAAGAATTCAAACTGCACAAAACTACTTTGCCTCAGTAATAGTCAAAGAGAACAGATTAGTTATCACAAAATAGTCTGTACATCCCTAGAAACAAAAGTCTACAACACAAGCCAGAGTGCTCCATGCTTAACACAACAAAGCAAGACACAACACTCCAATTCTCACCCTCACCAGTTTCTATTTAAAAAAAAAAAATCACTCCTCACATAATTATTTCTTACAAAGCAAAGTGATATCACAGGTTCATTCCAGCTTGCAAGTTAGTTTTTCCAACAGGCAGCATTTTATTAAAAAAAAAGTCAGAGAAGAAAATGCTTAGGTTTTTCAAGCTGGAAAAACTCCAACGAGGCCAACCCATTGGAAATGTTACCTGGCTTCAAGAAAAAGTGGACCATGAGATGACTCCATGAAGATGGAATCTTCTACAGAGCTGACAGCATGCACCTGGTGAGTAATACTGCCCTCATCGTCTGCTAACAGCATGGCACCCCACTCAGCTATCCGGGCTCTTAACCTTTTATACACATGCACACAGTTTGCAGTTCACAGCAGAGCTCACAAAAAAAGGGACTCAAAATAACATCTCTCAATTATGCATCCCACACATAAATTGAGTTGCCACCCTATATGATGGATCTCATGTTTTCTATATTTAAAATAAATGTATTCTATAGCAAATTGCCAAACTTAAAAAAAAAATCTATCTGTATGTACTCTGTTAACAAACACACACACACACCCACTCCAGACAAGGAAACCTAAAGCTGTTATATACATTCTCTAAACATCCCTATGAGGCTGGTCTTGGTGCATCTGAAATACCAAGTCCTTTAAACCAATACCATAAGCAGTACCTGACAACACGTAGTAACCATAAGTATTCAACAGAAATGAGGTTAACAACGATTAGTCGTGAAGTTTACAGATGATTATAACTTTGGGTTATCAAAAACTACAAATATATATCTGTGAAAAAATTGAGTCCAACATCCCAAACTCACAGACCGCCATGGACCTATGATGAGAGTAACAGAAGTTTACAACTCCAAGTCAATGCAGATGCATAGAATTTAAAGTCAGAGCGTAGGTAAAGGTGCATTAGAGGTTTCTCTTCATCTTTGGCCTCCCTGTGATTATCATGCATCTGCACTGATGGAGATTTTTTATCTTATTTTTACATTTTTACATTTATTTTTTAACTTAGGAGGAAAAAAGAATTAGGATTTAAGCTAGCTATAATCATATTAAAATCAATCAAAATGATTTCTCATAGATAGTCTTCAAATATAGATATCTGTTTCACAGATATGTGGTTTCTTGTTTGTTTGTTTGTTGATAGAGATGAAGTCTCACTATGTTGTCCAGGCTGGTCTTGAACTCCTGAGCTCAAGCAATCCTTCCACCTTGGCCTCTCTAACTGCTGGAACTACAGGCTGGTCTCCCTTGTGTTTTAAGACACATGAAATAATATATTCTGACTGACCTTATTGCTTAGTTTTCTTTTGCATTTCAAGATCAATATAGATACATGTTCAAGATACAGCTAGTTTAAAACTTAAGGTAACTATTAACTTATAAAATATATTTCGATGGCTCCATCAATGTCACAGTAGCTGTTTAAGACACTTTTAGACATGGAAAGTTACTTACAGAACTATTTTACACCTGTACCACCTGCATTTAAAGGCTGCACTACCAGGCTCTATTTATAAAAGAGAAAGCATTTAAAATGGAGGGCACGCTTATCATTGCTTAACCTGAATAGAGAATAATGTGGTCTCACATGTATTCCAAAAGTATCAAAAACTAATTCATGTTTGTCCTTTCAGTTTTCAAACAGAGGCAAGTACAGTTTCATAAAGCTTCTGGCTCATTTCTTTCTTTCTTTTTTTTTTTTTTTTTGAGACAGACGAAATCTCACTCTGTCACTAGGCTGGAGTGCAGTGATGCGATCTCAGCAAACTGCAACCTCCGCCTCCCAAGTTCAAATGATTCTCCTGCCTCAGCCTTCCAAGTAGCTGGGACTACAGGTACATGCCACCACACCCAGCTAATTTTTGTATTTTTAGTAGAGACAGGGTTTTACCGTGTTGGCCACGATGGTCTCGATCTCCTGATCTCAGGTGATCCACCCACCTCGGCTTCCGAAAGTGCTGAGATTACAGGCGTGAGCCACCACGCCTGGCCGCTTCTGGCTCATTTCTAAACTTAAGCAGAAATAATTCTTCCACAATTCAAAAGCATAATTCTTTCAAAATGACTTATAGAAAATATCATCTTAGAATAACTTATAGTATCTTACTGCATAGTTTTTCTTTCTAAAGTTTACTTTATTTTCAAATATAAAAAAGCTAATATACACTCATTAGAAAATAAGGCAAAGTAAGAAAAAAAATCATTTATGTTACCCAAGGCAACAAATTAAAAGGTCAGGTATTTCCTTTTAGACTTTTTTTTTTTTTTTTTTGAGACAGAGTCTCGCAATCTCAGCTCACTGCAACCTCCACCTCCCAGCTTCCAGTCACTCTTGTGCCTCAGTCTCCCGAGTAGCTGGGATTACAGGCGTGCACCACCATGCCCAGCTAATTTTTGGTATTTTTAGTAGAGATGGGGTTTCACCATGTTGACCAGGCTGGTCTCAAACTCCTGACCTCAAGTGATCTGTCTGCCTCAGCCTCCCAAAGTGCTGGGATTACAGGAGTGAGCCACTGTGCCCAGCCCCTTTTAGACTTTTTCTATGTATTTTTTACACAGCTGCAAACACAATGTGTGTATATTTCTATATATTTTTCACACGTGTTATAAGGTATGGACTTCTTCATCAATTATGGAAACATTCTAAATAGCTGGATTATATTCTATTCTCCTATTGCTGGCTATCTCCTTTTATTTTATTATTTTACTTTTCAGAGACAGCGTCTTGCTCTGTCACCCAGGCTGGATAGTGCAGTGGTGCAATCCTAGCTCACCGTAGCCTCGAACTCCTGAGCTCAAGTGATCTTCCTGCTTTAGCCACATAAGTAGCTGGGACTACAGGTGTGTGCCATCATGCCTGGATAATTTTCATTTTTCTTGTAGAGATGGGGTCTTGCTATGTTGCACAGGCCAGTCTTGAACTCCTGGCCTCAGCCTCCCAAAGAGCTGGGATTACAGGCATAAGCCACCATGCCCAACCTGGCTATCTCCATTTATTTGTGGCTACAAAAAAAAGACTATCTTTCTACATAAAATTTTTCTCTATATTTAGGATGTTTTCATTAAGATAGACTTTCCAGAATTAAATGTTACAAGGTCAAAAATGTGTACGTGTGTCTATGTATAAAGGTTTTTTTTCTAACCTAGTGATATATCAAAATCACCAAACCTTCCTACTCTATGTGGAATAAGATCATTTAGTTAAGCAGTATCTCTTTTTAGAACATTAGAAATAATGACTAAATGTTGAATATAACCCTAACTAATCATTCGCAGTTTGTTAGAGCTTTCAAGTTCTTAGGTGAAAATTCCTGTGTCTGGGATGTTGGCTTTCTGGCTTAGAAGTGCTGAAGGCCCATTAATGTATCAGACGTCAAGTTCTCCTTGACACAGGTGTAGGAGCCAACCAACACGTCTGGACTTGGGTTTTATTAAGGCCACTACTTAATAATGCAGAGAGAAGAAAATGTTGCAAAATTCAGGTAATAAAGAGTTAAACGAACAACTGTGTGAACTGTGAACAGTCACACAAGGCATATGCAGACTGGCCAAAATTCCTATGTACCTTTGCACTGAATATCTTTAGTGCAAGGGCATACAAAATACTTTTAATTAATTCTGCAACTTAAGGTGAATATAAAAACATGAACTGGTTGGGCACAGAGGCTCACACTGTAATCCCAGATCTTTGGGGGGCTGAAGTTGGAGGGCTGCTTAAGACCAGGAGTTCAAGACCAGCCTGGGCAACATAGCGGAAGGGTAAGAATTCAGAAATTGTTACCCAGATATCAATTAACCTTGTCTTAGACTGTAAGCTATTATGCAGAGGAAAAGAAAAGTTCAGTAGAAAATACTGAAAAGAAGCAAAACTGAGAGATTTTACTCAGAGGAGCTCCAGAGAGTCATTTTTATCAGTCTTCCCACACAATTTCTCAGAAATGTATTTGAATTTCCTATTTTTCACTCCTCTCATCTCCCCACCTTATTCTTTCCAAAATACAACTAAGAGATGTACAAATGCACTAATGTGAATGGTCTTCTAATTTTACAACTCTACCCATATATATATCTCAGGTATAGATTTTTAAGATAATACCCTAAAACAACCAATATAACTGTAATAGAAGTGTATCTAAAGTTACCAGGGCACAGAGATACCATATTTAGCTTTTTCTCATTTGTAATTACGTATCTCAAGTTGAAAACTATACTGAGGTCACCAAACTACAGTAAATTTTTCTGTCTTTATTTATTTATTTATTCAGAGACAGGGTCTCACTCTATCACCCAGGCTGGAATGCAATGGCATGAACACAGCTCACTGCAGCCTCAACCTCCTGGGCTCAGGTGATCCTCCTGCCTCAGCCTCCCATGTAGCTGGGACCCCAAGTGCGTGCTACCATACCTGGCTAATTTATGATTTTTTGTAGAGATGGGGGTCTTAATACAACTTTGTTGCCCAGGCTGGTCTGGAACTCCTGGGCTTACAGAATCCTACTGTCTCGATCTCCAAAAGTGCTCAAATTATGAGTGTGAAACACTGTGCCCAGCTCTGTTTTTTTTTTTTTTTTCAGACAGGATCTCATTGTGTCACCCAGGCTACAGTACAGTGGCACAAACACAGCTCACTACAGCTTTGACCTCCTGGGCTCAAGCAAACCTCTCACCTCAGTCTCCTATGTAGCTGGGACCACAGGTGTGAGCCATCACACCCAGCTTGTTTTAAAATTTTTTTATTTTTTTAAATTTTTTGTAGAGACAGGCTCTCACTTTGTGACCCAGGCTGGTCCTGAACTCCTGAGCTCAAGTGATCCTCCTGCCTCTGCCTCCCAAAGTGCTGGGATTAGACGCATGAGCCACTGCGCTTGGCCCTTTTCTATTTTCAAATATTCCACTTAAAAAAAAAGTCTTCTGAGGACGGGCATGGTGGCCCATGCCTGTAATCCCAGCACTTTGGGAGGCCGAGGTAGCCAGATCACATGAGGTTAGGAGTTCGAGATCAGCCTGGCCAACATGGTGAAACCCGTCTCTACTAAAAATACAAAAAATTAGCCAGGTGTGGTGGTGCATACCTGTAATCCCAGCTACTTGGGAGGCTGAGACAGGAGAATCACTTGAACCTGGGAGGTGGGGGTTGCGATGAGCTGAGATAGGGCCACTGCACTCCAGCCTGGGCAACAGAGTGAGATTCTATCTCAAAATAAATAAATAAATAAATAAAATAAAATATTAAAAATTAAAAAAAGTCTTCTGGACTCTCTGCTTTTGTTTCTCCAAATGTTTCAATCTGGTGAAGTATTTTCTTTCTTTCTTTTTTTTTTTTTGAGATGGAGTCTTGGTCTGTCACCAGTCTGGAGTGCAGTGGTGCAATCTTGGCTCACTGCAACCTCCGCCTCCCGGGTTCAAGCAATTCTCCTGCCTCAGCCTCCCAAGTAGCTGGGACTACAGGTGCGCACCACCACGCCCAGCTAATTTTTGTATTTTTAGTAGAGATGGGGTTTCACCATGTTGGCCAGGATGGTCTCAATCTCTTGACCTCGTGATCTGCCCTCCTCGGCCTCCCAAAGTGCTGGGATTACAGGCGTGAGCCAAGGCGCCTGGCTGTATTTTCTGTATCTACTTTTAAAAATAATGCCACTACTGCTAATAACAATTTTAAAAAGGACAATTCTCCTAACTGAGCCAATAGGCATAAAATATTTTAATAGGATATTTATTAGGATAAACATATATTAGGATAAATATTTAATAGGATAAAATAGGTTAAGGAATCAATACACAGTGTCTAGCAGCTTCAACACAAACCATAAGCAAGCTGTTAACTGAGCACGCCTAAATAGTAACATACTTTGGGAAACGACACAGGTGTGCACTAATGTCAAGAAATGCTTCACCAAGCATTAGAAGAATCTGAATTTACAGATGATCATGAATACAAAGGAAATGCTCCAATATCTATATGTTAACTAGTGATACTTAAAGATCAGATAAGGCAAACTTCACCTTGTCATGTCCTTTAATATATTAACCAAATGACAAAAAATTTAAAAATTATAAGCAGCAGCAGCTTACTTAATGAAAATCTATAACATAAACTCTTGTATAACTTTAAATATATGACTATGTATACAAATTCACAAACAGTCTTATAAGGACCTTCATACAAGGGAATAAATAAGTTTCATAAGAAACTAAAGCAGGACTTCCTTGGACAAAATATTTTACTATAACGTAATATCCCAAAGACTCTTAGATTTCCAACATTTAACAACATTAAGATTTTTAGAAACCTATCCTTTTCATAAGGCAATCCTATGAAAAAGCAGTTCATTTTTGTCTGACAATAATAAAATCCTTTCTTCAATAAAGGGCTCCTATATTAAGTAATGAATTCAAACTACATAAAGGAAGAACTTGGGTGATTATTAAAGCAATATGGGTAAATGAAGTCATTAATGAGTGGCTTAAAAGTCACACATATATTTAATCTAAAAATACATTATAAATAGGGTAAAAAATGCAATAGGTATGATGTCTATCCATCATACTTTTGGGTCTCTGTAAATATTCGGTGTGAACTATGCACTTGGTTGTCAAAATAAAATGCTGCTACTGAACTTAAGAAGTAACATGAACCAACAACTTATATGGCTAATGCAAATAATAAAATAGAATGAAAGAAATCCTAAAACCAAAATATGCACAAAGGAAATCACGCCCAAAGAATAAACTGTAAAATAAGCAATATTTGATTAAATAACAGGTTAGAAGTGGTGAGATTATACACAAAAACCTAGCTGGGAAGGAGATTGAGAGTATCAAAAAATGACTAAGTTACACAAACAAACAAATGAAAACAAACACCTAAAAAAGGACAAATTAAAGTTCACGATACACTACAATCTAGTAACATTCTCATGCAAAGCAGGAGTGTTCTCAAGTCAGAGTAATAAATACTTAATAAATAAAAATCCTGGGTAGTTCAAACCAACAATCAAGCTCATCTATATATAATCATTTTCAAATTTAAAAGATATTTAAAATTTAAAATATATTCAAAAGGTCTTTTTCTCCAGTAACGTAATTTATACCACTTGAAATGAAAGCAGTCCCAAAGATTAAAATCATCTGACCACATGTTACTCATCCTCCACATGTATTCAAATTCAAATAATTCCAGTTATTCATAAATTAGTCTAAAGTAAAACATAAACCTATCCAGATCTGAGTGAGCTCATAATTACCAAGAGAAAGATTACATGTGAGATAGATGTATGTTTAACACTACTCTCACACATCAAAGTTAATATACGTTCAATTAAATTGGAAATAAAAATTTTTAATTCATTCTTTCTATACTTAAAATATATCGTGTTAGTAAATAAGTTCAGGAAAAAAGACAATTTTTTTCTCATAAAAGGAAAAACACTTGCAGAAATTAACCTCTTGAAACTGCCTAAATTCATTATCAGGTTATATAGCACTTTCCTTTTTAGCATGAAGGACTAACATCACTGAAAATATAACCAAAGTTAAAAAATGTTTTTCTTAGAGAAATAATATTTAGAAAGATGCTTAAAGGCAGGTTCCATATATTCTTCATTTTCAAATTTTGCCCCAGTTCACAGCAGGTTCCTATTTAAAGCAGGTACTTAAATTAAGTACTCTGAATGAATAAATCACATCAAGGTGGGGTTAGGGGACAGTGGGGTAATAAGAGAATGTGGTCTCAAACATGTATCATATCTGGTAGTAATTTCTATTTCAGTGACCAAAATTTTTACAAGCACACTAAAACAATGTGCTGATTTGAGACCAATACTTGTCTACTAATTTAATTCTTTGTAGACATTCAATGAAACTTTTTACTTAAATAAAAATGACAGCTGGGTGCGGTGGCTCACAGCTGTAATCCCAGCACTTTGGGAGGCTGAGGCTGGCAGACCACCTGAAGTCAGGAGTTCGAGACCAGTTTGAGACATGGCGAAACTAAAAATACAAAAATTAGCCGGGCAAAGTGGCACATGCCTGTGGTCCCAGCTACTCCGGAGGCTGAGGCACGAGAATCACTTGAACCTGGGAGGTGGAGGTTGCAGTGAGCCGAGATCATGCCACTGCACTCCCGCCTGGGTGGCAGGGTGAGACTCCATCTCAAAAAAAAAAAAAAAAAAAAAAAAAAAAAAGACAAGCCTTTTAGAACTGCTCTTTCACAATTCTAAATCAAACACTAAGCATGGTAGTTCTGATATCTAAAAACAAAGACTTAGGACCTAGTGTTAGGTGAGAACCCTCCCTATGAATAAAATACAGTGAAAAAATTTTAAATGACTTTTACTTAGTCAATCAATCTTTTTTGTGCCTAACATTAGGATATGTCTAACACAGGAAACCAATAGTGACCAACCAGTAACAGCTGCCAAAACCTGAGAAGTAACAGGGAAAGGTGGTTCCATTCTCATCCCACCACCCAATAACTTTTTCAAATTTTTCATGGGAAAGGAGTAAAGTGGTGGTGGTGGTGATGGGACCAGAGACATTTTCATTCTATGTGTCCTTTTCCTTGGCCTCTATTTTCATGACTAGGCCATACCTTAAGACTGAGGTTGCAAGCTGGTGGACTATAAACATGCTTTGTTCTGATTAGTACTTAAAAATTTGTTAATTAATTGCTAATCTCTAACAATCTGGAAATTTCACACCAAAGCCTTGATTTCCAGTCTCTTGTAAAACCAGAAAACCTGGCAACACCAGACCTGTACAACAACAAACGGCCAGAGCTGAGTGGTGGCTGCCTCTTTTAGACAGTGCCTGTCACAGTCCCCACCTCTCCTTGTTTCTTATACTTGGCCACCTTCATTCTTTTACAGTATCCATCCGGGACCTGTGGGCACTGAGTTTTTGGCCCCCACCTACCTATCTTACTTACCTTTCATAAACTAGAAGAAACTCCAATACGCAGCCCCTAAAATTCCACTGTACTTCTCTTAAATAAATGATTGAAATACTAACGGGGATAAGGAAGGAGTGTTTGAAAAGTATACTGGTTCCTCTACTTGTCGTTTTCATTCTTTCCATTCTTGATTACCAGATGTCAGGATGTGTGCTGACATCACCATTAAATTACTACCAGTTTATAAATAGATATGACCGAAACGTACTGATTTCTCTTTGAGGGCCATTGTATAATTTACTATGCACAATAGTATTCATTTAATGCACATCTGTCCTATTTCATTTGAAAGCTAACTAAATCAATTTTATTTGAAAGCTAACTAAACCAATCTAGGAATAAAATTGTCACCAGGGACACAGACAATGAATCAATCTGTAATTATGGACAATCAAGAGTTTCTAGAATAGGTAATAAAATAGGTGGTTTGTGATCAGCAATTACGGGGAGCCAAGGTGAGTTCACCAAAATAAGACATCAAATAGATGTTGCTTGCTAATTAGATAAAATTATGATATTGGTAGATCAGAGGAATATGGAAGAAATTATATACTGATTTTAGAAAAATCCTTCATGAAATATCTGATAAGACAGGAAGACAAAATGTGGGCTGGATAATAACATATTTTTCATTGACTGAAAAATCCTTCCCCAAGAATTTTGAACCTGTCATTGACAAAGAGTTCTCTGGTGGAATACTATAGGGCTTGCTCAGTTTAGCACTCTCTCTCTCTCCAACCTCTGGGTATTCAACATCATTTTTTATCAGTAACTTGAAAAACAGTACATATCTACCAAATCTGCAAATAACACAATGCTTAGAGAAATATATAATGGGACAAATGACAGAAATAATGTTTGAAATGACTGAGCTAGAACAAATGGATCAAAAAGAAGAATATGACATTTAATAGAGATATATATGTATCTGCATTTAGATTTAAAGCATCAACTAAAAAATGTCAAATACACATCAGAAAGGAGGGGACATCTGTCTCTTCATATGAAAAACATCTGACTTTAATTAGCCCCAAGACAATATATGTCAACAGTGGGATGGGACTGCCAAAAAGTTAATTCATGCCCTAGACAGATGCTGTCCTAATTGTGAAAAACAGCTGCCCACTGTTCTGGACTAGTCGCACTACAACTGCAACACTGCTTTCTATTCTTGGTGGCACCTTTTAAGAGGTACTGTGAAAACCTAAGGGGCTTTCAGATGAAGACAACCAGGAATGATAAGTTCACTAAACCATCTAATTTAAGAAAAGGCTGAAAGAAATGGGGATGTTCTACCTGGAGAAGAGAAAATTAGGGGAGACATGATGGCCGTCTTCAAATGCCTGAAGGATTGCTATGTTGAAGAGGGAGTAGGATAGTCGTATGTTGTTCTAAAGGGCAGAACTAAAACTAAAGAGAGAAAGTTATAGGGAAAACATTTAGTTAAAAAAAAATAATAAAAGCAAAAGCAAAAATGCTTTCCAATGAGGCAAGCCATCAGCAGATAAACAGCACTCTCTCAGGAAGGCTTGCAGGAAGGCATTCTAACAGGAGGTTAGGCCAGATGAATTCTAGAATCTCTTCCAACTCAACGATTCCCAACACTGGAGCACCTGAGTGTTGTTTGGTTTGAACTAGCCTTGCATTTTCTGTCAGTCATCATGAGAGAATCTGTCTATGTTACTACTTTACAAGGTGCTAAAGCACAGAAGCAGAACTTTGCCACCAAATGGGTGCGGTGATCCCTTCAAAGCAGTCACCTGAGATGGTTGCATTCTTATTCCAGAGCTGTTAGTGCTCGAAACATCACTGAAACTCTCAGAATGCCTTCAAAATCAGTTTCTGACTCACAGAAGAAATAAACTCACTGTTTCATAGACACATCCACTATATTGCTGGTGGATACAAACTATGGTCATTTGATACAGTTAAAGTCTAGCCCTCAGTGAGTGTCCAATGGTGAGCCAAATAACTGACCCATTTCTAACCAAAATTGAATATTTAGCTTGATCTTAATCAAGCCCAGCTCCCAAAGACTTTTAAATGATTTCAAAAACCTAATGCATACACATATGACATCAGGTACAAATTAGTATTCAGCTCTTAAATGCTCAAAAAATGTAAAACTGATTTGAACAAAGGTAGCATGATCAGCATAAGAATACAACCTTCCAAGATTATTGCTTTGAGGGAATATATGCATCCTTTTTTTTTCTCTTTCTTTCTTAAAAGCGTGTTACTTTATAGGATTACTTCATGCTTTTGGTTCAATTATAAAGGCCTAAAAAAACAGTACTACAGATCTTTTTCTCTTTTCCACATTCCTTTGAGTTCTTAAAGTTGGTTATTATCCTCATGTCTAGAAACCATGTTCTTTCAAATAAACACTCCAGGTACTTAAAAGCAGATTATAATTATAAATGGTTTCAAGAATAGAATATTGTTTCAAACTCAAAATACTGTTTGCATTACTATGGTTTTAATGAGATATATTATTTCATTGTAAGCTGAGTACAGTATAATATCTTTCATTTAGGATTAATGTGTCTTTTCTTTACTACAAAAGTCCTAATCTATTAACTCACAGCCAAAAAATTTTAATTTCCCTATACATATTATCTTTTAATAGGAAAGATAATTTATCTTCCTTATGAAAAAAACATCCAAAATCTTATTTTATAGTCCTCTAAATATACCTATTAATTTAAAAACATTATTAAGGATGCTTCCAAAACTAAACATTGTCATCACAGTGAGAATTTTAGTGGAAGTTAGTTGGGCATCAGTCAGCTTGTCTTTGTAGTGAGTATCTGTATAATAAATAGTTATCCGCTTTTTTCTTTTGTATTTTAACAGAATGCCTGGTACCCAGTAAATAAAGTTAAGAACCTGTTAAGAACTGCAGTGAAGATTTTGTTCTTTACAGATTGCAGCAAGTCTGAGTTGAGGAAGTTCTGACAGATGCAAAATGTACACCTGTTGCAGGTGCACATACAGCGTAACCGGGCATGGCTGCGAAAACACACAGAAGGACAGGAGTTGAGTTCTTACTTACAAATATGGCACAAGTCAGGGTGTGCCAACTTAAAAAAAAAAGACTTAGGCATAAGCAACACTCTTTGTAGAAAGGAAAAGGACAGTATGGGGCATGCTAAAGTTGTGCAGAATTCCACATTTACCAAAAACATAATAAATAGTAATAGCTTCCTCCTCCCTCCCTGTAGAAAATCTAGGGAAAATTAGCTGATACTTTTGCTTTTTTTGGAGGGGGGATGGAATTATTATTACATGAATTTTTGTGGAATAAATATGCACAGCAATAGATGGCACCCTCGTCTAAATTAATAAAAAGAAAACCTGAGTAAGCCATAAGCACCCACCAAAAGGACAAAGTTTGCTAGCGTTTAAATAACGATTCCCTCCTCCTCCTCCTCCCTCAGCATACACACATGCCTGAAAACCAGGAAGGAGAAGAATGATAAATATACAAATGAGTCAAAAGACAAGTGTATTCAACCCTGAGAAGATGTGAACAACAACGTCTTTAATTCATCAAGCACCCTGGCTCTCAAAGGAACTAAATCAAGGTGCTTTATAAATTTCTACTCAAATAAAATATAGGGTTGATTTCATCTGCTACCCAAACACAGCAGCTATATATGACAGTATGAAACTCTGGGTAAGGATGTAAAATCAACAATGGATCCAATTGAAATCAGATATGAAATTTAGGGAGGCTTTCTGACTCCTTTCTGGTTGAGGAGAGTTGCACTAGTTGGTGCAGGCACAGGGGGCAACCCATTTCACCTCGGCTCTAACTACCAAAGTAGGGGGTCTCCAATGACTGTTCAGTGGTCAGAGCCACTCATTCATACAAAGCCATCACACCACCCATGAAGAGGTACTGGTTCAGAACCCACTCAGAAGAGCGCCACCTGATGAATCAATGACATCACTTCCTGTAACACCTGAACATTTTTTTATAGGCTTCTCAGTCAAAAGACTGGCCCAATCTGACTTGGCTTAGCTTATGAGATCTGATGAGACCACAGCACATGGTGGCATGGTTGTAACGATTAGCAGCATTCCAATAATGCCTAATTCCCAATATGAAGAAAAACAAGAATTAAAAAAAAAAACTTGTATAGGCCCAAGACATTCCTTTTTCATTTTTTTTTCATTTTTTTTGACTTGTGATGATGAACAAATCACTGCTACTAAGTCTCTGCCAGCTGTCATACTGGAATCCATCTGTTATTTTATAAATCAAATCTGATTCTTTAACATACACAAGGCTCCACCCACCAAAAAGGAGAGATGCAAAGTATGCTTAGCAACAGGGAGATGCTTCATGAGAAGTAGTTTGGGATTAACCATATAAACAAGTGGTCCATGTATGTACATTTATCATATAACACACACACACACAACAGAATTACAGTAAAATGTTTTAAAAATGCAGATGTAAAAACACACTTGCAGTTACTGTAATCACAAGATTAAAGAAGTACATTTATGTAGTAAGGAAGACAACGTAATATATAGCTAGGCAGGAAGCCTGACCAAGCAGTGCGTTTCTACATAATTACTAAATGTTAATTATGGCAAGAAAGGAGATTTGGTCATTCTCTAAGAAAATATCAACAAAATCCCACAGAAGTCATAAAGAAAAAGTAACTTACAAAGCAGTTTTTAGAAAGACCCAGATTTTTCTCAAATTCTCTATTCTATCAGTGTGGCCCATGTCTCGGGAGAGTCTGTCTCTGTAATGATCCTCTCTGTAGATAACATACATGAGAGTTTTAAAGCAAAGGTAAAACATAAATAAGGTTTTGGTTATTCTATAATAATAGGAATGACTTGTCTTCGAATACAAATAGAAATTCAAGGGTTTGTTGCATCTAAAAAAAGTATTAGGTAATAAAATAGCAGTAAAGTTAACTGACTTTAAAAATCTGTACAAATCAACACCTTTTTGAAAAATGTCATTCTTGGTTTATAGCAATGTTTGATTATTACTCTGTGTTACACTGTAGTTTTCATAAGAAGAAAAATAATTTAGAGACTAACATAAGAATAAGTAGAATAAGCTATAAAGTCCTGAGAAACGCACTGCCTGAAAAACTATTTTGTTACAAAACAGAATTTATACAAACACACTACTTGAGGCGAATGCCATTAAGAACCATGCAATTTTAAGGCAGTTAGTAAACTACAGAGATGACCACAGTTATGTGCTTGTGCATATGCATGTATAGATATATAATAAATGTACATGAAATTTGTGGCTCGTAACACTTAATGTAAAACATTTATACAGTAGAAATTCCAATTACAACTACTCTTTACAGCACTTAAAAAAGACATATCCTAACTGAAGCATACCCACAATTTCAACATAAATTAATAAAATATTTTAGAAAACTTCATATACCTAAGGTCAAAAACAGAAAAATATAAACTTTCTGTTCATATGAAAATGCTTTATAAGCATAAAACAACATGATGCCAAACCCATTTTATTCCAGTAAAACTATTTTTTAATGCTGGGTGGGGGGTTGTGTTTTATTGTACTATTCTATTAAGATAGTTACAGCCTGCTCAAAAATATACAGATATTGTCAGAAGCACTGTTTATATCATTTTATTATGGCATTCAAACCAAACTTGCATTTACTCAAATTTGTACCTTCTCATTACAAAGTATCTTTCTGTTGCTGAACAATTCCTATGTGACAAAGATATTCCCTTCATGGCTAATAATGGCATGCAATGTTATGAACCATGCAACATGAAAATGAAGACAGCAAGTACTTACGGATACATGGCCATTGTTGTCAATTTAACAAAGATATCCTTACTGGGGGCATCAGCAGTATTGCAAGTGAAGGCTTGTGGTGGAGGCATTTTGTGTTTCCTGCAGAAATCAGTAGGTGAAATACTGTATTCTTGTTTAACTTCATGCAGGTCTGACTTTGCAGCTACGATTAAGCAAGGTATTCTGCTGTCCATAAAGTGTTGCTATGGAATAAAAAATGAAATCAAAATCTGATAACAAGTTCAAAAATTACTATTTAATTAAATGTGAACCAAGCATTTCCTCCAGATGGGCAAAGCAACAGTAGTTTCAAAGCGAAAAAGTGAACCAAAAGGCAAAGATTGGCAGTGGTCTAGGTAAATCTCATATAATAAATAAGATCCAGATCACTTTTCCAATGCTGATGACAAAACAGACCTATACTGATTCCTTAGATTTATTACAATTAAAAAAAACATGTAATTAAAAACACACATTAAACACACATATTTTGAAATATAAAGAAATCCACCTAAATTCTTTTATAAAAACTACTTTCATTTTTTAATATCACCTCTAGTCCTTGAGCACATGCATTTTTATGTGTGTCTGTATAGTCGCAGTCATGCTGGACATAACCACTTAAAAATGTAATACTGTGTCCTCCATATTCTTCAGAATTCAAAACTATTTTTAATTTTACATTTATTGTTTTTATTTTTTAATTTAAATATTGCCTAACATTCCACTAGATTATTTTATCTTACTTCAGTAAATCATCGTCCATTGTTAGCCATCTTGATTATTTCCAGTTTTTTCCTGTTAAAAACAATGCTAGAATAAACACCTTTGTACATATAGCTTTTTACTCCTATTGAATCTTATTGATAATCCCTAAGTGACTGATAGACTTTCTAAGCTTCAGATTTATCCCTTTCCTCTGGCTGTTATTCTTGGTATATTTGGCAATATATAATCCATATGTACTACTCTTTTTTTTCATCAGAGAGAAGGCAGACATATGTAACTTTTAACAGCTGGGAAGAGCTTGCATTAATGTAAAAGTTCTCAATCAGGAATGCACCTCACAATCACATGTCGAAAACTTTCAGAAATATGTATGTCTGAGACTCTACCACTTTAGAACAAAACCAGAACCTTCAGGAATAGGGTAAAGATGTATGTATTTTTAAAATACACATGATTTTGTTGCATTTTTGTGGTTAGGAAACACCACACTGCAATTCCATAAAAAGTCCATATGAAGTTACATTCAGTCATAGTCTGTAGGAGCAACAAACCTTAAAAATCCTGGCACAGTATTCAAAGGATTTGGGATTGCTGACATCATATACCAGGCATACAACATCACAAATGATTTCAGCTTCAGTTAGAAATTCCGATTCTGAGATATCATGCAACTTGTAAAAGAAAAAGATAATGAAAAATATAAGTATCATAATATTGATATATTAAGTCATGATAGCTTATTACTTCCTTCCCTGGACTTCCTAAGTTTAAAAGTACTGGTTAAGCATAACTTTTCAGGCCAGTTTTAAAAGTAGAAAGTATAGACAAGGCTGGGCGCGGTGGCTCACGCTTGTAATCCCAGCACTTTGGGAGGCCGAGGTGGGCGGATCACAAGGTCAGGAGTTCGAGACCAGCATGGCCAACATAGTGAAACCCTGCCTATACTAAAAATACAAAACAAATTAGCCAGGTGTGGTGGCGGGTGCCTGTAGTCCCAGCTACTAGGGAGGCTGAGGCAGGAGAATGGCATGAACCCGGGAGGCGGAGCTCGCAGTGAGCAGAGATTGCGCCACTGCACTCCAGCCTGGGCGACAGAGCAAGACTCAGTCTCAAAAAAAAAAAAAAAAAAAAAAAAAAAAGAAAGTATAGACAAATAAGTATCTTCTGATTCTGCAGACTAAAAATGGTGATTAAGATTCTGTGGAAGCTTAGCCAGGTGCAGTGACGTGTGCCTGTAGTCCCAGCTACTGGGGAGGCTAAGGCAGGAGAATCGCTTGAGCCTGGAAAGCAGAGGTTACAGTGAGCCGAGATCACGCCGCTGCATTCCAGCCTGGGTGACAAAAGTGAAACCTTGTCTCAAAAAAAAAAAAAAAAAAAAAAAAAAAAAAGATTCTATGGAAGCTAGTATTAGTGAGTGACTAATGTGTGGGGGCAGGCCCTCTACATGCATTGTTTACATTCTGCAGATAAGGAGACGGGCTAGAAAGATTAAGTCAGCTGCCCATGGTACACATCTAAGAAGTTATCAAATCAAAATTTAAACTCAGATATGATTCTCAAATCTATTTTCTTTCTACCACACCTTTTCTCCCCACTAATCAAAAACAAAAAGCAAATGACTCTTTACAGTAAGGTCATTTTTGTTCTGTTTCACTGCCACTCTTCGGTGCTTATTATAAAATTTCTTAAATATTCCATCTATGCTATAATGATCTCCAACAAGAGTAAAATTCAGGGGTGGGCACTGTGGCTCACACCTGTAATCCCAGCACTTTGGGAGACTGAGGTGGGCAGATCGCTTGAGCCCAGGAGTTTGAGACCAGCCCGGGACAGGGTTTCTCCACGTTGGTCAGGCTAGGGTGATCCACCCGCCTCGGCCTCCCAAAGTGCTGGGATTAGAGGCATGAGCCACCACACCTGGCCCATATAACCCTCCTTCTACTGTATTTCATAGTGTCTTTTCAGCTCTTCTTTTGTACTTTTTTTATTGTTTGTTTGATTTTATTGCTCCTTGCAGAGCAGGGCTAACCCATAGGCAGTGTGCCTAGAGTAGCCTATACATTTTTAAGGCTAACATATTTGTTAAATACTCCCTTCCCTGCTAAATAAACTTGATTCAGATTACAGATAAACTACCAAGCACTAGCAGGGTTTTCATATTAATTTCTAGTCAATAGTACAGGAAATATTTTTTTAAAAAAATAGAAGTATGCAGCCATAAATAAAGAATGAGTTCATGTCCTTTGCAGGGACATGGATGAAACTGGAAGCCGTCATTCTCAGCAAACTAACACAGGAACAGAAAACCAAACACTGCATGTTCTCACTCATAAGTGTGGGAGTTGAACAATGAGAACACATGGACACAGGGAGGGGAACATCACACACAGGGGCCTGTCAGGGGGTGAGGGGCAAGGGGAGGGAGAGCATTAGGACAAATACCTAATGCATGCGGGTCTTAAAACCTAGATGATGGGTTGACCTATGCAACAAACCTGCACATGTATCCCAGAACTTAAAGTAAAATTTAAAAAAAAAAAAATAGAAGTAGAAGAAAGTAAAAGGGGAGTTCAGTTTTTTCGACTTTTTTTTTTTTTTGAGACGGAGTCTCACTTTGTTGCCCAGGCTGGAGTGCAGTGGCACAATCTTGGCTCACTACAACCTCCGCCTCCCAGGTTCAAGT
Source organism: Homo sapiens (assembly GCF_000001405.40). NCBI lineage: Eukaryota > Metazoa > Chordata > Mammalia > Primates > Hominidae > Homo > Homo sapiens. The sequence goes on along the minus strand of NC_000017.11, from coordinate 32,204,897 downwards.
GATTCTCCTGCCTCAGCCTCCTAAGTACCTGGGATTACAGGCACGTGCCACCACGCCCAGCTAATTTTTGTACTTTTAGTAGACAGGGTTTCACTAGGGCCAGGCTGGTCTCGAACTCCTGACCTCAGGTGATCCACCTGACTCAGCCTCCCAAAGTGTTGGGATTACAGGCGTGAGCCACCATGCCTAACCCATTTTTCTCAACTTTCTTATTGTGGTATAGCTAACATACAATTAAGTGTACCAACTTAATTTTTTTTTTAATTTTTTTAAATGATGAATTTTTATTTATATCTAAACCTATGTAATCATCACATGATAAAAATACTTAAAATTCTTTTTTTTTTTTTTTTTCTGGAGATGGAGTTTCGCTCTTGTTGCCCAGGCAGGCATTATCTTGGCTCACCACAACCTCCACCTCCTGGGTTCAAGCGATTCTCTTGCCTCAGCCTCCCGAGTAGCTGGGATTACAGGCATGAACCACCATGCCCGGCTAATTTTGTATTTTTAGTAGAGACGGGGTTTCTCCATGTTGGTCAGGCTGGTCTCAAACTCCCGACCTCAGGTGATCCGCCCGCCTTGGCCTCCCAAAGTGCTGGGATTACAGGCGTGAGCCACCACGCCTAGCCAAAAGACTTAAAATTCTAATGAATAAACCAGATGAAAAAAAATAAAATCAAGCTTGGCATGGTGGCACATGCCTGCAGTCCCAGCTCCTTGGGAGGCTGAAGTGGGAGATCCCTCGAGCCCAAGAGCTCGCCAGGGCAACATAGTGAGACCGTGTCTCTAAAAAAAATTAAATAAAAAAAAAATCACACAGAAGTTCTACAGAGAGTCATTCAATTGAAGCCAATTTGTTTTCAAAGAGTCATTTAAAAATGTACCCAATAATTAGTAATTTTTGTATGCCACAGAATTTCTTACCAACAAGTATTTCTCTTGTCCATATACATAAACAGTGTTAATCGCATAGTAGGATTTATGATCTTCACGAATTTTCTTCTGCCTCTGAAAACAGAACCGAAAATCTCAATATCTGCAGTAACTAGTTTTCAACAATATACAAACATCTCTGTGTATATGTGCAGGTGTGTTATAAATAAAAGGGCATTCTTCCCTACACTGTGTACTATTTATCAGTACAAAGGAGATATTGATTTTATGTTTCTTAGTTCTTAAGACCTAAAATAAAAGATGTATTTGTTCTGCATAAAGTACAAGCAGTAGCTAAAAAGGAAGGAAACTATCCGTATTACTGAAAGTATATTCTAGAGCCACCTGCTGGCAATCTTCATTATACCATAATTTGGTCTGATCGAGATTAATACCCATCTAGAAATATGTCGGCAGGGTGTGGTGGCACATGCCTGTAATCCCAGCACTTTGGGAGGCCAAGTAGTTCAAGACCAGCCTGGGCAACATGGCGAAACCCCATCTCTACTAAAAATACAAAAATTAGCTGGGCCTGGTGGTTCACGCCTGTGGTCCCAGCTGCTCCAGGGGCTGAGGTGGGAGGATCACCTAAGCCCAGGTGGTTGAGGCTGCAGTGAGCCATGATCATGTCACTGAACTCCAGCCTGGGCAACAGAGCAATGCCTCGCCTCAAAAAAAAAAAAAAAAAAAAAAAAGAAGAAGAAGAAGAAAAGAAATATGTCTTCTTCTTCTTACTCAAGGGAGTAGTAAGAACTAGATATCAATATTCAATTCAAAATATTTACTGTGCATTTACTTCATGCCAAGGACTGTGTTAGGTGCTTTCACATCTGTAGTCATTTAATGCCCATTTAAACACTGGTTAAAAAAAGACAAATGATAGCTAATATCAATGAAACAAAGACAGTTCAACAGGATTACTGTTACATTTAGACTGTACTTGACTAATACAGGCCATTGAGTTCTAATAATTATCTAAAAAGGTCAATGGCTATGAAAACATTATGTAAACTAGTAACTATAAAAATTTGTTGGATAAAATTGTATTTTACGAGAACTCTCACCATTAAGTTTCTTCCAAGAAGAGCCTGAAGAACTCCACTTTTCCCACAGTTTTTCACTCCAATTACATTACATCTGAACACATTTCTTTGAGTTTGTTTTTTCTGCAGGTCTATCTTTTTATCTCTTGTCACTAAAAATAATAATAATAAAAAACCCCACTAAATATGTACCACTTAGATTCACTAAGCCTCCATTCCACCTTTTGCAAAATAGGGCATTGCTGCTTATTATTTTTATGAAGTAGCTGATCTATAAACAAACATATTGTACAACAGTCAAGCTGTATGTGAATGAAGTACACAGAATGCAGAAGGGCCCCAGTTAGTGGAAAAAATGCATTTCTGAAAGTTGACTGGAATGTGAATTTCGAGTAACCAAACATTTATTTCATCATAAAATAGTATATTTTCATAAGGAAAATATCCTATAAATGAATGAAAATTACTAAGAATATAGCCAACATTATATTCCATCTAATTTTTTCTGTGATAAACTGTCACATATTATAAACTAAAAGATGCTATTTCAAATCTGCACTCTCTTGGAGCTGGATCCATAAAACGGAAAGGGACACACACTTTGGGGTTAGCCGTCCTTTCAAATGTAAACTGTAAAAGAGGCATGCCAGAAAACAATGCTGTATCATAGGGACAGCAAGCATCCCTTCCTGAGGTAAAGAGACCTTCTTAGAGCCGGGTGCAGTGGCTCACGCGTGTAATCCCAGAACTGTGGGAGGCCAACAGGGGCAGATCACAAGGTCAAGAGATTGAGACCATCCTGGCCAACACAGTGAAACCCCATCTCTACTAAAAATACAAAAATTAGCTGGGCATGGTGGTGCATGCCTGTAGTCCCAGCTACTTGGGAGGCTGAGGCAGCTGAATCGCTTGAACCCAGGAGGCGGAGGTTGCAGTGAGTTGAGATCTCATCACTGCACTCCAGCCTGGTGATAGAGAGAGACTCCATCTCAAACAAACAAACAAACAAACAAACAAACACAACCTCCTTAGGCTATACCTGAAGACTGAACTACAACAGACCTCACCAGAGATACTAGTGATAGTAGAAAAAAAACCGAAAATGATAAAAATATATAATTATGGGATAGTTAAATAAGTTATAGAACATCCATATTGTGAAACATTATTTAACATTAAGATATATAAAAGTATACCTATTGATACAGAAAAATGTCCACAATGTGCTGAGTGAAAGAACCTCATGGCTGGCTAGTGACTGTTTTCTTATTCTCTGGTGTTGAATTAAATACTGTCTAATTGGTTAAGTATTTTAAAGGGTACCTGCTCTGTCAATTTAAGAAAGGCTGTCTTCTTGTGCTAGGGCTTCCCATAAGATATGGCAGATTTTCCACCAACAGGGATATAAGAAACTCTTGAAATGATCAGTTCCTTAACTTGCTATTTCCATACATATGGTTTACTTTAAGTGGTGCACATTGCTTGGCAAGAATGCCTGGCTTACAAGATTTGTGAAAGCTGTATTAATACAGAAAACAGTTAATACGCATTATTTTTAATGTTTAAAGAAAATTAAAACGCAAGATCAACTGGTAAATCCTTTAATGCCCACAGCTCTTCCTCATTTTCATCAGTGGAGTAACCCCAGGGAGTAGACTTGAAGCAAAGTCTCTACTTTCTTTCTTTTCATAAACAATAAAATCAAGCACCTCAACACAAAAGAAATGATCTGATCACAAGGAAAACTAATAGAGTGTAGATGGAAGACTAATGAAGATGAGTGTATTCTTACTCTTTGTTACATTTGAAAATGGAGTCTTAAAAAATATCTCTAATCATGAGCTGAACAGTATCTAGATACTTACCTGTAACAGCTGAAGCTTGAGACTCTTGCTCAGTCAATATTGAATAGCCTAGATAGCCCAAATATTCCAGGCACCGCTGTACATCTAAATAAGTCGTGAGCCTATGAAAGAAAAGAGTTTAAAATGTGAAAAGTTCCTAAACGAATATTTATGGGGAAAAAAAAGCCAATAGCTAAAAAAACTTTATGCACCAGACCTAGATAATTTTTGTCTAGACTACTTTAATTTCCTATGAGCCCAACCATAGTTTTTCTTACACTGCCATTCTTTTTTTTTTTTTTGAAAGATAGGGCCTTACTTTGTCATCCACGCTAGAGTGCAATGGCACAAACATGGCTCACTGTAGCCTTGAACCCCTGGGTGCAAGTGATCTTCCTGCATCAGCTCCCCAAGTATCTGGGACTACAGGCATGTGCCCCCAAGCCTGGCTAATTTTTTTTTTAATTTAAAAAAATTTTTTAGTAGAGACAGGGTTTCGCCATGTTGCTTAGGCTGGTCTTGAACTCCTGAGCTCAAGTGATCCATCCACCTTGGCCTCCCAAAGTGCTAGGATTATAGGTATGAGCCACGCTGCCTGGCCCTACACTGCCATTCTTAATGCAGAGAAGAAAGGGAGAAGAATGCAAGATGGTGGGTAATTCCTCTCTCTACTCCATCTGTCCAGAAACACTAAGCTTACAAACATAAGCGGTGAGTGGCTGGTAAAATCTAGATAGAGTGGGGATATTTTATGCGATCTACCTTCCAAGTTAAAAACAAACCAAAAAAAACAACCTCCTTAGGCTATACCTGAAGACTGAACTACAACAGACCTCACCAGAATACTAGTGATAGTAGAAAAAAACCCAAAAATGATAAAAATATATAATTATGGGATAGTTAAATAAGTTATAGGACATCCATATTGTGACACATTATTTAACATTAAGATATATAAAAGTATACTTATTGATACAGAAAAATGTCCACAATGTGCTGAGTGAAAGAACCTCATGGCTGAGGCAGGAGAATGGCTTGAACCCAGGAGGCAGAGTTGCAGTGAGCCAAGATCACGCCACTACACTCCAGCCTGGGCAACAGAGTGAGACTCCATCTCAAAAAAAAAAAAAAAAAGAGTTCATTAAAAACAAACAATAACAAAAAAACAGAATCTTCAGTGTCAAGTAAAATATGCTTCACCCCATATTCTGAAAGAGTAAGAATTGTGCAACAGCAATGACATTTCCAATTCCCTTAATCAAACAAAAAAGTGCTAAAATGTAGTTCAATTTTCAAAGACTTACTACTTTTTCCCTATATATCATTCAAAAGAAAACAATCCCTTCCTGATAAATTTATAGAACATTTATAGTTCATCTTAGAGATATCAGCAGCTAATCTTGCTTAGAGGCAATTATGATTGAAGAATTTCATAATGCCTCACAAGCTTACAAAGTGACAAATGTAATACACCATAATTTTAAACTATTTGTAACTCTAGAGGAAAGAGGTGAGCTCTATACTCACGTCCACTGGGAAAGGAATCCCTGGTAGGTTATCCAGCCTCTTTCATTGGTACAAACTGTGTTATTCACATCTGGCCCCCAAGGTATGTAAGGGAAAACTTTAAATAAATCTTTAAGCTCATCAGGTGACAAAGCACAGTCTCTATCCTGAAGAAACACAAGGATACAGAATGTTTAGATATCTAAGATAATAATTCCCAACTCAAAAGCCCCCCAATCTAGTAAAGCTATGCTTTTTAAAACTACTTAATAAATGACAACAAATTTTACATTTTATCAAGAAAATTCCTCAAATGTATGTAAGAAAACCTATAAGAGAGTCTATTAGAAATTAGACATTTTCATCTTGAGAAAACAACAAAGGTAAACAGCAGAAAATATTTTTGCGAATTTAACTTAGAGAGGTTAAGCAGTTTTTGGCTATGTAACATACACATCCCATAGCTCAGGGAACAGAGTTATATCATCCATAGAAAAATGTTTTACTATATATAATGGAAAATTACAGCTAAAGGCTTACCAAATCATGCTTGTCAAAGGTGCTTTGGAGAAATAAATATGCATGATGATTTAATTCAGTAGTGCAATCAGGAGGTATTTTCAGCCTGTTGAAAAAATTCAAGAGTAAAATAAATCATTAATCAAATGTTAAAATTTAAGAAATTAATATAAAATTGCAACAAGTCTTTTGTGAGGTAACACCATTTACAAGAATATCTTCACTTGGTATCATTTAGACTTTCCCAAGGAAACTCTCTGGAGTGATTTTGGCACTCTTCAGAAGAGTCATAATAATGCTCATTCCAAAGTAACAACATTTTCTTTTTTTCTCTTTTTTAAATTCAGACAGGGTCTCACTCTGCTGCCCGGGCTACAGTGCAGTGGCACGATCACAGCTCACTGCAGTCTCGACCTCCTGGGCTCAATCAATCTACCCATCTCAGCCTCTTGAGTAGCTGGGACCACAGGCGCACACTACCATGCCTGGCTAATTTTTGTATTTTTGTAGAGATGGGGTCTCACCATGTTGCCCAGGCTGGCTCAAACTCCTGGGCTCAAGCAATCCACCCACCTTGGCTTCCCAGTAAGTGTTGGGATTATAGGCATAAGCCACTGTAGCAGGCCCATTTTCTTAAATATCAGAAAAGCAGGTTAATATAAAAAATTTACAAATAATACTGATTTACCTGTCATGGGTTTGTTCTTCCTACAAATTTTAAGTCATACTTATGAGCTTCATATTAATTCCAATATTGTAATGAGTTGAAAATGATGCAGAGAAGTTATTTCTACCTGACTTGACCTTTTGGACCCACCCTAAATTCTGTTTAATAAACATTAACCAAATGCACTGAGTGCTGGACATGGTGACTCATGCCTGTAATCCCAGCACTTTGGGAGACCGAGGCAAGGAGGATCACTTGAGCCCAGGAGTTCAAGACCAGCCTGGGCAACAAAGTGAACTCCATCTCTACAAAAAATTTTACAAATTAACTAGGCATGGTGGCACATGCTTGTAGTCCCAGCTACTGGGTAGGCTGAGGCAGGAGGACAGGTTAAGCCTGGGAGGTTAAGGATGCAGTGAGCCGTGTTTGCACCACTGCACTCTAGCCTGGGTGACAGAATGAGACCCTGTCTCAAACAAACAAACATAAAAACAAACAAAAACCAAATGTACTGGCTGGGCGTGGTGGCTCACGCCTGTAATCCCAGCACTTTGGGAGGCTGTGGCAGGTGGATCATTTGAGGTCAGGAGTTCGAGACCAGCCTGGCCAACATGGTAAAACCCCGTCTCTACTAAAAATATGAAAATTAGCCGGGTGTGGCCAGGCACGGTGGCTCACGCCTGTAATCCCAGTACTTTGGGAGGCCGAGGCGGGCAGATCACGAGGTCAAGAGATTGAGACCATCCTGGACAACACGGTGAAACCCCGTCTCTACTAAAAATACAAAAAAAAATTAGCTGGGTGTGGTGGTGGACGCCTGTAGTCCCAGCTACTCGGGAGGCTGAGGTAGGAGAATGTCGATGAACCTGGGAGGCGGAGCATGCAGTGAGTCGAGATCACGCCACTGCACTCCAGCCTGGGCGACAGAGCGAGACTCCATCTCAAAAAATAAAAAAATAAAAAAATAAGAAAAAAGAAGAAAAAAGAAAATTAGCTGGGTGTGGTGGCACGCACCTGTAATCCCAGCTACTCGGGAAGCTGAGGCAGGAGAAGTGATTGAACCCAGGAGACGGAGGTTGCAGCGAGCCAAGATTGTGCCACTGCACTCCAGCCTGGGTGACAGAGTGAGACTCCATCTCAAAAAAAAAGCAAATGTACTGAGCTAGGTACTAGGGAGACAAAAATGAGACAGGCTCCCCACTTCTAAGGAACCACAAACAAGTGGGAGGTGGACCACAAAGACATTTCTTTTTTTTTTTATTTGAGATGGAATCTCACTCTGTCGCCAGGGCTGGAGTGCAATGGTGCGATCTCGGCTCACTGCAACCTCCACCTTCCAGGTTCAAGCGATTCTCCTGCCTCAGCCTCCCGAATAGCTGGGATTACAGGTGCCCGCCACTACACTCGGCTAATTTTTTGTATTTTTAGTAGAGATGGGTTTTCGCCATGTTGGCCAGGCTGGTCTCGAACTCCTGACCTCGTGATTCACCCACCTCAGCCTCCCAAAGTGCTGGGATTACAGGCGTGAGCCACCACACCCGGCCCCCAAAGACATTTCAACAGAATGAGGCAGGAGCTAAGAATGTGCAAGCCAAGGATGCTAGGGAGCCACATGAAAAGGAACATCTCTGGCCTGGGGACTGGGAAAACCTCAACACTGCTGAGAAACATTGTCATCTGAATTGAGACTTGAAGGATGAGAGGCATTAATTAGGTGGGGGCGAGAGGGAGAGAGGTGAAAATAGCATGGACAAAAGCCTGGTGTAGAAAAGAACATATGCTTGGTGGACAACAAATAGTTTGGTATTGACTTCCAGAATGAAGGCAGGGAGTGTGCATGAGGAGAACAGATCATGAATGACCTTGCAAACCATGTTAAGAAGCTTGGATTTTAGACCAGGTGTGGTGGCTAATGCTTGTAATCCCAGCACTTTAGGAGGTCAACGCGGGAGGATTTCTTGAGCCTGAAAGACAGAAACCAGCCTGGGCAACAAAGGGAGACCTCATCTCTACAAAAAATTTAAAAATTATCTGGGAATGGTGGCCATGTGCCTGTAGTCCCAGCTACTTGGCAGGCTGAAGTGGGATGATTGCTTGGGCCCAGGAGGCCGAGGCCACAGTGAGCTGTGATCATGTCACACCACTGCATTCTAGCCTGAATGACAGACAGGGCAAGACCCTGTCTCAAAAAAAAAAAAAAAAAAGCAGCAGCTTGGGTTTTATCCTGTGTCTTGAAGGGAAGTGACAGAGCCAAATTTTTATTTATTTATCCACTACTCTAGCAGTAATGTGAAGGATAGATGCAGAGGGTTTCATAAGGATAGAAATATTCGTGTAGTAGCTCCAGGGAGTTATTTTGCAGAAAATTAAAGGCAAAGAGGATTAAAAAAAACTGAAAGAGGTGATTAGTGTAAGCCACAATGCGACAAGACGTGGAATTTCCTAACTGTCATACTTAAGAAAGCAATAAGCAACCTCCCATAGAATTCATCTATTCACATAAATGACACAGAAAAGAAAACCTTATGAGAGAGTCCTATAACAAATTCATTCATTTAGTATATATTTATTGAAAAATCTAGGAAATTAACTTGAGCCAAGATTTAGTAACTTAGTCAAAGGAAGTTTCAATTTAGAACTGATTAATGGACTAGGAATCTAATCAGAAAGAACTTTGCTTCCTCAATAACGGAGAAGTAAAAAGCAACAGTCTTTCTGAACCATTACATAGACAGCTGAAGGTGCTATGCTAAAATAAAAGAGCACTATGAAGGTAATGTGCCAATGAAAAAATGAAGAATGATTGAAAACTCTGAGGCCAGATCCTGGGAAGTCACCATCCCTGAAAAGCTCGCTTCCCTGGGGTATAGAAGAAGGATCCTGCAACAAGGCGGTCTCTTGTTTGGGGATGGCACTGGGTCCATTTTTAAACAAACAGAACTTAAACACAGCATTATCAAAGGAAAATAACTGGCCAGTCATGGTGGCTCATGTCTGTAATCGCAGCACCTTAGGAGGCTGAGGCAAGAAGATCATTTGAGGCCAGGAGTTCAAGATCAGCCTAGGAAATATAGTGAGACCGCTTTTCTACAAAGAAAAAGAAAACAAAGAAAGAAAGAAAAAAAAGCCAGGCATTGTGTTGCACACCTATAGTCCCAGCTATTTGGGAAGGTCAGGTGGGAGGATTGCTTGAGCCATGGAGTTTGAGGTTGCAGTGAGCTAGCCAAAATGAGACCTTGTCTCTTAGGGAAAAAAAAAAAAGGCCGGGTGCAGTGGCTCACGCCTGTAATCCCAGCACTTTGGGAGGCTGAGGCGGGTGGATCACGAGGTCAGGAGATCGAGACCATTCTGGTTAACACGGTGAAACCCCTTCTCTACTAAATATACAAAAAATTAGCCGGGCATGGTGGCGGGCGCCTGTATTCCCAGCTACTTGGGAAGCTGAGACAGAAGAATCGCTTAAACGCGGTGGGAGGTTGCAGTGAGCCAAGATCGTGACACTGCACTCCAGCCTGGGTGACAGAGCGAGACTCCGTCTGAAAAAAAAAAAAAAAAAAGAAAGAAAAAGAACCACAAATAGACCAGTCGTTTAGGAAAATACCTACTTCAACTTAAGCTAAGAACAGGCTATAAAACTGAGGGAGAAGAACAATGTAAGAAAAATGTGAATCAACATATTTCTGAGATCTCTTGACTCCCAAAACAAGTTTGTTGTCTAGCATCTTATTTTTCCTTCCTCAGTAAAATGAACAAAAAAAGATACTTGTAGTCTCGACAAGAAGAGGAAAAGTTTGAGCCATGAGGGAATCAGTGGTTCTCAACTGGGGATAATTTCACTTCAGAGGGTACATTCGGCAATTTCTCAACAGTTTTGGTTGTCACAACTGGAAGTGTCACTGACATCTACGGATGTGGTAAAGATCCTATACTGCACAGGACATCCACAACAAAAAATTTTCTGGTCCAAAATGCCAATAGTGCTGAGGTTGAGAAATCCTGCTATAAAGCTCTGCTATAATTCTAAAATATTCCCAATTAGCTTGAAGCCCACCTCCCCATGTGTGCTAAATCAACCTTAAAAATATTTAACAAGTAAAATCATTACAAAACCAAAGGTGACTGGGCATGGCTCAATGCCTTTAATCACAGCAATTTGGGAGGCCAAGGTGGGAGGATCACTTGACTCAGGAGTTCAAGACCAGCCTGGGAAACATAGTGAGATCCTGTCTCAATAAAAAATTAAACAACAACAACAACAAAAAAAACAAAGGTACATACAGGGGGAACAAATATTCAGGTGTCAAATCCAGGTCATCATCATAACCAAATCGTCGAAGCACAGTCCAAGTAGTTTCGTGTCTCCCTCTCTGGATAAAAAGTGTGTGTAAAAAGAGAAAACCTGAAATAAAGTAAATTAGTAAATAAAGTGTACAGAGTCACATAGGAGAAAAGCATGTAACATAATGGCAAGAACCAGATTCATGAACATACGGATGCTAGCTTTGCATTGTAAAGCTCAAAACAAAACAAAATTCACAAGTATCTCAATGAAACAGAGCTGATTTCAGAATTGTTTCACATATACACCCAGCTCAGCAAGAGAGAGCACTAGAGGAAATGGCCAACATTGCATCTCAAGGAATATACTGACATGCACAAAGTTATATGAGAGTAGTGTTCTACAGATCTTTGAGCTTATTTTTGTCATGGAAAATTCTGGTTTTCAATCTCATTAACTTCACTGTGCCTCTATAATATATTCTCCAGGGAACATTCTATACTGGTAAATTTGACTCATAGACAAAATTCCCTAAAAATAATGACTATTTAAAGGCTGTTTATGAGTAGGAAGAATTTTAAGATACTTTTTTTTTGTTCCAGATATCTCCTTCCATCAGGTGGACCTCTGTATCCTTGAGATCCAACCAATTTCCCTACCTCTAATTTATATTGGTAGTAAAGATGATAATCCCCAACAATGGCCTGTCCCTCCCAACTCATAAATATCCAAATCAGACTTTAGGCATACTAGTAAATATTAACATTTCCTTAAAGTATAAATAATGCAATAAAGACCTTCACCTTCTGCCAAATTTTGAAAATATTAAGTTTCAAAAGGGGGAAAAATACCATTTACCCACCTTTCAGGGTCAACCCACTGTCAGCCACACCATCACTTATATGTTTTCTGACTACATTCTTGACATCCTCCAGAGCTTGAGGAGCTAATGGAGTGTTGAAACAAATCCTCTAGCAAAAAACATAAAAATATATTTAAAAACAAACCAGCGTTAAAACCACAAATAATATAAAATGATAATCTACAAAGCAATATTAAATCCATGAATTGCAACCAAAGAAACATATTCTACATTAGGAATAGTCACCACTTTTTTAAATGTATTATTTAAGTAAAACATGGGCTGGGTGCAGTGGCTCACGCCTGTAATCCCAGCACTTTGGGAGGCTGAGGCAGGCGGATCACGAGGAGATCGAGTCCACCCTGGCCAACATGGTGAAACCCCGTCTCTACTAAAAATACAAAAATTAGCTGGGTGTTGTGGCGCATGCCTGTAGTCCTAGCTACTTGGGAGGCTGAGGCAGGAGAATCGCTTGAACCCGGGCAGCGGAGGTTGCAGTGAGCCGAGATGGCGCCATTGCACTACAGCCTGGGTGACAGAGCGAGACTCTATCTCAAAAACAAAAAAAAAAAAAAAAAAAGTAAAACATGTCATTCTTAGAAAGAAACATTCCCAACTCCCTCCATCCTGTTTCTAAAACACAGGGCTCTTTCTGTAGCTATGTTATTCAAAACCAAGAAAGCAAAATGATTCAGAGTTCAGACTCCAAGTCATCCTTAACACACCCACTTTATACCATAAAATGAAGCTATCAGAATCCCCTCAATTCCTGAGCATAAGAGAGTTTAGGCATATATAGGTTGATGTGAAAGATAGTTTTATGAGAAAGAAACTTATGTTTATAACATACTGTTCTTGTTGTTTAAGCTAACACATTTTACAGCTTTCAGCAAAAAAAAAAAAAAAAAAAAAGATACGCAAATGTCTGAAATAAAGGACCATTACCTGAAAGAAGTTGAGTTCAGCATCATTGAGAGTACCATCATTATCTTGATCAGATATTTTAAATATACGAGTAAGGGCTTTTATACAAGCTGGTTTCATCTATAAATCATTGAGAAAAGAAATAATTGTTTAAACTGTGATTTTCATAAGCAATGCTGAGAATAATTCTGATTATTTTTACATAATATCAAATACAACCAACATGGAAAAATGAACTAAAGCAAAGCCATTTACTTTATATGCAAGCCTTTTTAAGTAAATGAGGCAATATTTGCTGGGACTGATATTTGGAATGGTCAAGCTCTCCCCTTAAGACCACAAATCCTCTAAGAACAGGGAAAAGAGAAGTTCATCTTTAGGAGGGATTCATTTTTCTAGTCACAGAAAGAAGAACTGTTTATTTATTTATATCTTCCCTCATTCCATAGAGGATATGAACTGACTTTTAAAACTACTAAGGACTTTCCCCTCAACTTCTGATTTCTGATCATCAGACTTCTGGTAGCAGAATGAGATTTGTTTTGATCTTTCCCCTGTGTGTATGTTAAAGCTGGGAAATAAAATACGCTTATTCACAAACAAGTGGCAAAATTATCACTGGTTAATAAGTGTAAAAAATTTTTACTAACTTCCTAGTATAAGAATTATTTATACTTTAAAAAGAATTTTGCCTTTTGTGACTCTAAAACTTTTATGACTAATGCTGCTGGAAATATATTCTGACAATTTCCTTCATTTTTGTTTTATGATTCATCATGGATAGAATAAATATATGACTATTTTAAAATAAGGCCCACATGCTTCTACACTGTATAACCACTATAGGGTAATCACTATCAACAATTTTGAGAATAAAACTTCAAGGAGAGCTCTGACTTTTGTCTAAGCTTGGAGATAGATCTTTATTTAGATCATCTAAATCAGAGAAATGAGATGTCAAGGTGAGGAAATATAAACTTATTAACTTACAAAATGGTAATGATGACAGCTTTGATCATGCTATCAAACTCAAATGCAGAAAAGAAATTCTTTAAAAAATAGGAAAGAAAATAATTATCTTCCAAACATACACAGTTAACCCCTTCTATTCTTGTTTTAAATGGGGTCTCTGGGAGAGTAATTTGATATAGTGAGAAAAAGATAAAACTTAAGATACAAAGAGAAAGAAACGAGAAAAAGAAGTCAAACATTTAGAAAGCATTTGAGGCTGGGCGCGGTGGCTCACACTTATAATCCCAGCACTTTGGGAGGCCGAGGAGTGCAGATCACCTGAGATCAAGAGTTCGAGACCAGCCTGGCTAACATGGCGAAACCCTGTCTCTACTAAAAATACAAAAGTTAGCTGGGTGTGGTGGCATGTGCCTGTAGTCCCAGTACTTGGGAGGCTGAGGCAGGAGAATCGCTTGAACCCGGGAGGCAGAGGTTGCAGTGAGCCGATATTCCATCACTGCACTCCAGTCTGGGAGACAAAGAAAGACTCCGTCTCAAAAAAAAGAAAGCATCTGACGGGGCTTCCCTTATAAAAGAGTACTAAATGGACTATAACATCTATAATCACACATGATTTATTCTTTAAAATAATGAATGGTAAGATAATGCTTCTATAAATGTGATCCTGTTAGTCATTAAAGATTAATAAAAACTACATTGTTATATTTTATTTACTCTCCTTTTAAAAAAGTTTAATAATTTAAATGTTTCCAAAAGAAGCAATAGCAAGAATATACAAAACAGAACCTAATCTTTTATTTTGTCTAAGTGATTTTTCCTCACATAATAAAGGGATACATTTTCAAAAAGTAATTTTAAGAAAAATAAACAATGCACTTTTCTCCTTTTTTTTTTGAGACAGAATCTTGCTCTGTCGCCTAGGCTGGAGTGCAGTTGTGCGATCTTGGCTCACTGCAACCTCTGCCTCCCAGGTTCAAGCGATTCTCCTGCCTCAGTCTCCCGAGTAGCTGGGTCTATAGGCACCTGCCACCATGCCCAGCTAATTTTTCACATTTTTAGTAGAGACGGGGTTTCACCATGTTAGCCAGGATGGTCTCGATCTCCTAACCTCATGATCTGCCTGCCTCGGCCCCCCAAAGTGCTGGGATTACAGGCATGATCCATTGCGCCCGGCCAACGATGCACTTTTCATTAAAGCTTGAAATGCAAAGCTAAAGAGCTCTAAGGTATTGGCCCAATGTCATATTTAAAAACTAACCACCTGAAAATGTAACACCAAAAAAGGACTACTAAAAAGTATTAAAAATTCTACTTAATAAAGCTATAAAAAATTATGGTATTTGGCTGGGCGTGGTGGCTCACACACTTTCGGGAAGCCAAGGCGAGCAAATTACTTGAGGCCAGGAGTTTGAGACCAGGCTAGCCCCATCTCTACTAAAAATACAAAAATTAGCCAGGCATGGTGGTGCATCCCTGTAATCCCAGCTACTTGGGAGGCTGAGGCAGGAGAATCATGTGAACCTGGGAGGCGGAGGTTGCAGTGAGCTGAGATCGTGCCATTGCACTCCACCCTGGGAGACAGAGACTCCATCTCAAAAAAAAAAAAAAAAAAGAAAAGAAAAGAAAAGATATTGTTGTTGTCTAAATAAAAGATTCCGTTATAGGCAATTTAAAGTTTGCACTTGTGTAAAACAAGGTATAGTTTAAAAGTTGAAAATTTTACCTCTCACTCAGGTCCACCTAAGAACTGAGTAACAGATGGTGGTAGATATTTTACTCTTGTGGGATGGGGGTGGGGATGAGGGATTAACAGATTAGCAGAACTAATAACAGGCCCGAGAACAAAGTAACAATTAAAAAACTGAGAACAAACTAATAGAGGGGATTTCATATACTGCTAGGCTAAGGCCTCAGAGGTAAATTCTTGTAAGAGTTCCCACAGTATTAAGACTGTTTCCCAAATTTCCTGTATCATAAATACAACACCTAGCTGAATCAGAATGGAATCTATGTGTTTTTTTGTTGTTTTTTGTTTTGTTTTTTTCTTGAGGTGGGGTCTCCTCGCTCTGTCGCCCAGGCTGGAGTGCAGTGGCACGATCTCGGCTCACTGCAAGCTCCGTCTCCTGGGTTCATGCCATTCTCCTGCCTCAGCCTCCTAAGTAGCTAGGGCTACAGGTGCCCGCCACCACGCCCAGCTAATTTTTTTGTATTTTTAGTAGAGACGGGGTTTCACCATCTTAGCCAGGATGGTCTCGATATCCTACCTCATGATCCACCCGCCTTGGCCTCCCAAAGTGCTGGGATTACATGCGTGAACCACTTTGCCCGGCCAGAATCTATGTTTTTAACAAGTAACACTTAGTGACTATTACGATGAGGTAAGTTTGGGAAATACTGGATTCGGAGTAAATTAGAAAGAAGAATCCTAACTAAGGAAAAGTAAACCAGGAATAAGAGTAAACTAGCACCAGATTAAGGGATAACTCAAATTAATTATTTATACCAGGAGTTGGCACATTTTCTGTAAAGGACCACATAGCAAATATTTTAGGCTTTGGGGCCAACAGGCAAAATCAAGCATGTCATGTAGGTACTTACATAGTAAGAAAGAAATCAAACTTCTACAAAGTTTTTTTGACAAAACTCAAAATATAACTGAGTACAGTTTTGCAATACAGATTTATTAATGAGAAGAATGAAATTCTTTTTGGAAGGAAAACATTTTGCTTTGTTGGGGTTTGAAGTTAGTGTTGTCCACCATGAAAATTAATTGCAAATGTTTATATGTTAATGCTGATCTGTAATGAGATTTTACATGTCCCATCTTTGAAAATGTCTCTTTGCACAAATATATACTGCCAATACTGGTACATATCCACAAACCTATGACTTTATAGAGCACAAGGTATTTATAAAATTATATTTGATTATTTTCTTGATGTTTGCCTTTTAGCATGTCATTACACTGCAGATTAATCAATTCCAATTGAAGGTTAATGGAAACTCAATTGCATAGTTAAGTGGATTACAAAATATGGAAATTTCCTTTGCATTTGCATCAAGGTCTAAAAAGATGATGCTGGAACTGTAATTTGAACCTGGAATATTTATCTGCTTTCCCATCTAAAAAACACTTTATTATTCTTTTCATGCTTTGGCATGATGAGTATGCAATGAATATAAATAAAAGGTCCTGGTAGAGTGATATACATAGTACTTGAAATGCTGTCTAGTGTGTCAGCGCAATTAGTAGTGCACTCAGCAGCAGTGAGAAGAGATGAGAGTAGCACATATAAGCTCTATTGAAACTATTAAACTTTGCCTTTGCAGCACACAAACAGCCACAGATAACATAAAAGAATGACCATGGCTATGTTACAATCAAACTTTATTTTTATGAAATGATAAAATTTGAATGTAATATAATTTTCACCTATCACAAAATATTATTTGACTTTTTTCAATCATTTAAAAATATATGGCCAGGCACAGTGGTTCACACCTGTAATCCCTGCACTTTGAAAGGCCAAGGCAGGCAGATCACCTAAGGTCAGGAGTTCGAGACCAGCCTGGCCAACATGGTGAAACCCCGTCTCTACCAAAAATACAAAAATTAGCTGGATGTGGTGGCACATGCCCGTAGTCCCAGCTACTTGGGAGGCTGAGGCAGGAGAATCACCTGAACCCAGTGAGCTGAGATCACACCACTGCACTCCAACGTGGGCAACAGAGCGAGACTCCATCTCAAATAAATAAATAAATAAAAATATAAAATGTTTCCTTAGTGTACAGACTGTGAAAATAGGTGGTAGGCCATGAGTCATTGCTAACCACTCACTTATACTATAAACTTTTCCTGAAAGATATCTGCAACTTTTTATTCTTAAAAACAATACCTCTCCCGACAAACAGAATCAAAGCAATCACCTCAAGCTGGGTGTGGTGGTGTGGTGACTCACACCTGTAATCCCAGCTACTCAGGAGGCTGAGGCAGGAGGAGGCCAGGAGTTCAAGACCAGCCTGGGCAATATAGCAAGGACCTGTTTCTTTCTTTCTTTTTTTGAGACAGAGTCTCAATCTGTAGCCCAGGCTGGAGTGCAGTGGTGCAATCTCAGCTCACTGCAACCTCCACCTCCCAGATTCAAATGATTCTCGTGCCTCAGCCTCCCGAGTAGCTGGGATTACAGGTATGCGCCAATATGCCCAGCTAACTTTTGTATTTTTAGTAGAGACAGGGTTTTGCCACGTTGGCCACGCTGGTCTCGAACTCCTGGCTTCAAGTGATCCCCCTGCCTCAGCCTCCCAAAGTGCTGGGATTACAGGCATGAGCCACTGCACCCGGCCCCCGCTTCTTAAAATAAAAATTACCTTTAATAATAATTTAAAAAAAGACAACCCAACTAAAAAGCGGGCAAAGGCAGCTACTCGAAAAGCTGGGGCAGAAGGACTGTTTGAGGCTAGAAGTTCAAGACCACCTTGGGCAACTCAGCGAGACCCCCTCTTTACAAAAAAAATTAAAAATTAGCTGTGTGTGGTGGCATGCACCTGTAGTCCCAGCTACTTAGGAGGCTGAGTGGGAGGACTGCTTGAATCCAGGAGGTTAAGGCTGCAGTGAGCCATGATCATGCCACTGTACTCCAGCCTGGATGATGGTGAGACCCTGTCTCTTTAAAACAAAAATGGGGGCCGGGCGCAGTGGCTCACGCCTGTAATCCCAGCACTTTGGGGGGCCGAGGCGGGCGGATCACGAGGTCAGGAGATCAAGACCATCCTGGCTAACACAGTGAAACCCCGTCTCTACTAAAAATACAAAAAAAATTAGCCGGGCGTGGTGGTGGGCGCCTGTAGTTCCAGCTACCCGGGAGGCTGAAGCAGGAGAATGGTGTGAACCCAGGAGGTGAAGTTTGCAGTGAGCCGAGATTGTGCCACTGGACTCCAGCCTGGGCGACAGAGCAAGACTCCGTCTCAAAAAAAAAAAAAAAAATGGGAAAGGACTTTGAATAGGCAATAGACGTTTCTCCAAAGAAGATGGCCAATAAGCACATGAAAAATTACACAACATCATTAGCCATCAGGGAAATGCAAATCAAAACAATGAGATCCCAACCACATCTACTAGGATGGCTATAATAAACCAAAAAAGAAAAGTAAAATAACAAGTGTGGCAAAGATGTGGAGGAACTGGAACCTTCATACACTGCTGGTGGGAATGTAAAATGGTCCAGTCATTGTGTAAAATAGCTGCTGGTTCCTCCGTATGTCAAATATACAATTACCATGTGACTCAGCAATTCAACTACTAAATGTACTCAAAAGAATTTAAAACAGGCCAGGAGTGTTGGGTCATGCCTGTAATGCCAGCACTCTGAGAGGCTTGAGATGGGAGAATTGCTTGAGCCAGGAGTTTGAGACCAGCCTGGGCAACATAGTGAGATCCTGACTTTACTAGAAAATTTAAAAATTAGCTGGGCACGGTGGCATGTGCCTGTAGTCCCAACTACTCAGGAGGCTGAGGTGGGAGGATGGCCTGAGCCTTGGAGTTTGAGGCCGCAGTGAGCTATGATCACACCACTGTGCTCCAGCCTGGGCCACAAAGTAAGATCTTGTCTCTAAATTTAAAAAAAAAAAAAAAAAAAAAAGAGGCCGGGCATGGCGGTTCACACCTGTAATCCCAACACTTTGGGAGGCCAAGGCGGGTGCATTGCTTGAGCCTAGGAGTTTAAGACCAACCTGGGCAACATGGTGAAACCCCATCTTCTACTAAAAATACAAAAATTAGCTGGGTATGGTGGCACACAGGTGTGATCCCAACTATTTGGGAGGCTGAGGTGGGAGGATCGTTGAAGCCAGGAAGTCGAGGGGGCAGTGAGCTGTGATTGTGCTACTGCACTCTAGCCTGGGCGATAGAGTAAGGCCCTGACCCAAAAAAAAGGAGAGTAGGCCAGGAGCAGTAGTTCACGCCTATAATTCCAGCACTTTGGGAGGCTGAGGCAGGAGGATCACCTGAGGTTGGGTGTTCAAGACCAGCCTGACCAACATAGAGAAACCCCATAACTATTAAAAATACAAAATTAGTAGGGTGTAGTGGCGCATGCCTATCATTCCAGCTACTTGGAAGGCTGAGGCAGGAGAATCACTTGAACCTGGGAGGCGGAGGTTGTGGTGCACAGAGATCGCACCATTGCACTCCAGCCTGGGCAACAAGAGCGAAACTCCGTCTCAAAAAACAAAAGAAAAAGAAAAAAGAAAAGAAAAAGAAAAACTAGCCAGGCATGGTGGTATGTGCCTATAGTCCCAGCTACTTGAGAGGTTTAGGTGGGATGATTGCTTGAGCCAGGAATTTGAGGTTATAATAAGCTGTAATCATGTCACTGCACCCCAGCCTGGGTGACAGAGCAAGACTCTGTCTTCAAAAAAAAAGCAAACAAGTGTTCAAACAAAAACTTGTATTGAATGTTTACAACAGTCTATTCGTAATAGCCTAAAAGTAGAAACTACTCAATATGCATCAACAGATATGGGGATAAACTAAATATGATGTATCCAGCCAGGTGCGGTGGCTCACACCTGTAATCCCAGCACTCTTGGAGGCAGAGGTGGAGGCGGGAAGACTGCCTGAGCCCAGGAGTTTGAGACCAGCCTGGGCAACATGGCGAAACCCTGTCTTTACAAAAAATAAAAGTAAAAAAAATCAGCTGGGCACGGTGGCGAATGCCTACAGTCCTAGCTACTCGAGAGGCTAAGGCAGGAGGATCACTTGAGCCCAGGAGCTTGAGGCTGCAGTGAGCTGTGATCACACCACTGCTCTCCAGCCTGGGTGACAGAATGAGACTCTGCCTCAAAAAATAAAAAAAAATAAAAAATAAAAAAAATAAAACCCACCAAAAACATGGTTTATCCATAAAATGATTATCGGGCCATAAAAAGAAATGAAATACTGATACATGCTACAATGTGGATATACCATGGAAATATTACGCTAAGTAAAAGAAGCCAGAAACAAAAGGTCACATATGGTATGAGTCCATTTATATAAAATGTCCAGAAGAGGCAAATCCACAGAGACAGAAGGTAGACTGGTGGTGGCCAGGGGCTGAGTAACGGGACAATAGGGAGTGACTGCTAATAGGTACAGGGTTTCTCTTTGGGGTGATGAAATGTTCTGAAATTAGACAGTGGTGATGATTGCATAACTTTGTGAATACACTAAAAACCACGGAATAGTACAACTTTAAAAGGATGAATTTTAAGGTACTTGAGATATATCTCAAAAAAATTTAGTTTTTCAATGTCTATGGCAAAATATTAAATTTTGGATATTTCAATAAGGAGTTACTGTGTTTCTTAGCTATAAAACAAAAGGGGCTGGGCGCAGTGGCTCACGCCTGTAATCCCGGCACTTTGGGAGGCCCAGGCAGGCGGATCACTTGAGGTCAGGAGTTCGAGATCAGCCTGGGCAATATGGTGAAACCCTGTCTCTACTAAAAATACAAAAATTAGCCAGGCATGGTGGCGCATGCCTGTGATCCCAGCCACTTTGGCAGGCTGAGGCATGAGAATCACTTGAACCCCGGAGCTGGAGGTTGCAGTCAGCCGAGATCGAGATCGTGCCACTGCACTCCAGCCTGAGTGACAGAGCAAGATTCTGTCTCAAAAGAAAAAAAACAAAAACAAAAGTAGTAGTCACATTGTATTACATTGTGCCTATGTCAAAAAACTACATAATGTTTTTATTTGTGTGTGTTTTTCAGTTTGTAGATTTTATAGTAGCAAAACAAGAAGACCATTAGCTAAGTCTTTGGAGGACTTTTTTGTTGTTATTGTTGCCAATTCTTGTTTGTTTTAATGGCACTTCCTGAAGCAGTACTTGATTAGATTCCATTGATGTGGAAAATATTACGAATATTTAATGTGAATGTCATTGAAGAAGAGTACCAAAATGTAACCATTTAATAAGCAATAAATTTAAATTTCAGCAGTTTAATCTCTACACAAATACTTAAGAGTTACTAAAAATCACTACCATACTAGAGTTACTACATACACATTCCAGCCCCTATAAACACAGCCTGTTACCTCCTTCTCCTCTGGGCAGTACAGGGGCCCTGTAGGATGAAGAACAGCTTTCTGTGCGTAATAAAAGAGCTCTGATATGTTCTTCAGGTTTTTCGCTGAACACTGAAAAAATAAAATTTTACACTCTGAAATCAATTATGAGAGCTAAAAACAATTTTCAAATTATCAACATAAGGCAAAAAAAAGATTCCTTGAAAAAAAACGAAAAATGCATCTTTGTGGACATCACAACATGAATGTCTAGAAAGAGTTCAGAGGCCAACTCCAACTTCTCTGTTTTATTTGGTTTACGTGACTTCACAAATAGCAGGAAATTTATTCCATCCCACATTGTCCCCCCTATTTAAAACCCGAATTTAGTAAGAATTCATTAAAAATAAATTTTCAAATCAAATTACAAGGCATACCTCCACACAGGTTTCTATTTCTGTATACTGGTTCATAATAGGAAGGATGGTCTCCATACTACTATATTCCACCAGATCAGATTTGTTCCCAACCAATATTAAAGGCAGCCTAAAATAAACAGGGCACATTGTAATAAGGAAGGCAAAAGACATTAAATTTATATTTTAATTTATATCATAACCCATTCTAACTAAAAAGCTTTTATTTAATCTTCTCAACAACATGAACCTTTCTCTACAGTCAGGTTGAGCCCCCTAGATAGCACGTATTTACTCAACATGTTATCTATTGAGCACCTATTATAAGCCACATACTGCTTTAAGTATTAAGGACACAAGACAGAAGGTCCTACCCATTCTGTTTTGTTTTTTGTTTTCTTGAGACAGGGTCTAGCTCTGTTGTCCAGGCTGGAGTGCAGTGGCAGGATCACAGCTCACTGCAACCTCAAATTCCTATGCTCAAGTGATCCACTTGCCCTAGCCTCCCTAGTAGCTAGGACTATAGGCACAAGCCACCACATCCAGCAAATTAAAAAAAAATTTTTTTTTTTTGTAGAGAAGGGTCTAGCTATATTGCCTAGGCTAGTCTCAAACTTCTGGCCTCCCAAAGTGTTGGGATGATAGGTATGAGCTACTATGCCTGGGCAGATCTATAAACCTGATCATTCCAATAGTGAAAAACAGAAAATGAGCAATAAGCAAATAAAATAATTTCCAATTCAGTAAGTACTATGCAGGAAATAAATAGGGGGATAGAGTAGTGGGAAGGAGCTAGTTATGTATAGTAATTAAGGAAAACTCCCTATGTAAAGGTGACATTTGAGCCAAGGGGTGAAGGATAAGATGAAATCTGCCATGTAGAGTCAGGGAAGAGCAAGCGAGGAGGAAGGAACAGCATGTGCAAAGGCCCCAAACTGAAAAAACATCCTGATGGGGCCAAACAACAGGAAAATGCCAGAATGGCTACAGAGTACTGAGTAAAGAGAAAAAGGTATAAAATGGGGTTAGAAAGAGGATCAAAGGTCAGACACATAAGGACTTACAAGCTGCAGTAAGGAGTGTAGGTTTTATTGTTAGTGTAAAATGGGAAGTCATTGAATGATTCTAAGAAGGGGGTTAACATTTTTAAATGCAGTGATTTTTAGAGCTACATACTGAAATACAGCATGAAAATAATGTCTCTATTTGCTTCAAAATGATCTCAATGGGAGGGGTAATAGATGAAACAAGACTGGCCATGAGTTAATTGTTGAAGCTGGATAACAGGTATGTACCTCAGTATATGTTACATTTTTTCACTATCACTAACAAATTTTTAAAAATTTCTTAGTGAAAATTTTAAAAAATATAATAGTAACTTGGACTAGTGACAGTGACAGTAAAGATGAAAAGGAAAATATTCAAATTTCAGATATATTTTATAAGACAGAAACAGCTGATAGGTTAGATGTGAAGATTGAGGGAAAAGCAGAAACCAAGAAAAATATTTAGGTTTTGGCTGGAAAAAAATGGGTAGATCTCAGAAGATACAGAAGATTAAGAATGATTTTTTGTTTCTGTTTTTGGCAGCGAGTAGGCAGGGAATTAAAGATTTTCTTTTAGACAAGTTAAATCTGATAAGTCTGTGGGGAAAAATCTTAATGGGGATATTAAGGAGGACCAACCTAGTGGAGAACTGTTGTGAATCCTGCAAGAGAGCTTGGAGGGAAAGCAAATCATCCTGCTGGAACTCTAGACTGCAAGAGAAGCACTTGAAAGCATTTAGCTTACCTAACCCTTGGTGTGCCATTATGCTTGAAAAGACCGACCACCATATAGCCCAAATATAAATTCCTACCAGAACCAGGAGGGTTTCCAAAAATGTAGTGGTTTGTAACCAAAGGTGTGCATCAGTGGCTCACGCCTGTAATTTCAGCACTTTGGGAGGCCAAGGCGGAAGGACTGCTTGAGACCAGGAGCTCAAAACTATCCTGGATAACATAGTGAGACCCTGTTTCTACAAAAGTTTTTTAAAAATTAGCCAGGTGTGATGGCACGCACTTGCAGTCCCAGCTACTTGGGAAGCTGTCATGGTAAAGCCAAAATTGTTTAATTCAGTGGTCCAAGCTGGTGCTTGATAGATTGATAGATCTTAGCAAAACTGCCCTCTTTTTTTTTTTTTTTTTTTTGGCTTAAAACAAAAATAAGCATTTATTATTTCTTTTTTTTTTTCTTGTACTTTTTTTTTTAATGTTTATTGATCATTCTTGGGTGTTTCTCGGAGAGGGGGATGTGGCAGGGTCATAGGATAATAGTGGAGAGAAGGTCAGCAGATAAACATGTGAACAAAGGTCTCTGGTTTTCCTACACAGTGTTTGTGTCCCTGGGTACTTGAGATTAGGGAGTGGTGATGACTCTTAACGAGCATGCTGCCTTCAAGCATCTGTTTAACAAAGCACATCTTGCACTGCCCTTAATCCATTTAACCCTGAGTTGACACAGCACATGTTTCAGAGAGCACAGGGTTGGGGGTAAGGTTATAGATTAACAGCATCCCAAGGCAGAAGAATTTTTCTAAGTACAGAACAAAATGGAGTCTCCTATATCTACTTCTTTCTACACAGACACAGTAACAATCTGATCTCTCTTTCTTTTCCCCACATTTCCCCCTTTTCTTTTCGACAAAACCGCCATCGTCATCATGGCCCGTTCTCGATGGTCGCTGTCTCTTCGGAGCTATTGGGTACACCTCCCAGATAGGGCGGCCGGGCAGAGGTGCTCCTCACTTCCCAGACAGGGTGGCCGGGCAGAGGCGCTCCTCACATCCCAGACGATGGGTGGCTGGGCAGAGACGCTCCTCACTTCCCAGACGGGGCGGCCGGGCAGAGGCGCTCCTCACTTCCCAGACGGGGCGGCCGGGCAGAGGTGCTCCTCACATCCCAGATGGGGTGTCAGCTGGGCAGAGGCGCTCCTCACTTCCCAGATGGGGTGGCCGGGCAGAGGCGCTTCCCATTTCCCAGATGGGGCAGCCAGGTAGAGGCGCTCCCCACTTCCCAGACGATGGGCGGCCAGGCAGAGGCGCTCCCCACTTCCCAGACGGGGTGGCCGGGCAGAGGCGTTCCTCACTTCCCAGATGGGGTGGCTGGGCAGAGGCGCTCCCCACTTCCCAGACGGGGCAGCCGGGCAGAGGGGCTCCCCACTTCCCAGATGATGGGCGGCCGGGCAGAAACGCTCCTCACCTCCCAGACGGGGCAGCCGG
The DNA here is from genome assembly GCF_000001405.40 of Homo sapiens. Lineage (NCBI taxonomy): Eukaryota > Metazoa > Chordata > Mammalia > Primates > Hominidae > Homo > Homo sapiens. The sequence continues at coordinate 32,179,627 of NC_000017.11, read as the reverse complement.
GCAGAGGCGCTCCTCACTTCCCAGACGGGGTGGCCGGGCAGAGACACTCCTCACTTCCCAGACGATGGGCGGCCGGGCAGAGGCGCTCCTCACTTCCCAGACGGGGCGGCCGGGCAGAGGCGCTCCTCACTTCCCAGACGGGGCGGCCGGGCAGAGGTGCTCCTCACATCCCAGATGGGGTGTCAGCTGGGCAGAGGCGCTCCTCACTTCCCAGATGGGGTGGCCGGGCAGAGGTGCTTCCCATTTCCCAGATGGGGCAGCCAGGTAGAGGCGCTCCCCACTTCCCAGATGGGGCAGCCAGGCAGAGGCGCTCCTCACATCCCAGACGGGGTGGCAGCTGGGCAGAGGCGCTCCTCACTTCCCAGACGGGGCGGCCGGGCAGAGGCGCTTCCCATTTCCCAGACGGGGCGGCCAGGTAGAGGTGCTCCCCACTTCCCAGACGGGGTGGCGGCCGGGCAGAGGTGCTCCTCACTTCCCAGACGGGGCGGCCGGGCAGAGGCGCTTCCCATTTCCCAGACGGGGCAGCCAAGTAGAGGCGCTCCCCACTTCCCAGATGGGGCGGCCAGGCAGAGGCGCTTCCCATTTCCCAGACGGGGCGGCCAGGCAGAGGCGCTCCTCACTTCCCAGACAGGGCTGCCAGGCAGAGGCGCTCCTCACTTCCCAGACGGGGTGGCGGCCGGGCAGAGGCGCTCCTCACATCCCAGACAGGGTGGCGGCCGGGCAGAGGCACTCCTCACTTCCCAGATGGGGTGGCGGCCGGGCAGAGGCGCTCCTCACATCCCAGACGGGGTGGCCAGGCAGAGATGCTCCTCACTTCCTAGACGGGGTGGCAGCCGGGCAGAGGCTCTCCTCACTTCCCAGACGGGGCAGCCAGGCAGAGGCGCTCCTCACCTCCCAGACAGGGCGGCTGGGCAGAGGCGCTCCTCACATCCCATTCGGGGCAGCCGGGCAGAGGCGCTCCTCACATCCCAGACGATGGGCAGCCGGGCAGAGATGCTCCTCACTTCCTAGACGGGGTGGCGGGCGGGCAGAGGCTGTAATCTTAGCACTTTGGGAGGCCAAGGCAGGCGGCTGGGAGGTGAAGGTTGTAGCGAGCCGAGATCCCACCACTGCACTCCGGCCTGGGCAACACTGAGCATTGAGTGAGCGAGACTCCGTCTGCAATCCCAGCACCTCGGGAGGCCACGGCAGGCAGATCACCCGAGGCCAGGAGCTGGAGACCAGCCCGGTCAACACGGCGAAAGTCCGTCTCCACCAAAAATACAAAAACCAGTCAGGAGTGGTGGCACGTGCCTGGAATCCCAGGCACTCGGTAGGCCGAGGCAGGAGAATCATGGGAGCCCGAGGCAGGCAGGTTGCAGTGAGCCGAGATCACGGCAGTACAGTCCAGACTCGGCAAGAGAGGGAGATCACTGGGGGGGGGGAGGGCATTTATTATTTCATGTAGTTTCTTCCGGCCAGGAATTTGGGAGTGGCCTAGCTGGGTGGTCGATCGACTCAGCATCTCTCATGCGGTGGCTCATGCCTGTAATTCCAGCACTTTGAGAAGCCAAGGCAGGTGGATCACTTGAGGTCAGGAGTTTAAGACCAGCCTAGCCAACATGGTGAAACCCCGTCTCTACTAAAAATACAAAAATTAGCTGGGTGTGGTGGTGGGTACCTGTAATCCCAGCTACTCGGGAGGCTGAGGCAGGAGAATTGCATGAACCTGGGAGACAGAGGTTGCAGTGAGCCAAGATCGCACCACTGCACTCCAGCCTGGGCAACAGAGTGGAAACTCCATCTCAAAAAAAAAAAAAGAAGAAAGAAAGAAAGATGTCACTGGGGGCTGCAGCCATCTGCAGGCTCGATGGGGCTCTTTTTTTTTTTTTTTGAGACGGAGTCTCGCTCTGTTGCCCAGGCTGGAGTGCAGTGGCGTGATCTCGGCTCACTGCAAGCTCCGCCTCCTGGGTTCATGCCATTCTCCTGCTTCAGCCTCCCGAGTAGCTGGGACTACAGGCGCCTCCCACCACACCCAGCTAATTTTTTTGTATTTTTGTAGAGATGGGGTTTCACTGTGTTAGCCAGGATGGTCTCGATCTCCTGACCTCATGATCCGCCTGCCTCGGCCTCCCAAAGTGCTGGGATTACAGGCGTGAGCCACCGCACCTGGCAAAACTGCCCTCTCTTAAAGATTCCCTCCTAGAAATGGCGCAAGCAAAAGCAAGAAAAGCAGATATTAGGAACATATGGGTATTGGATCCCCCAAGGCATCCCTGTCCAATACAACATTCTATGATGATGGAAATGCTCTTTATCTCTACTCTCCATTACTGTAAGCATTAGTCACATGTGGCTATGAGCACTTGAAACGTGGCTAAGTGTATCCGAGGAACAAGTTTTAGTTTTATTAATTTTAATTAATTTAAAGTTAAATCACCACAACTGACGAGAGCCTACTACACTGGACAGCAGAGCTCTAAAGGGTCATTCTTTCCTTTCCACCTTGTCAAATCATCACAAAGTTAAAACCATGATAAAAGAGAAGCCATACAATGCCACAGCATTTCTCACAGCACATATAATGTCATCTCAGTCTCCCTTCCAAAATATGTAAGACAGAGGGTTAATGACCATAGTCATATGTTTAGAACCAGATCTTTAGCGTTTCAAGGCACAAAAACTTCCAACTAAAAGAGAAATCTAAAAAATTGAGAAAAGGACTAAATGTGTACAATATATAGATATTAGTCTGATTTTCCTATTTAAAAAGATTCAGGCCAGGCACAGTAGCTCTTGCCTGTAGTCCCAGCACTTTGGGAGGCCAAGGCGAGCAGATCATTTGAGGTCATGAGTTCGAGACCAGACTGACCAACGTGCGAAACCCTCTCTACTAAAAAATACGAAAATTAGCCAGGCATGGTGGTACATGCCTGCAGTCCCAGTTACTCAGGAGACTGAGGCATGAGAATCACTTGAATCCAGGAGGCGGAGGCTGCAAGGAGCCAAGATTGTGCTCCTATACTCCAGCCTGGGCGACAGAGCAAGACTCTGTCTCAAAATAAATAAATAAATAAATAAATAAATAAATAAATAAATAAATAAAACTGAGACTTTTCAAGCAGCAGTTTGAGGAAGAGAAATGTAAGATTTATGACCAAAATAATCTGTCTGAAGTTGTGAATCATGATATCAGAGTTCTGTTTCTTGCTTTGCTCTCAAGTATATCTACTGCCTCAAATGAATCCCCCCAAAAAAGGCACGTGGGTGTGTGTATGAACAGACAGAAAAACTGATAGATAAGGCAAACGTGGCAAAACGTTACCTAGTAAATTTAAGTGAAGGATTTAGGGAAGTTCAATGTACTACTTCTTGTACCTTTTCTGCAAGCTTTAAACTTTTTAATTATAAAAAGTTTGAGAGAGGAAAAAATACCTGCTGTCTTTGTCTGTTCTTTCATTTATGAGAGGAATCCATCGACTTGTTACCTAAAATGAAAATTAACAAGCGCTTAGCCATGATAAGGATCTTTACAAAACACTCTTCCCTTAGACCCCTAAAATTCTAAACTGAGAATCAACTTTGGAAGCACTCCACTGAAACCAACTATAGGGAAAAAAAGATCACACCTACCTTATCAATAGAATGCTTGTTGTTAACGGCATACACTATACAGATGACATTAGCCTAGAAGAAAAATTAACAAATTAATCGTATCTAAAAATAATAAAAACATAGACAGCACTTAATTAGCAACTTATTAATATATTCGGGTGAAAGGAAGAAAAAATTTAACAGCTAAAACAAAAAAACAAAAAAAGAATTAGCTTGCCTCTAAGAGAAAATGTTCCTAAGGACTTAAAGCAAAAACACATACTCAGTAACAGCCATAACAATAAAGAACTGCAAAAGAACTTTTGGTAATTAAGAGAATGAAAAAGGGACGGGGTGTATCACTTGAGGGCAGGAGTTTGAGACTAGCCTGGTTAACATGGCAAAACCCCATCTCTACTAAAATACAAAAATTAGCTGGGCATGGTGGTGCATGCCTGTAATCCCAGCTACTTGGGAGGCTGAGGCATGAGAATCGCTTGAGCCTGCGAGATGGAGGTTGCGATAAGGCAAAATTGCGCCACTGCACTGGGTGACAGAGTGGGTGACAGAGTGAAACACGGTCCCAAAAAAAACACAAAAACCAACAAACAAAGAGAATGAAAAAGGCAGGCTCATAAAATCATCACTGTTTTTCTACACAAAACCCCACACCTCTGTTTTTTAAAGCTCACCTGAGATATTTCTTGATGAAGTTGTTCATCACTCTGTTCTGCTTCTACAAATGACAGGAAGTCAATGTTTCATATTGCAGACACTTTCATAAAAACTAATGGCCAAGCTAAATTCTATGCAACACTCATCTAACATCCCTCAAAATGACATGGTGTAGCAAACACAAGGGAAAGCCAGGGGAAGGAAAAGGTTCAACTACGATAAGGCAGCTGGCCCTGAAAGACGAGTCTATAAAAGGATAACTCAGGCATGGAACAGCAGAAGCATTGTGTAATAAATCTAGGCCAGCATCTGGTCCAGAGTTGAAAAGGGTCAGGCAAAGGACTTCAGAAATCCAAGCTAGCAGACTGGGTGCTGAAGAGTCAGAAGCTCGGACAAAGAGTCTATACACACAGGATCAAAAGGCAGGTGAGATTCTGGGTAATACAAGCTTAAGATCTAGATAGCAGGTGGGAGTAATAATAACCAAGACCCAGAGGCAAAACTGTAGCTTGATAATGAAGTGATGAGAATTCCCTCTCTAGCATGTATCTTTAGCTAGAACTGGTCTCAATGGGTGGGTGTGCCTGCAATTCCACGCATGCAGGGATATGAATGATATAGCTAGGATAGAAAGCAAATAATTGAAGAGCAAAGCAATTACTGGCATACTGATTTAGACCACCTTAGGTTACATATATCTTCCCCTAAAAATGCCTGTTACTTCTGACATATAAACTAATATCATACATGAATTCAATGGTATTTTATACTATGCTAAATAACAGGCCATATTTTTAATATCTTTCCATATGTTAAGTAATCAATGGGTTAAGGCTTCAATTCTAATACTGAGGTGAATCTAATTATATGGCTACACATATTGAAGAATAATTCTGTAAATAAATCTAGTTATGAGACTGATTGTAGCAGAAGTCATTCACCTCCCTCAGCTTTCAGTACAGTGCTGTCCAACATACAGATAATGCAAGCCACATACATAGTTTTCAATTTTTTAGTAGCAACCTTTAAAAAGGTAAGTAAAAAAGGTAAAATTAAATTTTCATTTAACCCAAAATATCAAAAGTATTTAAATTTCAACATGTACTCAATAGAAAAATTAATGACATATTTTACATCCTTTTTTCATACTAAGTCTTCAAAATCCAGTTATATTTTACAATTAACAGCACATTTTCATTTAGAACAGTCACATTTCAAGTGTTCAACAGCCACAGGTATTATGGAACCCAACTTAGTAATCTGGGGACGAAGAACTGTCAGATGGAGGCACTGGGTGGGGTATAGGGTAGAGGTTGACAGACATAAATGAGATAAGAATCGTAAAGGATCATTTACTGCTACAGAGAAAAGACCACCTCTCTGAACATTTGTAAAAGCTCAGTAAGTATCTTTTTTCAAGTCTATTAAATTAACCTACACCTTCATCTACAAGAGGATATTCATTACCTGAGTAATCTACAATGTGTGTTGGAACTCTCTCTGGGGTGACATCAGCTGGAATGGTGATTTCTTCTGCCCGGGGAGGAACCTTCATTTACAAACAAATATAGAAAAAAAAAAACACCTTTGAATATTATCACTCAAACTTGTAATAGATGATATAAATTTATCTACACAGGTTGAGTGTTTCTTTTCTTTTTTTTTTTTTAATGGAGTCTCACTCTATGGTCCAGGCTAGAGTGCAGTGGTGCGATCTCTGCTCACTGCAACCTCTGCTGCCCAGGTTCAAGTGATTCTCCTGCCTCAGCCTCCCGAGTAGCTGGGATTACAGGCGCCTACCACTGCGCCCAGCTAATTTTTGTATTTTTAGTAGAGACACGATTTCACCATCTTGGCCACGCTAGTCTTGAACTCCTGACCTTGTGATCCACCCGCCTCGGCCTCCCAAAGTGCTGGGATCACAGGCTGAGTATTTCTAAGCCCAGAATCTGAAATCTGAAATGTTCCAAAATTCTAAACTTTTTAGCACTAACATGATACTCAAAGGAAATGTTCATTGGAGCATTTCTGATTTTCAGATTAGGGAAATGCTCAACTGGTAAGTATAATGCAAACATTCCAAAATCTGAACAAATCTGAAATCTGAAACACTTCTGGTCCCAAGCATTTTGGATAAAGGATGCTCAACTTGTATTACCCCTCTCACCAATACCCATTTGTTGTATATATAAGTGTTTATTTTTGTGCTTTACCACAGATGCAAATATATATTAAAACTATAGGATAAAAACATTTTAAATGCGTATTTCTATCTACATAGACACAATACATTAAGGATACTTCAGATGTGACACAGACTCAGTGGATTCTTGGATTAATTTGGTGTTTCGGTGTTAGATTTTTTAAATATGTTGTTTTCATTCTATTTTGTTGAAGGCTGAAGATACTCTGCAAATGAGGAGGTATTTAAATCCACAACAATCTGCAAATAAACCAACAGGTTATCAACATTCATTTCCTCTAGAAAATAATTGACTGGCTACATAAGCCTTATGTTTGCTTGTTTTTCATTCACTTATTTATTTTTTGAGACAGAGTTTTGCTCTTGTTGCCCAGGCTGGAGTGCAATGGCACGATCTCAGCTCACTGCAAGCTCTGCCCCTGGGTTCAAGCTATTCTCCTGCCTCAGCCTCCCAGGTAGCTGGGATTACAGGCATGCGCCACCATACCTGGCTAATTTTGTATTTTACTAGAGATGGGGTTTCACCATGTTGGCCAGGCTGGTCTTGAACTCCTGACCTCAAGTGATCCGGCCACCTCAGCCTCCCAAAGTGCTGGGATTACAGGCGTGAGCCACTGCGCCCAGCCAAGCCTTATGTTTAATGATTCCATTTTTCACAAGGACTGAATTTTTAAAAATTAATTAAAAACCCTTCTAGATTACTTACAATCCCTAAAAAAGTGAAAAACTAAATTTTAAAAAACCAAAAACACAAAACCCTTATCCACAATCAAGAGGAGTATGCTAAAACAATTCTAAACTAAAACTCTCACAGAAAACTTTTAGGTGTTATACCCAGAGTAATTATAAATTAATGTTACTGATTCTACAAATAATACACGAAAATATACTTCATTTCTTAAATTAAGCAATTACTTATTTAACCATCTTGTCTAAGAGAAAAAAAGCAAAAAATAATAATAAATAGTCTTTTGGCAGCTGTAAATGTTGAAAACACTATCACATGATACATCAAATTCCTATTTGAACAATGAAATTATACAGATATTCCTATCTAAACTAGAGTAAAGGAAGGATAAATGTAAACTGTGACACTAATGATACCTACTATGCAAGAAAGAGGGTAATTTGAAATCATTTTCATCCCATTGCACAAATTTCATTCCCTATAACTATATGCTAACTTTATGCAAAGTTTAGCCAACAGCTCCTCACTCTAGAACTTCCAAAATGTAAATTTATTGCCAGTAATAATAAAACCACCTTACTACTTTTGGTGGCACTTCCCTGCTATTAAGTTCATCTCATTTGAGACCCATAACAATCCTTTGAGGTAGGCAAAGGTGGAATGAGTTTGTTTCAACATTTGTAAAATGAAGCAGGTAGATCATATTAAAGGTTTTCAAATATATGTATCATAATTCTAGTGGTTCCGACAAAAACACCTCACAGACCAGGGAGTGTCAGGCAGAAGGCAAGTAGGGATTCACATCTTTCCCCTTAACTTCAACTCACGGAATGCTCATTATCTTTTTTATGTTTTGGGTTTATGAGCAACATTTTATTTTTAAGAAAGGGTCACAGAGCTTATATGACATTTATATCCCTTTCAGCTTCCATTTTATAGATGAGACAACTGAGACACAGAGAATACAAAGGTCCTAGACAAAGTCAAAGGAAGAAAATGCAAAAGACTTAGATGAACTTAGACACAGGCTGGTTATTTCTCCTATACTGTATTTCATAGATACAGGTGATAAACAAATATTAGCTTTTTAAAAAGTCTCAACTGGCAGGGCACAGTGGCACATGCCTGTAATCCCAGCACTTTGGGAGGCCAAGACAGGAGGATTGCTTGAGTCCAGGAGTTGGAGGTTGCAGTGGGCTATGATGGCACCACTGCACTCCAGCCTGGGCAATAGAGTGAGACCCTGTCTCTAAAGAAGGGAGAAAAAAAAGTCTCAACTGTCCAAAAGGAAGCACATAACACATGCCAAAAGAGACAGAATTCAGTTCATTTTAATTTGATTTTGATAAATTTTTTAAAATTTAAATATGGAAATCAAAATGTTTACCTCTTCTGGAAATTCTTCACTGACCAGAGACATAATCAGTGATGTCTTCCCAACTCTAGCTGTGAAAAGAAAAATCGTTACTTTAATAAAGTGTTAGGTTCTACATAAGCTCAAATTTGGCAACCACATAAGGCAGTCTGTTACTCATTAGCTAAAATCTAAGGCATCCAAATTATTAAGTTTTAGTATAATACTTAAAAGTATATCTTTATGTTTAGAAAAGTCACACATACTCTTTTTTAAAAACTTGCCAAAATATATTCTGTAAAAGTACAAATCCCTCCTAACATCCTCTACTAACATTTTAATATTCTCCCAGATTTTTCCTATACTTATATTAACTTGCAATATTTTACCACAATGGAATCATAGTTATCACACTACTTTGCAATTTTCCTTTATCACTTAATTATGCATTTGGGCAGTATTTCATGTCAGTACATAAAAACTCCTAGAAGAGAAGACAAAAGTTACTGGTTAATGGGTACATAGTTTTTGTTGAGGATAATAAAAAAGTTTTAAGTACAGATAGTGGTGATGGTTACACAACATTATGAATAAATTTAATGCTGCTGAATTGTATACTTACAGTTAAAATAATTGTTACATGTATTTTAACCAATTTTTAAAAGCAGCAATAATAAACCCATTTTATATTAATATTTTTTTAAATCTCTTTTTTTTTGTGAGATGGAGTCTCACTCCGTTGCCTAGGCTAGAGTGCAGTGGCGCAATCTTGGCTCACTGCAATCCCCACCACCTGGGTTCATGCGATTCTCGTGCCTTAGCCTCCAAAGTAGCTGGGATTATAGGCATGTGTCACCACGTCCAGCTAATTTTTGTATTTTTAGTAGAGACAGGGTTTCCCCATGTTGGCCAGGCTGGTCTCGAACCCCTGACCTCAGGTGATCTACCTGCCTCGGCCTCCCAAAGTGCTGGGATTACAGGCGTGAGCTACCGCGCCCAGCCATCCTGCATTATTTTTGATAGTTGTATTAGAATCCACTGCATGATGTATTATAATTTATTAAAATAAACTCTTAACAAGGAACATTGGAATGGTTTCCAAGTTTTAACTTTTTTTTTTTGATTCAGGGTCCCACTCTGATTGCCCAAGCTGGAGTGCAGTGGTGTGATTTTTTTGGCTCACTGCAGCCTCAACCTCCCCAGGCTTGGGTGATTCTCCCACCTCAGCCTCCCGAGTAGCTGGGACTACAGGCAGATGCCACTACAACCAGCTAATTTTTTTTGTATTTTTAATAGGGACAGGGTTTCGTCATGTCGCCCAGGATGGTCTCAAACTCCTTGACTCAAGCAATCCACCTGCCTCAGCTTCGCAAAGTGCTGGGATTACAGGTGTGAGCCACCACACCTGGCCCTAAGTTTTCACTTTTATAAACAATGCAACAATTAGTATTTCTACAGAATAAATTCCTAGAAGTAGAACTCAAGTTAGTGCACAAGATCTTTTTTATTTTTAACTGATGTTGTTAAATTATCTCCAAAAACGAATAAACCAATTTACATCCTCATAAACAGAATATCAGAATGCTCATTTCTCTGCATCTCTACATTCTTTCTTCCATAGAGCATCATATTTAAAGGGTTAGTAACAAGGTAAAAGCAAAGAAAGTCTCCTATTACATTTTCTATTCTAGCAATTTTTTTATACACAAACTTTAAAATCTTAACTTTTATTATGAAATTTGACTTGTATTCCCGTCACTTTCTGATCATATAATTACTATTGTTAGACATTCATCAACTAAATCCTTTTGTGAATCTAGAGGAAAACAGTCCACATGCTTACTAATCTCTGCCATTATCAACAGTTTCCAAAATTAAAGTCTAAATATAAAATAAATGAAATTTTTTGAGTTAAGAAAAGTCACATTCCCTTCTTAAATGATTAAAAGGGTGAACACAAGTCCAGTCTCTGGGAAAATAATGAATGTCTGGAACACAGGAAGGAGAGTGAAAACAGCTTAGAGAGGGCTATGAACAACCGAGTACCGCTGGTAGAGGGATAGATCAGATGATTTAACAGGTGTCTTCGAGCTCTGATTTCTACAGGCCTTTTCAATTGACTTGTGTAAGAAGGTTTAGGCCTTTTTCAAATGGCTGACCACAGGTCACATTTCACTGAGTTCTGATGATGTCCGTGAATCCATCATCACAGAACTGCTAGAATCTAGTTAACAATGTCAGTTTATTCAGCTCCCCAGAAAATTTTCAGATAAAGAATCTGGGATCCAGAGACAGTCATTTTCTAAGTCTTACTAAAAGATTAGTTGCAGATTTAAGAGAATAACCCATCTCCTGATGGCCAAGCCAATGCTTTCTCTTTCTTGTGCCATACTTTAAAAAATATTGCTAATACAAGTTAACAACACCGAAAGGGAATGGTGACCTCTAAAGCCATGCATCAGAATAATTTATGAGGCGTATATATAAAATATATAAAAATATATTTATATATATAAATATTATATATTACATATATGTGTTTGTGTGTGTGTATATATATATGTCTGGTGCAGTGGCTCATGCCTGTAATTCCAGCACTTTGTGAGGCTGAAGTGGGAGGACTACTTGAGGCCAGGAGTTTGAGACCAGCCTAGGTAACATAATGACACCCTGTCTCTACAAAACAGTTTTTAAAAAATTAGCCAGGTGTGGTGGCACACACTTGTAGTCCCAGCTACTTGCGAGGCTGAGGCAGGAGGACTGCTTGAGCCCAGGAGTTGGAGGCCACACAGAGCACCATGATCTTACCATTGCACTCCAGCCGGGGTGACATGGTGAAACTCTGTCTGGAGGAAAAAATACATGCATGTGTATGTGAGTGTGTGTGTGTGTGCATGACATAACTGGATGTCATGTTAGCAGGCACGAAAATAATCTCCTTGTACGTCTCCATCTGAGCTCTTGGGTGACCAGGTGTATTGTCAGTGAGCAGTAATATTTTGAAAGGAATCTTTTTTTTTTTTGAGGAGTAGGTCTCAACAGTAGCCTTAAAATATTCAATAAGCCATTCTGTAAACAAATGTTTCCTTTTCTTTTTTTCCTTAGAGATGGGGGTCTCTGTCACCTAGGCTAGAGCATAGTGGGATGATCATAGCTCACTGTAGCCTCAAACTCCTGGGCTCAAGCAATCCTCCTGCCTTAGCCTCCTGAGTAGCTAGTATCACAGGCCACGCCACCACATCCAGTGAATTTTTTAATTCTTTGTACGGACAGGGTCTCACCATGTTGCCCAAGATGATCTTAAACTCCTGGCCTCAAGCAATCCTCCTGTCTTGGTCTCCCAAGTTGCTGGTATTATACGACCCAACCAAGATTTTCGATGTAGATGAAACAGCCTTGTATCAGAAGAAGATGCCATCGATAGCTAGAGAGCAGATATCAATGCCTGGTTTCAATGCTTAAAAGGATAGGCTGACTCTTGTTAGGGGCTAATGCAGGTTGCTGCCTTTAAGTGGAAGCCAGTGGTCATTTGCCAGTCTGAAAATCCTAGGGCCCTTAAAAATTATGCTCAATCTGGCCGGGCATGGTGGCTCACGCCTGTAATCCCGGCTACTTGGGAGGCTCCACTAAAAATACAAAAATTAACCGGGCATTGTGGTGGGTGCCTGTAGTCCCAGCTACTCGGGAGGCTGAGGCAGGAGAATGGTGTGAACCCGGGAGGCGGAGCTTGCAGTGAGCCAAGATTGCACTACTGCACTCTAGCCTGGGCGACAGAGCGAGACTCCGTCTCAAAAAAAAAAAAAAAATTATGCTCAATCTATTCTGCCTGTGCTCTATAAATGGAATAACAAAGCCTGGATGACAGCACATTTGTTTACAGAATGGTTTATTGAATATTTTAAGGCTACTGTTGAGACCTACTCCTCAAAAAAAAAAAAGATTCCTTTCAAAATATTACTGCTCACTGACAATACACCTGGTCACCCAAGAGCTCAGATGGAGACGTACAAGGAGATTATTTTCGTGCCTGCTAACATGACATCCAGTCTGCAGTCCATGGTTCAAGGAGTAATTATAACTTTCAAGCCTTATTATTTAGGCTTACTATTTACATTGTGTAAGCCTATATATAGCTGCCATAGATAGTGATTCCTCTGATGGATGTGGGCAAAGTAAACTAAAAACCTTCTGGAAATAATTCACCATTCTAGATGCCATCAAGAACATTTGTGATTCACAGGAGATCAAAGTAACATTATCAGGAGTTTGGAAGAAGTTGGTTCCAACCCTCACATGACTTTGAGGGATTCAAGCCTCAATGAAGGAATTGCAGATATGGTGGAAATAGCAAGAAAAGAGCTAGAATTAGAAGTGAAGCCTAAAAATGTGACTAAATTGCTGCAATCTCATAATAAAACTTGAACAGATGAAGAGTTTATTATGGATGAGCAAAGAATGTGGTTTCTTGAGACAGAATCTACTGGTGAAGATGCTGTGAGCAATATTGAAATGACAACAAAGGACCTGGAATATTACATAAACTTAGTTGATAAAGCAGCAGTAGGGTTTGAGAGGATTGACTCCAATTCTGAAAGAAGTTCCACTGTGGGTAAAATGCTATTAAATGGCATCACATGCTACAGAGAAATCTTTAGTGAAAGGAAGAGTCAATCGATGCAGCAAATGTCATAGTTGTCTTATTTTAAGAAATTGCCACAGCCACCCCAGCCTTCAGGAATCACCACCCTAATCAGTCAGCAGCCATCAACCCTGAGGCAAGACTCTCCACCAGCAAAAAGGTTACAACTCACTGAAGGCTCAGATGATCATTAGCATTTTTTGACAATAAAGTATTTTTAAATTAAGGTATGTACATTTTTTAGATATTACATTACACACTTAACAGACTACAGTATAGTATGAACATAACTTTTTTTTTTTTTTTTTGAGATAGAGTCTCGCTGTGTCACCCAAGCTGGAGTGCAGTGGCACAATCTTGGCTCACTGCAACCTCTGCCACCCAGGTTCAAGCGATTTTCATGTCTCAGCCACTCGAGTGGCTGAGATTCCAAGCATGTGCCACCATGCCTGGCTACATTTTTTTGTATTTTTAGTAGAGATGGGGTTTCGCCTTGTTGGCCATGCAGGTCTCAAACTCCTGGTCTCAGGAGATCCGCCCATCTTGGCATCCCAAAATGCTGGGATTACAGGCATGCACCACCACACCTAGCCTATAAACATAACTTTTATATGCACTGGGAAAACAAAAAAATTTGTGAGCCACTTTACTGTGGTAGTGTAGAACCAAACTCACAGTTTCTCTGAGGTATGCCTGTTTACTTATTTATATATGAGTATAGACTAACAGATTCCTCTATTATCCTATTATTTTATGGTTTGTCATTATTTGGAGGTTCAAGTTCCATTTTACTTCTAAAAATGATATTTATGCAGGTATAAGTCAACATGTGCAATATGATCCCATTTTAAAGATAAATATGTATGTGCATAGAAAAAACCACTGGATGAATATATTATACTAAAGTGGTTATCTTGGAAAATAAACACAAAAATTTTTTAACTAGAAAAGATCAGTAACTTTTTTTTTTTTTGAGACAGGGTCTCTCTCGATCACTCAGGCTGGAGTGCAGTGGCACGATCTTGGTTCACTGCAACTTCCACCTCCCAGGTTCAAGCCATTCTTGTGCCTCAGTCTCTTGAGTAGCTGGGATTACAGGCATGTGCCACCATGCCTGGCTAATTTTTGTATTGTTTTTTTTTTTTTTTTTTTTTTTTTTGAGACGGAGTCTTGCTCTGTCGCCCAGGCTGGAGTGCAGTGGCGCGATTTCGGCTTATTGCAAGCTCTGCCTCTTGGGTTTACGCCATTCTCCTGCCTCAGCCTCCCAAGTAGCTGGGACTACAGGCACCTGCCACCGTGCCCAGCTAATTTTTTGTATTTTTAGTAGAGATGGGGTTTCACCGTGTTAGCCAGGATGGTCTCGATCTGACCTTGTGATCCGCCTGCCTTGGCCTCCCAAAGTGCTGGGATTACAGGCGTAAGCCACCACGCCCACGCCCGGCCCTGTTTTTTTTGTTTTGTTTTGTTTTTTTGTTTTTTGTTTTGCTGTTGTTGTTGTTAGTAGAGAGGGAGTTTCACCATGTTGGCCAGGCTGGTCTTGAACTCCTGGCCTGAAGTGATCCACCTGCCTTGGCCTCCCTAAGTGCTGGGATTATAGGTGTGAGCCACCACACCCAGCTTATTTATTTTTGAGACAGGGTATCACTCTGTCACCCAGGCTGAAGTGCAGTGGTGCCATCACAGACCACTGAAGTTTTGACCTTCCAGGATCAACGATCCTCCCACCTCAGCCTCCTGGGTAGCTGGGACTACAGGTGTGCACTACTATATACCTGGCTAATTTTTTGTATTTTTAGTAGAGACAGGGTTTCACTATGTTGCCCAGGCTGGTCTTGAATTCCTGGGCTCGACATCCATCTGCCTCAGCCTCCCAAAGTGCTGGGACTACAGGTGTAAGCCACCACATTCAGCCTCAGTAAGTATTATTTTTAAGGTAATTTTTGGTATTAAAAATTGGGATGTTAGTCTGGGCACGGTGGCTCACGCCTGTAATTCTAGCACTTTGGGAGGCCGAGGTGGGCGGATCATGAGGTCAAGAGATCAAGACCATCCTGGTCAACATGGTGAAACCCCGTCTCTACTAAAAATACAAAAATTAGCTGAGCATGGTGGCACACGCCTGTAGTCCCAGCTGCTTGGAAGGCTGAGGCAGAAGAATCGCTTGAACCCGGGAGGCAGAGGCTGCAGTGAGCCAAGACGGCGCCACTGCACTCCAGCCTGGCGACGGAGCGACACTCCGTCTAAAAAAAGAAAAAAATTGGGATGTTAAAGATGACAACTAAAATTTACCCAAAAGTTGACAGGTTAAATGCATTCTTTCATCCTTTGATAAATATTTTTTAAGCAATTCTATAAGCCAGGCACTATTCTTTTCGCGCAGTGGCGCGATCTTGGTTCACTGCAACCTCCGCCTCCTGGATTCAAGCAATTCTCCTGCCTCAGCCTCCCTAGTAGCTGGGACTACAGGTGCACACCACCACGTCTGGCTAATTTTTGTATTTTTATTAGAGACAGGGTTTCACCATGTTGGCCAGGATGGTCTCGATCTCTTGACCTCGTGATCCACCTGCCTCGGCCTCCCAAAGTGCTGGGATTACAGGGGTGAGCCACCACGCCTGGCCACCAGGCACTATTCTTCATCCTGGGGATACCACTGATCATGGCCACTAGGTCCTCTCTACTTTTACATTACATTGTAACAGACTTAGATAGTTATCACCAATATAGTTAACATTCTTTGTTTTTTTTTTCCCTTTCTTTTTTTTTGAGATGGAGTCTTGCTCTGTCACCCAAGCTGGAGTGCAGTGGCACGATCTCAGCTCACTGCAACCTCTGCCTCCCAGATTATAGTGATTCTCCTGCCTCAGCCTCCAAAGTAGCTGGGATTACAGGTGCGCACCATCACGCTGGCTAATTTTTGTATTTTTAGTAGAGACGGGATTTTACCATATTGGCCAGGCTGGTCTCGAACTCTTGACCTTGTGATCTGCCCACCTTGGCCTCCCAAAATGCTGGGATTACCAGGCGTGAGCCACCACACCCAGCCTTGGTTAACATTCTTTTTACATATCTGGATAAAAAGAAAAATTTTAAAAATGTACCATCTCCGATTCATCATTCTTCTGCATTTAGCAGTCAAGATCTGTCAAATTTTCCTTTGAAATTTTTAACATTCATTCCTTCCCTCACTGTTCCCCTATTTCCCTAATTATGGTACTTTTATTGAAAAATCTCCCAGTCCCAAATTTCCTATCCCTTTCTCCAGTCTCTCTCCTCATTAATCTACCAACAATATAAATGCTGGTCCATTTTTCTTACATGCTCTTTTCATTTTCTGACTCACCTGATCAAACGCTTTCTTTGACTCTCAATTATCTACCACACCAAAATGAAATCATTCTACTGGCCTTTGAATATCATAAATAATCTATCCCTAGCTCACCTACCTAATCTCATTTCCCACTATCCCCCACTCAATTTGCTCAAATAAGGCCATTCTGCATTGTTTAAGTGCAAACAAGCCATGATAAATCCTGCCCACCTCACAGTTTCCCTCATCTAAACATCATTCCTGCTTTCCCCTCTACTTTCCCAAATGTTATTAATAATTATCTTTCAAGGATGGTTCAAATTCTACCTATAGCTCTTATTTCCTCCACTTCCTCCTTTGAACTACTTTTGTGCCACACAATTTATATTAAATTATAACTTAAATTTATACCCAAGATACATACTTAATATGTATGAATCTACATTGACACAATAACCAAATATTTGGAAACACTTGGATAGTGAACAAAATTTTCCAATTTTACATGAATGGGAAAAGGGCCTCTAGCACATCAACCAGACTGAATCATCTGATTTGATTTCACCTGGCCCAAGCACAGTGGTACTGCTGTTATTTTCGACATCACCACTAACGAAACTGGTCCCACCTCCTGGAGATTCTGGAACTAGCATTCAAAGATTTTCTTAACAGCAACCGGAGAACTGGGAATAACAGGTCGCTACTGAGGCAGTTAAAATATAAACATATGCTAAAATTACTGTGTTCAATTTGTTTTTGGTAAAAAATAAAATGTTAAAATTTCAAATAATATAAAGGAGGGAATGATATAACATAGAATACATCTGGTCTTTGTCCCCAGCTTCTGGCACAGAGCATCAGAATCCCTTGGAATTTCCTATATGATAGGAGTGTCTTTTATTATGAATAATGAGTCCCTTTCAACCACAGAGTTCATCCTAATGAGGTGACTCACGTGGGGAGGAGGGGGCAACAGAGCATGCTAGCAGGATGGGAGCTGGTCACCAGAAAAACCAACTACATGATTAGAGGGTCAGAACTCTCAGCCCCACCCCAAAACCTCCAACAGGGAAACAGCTGGAGTCAAGCACGTGGCCAATGACTTAATCACATCTACCTACTGAAAACCCATATAAAAACTCCGAACATCAAAGCTCAGGAGAGCTTCCTGGTTGGTGAACAGGTCAATGTACCAGGAAGGTGGTGCACCCTGACCCTACAGAGAAAGAAGCTCCTGAGCTCGGGACTCTTCCAGACCTTTCCCCATGTACCTCTTCAATCTGGTTGTTCATTTGTATAATCGTGAATATAGCACTTTCCCGAGTTTTGTGACTCACTCTAGTCTGAGGGGGTAGTAGGAAGCCCTGAATTTGTGGTTGGTCAGGCCAAAGTGCATGCTGCTGAAGTAAGGGCAATGTTGTTGGAAACCTTGCTCTTTAACTGGTGGTGAAACTGCCTTTGCAAAATTATGACAGTAAGAGAAATCTGACATAGTTGACTCCATCTTGCTTCTAACCTCCAAGCTGTCCCTGGTCATTCCTGGGAACAGGCCAAGATAACCTTGAGAGGAATTTAAGTTTACTGTTTAATCTTAAAGCAAGAATGATAATAGCACTTCCTAAAACTAAACCACCTTTGTAAAACTAGTGAAAGGCCACAAGGTTAGGATTATGTGAGGGACCTGAATTCTGCTAAGATACAGGTGTAAATGATAACCAACCATTGTTCTGGAGGTCAGGAGATTTGTAACTTTCCCCAGTTACTCCTGTGATAACATCACGATAATAGAGCCTACAATTGGCATTTTGAGATGTTTTTCATATTTTTGCATTTCTGGTGAAGGACTGACTCTACCGGAACCCACAACTTGTGACTCAGTCGATCCTGTGGCCCCCAATCAGCGGCTGACTGAGCACGAGGAACGTTTTCCACATCCCGATGATTTCATCCTCAACCAATCAACATCCTCCATTCTCTAGCCCCCACCCACCAAACTATCCTTGAAAAACCCAAACCTCTGAGCCTTCTGGGAGACTAATTTGCGTGATACATTTAGTTCTCCTGCATGGCCAGCCTTGTGTTAATTAAGTTATTTCTTTACTACAATACTGTGGTCTCAGTGAATTGGTCTGTCTGTGTAGCAGGCAGAAGAACCCACTGGGCAACTATAGTGGATCTGAAGCTAACTCTGGGTGGTGTCAGTGTTACGGGATCGTTGGGGAGTCACTTCACCAACTGGAAACTTCTGTGGCCAGTGGTGCCTCTGTCCAAGTTTTGCTCTGGCCCACTGGGCTCGTTCCACCCACTCAGCCTGGCAGGCTGTGCTCAACTCACACGACCAGCCTGGATCCCACGCCTGCCAAAGGTGAGCCAGGCACAAAGTGGTGAGGGATGTGTGAGCAAGCATGGGGTCTGACCTCTGTGCACAGCCAGGCACGCCGGCTGCTGCTGTGGGGTGGGCAGCTCCAGATGCCAGCTTGGGCACCATCTCCCTGCGAGGCTGCAACTGGACCAGGCGCATCACAAGCAGCTTCCACAGCTGGCACTGGAGAACACAGTGGTGCCCGGAAGCTTGGCGACTCCAGGAACCACAGGGCCCCAAAGAGGGAGTCACAGCCCTGGCTAAGGGAGCTCCCAGGTCTGGGCTCCCTGAAGGACTGCAGCTCTTCTCTCCTTCTCTACACTCTCAAGGTAGCAAGCAAGGGGCATGTTTCAACCCTGTTTGTGTTACAGCTCTTTTAGCCCCACCATTCAGCAGGTCCCGAGTTCTTGTCCTGCATCCAGGAAGAATGAGGTAACAGACAAGTGGAGGCTGAGCAAGACAAACAGGAGCTTTACTGAGCGACACAACAGCTCAGAGGAAACCTACAGTGAGTACCTCCTCTCTGTAGCCAGGGTGTCCCAACAAGTGTTCAGTTCTCAGCAGAGAGGATAGCTCCTCTCTGCTTGGCAGGCTGTCCCGAAGAATGTTCAGCTCTCAGCAGAGAGGGTAGTTCCTCTCTGCAGGCAGGTCATCCCAACGTCTCTTCAGTTCTCAGGAGAGAGGGTAGCTCCTCTCTGCAGGCAGATCATCCTGTCACCCCTTCAGCTCTCAGCAGAGAGGGTAGTTCCTCCCTGTAGGCAGGTCATGCCGTCGTCTCTCTTCTGGTCTGGCAGAGTCCGGGAGGCTTTTTATGGGCCTCAGAGGGGAAGAAGAGTGTGCCGATTGGTCCATGGGCAGCCATGGGAGGACCCGCGTCACAAGTTCCCACACTGGTCTGCGGGATCAGCAACCCAGCCCCCGGGCTTCAGGCCCTCCCAGCCTGAAGGTGGGGCTTCACGGGGCATCTGCCCCCTTCTGCCCAGGAGCCTGTCTGCCTCCTGCTGGCATTCAAGCTGCCAAGGCCATGCCAAAGGGTACCTGCAGGCCTACACCAAGCTGCCCTCAGTCCCCATCTCAGCCTCCCTCCCATGCTCGCCAGTGCCTGAAGTCTAGAGGAGGCCAAAGTGGCAGGGGCCTGGCATGTCACCACTGTCCCAAGCATGCGCACACCCGGTCAGGCTGCAACAGCACCCAGGCTTGGCCCCAACCTCGCTCTGAGATCAGAACGGGCACCAGGAGCAGGGAGAGGCCAGGCAGCAGGAGCAGACATCTCCAAGCCCACAGGCTTCCTGGGCCCCTTAGACTGCAGAGATGCCTGGGTCCACAGCCACGGCTGGGCAGCTGCAGCTGCGACTGGGAGGTGGGGCTCTTGCCAGCTTCCAGCTCCTGCCAGCTCCATGGAGCGCGGCACCGCTCAGGGCCCAGCTCCACCTCGGGGCTCCTCTCTGTCCACCCCTCCATGCCTGATCACACTGCTCCCCTGCCAACGGGTAACTCGGCCCGGCCCCATCATGGTGGCTCTGGGGATATCAGGCTCCAGGGGGCTCCCAGGTGTGGGCTCTGGGGACTACATGCCTCCTCTCCACATTTTCCCTGCAGCAGGAGCAGGAGAGGTACAGGTGGCGTGGCAGCCCCGGCCAACCCCGCACAAACAAACCCGATGATCTTGAGGCTGGCCCCACGAGTCCCAGCTGCGCCTTCAGCCGGGTGCTCATGGGCTCCTGAGACACGGTGTGGGGAGAGGTTGAGGCCATAGTGGAGGCTCCAGGCCTGGAAGCAGGTCCTGCCCAGCCATGTGAGGTAGGAGTGATGCACTCAGCTGCCTCAGGGATGCAGGGCACAGGGGTCCCACCACCACCACTGCTGCTCCAGCAGCCACTCCTGCTGCCACCGCTTGCGCCTCCCTGCTGCAGCTGATGGCCACTCCAGATGGCCGCCACTGCCATCATTAGAATTGAATTGAATTGTATGACACTCAGTTGGTATAGGAAAATTGGTGTCGGAACTCAGAGGGTACGTGAGCTCTGTATTTATCAAAAGAACTTATAGCTAAAATACCAAGAAACGGCCGGACACGCTGGCTCATGCCTGCAATCCCAGCACTTTGGGAGGCTGAGGTGGGCGGATCACGAGGTCAAGAGATCAAGACCAGCCTGGCCAACATGGTGAAACCCCGTCTCTACTAAAAATACAAAAATTAGCCGGGCGTGGTGGCATGTGCTTGTAGTCCTAGCTACTAGGGAGGCTGCGGCAGGAGAATCGTTTGAAAGCGGGAGGCAGGTGTTGCAGTGAGCCGAGATTGCATGGCGCCACCGCACTCCAGCCTGGTGACAGAGCAAGACTCTGTCTCAAAAAACGACGACAGAGGGAGACTCTGTCTCAAAAAAACAAAAAACAAACAAACAAAAACTGAGAAACACTGTAATAGATTTTTTATCCAAGAGCACTAGTTCCACCCAGACTCATGTCTACCCTGCCTATAACAAACTAGGGAAAACACTAGAACATGCAGGGTATTAACTTACGCTTCTACATGACCCATCTTTTTTGTCTAGACTCCTACTATTAGTTCATTTTATAATTATTGACCTGATTGTCTTCTAAGGACAAAGTTTTGTCTTACATACTATGTGGGGATAATATGGAAAATATATTAACTAAGACAAGGCTGAGCACAGAGTGGCTCATGCCTGTAATCCCAGCACTTTGGGAGGCTGAGGCAGGCAGATCACTTCAGCCCAGGAGTTTGAGACCAGCCTGGGCAATGTGGCGAGATTCTGTCTCTATAAGAAATACAAAAACTAGCAGGGCCTGGATTCCTAGATACTCAGGAGGCTGAGGTGGGAGGATCACTTGAGCCCAGGAAGTTGAGGCTGCAGTGAGCCATGAAAGAGCAAGACCTTGTCGGAAAACAAAACACCCAATCTATAACTTGGTCTCTAGGAAGAAAAAATAATCAGTGATCCAATTAAGACACACGTATTCTTTTTTTTTTTTCTGGGCGGCGGGGTGGGAGCGGGGGACAGTCTTGCTATGTCACCCAGGCTGGAGTACAATGGCATGATCTCAGCTCACTGCAACCTCCACCTCCTGGGTTCAAGCTGATTCTCCTGTCTCTCAGCCTTCTGAGTAGCTGGGATCACAGGTGTGCACCACCACACCTGGCTAATTTTTGCATTTTTAGTAGAAACGGGGTTTCACCATGTTGGCCAGGCTGGTCTTGAACCCTAACCTCATGATGCACCCGCCTCGACCTCCCAAATGGATTATAGGCATGAGCTACTGCGCCCAGCCAACACATGTATTCTTAACTCTGATTCATTTGTGTAATATCTAGGCAACCTTCCAACATATCACCAGTGATCTCCTGAAGGACTTCTTAAACCTCCTTGATGTCACATTTCGTACCAGCTACTGAAGATCTCCAGAAAGATTAAGAAACAAATATTTCATTATCACCCATAGGAAACTCCTCAAGGGCAGAAAACATGTCTTTCTTGTTTACTGTTGAATAACAGTGGCTCCAGCTCCCATGGCACTTAATAAATGCAGCTGTATAGCTTGGTGGTTAGGAGCACAAATTTGAAACTCAGGAATGCGGATGATTACTTTGGAGGAAAAGAGAGGACAATGTAATGGGAAGGGAGCTTCAAATGATTGGTAATACTTTATTTCTTAAGCTGGGTGTTGAGTATTTGTCATATTATTCTTTATTACCTTTTACATAAATATTTAATCAAAAAAGAAAAGAAGAAAAAACAACACAGGCTTTGGAACTACACAGAATTGGGCTGAAATCTTAGTTCCAGCACTTACTAGCTGTGCTTCTTCAGGCAAGTCATCAAGGCTGCTTATTCATCTATAAAATACTGGCCAGCCTCATAGAATTGTTAAGAGGATTAATCAAGATGAGAGCTATATAATGCTTAGCACAACACCTGTCACACATTAAGTACACAAATGGTAAATGTCATGACAATGATCAGTTTGAATTAAAGGTGTTAAAATGAGCACTGGCCTGGGCCAGAAAATCTGGATTCAGGAACCGGCTTTTGCCATTAACAGTATGACCCTGAGTTACAACTCTCTCTGGGCCTCAATTTTTCTCACCAGTTAAATCAGTTAAAAAAAGAAAAGGTGGGGATAGGTGGACTAGATGTTATCTAAATGCTTACGGCATATGCTTAAACTTCCATGGAGCACACCTAGAAAACAGGTCTGTAACATGAGAAAAAGTGCACATTAACATTAAGGGCTGGGCATGGCAGCTCATGCCCATAATCCCAGCACTTTGGGAGGCTGAGGTGAGGGGATCACTTGAGCCCAGGAGTTCAAAACGAGCCTGGGCAACACAGTGAGACCCCGCCTCTACCAAAAATAATTTTAAAAATTAGCCAGGCATGGTGGCGTGTGCTTGTAGTCCCAGCTACTTGAGAGGCTGAGGTGGGAGGATCATCTGAGCCCAGGAGGTTGAGGCTGCAGTGAGCCATGATCACACCACTGCACGCCAAGCTGGTCCAGGATGGGTGACACAGCGAGACCCTGTCTCAAAACACACATTCACACACCACTACGTAAGATATAGTACCCTAGAAATGGCAGAGAGATCTGCAAACTGTATGTTTTAACTGTGTGTGGGAAAGTGATTTGGCAGAAACATTCATCTAGCTACAAGAACAAAGTAGAACTCACCAAGCCAATGTTGGGTCCCGGAATTTTCAGATCTTGCCAACTTACATGCAACATTTCATAACCCTTTTTCCTTAAATAACTACATTTATCATGCCCTTGCTTAAGGTTCCAGCAATCCCAAACCTTCAGCTAGCTCAAGGTAGTATTCCTGTCAACATTCATAGTAGTACATCCTGATTCCAGATGATTATGCACCATGGAAGCAAAACACAGATGCTCCTTCACTTATGATAGGATTTCTTCCCCATAAACCCATCATAAGTTGAAAATATAAGTTAAAAATATACTTAGACCAGATGCAGTGGCTCATGTCTGTAATCCCAGCAGTTTGGGAGGCTGAGGTGGGAGAATCACTTGAGCCCAAGAGTTCAAGATCAGCCTGGACAACAAAGTGAGACCCTATGTCTACAGAAAATAAAAAATTAGCCAGGCATGGTGGCACACACCCATAGTCTCAGGTAATCGGGAGGCTAAGGTGGGAGGATCCCTGGAGCCTGGGAAGTCGAAGCTGCAGTGAGCCATGATTGAGCCACTGCACTCCAGCTTGGGCAACAGAGTGAGACCTTGTCTCAAAAAATTTTTTGAAATGTGTTAGGATCCTCCCTGGCAACCAAAACTTAAAAAAAAAAAAAAAAAGAAAGAAAGAAAGAAAAAGAAAAGAAAATGCATTTAGGCTGGGCGCAGTGGCTCAAACCTGTAATCCCAGCACTTTGGGAGGCCAAGGCTGGCAGATCACAGGGTCAGGAGATCGAGACCATCCTGGTTAACATGGTGAAACCCTGTCTCTACTAAAAATACAAAAAAATTAGCCAGGCGTGGTGGTGGGCACCTGTAGTCACAGCTACACGGGAGGCTGAGGCAGGAGAATGGCGTGAACCCAGGAGGCGGAGCTTGCAGTGAGCCGAGATCGCGCCACTGCACTCCATCCAGCCTGGGCGACAGAGCGAGACTCCATCTCAAAAAAAAAGAGAATGCATTTAATGCTAACAACACAGAAAGACAGTCCCTGACTTACCATAGTTCTGTTTTTCTTTTTCTTTTCTTTTTTGAGACAGGATCTTGTTCTGTTGTCCAGGCTGCAGTGCAGTGGTGCAATCACAGCTCACTGCAACCTCAACTTCCTGGCCCCAGGTGATCCTCCTGCCTCAGCCTCTCAAGTAGGTGGGACCACAGGCACACACCACTCCGTCACTCAGCTAATTACCACTCCATCACTCAGCTAATTTTTTTTTTTTTTTTAGATGGATCCTTGCTCTGTTGCCCAAGCTGGAGTGCATGGCACGATCACGGCTCACTGCAACCTCCGCCTCCTGGGTTCAAGCAATTATCCTTCCTCATCCTCCCGAGTAGCTGGGATTACAGGCATGTGCCACCATGCCCGGCTAATTTTTTTGTATTTTTAGTAAAGACATGGTTTCACCATGTTGGCCAGGCTGGCCTCGAACTCCTGACCTCAAGTGATCCACCCACCTCAGCCTCCCAAAGTGCCAGGTTTACAAGCATGAGCCACTGCACCCGGTCAATTTTTTTTTTTTTTTTTTTTTTGAGATGGAGCCTTGCTCTGTCGCCCAGGCTGGAGTGCAGTGGCGCCGTCTCTGCTCACCGTAAGCTCTGCCTCCCAGGGTCACACCATTCTCCTGCCTCAGCCTCCCGAGTAGCTGGGACTACAGGCGCCTGCCACCACACCTGGCTAATTTTTTTGTATTTTTTTTTTTAGTAGAGACGGAGTTTCACTGTGTTAGCCAGGATGGTCTTGATCTCCTGACCTCGTGATCTGCCCACCTCAGCCTCCCAAAGTGCTGGGATTACAGGCGTGAGCCACTGCGCCTGGCCTTTTTTTTTTTTTAATTTCTCGTAGAGACGGGGTCTCCCTATGTTGTCCAGGCTGGCCTCAAACCCCTGGGCTCAAGTGAGTCTCTTGCCTTGGCCTCTCAAGTGCTGGGGTTACAGGCATGAGCCATTGTGCCTGGCCCCTTTTCTCTTTTTTTTTTTTTAGAGACAAAGTCTCACTATGTTGCCCAGATTGCTCTTGAACTTCTGGGCTCAAGCAATCCTCCCACCTTGGCCTCCCAAAGTTCTGGGACTAAAGGTATGAGCCACCACGCCTGTCCCCTGATTTTTCAACTTTACAATTGGTTTATATGAATAATACACAGCAGACAGAGCTCTCTGTGGATCACAGACAGAATGCCTCTGTTATGAAGTCCCATCAAGTCCACCAAGCCCTGTACTTTATGTAATTTATTTTAGCAGTAGTATAACTCCCAGGTACTCAAAACAGCAAGGCCTTTTAAAGGATACAATGCCTATATAATTTCTAAGACCTCTGAACTTCTGCACCTGACTATTCCCAGTAGAGATGTCTGCTTTTCCTGGAGTGTCTCCATAATCACAACTACCACCAGCATGGATATTTCCAGGAACTTTTCCATTTCTAAAGAGCTATCCTGGATATTTTACACTTTTCTTTTTTGAGACAGGGTCTCACTCTTTTGCCCAGGCAAGAGTACAGTGGCATGATCATAGCTCACTGCAGCTTTGAACTCCTGGCTCAAGTGATCCTCTCGCCTCAGCTTCCCAAGTAGCTGAGACTACAGGTGCATGCCACCTTACCCAGCTAATTTTAAAAATTGTTTGTACAGATAGGTTCTCATTATGTTCCCCAGACTGGTCTCAAACTTCTAGCCTCAAGCTATCCTCCTGCATTGGCCTCCCAAAGTGCTGGCATTATAGGCATGAGCCACAGAGCCCAGCTACCTGGATATTTCAAATATCTCCATATTCTCATCCTTCATCTACTATACTAAGGATGGCAAAAATGAAGCTGACATTCAATAACTCAGTCCCACTCTAGGTCCATAAGAAATGTGCCTACCTTAATATGCTTAAGACCCTGATTCTTCTCATAATCCCCTTTTCAGAATTATCTTTTTAAAATTTTGCTCTTGTTCCACCACTCTAAGGCCCTCATCAGTTTCAGAAAGAAAAAAAAACCTACCTTTTAGTCCACAATTCAAAAAATGTTAAACAGGCCAAGTGAGGCGGCTCACGCCTGTAATCTCAGCACTTTGGGAGGCTGAGGCAGGCACATCACTTGAGCCCAGGAGTTCTAGACCAGCCTGGACAACATGGTGAAACTCTATCTCTACAAAAAATTTAAAAATTAGCCAGGCATGGCGATGCATGCCTATATGCAGGTATTCGGAAGGTTGAGATGGGAGAATCACCTGAGCCCAGGAAGTCGAAGCTACAGTGAGCCATGATCACGCCACTACATTCCAGCCTGGACAACCGAGTGAGGCCCTGTCTCAAAAAGAAAAAAAAAAAAAGATAAATAATGTGATCAAAATTAAGCCAATCCCCAACACTGAAAGGCTACTGGTTTCCAAGAAAGCACTTGTTCCTTAATCCCAATCACATAGGATCTCTTAGCAAAATTCAGGCTTTCAAGAGATGTTTTGTTCCCCTTGAAGTTCCCTCCCTCACCATGGCCCTTAAAACTCATCCATTCTTCCTCATCTCTCTCTCTCTTTTTTTTTTCAGAGCAGAAGTGGAAGTTTATTTTAAAAGGCTTTATAAGAGGAAACAAATGAAAAATTTACTTGCTAGAGACCCAAGTGGGTGTCTGAAGGTCCAAGAGAGAAAAGACCTTCATCTCTCTTCTTAAAACTCATTAGAACAAACTTTTTCCCAGTCACAGTCTCCTTCTGCTTTTCCCATGGACTCCCTATGTCTGCAATGATATTTTCAGAACAGACAACCAACATTATGAGGAACTTCAGATTTCTTCACAGCTCTGCTCATTAGTCTGAAGGTCAGTTCTGGCTGCCTGTGTAGCAGCAGGCTCCCGCCAAAGTACACCAGGTCTATTCCAGCAGGGCAGGCCTCAGAGATAGGAAAGAAAACACTCTGGCAGGAGAGAAGGTGTCGTAAAGACAACAATAATCAAGTAGCTTTACTCACGCTTGAACATACAGACACACAACACAGTGGTAACAAAGAGTGGGGGCAATTCTGTTTAAGTTATTTGTATCAGTCACTATCTTTTAAAGTGTGATTTTAAAAAATTTATTCATATCCTGCCTTATCTGGAAAAGAATTTGAGGTAATTTAGCACTCACTACATTATAAAAAATACCATCTAGTTTGTGAAGTAATTGTACAATAAAAGATCTTCTAAAAATCAAAGAACGTGAATCTCTTCCACATTAAAATCCAAGAGTGATTTCCTTTTTTTTTTTTTTTTTTTTGAGACGGAGTCTCGCTCTGTCGCCCAGGCTGGAGTGCAATGGTGCAATCTCAGCTCATTGCAACCTCCGCCTCCCGGGTTCAAGCAATTCTCCTGCCTCAGCCTCCAATGTAGCTGGGATTACAGGCGCCCACCACCATGCCCGGCTAATTTTTTGTATTTTTAGTAGGTATGGGGTTTCACTATGTTGGCCAGGCTGGTCTTGAACTCCTGACCTCGTGATCTGCCCACCTCGGCCTCCCAAAGTGCTGGAATTACAGGCGTGAGCCACTGCTCCGGGCCATGATTTCCTTTTTTTAAAAAGTTCATTGAGAGAGAGACACACCGCGCAGGACTGAAAATGGTCTAAGGGGATTCATGACAGATTTCAGAAACCATGATGAACAGAATGGCCCCAGAGAATCCCTAGCTAGACTCTTTCATCAACAGGAATGATTCCAACATGAAGGTGATACCACCACAGGATCCAGCTAGTCCCAGTTTCACTCTGTCATCCAAACTGGAGTGCAGTGGTGCAGTCTTGGCTCACTGCAGCCTCAACCTCCCAGGTTCAAGTGATCCTCCCACCTTAGCCTCCCAAGTATCTGGGACTACAGCAATATGGAGAAGGCATCAAGAATGTACTTCATTCACCCGCCAACAGTATAAAGAACTAGAAGCTCTGTTTAGCCAGACCATGTTCCCAGACAGAAATCTTCAGGAGAAACTAGCTTTGAAACTCAACCTACCAGAGTCAACAGTAAAGAACCCAGTGTCATGGTAAATTGGAGAGGATGTGAGATGATAACCTGGCTGTTTTCACTCAGGAGAAGCCTGGAATGCCTTCTCCAAGAACAGACCACAATCTCCCCTCTTCCCCCACTCCCAGGTTTGGTTTAGGAACCGGCGATTCAAATTGAAGCAGCAGCAGCAGCAGCAGCAGCAATCAGCAAAGCAACCAAACCAGATACCTTCCATCCAAGAAGAATGTGCCCACCTCCCCCAGAACATCCCCCAGTGCTTATGCTTTTTCTCCCGTGGTTTCAGATTTCTACAGCTCCCTTCCACCTCAGCTCTTAGACCCTTCCAATTGGGCATGGAACTCTACCTTCACTGAGAGTCCCACAAGTGACTTCCAAATGCAAGATACTCAGTGGGAGAGGCTGGTGGCCTCAGTTCCTGCTTTGTACTCTGATGCCTATGACATATCCCAAATCATAGAACTGTATAATCTTCCTGATGAGAATGAGATATCCAGCTCTTCTTTCCACTGTCTGTATCAGTATCTCTCACTCACAAAGTACCAGGTAGGAGGACAGGGTTCCTCTCTCAGCACCTTTGCTGGTCTAGCTGTAGGCCTATCTCCCACACAAACCTGGCCCAGTATGATAAGGCAAGGCTTTAAAGACTACAGTCTAACAGACAGCCTGGAATTCCAGAAAACCTCCAATATGGTAGACTTTGGATTTCTCTGACTAGAGTACTAATAAATATGGACCATTTAGAAAAGAGGTCTTCTTGCATCTTACACATGAAAAAAAAAAAAAGTTCATTAGCAGCAAAAGTTCAAAATTGGAAAGGGACAGATTACAGTGAATTTATGGAAAAAAAATAGCACATCTTCATCAGTATCATTTTTGTGTTTCCTTTTGGAAGAGCAGTGAAATAACAGCTACTTTAATAAAGGATCAGACAAATGTGACTTAGTCAAAAAATCCTTCAGTAAATCTAAACTAGGGCTTTTTGTTCTCCTTAGGGCCTCCCTACCTAACCCTATGTGAGACTATCAAAGGAATAATAAAGCAGCAAGTGTAAAAGCCACTTTTAAGCTATTTTTAAAAAATTAATATTTTGGCCAGGGGCAGTGGCTCACACCTGTAATACCAGCACTTTGGGAGGCTGAGGCACGTGGATCAATTGAGGCCAGGAATTCAAGACCAGCTTGGCCAACATGGCAAAACCCATCTCTACTAAAAAAATACAAAGAATTAGCCAGGCATGATGGCACATGCCTATAATCCCAGCTACTATGGAGGCTGAGGCAAGAGAATCACTTGAACTCAGGAGGCGGAGGTTACAGTGAGCCGAGATCATGCCACTGCACTCCAGCCTGGGCAACAGAGTGAGACTCTCTTCTCTCTATATATATATGTGTGTGTGTGTGTGTATATATATGTGTATATATATGTGTATGTGTGTATATATATGTGTGTGAGTGTATGTATGTATGCATGTGTGTATACACACACACACACACACACACACACATATATATATATATATATATATATATATATATATATATATATATAGAACTGCTGGGCTCAAGTGATTCACCCGCCTCGGCCTCCCAAAGTGCTGAGATTACAGGCATGAGCCACCACACCCAGACTATGCTAAAGATAATGAAACATTTTAGAATATTAAATTCTAAAAACTATTTAAATATGCTTACAATCAAAAAGGTATCTTAATAATGGCAAATATGATATAAACACTATATATTTTTAACTGCTTCAGAAAATAAAGATTGTTTATGAGGAAACAAAAATCCCAAGCTCTTCTTAAATTACACTAATTAAACTTCATATTTACTATAAAAGTTATAGGACAAATGCATATAAAACATTGTATTTTATAATAAAACTTATAACAAATAATTACAAATAAAATTTATAATAAAATGTATAAAATGTAATATAAATACATTTGATACAAACATTTAGTATGTTATTAATATGGAGGACAAAAAACTTATCCTTCATTAGCCAACCGACTAATGGTCTCTATTTCTTCTATTTTGCCTGAGAAATATTGAAGTAATCTATAAAAACTAAAAGCAAGACCACAATTATCCACAAGGACAGAAGGCCTTCTGATCCAGTTCAATAGAATATGCCACAGTTCTGAGACTCCATGCTTCTAAGCAGGTCATCCATGGAAAACATAATTCATCACTATAGAACAAATTATCCAGATTTATCCAGGCTACAAATGTGTCTTTTCATCACATCTTTTGAACATCTAGTTCCAAATGACAGCAAATTCCTAATATTCATGAAGCAGAAATAACATTCTCTGGTTCCAATTACCAATCTACCAGCCATACTGGCTATTTTTCTTGATAACAAACACCCCCTGCTTCAAGTGGCAAAGAGAACTACTCCTCATTTTTATGTTTCTTTAGTAAGAAGCGTTGTTGGCTCTTCCTAAGTTATTGAAATTAGAATACACTAGGGGGAGGAAGGTAACTATGGAGTTATATTTTTAACTGGAAAACTTTAGCATTTGGCGAAATAGCTAAACACTGTTCCAAAGGACAATTTCATTGCCCACATGCAGATGATGTGGCCTGCAGAACAAAAGCTATCGCTCAGCTATCCTTCTCCTTCAAACGAGATCAACACTAGTAACCAACTGGTGCAGCAATAAAGGACAGCAGAGAATAGGTTTCAGTACATATGTGAGGATGTTATAGAAAGGACTCTGTACGAACAGAATAGACTCTTTATGCAGAATGGACTCTATGGCCAGGGATGTTTGAACTTTGACTTTCTCTGCATTTAAAGACAGCTTAACTTCTTTTATCTAAGCACTAAATACTTATTAAGGAATTTTCTTTTTCTTTTTTGTTTTTTGAGATGGGAGTCTCACTCTGTCACCCAGGCTGGGGTGCAGTGGCATGATTTCGGCTCACTGCAAACTCCGCCTCCCGGATTCATGCCATTCTTCTGGCTCGGCCTCCCGAGTAACTGGGACTACAGGCACCTGCCACCACGCCTGGCTAATTTTTTGTATTTTTAGTAGAGACGAGGTTTCACCGTGTTAGCCAGGATGGTCTCGATCTCCTGACCTTGTGATCCGCCCGCCTCAGCCTCCCAAAGTGCTGGGATTACAGGCGTGAGCCACTGCGCCCCACCCTTATTAAGCAATTTTCATTAAAGCCTACACGCATCAGAAGTGGGCCCAGAAAAGATGCAGTTCACCTCAATGGGTGTTTGAACATCCCTGGCCATAGAATATTACCCAGGTAGTAAACACAGTGTAATTGAAACTGGAGCAGTTTAATCTTTTTTTTTTTTTTTGAAATGGAGTCTCACTCTATCGCCCAGGCTGGAGTGCAGTGCGCAATCTCCGCTCACTGCACCCTCCGCCTCCTGGGTTCAAGTGATTCTCCTGCCTCAGCCTCCTGAGTAGCTGGGATTACAGTCACACGCCACCATGCCCAGCTAAATTTTGTATGTTTAGTAGGGACAGGGTTTCACCATGTCAGTCAGGCTGGTGTCGAACTCTTGACCTTTGAGCCACCCACCTTGGCCTCCCAAAGTGTGGGATTACAGGTGTGAGCCACCGCGCCCGGCCAGTTTAATCTTTAAATATCATTCCAACAAAGACCAGAATGGAAAGCAATATGGCTTTTTTTTTTAATAGTTAAAAAAAAGTAGAGGCAGGGTCTCACTATGTTGCCCAGGCCAATCTCAAACTCCTGGGGTCAAGCAAGTCTCCCGCCTTAACCTCTCAAGTGCTGGGATTAGCAATATGGTTTTAAAATGATCTTAGGCCAGGCATAGTGGTGCATGACTGTGATCCCAGCACTTCAGGAGGCCAAGGTGGGTGGATCATTTGAGGTCAGGAGTTCAAAACCAGCCTGGCCAACATGGTGAAACCCTGTCTCTACTAAAAATACAAAAATTAGCCAGGCGTGGTGGTATGCGCCTGTAATCCCAGTTACTTGGGAGGCTGAGGCAGGAGAATCGCTTGAACCTGAGAGGCTGATGCTGTAACGAGCCGAGATTGTGCCACTGCACTGCAGCCTGGGTGACAGGGTGAGACTCTGCCTCAAAAAAATAAAAAAAGAGCAGGCCAGGCATGGTGGTTCACACCTATAATCCCAGTATTTGGGAGGCCGAGGTGGGTGGATCACTTGAGGTCAGCAGTTCCAGACCAGCCTGGCCAACACAGTGAAACCCTCTCTACTAAAAAAAAAAAAAAAAAAAAAAAAAATTTACAAAAATTAGCCAGACATGGTGGTGCATGCCTGTCATCCCAGCTACTTGGGAGGCTGAGGTTACAGTGAGCCAAGATGGCACCACTGTACTCCAGCCTGGGCGACAGAGCAAGACCCTGTCTCAAAAAAATAATAATAGGCCGGGCGCGGTGGCTCACTCCTGTAATCCCAGCACTTTGGGAGGCCGAGGAAGGCAGATCATGAAGTCAGGAGATCGAGACCATCCTGCCTAACATGGTGAAACCCCATCTCTACTAAAAATACAAAAAAAAAAAAAAAAAAATTAGCCGGGCGTGGTGGTGGGCACCTGTAGTCCCAGCTACTCGGGAGACTGAGGCAGGAGACTGGCCTGAACCTGGGAGGTGGAGCTTGCAGTGAGCCGAGATCGCGCCACTGCACTCCAGCCTGGGCGACAAAGCGAGACTCCATCTCAAAAAAAATAAAATAAAAATAATAATAATAATAATACAGAAAAATGATCAAATTTTTATGACAAAGAGGAGTGGTTTGGAAAACAAGGAAAGTCTAAACAAACTGAACTAGCTTGAACTCATTCATTCTTTTAAGAAATACCTGAGTGCCTCTTTTGTGCCAGGTCTGTTCTAGCCACTGGGGATACAGCAAGAAGGAAGACAAATCCCCTGCCTTCATGATGATTCTTTTCTAGCCCAAGAGACAGGACAAAAAATGTACAAATATACATGGTTATGGGGATAATGCCCAGGTCAGAGCCTTCTTATAGAGAGAGCAATGAAGGAGAGAGTAGCATAAAAGGGAAGTAAGGGCTAGATTGTGGAGGGCCTTACAGGACTGCATTAAAAAGTTTGGACTTTATTCTAAGTGAAAGTAGAAATCACTGGATGATATACATCTATTTTCTGAGACAGATTCTCACCCTGTCAACCAGGCTGGAGTGCAGGGGTGCAGTCATGACCCACAGCAGCCCCGAACTCCTGGGCTCAGGTGATTCTCCCACCTCAGCCTCTCAAGTAGCTGGAACTGCAGGTGCACGCCACTTCACCCAGCTAATTTTTTGTATTTTTTGTAGAGATGAGGGTTCGTCATGTTGCCCAGGCTGGTCTCGAACTCCTGACCTCAAGTGATCCACCTGCCTCGGCCTCCCAAAGTGCTGAGATAATAGGCATGAGCCACCACACCTGGCTCATTAGATGATTTTTAAGGTGCATAGCAGAATCTGAGATATTTTCTAAATATGAATCTGTATATATTCAGGACAGCTTGAATCTATACTTCAGGGTAAAAAAATTAAAAATAAAAAAATAAAAATGAATCTGCCTGCTCCACGGAAAATGGAGGAAAGCAGGAGCAGAAAGACTGGTTAAGGGAGATATTGCAAAAGTCAAGGCCAAAGCCAGTGGAATTTTGAAGTAGTTTGGCAGAGGTTGCCATGATAATCAGAGTTAGACAAACCAGTTAAAGATCTGCCAGATTCATTTTAAAAGAAGATAACAGTTCCATTTTCTTAAGGAACTTAACTAGTAGAAAACAAATATATCTCAATTTAATTTAAAAAGAAGACTCCATTAAAATGAAAACTATCCTGTTTACTATTATCAATATATATATATATTTTTTGAGACAGAGTCTCACTCTGTCCCCCAGGTTGGAATGCAGTGGTGTGATCTCAGCTCACTGCGACCTCCATCTCCTGGGTGAAAGCCATTCTCCTGCCTTAGCCTCCTGAGTAGCTGGGATTACAGGTGCGTGCTGCCACAGCTGACTAATTATTGTATTGTTAGTAGAGACTGGGTTTCGTCATGTTGGTCAGTTTCCTGGTCTCAAACTCCTGACCTCAGGTGATCTGCCCACTTTGGCCTCCCAAAGTGTTGGGGTTACAGGCATGAGCTACTGTGCCCAGCCATTAAAAATTAATTTTTTCTTTAAGAGACAGTCTTGCTCTGTCACCTGGGCTGAAGTGCAGTGGTGTGATCATGGCTCACTGCAACCTCGATTTTCTGGGTTCAAGCAATTCTCTCATCTCAGCCTCCCCAGTAGCTAGGACTACAGGTGCACACCACCATGCCTAGCTAATAGTGTTGTGGTTTTTTTTTTTTGAGGCGGGGTCTCACTATGTTGCCCAGGCTGGTCTCAAACTCCTGCGTTCAAGCAATCCTCCTGCCTCAGCCTCCCAAAGTGCTGGGATTACAGGAGTGAGCCACTGTGCCCAGCCATTAATATTTAAATTTTTTGTAGAGACAGGATCTCACTACATTGCCCAGGTTGGTCTCAAACTCCTTGGCCTCAAGTGATCCTCCTGCCTCAGCCTCCCAGAGTGCTTGGAATACAGGTATAAGCCACCTCACCCAGCTGTGTGGGAGCATTATTAAAGGTTTTTTTTCAGACAGAGTCTTGCTCTGCTGCCCAGGCTGGCATGTCTCAGCTCACTGCAACCTCCTCCTCCAGGGTTCAAGTGATTCTCCTGCTTCAGCCTCCAGAGTAGCTGGGACTACAGGTGTGTGCCACCACACCCGGCTAATTTTCGTATTTTTAGTAGAGACGGGGTTTCACCATGTTGGCCAGGCTCGTCTCGAACTCCTGACCTCAAGTGATCTGCCTGCCTTGGCCTCCCAAAGTGCTGGGATTACAGGCATGAGCCACAGTGCCTGTAATCCCAGGCACTGCACTCCAGCCTCGGTGACAGAGCGAGACTCTGTCTCAAAACAACAACAACAACAAACTATTTCATCATATATTTAAGGATCAGTTTTTTAAGCAAGTCGTCTACTCACTTTCCCTACCTTGCTCCAAAAGCATAAGCATGAATTATATGTTAAATAACACCTTCCTGAACCTTGTCAAGGAAGTCCATGAAAAATACAGATTAAGATATAGTTATAAATAAAAATAAAAATTTACAACTGCAAATCAAAAAGTAAACTATGGCTGGCTAAGCTTACTCCTAAATTCTAATTCTAAAGGAAGATTTCTCCAAACAGCAGGTGGATGAAATTTCAATGAACTCAAAGAACACTACAGAAGAGGGTAAAAACGTGTTAACTTTCTTCCTTGGGATTCCATCACGGTGACCCTGAGGGGTTACCAAGAATGAAATAATGGTTTAAAACAGAATGCTTCGAAACAGCAATGGCAGACTATTAACGAATGTATTAACTCTTTAAAACAAACAATCCAGTTATCCCTGGCCCACTTTCTTATTTTAGTCCTAGCAACTGAGTTACATAACTTGCAGAGTGAAATCAAGAAGTCCCCGCTGTTGCGTCCTCATGTCAGTGAACAGAGGGAACTCTCCTTTATTATATTTTCAAAAGGTGAAATGTATGAAATTTCTGGGTGGGGGGAGATATCAAATGTCTGTGTGCCTGTGGTTATTAATAAGTTAACTACGAAGTAACTATGGAATAAATAATGCTTAAAAAGAGGGCAAAGATTACGCTTTAGGGTAACAACAATTGGACCCTCCCCAGATAATTCTAATTCATTGAGCGCTTGCATAACTCGAAGTTGAGTAAAAATTTTTGATGAAATATCTCGAGTACGAGGAGTTAGTCCAATGCAAAGTACAAGTACTGCTAAAAAGGATCCGGCCCTTTCCACTACTCATATCTTAATGTCAATACATAGAGAGAGTGAAGACTGCGAGTGCCAAAAAAATGCAGAAACCTGACCTTGCCCACAAGTCGAATAGTTCTGCACCCCTCCCCCAGCTTCCCCGGGAGCCGGTTCACGCAATCCCTATTGGTCAGTCTGCTTATTCCAGCACCTGCCTGGCAGTGATAAGGGAATCTCCAGAAGACAAGAAGGTCTGAAAGGAGGCGGCCTGGGAAACTGTGAGGCCCAGAAGGACAGGGTTCGAAGAGGAAAAGGAGGAGAGAAGCTTCGGAGGGATGAGGTCGGGCGGTTAGGGCTAATAGGGACATGGCTTGGGAGGACGGCTGGGGAACAGGGAAAGGAGATCTCTGGAGGGCCCAGGTGAGGTGACAGGGTGAGGGCCGCCGGCGGCCAGCCAAAAGAGAAGAGTGAAGGGGCTGGAAGGCCTAGGAACGCGGAGAAAGGCGAGCGGAGCTGTGAGGCGCGAGAAGGGCCGGGGCTGCAAAGGTTGGGGCTGCAGGGGCGACAGGGGCGACAGGGGCTGCAGGGGCAGGGAGGGCAGGGACTCAGGGGCCGGCCAGAGGGTGCGGACTCACGTTCTCCCACCAGCAGGATCCGCACGTCTTTCTTCATGTCGGCGGCTCTCGGGGGCCGGCCTCCGCCCGCACGCACGGAGTGGACTCCTCTCACCAGGAGCACCCACCCCACGGCGCCACCTGCCAGCCTCTTCGGCCGCCGGGGCCCGCCGCGCCGCCCCCTCAGTTGCTTCCCCGCAAGAGAGCCGGGACAGCGCCAGCTCCGCCTCCTCCGGCCCAGCGGGCTGTGGCGGCGGCGGCGGCGGCGGCGGCGGCGGCGGCGGCGGCGGCGGCGGCGGGGACGACGGCACGCGGCGAGGGACACGCGCTTTCGGAACGCGAACGCGCTCTGCGCCGGAACAGCGCTCCCGCTGTCAGGCCGCCGCAGCGCAGGCCCAGGGAGCCTCGCCCACCCTCCTTTGGGCACCGCGACCCCGGAGACACTTGGGCCAGGAATTTGAATGGCGGATTCCCTGGTTTAACCCCGTTTATTTTATAGATAGGGACAGAAATTCCCTGTTCAAAGTCACATAGCTAGAGCTTGGCAGTGACTCAGAGCAGGGATCTTCTCACCAGACCATAAACTCCGGGAGGGCAGCGATCAGCTTGCATGGTTTTCAGCTGCGTCCCCACGTTATTGGATAGGGCCGTCAGAAAATGCTTGATCGAGTAGGGCGACTGGCTCCCAGGATCCGGCGCTTTCCACTCCCCAAAGCCCGTCACCCTAGTTGCTTTTGCCTCTGATGCTTATAAAATACGATTATAAGATTCGTTTTTACGCTGTGTGAACAAGACTCCTTTCTTTATAACCAAACTAAGTGACTTTTTTTCTGTCTATGTAGTTTATTTTATGGCAGGGTTTTCGGACACTCTTCTTTACTCAGGCTTACCCAGCGTAATGCTAGACACGGAGGTGGCACTCGATAATAAACTCTAGATGATTTTTCTAACATTGCCTTAATTTTCTCGTGACCCTCTCCATCTGGAGGAATTTGTTGTTACATGCTTAATGTTTGGTACACAATGGCAAATATATATATATACATACGCGTGCGAATATATATCACATCCCTAATACTTGGCACACAGTGGGAAATATAAAATACATAAATTAATGAGGAAGCACTATCTGTGCATAATGTACATTTTTTCTATCTTAAATATTACACAATAAACACTTAAAGGGAATGAAATGTGCGTAATACCAACTTCCCTTTCTCCTAGGAGAAGTCATGTGGTCTCTTGCAGCAGTTAAGAGTTGCTGGCAAATTTCCTGGGTTTGAATCTAGGCTCCACATAATAGCTCTGTGATCTCGACTAAGTGCTTTTATTTTTACTTCCCTCAGCCACTGTTCCTTCTTCTGTAGCATGGAAATAATGATGATAATACCTTCCTCTTGAGATGGTTGTGAGTAATAAATACTATAATACTTGTCAAGCATTTGGTACAGTGCCAGACTCAGAGCGTGTGCTCTACTGATCTCAGCTATCATTATTATATTAAAAAGTCACTAAAAAGTTGTAATCCACAGATTTTTTGTTTTGTTTTGGTTTTGTTTTGAGACGGAGTCTCGCTCTGTCGCCCAGGCTGGAGTGCAGTGGCGCAATCTCGGCTCACTGCAAGCTCCGCCTCCTGGGTTCACGCCATTCTCCTGCCTCAGCCTCCCGAGTAGCTGGGACTACAGGCGTCCGCCACCACGCCCGGCTAATTTTTTTTTTTTTTTTTTTGTATTTTTAGTGGAGACGGGGTTTCACCGTGTTAGCCAGGATGGTCTCGATCTCCTGACGTCGTGATCCGCCTGCCTTGGCCTCCCAAAGTGCTGGGATTACAGGCGTGAGCCACCGCGCCCAGCCTAATCCACAGGTTTTGAGGCAAATATGTTGTTGTGTTTACTGCAGAATTTCACCATCTTAGTTATTTGATGTCCATAAGGAGCACAGGGGAGAAAGCCCTTTCAAAAACAACTCTATCCCTGTCCGTGTTAGGAAAAAGAGGGAGATGGGAAAGACATACTCCTTGTTCACTGAGAGATAATGAAGTCGCGTTCCTGGGTAGATGTAAATAAGGTGCTTTCATCTCCCTCCTCCCCCCACACCTCAATGAGTGGAAATGTGAAATTCAGGAGGCTTGGTTACCTGATCTTTCAGGGAAAAGTAGCCCTCAGAATTTTAGTGTTACAAAATGTTTGAGTTGGAAGAACCCTGACAGAGCTCCTATTCCAATCCCGTTACTCTGTAGATAAAAAAAAAAAAGCAAGGCCCACAGAGACGCAATGACCTGGCACAGACGGCATGGCTGAGGCTGAGCTTTGCTCTGCCATTCCTAGTGCATGACTCTAGGCAACTCATGTCACCTAGTTGTGCCTCAGTTTCCTCTCTACCAAGTGAAGGCTGTGATCTCTTATGAAATTGTTTGGAGGAGCTCATAAAATAATGTATTTTATGTGAATAATGTAATGAATTGTAAATCTTTTTCCTAAAAAACAAACAAACAAAAAACAAGTTACACAAATATCAGAGCACAGAGGACAAAAGCCTTTTACAGAGGGGCAAATTCTTTAGGGCACTGCTTGCACCATGCAGCTTTGTGAAGAATCTAGATCCCTAAGAGCTCTCAATCAGCGTTGCCAGTTAATGACAATGTTGACTCATTGGGGCTTCTCCAGGAGGGTGAGCAGTAACAAGGTCTTCGTGGGGTTGTAGATGTGTACTGGGTAATGTCTGGTAGGCAGGGGCTTGGAAAAAGCATTTATTTAGAGGGACATCACAGATACAATATTGCAAAGAACTCCTTTGTAAATAAAACTTACTTAAAAATCCATATCCAGCCAGGTATGGTGGTTCAACACCTATAATCCCAAAGCTTGGGGTAGCTGCGGTGGGAGGATCTCTTGAGGCCAGGAGTGCAAGACCAGCCTGAGAAACATTGAAACCCCATCTCTACAAAAAATAAACAAATTAGCTGGGCGTGGTGGCATGCACCTGTAGTCCCAGTTGGGAGGCTGAGGTGGGAGGATCACTGGAGACCAGGAGTTGGAGGCTGCAGTGAGCTATGATGGCACCATTGCACTCAAGTCTGGGTGACAGAGCCAGAGTCTGTCTCTAAATAAAAAAAAATAAAAATCTGACTAGGCCGGGCACAATAGCTCACACCTGTAATCCTAGCACCTTGGGAGGCCGAGGCGGGTGGATCACTTGAGCTCAGGAGTTTGAGACCAGCCTGGCCAACATGGTGAAACCCTGTCTCTACTAAAAATACAAAAGTTAGCTGGGCGTGGTGGTGCATGCCTGTAATCCCAGCTATTCGGGAGGCTGAGGCAGGAGAATCGCTTGAACCCAGGAGGTGGAGGTTGTAGTGAGCTGAGATCGCACCACTGCACTCGAGCCTGGGTGACAGAGTGAGACTCCATCTAAAAAAAAAAAACCTAACTCAAGAGCTGCAGAAAAGAGGCAATATCAAGCACTTTCAGTGAGCAATGGATATGGTTTGGTACAAACTGAGGCCAGCACTTGCTAAAGTTGGGGAGAGGGAGTCTGGTATGCCAGGGTTTGCCTCCCCTGCAATGTAAGTTTCTTTCTACAGTCCGCAGCCATCTCCTGATCATCTATACTTCTGCCAGTCTGGCTCCCTGACTTGCCTTGAACTTTATTCCCTCCTTATGATGTTAACAAACGTCCACTAGGTGTCACTCTGATGTTCTCCTGGAGACAGCACAGGTCGCTGGTTAAAGCAGGGAAGCTTGGCTGGGGATGAGAGGATTGCTTGAGCCCAGGAGTTCGAGACCTGCCTGAATAACACAAGGAGACCCTGTCTCTACAAAAAATTTTAAAGAATTAAGCCGCCGTGGCTCACGCCTGTAATCCCAACACTTTGGGAGGCCAAGGTGGGCAGATCACCTGAGGCCAGGAGTTTGAGACCAGCCTGGCCAACATGGCAAAATCCTGTCTTCACTAAAAATACAAAACTTAGCCGGGTGTGGTGGCAGGCGCCTGTAATCCCAGCTATTTGTGAGGCTGAAGCATGAGAATCTCTTGAACGCGGGAGGCGGAGGTTTCAGTGAGCCGAGATCGCATCACTGCACTCCAGCCTGGGGGATTAAGCGAGACTCTGTCTCCAAAAAAAAGAAAACAAAAAAAATTAAAGAATTAATTGGACGTGGTGGTGCACACCTGTAGTCCCAGCTACGTGGGAAGATTGCTTGAGCCTAGGAGGTTGAGGCTGCAGTGAGCTGTGATTGTACCACTGCACTCCAGTCTGGGCCACAGAGTAAGACCCCGTCTCTTAAACAACAACAACAACAAAGACTAAGGATGCTGGAGTCTGCCTGCTAGATCTGAACATCAGTTGTGCCAATTACTAGCTGTGCATCACTGGACAGATTATTTAACTTCTCTTTGCCTCATCTGCCAAATGGGAATAACAATAGGACATACCTCATGAGATTGTTATGAAAATTAAATTAGTTAATATAATAGGAAAGGCTGGGCACAGTGGCTCACGCCTGTAATCCCAGCACTTGGGAGGATGAGGTGGGTGGATCCCTGAGGTCAGGAGTTCGAGACCACCCTGACCAACATGGTGAAACCCTATCTCTACTAAAAATACAAAAATTAGCCAGGCATGGTGGTGGGCACCTGTAATCCCAGCTACTTGGGAGGCTGAGGCACGAGAATCACTTCAACCTGGGAGGTGGAGGTTGCAGTGAGCTGAGATCATGCCACTGCACTCCAGCCTGGGCAACACAGAAATACTCCATCTCAAAAAAAAAAAAAAAAAGATTCATTAGCCGGGCATAATGGCATGCACCTATAGTCCCAGCTACCTGGGAGGCTGAGGTGGGCGATCACTTGAGCCTAGGAGGTCAAAGCTGCAGTGAGCTGTGATTGTGCCACTACACTCCAGACTGGGTGACAGAGCAAGAACTTGTCTCAAAAAAAAATACATATATATGTATATATATATATTTTATGTATATACATATATTTTTATGTATATACATATACATATACGTGTATATGTATATACATGTATACATATATACACGTATACATGTATACGTGTATATATATATATATATATATATATATATATATATATATATATATTAGGAAAACACTTAGAATTGTGCCTGGCGTGTGGTCAGTGATATATAAATGTTGGAAGAGGGAGATAGGAAAGACACACTCCTTGTTCATTGGCAGATAATGAAGAAATATTCCAGGGAGGATGCGAATAAGGAGGTTTAGTCTCCCCCTTCCCACCCACACATCAAATAAAATAAATTATAAGGGAAGTGGCTTCTGTACACCTCTCTGAGCTTGAGGACAGAGCTTCATGATGACACATACTGCAGCAAATCATAAGCCAAAGAACAGAGTTGTTGGCAGTGAATTTACTGTTGGGATATTACAGATTGAATACAATGTATTAAATAGATTGGATAAGGCCAAGAGGACAGATTGGTATCTAGAAGGCACTGATGGAATTTTCCTCTAGAATGCCAGGAAGGAGCTCTACCCTCACAATACAGGCTTCATGCCTCCTCAACTGTGCAGGGGAGGAGGTCAGGGCAAAGTGCTTTCGCCAGGAGATAAGAGGATCCATCTTTATGCCTAGTGACACAGCCTCTCTCTGAGTTCCAGAACAGCAGAACACCCAGGGCAAATGGGCAGGCCTGCTGGGTAGAAGATAAAGTGTGTGTTAAATGACTGACATTGGGTGGGAACAGGGGCCCCATCTCTGATTGGTGAGTTAGACAGAGTCTCTCACCAATCTCTGATTGGTGAGTTAGACAGAGTCTCTCACCAATCTCTGATTGGTGAGTCCTGGGCAGGAAACCAAATAAGACTTGGCTTGGCATCAGTCCCATGCTTCAGACCCACCTATCTTTGGTCTTTCAAGTTAAACCCAAAGCAGCATCCATCATCTGTGTTTTCTTCACTTTTGTGTCCCATTCCTTCCAGGATGCCTTCCTCCTTTTCCTGCCAGGCCCACTCTGGTGGAGTGGAAAAGTCCAATGCTTTGATACCAGGTAAATGCTGTATTTTATCTTGCCTTTCAACACACTCGTTATTGGTTCATTGTTCAAACATCCATGTCTTTGGCATAGTCAGTCACAAGGGTCCATCTCTAGAGGACATGGATTCTGCCTGTTTGCTTGATTTCGCTTGAAGGTACATCACTCAGCACAATTACTTATTAAAAGGCATTTGATTATAACTGTCAGTGTTGAAAGTATATTTCCAGACAAGAGCTTCATCTGTTAATGAGGTTGCATCCAGTCTTCTTTTTAATTTTCTTGAGCTCCTTTCAGATAAATTGGAAAACAAATACCCTCAATTAAGACATAATTGATATTGAGAAGCCTACCTCCAAATGGCCTGAATGTCTATGGAGTGATTAAGAGCATGGGCTCTGGAGTCTACAGTTTATCTCCAACACTTTGCTAGCTGTGTAACACTGACTAGCAATGTTGGGCAAGTGACTGACCTTTCTGAAAAATATAAACCTCATCTGCAAAATGGAGCTATTTCATAGGACACTTCTGAGGATTAAATAAAATGATGCAGGTAAAGCATTTGTCACATTGCTTAAACATGCTCACATATCACCCTTAACAGCTACATTTTAAATTAGGAATTCTTTTGCTGACTTACATCATCTTCCCAAGGGCAAATTGATTAGCCTACCTACTGTGGGTGGCAAGCCACCCAGGTGCCGAGGCAAGAGACCAAGGACACGAGCTGTTCCAGTATAATAAAATATAAAACAAGAATAGTTATACCGGATATAGATCTTAGATATGATTATATATGAATATAATTAATCATTAGTAGTACTTATTCTTTATTCCAATATTATAATAATCCTCACTCTATAATCATAGCCTAGGAAAAACCAGGCCATACAGAGATAGGAGCTGAGGGGACATAGTGAGGAGTGACCAGAAGACAAGAGTGCGAGCCTTCTGTTATGCCCAGACAGGGCCACCAGAGGGCTCCTTGGTCTAGCGGTAATGCCAGCATCTGGGAAGACGCCCGTTGCCAGGCGGACCGTGGTCTAGCGGTAGTCTAAGTGTCAAGGAAAAACACCCGCTACTTAGCAGACCAGGAAAGGGAGTCTCCCTTTCCCCGGGGGAGTTTAGAGAAGACTCTACTCCTCCACCTCTTGTGGAGGGCCTGACATTAGTCAGGCTCACCCGCAGTTATCGGGAGGCCTAACCATCTCCCTGTGATGCTGTGCTTCAGTGGTCACGCTCCTAGTCTGCCTTCACGTTCCATCCTGTACACCTGGCTCTGCCTTTTAGATAACAGTAGCAAAATTAGTGAAAGTACTAAAAGTCTCTGATATGCAGAAATAATGGTGTAAGCTGCCTCTCTCTCTCCCTCTCTCTCTCTGCCTCGGCTGCCAGGCAGGGAAGGGCCCCCTGTCCAGTGGACATGTGACCCACATGGGCTTACCTATCATTGGAGATGGCTCACTCT
This sequence comes from Homo sapiens, assembly GCF_000001405.40. Taxonomy (NCBI): domain Eukaryota; kingdom Metazoa; phylum Chordata; class Mammalia; order Primates; family Hominidae; genus Homo; species Homo sapiens. The sequence goes on along the minus strand of NC_000017.11, from coordinate 32,135,265 downwards.
CCTTATCCTGCCCCTTTGTCTTGTATCCAATAAATATCAGTGCAGCCTGGCATTCGGGGCCACTACCGGTCTCCGCATCTTGGTGGTAGTGGTCCCCCGGGCCCAGCTGTCTTTTCTTTTATCTCTGTCTTCTGTCTTTATTTCTACACTCTCTCATCTCCGCAGATGGGGAGAGACCCACCGACCCTGTGGGGCTGGTCCCTACAGCCTACCAAATTGTAAACTCTGAAAGGCAAAAACGTATTTAATTTTTAATCACTTTAGAGACTTTAAAAATTTTGCTGACTTATTTTTTTTTTCTCTGAGACAGAGTCTCACTCTGTCACCCAGGACGCAATCTCGACTCACTGCAACCTCCACCCCACCCCAACCTCCACCCCCACCCTGCCATCCCTCACCTCTGGGCTCAAGCGATCCTCCCACCTCAGCCTTTTGAGTAGCTGGGACTACAGGCTTGCACCACTATGCCCAGCTAAATTTTTTTTGTATTTTTTGTAGAGACGGGGTTTTTATCATGTTGCCCAGGCTGGTCCTGAACTGGGCTCAAGTGATCCGCCTGCCTCGGCCTCCCAAAGTGCTGGGATTACAGACATGAGCCACCTGGCCTGCTGACTTTTTAAATCTTTTATACATACATACACACACACAAACATATATATATTCTCAAGATTTTTTTAGACCACAATCTAGTTCTGTCCAACAAAAAAATTCCATGGAATGGCACATTTATAATTTATTTTCTTGCTCTTTTGTAAAGCAAGAAAAAAATTATCATTTCTGTTTACCTCTGCAAAGAAATCAGCAGAATTAAATATAGTATAAGAAAATAATTCAAAAGAAAAAATATAGATAGATAAATATGTACAGTCAGCCCTCCATATCCACGAGATCTACGTCTGTGGATTCAACCAAATGGGGATAATACAGTATTCTCAGCATGCAGAACCCACAGTTACAGAGGCTTACTTTTCACATCCGGGTGTTCAGCAGGGCCAACTGCAGGACCTGAGCATCCTCAGATGTTGGTATTCAAGGGGATCCTGGAACTAATTCCCCTTCAGTATCGAGGGATGACCATGTATCTATATAGTCACGCACCACACAACAACATTTTGGTCAGTGATGGACCACATATATGAAAGTGGTCCCATTAGATTATAAACTGTATTTTAACCATATCTTTTCTGTGTTTAGATACGTTTTGATACACAAATGCTCACCATTGTGTTACTGTTGCCTACAGTATTCAGTGTAGTAACATGTTGTAGTTCGTGCCTCGCAGCAATGGGGGATGGTTTTATGGCATTGAGCCGTAACCTGTGGGATCACCAGGTGTCAGAATTGAATTGAATTATAAGACATCCAGCTGGTGTCTGTTACAGAATTGCTTGTTTGGTGTGTGAGGAAAAAAACTCACACATATCTGGTATCAAAAGTGTTGTGCTGAATGACTGTGTAAGAGAATAGGAAAAAGACACTTTGGGCTGGGTGTGGTGGCTCATGCCTCCAATCCTAGCATTTTGGGAGACCGAGGCGGGCAGATCACTTGAGGCCAGGAACTTGAGACCAGCCTGGGCAACATGATGAAATCCTATCTCTATAAAAGATACAATAATTATCCAGGCATGGTGGCACATGCCTGTAGTCCCAGGTACTCAGGAGGCTTTGGCAGGAGGATCATTTGAGCCCAGGATGTGGAGGTTGCAGTGAGCCAAGATCGTGCCATTGCACTCCAGCCTGGGCGACAGAGTAAGACACTGTCTCAAAAAAAAAAAAAAAAGACACTTTGTTTTTTTTTCCCTTGATATCTCAAGTACATATATTCTGTTTATATCAACAGATATATATATATATATATATTCTGTGTAAGCAACACTACGTGCTTTAAAAAATGTTTAAAAATTGAAATATGTACAATTGTAGGGGAATAGCTAAATTAAGTATGACATAACATGATTGGAATTTTTGCAGTCATTTAAATTAGTGACTATTAGAGAGATGGAAAAGTATTTACAAAATAAGTGAGAATATAGAAATATAAAACTATATGCAATTATGACTATGTAAAAATCATGTGATATATTCATTTATGCAACTTTAACCTTCTAGACTTTTTAAATTTTGAACTTTTACAAGCATGCCCATGCGTTACTCAGATAATAAAAACTAATGGATATACATAAATATTAGATAAGAGCACAAATGAAGGAAAAAGTAAGTTAAAGATCATAAATTAATTTTAGTACAACCATCTTTTGTAAAATTTCAAAGTTTATTGATTTATTTTTATTTATTATCTTTTTTTTTTTTATGGAGTCTCACTCTGTTGCCCATGCTGGAACGCAGTGGTGCAATCTCGGCTCACTGCAACCTCTGCCTCCTGGGTTCAGGCGATTCTCCTCCCTCAGCCTTCCAAGTAGCTGAGATTATAGGCATGCACCACCACACCCGGCTAATTTTCGTATTTTTAGTAGAGATGGGGTTTTGCCATGTTGGCCAAGCTGGTCTTGAACTCCTGATCTCAGGTGATCTGCCTGCCTCGGCCTCAGAAAGTGCTGGGATTACAGGCATGAGCCACCACGTCCGGCCTTTTTTTTTTTGAGATGGAGTCTCTGTTGCCCAGGCTGGAGTGCAGTGGCGTGATCTTGGCTCACCTCCACCTCCCGGGTTCAAGAGATTCTCCTGCCTCAGCCTCCCGAGTAGCTGGAATCACAGGCGCCCACTGCCACACCCGGCTAATTTTTGCATTTTTAGTAGAGACAGGGTTTCACCATGTTGGCCAGGCTGGTCTCAAACTCCTGACCTCAGGTGATCCGCCTGCCTTGGCCTCCCAAAGTGCTGGGATTACAGGTGTGAGCCACCGCACCTGGCCCAGCTTTTTTTCTGAGACAGAGTCTCAAGTCTTGCTCTGTCGCCCAGGTTGGAGTGCAGAGGTGCAATCTCAGCTCACTGCAGCCTCTGCCTCCCAGGTTCAAGCCATTTTCCTGTCTCGGCCTCCCTAGTAGCTGGGATTACAGGTGCACGTTACCACACCTGGCTAATTTTTGTATTTTTAGGCTGGTCTCGAACTTCTGACCTCAAATGATCCACCCGTCTCAGCCTCCCAAAGTGCTGGGATTACAGGTGTGAGCCACCACACCTGGCCCAAAGTTAATTTAATAATTATGTATTTTAAACTAAGTAGAAATATTTAGAAGGATAGCAATGCTTTAAGTGAGATATTAATATAGCATATCATGTTTTTTAAGTCATTCAACAAATATTTACTAAGTTCCACTATGCTTAAGGCTCTGCGCTAGGTGCTAGGGACATAGTAATGAACAACACAGATTTATCAAGGCAGGCAAGTTGTGAACAAGGAAGTTCATCTTTAGGCTTCCATATTTCTTCTCACTAGAATCCTCCAAATCATTCCCTATTTGCTCTAATCACCCCTTCCAAAAATCTTCCCTAAGAGGTACATCTCATAATTTAAATCTCCTCTGCCTTCCTCCTCCCCACCCCATCGATAGCCCATGCTAGCTTGGCCTGTGTGACTGTGTCCCATTCCTTCTAGCAATCTGCTGTCCCCGCTTGGCTGTGTTAATAGATTGCCCCTGGCCTCCCAAAATGCTGGGATTTACAGGCATGAACCACTGCACCTGCCTGCAATTAAAATTTTTAAAAATGTGGCCGGGCATGGTGGCTCATGCCCGTAATTCCAGCACTTTGGGAGGCTGAGGTGGGCGGATCACCTGAGGTCAGGAGTTTGAGACCAGCCTGGCCAACATGGTGAAACCCAGTCTCTACTAAAAGTACAAAAATTAGCCAGGCATGGTAGTAGGTGCCTGTAATCCCAGCTACCCGGGAGGCTGAGGCAAGAGAATCGTTTGAACCCGGGAGGCAGAGGTTGCAGTGAGCCGAGATCATGCCATTGCACTCCAGCATGGGGAACAAGAGCAAGACTTCGTCTCAAAAAAAAAATTTTTTTTTAATGTAGGTATGATGGTCTCTATGAACCAGACTGAGAATCTACCACTGCCAGGTTTATTCTGTTCCCCATCCCCCCACAGGGCCTTACCCTAGGCACTTACTTCAGGGTGTTCAGGACAGGCTGGTCTCTCTGCTTGACAGGTGCTATGATTTGAATGTGGTTTGTGCCAACCAAAACTCATGTTGAAATTTACTTGCCAACATGATGGTGTTTGGAGGCAGGGTCTTTAAGAGGTGACTGGGTTATTAGGATGGATGAATGACTTCCTCTGGGTGGGTTATCGAGAGAATGGATTAGCTCTCCTGAGAGTAGGTTGTTATAAAGCAGGTCAGCCTATTTTGTCCTCTCTCTCTGGCACATGCTTGCTTGCCCTTCTGCTTCTCTGCCATGTTAGGACACAGGTCAAAGGCCCTCACCAGAAGCTGACCAGATGAGCTGCTCAATCTTGGACTTCCCAGCCTCTAGAACTGTGAACCAAAATAAATCTCTTTTCTTTGTAAATTACCCAGTCTCAGGGTGCATTCCTAAGGTGTATCAGATAACTCTGGGTGACAAGACAGGCAGAACCTCATTATCAGCCTCTCAAGCCTGAGTGAAATGTTTTCATTTTAATAATTGTGGAGTGGTGTCTCATTAATGGTTTTAATTTGCATTTCCTTAAAGAGTGATGATGTTGAACATCTATTCAGTTGGTTATTTATGCCTGTGTCTCTTCTTTTTTTGCATTGTCTGTTCCAACATGTTGCCCATTTATAAACTTAGATGGTTTTCTCATTATTTAATTTTGAGAGTAATTTACATATTTTGGATGAGAGTACTTTTTTTTGTTGTTGTTGGTGTTTAACAAGACTTGACAGATGCAAGCACTTTATCAGAAATCTGATTTTCAAATATTTTCTCTCAGCCTGTGACGATCTTTTCATTTTTTCAACAGCGTCTTTTGAAAGCAGTTCTTAAATTTTTTTGAATGTGCCAAACACATTCATATTTATTTTCTTTTTTTAAAAGTAAATAATAAACAGCAGTTTATCAGTTTGTTAAACAAAAAAAATGACAGGCTGAGGTAAGTCTCCATCAGCCAAAGTTTATTGAGTCCAAGCTTGAGGAAGTGCCCAGGAAAAACACAAGGCACAGAAAGAGTCTGTGGCATGGATTCTCTGAAGAGGTTTTAAGGAGATTTAGTATTTATACATATCCTTAAACAGGGGAAGGCATGGCCAGGCACGGTGGCTCAAGCCTGTAATCCCAGCATTTTGGGAGGCCGAGGCAGGCAGATCACCTGAGGTCGGGAGTTGGAGACCAGCCTGACCAACATGAAGAAACCCCATCTCTACTAAAAATACAAAATTAGATGGGCGTGGTGGTACATGCCTATAATCCCAGCTACTCGGGAGGCTGAGGCAGGAGAATCGCTTGAACCTGGGAGGCGGAAGTTGTGGTAAGGCAAGATCACGCCATTGCACTCCAGCCTGGCCAACAAGAGCGAAACTCTATCTCAAAAAAAAAAAAGAGGGGTGGGGAAGGCATGTAGGATGAGGGGCAGGTAAGTAGTGAGACAGGGAATGGTTATATTCTTGTGAGACTTTAGTTAGTGCCCAGTAGATCTGCATTTTACATAAGATAAGGTGAACTTCTGAAGGAAAAAAAGGGAGTAAAGGAAGAATTAATTGTGCAGGTGTCTCCGGGTAGGTGGAAGCATGATTAATCTCATCTTCGCTTTGTTCTGCACCTGGAAAGATAAGCTTGGAATCAACATTATCCGTGTAGAAAGGAACAACATTGGTTTCAGGAGCTACATTTAGATTGCAGACCTAAAGTTACAATCAACATGCCCTCATTTTACGGGTGGATATACATCTTGACATCTTGAAAGTTTTTGAGGCAGCAAAATATTTAAGTGTGACTGATTTGTGGGGCAAACATCTGGAGCTGCCTGAGGCCTTTTGCATCCTGTGGGGGTCTGGCTAATGCTTCATGCTTTCACACAAGCTTGTGAAGTAGCAGCTTTGCACTTGGCAAAAGCATGGCAGTGTTGTGTGGCACAACCTCCAGGCTTAACTTTCTCTTTGGCATAAGGAGTTTGGGGATCCTGAGATTCTTTTTATTTTCCTTTATAAGTTTTACTTTTTTAAAACCTAAGCTTAACATTACATATTTAAACAACTGTCAAAACTTACTAAGTTGCCAGCCAGCATTCACGCACAACTAGAAAACATGCTTAATTTATATTAAACCAGAAATATATTACCATTAATATCTTTCAGTACTAAATACTGGGGAAAAAAAGCAATTATTTCTGTAGAAGATTCATCCTGAACAATGTTAACTTATCAGCAGGCTGACACCACTTGCATCACATTTCAAGAAAAATTGAAAATCAGATACATTGGTAGTGTACAATCTTGTACACTACCGAAGAATCATAGCTGGATGGGTGCAGTGGCTTCCACCTGTATTCCCAGCACTTTGGGAGGCTGAGGCGGGAGGCTTCCGTGATAGTTAAACTCTGCCTGTTGAAAAAAAACAAACCGGGGATGGTGGCAAAGTCACGCCTGTAATCCCAACACTGTGAGAGGCCGATGCAGAAGGACTGATTGAGTCCAGGAGCTTGAGACCAGCCTGGGCAACATGGAGAAACCCTGTCTCTACAAAAAATACAAAAATTAGCTAGGCATGCTGGTGCATGCCTGTAGTCCCAGCTACTCGGGAGGCCTAGGTGGGTGGGAAGATTGCTTGAGCCTGGGAGGTTGAGGCTGCAGTGAGCCAAGATGGAGCCATAGCCTGGGTGACAAAGCGACACCCTGTCTCAAATAAATAAATAAATAAATGAGTCACAGCTTACTTTGGATTATGTTTAATTAAGAAAAGCAAAGTGCATACAGAGATTTATAACTTTAAAAACAAAAAAAAAAAGTCTTTTTATATGATCCAAAGAATAAACTCAAAAGTCCATGACAAATAGAAGTTCTAAACAATTGTTTACAAATACTTTAGGTATAATTACAGTAAAAGTCAAGTTCATTTGAAATCACCAAAAAAAAAGTTTCAGGTTGGACACGGTGGCTCACCACCTGTAATCCCAGTATTTAGGGATTTTCTTACAATAAAAGGCATACAGGTTGATTATTTTAGGCATACAGGTTGATTATTTTAGGCATACAGGTTGATTATTAAATGACATGATTGCCCATATATAAAATTTTAAGGAATCTAAAAACAAAAAACAGCTTCCAAAACTAGTGAGTTTAGAAGCACAGAGGATGCAACATAAATATATGAAAATCGATTGTATTTCTATATAGTAACAAAAAACAAGTAGACACTAAAATTAAAACTACTATGTTGTTTATAATCATTCGAAAAGGTAAATACTTAGCTATAAATCTCACAAAACATGGACAGAACTCATAAGCTGAAACCTACACAGTGCTGAGGAAAACAGTCCCTGGATCATCCTGCAGCCTGGAGGGCACCGCCTCGGCGGCCCGGCTGACTCTCACGGCCCTGGGACTTTCAGGGTGGAGCGTGAACAGGCTTCCGGGAAACATCTTCCATCAGCCAAACCGTCCCGCTGCCTTATTGAAGAAGTCCATCTTCCAGTTTTTCTGCTCATATCTCTGAATCTCTCCTTGGCAAAGGCTCACGTGGGCTCCGGCACGGGCGTCATGCGGAGGACAAGGAAGGGGAGCCGCGCGTCTGGGGGTGACTCCCGGAGCCCCGCCTGCACCCAGGCCCGCCCTTCCTGCGCAGTGGCCCTGCCTGAGGCTGCTTTCCACCAGCGGGAATCGAAACTGATCTAGATGAGAACACATATGTGGAGGGAGGAGACTTGGCTAGAAAGGAGAAAGAGCAAGAACACCTTTATGAGGCAGAGAAGGGACAGTGACGAGGATTAGGGTTCAGGGCTGCAGGCTGCCCCCCTGCTGGTCCCCCAGCTCAGGCCCCTCCCCACCCCTCCCTCTAGCCGAACTCTCATCAGCAGGACCAGGCAGCACAGGGCTTGGCCCAAAAAGAACAAATTGAAGTTATTCAGAGAGCTGAGGAAACCCCTCTTATAGGCATCAACTGGTTTCCAGGAAAAGAGAGATGTTAATAGCTGACCCCACCACTGCAATGACTCTTTTGAGCCCTAAAGCAAATAGAAAAATCACTGGGGTAGGGAAGAAACATTTCGCATAGTGGTGCTCAGACTTTGGTAAGACAAGAATCTTCCAAGATTTGGGTGCTTGGGGGTAGGGCTAGAAATGTGCATTCTCTTTTTTTTTTTTTTGAGATAGGGTCTCGGTCTGTTGCCCAGGCTGGAGTGCAGTGGCTCAATCATGGCTCACTGTAGCCTCGACCTCCCGGGCTCAAGTGATCCTCCCACCTCGGCCTCCCAAGTAGCTGGGACCAGCGACATGCACCACCACGCCCCGCTAATTTTTTACTTTTTTGTAGATGCAGAGTCTTGCTATGTTGCTCAGGCTGGTCTTAAACTCCTGGGATCAAGTGATCCTCCTACCTTGGCCTCTCAAAGTGCTGGGATTATAAGTGTGAGCCACCATGCCCAGCTGAAAGCTGCATTTTCAGCAAGCCTCTCACACAGACCTTGGTTTTGTGGGCCCTAAAGATTACAAATATAGGGGGCATCTTTAAGAAAAATAATTTCTTTTTTTTTTTTTGTCTTTGAAACAGACTCTGGCTCTGTCACCCAGGCTGGAGAGCAGTGGCATGATCTCTGCTTACTGCAGCCTCCACCTCCAGGACTCCCACCTCAGCCTCCCAAATAGCTGGTACTACAGGTGCACACCACCACGCCCAACTAATTGTTACATTTTTTGTAGAGACAGGGTTTCCTCATGTTGTCCAGGCTGGCCTTGAACTCCAGGGCTCAAACGATCCTACCACTTTGGCCTGCCAAAGGCTCGGATTACAGGCATGAGCCACCGTGCCTGGCCAAAAAATAATATCTTACTTTACAAAACTAGATGAGCATCTGTGTGCATTGCTAGTGGGGCCCCACACAAGGGAAGGACCCTGCGGCACAAGCCTCGTAGCCCTTCCCATGAGTCCACTTCTGAGCCAAGAGGATTTTGATGCAGGAAGAAAGAGCTTCCTTGAAGAAACACAGACCAGTGCTTTAGTCACAGCATTACTGAGCACCTGCTGGGTGCCAGGCCCTGAGCTTGACTGTGGGGACCACAAACCAAGAGGGCACTGACCTTTCCCACCATGTATCATTAGAGTTGGTGGTTATGAAAATTATTAAATGCACTAACACGCTATGAAGGAAATGTAGTCAGTGTTCTGGGGGGAGAAAAGGGGGCCGGCAGCTAAGTGAAACCAGGCAAGTTACTTTAAATCTCCAAGCCTCAGTTTCCTCATCTGTAAAATGGAGCTCATCACAGAACCTATTTCATAAGGTTGTTGTGAGGATTAAAAGAGCTAATGCCTGTGAGGTACTTAAGTCCGTGCCCGGCACAGAGTGAGCACTCTAAGTTATATCTGTGTTTTTGCATATCGGACCTGTGATTGGTGAGACCAGGGTGGACTTCAGGGAGGGGGTGGGCCTTTGGTTTAGGACAGATGGTGCATTCCAGGGACTGCAGGGAGAAGGAGTAGAAGAGCACGCTCCTCTCTGTGTGTGCACTTGTGTGTGCATGTGTGTGTGTTTGTGCACGTGTGTCCTCAGGGAGAGATGAGCAGCTCCTTGTGACTGAAGAGCAGACATCAAGAAGGAGGCACTTAGACACCAGGTGCTGCAGAAGCAGCAGGGTCCCAGTCTGGAGGCCTCGTATTCCAGGCCAAGGAGATTAGACACTGGGTGCTGGAGAAGCAGCAGGGGCCTGGTTTGGAGAAGTGGGCAGGGGACTGATCTGGAGGCCCTTGTGTTCCAGCAAAGGAGCTCAGACTTTCTCCTGAGCAGTGCGAAGCATCACTGAAGGACTGTAAGCAGAGGAGTAAGAAAGCAGGTTTTGTGTGTCATAAAAATACTCGAGTGGTAAAGAGGCGGAGGGATTGGAGGAGGTAAGACAAACCGCAGGAGGCTGTCTGGGAGGCAGTACAGACATCCAGCTGAGACTCGCACTCAGCTCAGAGCCTGGGCAATGGCAGTGGGACAGAGACAGGCCAAGTAACTGGCCATTTGTGTTATGAAAAGTGCTGTTTCACAGCTTCCTATTACTCACAGTAAAGAACTGCAGCAGGGCTGGATAAGGCCATGGTACAATATTAACTTCACAGAGATAGCAGGTCATCTGATATGAAACCACTCCCTGGCAGACGCCTGGTCTGTCTGGCAACCATGTTGGCACCGTAATCCCATTTCATTTTTTTTTTCTTTTAAGACAAAAGTTTCCCTCTTGTTGCCCAGGCTGGAGTGCAATGGCCCAGTCTCAGCTCACTGCAACCTCCTCCTCCTGGGTTCAAGCGATTCTTCTGCCTCAGCCTCCCACGTAGCTGGGATTACAGGAGACTGCTACCACACCTGGCTAATTTTTGTGTTTTTAGTAGAGGCGAGGTTTCACCATGTTGGTCAGGCTGGTCTTGAACTCCTGTCCTCAGGCAATCCACCGGCCTCGGGCTCCCAAAGTGCTGGGATTACAGGTGTAAGCCACTGCGCCCGGCCCATGATCCCATTTCTGAGCACATACAATCAATTCTCATAGTGTGGTCCCCTCTGCCCATTTCTCTGTGGGCAAGAGGTTCTGAAATACCCAATATAAAACACTGTGATGGGGCCAGGCACAGTGGCTCATGCCTGTAAATCCCAGCGCTTTGGGAAGCCGAGGTGGGCGGATCAGTTGAGCTCAGGAGTTTGAGACTAGCCTGGACAACATGGCAAAACCCCGTCTCTACAAAAAATACAAAAATAAAAAATAAAACACTGTGATGGGAGTGGGGGTTTGTGTGGGACAGTTCAGTTGGCACCCATGTGGAGTTAATCAGACCCCATGGAGCTACTCAGATCAAAGTGATTTAAGCATTTTTTGTCTTCATGAACAAAGACAAGTTCCAGAGGTACAGCCTAAACTTCAGACCCTCAAGTTTTGGCTGGAGTGAGTGAACCAGAACAGTGAGTCCCAATCTTTTAAGGGAAGCATAATTTATATAAAGTAAGGCCTGCGACAGGGTCAACATTAGAATGGGCTCGTAGTGAAATAAGAGCCCTGTGAAACTTCCTGTGGAGTTACACAAATTACAAATCCACCAGGACTTTCCCCAGTGTCCAACTTCCAAAAATACTGTGTGTATAAAACAGTAACGTAATTCAAAGAAGTTATCCAAATTGCTCATGTCAACATGTTGCTTACTGAAATAGCCATAAAAAAACAAATCCCGCTGGGCGCTGTGACTCACACCTGCAATCCCAGCACTTTAGGAGGCAAGAGGATCATTTGAGCCCAGCAGTTCGAGACCAGCCTGGACAACATGGCAAAACACTGTCTCTACAAAAAATCAAAAATAAACTGGGCATGGTAGTTCATGCTTGCAGTCCCAGCTAATCGGGAGCCTGAGGTGGGAGGATCACTTGAACGTGGGAAATGGAGACTGCAGTGAGCTGAGATCATGTAGCTTGGGCAACAAGCAAGACTGTTTCAAAAAAAGATAGAAAGAAAGAAAGAAAGAAAGAAAGAAAGAAAGAAAGAAAGAAAGAAAGAAAGAAAGAAAGAAAGAAAGAAAGAAAGAAAGAAAGAAAGAAAGAAAGAAAGAAAAGAACAAATCCCATGCCTTCTTTGAGAAAAAATGTTATTTTTTAAAATCAAGATTTGAAGACATATCTTTGCAGAAATGTTAGAACAGCAATCTGGGGTTAGTCAAAGGTATGTAATAAAAAATTTGAAGTACAGATCAATTTAAAGAAGAATATTAAATAAATAGTGTTGATGGCACATGGACACAGGAACATTCAGAAATGTGGCATGTGGTTGGCTGAAATATTAGAAGCACCAGTTTAGTCATTCAGCCTCATTGCAGTTTTCAGATGCGATTCTGAGGCACAGAGAGGGGAAGTGACTTTCTCAAGGGATCATTGTATAGTTGAGGATTACTTTTGGGAGCATTGAACAGAAAACCCCCAAATGTAGAGGCTTGAACAAGATAGAAGGGTTTGTTTTTCTCTCATATGAAAAAGGCTGGCGGTCAGCCATTCAGGTCTGGGGTGGCAGCCCCACTGTTCCTGGGGACTCAGCTCCTTGTATTTTCTCCTGAATCACCCTTAGTTTGTTACTTCATGAACTAAAATGGCTGCTGGAGCATCAGCCATCGCATCTGTTATTTCAGGCAACATGAAGGAGAACAAGGCGAAGGGGCAAAGGGCACTCCTCCTCTCAGACAAGTTAGCTTGCTCCCTCTAAGAAGCCTTCCTGGGGGTCCCACGCAATTCAACTTCACCCCATTTCCGGATCTTATTCACGTGGCTACTCATAACTGCAAGGGAGACTGAAAAGCAGTCTTATTGGGTATATTGTCACCCTAAACAAAATTGGGGTTCTGTTACGGGCATATCCAGGATTTTTAGTGGGTCCGGAAGCTTTTGCAATTTCTCTTTAAGAAAATATACAAAATTGGCCGGGCACGGTGGCTCATGCCTGTAATCCCAGCACTTTGGGAGGCCGAGGCGTGTGGATCACGAGGTCAGGAGATCGAGACCATCCTGGCCAACACCGTGAAACCCCGTCTCTACTAAAAAAAATACAAAAACTTAGCTGGGCGTGGTGGCAGGTGCTTGTAGTTCCAGCTACTCGGGAGGCTGAGGCAGGAGAATGGCGTGAACCTGGGAGGCAGAGCTTGCAGTGAGCCGAGATTGCACCACTGCACTCTAGCCTGGGCGACAGAGCGAGACTGTCTCAAAAAAAAAAAAAGAAAATGTACAAAATTGTGAATACAAAGCCAGGTACTGAAGTAAATATGTGTTTAGAAGAAACAAAGAAATCAAAACAGATTACAGATTTTTAAAAACTTGACACATACCTCAAACATCTTAAAATCCAGAAAGATGGCCGGGGGAGGTGACTCATGCCTGTAATCTCAGCACTTTGGGAGGCCAAGGCGGATGGATCACCTGAGGTCAGGAGTTCGAGACCAGCCTGGCCAACATGATGAAACTCTGTCTCTACTAAAAATACAAAATTTAGCTGGGTGTAGTGGCAGGCACCTGTAATCCCAGCTACTTGGGAGGCTGAGGCAGGAGAATCACTTGAACTTGGGAGGCGGAGGTTGCAGTGAGCCAAGATTGCATCATTGCACTCCAGCCTGGGCAACAAGAGCAAAACTCCATCTCAGAAAAAAAAAATTGCCAAATATTTTAATATTTTAATACTGTCCTACTTCTTCAGCATACTCTTTGATTGCTCCTTCAAATGATGAAGATATAACTTTTTTTTTTTTTAGACAGAGTCTCACTTTGTCACCCAGGCAGTGAGCATGCAGTGGCATGATCTCAGCTCATTGCAACCTCTGCCTCCCGGATTCAAGCAATTCACCTGCCTCAGCCTCCCAAATAGCTGGGGTTACAGGCACACACAACCATGCCTGGCTACTTTTTTTATTTTATTTTTATTAATTAATTAATTTATTTATTTTGAGACGGAGTCTTGCTCTGTCCTGTCACCCAGGCCAGAGTGCAGTGGTGCGATCTTGGCTCACTGCAACCTCTGCCTCCTGGGTGCAAGCAATTCTCCTGCCTCAGCCTCCTGAGTAGCTGGGACAACATGTGCCCACCATCGTGGCCCACTAATTTTTGTATTTTTAGTAGAAATGGGGTTTCACCATGTTGACCAGGCTGGTCTTAAACTCCTGACCTCAGGTGATCTGCTCCCCTCAGCCTCCCAAAATGCTGGGATTATAGGCGTGAGCCACCGCGCCTGGCCCTAATTTTTGTATTTTTAATAGAGACAGGCTTTCACCATGTTGGCCAGGGTGGTATTGAACTCCTGGCCTCAAGTGATCTGTCCGCCTTGGCCTCCCAAAGTGCTGGGATTATAGGCATGAGCCACCGTGCCTGGCCAGGGTTTAACATATTTTCTATAAAGAAAATAGAATGACCATTCTGTCTTTCCATTGATCTGTTTATTCTCCATTGCCCACGTACTTTGGGTGCCAGGCACCATGGGACATGTTCCTTCATGATGCTCCTTGGAGCCTCCGGCCCTGCATCTTTGCATCTGGATCCAGGTGGGTTGGCGCAATTGGCAGAGGAGTGTTCTAGAAGCCATTCCTAACAGCTGGGAATAACTGAGTCATTCATGGAAGTGGCTGTGAACCACATAGACCTGTCCTGCTAAACCTACAATACATGTTGCCCAACTCAATTCCTTAGCAAGATTCCCAAAATGTACATGGCCTCTCCACCACCACCTGACTCAAGAGGAAGTGTGCTGGAGGGGAAGTTGGAGTGGAAGAAGATGGTAGCGTCAGTCCATTTAAAACATTTTAACTTTTGCAAATATTAGAGAAGTCTGTGAGCATGTGAACACATTGCTCATGCAGAGAAGGGCCCTGAAGCTCAAGCTGTATTAGCTCCTCGATGAACCTGCCTCTGGGTTCAGCTCCTAGACCAGCTGGGAAGGACAAATGATGAGCTGGCAGGTAGCGATGTTTGCCTCATGGAGGTCGCACCTGGTCTGGTTGCAGCCTCTGGCCCCAGCCCATTTTATTCTTGTCGCTGGCCCACACTGGTGCTCTTCTTTTATCCTTCACACCGTGTGTTCAGAGAACAAAGCCCCCTTCATTCACTGTAAACCCTCCCCAGGAAAGAAACCAGTATTTACCAGACACCAGATCGCTCTCTGTCTGGCACCTCTGATCAAGCTCCCAACAGCCCTTGCTGGGTTGAATAATGGACACATCTGAGAATCAGAGACCTGCCCAGGGCCATGCATGTGTGGAGCAGTGGAACCAGGCTAAGGGTGATAATAGCAGCCTGGCTCCCAAGTTTGTCGGCTCCCCCACACCCAGCAGCCCCTTCCCTCTGTTTTGGACTTACCCAAAGTGATGGCTGAGGCAGTTGCCAGAGCAACCAGCCACCACAGTTAATCTGCTGAGCTGACACTCCCAGGGCTGATTAGCTAGTTGGCGTTCTGGTTATTTACTGCTGCATAAACGTTATTCTACCACTTAGTAGCTTAAAACAATGACAGGGTTTATTTGGCTTACAAATCTGCCAGTTGGGCAGGGCTAGGTGAAGAGAGCTCATCTCTGCTCCACTCGGCATGAAGTCAGGTGGCCCGGAGGCTGGGGCTGGAATATCTGAAGGCTTCTTAACTCACAGGTCTACCGCTTAATATTGCCTCTTGGCTAAGATCTTAGCTGAGGCAATTGACTAGAACACCTGCAAGTGGCTTTTCCACATGGGTTGGGCTTCCCCACAATATGGTGGCTGGAGTCCAAGGGTGAGCATTCCCAGTGAGAGCCAGGTGGAACTTACATCCCTTTTATAACCTAGCCTCAGAAGCCATCCAGTGCCATTTCCACCACATTCTATTTCTTGAGGCAATCACATGAGCACCACCCAGGCTCAAGGGGAGGGGAAAGGGACCTCACCTCTAGACAGGAGGCAGCAAGAGGTTGAAAGAGCACCTGGAACCAGAAATATTTGGAAAATTCAATGCCCACCACAGACAATAAGTAAGTGCTGGACTCCTCTGGGCACTGGGGTACAGAGAGAATTGGACACAGTCCCAGCCTTAAGCAGCTCATATTCCAAAGGGTAAGATGGATATACAGCTGGGCTACATGGCATCAAGGAGGAAGTGCACAGAGTTTTTTTGTTTGTTTGTTTGTTTGTTTGTTTTTGAGACGGAGTCTTGCTCTGTTGCCTAGGCTGGAGTGCAATGGCACCATCTCAGCTCACTGCAAGATCCCCCTCCAGGGTTCAAGTGATTCTCGTGCCTCAGCCTCCTGAGTAGCTGGGATTACAGGCACCCACCACCACGCCTGGCTAATTTTTTGTATTTTTAGTACAGACAAGGTTTCACCATATTGGCCAGGTTGATATTGAACTTCTGACCTCAGGTGATCCGGCTGCCTCAGCCTCCCAAAGTGCTGGGATTACAGGCGTGAACCACCGTGCCCAGCCAAGATTTTTTGTTAAAGTTAGTATAGTTGGTTATGTGCTGGACACCATTCTAGGTGCCTTACATTTAACTTCATGTCAGTTTTATGAAGCGGGTACAAATAATAATCCCCATTCTACCTGGGAAGAAACAAAGGCACAGAGAGGTGAAGCAACTTGCCCACAATCACACAGCAGTAAAGTGCCAGAGCCGGGACTCAGCCCAGGCAGTCCCGCAATGGAGTCTGTGCTGCTCACCACAGCACCACCCCACCTGTCTTCTCAGATGCCCCCTCATGGGATGGACCTACTTTCATGGACCTCAACGTCTTTGCAGGGAACATGGGCCTAGGTGACTGCACTCTGTCACTAGGGAGTGAGGAGGGTTCTGCCAAGTGGTTTCATTTTGATCACTGTTTTCTGTGCCTGGGGGGTGGGAAGCCCAGAATGGCACAGCTCAGCTCCTAGTCCTATCAACTGTCTCTCATCCAGGGCTGATTCTAGAGGGGTGGCAGGGAATGAGTAGTGGGGGCTGCTCTGCTGAACAGGAAGGAACGCCGAGTCCATTCTCTTTTGTATCTGGGGATCCCCAGAGAAGAATGTAACATGGTATGAAAGAGTGGAACGCCAGCTTCTAGGGGAGCCGCAGTGTCCAACAAGGGCACACACTTTGGGAGTCAGCCAGGCCTGGCCCTAATTCCAAGCTCCTTCACTTCCAGGTGGGATGACCCTGTGCAGTCTACTTCACTGCAGTAACCCCCAGTTTTCCCTTGCTTACATGGGGGTGATATTTTCTCACATGACTTCCCTGATGTGAAATGAGAGAACACATGTAAAGCACGTAGCATGATCCTGCGTAGTAGGCAGTGAGTGACCATCTCTCCCTTTGGCCAGGCCTCCTGGCATGTGCCCAGACCTAGACCCTGTCCCCCAAGGAATCTGACCAACACACTGCAGTGGGGGCTTTCACCTCCCTTGTTTCTACACACTCTACCACTAGTGATATGACTTAAGATTATTTTATTATTTTTGCAGCCACATCCCTCAGTGGTTCTCATCAACTAAAATCCTACAGTTCTTTCCACAGGTAGCAGCTGCTTCTCATTGTCCTCCCAGCGGCCATCATAAATGACCTGGCTGCAGTGATAGTTGTGCTGTTACAGAAATATGGAAAATCCCAGGCCACGTCCTCCATGCCTCGGGACCTGTTTCCTTCCACACTAAAGGCTTGCTCAATACCCCAGCAAAGGAGGGATAGGTAAGATTCAGAACCCAGGCCTCCCGCACCCTCCCTCTGATGAGCTCTACTCCTGAGGGGTATTGTCCAGCCATTTGCTCAAGGGAGAAAGATAGTAGATGCTCAGTTCCTACTTGATGATGAGAAGGTGACTGAGAAGGGTGTGTCTACTTCTTCAGTGCGGCTCTGCCTCCCAGCCTAGAAACTGACCGAAATAACAACCAACAATTTTAAAGGTGGGATGTGGGCGGGAAGTGGAAATCTACATTCACACTGGAAACTAGAGTGTTGTCACAGGCTGTCCACATGCTGCAAGCATTGAACGTGATGCATTGCCAGAGCTCATGTGGGCTGGAAAGAAGGCATTACCGGGTCACTGCAATCAATGCATAGCTTCCCTTCTGGGAATGGACTTAGTGATCTTGGGAGGGAGGTGCAGATCCTGGCCGGATGAGGGCAGCCATCAGGCTTTGAACATTCACCTTATGTGCTAAGTGCTTCACACGCTTCATTTATTTGGTCATCACCACAACCCTGCCAAGTACCAAGATCCCACTTCGCTTATCAACAAGGAGACGGAGGTTCCAGGAGGTGCAGGAAACCGTAGCAGGGCTGAGGGCTGACTTGGTGTCCCCCATGGACTCAGGGGACTGGGGAAAGGGGAGTTAGTGTTTAATGGGAGTTTCATTTGGAGATGAAAAGGTTCTGGAGATGGATGGTGGTGATGGTTGCATAACAACGTGAATGTACCTAATGCTAGTAATTTGCACATTTCCAAATGGTTTAAATGATAACTTTTATGTTCCGTAACTTTGCCACATAAAAAAGGTAGGGGGAGGAAGGCAATCACTGCTAGGTTGCTGTGGTAACTCTGCAGGTGTATATAAAGCTATCAGGAAGAAAAAGCTAAAATACTCACTTACAGTCTCCCATTGTTTTGCTCCAGAATCCACACACCTGCTCTGTCCCTGCAATGTATATAATTAAAAGAATGCAGGTGCTCAGCCTGATTGAATTGAGCCTGCTTCCCTCTCAACTACTATTATATTCCAGATGGGATAATGCAGTCAACTCAAAGTTCTGAGTCTGAAGCCTGCCCTCTTTGTGTTAAAAGTGAGATCAGACCCAGGCATGGTGGTGTGCACTTGTAGTCCCAGCTGCTTGGGAGGCTGAGGCAGGAGGATTGCTTGAGCTCAGGAGTTCCACACAGTAGCATGCTATGATTGTGTCTGTGAATAGCCACTGCAGTCCAGTCTGGGTGACAGAAACAGACCTGCATCTCTTTAAAAAAAAATGCAGCCAGACGCAGTGGCTCACACCTGTAATCCCAGCACTTTGGGAGGCCGAGGCGGGCGGATCATGAGGTCGAGAGTTCAAGACCAGCCTGGCCAACATAGTGAAACCCCGTCTCTACTGAAAATACAAAAATTAGCCAGGCATGGTGGCAGGCACCTGTAATCCCATCTACTCAGGAGGCTGAGGTAGGAGAATCGCTTGAACCCGGGAGGCGGAGGTTGCAGTGAGCCTTTGCACTCCAGCCAGAGTGACAATGTGAGTCCGTCTCAAAAAAAAAAAAAATGCAATCAACACTGGCGGAGAGGAGGTACTGGCACCAACCTGAGCCTTTCTCTTTTTAAAAATAATTGATTTATTGATTTATTTATTTTAGAGACAGGGTCACACTATGTTGCGCAGGCTGGTCTCAAACTCCTGGGCTCAAGTGATCCTCCAACCTCAGTGTCCCAAAGTGCTGAGATTACAGACTTGAGCCACCGCACCTGGCCTAGACTTTCTTCTTGAGGTCATCAGAAGGGTTGAAGACACTTGAAAATAACGTCCTCACTGTGTGATGCCAGGGTATTTAATCCTGCATCTGTGAAGGTAAAGTGTTCTAGCAGACAGGGTCCATTTCTCACTGGGCAGCCCTGTTGAGGAGAGCAGGAACTGCAGGGGCTGGGGTTGTCCAATGACCAAGAGAAGAACAATTAGGCAGAGCGGACAGAGCTCAGAGCCCTGCATGTGAGCATGTTGTTCCCCACGTCCCCACCCCAACTCTTGTTGCTTTTTGCTGCACTGTTGGGGGAGACCCATTTTCTACTGAAGCTCACTGACACCATGTCAGGCTGCCATCATGGACTCCGGGCCTTGGGGAGGGCCACCGTGGTCTGTGGCGGGTCAGAGCATGTAACTAGAGCACACAGCGTGTGGCAGCCGAAAGCTGGAGGGTGAACATGCAGTTGACGCTTCCTGATGCTGGGCGTAGCAGCTTGGAATCAGCTCCAGATGCCTCCCAGTGACAGTGGAGCTGTCAGAACCTGCAGCTTGGTGGCCTGCCGCCAATTCCAGTCTGCAAACTTGTTTTGTTTGTCCTATAAACTGTTTTAAAAATGTAAGCCAACTTCTGAAAATTGGGAGATTTCACATAAAATTCCACACTTCTAGCATCTCTTAAAAAAAAAAAAAAAAAAGCTGATGTGGTGGCTTACACCTGTAATCCCAGCACTTTGGGAGGCCCAGGCAGGCAGATCACTTGAGGTCAGGAGTTTGAGACCAGCCTGGCCAACATGGTGAAAACTGGGCTCTGCTGAAAATACACAAATTAGCCGGGCTTGGTGGTGTACTCTGGTAATCCCAGCTATTTGGGAGGCTGAGGCAGGAGAATTGCTTGAACCCAGGAGGTGAAAGTTGCAGTGAGCTGAGATGACCCCATTGCATTCCAGCCTGGGCAACAGAGTGAGACTCTGTCTCAAAACAAAAAGAAAAACAAAAAACAAAAAACAAGGTCGTCCTGGCACAGAAAGAGCTCTGTTGATGGGCAGAGACACAGATGGGAGATGTAACTGACAGGACTTCAGTCTCCTTGACCCCACAGCCTTTGACACAAATCACTGCAATCCCCTAAAATCACTTTTCTTTGGCTTGCGTGGCTTTGTACAGTCCAGGTCCTATTACCATTTCCATTTCCTTCTGCTGCTTCCTTGTGATTGTATGTGGGAAGTTTCAATGCTTGTCCCTCCCTACTTTTTATTTTTTAAATCTTGTTAGGAGATTTTATCTATTCTTAGGTTTCAGATCTCCCCTTTATGTTGGTAACTCTCAAATCCCCCTTCTCTATGTGGTGATAGGGAAACACATATTGTACATCCAAGTGTGAGGAAGTTGTATTCGTGTTGGGGTCTGGAGGATGAATTGACGTTAGTCAGATGAGGGGTGTATCCTAGCTTGACTTTACTCCACTTTTGATTTTAAGTGCTAGCTGTAAATAGTTTAGTAAGGTCCTCTCTCTTATTTTTAATGTGTTACCCATTTGTCGATTTCTAATTACCATAAATGTTTTATTTTATTTTATTTTAGAGACAGAGTTTTGCTCTGTCCCCCAGGCTGGAGTGCAATGGTGCGATCTTGGCTTCCTGCAACCTCTGCCTCCCAGGTTCAAGTGATTCTCCTGCTTCAGTCCCCCAAGTAGGTAGGATTACAGGCATGTGCCACCAAGACTGGCTAACTTTTTTTTTTTTTTTTTTTTTAAGATAGAGTCTCACTCTGTCACCCAGGCTGGAGGGCAGCGGCCCAATCTTGGCTCACTGCAAACTCCACTGGGATTACTGGCCTGAGCCACCATGCCCAGCCCCAGCTAACTTTTGTATTTTTAGTAGAGACAGGATTTCACCATGCTGGCCAGGCTGGTCTTGAACTCTTGGTCTCAAGTGATCTGCCTGCCTTGGCCTCCCACAGTGCTGGGATACAGGCATGAGCCACCTTGCATGGCCAAATGTTTTATTTTAATATTGAAATAATATCATCCCTTCGTATGATGTGAAAGTCAACCAGACTTCACTTATATTAGATGCCAGATGCCTAATAGGGTAGTTTCTGATAAGTTTCTCCTTTTTTTCCTGCAGAGTGGAGAAAGAAAAGGCACAAGCAGTTGAGCAACAGGCCAAGGTTAGTGAACAGAAGAAGGCAGAGGATGTCAAGGCCCAAATGGAGGCTCTTTCAAAACAGCAGCACTTGACTTCCCATCAGCGGGGGGAGTTGGTACTGGTCCCACTTTTACATACATTTTTTACTTGATAGCATACATACATTTTTTACTTGACAACATACATACCTACATTTTTTAGCCAAATTCATGCACACCCATGCACAATGATATATTCTTGTGGGTTTTGTGGTTTATTTTTTGAGACAGTGTCGCACTATCCCCCAGGCTAGAGCAGATCACAACCTCGACTCCCTGGTTCAAGCGATCCTCCCACCTCAGCCTCCCTAGTAGCTGGGACTGCAGGCACACACCACCATGCCCAGCTAATGTTTGTAATTTTTATAGATATAGGGTTTCACCATGTTCCCCAGGCCAGTCTCAAACTCCGGGACTCAAGCAATCCACCTGCCTCAGCCTCCCAAAGTGCTGGGATTTTAGGTGTGAGCCATTGTACCCAGCCAGGTTGGTTTTTTTTTAAGTTTATCTCACATATATCGTATTGTCATTATTTGAAAACAGCTCTGTGGATACACCAAGCTGTGGTTTTGTAAAAAGTATACATATTTGGAGGACATCTGAAATAAGATTTCTATTATTTATCTTTAGAGTTTCATGAGTAATTTCTGAAAATAATTTTTTCTTGTGAATTTCCAGTTTGGAAAATTTCTGCAGTATATAGAAAAGCAAATTACGCTAAAACTCCGTAAGAGTTTGTTGTAATTGATTATTATAAAGCTACTGATGGTTTCTTAGTGTTTTCATACTATAAATAATGTTCCATGGCCAGGTGCAGTGGCTTATGCCTGTAGTCCCAGCACTTTGGAGGGCCAAGGCAGGAGGATCCCTTGAGTCCAGGAGTTCAAGACCAGCCCGGGCAACATAGGGAGACCCTGTCTCTAATAAAAGAAAAAAACAAAATTAAAAAAATAAAAATACAATGTGCATATATGCTGAACATTGAGCACCCGAATAAAAGATGATTACTGGCCAGGCGTGGTGGCTTACGCCTATAACCCCAGCAGTTTGGAAGGCCGGGGCAGGTGGATTGCCTGAGGTCAGGAGTTCGAGACCACCCTGACCAACATGGTGAAACCCCATCTTTACTAAAAATGTAAAAATTAGCCGGGCATGGTGGCGCACGCCTGTAATCCCAGCTACTCGGGAGGCTGAGGCAGAAGAATCGCCTAAACCCAGGAGGCAGAGTTTTTAGTGAGCGGAGATCACACCATTGTACTCCAGCCTGGGCTGCAAGAGCAAAACTCTGTTGGGTTGGGGGGGTGGTGTGCAGGGAAGAAAGATGATTATCACTTATTCCTATTGAGAAAATACTATAAAAGTTTTTACCACTTCCTGCCGCGGCGGCCTCAGCGCTGGCCCGAGGGGACCAGATCGCCGGCCCCAGTGAGCGGCATGCAGCGCTGAGGAACGGCGACCCAGCAGGGCGGCGCCATGAACCTCCTGCCATGTAACCATCACCGCAACGGGCTGCTGTACGCTGGCTTCGACCAGGACCACAGATGCTTTGCGTGTGGGATGGAAAATGGATTCCGAGTCTATAACGCTGATCCACTAAATGAAAAAGAGAAACAAGAATTTCTAAAGGAGGAGTTGGCCATGTTGAAATGTTATTTCGCTGCAACTATTTAGCTTTAATTGGTGGTGGAAAAAAGCCAAAATACCCTCCCAACAAAGTAATGATCTGGGATGACCTGAAGAAGAAGACTGTTATTGAAACAGAATTTTCTACAGAAGTCAAGGCAGTCAAACTGCGGCGAGATAGAATTGTGGTGGTTTTGGACTCCGTAATTAAGGTGTTCACATTCACACACAATCCCCAATGGTTGCACATCTTGAAAACCTGCTATAACCCCAAAGGCCTCTGTGTCCTTTGTCCCAATAGTAACAACTCCCTCCTGGCCTTTCTGGGCACCACACGGGCCATGTGCAACTTGTGGACCTGGCCAGCACAGAGAAGCCACCAGTGGACATTCCTGCACATGAGGGTGTTCTGAGCTGCAGTGCACTCAAACTGCAGGGAACAAGAATTGCAACTGCATCCGAGAAAGGGACCCTTATAGGAATATTTGATACTTCCTCAGGGCATTTAATTCAGGAACTGCGAAGAGGATCTCAAGCAGCCAATATTTACTGCATTAACTTCAATCAGGATGCGTCCCTCATCTGTGTATCCAGCGACCATGGCACAGTGCATATTTTTGCAGCTGAAGATCTAAAAAGGAATAAACAGTCCAGTTTGGCCTCAGCCAGTTTCCTTCCAAAATACTTCAGTTACAAGTGGAGTTTCTCCAAGTTTCAGGTTCCCTCAGGCTCTCCGTGCATTTGTGCCTTTGGAACACAGCCAAACGCCGTCATTGCAATTTGTGCAGACTGCAGCTACTACAAACTCCTGTTCAACCCCAAGGGGGAGTGCATCCGAGATGTCTACGCGCAGTTTCTAGAGATGACTGATGACAAGTTGTGACTCCCCTGCTGGGGGCGCCACAGCACCCACCACCTGCCGCCTTCAGGCTCTCGGGGCTGGTGCCAGAGCCCCAGGGGCCTCCTGGGCCACGGGCTGGAGGGGCTGCCCAGGGACCTTGGTCTCGAAGCCTTAGGTGGTTGTCTGCTTTCCTAAGGACTCCCATTTCCAGTATTAAAGAGAGAATCATCATCAAGGCACCGTAGGTACTCAGTGCTGTGACCAGCTTGAGTGGCCGCTGGCTGTTCCCATGAGTTCAGCTGTGATGTTAGCTTCAGTGGCTCCACCGCATCCTCACGCTGACGGGGGCTCCATACGGACCTGGGAACTGGGCTGAGAGGGTGGATGAGTTCAAGTTTGTTTTTGCAACAGATTCCATTGTTCTTACTGAGTCTGCAGCGGGGAAGTGAACAAGTGTGCAAATGTAAGTTCTTACATTATAAGCAGATTTAAATAGAACACCAGCAGCTTGCCTTAGAAAAGGAGAAAGGAATTCCTTCTCCCGTCCGAACATGAAGAAAAACGACCTGACCCTGTAGAGAGAGCACAGCGTGAATGTTTCCCCTTGTGTGAGCCCAGCCTGTGGTCTTCTCCGTACCTGCAATGTGGTCATCTGTGCCCGTAATGTCGTCTGTGCCCTTGCGTGGCATCCCCGTCTCTGTTGGGGCCATTAGAATGAGATGGACACCAGGCCACCGTAGAAGCCGAGCTGTCAGACCTCAGGCGTGTGCGGGGCGGGGACGCGGGGTCTCCTGGTTACATTCTGGGTTAAATCTGTTTCCCGGTTATGTGTAGGGAACATCAGAGTGACGCACGGACTTTGAACATTCGTTATGGGGGAAAACATCCTTTAACTTCAGGGTCGTCTGGCAGAGCAGGATCTGGGAGGGCCCGCTGTAGTGCCCGCTGCAGTTCCCGCTGGTGTAGAGGGAAATGCCTCGGTCTGGCCTCCAAGCCCCCAAGTCCACTGTCTTCCCCTCCCCTCATTTGTAAGAATAGCTACACACTAACATTTTAGGAAGGAAAGGCACATAACTTTTTTTAACATTTGGTAACTAAAATAGGTTATGGGCTCTACATTGTCAGCTATTTGGGATATATATTTAATTTTCTTAAATTCCCGTTAAAGAAACCCTATTTTATGGTTTTGATTTCAGATTGCAAACATATAAAATCTGCATAGCAGCGAGTTCTCGGTTTTGCCAGTTCCTTCAGTTCCTTTACTGTTACTGTCATGTAATCAACTAACTCTGTATGTGGATTTTGATGTAAAGTATGCATGTTCCTTTTATGTGTATTTAATCATGATGTTTAATTTTGCACACTTATTTGTAATGTTTCTTTTAAATAAAAGTGACTAATTTTGTTGTAAAAAAAGTTTTTACCAACTTCAGTATATAAACATTGAAGATACAGATGAATAGATATACTATATACAATATTATTAACATAGTTATACATAACTATCTAAAAATCACATATAAACCAAATTATTTGTTTCAAACTACTTTTCCCTCGCATTTTTTTTTTTTTTTTTTTTTTTTTTTTGAGACGGAGTCTCGCTGTCGCCCAGGCTGGAGTGCAGTGGCGCAATCTCGGCTCACTGCAGGCTCCGCCCCCTGGGGTTCACGCCATTCTCCTGCCTCAGCCTCCCGAGTAGCTGGGACTACAGGCGCCCGCCACCTCGCCCGGCTAATTTTTTGTATTTTTAGTAGAGACGGGGTTTCACCGTGTTAGCCAGGATGGTCTCGATCTCCTGACCTCGTGATCCACCCGCCTCGGCCTCCCAAAGTGCTGGGATTACAGGCGTGAGCCACCGCGCCCGGCCTTCCCTCGCATTTTATAAAACATTTTTTCAAATTGTTATGTATCTTTCAGTTTACCATAGGTCCTTCACTTACATCAAAGTTTGAGATGATAGCACGTTTGGATTCTACGTATGATGCTATCTGTCACAGGAAATTCATTACTAAACCCAAATATCTATAACAACCGGCTAGTTGTTTTGTTTTTTATTTTATTGTTGTGTTTTCTAATTTCTGCAGTGTAACTTTTTTTTTTTTTGAGACAGGATCTAACTCTGTTGCCCATGCTGCTGGTATGCAGTGGCATGATCACGGATCACTACATTCTCAATCTCGTGGGCTCAAGCAATCCACCCATCTCAGCTTCCCAAGTAACTGGGACTACAGGCATGCACCACCATGCCCAGCTAATTTTTGTATTTTTTGTAGAGATGGAAGTTTTGCCATATTGCCCAGGCTAGTCTTGAACTCCTGAGCTCAAGTGATCTGCCCACCTAGGCCTCCCAAAGTGCTGGGTTTACAGGCAAGCACCACTGCATTCGGCCCTAATATATTACTTTTAAAAATTTATTTAAAATTCTTTTTTACGAAGATAGCTAACACTTCAACTTTGAAGGCATATCCTCCAGTAAATAACTACTAAATATCTGTTCTATTTCTTTGCCTCCTTTTTTTTTTTTTTTTTTTTTTTTTTGAGACAGGGTCTTGCTCTATTGCTGAGGCTGGAGTATAGTGGTGCACTCATAGCTCATTGCAACTTTGAATTCCCAGGCTTAAGGTGATCTTCTGGTCTCAGCCTCTTGAGTAGCTGGAGCTATAGATGCACTACCACACACACCTTTGCCTCCCTCTTTCTTTTCTTTTTTCTTTTTTTTTTAACTGATTTAATCAGGTGAGATCTCTAAGTGTTGAAAACTAAACTCTTTTTCTTCTGAAGAATGAGGAATTGTGTAATGTACTTTATATTATATTCAGGTATATAAGATAGGTACAAAAGTAGTCCTAAAAAAATTCGATGTGATGTCATAGGTGAGCACTTTGCAAAGGCAGGAGATAGCGCAGAATTGGAATTTG
This sequence comes from Homo sapiens, assembly GCF_000001405.40. Taxonomy (NCBI): domain Eukaryota; kingdom Metazoa; phylum Chordata; class Mammalia; order Primates; family Hominidae; genus Homo; species Homo sapiens. The sequence goes on along the minus strand of NC_000017.11, from coordinate 32,108,681 downwards.
ATTTTAGCAGGCATCCCAGCATCACCCTTAACTAGCTCTGTGGCCTTGGGCCGGTTACACAACCTTTCTGAATCTCCATTTCCTCAGCTTATAAGATACTGAAGGTAAAGCATCTGCCACCAGGTTTGCTGTAAATTTCACCTGTTGTTTTTACATGTGTAAGGTTATACTGTTACTCATCACACCACTGTTGATAAGCTGTTAGAAAAGTTTAGCAATCTATAATAAAGGATATACAGAGTGTCTTTAATAACTGTAGTTTTAAAGATCATATTATACTACTCTGTATAGTATAAATTATTTTTTCTGTAAAAATATTTGAAGGAATAATATAAGAAGTCTAGGAAAACTATTTTATAATTTTCAGCTTTCTTGATTGCAGGTTTGCCAACTTTAATAATAGTGTCATTAACTATTGACATGCTTTCTATAGTTGGAAAAATTAGCATTACAGTGAAACAGAAACCTTTCGCAGCTCCATTTGTTCTCAGCTCTGAATCTCACTGCTGGGCAGCATGGTGTTCCTGTCTCCAGTAGATTACCCACATCTCTGTTGCTTTCAGTCTGAAACCTTGAATATTTGTACAAGCCAGAAAAACTTGATCATTTTAAATTTTCTGCTATGAACAACTTAGTATTTTTAATGTAATATATGTGATACAGAGACATAAAAATACTGCCTTCATAGATAGGTACCTTGGAGGAATTAAAAATATATATATGGCCTTTATCAAGAAATTAAATTCAGGTAAATCTTTTTTTTTTTAAGAGATGGAGTCACTCTGTCACCCAGGCTGGGGTGCAGTGGCATGACCTCAGCTCACTGCAACCTCTGCCGCCCAGGTTCAAGCAATTCTTCTGCCTCAGCCTCCCAAGTAGTTAGGATTACAGTTATGAGCCACAATGCTCGGCTAATTTTTTTATTTTTAGTAGAGACAGGGTTTCACCATGTTGGCCAGGCTGGTCTCAAACTCCTGACCTCAGGTGATCTGCCCATCTCAGCCTCCCAGAGTACTAGGATTACAGGCGTGAGCCACTGAGGCCAGCCATAAACTCAGGTACATTTATACGGGCATATATTCTTTTTGGAAGTAAAATATTTCAGAAATATAGTGTAGTTTCTTAAGGTGAGAGAAATTGTGGACAGACTTCTTGTAGAATGGTATTGTTTTTATTTTGAACTATTTTGATTCATGTTTCCTCTCCCTCGCTTTTTTAGAAATGATTAAAGCAGCAGAAGCTGACAGTGATTGCAACTTCCACCACTTCCTCAACCAACAGTGCAACCAGTACCATCTCTCCAGCACAGAAGGTTATGGTGGCCCCCATAAGTGGCTCAGTTACAACTGGAACCAAAATGGTACTAACTACTAAAGTTGGATCTCCAGCTACAGTAGCATTCCAACAAAATGAGAACTTTCATCAAACCTTTGCTATGTGTGTTAAGCAAGGCCAGTCAGATTCAGGTATACAACTATGATTAAGTAAAAGATTACTTTTGTTCAGGAAAAAGAATTTTCAACCCTTTAGCTACTGAAATGAAACTTTTTTGTAGAAGATTGTTTTTCTTTTGCAGCTGATTGAGCAAACAAGCTATAATGGTTTGTTACAGATAATGTTCATAATATTACATTAGCAAACTCGTCTCTTACATGATTTCACTTTCAACATTTACGTAGTTCACTTTGAGTGGAGAGGAATGTTTTTATTAAAAATACAAAATGAGCCACATTTCATGCATTGGTGCCCTTTCCTAGAAGTCACTACGTTGCTGGTTATTTTAAATCTGAAGCTTATTAAATGTCTTATACCCCATTAGCCACCAGCACAGCTGCGGCATCTGCTACAACCATTGCCAGCACAGGTCAGACGTTCCAAATTACAGGCAATCCAGTCACTATGGCAGGAAAAGTAATTACCAAACTGCCACTTCCTGCAAACAGCAAGACTGTCACTGTAAATGTGCCAGCAACACAAGGAGGTAAGGGAAATGTGAAGAGTTTTAATTCACATTTGCCAGATCATACTGTTGGCATTATTTCTCATCTCCGTTTCACTGATTTCAGACCTCGGATCTCACATTCTGTGTAGCCCACTATAAAACCCTGCCACACGTAGTTTCTTCTCAGCAATGGAGCACCACGTAATGCTTTCCAATAAAGTGACAGTTTTTAATTATGGCTTCATCTTTTTTTAAGGCATTGTTCAAGTACATCAGAAAGTCCTGGGTATCATTCCACCAAGTATAGGCACCAGTCAGCAAACCTTTACTTCATTCCAGCCCAGGACAGCAACAGTCACAGGCAGGCCCAATACCTCAGGCTCTGGAGGAACCACAAGCAATTCACAAGTAAGAATTCTTACAGACTTATTTTGATTTGATGTGTTGAGCACCACATTGATTTTTAGAATGACTTCTTTCAAGATTAATCCAACTTAGTTTCCTTTGCCTATTACTGAATCTGTGACAGAGTACTGATTTGGAAAAAAAATCTGTTATATATCTGATAAGTGAAAATGATATATGAAGTATTAATTTTTAACAGTTAAGGACACATTAGTATGGTTTATTAAGAATAATAATTGCTTTCTAGGATTTTATAAAGAAAATTTATTTGCATAAGACAATGGACAGCACTAGACCACCCAAGGAAGTATGCTGTGTAGGCTCGCTAGGAAATCAAATTTAAACTGCTGGTCCAGCCGGGCGCAATGGCTCATGCCTAATATCCCAACACTTTGGGAGGCTGAGGATGGTGGATCACCTGAGGTCAGGAGTTCAAGACCAGCCTTGCCAACATGGTGAAACTGTGTCTCTACTAAAAATACAAAAAATTAGCTGGGCATCATAGTGGGCACCTATAATCCCAGCTACTTAGGAGGCTGATGCAGGAGAATTGCTTGAACCCAGGAGGCAGAGGTTACAGTGAGCTGAGATTGCACCACTGGACTCCAGCCTGGGCAACAGAGTAAGACTCCATCAAAAAAAAAAAAAAAAGAAAGAAAGAAAGAAAGAAAAGTACTTAGAAAAACTGACAGGAGGAAGGATAATGTTCAGAGTTGGGATTTGGGAATGACTTGCAGAAAAGGTTGAAATTTTAGGAAGGATGGCCTGAGAAGGACTCACTAAAGATGGAATTTGAATAAAGACCTGAAGGAAATGAGAGAGATGTGCAGATACCTGAGGAAAGGGTCTTTTATGAAAAAGAAACAGCAAATGCAAGGGCCCTGAGGCCCTGAGTGGACCTGGTGACATTGAAGGGGTGGGTAGCCAGTGGGTCTCAGGGAGACCCAAAGAGGACAAGAAGTGGGAGTCAAAAGAGTTATGGTCAGAGAGGTGGAGGGTGGGTGGGTGTGGATTGTGCCTTCAGGTGTGCACAGGTCACACTGGAACTTAACCCTCTTCCTACACCACACTAGCTTTTCCTAAGATGAGATCCGGCCGGGTGCAGTGGCCCATGCCTGTAATCCCAGCCCTTTGGGAGGCCAAGGCGGGCGGATCACCTGTGGTCCGGAGTTCGAGACCGGCCTGGCCAACATGGTAAAACCCCTTCTCTACTAAAAATACAAAAATTAGCCGGGCGTGGCGGCGCATGCCGGTAATCCCAGCTCTTTGGGAGGCTGAGGCAGGAGAATCACTTGAACCCAGGAGGTGGAGGTTGCAGTGAGCCGAGACCGCACAACTGCACTCCAGCTTGGGCAACAGAGCGAGACTCCATCTCAAAAAAATAAAATAAAATAAAAAGATGAGATCCACAGAGTCTCGGGGTATAGTCAGAAATTATTAAATTTTTGAATTTCCATTTTGATCTAAAAATACATTGATATATACATATTGGAGATCATCCAGGTGACTATTATAAAAATCAATCAGTACTAATCCTTAGACATGTACTGGACTTCTATCTGCCAAATGCCGTGCTATGCATGTTTCACTCATGGTTTGTAAATGCTCACCACAGCTCTATGAGGGATGCATGATCACTCCTTTTTCTAGATGAGAAAGCTGAGGCTCAATCAGATTAAGTCACTTGCCTGTGCTGTCACACAGATGGAACATTTCTGAGCTGGATTCAAACCCAGGTTCATCTAGCTGCTTCTTTACCACCCTGCCTCCCCCTGAACTGGAGTCTGTGATCCACCAATTAGCAACTCCTGGCACAACGGTAGCCACCCTGAGCCTCAGTGGGCTCATCTTTGACAAAGGATCAGGGTCACCATGACCCTAGCTACCTTAGAGGCTTGTAATAAGCCCTGAATGAGAAAATGAATGTGGAACCCTTTACAACCAAGGACACTTGTGCAAATGCAGTGTGTTGTTATGTAAGGAGAGGAAGTGGGTCTCAAAGCAGCTCCTCCTCTTGTTCCTGGAAGATGAGAAACTCTGGTGCAAATAAAGAGTCATGCAGGCCTCTCGATCGAGAGTGATGTCCTAGGTTTATTCTATTTGCCTCTGGTGGCCCAGGGACCTTAGCAGCTGGACAGAGAGAAGAATTTGGGGGGAGTAAATGGGGAGATGGGACCAGGGAAGGAGAAAGGACTCTGGATTGAGTCAAGCAAGGACTCTAGTTCCAAACTGGACTTTGGAGTGCCTGATAGTATCTTATCAGAGATTTAACACAGATGTGATCATTTCAGAGGCGGGATGGGAAGGACAGGGGTCCAGTGAGCTATTGTTGTGAAGGTGGCCACCAGCCACAGCAGCCATGAGAATATGAGAATCTCATGCTCCCCACCGGCCCCTTGCCAGACTGGGCTACCTGACTATGCTTCAGTCAGTAGTGGGTGAAGACTCACTGAGGACAATGCCTTCTCCCTTAAACTGGGGCCTTTTCCTTCCTGGCCTTTCCTGGGAAAAGAGAGAACAATTAAGTCTGATCATTTATCCCCAGCTGACTATGCCCCAGTAGCGTGGGCTTTAAACCAAATACCACATGTCCATCTGGATACCATGGCAGGCTGGTCACGCGGCCGGCATGCCCGCTGGCTGCCTGCCCCTCTCCTGCATTCATTCAACCCTGATTCTGCAGCATTCCAGAGCAGCCCATTGTTTTTTCCCCTGGGATTGTGAGCCCAGCTCTGGTTTTCTCATCTCTCCTCTGGATGGTGGTGGAAATGCTAGGCCTCAATCCAAAACTGATATGTATTCAGAAAAAAAGAAAGAGAAACCAGTCAGGCCTAATTTGAACTGGGGAAATAGCCAGTGTAAATTTGGAGGAAAATTCAAACTCCATAGCTGACTTGAAAAATGTCCGCATTGACCGGGCATGGTGGCTCATGCCTGTAATCTCAGCATTTTGGGAGGCTGAGGCAGGCAGATCATGAGGTCAGGAGATTGAGACCATCCTGGCTAACATGGTGAAACCCTGTCTCTACTAAAAATACAAAAAAATCAGTTGGGCATGGTAGCGCACACCTCTAGTCCCAGCTACTTGGGAGGTTGAGGCAGGAGAATTGCTTGAACCCAGGAGGCAGAGGTTGCAGTGAGCTGAGATCGTGCCACTGCACTCCAGCCTGGTGACAGAGTGAGACTCTGTCTCAAAAAAAACAAAAAAAAAAACAAAAACAAAAAAAGAAAAGAAAAATGTCAGCATCCAGGGACTGTATCCACCCGGATGATACCCCATTGGGAGGGGGCAGCATCAGCACCGTGCCTGCAGAGGCTTAGGTGTACTTGTGTTTATGTTGATAGTTTATGGCTGTCTGGAGCATAGGCCAGCTCCAGCCCCACTCCCTGAACATCACCAAATTCCAAGCAGTGTGTCTCCGTGAATCTGCTGCTGCTGCTTTTTTTTTTTTTTTTTTTTTTTTTTTAGACAGAGGGAGTTTCTCTCTGTTGCTCAGGCTGGAGTGCAGTGATGTGATCTCAACTCACTGCAATTTCCGTCTCCCAGGCTCAAGTGATTCTCCTGCCTCAGCCTCCTAAGTAGCTGGAATTACAGGCATGCACCACCACACCCAGCTGATTTTTGTATTCTTAGTAGAGATGGGGTTTCATCACATTGGCCAGGCTGGCCTCAAACTCCTGACTTCAGGTGATCTGCCCGCCTTGGCCTCCCAAACTGCTGGGATTACAGGCACGAGCCACCACGCCCAGCTGTGAATCTGCTTCTATGCTGGCTGTGTTTTCCTGGTCACAGCAGCCTCAGGCTCAGTGAAAGTTCACTTGCTGTAATTATTCAGGTTTCATTGGTTCTCCCTTATCCCCCTGCAAAGACCCACTCTCCCTCTAAGTACTGATGGCAGCCTCCAGAGGGTATCTCAAATGTGCTCTTAAACTAGTCCTTTCAGCCACCACGTGGTGTCCTCTGAGCAGGACCGCCTGATCTTCTGGGCACCCCTCGCCCAACATGACCACTGCCTCTAGGCATCGCCTCCCAGGCTGGACACCAGGGGCCAGAGTTGTTCACTGCTCCCTTCACACTCCACAAAGGCCTTCCTGAAGCAGAGCTGTTCGTATTTCCACAAAAACACCTTCCCCACCTCCCCCTACCAAAAAAAAAAAAAAAAAAGAAATCACCCTTCCCCACCTCCCCCACCAAAAAAAAAATCACCCTTCCCACCTCCCCCCAACCAAAAAAAAAAAAAAAAAGAAATCACGCTCCCCAAAAAGAAAGAAAGAAAGAAATCACCCTTCCCTTTTTCACGTGTGGCTTCCATTCTCCTTATGCCCCTGGTGTGAGTCCCAGAGGCTGAGTGATGGCTGCCACACTGAACTCAAGAGTCCCTCCTCCCCTACATCTCTACATCTCTGAAGCTTCACTTGGACCCAGCTTGTCATACCCAACCCTATTCCATTAAGAGAGGTGTCTCCCAGGAGGCCACTGAGGCAGTAGACCCAGGCAAGTCTGTCCTGTCATGTTGCAAGCAGCTCCTGATGTGGCTTGACCCCAGGGGCTAAACAAGGATACACAGCTTCATCTAGAGTAGAATGAACCCCAATTCAATAGCCTCATGGAGACCGGGGACAGACCAGGCAGCAGAATGGAGGTGCAAAGCCTCCTAGGGCTCGAGGACTGGAAAGCGGATTCCCTGGGGAAGACACATGGAGCTAGGGAATGGCAGAAGCTGAGGATCAAGCACCTCATACACCCAGACTCCACATGTGGAAACCGCTGTTCAAACTAACGATACCAGGTTGACTGTGTCAGCCCCTGAAGGAAAGCTGGCATAAATAGAGCCTGGAAAACCAGGCTTATCTTTGCCCAGTAGGCAAGGTAAATATTTAGTCCCAGCCCTGGAATCGTGCCTGGTAGTTCCATTCTTTGCTATCAGTTTTCCTTTTATTCACTCATCCTGCAAACATTTGCCACCTGCCCTCCCTCTATGTGGCCAACCTTGGCCTGGGCACTTCGATGCTCTGATGGCTAAGACGTGATCCCCTATTCTTTTCCTCAGGGAGTCTTGCTGGGGGAACAGACAGGGGGCAGAGATCAGGTCAGGCCTCACAGGCTGGGTCTTGGCTGGCACATAGACTTCACAAGAGGAAGCAAGACTACAGGGAGCAGCCAGGGAGAGTGCTCCAGGGCTAGGGTCAGCACCCGTCCCAGCCTCCCTGACTGGCCTGGTGATTTCTGCACCCATGCTTCCCTGTAAGCGTGGACGTAGAAACACAGAACAAGAAACACTTTGAGGCCAGCAGCACTCAGTATAAGGGAAGCAGCAAGGACTGCTGGGTTTGCAGATCTGGGTTCAATTCCCCATTGCATCATTCATTCACTGGCAAGGGACAAGTTGCTTTACCTCTCAAGTTTCTTCAGAAAAGCAGTAGAATGTAGCAATTGTAAGTGGGCGGACTCATGTATCAGACTTTCTGGGTTCAAATCTCAGCTCTATCTGTTTTTTGGGGGTTTTGTTTTCGTTTTTGAGATGGGGGTCCTGCTTTGTCACCCAGGCTGGAGTACATTGGCACGATCTCAGTTCACTGCAACCTCCACCTCCCAGATTTAAGCAATTCTCCTGCCTCAGCCCCCTGAGTAGCTGGGACTACAGGCACACACCATCATGCCTGGCTAATTTTTGTATTTTTAGTAGAGACAGGGTTTCGCCATGTGGCCAGGCTGGTCTCACTCCTGACCTCAGGTGATCTGCCCGCCTCGGCCTCCTAAAGTGCCGGGATTACAGGCGTGAGCCACCGTGCCCAGCGGTAGTCATCTAACTTTCTAAGAACACATTGTGGCCTAAAGCTCAATGCTCTCTTTGTTGTTCTCCATTACTACAAAAGGTTTAACTAATTTTTAAACATACATTACATGCTGAATTATACTTAAATAGAACATGCTCATTGTAGGAAATGCCAAAAATATGAAATGGAAATCAACTACAATTCTACTATGCTAATTGGTTATTTTTCAACGATAAAAGCTGATCCAGTTGGTTATTTAGAGGAAGAGAATTTAAGTAGCTCAATGACCCAGGCACAGTTTTTGCATGGTACTTTACTTAATTCTCCAATACGTAGTGTTCTATCACATGAAAATTCATAATGAAATTTTCCAATTGCCCTATATTAACATTTTTAGTTTTTTACATTGCCCCAAATCAGACCACTTAACACTTTTGATTATCCATTCCTGTTTTGATTTTGTTCTTTAATTATGATTATACTGTATATATAATTTTATACACAGACAAGCTTGCCCTTGAAAATATTTATTCTTCTGATTGTTTTTTGTTTTTTTTTTTCTATTTTTATTTTTTACTCTGGGAAACATTTCTAATTCAACATACTTTATAAAATCATATCTCACATTGCCTTTTAGGGGACTAAAGATTGTTATCTGTTATTGTACCAAAACACGAGAGAGCAAAAAGGGATTTGTCTATTTTAATGCCATGATTCATAAAAGGAAATGAAGGGGGGGAGTAAGCTGGCTGAAATTAATAAAATTTCCTATGATTTGATATATATGGAGGAAAGAGTAAGACCGTGATTGTGTTATTGCAATTACTGATCCTAACTCCTGAACACTAAAACCTTTCTAATAAAAAAATTACACATTTTTCTAAACAGATCTAATAGAGAAATACTTCCAACTACCAGATATGAATAAATATAATTCACAGTAACTAAGAATGCTTTTTTCTGCAGATGAAGTATATTTGTGCCCAACACTATTTATATGTGAGAGCCTATCATTCTCCAAAAATATGCACGAATTCACAGGAATATTGATGCAGAATATGTGAGAACAAGCTTGGATGCAGCTATCTGGGTGTCTTAATTAAATATAAACATTCTATTTTTAAGCAAATGGAGAATGGGGAAAATTAATAGGATTATATGTATGGCAGATAATGTATGCAGAAGAGCAGAACTCAGAACCAGGCACTTAAAAGTGTACTTGCAGAATCTTACCTAACAATTTTATCTAAGTTAAAACTTAAAAGGCACTGCAGTTGGCCCTCTGTGGCCAAAGGTTCCGCATCCTTGGATTCAATCAACCTCAGATTGAAAATACAGTATTCTCAAGATGCAGAACTCTTGGATGTGGAATGCCAACTTTTCATATCAGCAGGTTCCATAGGGCTGACTGCAGGATTTGGGCATCCACAGATTTTGCTATCTGCAGAGGGCTCAGGAAGCAATCCCTGAGAATACTGAGGGATGGCTATATTAGAAAACACAGGTGGTATTTATTAAACATGCACAGAATACATCTAGCAGGATGAAAAAATAGCAATAATGATTGCCTCTGGAGAAAGGAGGTCAGATTGGAGATTATGAAGGAGAGAGATTCATTTTTCACAGCATACCTTTTTATACTATTTAAACTTTTAAGGTATGTATGTTTTTAAAACTTAAATAAAAAGAAAAGCAGAGTTGAGTAACAAAATAAATAAGGTGACATTGAATTATAACCTAATAAATAACCAGTTATAACCCAATGAATATAAAATAAATATCCATGAATATATACTCATAGAAATAAATGTCTGAAAAAATAAACGAATAAACAAATCTCCTGTGCAGAAAAAATCCAAATAATTTATGTAGATATTGCCCCTTCAGGAAGGTAGAACATAACTCCCCACCCACTAAGTGTGGCTGTTTACAGTGACTTACAGTATTGGGGGTTTGAGGAGATGGGGGAGGATGTAGGGAAACCTGACAAACACTGCCTCACCCAGAGGACCAAGGTTAACATCATCAGTGATAAGTCACGACGACAGCATGCACTCTTGATAAGACGAGAACTGCACATCACCTCTGTGGTCTTCCTCCCCAAAATGCAAAAACCTAGGCTAACCATGAGAAAAACCCATAAGGAGGGCTTTCTACAACATACCTAACCAGTACTCCTCCAAACTGTCAAGGCCATCAAAAACAAGGAAAGTCTGAGAAACCGACAGTCTAGAGGAAAACATGATGACTAAATATCATGTGGTATAGGATCATGAGGCAGAAAAAAGACATCAGGTAAAAACTAAGGAAATCTGAGTAAAGTATGGACTTGAGTTAATAACAGTGTGTCAACACTGGCCCATTAGTTGTAACAAATATCCCACACTAATCTAAGATGTTAATAACTGGGGCAACCAAGTACAGGATATACGGAAACCCTCTACTATCTTTGCAACTTTTGTACAAATCTAAAATTATTCTAAAATTTAAAGTTTTATTTTTTTAAAAAGGCAAAAAGTTCAAAAAATATTATTTCTTAAAAGCTGGAATGCCAAAAAAGTTTAAAAAGATACTTGAATTAAAGAAAAAAACTAACATTTTGGGGAATATTAGTAATGACCCAAGGCAGAAATAAAACACTAAAATGTATAGCATCCCTAATTTATGTGGGAATGAACAAGGTTCTCTTCGGAAAATGAAATATGGAGAACTAAAGTAAAATATACACACAGCCATACACTGCACAATGTTTCAGTCCACGAGGAACCACATACATGACGGTGATCCCATAAGATTTTATGTAGTACCTTTTTAAATGTTTAGATATGGTTAGATACACAAATACCTACCGTTGTGCTACAGCTGATCACGGGATTCAGTACAGTCACAGGACATACAGGTTTGCAGCCTAGCAGCAATAGGCTATGCCATATAACCTAGGTGTATAGGAAACCATACCATCTAGGTTTGTATAAGTGTACTCTATGATGTTCACACAATTGGGACATCGCCAAATGACACATTTTTCAGAATGTATCCCCATCATTAAACAATGCATGACTGTACTTGAAAATTTTAATCTATTTTTGGCCAGACACGATGGCTCAAGCCTGTAATCCCAGCACTTTGGGAGGCCAAGGCGGTTGGATCACGAGGTCAGGAGATCGAGACCATCCTGGCTAACTTGGTGAAACCCCGTTTCTACTAAAAATACAAAAATTTAGCCGGGCGTGGTGGCGGTGGGCACCTGTAGTCCCAGCTTCTCGGGAGGCTGAGGCAGGAGAATGGCGTGAACCTGGGAGGCAGAGGTTGCAGTGAGCCAAGATTGTGCCACTGCGCTCCAGCCTGGGCGACAGAGCGAGACTCCAAATCAAAAAAAAAAAAAAGAAAGAAAAGAAAATTTTAATCTATTTTTAAATTTTGCAGTGATTTCATACCAACAGTTTAGCTCAGACTTAACAAAAATAAAATGAGAAAATGCCCCTCTTGCCATTAGCTGTTGCCAGAAAGGATTTGATACTGCCCCGAGCCTTATCGGTCAGGTCTTCAGTTATGTCCATGTGTCGGTGGATTTCTTCATGCATTTCTTCCAGAATTTTGCAGAGTTCTGCTTCCCAATAATCTTTGTCTAGACAGTCAATTAATTCTGCAAGCTGAACCTTTGCACTGTAGTACCAAATTTTATTTTCATTTTCATTTTCTGTATCTTCTTCTCTTTAAAAATGGGGGGAAATACATTATATGTTAGACATAATGCCACTTATCTGACAGCTGCATCTACCCAGTGAAAAGTTAAAACAAAGCTTATGCACTAAAACTCAATATATGTGCTCACAAGAGATCCCTGCAGGTCTTACTCAAACTTGATTTACTCTGAGAAAGGACATCTAAAAAACTTGATACAGAGAAAGATGACCTCAAAATTCAGAGCCACATGAGAGTACTTTGTGGAAGCCAGTTTCAGCTACATCTCAATCAACTTTAAGATCATCAATGTAACAATATGATGAGCCGAATGTATTTAGAATTATTTTATTTTAATTATTTATTGAGACGGAGTTTTGCTCTTGTCACCCAGGCTGGAGTGCAGTGGCGCGATCTCGGCTCGCCGCAACCTCCATCTCCCGGGTTCAAGCGATTCTCCTGCCTCAGCCTCCTGAGTTGCTGAGATTACAGGCATGCGCCACCACACCTGGCTAATTTTTTGTGTTTTTAATAGAGACGGGGTTTCTCCATGTTGGTCAGGCTGGTCTTGAACTCCTGACCTCAGGCGATCCACCCACTTTAGCCTCCCAAAGTGCTGGGATTACAGGCGTGAGCCACCGTGCCTGGCCCGCTTCACCCTCTTTACAGCAGCCTGTCACTCTCCCGATCTCAGTGATGATGCTCTAAGTGGTTAAGAATTGATTCTGGAGCCAGGCTGCCTGGGTTTGAACCCAGGTCTGTTTATTAGCTTGGTGATCCAGAGCAAGTTATTCTGCTCTGTGACTCAATTTCCTCCTTTTAAACTGGGGATTATGCTAGTTACCATTTCATAGGATTGTTGTGAAATTTAGGTGAGTGAATATATGGAACACTTCATCAGTGCCTAGCATATGTAGGAGTGTTGGCTGTTAACATGATTACTCTGTCCTTTAGTTATGTCCAGAACTCCTCTTTGTCCCTGGCTTTTTATATGTAGCACTCATTTTGTGACAAACCCAGGACCAAGTATGCTATTGTCCGCAGAACATGAAGATGATAGGAGGGAAGAAAGAGAATAGGCATAAAAAGGGCGGTGTATATAATTAATTCCTGAAAGATAATGCATACCATCGGTGCTAGAATTTACCAGAATCTGTGGTCCTTGAGGTGTGGAGATCAGGGAAAGCTACATGGATAAGCTAAAAGTTTACTTGGGTCTTAAAGAGTACACAATGAGGTATGGAAAGCCATTGAAAGTTTCCAAGCAAGAGAGATTAAATGATTAAAACAGGAAGATTATTTTATTTTATTTTGTTTTTTTTTGCTTTATGTTCAAGTATAGACATGCAAAGGATTATTTTAGAATCCATACGTAGAGTGCCCAAAAGGAAAAGCTTATTTCAGGGAGACAAAATAGAAAGGTCTAGCAAAATGTAGGAGTAAAGTGTGAAGGGGCTAAATCAGATCAGTTGTAATAAGAGTGGAAAGAAAAAGCCTAGGATGTTTCAACAGAGGGCAAAGCTTTGGTGTTACCTGGCATAGGGTTTCTTTCTACTTATTTATCGATAAAGATAAGCTTATGCCCATTTTTCTGTTGAATTATTTACCATTTTTGTGTTGATTTGTAGGAGTTTGTTTAGACACATAAGTGCTTTTGGATAAAATACTTACATTCAAAGTAATTAACTGGCATCGTCTGTCCAAGAGATGGGATGGATAGGAAGTTAAGCTTCCGGGAGATGCCTCATCATTTGTGCCAGTGGCCCCGCATTATTTCTTGATGAAGTGTGCAAACTGGGAAGCTGATAGCTCTGGAAATGAGAAAGCAGGTGTTATTTTCTGTTTCTGAATATCCCCGACAAGATTGCCATGATTCTTTTATTTATCCTGTTCATTCTTTGCGTGCCTATTCAAGGATATAAACTGTCTTTCTTTGCAGAAATTTCCAAGGAAACTATATTTCATACATTGATGGAAATGTATGGAAAGCATACAGTTGGACCGAGAAACTGTGAGTATATTCTCTCCAAATATGACAAAAAACTAACTGCATTGTAAGATCCTTCTTGGTCCAGAATTTTGAGGTCCATACCTCTGAGAAAAGATATTTCCCCTCCATGCCCCAAATCAGCCTCTGTGGATTGCAATCCTATGGTTATTTTAAAATTAAATTTGGTAGGCTCTCTCTAAAATAAGAAGCAATTTAAATTTATTTTTTATCATACAAATAATACATGGTTATATTCTTTTTTTTCCTCTTTTTTTTTTTTTTCAGAGACAAGGTCTTACTTTGTCCCCTGGGCTGGAGTGCAGTGGCATAATCACATCTCACTGCAGCCTTCACCTCCCAGGCACAAGTGATCCTCCCATCTCAGCCTCCCAAGCAGCTGGGACCACAGGTGCATGCCACCGCGCCCACCTAATTTTGTATTTTTTGTAGAGACGGGCTCTTCCTATGCTGCTTAGGCTGGTCTTGAGCTCCTGGGCTCAAGTGATCCTCCCACCTTGGCCTCCTAAAGTGCTCATATTATAGGCATGAGCCACCACCCCCAGCCCGTGATTCTATTTTTAATGTATAAAAATGCAATAACAGGTATAACAAAAACCCTCCTTGTGCCCTACTCCCTCATCCCTGAGGTAATGCTACTGTGTGTTTAGTATACATGCTTCCAGACTTTTCCCCATTTACCTACATACATATTTACATAAAGCAAAATAGATTTGTTGTGTGGTTTTTAAAATCTTTTTTCTTTTCATAAAGGGTAACATCTTGCAACTTGATTCTTTCACTTCATGGTATCACTTATATGATATTCTTTCACTTCATAATTTCCTTCCTAGGACTTAGAGGGTCACCCCATTCATTTAAACTCCTGCATAATCCATAGTATGGATGCATCATAGTTTATTTAATAATTTCCCCATTGATGAATGTTGAGCTTATGCTTCGTGGGCAAGTATTCCTGTAGCATAGATATCTAGAAATGGAAGAGTTGGGGTGAAGACTATGTAGATATAAAATTTTAATTGTCCTCAAAAATGTGCCAACTGACTGTATCGTCAGCAGAATATGACAGCATTCATTTCCCCACACCTTTTCACTGTTGGGAATTTGCCAACTTTTTGTTGAATTTATGGATGAATAAAAGGGATTCCATCCAAATTTGAATTTTTCTGATCACTCATGAATTTAATTAAATATCTTTATATGTTTATTGAACATTTGTGTTTCTTCTCTGAGTTTTCTATCCTTTGTTCATTTTCCTGTTGAATTGTTTTATCGTTTTCTTCCTGATTTATAGAAGGAATTAGTTGAGACACATAAATGATTTTGGAAAAAATGCTTACATTCAAAGTAACATTTTTCACAACAGTTTGTGTCACATCATTAGTTTGACTTATATAGACAAGACATACATAAGTTCTAAATTAAAAATCAAACAATGCCATGTGCAGTGGCTCACAGCTGTAACCCCAGCACCTCAAGAGTTCGAGGCAGGTGGATCACCTGAAGTCGGGAGTTTGAGACCAGCCTGGCCAATATGGTGAAACCCCATCTCTACTGAAAATACAAAAATTAGCCAGGCATGGTGGTGGGTGCCTATAATCCCATCTACTTGGGAAGCTGAGGCAGGAGAATTGCTTTATTTATTTTTTGAGACGGAATTTTGTTCTTGTTGCCCAGGCTGGAGTTCAATGGTGCGATCTTGGCTCACTGCAAGTTCCACCTCCCGGGTTCAAGGGATTCTCCTGCCTCAGCCTCCTGGGTAGCTGGAATTACAGGTGCCCGCCACCATGCCCAGCTAATTTTTCTATTTTTAGTAGAGACAGAGTTTCACCATGTTGGACAGGCTGGTCTCGAACTCATGACCTCAGGTGATTCATGTGCCTTGGCTTTCCAGAATGCTGGGATTACAGGCATGAGCCACCACGCCAGGCCAGGACTACATTTTAAAAGCAAGAAAGTCATTACAAAAGTCAGAGTAGTGGTTACCTACTAGGGTTAGAGAGAGGAATATGGTTGGAAAGGGGCACACTGGGGCTTCTGGGATGCTAGCAATAATCTTTTGTAACAATGTTTACATGGGTATCTGCTTTATAATTATTAAACTGAATATTTGGCCAGGTGAGGTGGCTCATGTCTGCAATCCCAACACTTTGGGTGGCAGAGACAGGAGGATCACTTGAGCCAGGAGTCTGAGACCAGTGTGGATAACAGAATGGACCCTGTCTCAGAAATTAAATTAAATTAAATTAAATTAAATATAAACAACATTTACGTTATGTGCACCTTATGCACATTGTAGTTCTCAAATTTTTTTGATGGGGGAAAAAAGTTGAATGGCTTCACTTGCAGCCCTGACATGGTCCCATGTGGGGCTTTTGTAATAAGGTTTGGGAAAAGAGAGGAGGAAATGGAGGTTCTGCTGATCTTGGTGCCACCCAGAGTTGGATTCTGAAAGGTATATTATGATCTAGAGAGGAGTCATTAAAGATACAATTTGGTGGGAAGAGTGGAGCAGTGTGCTTGTGTGTGTGTGCTTGCACGTGTGTGTGTGCTTGCTTGTGTGTGCTTGTGTTTGTGTGCTTGCTTGTGTGTGTGCATGTGTGTGTGCTTGCATGTGTGTGTGCTTGCAAGTGTGTGTGTGTGCTTGCCTGTGTGTGTGTGCTTGCCTATGTGTGTGTGTGCTTGCAAGTGTGTGTGTGTGCTTGCCTGTGTGTGTGTGCTTGCCTATGTGTGTGTGTGCTTGCCTGTGTGTGTGTGCTTCTGTGTGTGTCTGTGCTTGCATATGTGTGAGTGCTTGCAAGTGTGTGTGTGTGCTTGCCTGTGTGTGTGGTGGTGGTGGTGGAGAGGGATGGACACAAAAAGGAAAATGGAAGAAAAGGTTTGAACGAAACCAGAGCAGATCCCATCATCTTGAAATGACCATGACCCAGCTTTCCTCCACATGCAGGAGATAGTCCTGTGTAGCAAATAGTTGTAGTTTGCATTTTAACCTAGAAATAACTTTTTCATTTTCCAGAATTCTCAGTGAAAATTATTTGACTGAATTACATAAGGATTCATTTGAAGGCCTGCTATCCCTCCAGTATTTATAAGTTAGTTAATCATATTTTTGAGTTTTTAGTCATATTATCTTTAAAATGAATAAGAGGTTCAAATTAGATAATCTCTAAGATTTCTTCCAGCAATAAAATTCTGCAATTCTGTAAGTTTGTATAGGGTCTCAGCCCATCTCTAGCATTAGCTACATCCTATGCATTTTCAGTTTTTAAATTGTATAGACAAAATACAGACAGAAAAAATTTCACATGGTAAGAAGATCTGAGCAGTGACTGACACCCATATGAACCTTGTTTTATAAGGGTTTACATACCATCTTCTTCTATTCAGTCTACAGCCAGTAGATCAAATCTAACCTAAGGTCTATTTTTTAATAGCCTATTAAGAATGGTTTTTGCATTTCTAAAGGACTGTGAAAGAAAAAAGAAAGAGAAATATGCGAGAGAGATCATATGTGGCCCACAGAGCCTTAAAATATTTACTGTCTGACCTTCACAAAAAACGATTTGAAAAAGTTGGTTTAGTAGGATGAAAGGAATTAAAGTTAACTTCAGATTGTTGCCTAAAGGAGAAGAAAATATAGACCACCTACATTCATTTGAACATCATTAATCCAGAATTTTTTGGTAATTTAATCGCATTAAATTAACATTTAAATATTTGAAATCAGCTGAATTATAGAAATAATATTATCAAGAATATTAAGCTACCAAGAGAATAGACTAGTATTAAGGATTTCATTTCAGGAATTGTTATATTAAAACAGATGTTTAAAATGATGGTTAAGTGGTAGAGCTAGAAATGTTTACAGTAAGAAGCATATCAGAAATGCCCCTAACTCTTCACTAATTACACAGTAACTATCTCCCCAGCCCTGTTACCAAGAAAGGGATACCTGCATAGTATTTCTGTCTGTTTAGAGACAAGAAGATACTATGTTCAATTGCTATGAAAGCTTGATTCTTATCCTCTGTCCGCAGAGGTGTGTATGTCATTAATCCTTATTAGTGATGCTCTTTTGCAGACAGATTCTTTCAAATGTGAAAGGCTTAAGGAAAGTGGGTGTAAAGACCCTCAAGTGGATGCCAAAGTGCTACAGAGGCCATGAAGTAATAAAACTACATTTGCTTTAAAATAATCATTTTCCTACTACTCACTCCCCCAGCTTTTCATTTATTTATTTATTTATTTTTATTTATTATTTTTTTTTGAGACGGAATCTTGCTCTGTCACCCAGGCTGGAGTGCTGTGGTGCGATCTCGGCTCACCGCAAGCTCTGCCTCCCTGGTTCACTCCATTCTCCTGCCTCAGCCTCCCGAGTAGCTGGAACTACAGGCACACGCCGCCACGCCCAGCTAATTTATTGTATTTTTAGTAGAGACGGGGTTTCACCTTGTTAGCCAGGATGGTCTCCATATCCTGACCTTGTAATCCACCCGCCTCAGCCTCCCAAAGTGCTGGGATTACAGGCATGAGCCACTGCGCCCGGCCAGCTATTCATTTGTTTTACAAATATTTTAATTTACTTTATTTCCATGTGTCAGTTTTAAACATGGTGGGCAATGCAGATGAGCAAGACCTAGTCCATGCTTTCAAGGAGTTTATGCTCAGAAAAAATGGGATGAACAATAACTACATTAAGAAGAAGAAATGGATGTGGGCACTAGGAGGGGTAAATTGTTTCTGAAGCATAGAAGAGGGGAAAATGACTTCAGTTTGGACCCAGGAAGCTGTTACTAGAACAATCCCATTTGAATAGGACTTTGAAGGGCCATTGTGTAGCATCGGACAGACATCTTGGGGACAATATTCTAAACTTGCAAAAGGGAAATGGGAGAAGGGCAAAACACAGGAAAGTATTCGAGGAATGCCATGAGTACCTGTAGATTACAAGGAGGGAGAGTAGGAAATTGGAGCCAGATCTTCTAGGGCTTTGAATGCCAAGCTGAGGAGCCATGATGGGGAACCATGTTATCACAGCAGTGCTGTAAGATGGATCTGCATCACAGTCATTGAGAGGGCACGTTAGAACTCAGTTCTGGACTCCGTCCTCATAGTTATTGATTCAGTTGGTCTAGAGTGGGACCAAGAATTTGCATCCTCAATAATTTCCCAGGAGGTGCTGGTCTTTGCAAGCCACTTCTGGAGAGTTTATATGATGACTGTGTGGAGGATAGTTTAGGAAGGGAGAGACTAGAGATGGAGACATCAGCCAGACAACGTTACACCATCCAGGTAAAGAGGGAGGGAAAAGCCCCATCTCTGTATAACTGAAGAAATTGCTTTCATGAAATATTAAAGCAATATAAAACCAAAAATGAATTTCTATTAATATGATAGAAATTAATTGTATTAATATGATTTGAATATTAGTTCAAAGTTATGTATTAAGTAAAGGGGTAACTTCCTTTCAAATGCTGTTGAAAGGATGTCTTTTATTCTGATACTGAACTGGCTTAGGAAAACAAAGCTAAACTAGGAAGGTGTATAAATGTGAGGCTATTCGTTTTAATATTAGAAACTATATATAGAGATAAAAGCTTTGAGCTCATAATCTAGGATTTGATGAGACTACAAAAGGGCATCTAATCAAGTCTACTGCTCTCAGGAAAAATTAATTCCAAAGTCTATTAAGTTGTATATTTTGTTTATTAAAAGTATGAAGGTGAGACTCTAGGAGAGGTACAGGCAGGGTTAGGAGCTCTGGAAAGTTCAAATACAGGTCCAAATGTTTAGAGTCGAGATGAAAAATGTGTATTCAATATTATTCTAAACTCTTGCTGTTATTCATACCAGTCAACACTGATAACTTATCAAGGCAATATTTTCCTTTTATTTTTCCTAGAGATTTATCCTGCAATAAAATACGATATATTGAAAGACATACATTTGAATCACTACCATTTTTGCAGTATATGTAAGTTACAAATATAACTTTATTACATTTGGAATTTTTATAAAACTTAATTATAAACCTCTTTGCTATTCATTTTGAAATATGATTAAAATTTGACCAGTAGAAAGGTACTAAAATTATATAGCAAGTCCTTCTTGTCTCTAGCAAAGATTAGTGTGAGAATTATTACACAGATCATAGTGAATCATCAGAGAGCAGTGGTTCTCAACTGGTGTGATTTTGTACTCAGGTGATATTTGGTAATGTCCAGAGACACTTTTGCTTGACAAAACTGTGGTTGTGCTCCTGGCATCTGGTGGGCAGAGGCCAGAGATGCTGCTAAACATCCTGCAGAGTATAAGACAAACCCCCACGGCAAAGAGTTATATAGTCCAAAATGTCGATGGTACTGAAGTTGTGAAATCCTGTTCTAGAGAAATGAAGATCACTTAACACAGGTATTTACTGAGCGTTCACTGTTTTGTAGCTAATGTATCACGTGTGCAATATTAAAGTATAAATCATAAGCCAGTATCTTCCACAGTGAGATTGCCTTAGTGCACAGAGAAAGGATTGAGGTGATGTTCCATCCTATGTAAATTAGACTCACAGCAAATGATAAATGTTCTGAAATAATTTTTTTTTCCTTTGGCTTATGTCTTTTTTTGTAGAAATCTGGGCTGCAATTTAATTACAGAACTGAGCCTTGGAACATTTCAGGCCTGGCACGGAATGCAGTTTTTACACAACTTGTAAGTGAAATAGAAGATGAATACGTGTAAACAACTATTTTGTATAAAAACTCATACAATTATTGGTTAGCTGGGTATAAGCCCATTATGAACTCTGAAAAGTGTGTCTTAAGATCCATTCGTTTTTCTCAAATGGGGAAACTAAGGTACAAAGCGGCCAAGAGACTTACACAGCTTATATATGACCTGCTCTGCTTATCCTAGTTCTGACCTATGGCATGGGCAAGAAAAGCCATCAAACAAGTGACCCTCAAATTAGCCTTGTTGCTGGGCGGGTGGCTCAGGCCTGTAATCCCAGAACTTTAGGAGCTGAGGGGGGCGGATCACCTGAGGTCAGGAGTTCAACACCAGCTTGGCCAACATAGTGAATCCCCATCCCTACTGAAAATACAAAAAAATTTGCTGGGCGTAGTGATGCAGTTTTTTGCTCCCTGGAGGACTTTGTGTTAAGCTTTCTTCCTTGCAGCTAAATGTTGCAGACATTTAAGCAGTTTGAAACTCTGCATATGAGCAGGAATCAAAGTTAAATCCAAAGTGTAGGGCTGGGCGTAGTGGCTCATGCCTATAATCCCAGCACCTTGGGAGGATCACTTGAGGTCAGGAGTTTGAGACCAGCCTGGCCAACATGGCGAAACCCCGTCTCTACTAACGATACAAAAATTAGCAGGTCGTGGTGGCAGGCACCTGTGATCCCAGCTATCGGGAGGCTGAGGGTCGAGAATGGCTTGAACTCCAGAGGTGGAAGTTGCAGTGAGCCGAGATTGTGCCACTGCACTCCAACCTCCCCTCCAGGCTGGTCTCGAACTCCTGTGACCTCAGGTGATCTGCCCACCTTAGCCTCCCAAAGTGCTGGGATTACAGGCTTGAGCCACCGCACCCGGCCTTGTGGATTTTTTTTTTAGAGACTACAGGTGTAAGCCATTGTGCCTGGCTTTTTTTTTTTTTTTTTTTTTTTTTGGTAGAGACAGGGTCTTGCTATGTTGCCCAGGCTGGTCTCAAACTCTTGGCCTAAAGGGACCCTCCTACCTTGAGCTCCTGAGTGGCTGCGATTACAGACTCCGGACACTGCACCCGGCTCCAGGTGGGTTTTATTACCATCTTCATTTTATAAATGAGGAAAGGGGCTCAGAGAAGTTAAGTAACATGCCCAATGTCACACAGCTAATAACTGTGAAGCTGGGATTTGAACCCAGGTTCTTGGATTCGAGAGCCTAAGATCCTGAGTTCAGGTAAGTAATACAATGTCAGCTGGCTGTAAGACAGATGATGGTAAATAACAGGGACCACTGGGCCTGGCAAGGTGGCTCACACCTGTAATCCCAGCACTTTGGGAGGCAGAGGTAGGCGGATCACCTGAGGTCAGGAGTTTGAGACAAGCCTGGCCAACATGGTAAAACCCCATCTCTATAAAAACACAAAAATTAGCCAGGTGTGGTGGCATGTGCCTGTGGTCCCAGCTACTTGGGAGGCTGAGGTGGGAGAAATCGCTTGAACCCAAGAGGCGGAGGTTGCGGTGAGATCACACCACTATGCTCTAGCCTGGGTGACAGAGTGAGACTCCATCTTAAGAAAAAAGAAAGGCCGGGGGCGGTGGCTCACGCCTGTAATCCCAGCACTTTGGGAGTCCAAGGCGGGCGGATCACGAGGTCAGGAGATTGAGACCATCCTGGCTAACACAGTGAAACCCTGTCTCTACTAAAAATACAAAAAATTAGCCGGGCATGGTGGCGGGCGCCTGCAGTCTCAGCTACTCAGGAGGCCGAGGCAGGAGAATGGCGTGAACCCGGGAGGCGGAGCTTGCAGTGAGCCGAGATCAGGCCACTGCACTCCAGCCTCAGCGACAGAGCTAGACTCCGTCTCAAAAAAAAAAAAAAAAAAAAAAAAGGCCGGCGCGGTGGCTCATGCCTGTAGTCCCAGCGCTTTGGGAGACCGAGGCAGGTGGATCACCTGAGGTCAGGAGTTCTAGACCAGCCTGGCCAACATGGTGAAACCCCGTCTCTACTAAAAATACAAAAATTAGCTGGGCGTGGTGGCATGCGCCGGTAATCCCAGCTACTCAGGAAGCTGCTTGAACCCAGGAGGTGGAGGTTGCAGTGAGCCGAGATTGCACCACTGCACTCCAGCCTGGGCTACAGAGCAAGACTCTGCCTCAAAAGAAAAAATACAAATAAAATAAAGAGAACAGCCAGTGGGAAGTCCCAGAAATGGGCACACACTGGGTGTGTCTGGGGTGCAGTGAGGGGCCCCTGTGGCTGAGGCGAAAGTCTAGGGATTATTGCACCCACTTTGCACGTGTGACCTTCCACAGTTCTTCACACAGCGACTCCTTCACAACAGTCTCATGACATAGGTTTTTATAATTCTCCTCTCTTGACGGGTAGGGAAACTGAGGCTCAGGGTGGCTAACTGAGCCACAGCCAGAAAGCAATGGAGCTCCAATCTGAATCCAGGCAGCCTGCCCCCACTGCCGAACTCCAAAGGAAACACAGTAGGGAGCCAATGCCAGCAGGCTGGGAGGGCTGCCTGGAGGAGGTGGATGTCACCAGAACCTGTGGGAGGACCCTGAGGAGCAGGGAGGGAGGGAGCTGCCGCTGACCAAGGCACAAAAACATGTTCCTGGGGCAGTTCTTGGAAGGCAGATTTCCAGGCGCCTGCCCCCAATGTGGCCCTGCCTCCCGCTCCCCCAGGCCCCCTCTTCCTAGAGGGAGGGCGGCAAGAGGCGCTTCATTAGCGCCTCTGAGGCCCCAGCAGCCCCGAGGGGATGAAAAGCGCCTAGGAGGGGAGCCGTCCTCATTTTGGCACACCTGGCAGGGGGCCCAGGACCACTGAAAGGGATTCAGCTGGGGCCGGCTGGGCAGGCCCGGTCATTGTTCCGGCTAGATCCGCGGTCAGGGCTTCAAATGCAAAACCGGGCTGGGGATGGGGTGGGGGCGCCGGTGGCCTCTGCTCTTCCTTTAATAGACCAAAGGACTCTGGCGGCTTAGCTCTTTTTCCTAATTTAAAGATATTTTCAGGCGTTTGGGAGCTCCCCTAGGCGAAGCAGGAAGGCTGGGAAGTGGGGGGCCTTGAAATTCTCTTCGTGGTTGCCCGCGGAGGATGGAGGAAAAGGCGGGGAGGAGGGGGGCTGAGGTTGGTCTGGGGTCACGGGTGGGGCGCTGCCCCCCCGTGTTGAGTTCTCGGCTGTCCTCTGCCCCAGTTTCCCTCTCTGGAAACTCTGTCTGGTTTCTGGAACCGTCCCCAGCAGGTAGGACGGATGCAGGTGTGCCCAAACGGCAGTTTCTTCCTAAGGAGCTCTTTCGGGTCAACTCTGGAGGCCTTGACTTGGGAGGCAGATGGAGGAGGCTTGATCCCTCTCAGCATGGCAGCCGTGGTGCCAAGGCAGGAAGGAGGGTAGGGAGGCAAGCCAATGGGGTGCAGCGGCCTCCATGCCAGAAAATGGGGGCTCCCTGGATCATCTCCTCGGCGGGAGGGTGTACGGGGACCAAGAGAGAGAACCAAGGGGCCCCGCTGGAGGGGGGCTTGGAGCCTAGGGACAGTTGAGGGGGTACTGTCTTCCCCTCTCTCCTGGTCACGCTGCCCAGTCGGCCTTTTTCTCCCCTTTCCCTCCCCTTTTGCCCCCACCCCCGCCTGCCCCCCTCCAGGCCCCAGCGCCCCCCACTCCCAACCCCCCGGCCTGCTCTCCTGCCTCCCCCGTGCCACCTCCTTGGGCTTCGTTCCTCTTCCCTCCTCCGAGTTCCCAGCCATCCCCTCTCTCCTCCTCCCCAGCCCGCCCTCCTCCCTCTGACTGGCTCCCGCCTCCCCACCGCTCTCTCACCCTCCCAGCCCCCTCCTCCCTCCCTCCCTCTCTCCCTTCCCTTCCTTTATCCCGGCCGCTCTTCCCACCTTCCCCAGCCGGAGAGAGGGGGCCGCGCTCCCCCCAGCCCCTCCCCCTCCCTCCCTGGGGCCGCCGCCATCTTGCAGGATGCTGGGGAGGGAGCCGCGTGCAGGCAATGGGAACAATGCATCTTTTATGAAGCGATCCCCTCTCCTTGCCTGGAAACCTCGCATTAATGCGGCAATGATTTCCCTCGTAATAGAGGGGGCTCTCCCGCGCCCCCAACCCGAGGGGCGCAAGAAGGGAGGGGGCCAGGTTCGGGGGTGAGGAGTGAAAAGTGGAGGGTGATGGAGTCATCGCTCCGGGCTCCCAGCTCTGCAGCCGGCGCCCTCCCCGCGCCCAGCCTGGAGACCCCCACCCCACCCCGCAGGCGGAGGTTCCCAGAGTGGGGGAGGGGTTCCGGCGCGAGGCCCTCTAGTAACTTCTGGGCTGAGACCCAGCCACAGAGTCCCGGCCGATGGGACCCCCACCTCCCTATTCTCAGCCCTGGCATTGGCCAGAAAGGGCGCAGGAGACCCTCGGCTGCCCCTGGGGCCCTCTGTCTGCGGCCAGGTCCTCTGGGACACGTGTCCCCCCCTCCCCCCAGAACCCTCAGAGGTTCCCCATCTCCTCTAAGCCCTGTTTCCTTCCCCTCTTCTCTTCCATCTTGCCGCCTCACTCCCATCCATACAGCTCCTGCCTCCCTCGTCCTCTCCTGGCTCCCCCTTTCCCCTTCCCTGCTGCCTGCCCCCTCCCTCCACACCCCCTTCCCTGCGTGCTAATGGCCCGGTGGCAGGCGGCTCCGTGGCTGTTTCTGGGGGAGGCGGGTTTGCAGCCAGGGGAGATGTTGGAGCGGTTTGGGGAGGGGGAGGAAGAAAAATTATACATACGTAAATCTGGGATAATGACGGTGCTGCTAATGGGGCGGGCGGCGGCAGTTCCCCCAACAAACACACACCCCATCACACACACTCAGGGACCAACCTGGCTTCCTGACGCGTTTGAGGGTCCGTGGGCCCCGATCATCTCCTTGACTGGCCCTGAACCATCCCTGCTGCAGATATGGGGTCCATGCTCATTTGTGACATCAATGAAACATCCCCCTCCAGCCCCCCAATTCAATTTGCGGCTTGCCACTTTGCTTGCCCTGTGGCCTAGGGGTGAGTAGTTACCCCAGCAGGACAGGTGTGTTCACTTGGGTCTTTTACCCCACCACCAGCCTGGACCCCCACTCCTCTAGGTTTTCTGAGGTCACACCACCCACCACATGACATCTTTTGCATAACTGAAGGAAGGTCAGACGGATTTTCTTACCCTTTCTCCATTTCATAGCTGTGTGACCTTAGGCAAGTTAACCTCTCTGAGATTCAGTTATCTCTACTTGTAATTTGGGAATAATTATGTTCAAAGAACCTGAGGCTGAGGTGGGAGGATCACTTGAGGCAAGGAGTTGGAGACCAGCCTGGGCAACATAGCCAAACCCCTGTCTCAAATTAAAAAAAAAAAACTTTTTGAAAAAATAAGTCAAGTTAAGGGCCAGGCACAGTGGCTCACACCTGTAATCCCAGCACTTTGGGAGGCCAAGGCAGGTGGATCACTTGAGGTCAGGAGTTCAAGACCAGCCTGGCCAACATGGTGAAACCCTGTCTCTACTAAAAAAAAAAAGTACAAAAATTAGCCGGTATGGTGGTGCATGCCTGTCATCCCAGCTGCTTGGGAGGCTGACGCACGAGAATCCCTTGAACTGGGAGGCGGAGGTTGCAGTGAGCGGAGGTCGCACCACTGCACTCCAGCCTGGGCAACAGAGCAAGACCCTGTCTCTAAAAAAAAAAAAAGAGAGAGAGAACATGAATTCACGTTTGTGCTTCCCAACTCCTTCATCACTTGCCTGGATTTACTGAGGTTGCCTTGGCCACAGCCTCCTGGCTTCTGCCCTGGCCTCCATCATCCGTTTGTTTCGGCCTCAAGTGATCTGTTCGTCTCGGCCTCCCAAAGTGCTGGGATTACAGGTGTGAGCCACCGCGCCTGGCCAAAATTTATAAACCTTGACTCTTATTCTCGGTGTGTCCCACAATACCTGGCACCTACTAGATTTTCAAATATGCGTTGAATGAGTGAATTAAATAAATAATGTTGTGACTATGTAAGGATATAACTGATGTAAAGTTCTTGGCAGGTCGCCAGCATTCAATAAACCAAGATGCTGGGCACAGTGGCTCATGTCTGTAACCCCAGCATGTTGGGAGGCCGAGGCAGGAGGATAGTTTGAACCAGGGGTTCAAGAGCAGCCTGGACAACAAAGCGAGACCCTGTCTCTACAAAAATTACAAAAAAATTAGCTGGGTGTGATAGTGTATACCTGTGGTCCCAGCTATTCGGGAGGCTGAGGTGGGAGGATCACTTGAGCCTGGGAGGTTGAGGCTACAGTGAGCCAGGTTCCTGCGATCCAGCCTGAGTTACTGAGTGAGACCCTGTCCACATCCCCACAAGAGGTAAACTTATGTTCATCAAAAGACATGTACAAGGATGTTCATAGCTGCTTTATCTACAATAACCATTCACTGCAAACAACTCAAATATCTATCAGCAGTAAGATAAATACATTGTGATACATCTCCACAATGGAATATTATACAACAAAGAAAAAGAACAGGAAAACAGACATGACAATAGATTCTCACAGATACAATGTTGCGTAAAAGCAAGATGCCAAACCATGTATTTCCACTTACACAAAGTTCAGGGGTAGGCAAAACTAATCTATGATGAAAATGTCAAATTGGAGGATATTGACTGAGAAAGAGCATTTGGGAATTTCCTGGAGGGACAAATATGTTCTTCTGGTCTGCATGGTGGATACACAGGTATACATGTGTAGAAATTCACCACGCTGAAATTTATGATTTGTGCACTTTACCATATTCATTAAAAAAAAAAAAAAAGAGGAAGCCAGTCATGATGGCTTGTGCCTGTAATCCAAGCTACTCAGGAGGCTGAGATGGGAGGATCGCTTGAGGCCAAGAGCTCGAGACCAGCCTGGGTGATGCAGTGAGCCCTTGTCTTCATTAAAAAAAAAAAAAAAAAAAAAAAAGATTAGGCTGGGTGCAGTGGCTCACGCCTGTAATCCCAGCACTTTGGGAGGCCAAGGTGAGCAGATCACTTGAGGTCATGAGTTCGAGACTTGCCTTGAAAACATGGTGAAGCCCCGTTTCTACTAAAAATATAAAAATTAGCCAGGTTAGGCCAGGGACGGTGGCTTACGCCTGTAATCCCAGCACTTTGGAGGCCGAGGTGGGCGGATTATAAGGTCAGGAGTTTGAGACCAGCCAATATGGTGAAACCCCGTCTCTACTAAAAATACAAAAATTAGTCAGGTGTGGTGGGTGCCTGCCTGTAGTCCCAGCTACTCAGGAAGCTGAGGCAGAAGAATTGCTTGAACCTGGGAAGCAGAGGTTCCAGTGAGCTGAGATCGCGCCATTGCACTCCAGCCTGGGACACAGAGGAAAACTCCGTCTCAAAAAGAAAAAAAAATTAGCCAGGCATTGTGGAGGGTACCTGTAATCGCAACTCCTCAGGAGGCTGAGGCAGGAGAATCACTTGAACCTGGGAGGTGGAGGTTGCAGTGAGCCGAGGTCACACCACTCCACTACAGCCTGGGTGACAGAGCGAGACTCCATCTCAAAATAATAATCATAATAATAATGAAAAGAAATGATGCTGGATGCAGTGGCTCATGCCTATAATCCCAACACTTTGGGAGGCCAAAGCAGGAGGATCACTTGAAGCCAGGAGTTTGAGACCAGCCTGGGCAATGTAGCAGGACCCTATCTCTACAAAAACATATATATTTTAAAAATTAGCCAGGTGTGGTGGTGCATGTCTGTAGTCCCAGCTACTCGCATGGCTGAGGCAGGAGGATCACCTCAGTCCAGTAATTTGAGGCTGCAGTAAGGTGTGGTCATGCCACTGGACTCCAGCCTGGGCAATAGAGCAAGACCCTATCGCAAAATAAAAGAATAAAATATACAATAAAAATAAAACAGAGCAAAGAGAATGTCCCCTAGAGCCATGTGTGATCCATACGCTTTGTGAATCCTGACACCTCCTCTCCTTCGAGGTTGTACAACTGTCTTCCAAAGTTGGAAAAAAAATGTTTAAACCTGCCCAGATTCAGGAGGGAGGTCCCAGGGGTACCAGTGCCCTCCCCCATTTCCCAAGGACAACAAGGGTTTCCAGCCTCACTTGGCCTTGGGGTGTGCGCAGCTCGGTGTGAGGGCCAGTGGTTGATCTTGAAGTTTCTTTCCTACTCCCTCATCCGTTTCCTGCCCAAGCTGTGGTTCCAGCTGACTCCCCTATCAGAGGCTGCGAGTGAGTTCAGTTGTTATGGCAACGGGGCTGCGGAGATCCCCAGGAACCTGCTGGTCCGCCTCATTGCCTCACCGTATGGGGAGCTGCTTTTCCCCTTAAAAATGAAACGGGAGTGGGATGGGGGAGGAACCCCCTTCTTCTGCTCTGGAATGAAATGCCTCCCTCACCTGCTTTGTCGCAAACCCCCGGTTTGGAGAGGAGGGTCTGGATGGGACCCAGACTGTGGATAAGGATGGAGGGAGGAGAACTCCTGCTCCCTGGGTTTTAGCAGCCTTCCCAGGTCTCACAGAACACGAGGAACACGGTCTTTCTCCAGCTCCAACTTTTCTCATCTGTTCATTCATTTTTTCCACAGGAGGCATGAGGAGGTGAGAGATGGAAAGAATGCTGTCTGTCATTTGGAGTCAGAAGGAAAAGAAGGTTGAGGGTCTGCCAGCTCTGCTCTAGTGGTTTTTTCCTGTTTCACCTTTTACAAAATCGAGATAATCGTTTCTACTTGGTAGCGATATTGTGAGGTGTAAAATGGATTAATACATGCAAAATGCTTAAAGCAACTTCTGGCATACGGTGATCTCTCAACCAATCCATTGTTATTTTATTATTATTATTTTTTTGAGACAGAGTTTTGCTCTTGTTACCCAGGCTGGAGTGCAATGGTGTGATCTCGGCTCACTGCAACCTCTGTTTCCCGGATTCAAGCGATTTTCCTCCTCCTGAGTAGCTGAGATTACAGGTGCCCACCACCACACCCAGCTAATTTTTTGTTTTCTTTTGTTTTTTGTTTTTTTTTTTTGAGACAGAGTCTCACTCTGTTGCCCAGGCTGGAGTGCAGTGGCACGATCTCGGCTCACTGCAAGCTCTGCCTCCCGGGTTCACACCATTCTCCTGCCTCAGCCTCCCCAGTAGCTGGGACTACAGGCGCCCGCCACCACGCCTGGCTAATTTTTTGTATTTTTAGTAGAGATGGGGTTTCACCATGTTAGCCAGGATGGTCTCCATCTCCTGACCTCGTGATCCACCCACCTTGGCCTCCCAAAGTGCTGGGATTACAGGCGTGAGCCACCGCGCCTGGCCAATTTTTTGTATTTTTAGTAGAGATAAGGTTTCACCGTGTCAGCCAGGCTGGTCTCAAACTCCTGACCTCAGGTGATCCACCCGCCTCAGCCTCCCAAAGTGCTGGAATTACAGGTGTGAACCACCGTGCCCAGCAGGGAGACCCTGTTTCTACAAGAAAAAATTTACTGTGATCCCAGCACATTGGAAGGCCAAGGTGGGAGGATCACTTGAGCCTAGGAGTTCAAGTCCAGCCTGGGCAACATACATAGGGAGAACCCATCTCTTAAAAAAAGAAAAAAAGGAGAAATAATTACATGTAACCCTACCAGCAGTTTTGTGGGATTGCTATGATCATACCCATTTCACAGATTAGGTAACTGAGGTTTTAGTGCCCTGGAGATGAAGGCATTCTCTAGTCTCCCAGAAGCCCTGAACTCTTGAACAACCCCAAATGCTAAACTCAGCAGTAAAATGGCTGGTGGCTCCTACCTGAGGGTTCACAGAGGGGCTGCCTGTGCTTGCCTCCCAGCCCTTCCTTCCTGCATCCCAGCCCTTTCTTCCTGTGTATTAAGAGGGTTGCAGCTACTTCAGGGCCAGTGTCTCCACGAGTCATCATGACGGCTTCCTGATCATGGCTCTCTCTCTCTCTTTTTTTTTTTAAGACGAAGTCTCGCTCTGTCGCCCAGGCTGGAGTGCAGTGGCATGATCTCGGCTCACTGCAAGCTCCGCCTCCTGGGTTCACGCCATTCTCCTGCCTCAGCCTCCCTAGTAGCTGGGACTAGAGGCATGCACCACCACGCTCAGCTAATTTTTTTTGTATTTTTAGTATAGACGGGGTTTTACTATGTTAGCCAGGATGGTCTTGATCTCCTGATCTCGTGATCAGCCCGCCTCAGCCTCCCAAAATGCTGGGATTACAGACATGAGCCACCGCACCCGGCCGCCTCTCTCTTTTACTAACCACAGGGATTCAGAAAATTCTTCCTCCCTCGGGGCAAAAAAAAAAAAATAAATAAAAAATCATATATTATAGATGAACTGATGTAGTTTGGATCTGTTTCCCTGCCAAATCTCATGTTGAACTGTAATTCCCAATATTGGAGGTGGGGCTTGGTGGGAGGGGATTGGATCATGGGGGCGGATCCCTCATGAATGGCTTAGCGCCATCTCTTTGGTGCTGTCCACACAATTGTGAGTGAGTTCTTTGGAGAATTAGTTGTTTTGTTTGTTTGTTTTTTGAGATGGATTCTCGCTCTGTCACCCAGGCTGGAGTGCAGTGGTGCAATCTCAGCTCACTGCAACCTCCACCTCCTGGATTCAAGCGATTCTCCTGCCTCAGCCGCCTGAGTAGCCAGGATTATAGGCCTGCGCCACTGCGGCCAGCTAATTTTTTTGTATTTTTAGTAAAGATGGGGTTTCACTGTGTTGGTCAGGGTGGTCTCGAACTCCTGACCTCAAATGATCCACCTGCCTTGGCCTCCCAAAGTGTTGGGATTACAGGCTTGAGCCACTGCACCTGGCCTGGAGATCTGGTTGTTTAAGTGTGTGGCACCTCCCCTCCACCCCACTCTCTCTCCTGCTCCTGCTTTTGCCATGTGAAGTTCCTGCTTCACCTTCTGCCATGAGTTAAAGCTCCCTGAGATCTTTCCAGAAGCCAAGCAGATGCCAGCACTGTGCTTGTACAGCCCGCAGAACTGTGAGTCAATTAAGCCTCTTTTCTTTATAAATTACCCATTCTAGCCAGGTGTGATGGCTCACGTCTGTAATCCCAGCACTTTGGGAGGCCGAGGCAGGCGGATCACTTGAGGTTAGAAGTTTGAGACCAGCCTGGCAAACATGGTGAAACCCCATCTTTACTAAAAATACAAAAATTAGCCCGGTGTGGTGGCACACACTTGTAATCACAGCTACTTGGGAGGCTGAGGCAGGAGAATCGCTTGAACCCGGGAGGAGGAGGTTGCAGTGAGCCAAGATCGTGCCACTGCACTCTAGCCTAGGTAACAGAGTGAGACTCCATCTCAAATAAAATAAAATAAAGTGAAATAAAGTAAAATAAATAAAATAAAATGTACCCATTCTTTGATATTTCTTTACAGCAAATTTACCCATATAGGCAACGGCCTAATACATGAACCCTCTCAACCCCCATCCCAGTTCCCTCCTTACAGAAGCTACTGCTGTCTGTTTGGAGTGTATCCTTACAGACCTTTTTCTAAATGTTTACATACACCTATACCAGCTATATAAACACACTATTGATTTTGTGGGATATCTTAGTTTGGGTCCTCCCAAAGGCAGAGACCCTGAGACAAAGATTTGCAGGGGTAAGTTGTTGACCTGGGAGCAGATCCCAGGAAATAGCAACAGGGAAGCTGGGAAGTGAGAAAGGAATGACAGGTTGTGATTTGCAAAGATTGTCAGCCCTGGTATTGATCGTATTGCATAGGCTCTTCTTACAAAGTGCTGGTGCTCCTCTCGTGAGAGGCGGGGTGTATTAGTTCCTTCTCACACTGTTATGAAGAAATGCCTGAAACTGGGTAATTTATAAAGAAAAGAGGCTTAATTGGCTCATGGTTCTGTGGGCTGTACAGGAAACATAGCTGGGGAGGCCTCAGAAAACTTACAATCATGGTGGAAGGCCAAGGGGAAACATGGCTGGAGAAGGAGCAAGAGAAAGAGCAGGGAGGTACTATACACTTTTAAACAACCAGATCTTGTAAGAACTCACTCACTATCACAAGAGCAGCAAGGGAGGACTCTGACCCCATGATGCAATCACCTCCCACCTGGCCCTTCCTCCAACACCAGGGATTACAATTCAACATAAGATTTGGGTGGGGGGGGATACAAATGCAAACCATATCACAGGACCTGTGTTCCCACCTCCTAAACCTGGGTGGGACTTGTGACTGCCTGGCAAATTCTAAAGTTTTTTGTAGAGGTGGGGTCTTGCTGTGTTGTCCAGGCTGGTCTCCTTGGCCTCCCAAAGTGCTGGGATTGCAGGTGTGAGCCAACATGCCTGGTCCAATTTAGATTTTTTTTTTAAGATGGAGTCTTGCTGTGTTGCCCAGGCTGGAATATAGTGGCACCATCTCGGCTCACTGCAAGCTCTACCTCCTGGGTTCAAGCAATTATCCCTGCCTCAGCCTCTCAAGTAGCTGGGATTACAGGTGCCTGCCACCATGCCCAGCTAATTTTTGTATTTTTAGTAGAGATGGAGTTTCGCCACATTGGCCAGGCTGGTCTCGAACTCCTGATCTCAGGTGATCCACCCACCTCCGTCTCTTAAAGTGCTGGGATTACAGGCACGAGCCACTGCACCCGGCCCCAATTTAGATTTTAAAGAAATTACTAAGGCTGCTAAACCTTATGTTGCTCTTAGCCCCAAGGGCGCTGAGAGTTGGGTTTTCCCAATCCCAGGCTTCCTGGGTATAGCTCAGACCACCCTTAAGTTTTCCACCCATGCTCCCTCATCCATTCTTTCTTCCCTTCTACAAATTTTCCCCTTCTCTGTTGGCCAGGAACATTTATGCAATAATGTCACACCAGTGACTACCAGAGCTGAATGCCGATAGAGTAACAGAATGCTAAGATGGACATTTCAACCAGGCAGACACAACGACTAGCAATGGAAGCCAGACCACAGTGAAGATCTTTTCTTTTCTCTTTTCTTTCCTTTTCTTTTTTTTCTTTCTTTCTTTTCTTTCTTTCTCTTTCTCTCTCTCTCTCTCTCTCCCTCCCTCCCTCCCTTTTTCTCTCTCTCTTTCTTTCCTTTCTTTCTTTTTTTTTTTTGAGACAGAGTCTCACTCTGTTGCCCAGGCTGGAGTGCAGTGGCGCAATCTCGGCTCACTGCAAGCTTGGCTCACTGCAACCTCCGCCTCCCAGGTTCACTCCATTCTCCTGCCTCAGCCTCCTGAGTAGCTGGCACTACAGGCGCCCGCCACCGCGCCCGGCTAACTTTTTGCATTTTTAGTAGAGACGGGGTTTCACCGTGTTAGCCAGGATGGTCTCGATCTCCTGACCTCATGATCTGCTCGCCTCGGCCTCCCAAAGTGCTGGGATTACAGGCGTGAGCCACTGCGCCCAGCCCTTCCTTCCTTCCTTCCTTCCTCTTTCTTTCTCCTTCCCTCCCTCCCTCTCTCCTTCCTTCCTTCTCTCTCTCTCTTTTTTTTTTTTTTTGAGACAGTCTTGCTCTGTCACTAGGTAATCTTGGCTCACTGCAACCTCTGCCTCCCAGGTTCATGCCATTCTCCTGCCTCAGCCTCCTGAGTAGCTGGGACTACAGGTGCGCACCACCACACCCGGCTAATTTTTGTGTTGTTAGTAGAGATGAGGTGTCACCATGTTGGCCAGGCTGGTCTCAAACTCCTGACCTTGTGATCTGCCCACCTTGGCCTCCCAAAATGCTGGGATTACAGGTGTGAGCCACCGTGCCCAGCCTCTTTCTTTTTTTTTTGACAGAGTCTTGCTCTGTTGCCCAGGCTGGAGTGCAATGGCACAATCTTGGCTCACTGCAACTTCCCCCTCCTGGATTCAAGCGATTCTCCTGCTTCAGGCCCTCAAGTAGCTGGGATTACAGGTGCGTGCCACCACGCCCAGCTAATTTCATATTTTTAGTAGAGTTGGGATTTCACCATGTTAGGCTGGTCACAAACTCCTGACCTCAAGTGATCCACCCGCCTTGGCCTCCCAATGTGCTGGGATTACAGGTATGAGCTACCACATCTGATCCCTAATTTTTATTTTTAATTGACAAGTAATTGCATACGTTTATGGACTATGATATGATGTTTCAATACTGTATATATTATAAAGCAGGTCACGCTAATGAACATATCCATCACCTCACATACTTATTTCTTTGTAGCAAGAACAGTTTGTTTTTTTAGAGACAGGTTCTGTAAAATATTGCCCAGGCTGGTTTTGAACACCTGGGCTGAAGTGATCCTCCCATCTCAGCCTCCCAAAGTGCTGGGATTACACATGTGAGCTACCGCACCAGACCCTATAGGGAGACCATTTAAAATCCACTCATTTCACAAGTTTGAAAATACATTATGGGGCGGGGCGCAGTCACTCACGCCTGTAATCCCAGCACTTTGGGAGGCCGAGGCAGGTGGATCATGAGGTCACGAGTTCAAGACCAGCCTGGCCAAGATGGTGAAACCCTGTCTCTACTAAAAATATAAAAATTAGCCAGGCGTGGTGGCGGGCGCCTGTAGTCCCAGCTCCTCAGGAGGCTGAGGCAGAGAATTGCTTGAACCTGGGAGGTGGAGGTTGCCTTGAGCTGAGATTGTGCCACTGCACTCCAGCCTGGGCAACAGAAAGAGACTCTGTCTCAAAAAAAAAAAAAGAAAGAAAAAGAAAAAAATATACATTATGATTAGCTATAGCCACCTTGCTGTGCAACAGATCACCAGCACTTACTCTTCCTACTGGAAACTTTGTATCCTTTGGGCCACATGTTTTCTGCGACCCCAGACTCTAGTAAGCACTGTTCTACTCTCTACTTCTGTGAATGTGACTTTTTTTTTTTAGATTCTGCATGCAAGTGAGATCATGAACTATTTGTCTTTCTGCGCCAGACTTAGTTCACTTCGCATAATGTCCTCCAGATTCATGCACGTTGTTGCAAATGACAAGATTTCCTTCTTTTATCAGGCTGAACAGTACTCCATTGTGTATATGCACCACATTTTCTTTATCCATTCATTCATTGATGGACACTTAGGTTGCTTCCATATCTTGTTATTGTGAATAGTGCTGCAAAGAACTTGGGAGTGCAGATAGCTCTTCCGAATACTGATTTCCTTTGCACATTACTCGGAAGATAAATTTTTTTGAGATGGAGTCTCACTCTGTCACCCAGGCTGGAGTGCAATGGCGCGAGCTCGGCTCACTGCAAGCTCTGTCTCCCGGGTTTACGCCATTCTCCTGCCTCAGCCTCTGGAGTAGCTGGGACTACAGGCGCTCACCACCATGCCCGGCAAATTTTTTTTTTTGTATTTTTAGTAGAGACGGGGTTTTACCATGTTAGCCAGGATGGTCTCAATCTCCTGACCTCGTGATCCACCTGCCTTGGCCTCCCAAAGTGCTGGAATTACAAGTGAGAGCCACCGCACCCAGCCTAATTTTTGTATTTTTAGTAGAGACGGGGTTTCACTATGTTGGTCAGGCTGGTCTCGAACTCCTGACCTCGTGATCCACCCACCTTGGCCTCCCAAAGTGCTGGGATTACAGGCATGAGCCACTGCACCCAGCCTTTTTTTTTTTTTTTTTTAGACAGGGTCTCACTCTGTTGCCCAGGCTGGAGTGCAGTGGCACAATCTCAGCTCACTGCAACCTCTACATCCTGGGTTCAAGTGATTCTCCCACCTCAGCCTCCGAGTAGCTGGGACTACAGGTGGACACCACCACGCCCGGCTAATTTTTGTATTTTTTTTTTTTTTTTTAGTAGAGATGAGGTTTCACTGGTGAGGCTGGTCTTGAACTCCTGACCTCAAGTGATCCACCTGACTTGGCCTGAGACAGGAGAATCGCTGGAACTTGGGAGGCAGAAGTTGCAGTGAGCCAAGATTGCCCCACTACATCATTCCAGCCTGGGTGACAGAGTGAGACCTTGTCTCAAAAAAAAAAAAAAAGAAAGTGAAAGATTTCATTCTGAACACCACTAGGCCCTGAGAGGCAAGGTTGGCTGACAGCAGACCCAGTGCAATGAGAACCATCTGACCCCCGGATTTGTTTCCTTCCTGTGGCCGCTATAACAGTACCACAAACTGAGTCACTTAAAACAACAGAAACCTATTTTCTCACAGTTCTACAGGCCAGAAGTCTGAAATCAAAGCATCTGCAGGGCCACGCTCCCCACAGAGGATCTAGGGAAGAATCCCTCCTGGCCCCTTCCAGCTTGTGAGGGCTCCAGGCGTTCCTCGGTGGCAACCACAGCCTTCCAACCTCTGCTTCCGTCTTCACAGGTCCTTCTCTACTGTGTCTCCTCTATGTGTCTCTCCTAAGGAGAGTCGTCTGTGGATTTAGGACTACCATGTTTTCCAGGATGATCTCATCTTGAGAATTCTAATATCTGCAATGACCCTTTCAAAATCCCTCCTACAGAGTTGACAAGGATTGCATGCTAGATTCCAGACAGAAATACAGTTACAATGAACCATGAATCGGGCTGCACTAGGGCCCCCTTCCTTGCTGCTAAAAGTCAGGTAGCACTTTTACACCCCATTGTTTCACCGGGCGCAGTGGCTCACGCCTGTAATCCCAGCACTTTGGGAGGCCAAGGCGGGTGGATCACCTGAGGTTGGGAGTTCGAGACCAGCCTGACCAACATGGAGAAACCCCATCTCTACCAAAGATACAAAAATTAGCCAGGCATGGTGGTGCATGCCTGTAAGCCCAGCTACTGGGGAGGCTGAGGCAGGAGAATCGCTTGATCCCAGGAGGCAGAGGTTGCAGTGAGCCGAGATCGCGCCATTGCACTCCAGCCTGGGCATCAGGAGCGAAATTCTGTCTCAAAACAAAACAAAACACAAATACATCCCATTGTTTCTACAGACAGGATCTCTGACATTAGGAGCATATGGCTTTTTTTTTTTTTTTTTTTTTTTTTTTTTTTTTTTTTTTTTTGAGATGGAGTCTTGCTCTGTCACCCAGGCTGGAGTGCATTGATGTGATCTCAGCTCACTGTAACCGCTGCCTCCCGGGTTCCAGCGATTCTCCTGCCTCAGCCTCCAGAGTAGCCGGGATTACAGGCGTGCACCACCACGCCTGGCTAATTTTTGCATTTTTAGTAAAGAAGGGGTTTTACCATGTTGGCCAGGCTGATCTTGAACTCCTGACCTCAAGTGATCCACCCGCCTCGGCCTCCAAGTGCTGGTGTTACAGGCGTGAGCCACTGCGCCCAGTCAGGATCATATGGCTTTTGCTTAAGGATCACTTCAGATGTTTTTGCAGATCTTGAATTCCAGCAACCAGTCTGAAGAAGACCCCGCATATAGGAATGGGATCAGCATGAGAATACAGCTTCTTCACCCACCCCTTGTCCCTCAACTCCCGCCCAATCCTCTGTCCCAAGACTTCACCTTGCACTCTTTGACCAATCAAAGGATCTCCACACTTGGGCCCACTCCATACCCCTTAAAAACCCCAGCCCCAAATTCCTCGGGGAGATGAATTTTTAAATTTTATTTCATTTTTATTTATAAATTTTTGTTTGTTTGTTTTCTGAGAGAGTCTCACTCTGTCACCCAGGCTGGAGTGCAGAGGTGCGATCTTGGCTCACTACCACCTTCATCTCCCAGGTTCAACTGATTCTCCCACCTCAGCCTCCCAAGTAGCTGGGACTACAGGCATGCACCACCACGCCCGGCTAATTTTTGTATTTTTAGTAGAGACAGGGTTTTGCCATGTTGGCCAGGCTGGTCTCAAACTCCTGGCCTCAAGTGATCTGCCCACCTCAGCCTCCTAAAGTGCTGGGATTACAGGTGTGAGCCACCACACCCACCCAGGAGATGGATTTTAGATTTGCTCCCATCTCCTCGATCTGTGGCCCTATGATTAAACCTCCTTCTCTGCTGCAAACTGGTATCTCAGCATGTTGACTTGCCCAGTGCCTCAAACAATGGGCCTATGACAGTTACAGTTTATCCACCTAAGATCACATTCAGGCCAGGCGCAGTGGCTCGCGCCTGTAATCCCAGCACTTTGGGAGTCCGAGGTGGGAGGCTCTCTCGAGGCCAGGACTTTGAGACCAGCCCGGGAAACATAGCAAGAATCTCTCTCTGCAAAAAATACAAAAATTAGCCAGGCATGGTGTTGCATGCCTGTGGTCCCAGCTACTTGGAAGGCTGAGGTGAGAAGATCACTTGAGCCTGGGAGGTCCAGGCTGCAGTGAGCCGAAATCATGCCATTGCTCTCTAGCCACGCTGAGTGACAGAGCAAGACCATGTCTTTAAAAAAAAAAAATAAGTTGGCCAGGCGTGGTGGCTCATGCCTGTAATCCCAGCACTTTGGGAGGCCGAGGCAGGCGGATCATCTGAGATCAGGAGTTTGAGACCAGCCTGGCCAACATGGGGAAAGCCCGTCTCTCCTAAAAACACAAAAATTAGGGGACGTGGTGGCAGGCGCCTGTAATCCCAGCTACTCAGGAGGCTGAGGCAGGAGAATCACTTGAACCTGGGAGGCGGAGGTTGCAGCGAGCCTTGATTGCGCCATTGCACTCCAGTTGGGAGACAAGAGCAAGACTTCATCTCAAAAAAAAAAAAAAAAGTGAATATAATAACATCACGTTCACAGGTTGCAGGGGCCAGAATGTGGACACATCCTTTTTGGGGGCCACCATTTGACACACTATATTCCCTCCTGGAGCTGCAGCCCTGGCCGTGAAAGGAAAGGAGAGGAAAGCAAGAAGGAAGGGGCCCCTGCACTACCCAGACCCCCAGAACATGATGCTGGTGGGGATGGAGGAGAGGCAGAAGGAAATAGGATTGAAGTCTAAATCAAGGCCCCAGCCTGGGTCTGGACATTCCTTGTTTTGAATTGAAGCCAAGCTGCCCTGTGACTAAGGCAACTCCAGGAACATCTGTTATCTGAGATGAACAGAGAACAAAGTCATAAAGCTAAGATTTTATCAAGGGGATTGTGGGGCAGGGGGGACACGTTTCCCTGTGAAAAGCACGTTATAGAGATCATGAGAGATCAGCCCTTGACTGAATTCACACAATGCTGGTTCATTTCATCACAGGGACCACCTGACCCCCAGGATTGTTCTAGAAGGTCTTTTTCTCTAACATCTCCACACCAATCCCTCTCCACCTGCCGCTCCCACCTTCCACTGGGTCCCCATCCTCCTCTGGGCTGGGGCCCTGCCTGCCTGCCATCCATTCACTCAACAAACACTTATTATTATTTTTTGAAACACAGTCTCGCTCTGATGCCCATGCTGGAGTGCAGTGGCATGATCACTGCTCACTGCAGCCTCTGCCTCCCAGGTTTAAGCAATTCTCATTTCTCAGCC
This sequence comes from Homo sapiens, assembly GCF_000001405.40. NCBI lineage: Eukaryota > Metazoa > Chordata > Mammalia > Primates > Hominidae > Homo > Homo sapiens. The sequence goes on along the minus strand of NC_000017.11, from coordinate 32,068,858 downwards.
TCTCGAGTAGTTGGGATTACAGGCATGCATCACCACACCTGGATAATTTTTGTATTTTTAGTAAAGACGGGGTTTTGCCATGTTGGCCAGGCTGGTCTTGAACTCCTGGGCTCAAATCTGTCCGCTCGGCCTCTCAAAGTGCTGGTAGTTACAGGCGTGAGCCACTGCGCCCAGCCCTAACACTTATTGAGCACCTGCTGTATGCCAAGGGCCAGGGAAGGGGGCAGCATACAGAGCCAGGAGAGAACAGTGTGGAGGAACTTCCCTTTTGGAGCTGACTTTCCAGTGGGAGACCTGGGCGATGACAAGATGAACAAGGAGTGAATATTCTGTGGTGTAGCCAAAAGTAGCCAGTGCAATGGAGAAAATACAGCAGCCTCAGGCCTGTAATCCCAGCACTTTGGTAGGCCGAGGCGGGCGGATCACTTGAGGCTAGGAGTTCAAAACCAGCCTGGTCAGCATGGCAAAACCCCGTCTCTACTAAAAATACAAAAATTAGCCAGGTGTCATGGAGCATGCCTGTAATCCCAGCTACTGAGTAGACTGAGGCAGGAGAATCACTTGAACTCGGAGGTGGAGGTTGCAGTGAGCTGAGAGCACACCACTGCACTCCAGCCTGAGCAACACAGCGAGACCCTGTCTCAAAAAAAAAAAAAAAAAGCAGCAATAAGAGTCTGTGGATGTTGTAAATTGGGTGTGTGTGCATCAGAGAAGGCTTCCCTGGGGAGGGGCACAAGTGAAGGGAGACCTGGAGGAGGTGAGGGAGGAGCCATGTGGATATCTGGGGGAGGATGACTCAGGCAGAGGGAACAGCCTGTGCAAAGGCCCTGAGGCAGGATGTCTTTGGTGAGTTTGGAGAACAGTAAGGAGGCCCATCTGCTTGGAGAAAGCTGGGTTTTCTGGCCTCCGTGAGGACTGGAGTTTTGCTCTGAGTGAGGCAGTTGGTAAGGAGAATAATGCCCTCCTTCCCAAGATGTCTACTTCCTCATCCTAAACTTTCAAGATCTCGTGGCCTGGGGAGGATAGGAGAAAGGGGCTGGTAACTGCTCCAGCGGGTTGATAAATATGGGTACTTCAGGGAGGCTTCCTGGAGGAGTGTCAAGCATATGACTGGCTTGAATTGCGGGAGAGGCAGGCTGAGCAGGGAGCAGGTGCCCAGGGAGAGGCAGAGGACAGGTGAAACACTTAAAAGTGTCTAAAGGAGAAAGAGTCCTTTGGACACAGCCAGGCCCTGAGAAGCAAGGTTAGTGAATTGCTACCTCATGCAACAAAAGGGACTTTGCTGATTAGGTAATTAAGGACCTTCAGACAGGGAAATGACCTTGGATCATCTAATCACACAAGTCCTTAAAGTGCAAGGGGGCGGCAGAGGGGAGTTGAAGGCTGTCATATGAGAAGGACTTGACTCGTCATTGCTGGCTTTGAAAATGGAGGGAGGGCCCACGAGCCAAGGAATGCAGGCAACTTCTAGAAACGGGGAACAGACAACCAGCAAGAAAACAGGGGCCTCAGTTCTACAATCCCGAGGAACTGAATCTTGCACCCCTAAATGAGCAAGAAATAGATCGTCCCCTAAAACCTCCAAGAAAGGACTGCAGCCTGCTGACATCTTGGTCTTAGGCAGGTGAGACCCGAACCACATCTCTGACCTCTAGAGCTGTAGGATAATTTGCGTCGTTAAAAAAACGCTAGCTTGTGACGGCAACCATGGGAAATTAACACAAGTTGGGAGCCTTCCGGGTTCTGAGCGGGAGGAGGGGGCGTGGCCTGATCAGGTGTTCGCTCGCGCCCTCTGGAGGCTGCGGAGGGAACAGGCTTCAGGGCCAGGCTGGAGACCTGAGCAAGGGTAGAGGGAACTGCACAGTCCAGGTGAGGGATGCTGGGCTGGACCAGGTGAGGGCCGGGGAGGTGGGGAAGAAATGAAGTCCGAGGTTTGAACGTGGATGGAAAGAGAAAAAAAGAGAGAACTCCAGCGGGGCGCGGTGGCTCACGCCTGTAATCCCAGCACTTTGGGAGGCCAAGGTGGGAGAATCACTTGAGGTCAGGAGTTCGAGACCAGCCTGGCCAACACAGTGAAACCCCGTCTGTACCAAAAATACAAAAAATAGCCAGGCGTGGTGCTGCACGCCTCTAGTCCCAGCTACTCGGGAGGCTGAGACAGCAGACTTGCTCGAACCCGGGAGGCGGAGGTTGCAGTGAGCCAAGACTATGCCATTGCACTCTAGCCTGGGCGACAGAGTAAGACTCCATCTAAAAAAAAAAAGAGAGAGAGGACTCCAGTCAAGGATGACCAGAAGCCTCTGAGCTGGGAACTTGGAGTCTCCCATTCCCTCCACCCCAACTCCACTAGTCCCTACCTCCCCTTGGCCTCACCTGCTAGCAGTTGTCCCAGGCGGAGGCCACATGCTTCCCTCTCCTCTGAGGCCTTGCCCCTGCCTGTGACCTCTCACTTGTCACATCTGCTGTCTCTGTTCTCAAGACAGGAAGTCAGATGGGAGTTGAAGACGGCTGGGACCTATGAGTCCCCAGGCCCCCAGAGGGATTCCGGATTTGAGAGTCGGCCTCCTCCCTCCCATCCAAGCCCAGCCCTGCCAAATCAGCTCCCAGCGCACTCCCTGGTCTGCACTTCTTTCTCTGTCTCTTTCTCTCTCTGGAATTTTCATTCTCTTTTTGGTAACCGAATTATCCCATCTCCGCCTCTCACTGGGGGCCACCCACAGAGGCGTGGGAGAGGAGGGGCCCAGGTCGCAGCGCGAGATATTAAACCATCAATCACCCGCCAACGCCGACTCCCCCGCACCAGGACCCTCCGTTGGCTCCACCTGGAAGCAGACCAGCTCCAGTGCAGGCCTGGAGGCCTGGGGACCCCATCAAAATGGGAGGCCTTGGAAGAATCTCACAGGCCCTGCATCCACCTGGGCAGGTGCCTGGGTGCAGATCGGCCTGGCTCAATGCACAGAAAGGTGTCCTGGGTTCAAATCTACAAGCTACTTCTTATCCACACATGGGAGCCACTGCATTGCTCTGTGTCTTGGTTTCTCCACCTGTAAAATGGTGATAACAGCCGGGCACGGTGGCTCACGCCTGTAATCCCAGCACTTTGGGAGGCTGAGGCGGGCAGATCACCTGAGGTCAGGACTTCGAGACCAGCCTGGCCAACATGGCAAAACTCCATCTCTACTAAAAATATAAAAATTAGCCAGGTGTGGTGGCGTGCCCCTGTAATGCCAGCTACTTGGAAGGCTGAAGCAGGAGAATCACCTGAACCCAGGAGTCAGAAGTTGCAGTGAACCGAGATTGTACTACCACACTCCAGCCTGGGGGACAGAGCGAGACTCTGTATTAAAAAAAAAAAAATGGTGGTAACATTTTCTACATCACTGGGGTTCACTGTCAGGATTAAACCAGTTAAGGCAGATGGCAATATCTGGCTGATAGTAACTCCTGTCTAGGATTTGCTGCTAGAATGATTTTCCTTTAAGATTGGGGGGGTCATTCACTTGTGAAGGAAATCCAAGATTCTTGGCTTTTGGGGGGACTTAATGGGGTTCATACTTGTGTCACCTCACAGCTGCTGCCTTGTATAGGTTGGAATTGGATTTTTTTTTTTTTTTTTTGAGATGGAGTCTTGCTCTGTCGCCCAGGCTAGAGTGCAGTGCACGATCTCGGCTCACTGCAACCTCCGCCTCCCAGGTTCAAGGAATTCTCCTGCCTCAGCCTCCTGAGTAGCTGGGACTACAGGCACATGCCACCACACCCAGCTAATTTTTTTTTATTTTTAGTAGAGACGGGGTTTCACCATCTTGGCCAGGCTGGTCTCGAACTCCTGACCTTGTGATCCAGCTGCCTCGGCCTCCCAAAGTGCTAGGATTACAGGCATGAGCCACTGCGCCTGGCCGGAATTGGATTTTTTTGTTTTTTGTTTTTGAGACAAAGTCTTGCTCTGTCACCCAGGCTGAAGTGCCGTGTGGTATGATCATGGCTCATTGCAGCCTCAACCTTCTGGACTTAAGTGATCCTCCCACCTCAGCCTCTTGAGTAGTTAGGATCACAGGCATGAGCCGCCACACCCAGGTCTAGGGGAAAAAAAATTAAAGGCTCTTTCAGAACCTTAACTAGGGCCAAGCAACCCATATTTCAAGGCGCTCAATTCACAAAACAAGGTCTCAGTGCTTTGCACAGGCTGTTCCCCCTGCCTAAAATGCTGTTCCCTCAGCCAGCCACGTGACTCCTCCTTGCCTGCTTCTGGGTTTGCTGCAATGTCACCTCCTCAGTGAGGTCACTTTGTAAAAATTGCACCCAGGGCCCCTGCCCGCCCCCACCCCTCCCAGCTGTATGTCCCTCCATAGCATGCACCCCATTTTGCATACCGTATGCAGTGCTTGTGGGGTTTGCCTGTTCATCCCACTGGAGTGTTAACCCCAGAGCAAGGTTCATTCATTCACTGCCCAGCATGGCACCTGGCATGAAATAAACACCCAGTAAATACTTGTTGAGTGAAAGCATGAACAAATTCCATTCAGCTGCTCCCAGAGGACCCCACAGGCTGCAGCCAGCTCAAAGCTGCTGTAGCTGGGCCTGTCAGCAATCTTGGGTTTCCTGGAGGGGGGTGGAGGGGGTATCACTGGATGTGTTCAGAGATGCAGCTGGTTCACTGTCAACTTTGTGTGGACTTTTCTTTTTTTTTTGAGGCTGGATCTCACTCTGTCACACAGGCTGGTGTGCAGTGGCGTGATCACAGCTCACTGCAGCCTCCACTCCAGCTATCCTCCCACCTCAGCCCCCTGAGTAGCTGGGACCACAGTTGTGCGCCACCATGCCTGGGTAATTTTTGTATTTTTCATAGAGACAGGGATTCACCATGTTGCCCAAGCTGGTCTTGAACTCCTGAGCTCAAGCAATCTGCCTGCCTAGGCCTCTCAAAGCAGTGGGATTACAGGCGTGAGCCACAACGCCCGGCCAGGATGTTTATTTTGTCATTATTTATTTATTGTAGAGATGGTGGTCTCCCTATGCTGCTTAGGCTGGTCTTCAGGTCCTGGGCGATCCTTCCGTCTTGGCCTCCCAAAGTGCTGGGATTACAGGCATGAGCCATGGTGCCCGGCCTTGTGTAGATCTTTAAAAGGTACCCCTTCCTTGCTGGGTGCCGTGGCTCATGCCTGTAATCCCAACACTTTGGGAGGCTGAGGTGGGCAGCTCACCTGAGGTCAGGAGTTCGAGACCAGCCTGGCCAACATGGTGAAACCTCGTCTCTATTAAAAATACAAAAATTAGCTGGGCGTGGTGGCGGGTGCCTGTAATCTCAGCTACTGGGGAGGCTGAGGCAGGAGAATTTCTGGAACCTGGGAGGCAGAGGTTTCAGTGAGCTGAGATCGTGCCATTGCACTCCAGCCCAGGCAATAACAGTGAGACTCCATCTCAAAAAATAAAATAAATAAAATAAAATAAAATAAAATAAAAGGTACCTCTTCCTCTGGGCAGATGCAATGTGTGGTGAGGGGAACAGATGATGTTAGCTTCTGCTCTAGCCTCTGTCTGGCATGCTTGTGCAGTGCGCAACTTGCACAACTGTTCTTGGCAGTACTGCTACTGTCCCCCATCTCTTGAGTAGCTCAGAAGGTGGGGGGCGCTGTGAAGACCAAGTAACCAGAGGCTGGACCTCTACACCCAGGTGTTTAGAGGGCCAAACCCCAACCTCTGTGCCCAGCTCATTGCTGGTGAAAAATCTGCCAAGGAACTGGACTGTTCTGGTGACACCCCAAAGACTCCCCTCCTGGTATCCCCAGCAGTGTCTCCCTTGCTCCTCCGGACTAGTGGTGCGGTGCCCTCGCCTTCCCCAGCCCCCTCTGCACGTTTCCACCCAGCCAGGAGTCCCACACTTGCCTGCTTCTCCCAACTCTCTCTCTCTCTCTCTCTCTCTCTCTCTCTCTCTCTCTCTCTCTCTCTCTCTCTCCAGCACAGTGGCTATTTTTATTTTTCCTTCTTATTAAATTTCCAACTTCTGCAAACACCATGGCCTCTGCCTCGCCGCGCCCCCCCACCTTCCCTTAGGGCGGATTTGATTCACTTGCGTTTTATTAACAGATTAAAAAAAAAAAAAACCCGCAGCTGCCACCACAATGTGACTTTCTCCGCTTTCCTGGAGGTTTAGGGAACTGGGCTACAGGATCCCCTCCGGGTTTAAATTTGCCCTCCTCCCCACTCCCAGGGACCTTCCCATCACAGCCTGAGCGGCGAGGTCGGGAAGGGGCTGGGGAGTGAGGTTGGATCTCGTTCTGGGTTTAGGGGGGACTGGGATGGGTGTCAGGCCTGATGCGGTTCCCCCAGCCAGGGACTCGTCCCAAGGCGGAACTGGAAATTAAAAAAAAAAAAAAAAAAAAAGCAATCCGTTGGGAAGCCCCGCCCCCGCCTCGCCCCCCACCCCAGACCCTGGGTGCTAAACGCTTCGGGTGGGAGGGGCAGCCTCGGGGGTGGGGGCTTAGAGTTGGCGCCTCCCACACAGAGCTGGGGTCGCCCCTACCCTCTCTCTCTTAGGATGGCTGGCAGGGGGCCTTGGGAAGGTTTGCCACCTACCCAAGCCCGGCTCGCTCAGTTTTCTTTCCTCCTTAGGACATTCTGATTCCGGTGCTGACTCCCAGACCTGAGAGCAAATTGCTTCTTCATGCCCCGGGGTGTTTTCCTCCCCTCAAGTCTTTTTTTTTTTGTCAGTCGCCATGGCAACCAAGAACCCAGCTGCACTATACTTCCCTGGGATACAGGATGGGGGTAGGGGGTGATGGCGAAACTAACTGGGTCGTTTAGGCCAGGACCTTCCTACCCTCCTCTTTGCCCCCTCTCTTAGTCCTCCACCCCTTCCCCACACCACCTGGTCCAGCCTTGATTGACAAGAGGGCAGGTTGCGCCTGTCGGGGTTACCCATCTTGGTGGTTGGGCCACAGCTTCCTTCTGGGTCACTCTGTTCTGGGAAGGTCCTTCATTTGGCCCGAGGACTAAGGCTCCAGCTGTCAGTGAAATCCCTTTCCCCTTCCTTTCCTCCACTCTTTAGTCCCTCAGTCAGGGTGGGCTGGTACGGTTGGGCAGGTTGGACACTGCACAAGGGGACACTGAGTGTGTTCAAACTAAGCTCCCGATTTCCATTGCTCCCTTACTCCATAGCACACTACAGACTAACCTCTCCTCTGCCTTACTGACACCAACTCTCTGTTTGCTATCAGGAGAGCCAATGATTTCAATAAAATACTTCAGTCCTGGTCACACCCCAATGCAGAGCTGAAGAAAGGAAGTCCAATCGGGAATTTGGGGCCTTGAACAACCCAAGCCACAGCTCCTGTGGGAGCTTAGAGAGAGTGCAAACCTGGGCAGAAAGAACTTCTACAGAGGGCCGGGCGCGGTGGCTCATGCCTGTAATCCAGCACTTTGGGAGGCCGAGACGGGCGGATCACGAGGACAGGAGATCGAGACCATCCTGGCTAACACAGTGAAACCCCGTCTCTACTAAAAATACAAAAAATTAGCCGGGCGTGGTGGTGGGCGCCTGTAGTCCCAGGTGTTCGGGAGACTGAGGCAGGAGAATGGCGTGAACCCGGGAGGAGGAGCTTGCAGTGAGCCGAGATCGCGCCACTGCACTCCAGCCTGGGTGACAAAGCGAGACTCCGTCTCAAAAAAAAAGAACTTCTACAGGGGCCAAAGCTAGGGTCGAGGACCATAGAATGCCTTGGGGTACCCAGGGAGGGGCAGGGAATGATTATCAAAAGCCCCAAAGGAATCATGGGGCTGGTCAAGTTGGCTTCACGGACCCAATTCTACCGCCCACCATCTATACTCTTTGCCTAGGTAGCTCCTCCCACTGGGAGGTGGAGCCTACTTCCACACCCCTTGAATCTGGGTTGGTCTCGTGATCTCCTTTGGCCAATCAATGGATTGCAGCAGAAGTGAAGTCACTTCCCAATCTAGGCCTGAAGAGGTGGTACATCTTTCTGGTCGACGTCTGGAAACCCTGCCCCTGTCAGGTGACCAAGCCCGAGCTAGCCTGCTGGAGGATGAGGGAAGAATCCTGTTGTCCTAGACCAGCCTATAGCCAGCCGGGCCCAAATATACGAAAAGACCCAGCCTGAATAAATACAGTGTGACTCTTGGACCCATAGACGCTGGTGGGTGAGCCCAGCCAGGAGCAGAAAAACTGCCCTGTAGCCTGCGAAGCCAAAATTAATGCTGATTGTCCTAAGCTGCTGGATTTGGGCGTTGTTAGGCAGCTTTTTTTTTTTTTTTTTTTTTTTTTGGCTCAGTCTCACTTTGTGGCCCAGGCTGGAATGTAGTGGTGCAATCTTGGCTCACTGCAGCCTCTGCCTCCCTCCCGGGTTCAAGCGATTCTCCTGCCTCGGCCTCCTGAGTAGCTGGGATTACGGACACCCGCCACCACGACTGACTAATTTTTGTATTTTTAGTAGAGACGAGGTTTTGCCATGTTGGCCAGGTTGGTCTCAAACTTGTGGCCTCAAGTGATCCACCTGCCTGGCCTCTCAAAGTGCTGGGATTACAGGCATGAGCCACTGTGCCTGGCCTTTGTTAGACAGCTTAACTGGCAACAGGTAACTGACAAGGAGCCTGGCAGGCACAGGTGTGCATTGGTCAGCACGTCCCCTTGCCCACGAAGGAGCTAGACTCAAATCCCGGGGTCCCTGAAATTGATTGTCAACTCTTTAACTTCCTGAGGAATCCTTCCCCATTTTTCCTTTATTTGTTTCTTTTTTGTTTGTGTTTTGGCATGGCCTTCCAATGAAATTCCCCATTTTTCCTTTTTCTTTCTTTCTTTTTTTTTTTTTTTTTTGAGACGGAGTCTCGCTTTGTTGCCCAGGCTGGATTGCAAAGTGGCGCGATCTCGGCTCACTGCAGCCTCTGCCTCCCAGGCTCAAGCGTTTCTCCTGCCTCAGCCTCCCGAGTAGCTGGGATTACATGTACCACCATGCCCCACTAATTTTTGTATTTTTAATAGAGACGGTGTTCCGCCTTGTTGGCCGGGCTGGTCTCTAACTGCTGACCTCGGGTGATCCGCCCGCCTTGGCCTCCCAAAGTGATGGGATTACAAGCGTGAGCCACCGTGCCCAGCCCCCCATGTTTTCTTTCCTTGATATATCTCTGATTGCACCTCCTCTCCTCTCTCTCTCACTTCCGTCCAGCCACATCAGCCTCCTAGCTGATCTCTACTTCTCCATGCTAGTTCCCACCCCAGAGTCTTGGCACCCGCTGTTCCTCCTGTCTGGAACCTTCTTCCCCCAGATCTCTATGTGTATCCTCCGCTTTTTCTCCTTCAGGTCTCTGTTCATGTGCCTGATCCTCTGAGGTGCCCTCCTTAACTCAGAGAGATACGTCTCCTTCCAGGCCCTCACCAACCTACTACTACTGCTCCCAATGGGAGCCACATCATGTCCAGCCTAGGACGCTAAAGTTGACCCAGGGCTCAGATGGGAGCAGAACAGGCCTCCCCTAAAACATTCCTTTTTTTTTCTTTTGTTTTCTTTTTTTTTTTTTTTTTGACACAGAGTCTTGTTCTGTCACCCAGGCTGGAGTGCAGTGGCGCGATCTTGACTCGCTGCAACCCCTGCCTCCCAGGTTCAAACAATTCTCCTGCCTCAGCCTCCCAAGTTAGCTGGCACTACAGGCACATGCCACCACACCTGGCTAATTTTTTGTATTTTTAGTAGAGATGGGGTTTCACCATGTTGGCCAGGCTAGTCTCGAACTCTTGACCTCGGGTGATCCGCCTGCCTGAGCCTCCCAAAGTGCTGGAATTACGGGTGTGAGCCACTGTGCCCAGCCACACAAAACCATTCCTCATCCACCTTTCCCCTAATGATTTTACTATCCATGGCTAATCATGTCCTAGATCCATGATTTCTTTCTTTCTTTTCTTTTTCTTTTTTTTAAGAGACGGGGTTGGCGGTTGGGGGGCGGGTCTCATTATGTTTCCCAGGCTGATCTCGAACTCCTGGCCTCAAGCGATCCTCCCACCTTGCCCTCCCAAAGTTCTGGGATTACAGGCGTGAGCCGCGGTGCCCGGCCTAGAGCCATGATTTCATTACAAGTTGCAAAATACTGCATTCCCAGTTTATCATGGCATTTTCCCATTTATACATCTGTCGTCTCCAACAATCTGGAAAGCCCTCAACGGCAGAGTCAGAGCCACAGGGTACCAAGGAAACATTTGCTGAAAGAATTTGAATTCAGGAGATGGAGCCTATTGGGGCAAAAATCCCAAACCAACAGGTATTTGTTGTTTAGGGCAAAGAAACATGGCACCATTTCTCCTGCTTCTAGGATCAAAGGCTGTTCCACTCCAATCTCCGCTGGATGCCAAGCCCGGCCAAAAGTCCCAGGACATGGCCTGGCCCCCTACCCATCAATGCTGTCCCTCTTCTGACACCCCATGGAGTCACCCTATGGACTCAGGACCAATGAGGTTTTGGGGAGAAGACAGATCGTCTGTCTACAGGTATCAACATTGCTTTCCTTCTCAAAAATTTTTTTTATTTTAAACCTCCCCACAATTCAAACATTTCTCTTATTATCTTCTGCCGAGGGAAAAAAATTAATAACATGGCACAATATAAAATACTAAATTAAAGGCATTTTGGAACCAGCAGTTATTTCATAAGCTTCCTTTTATTGCCACGCTAATGTGCCTAATTGCTATCTTAATGAGGACATTAATTTCTGGCTAATGTGATGTTACTATAGAAATTGCAGTCAATCTCTTAAAAGGAGGAAAGTGCTAGAAAGCCGTCCCACGAGGCAGAGGCTTTGGTCACCCTGGGGCTGAGGGGCAAAGGAGACGGTGCTGGAACCCGGGCCAAGACTGGGGGAAGGATGGGGCTGCTGGGAGCCAGAGAGGGGGAAGGCAGGTGACTTGTGCTGAGACTAAAACCTCCCAGGGAGGCCCTGATCTGAAAGCCAGCTGTTTCCGTGCCCGGGGATCTAGGAGATGAAACTCTGAATAGGGGAAAGTGTTACAGCAATAATAAAACCTGACATCAGTGGCAGGCACGGTTGAGGCATTTTCTATGCTAATCCTTGCAATAGCTCTATAAAATAGATAGTGTCATTTCCCCCATTTTATAGATGGGGGAACAGAGAGGTTGAGTAACTTACCCAAGGTCACACAGCTATTACATGGTAGAGATGGGATTTGAACCCAGCCCGTCTGGCTTAACTGCTGAGCTATGCTGCCTTTCAGCCAGCACCGTGACACCATCGAGAATAATAATTTCAAACATTTATTGAAGGCTTATTATGCGCCGGCTGTGAGTCAAGCCTTTTGCACACAGCATCTCTGGGTGGGCTCCATCTTGGAGAAAGAGGTGCAGCTACAGCCACATCTGAGCACTCCTTAATATACAGGGAGGACGAGGCAAGGCTCAAAGCTCAGGGGCTGGTGTTGCACCTCCCTCCCCACACAGGAACAGGAAATCCATTGTAGGTAGAGAGACATCAGGGCCCAGAGAGGAGGTTATTTACTCTGAGTTGCACCTTATCACAGGTTACTGTGGTGGTCAGGGTAGGTTTTGAAGGCAAATGGTCTGGGTTAGAATTCTAGCTTTTCCCATTTGGCGAGTGGCCGACCCTCTCTGCACCTCAATTTCCTCATTTAAAGATGGGGGCTATGGGAGGCCGAGGTGGGCAGATCATTTGAGGTCAGGAATTCGAAATCAACCTGGCCAACGTGGTGAAACCCTGTCTCTACTAAAAATACAAAAAAAAAAAAAAAAAAAAAAAAAAAAAATGAGCCAGTCATGGTGGCCTGTGCCTGTTATCCCAGCTACTCAGGAGGCAGAGGCAGGAGAATCACTTGAACCCAGGAGGCGAAGGTTGCAGTGAGCTGGGATCATGCCACTGCATTCCAGCCTGGGCAACAGAGTGAGACTCCATCTAAATAAATAAGATTGGGGCTAACAATGGAACCTACCTCCGAGGGCTGTTATAAGAATTAAATAACTGGTTGGGCGTGGTGGCTCGCACCTATAATCCCAGCACTTTGGGAGGCTGAGACGGGAGGATTGCTTGAGCCCAAGAATTCGAGACTGGCCTGGGCAATATAGCAAGACTCCATCTCTACAGAAAAAAATATTAAAAATTAGCTGGGTATGGTAGCATGCGCCTACAGTCCCAGCTACTTGGGAGGCTGAGATGGGAGGATCGCTTAAGCCCAGAAGTTTGAGACCAGCCTGGGCAACATAGCAAGACCCCATCTCTACATAAACATATAACAAATTAGCTGAGCATGGTGGTGCCCCCACGTCTGTAGACGTGGTTGATCTACGAGCAACCTGTAGATCCCAGTGGCTTAATGCACTAAAGGCTACTTTCTCACTCACATCACACTGCTGCACCTGGGAACCAGACTCCAGCTATATTGTGGCTTCACCTTCTTCCAGTGACTCAGAGGCCCCACAAGACCCTCTTTGTCCAGCCAGAAGATGCAAAGGAAGAATTAGAAGGTGCAGGTGGGAGGTGTTAAAAGCCTGAATGTAGCACACCTCGCTTCCATTCACATCCCACAGAAGCAGATAATGATAAAGGTTAGGAAATAGGTTTGGAGTCTGGGAAACATGGGGAGACCCCATATTAACAAAGAAAAAAAATTTTTTTTAATTAGCTGGTTAATGGTGGCGCAAGCCTGTTGTCCCAGCTACTCAGGAGGCCAAGGTGGGAGTGAGGTAGGAGGCTGGAAGGGACTCTAGAGGTGAAGTTCAGACACTGGACCAAATTCATGGCCAGGTGTGGTGGCTCATACTTCTAATCCCAGCACTTTGGGAGGCCGAGGTGGGTGGATCACCTGAGGTCAGTAGTTTGAGACCAGCCTGGCCAACATGGTGAAACCCTGTCTCTACTAATAATACAAAGATTAGCCGAGTGTGGTGGCAGGTGCCTCTAATCCCAGCTACTCGAGAGGCTGAGGCAGGAGAATCGCTTGAACCCGGGAAGCGGAGGTTGCAGTGAGCTGAGACATACATAGTCAAAAGAATTGCAAACAAATAGTCATGCAGAAACGCATACACATATGTATACAGCAGCATTATTCTCAATGACCAAAAGGTGGAAACAACCTACATGTGCATTAACTGATGAATGGATAACTCAAATGTGATTGATCTATATAACGGATATATTATTCAGCCTTGAATGAATTTCTGACGCATGTTACAACATGGAGAACCCTTGAGGGCATTATGCTAAGTGAAATAAGCCAGTCACCAAAGGACAAATACTGTGTGATTCCTCTCATATGAGGTACTTAGAGTGGTCAGATTCATAAAGACAGAAAGTAGAAGGGTGGTTACCATGGGCTGGGAGGAGAGAATGGGGAATTAGTGTTTAATAGATACAGAGTTTCAATTTGGGAAGATGAAAAAGTTCTGGAGATTTGTTTTACAACAGTGTGAATATACTTAACACTACTGAATTGTACACTTAAAACTGGTTAGAGACAGCCAGGTGTGGTAGCTCATGCCGGTAATACCAGCACTTTGGGAGGCTGAGGTGGGAGGATCACTTGAGTCCAGGAGTTCAAGACCAGCCTGGGCAACATAGCGAAATCCTGTCTCTACAATGCAAAACTTGGCCAGGTTTGGTGGTGTGTGCCTGTGGTGCCAGTTACTTGCGAGACTGAGGTGGGAGGATCACCTGAGCCCCGGGGAGGTTGAGGTTGCAGTGAGTCATGATCACACCACTGCACTCCAGCCAGGAAGACAGAGTGAGACCCTGTCTCAAAAAATAGGTGGGGAGAGGGGGCAGTGGTTAGACTGTAAATATTATGCCTACTTTACTTCAATTTTTAAAAATTGTTTGAAGCCACACACAAAAGTCTTATTTAGTGAAATCATGTATTGTATGATTTCATTTATATGAAATGTCCCAAATGGGCAAATTCATAGGAAGTAAGTAAATACTTGCCAGGAAATAGGAGAGGAAATGGGGAGCAGGGCCAGTGATTCTGGGGCTTCTTTCTGGGGTGATGAAAATGTTCTGGAATTAAATAGTGGTGATGGCTGTACAGCCTTGTGAATACTATACTAAAACCCACTAAATTCTGCACTTATTTAAAAGGGTGAATTTATGGTGTATAACTTATATCTCAATAAAAATTAATAAAAAGGAGTGGTATGAGGAATTGGGAAAATACACACACACACACACACACACACACACACACACACATATATGTGCCTTAACTCTAATCAGTTCCCTTTGTCCTTTCTGAAACAAAGTTATACCCAACTGATAGTATAAGGTGTCCAGTCCAGATCTCTCTTTCTCTCTCTCTCTCTCTATATACATATGTATCTGTATCTTTCCAGAAAAATATGCAAAATGGCTTGGTGAATTTTCTTTTTGATTTTAACACTTAACTTTTTTTGGCCAGTCGTGGTGACTCACACCTGTAATCCCAGCACTTTGGGAGGCCGAGGTGGGTGGATCACTGTAACCCAGGAATTTAAGACCAGCCTGGGCAACGTATCAAGACCCCTTCTTTACAAAAAATACAAAAATTAGCCAGGCTTGGTGGCACGTACCTGTAGTTCCACCTACTTGAGAAGCTGAGGCAGGAGGATCACTTGAGCCTGGGAAGCAGAGGTTGCAGTGAGCCAAGATTGCACCACTGCACTCCAGCCTGGGTGACAGAGCCAAACCTTGCTTAAAAAAAAAAAAAATCTAGCCTCACAGTGGCTTATGCCTGTAATCCCAACACTTTGGGAGGCCTTTATGGCAGGAGGATGCCTTGAGCCCAGGAGTTTGAGGCTGCAGTGGGCTATGATTATGCCATTGTACTCCAGCTTGGGAGACAGAAAGAGACCTTGTCACAAAAATAAATTTTTTTTTTCTTTGCTTTCTTCCTTTTTTTTTTTTTTTAAAGACAGGGTCTCACTCTTTCAACTGTCACCCAGGTTGGGGTATAACAGCTCAACCTCAGCTTACTGCAACCTCCACCTCCCAGGTTCAAGCGATACTCCCACCTCAGCCTACCAAGTAGCTAGGACTACAAGTGCACACCACCACCCCTGGCTCATGTGTTTTGTGTATTTTTTTGTAGACATTGGGGGTTTTGTCATGTTGACCATTTTTTTTGTAGAGATGGGGGTTTTGTCATGTTGCCTGAACTGGGCTCAAGCGATCCACCCACCTCAGCCTCCCAAAGTGCTGGGATTACAGGTATGAGCCACTGCGCCCCGCCAATTTTTTCCTTTTACTGTCTGTGGTTCCACAACTTCCTTTTTGCCTGTTCTCTATGGACTTTCTACTTCATTTGGACTCTACTTAGATTGGCCTAGTTTTCTCTTTAGTCAAATCTTCAGTAACCAATTTATTACCATTAAAAATGATCTAACAAGCTTTATTTTTATTATTGTTAAAAATTCTCATTTTGAGGAACACAACCACAAAGTAAAGAAAGTTTTCATTGATTTAAGTAAAAAACCAATATTTAATAACAATTTTAAAAACATAGCTCCAGGCCATCCACATGCTTTAACTCATGCTCAGGCTCCTGATATTGATGGGTTGTCTTTGTATTTTTCTGATGCCCTTTTATGTGAATTCACCTGTTTTGGAAGAAAACACAATTAAGGTTATCTATCACAACAACCACTATCTCCAATGTGTATTCATTCCTTTTATTCATTTTAAGTCTCATCTACCCGATGAGATAACTTTTTTGAAGACAGGAATTGTATGCTGTTTAACAGTGCTTTGATTCTTCCACAGTTCAGTCATCCTTGCTACCTTGCAGAGGACTGGTTCTAGGATATCGCCCCCACACCATACCAGAATCTGTGGATGCTCAATACCTTACGTATAATGGTGCAGTGTCTGCATATAACCAACACACCCCCCCCCATATACTTTATTTATTTACTTACTTAGAGACAGGATCACCCTCTGTCACTCAGGCTGGAGAGCAGTGTCACAATCACAGCTCACAGCAGCCGCAACCTCCTGGGCTCCAGTGATCTGCCCACCTCAGCCTCTTGAGTAGCTGGGACTACAGGTGCATACCACCACACTAGCTAATTTTTTTATTTTTATTTTTATTAAAGACAAGGTCTCACTATGCTGCCCAGGTTGGCCTCCCAAAGTGTTGGGATTACAAGTGTGAGTCACCGTGCCTGGTCCCATGTACTTTAGGTCATCACTAATAAAATGTATAGATATTGTATAATGACAACAGTTGTTATACTGTACTTTCTAATTGTATTTTTATTGTTTCTTTCTTCAAATATTCAGCCTTATCTAGTTGAATCTGAAGATGTGGACCTGCTGATGAAGAGGGCTGACTGTATCTAACTTAGGGTCTTGCATGCAGCTGGTACTTAACGCATTTTATTGACTGTTTTAGCTAACATTCAGCGGACAATTCCTAATAAAAAACTCTTAAAAGTATGAAAAAAAGGAAACCTGCTCTAAAGTGGCAGGAAAACCAGCCTGGGCAACATAGCAAGATCTTGTCTCTACAACAAAAGTTTTCAAATTCACTGCCTGCCTGTAGTCCCAGCCACTCAGGAAGCTGAGGCAGGAGGATCCCTTAAGCCCAGGAGTTTGAGGTTACAGTGAGCTAGATCACACCATTGCTCTCCAGTCTGGGTGACAACAAGGCCCTGAGAAAGAAAAAAAAAAGAAAGGAAAGGAAGGAAAGAGTGTAAGTATTGAAAAGGAAGAGACAAAACTGTCATTATTTGCATATAAAATAATAAATGTTAGCCAAAGAAGCCTAAGAGAATCAACTAAGATTTTACTGGAAGTAATATGAGAATTCAGTACGGTGGCTAGAAACAAAATCAAGAGAGCAGCACACAAACCTCAAATGCTTTTCAGATGTACCACCAATAACTAACTAGAAAATGGAAGAAAGATCCCATTTACAATGGCAATACAAATGTCTGAAGTATTTAGGAACAAAAATACAAAGATCTGTTATCTAACAAAAGATGTGTAAGATCTATATGATGGAAACCCTAAAACTCTTCTGAAAGACATTAACAAGAAATGAATTCATGACATGAAATACCATGTTCTAGAATGTCGTACAGATGTCAATTCTCAAATTTATCTACAAATTTAAGGTAATCCTATTCAAATCCCAAGATAGTTTTTGGTGGTGGCTGTTTTTGAGACAAGGTCTCGCTCTGTTGCCCAGGCTAGAGTGCAGTGGTATGACCACAGCTCACTGCATCCTCGACCTCCCAGGCTCAAGCAATCCTCCCACTTCAGCCTCTGAAGTCTCTCATATGGTGTCCAAGAAATGGGGACAAATCTCAAAAAGGGACTAGGCTCAGGAGGGCTGGAATATTCAGGGAAGTTTCTTTCTTTCTTTTTTTTTTTTTTTTTTTGAGGCAGAGTCTCGCTCTGTCCCCCAGGCTGGAGTGCAGCAGCCTGATCTTGGCTGGCTGCATGCTCCACCTCCCAGGTTCATGCCATTCTCCTGCTTCAGCCTCACAAGTAGCTGGGACGACACACGCCCGCCACCACACCCAGCTAATTTTTTGCATTTTTAGTAGAGACGGGGTTCCACTGTGTTAGCCAGGATGGTCTCCATCTCCTGACCTTGTGATCTGCCTGCCTTGGCCTCCCAAAGTGCTGGGATTACAGGCGTGAGCCACCGCACCTGGCCTATTCAGGGAAGGTTTCAAGCAGAAAGATGAACTGAGTTGGCTTTGGAGAGATTCACAGGACTCCCACAGGCAGAGTGAAATAAGGGCATTGTAGATGGACAAAGGCACAGATAAGCAGCAATGGGGACGGTGTGACTGGGGGACGCTGAGGGGCTGCTGTGGCTGGAATGGAGGGCTGCCACCATAATGGAAATGGCCAATGAGGCAAATAAGGTTGGATTAGGAGCATAGCATCAAGGGTGCCAGCTTATTAAATCCCTCTTCCAGTGTGCTAGCACTGGCCTGCTGGGAAAAGTAATACATCACATAATCAAACAAAAGGCAAAAAGAGGCGAGCTCCAGGAATGGGCACTGTAAACAGGACTCGCCCCAGGGTAGCCAGATGTAGGCTTTAGATTTGTTGATGCAGGTTGAGCATCTCTAATCCGAGGGGGAATGTCTCATATGGTGTCCAAGAAATGGTGACACATCTCACAGAGGGCCTAGGCTCAGGAGGGCTGGAGTATGAGACATTCCCCCTCCCCTGTGAATTTGAAAACGTGGCCAAAATTTTTTTTTAAAAATGGCTACCCTGTAGTTCTTTAACTGGACCTATTTAGACAACACCTTACACACTGGAGAAGGATGATACTATGTGAATCTAATAAGTCTACAAGACAATACTTCTCTCTTTTGGCTGTCTTCTTCCTCTCCAGGGTGATTACAACTCCGTGAGGGTGGAGATTATATGTCTCTCATCATTTAAGCAACAAGGAAATAAATTAGTGGCAGAGTAAGGGGTGACTCAGTGAGTACATCCAATTGTTGACATAGTTTTGGGTGGGAGAAATTTTGCTATTATATCAACTTAACTTCTTAAAATAGTCTAGTGGGATTAACTTGGTTTTATTTCACAGAGACCTCCTGGAAGCGAGGATCCTTTAACAATCCTGGAATATACATTGCAGTAAAAGAACAAAGCACACCTCAGCCTTAAATGACAGAAGAAGAATGTCAAGTGGGAAAGTGACGTTGGTTTTCAGTTTGTGGATTCTGAATCCACACAAACACAGGATTGTATTCTGAAAACCTGAATTAATTATTGTCCTTACCTCTATAAGACAAAAAATTATAATCAAAATTATTAGTATTACAGTCACAGATATTGCGAAGATGAGTTTGTTCTTATAGTCATCTCCTGGAACTTCTTTCATGAGCTAAAAAAAAGAAAAAAAAAAGAAAAAAGAAAGAACAATTAAAAAAAAAGAGAGAGAGAATGGAAGCTAACTTTTCAAAACCCCAGTATGCCAGTTGAGTAGCTTACAGGTTCTTTTGTTCTTTTTATTTTTTTTGAGACAGGATCTCACTCTGTCACCCAGGCGGGAGTACAGTGGTGCGATCACAGTTCACTACTGACTCGACCTCCCTGGGCTCAGGTGATCCTCCCACCTCAGCCTCCTGAGTAGCTGGGGCTACAGGCACGTGTCACCACACGCAGCTAATTTTTGTATTTTTTGTGAAGACGGGGTTTCACTACGTTGGCCGAGCTGGTCTTAAACTCCTGACCTCAAGTGATCCACCCACCTCGGCCTCCCAAAGTGCTGGGATTACAGGCATGAGCTACCACCCCCGGCCTACAGTTCATCTTGTGCCCTAATCTATTTCACTGTCTACATGAGCAAAGTGGGAGATCACTGTCATGGCCAAAGTTACATGGCCAAGACAAGCTATGGCCTGGGAGTCCCAGGTTCTCCTATGTGGGCACTCTCCTGGCATACGCTAAATGATGGGAAATCTGGGTCTCATGTTTCTGTGTGGTCCTCACCTCACT
Source organism: Homo sapiens (assembly GCF_000001405.40). Lineage (NCBI taxonomy): Eukaryota > Metazoa > Chordata > Mammalia > Primates > Hominidae > Homo > Homo sapiens. The sequence continues at coordinate 32,049,388 of NC_000017.11, read as the reverse complement.
TGACTTCTGCTCTTTCTGTTCATTCTGTTCCATGTTCTCATTAATATAATTTGTTTTTTGTTGGTCCGTATCCCATTCTACATTCAATGCCTTTGCTTCCTGCTGCTCGCTGAGAAGCTTCATCAGGAGGCCTGTTCGCAACATGAGCTTGGCACAGCTCCCTTGCACATGTGTTTCTGAACATTCCATTTTCAAGGTCCGGATAACATGAGACATGAACTTTCTCACATCCTCGTTGGGGATGAGGGACCGTAGCTGCTCGGTTAGCTGAATTTCAAGCTGATCACCTGGGGACGAGAGCAATGGGTAATTGAAGCTTTTGGGCTCAGGGGACAAGTCAATGCCCACATTGTTGTATTCCCATTTTGTCTCAGTTTGTTTAACAGTTGGTTCTAAGTTGAATGCAGTCCCAGCGGAAACTGCCTCAGGAGGATGATTGTAGTTTGTGTTTTCAGAGATGTGTCTTTGAACACATCTCTTTTGTGTCTTTTACATTAGTTGTGTCTTTTACACTAGTGTTTTCTATAAAACGTTCTGAAGGAGCAACTACTTCCAGAAGAGGGTTTTCTTGAGGACTCAGGTCTCCTAAGGATGAAAAAACCCCTTGCGAATTTATGAGGCTCTTCGCTGCAGAGAACAGCGGCCTCTTTGCGAGCATCGGTCTGTTGAGATAACTGCCCTTTCTAAACTTTCTAATCTTTTTGGCCTTCGGTGTTCTGTGGGCCACACGGGAGTGAGTTTTATAAAAGCGGTATTTTTTTCTGGAATGTGTGATTGGTTTAGCAGCCTTCATGTTTTTCACTCTAGCCATTGCCATTTCTAAAATTAAAATGGTGTAGGCTAAGTCTTTCGATCTGTCTCTGACCTGAGGTAGGGCTTTTGCAGGGCTAGAGGCAGAAGGCACGCCCATGGAGAAGGGTTTCAGCACAGAGGAGACTGCTGCCTTATGCTCTTGGGTGAATGAAGGCTTGGTGTAGATGGTGTTTCCCACTACCTTCTCAGGCCCCTGCACTATGTGAGGCTGTTCCAGCTCCCTTGGGGCTGGACCCTCAAGCCTTTTTCCTTTGGCAGCATTGTCCACAAATGCCTGGGCATCCTGTTCTTTCCTAGTGCTGTGCTTTCCCACCTTTTTGAAGTGCCTTTCCTGGATGCTCCTTGGGCCCATGAGGACTCTGTTCACTCTCTGCAGGTTTTTGCCTACACTTTGAATCTGCCAGGCTGTTTTCCTGTGGTTGCACAGTTTCTAATTTTTTTTTCAAATATTTGGTTTTTAAATTTGTTACCTAGAAGGCTGGACTGTGAGGGGCTCTTTCTATTGTTTTTCAAAATACTCAGGAGCCTATCTCCATCTTGTACATTTGAAAATAGCTGTTCAGTGAACGGTAACAATATTGATTCTGCACCTAGATTTCCCAGTGAGAGATAAGGCAAGATGTAACTTAGTGCACTGCTAACATCACTCTCGTCATTGGTGTCTAGCTGCTCACCCCCAAAGCCTGACAAGTTGATGCCACTGCTGTCTGAGGGCGCCTCCGACTCAATAGTCAGCTGAGTGCTCATGTGCTGCTTCCGGGCTTGTAACATCTTCATGAACGCTCCTTCTGGATTCCCTACAGATGCTTCTTCAGCTGTCAGAAAAGAAGAGACTGCTTTGATCATGAAATATCTTTGATCATCTTTCATACTCAGTCCATAGCTATATGCCCCAGTCACACAGAGTAAGAGTCAGCAAACATTCGAGTGCCATTCAGAGAGGAGAAACATACACCCAAACCTAAACCTATGAAATGGCAACAACGAAAGGAGGAAAAGACATGGCCACCTACTTGGAACATTCCATAGTGTGACATAGAGTAACTCTGCTTAGGATTATTCCGTTGATCCCCAGGGGCCAATTGCCCAGTGCTCAGTCAAAGCCCAAGGTGGAAGACAAGTGCTTCCCTGATGAGCTGATGAACTGGCCTCTCTGCAGACTGCTCCATACCCTGTGCTGTCCTGCCTCATATGCAGAGAGAGCACAAGGCTCCCACTCTCCTCATCCTCAGTGTGCCCGTGTTCTTGCTACCATCGCAGCTGAATGCAATCAAAGGCGGTCCTCTGAGAGGAGCAGGGTGGAGATGCTAAAGGAGCAGGGCGGGATGCCCCCTCCCATTGCTGATAGATCCTCATCTGGCATGTGCTCCACCCACCCACCCCATTCTCTGCTCCCACATATCATAGCCCCATCACAGAAGATGCGACATGGAAAAAAACACTGTGTCCACCTTAGTTCTTTTCTTAAATTTGGGCAGGGATCCAGGGTGTAGGTTAAGAGATTTTTAATTTGCCAGATTGTATGCCTATGTTGTTAAATATACAATGAATCTATGGTATGGTAGCAGTTTCTGGATAAACATTACTTGAGGTCCTAAATGCAGAAGGGAAAAAGTGACTTTTGTCAGATGCCTACTTCACTTTCATTCATCTCTAATATTTTGGATGGGGAACCATCCAAAGCTTCTGACTGCATGAAGGTCAAGTGTGCCAGTGTGCAGCTGGGCTTCTTTTCCAGAATTAAAAGTATTTTGGGTGGTGCTGAAGGTCAGCGGAAGAAGTAAAGATTGCGAGAAAGGAGAAACATGGGCTTGGGGAGAACCCAGAATTGGGGACAGAAGACCTGGCACTAGGCTACAGCACTTAGCACCTCTGATCTTGTTTTTCCTCACCTGTAAAAGGAGATTAACAATGCTTTTCTGCCCACCTCTTGGGGAGAAGGGAAGAATATAATTGGTAAAAAAAAAAAAAAAAAAGAAAAAAAGAAAAAGTTTTGAAAAATAAGCAACACTGTCTTTATAGAAGTAGCCAAGCATTATTAATTATCCACCCCATATCACTGGTAGATACCTGTATTCAAGCAGTCACATTTTAGAAGTCATGAAGTTGGTGCTAATAAACCTAATCTACAGAAAAACTCTTGAAAAAACTTGAGCATTTGTTCTGCGAATAGAAAGGTTTGAGATTCAGAGCAAGTTCAGAGTTGGATGGACTAAGAATGGAAAAGCCCCATTCCAATAGAAGAGCCAGGTAGCAATTTCTGGTTATGGAACCAGAAGCTCTCAGGCTTCAAATAAAACAGCATCACTTCTACTCTTATAAAACTGTAAAAACAAAAACAAAAACAAAACCGGATCTACATCTGTCCTAAAAGGCAGAGAGTACTTGAGACCTCACAGATATAAAACCAGCTTACAAACTACATTGCACTATATGAAGAAATTATCACTGGGGGCAAAGCACCAAGCAGAGAGCACAGTACACAGTGTGTGGATGTTAATGTTATTCCCTAGCCTTCCCATTTCTTTCTCTTGGTCCTTTATGCATATGGAACTGTTCCATTATTAAATTTTGTAATAATAACTGAGAACCTGACTCCCAGCAAGGGAGTCATTCAGAAGTTGAGGGAGTTGAAATCTGACTGAGTAAATAAAACAATTATATCATCAGCTTAAAATTTCATCAATTAAAAATAAAAATTTAAAAACAAATACTTAAAATAATGTAACAATTTATCACCAGGCAATTTGGACTCACGACAATGTATGCTGTTAGTCAGACATGCAGTGTTGCAATGCAGCTTGACTGTCTTGCAGACAGCCTCAATGCTATTTTTAAATTGGCAGAGGCAGCAGGCCATATGGCTAGGTAAGATCCTATAGATGAAAACACAAAACAATAAATTAGTGGTAAAGCGGTTACTTGAGTAGGTAAAGGAGGCAGCCAACGCTACCACAGGGCTGGGCAAAGAGGTGTTACTGAGACCCGTGGACTGGACACTTGGGTAGGAACCAGAAGGCCAATGGGAAGGAGGACACAGGTGCCCAACTGAAGGGTAAGCATGGCAGTGAGTATGGTATGCCTAGAATAAAGGTGGTTGGGATTAGAATTGGGTGACACTGATCAGTAGTTTAAATTCAGAGGTATCTCTTCCCGACTCAAAAGTCTCACTTTGGGCTGAAAGATACAGGAAGAAGGTAGACTTCTAAGAAGAGTCTGAATAAGCCCCCAACTTCTGAAGGCCCTTTCTCAATTTCTGTTGGGAGTGGGAAGTATTAGAAATTACTCTAGGCATTAAAAATAGCTCAGCTTAACCTGGATTGTGGGGTTAAAAAAAATAACGGAGATTGCATTGGCCAAATCTGGACAATTTGAGCATTCAAAAGAATAACAACAATAAGCTACAACATAATATATAAAAAATCCATGAAGAATGATATTTTAAAAGAGGGGGAGTTGTTCTTTAATGAAATAATGATAGCTAATAAATGTAGAAGGAATGACAGAATTTTAAAAAGTGTCACTTTGCAACCACCAATGTAATAAAAATAGATTCAGACAAAGATTATCACTGATGGAGTTGGGTGAAAAGACATTTGAGAACAGGATCTTCACTGATCTCAAAGTACCACCCCACAGATTTTTTATTAATTATCAAAGGGAAAAGTTATTTTTTATTTTTTTATGAGACAAGGTCTCAGTCTGTCACCTAGGCTGAAGTACAGTGGCAAAATCATAGCTAACTGCAGCCTCGACCCCCTGGGCTCAAGTGACCCTCCAAATTCAGCCCCCCAGATAGATGGGACTATAGGCTTGCACCACCACCCCAGCTAATTTTAGTTTTTTATTTTTGTTATTTTTAGTAGAGACAGGGTTTCACCTTGTTGTTCAGGCTGGTCTAAAACTGGACTCAAGTGATTTGCCCATCTCGGCCTTCCAAAGTGCTGGGATTACAAGTGTGAGCCACCACACCCAGCAAAATAACCACAGTGGAGAGATCTGGAAGATCACCTTAAACAAGTGATCAAACTTAGCATTATGAGCCACCTGGGGTCACGAGGCAGGAAAGATACGTCACCTATGCAGTATTCTTCCCAAAGATGCTTACCTTGAATCTCATGTGGAAACAGAGAAATCCAGATTGTGGGACAACTTACAAGACAACTATCTTTGACTCAAAAAATGCCAATGTCATGAAAGATCAAAAAAAGTAGAGGCATGTTTTAGATTAAAGGAAATGAAGACATGACATGCAGTGCCTGATCTTTGACTGGATTCTGTAGTATTCTTTCATCTTTCTGGCATGTTTGAATTTTTTTCAAAATATAAATTTGGGCAAAAGAGATAACCAAGATAATTGATTAATTTATTGTTATGGCTTCTTGGGGGCAGTTTCAGAGAAATAAAAACAATCTCTGTAACTGGAATAAATTCTCAAGGTTAATCTTAAGCAGTATAGCATGGTCATTAAGAATACAGATTCCACAGCCAGACTAGGCTTAAATCCCAGCTCTGTGAATAATGTAAATTTGGGCAAATTGCTTAATCTCTGTTCCTTGGCCTTGTCATTATAATAGTACCTACCTCAAATGAGTTTTGAGGATTAAATGAATCCCTACCTGAAAAATGTCTGGCACACACTGAGTGATCAATAAATGTTAACTACTGTAAATATTACATTATAGAAGTTGTAGGGGGGGCCTCTTTTGAGTCCTCTAAAAGGATGACTTTGTTAGGGCCACATTAAGACTGTGGAAACAGAAGAGTATTCAATGGATACATGAAGTCTGTGAGTTGGGGGTATGATGTATAGAGTTTTAAATTAAAACTGTATCCAGTAAGTTGGCCTGATACATCTTTCAAACCTATAGAGGAATAATCACAAGTGACTCGTATTCCTTTGGGTCCAATAGAAGCCTCTGATCTTCATATAGATTGAATGTACCCAGAACCATAACCTAGCATTTTACTTATATAGCAACCTTAACTCTGACACAAAGATGTTTCTTTTGTTTTGAGGCTGAGTCTCGCTCTGTTACACAGGTTGAGTGCAGTGGTGCAATCTCGGCTCACTGCAGCCTTTGTCTCCTGGGCTCAAGTGATCCTCCCGCCTCAGCCTCCTGAGTAGCTAGAACTACAGGTGCGTGCCACCACACCTGGCTCATTTTTGTATTTTTTGTAGAGATGGGGTTTCACCACGTTGCCCAGGCTGGTCTCAAACTCCTGAGCTCAAGCAACCCCCTCTCCTTGGCCTCCCAAAGTGCTGGGATTACAGGCATGAGCCCAAAGGTTTTGTTATTCTCTTCCTGCCTCCAGCTTTTGATTTTAAACATTTTCTTTTTTTCCTTTAAGGCTTAGGATGGCTAGGAAGCATTTTCAAATGGTATAATGAACACCTGTATAACTTTCATCTGGAATCAACAGTAGCTAATACTTTGCCACATTTCCTTTCCATGTGTGTATGTTTATACATTTTCTGGACAAACCATTTGAGAGTCAGTTGCAGACATAATGACCCTTCACCATTAAAGACTTCAGTGTGCAGCCCCTAAGAACCAATGCATTCTCCTCCATAACCAGAAGACTCTCATCACCCAATGGAACTTAATATTATCATTGCCTACTATGCATTCCATATACACATTTTCACAATTGTCCCAATCATAACATGGCTTAAAAAATTCAGAATCCAATCAAACATCAGACATTGCATTTTGTGTTCATGATTTTTTTTTTTTTTGTAGAAAGACCTTTAATACTTCTGTTTACAAAATTCGGGCATACATTTCAGTTTGCCCTGAACCGTGCCCAAGGCTGTGTGCTCATCTCTGCCAGGGTGTCTGTGCCCTTCATGTACTGCCGACCACGAGGGTGCAGAGCAGAGCCTGGGGTCCGGAGGCTTTGCTGGGCCTCAGGGGGAAGGGAATGTGAATGTGGCCCAGCCCAGAGGACCCTCCATTTCGTCGATTTTGGATTGGGCGACAGAGGAAGCAGATGTCGGGGCTGCAGACATGCTGGCCTGGACAGGGGTCTGGGGACCCCGGGGCTGCCTGCCGTGGTCTAGAGGAGATGGCTGGGGGCCACTTCCCACAGGGTGGGGTGGCAGCGGCTTGGCAAGGGGAGGCCTGGCTACCAGGGGCTTGAACATTTGCTCACTGGAGCCTTTGTGCTTGGCCCTTAGCAGCACGGCTGGGGCTGTGGTCCCGTGCGAGGTGTGCTGGGGGGGTGTGTAGGTGGCTGGTGGTGGCAGCTTGTGCCAGAGTGACACAGGCTTCCGTGGGCCTGGCTGGGGGCAGTTAAAAAGCTGAAAAGGTACTTGGTGTGTGAGGGTAAGGCTTGGGAGGCAGGGCCCTAGAGGAGGCCATGTTCTCTGTCCTGGTTGAGGGGAGCAGTATGGGGGGGAAGGTGGGGCAGATCCCAGCTGGCCTCTGTCTCCTGGTTGCAAGCTGACAGCAGGCCAGGGAAACAGTGAGGCCCTCTGCCCTGGCCTTGGGGAGAAGGAGTGCATGTGTGAGGCTGGGGTACTGTGGCCCTGGAGTGGGGCTAGGGTTCATCGCCAGGAGCAGGCTTGTGGAGGGATTTAAAACCAGGGTCCTGTCTCTGAGCCACCCCACAGGGACACTCGATCCAAGCCTGTTAAGGCCGTGGAACTCGAGGGTAGGCTGTGGGCTGGGCCCCCATGGGGTCAGGACGGAGGTGGGGGCTGCCCTGGAGGAACATTAGTGTTTCTGAGAGCACCTTAGTGTTGCCCCGTCTGGGCCAGCTGGGTGAGGAGTTGGGGAGCAGGGAGGAGGCCGGCGCCATGGAGTGAGGAAGGGAGCCGTCACCGTTAGGGGTCAGCGCTAGTTTAAACAAGCGTCCCCACCCACCCAGATAAGCCTCCCACCCAAGTGTGGCTCCCTGCTGAGGGAGTACCTCAAGGGCCCGGGCCTGGGTGGCGCCGGCAGGCTTGGACACCGCCTTGGCAGCAGGAGCCCATGGAAGGCAGGAGACCTGGCGGGGGTGCCACCCAGTGTGGATGGAGGGGCGGGGCGGGGGCACCAGTGAGTCACTGGGCAGAGGCATGAGCACGTCCATGTAGCTGAGCAGGAAGAAGCCCAACTGGCTGTCCAGCATGCCCTGGTACCAGTTCTCGTTGATCTGGTTGATCAGCGTGAAGACGTCACCCTCATGGAAGCCCAGCTCCCCATGGTTCTCAGGCTGGAAGTCATACAGCACCTTGCAGCTTGGCTGGTCTAGGGGCGGCATGCTCCTGCTAGGAGTCCAGATGGACTTGTCGGAAGATCGGAAAGGGGATGAAGCTGCAATCTTGGGGACTGTGGTGCAGGGGAAGCCCCCATTGGACTGCTCAGGCTCTCCGAGGTCAAAGGGCTCCCAGAACTTGGGCTTATACTCCCGCTTGGGGCGTGAGGAAGCTTCCCGCATCCTGCGCTTGAGCTTCTCTGCCAGCTCGTCCAGGATCTGCATGGCCTGCCAGTGGTAGTTCAGCTGCGCCTCCGCCAGGGCCCGGAGTTGACTCACCTGCTCAATGTTGGTCTCCAGGAGGTTGTGCATGCTGGTTTCTGCTACCTCCTTGGAGTCCTCAAACTTCTCCAGCGCCTGACGCAGCTCCTCATCGGGGATCTTGCCCTGCCGCTTCTTTTAGTCAAAGTCCAGGCGGCGGCCCTCCAGCTTCTGCAGGTGGTGCTGGATCCCCTTCAGGTCTTTCTCACACAGGTTCTGGAGGAGGTCAATGAAGTTCTGCTTGACCTCTATGTCCAGGGAGTCCTTCACCTCTGCCAGGTGCTTCATGGACTCGCCGGCATCCAGCAGTGCGTCACTGAAGTTGGACTCGTTGCCCAGCTCCTTCTGGTGGCGGATCAGGCACTCGCTCAGGAGCCCCTCCAACTGCGGGTAGCCGGGGTTCTTCACCTGGCCCTGGATCTTGCACACTGTGTTGAGCATGGTCAGCTTAGCCTGTGAGGCTGGGTTGGGCTGCAGGTACTTGATGGTCCTTGCCAGCATTTCCGTCACCGCCTTGCTGATGACATCTCCATCTCTTTGAAGTCATCGTCCAGCTTGGTCCCCTCAGCCCCTCCGACCTTCTCACTGACCAGCTGGCTTGCCTTGTAGAACTGCTTTTTCAGCCCTGCAACCGACAGGCTGCCTCCCGCCGCAGAACCTCCGCCCGGACCGTGCCAGCAACAGGCTCCCAGGTGCGTGACCCTCTGCACGCCTCAGGGGCCCCACCACGTGCTTGCCAGCTCTGCGCCTGCCCCGGGGCCACCTCGAGTTCATGATTCTTTAGTCTCCTTCAATCTAGATCTGTTCGCAGGATTGTTTTAAAGTATACTGACAAAACTTTGAGACTGTAAGTGACCTGAGATATACATTATCCTTACTTGAGAATAGTAATTTTTCAATATGCTTTAAAGATTACACATGAGCCAAGACAAATGAGCTGGCCTACTTACTTTGTAGATAAATGTGTAAACTCCTCAAGACTTCCAATAATGAACTCCAATAAGGAAATTAGTTCAATGTCTTTATGGCCTTGGTGACAAATGGTTACAGAAAATCAGAGCATTTTTTTCCTATCCACTAATGGTCAAGAAGAAAGCAGACAGATCCTCACTATCTTAGAGAACTAAGTGAGAAAGTTGGTCAATGAAGAGGACTTCATCCAGAGAGGAAGGGATGTAGCTTACAGGGAAGATGCTGTAGGAGGCTGAGGAAAGTGAGGCTAGAGCAGTAAAACAGATCTGACAGCCCGGTGAAGATAAGAAAGTGACCTGACAAAAATGAACGGAGCAGAGTGCCAAATGAAGGGCCCTTTCCATGCTAATCTTGCATAATGCCCTCAACCAGCCTTAGCATAACTGAGTTTCTATTTAGCTTGCCATATTGTGGGGGGTGGTGGTGGCACAATTTAAGTTGCAGTAAGTTGTGTAACAAACTCACAATAGGGCCTTGCAGAAATATATATATATATATAATATATATAAATATATAAAATATATATAGAAATATATATATAGAATATATATATAGAAATATATATAAAAATACATACATATATATATATATATATATATATATATATATATATATATATATTTTTAGGCAGGTTCTTGCTCTGTCACCCAGGCTGGAGTGCAGTGGTGTCATCTTGGCTCACTGCAACCTCTACCTCCTGGGTTCAAGCGATACCCCCGCCTCAGCCTCCCCAGTAGCGGGGACTACAGGAGTGTGCCATCACACCTGGTGAAGATATATATAGATATAGACGGATATATATCTATACCTATATCTACAAAGAAGGCCAGGCATGATGCCTCATGCCTATAATTGCAGCACTCTGGGAGAACGAGGCCGGAGGATCACTTGAGGCCAGGAGTTCGAAACCAGCCTGGACAACACAGTGAGACCTCATTTCTCCAAAAAATAAAAATAAAATGGCAAAAAAACAAAAAAACAATAAACCTCACACCATATATGCAAATTAACTCAAAATGGATCATAGATCTAAATGTAACTACACAATTTCTGGGAGAAGACATATAGAGTAAATCTTTTCCACTTTGGATTAAACAACAGGTTCTTAAAGATTTCTTAGGTAAGAAACAAAAAAGCACAAGCCATATAAGAAAAAATTGCTAACTTAAAGCTGATCAAAATTAAAAACTTCTGCTCTTCACAAAACTTTATTTATTTATTTTCTTTCTTTCTTTATTTTTTTGAGACAGAGTCTCACTCTGTTGCCCAGGCTGGAGTGCAGTGGTGCAATCTTGGCTCATTGCAACCTCCACCTCCCAGGTTCAAGCACTTCTTGTGCCTCAGCCTCCTGAGTAGCCGGGATTACAGGCATGGGCCACCACAACTGGCTAATTTGTGTATTTTTAGTGGAGATTGGGGTTTTGCCACGTTGGCCAGGATGGTCTCGAACTCCTGACTTCAGGTGATCCACCTGCCTCGGCCTCCCAAAGTGCTGTGATTACAGGTGTGAGTCACTATGCCCAGCCAGAGAACACTTTTAACAGAATGAAAAGACAAACCACAATCTGAGAGAAGATATTTACCAAACACATATCTATAAGGCCTTGTTTTTTGTTTTTATTTATTTACTTATTTAATTTTTGAGATAGTATCTCACTCTGTGACCCAGGCTGGAGTGCGGTGGTGATCACAGCTCACTGCAGAGCCTCGACCTCCCAGGCTCAAGCAATCCTCCCACCTCAGCTTCCCGTGTAGCTGGGACCACAGGTGAGCACCACTGCACCTGCCTAATTTTTATGTTTTTGGTAGAGACAAGGTTTCACCATATTGCCCAGGTGGTCTAAAACTCCTGGCCTCAAGCAATCCTCCTGCCTCAGCCTCCCAATGTGCTGGGATTATAGGCATGAGCCACTGTACCTGGTCCCTGAAAAGACTTGTATCTAGAATCTATAAAGCACTCTTTTTTTTTTGTTTGAGATGGAGTCTCACTGTGTCGCCCAGGCTGGAGTGCAGTGGCGTGATCTCTGCTCACTGCAAGCTCCACCCCCTGGGATAACGCCATTCTCCTGCCTCAGCCTCCCGAGTAGCTGGGACTAAAGGTGCCCGCCACTACACCCGGCTAATTGTGTGTGTGTTTGTGTGTGTGTGTGTGTATTTAGTAGAGACTGGGTTTCACTGTGTTAGCCAGGATGGTCTTGATCTCCTGACCTTGTGATCCACCCGCCTTGGCCTCCCAAAGTACTGGGATTACAGGCATGAGCCACCATGCCTGGCCTAAAGCACTCTTAAAACTCAATAATAATGAATCTCCAATGGGATAACAGGGGAAAAAAGCCTCAATAAAAATATTAATATCCAATTAAAATATGGGAACAGATTTGAACAGTACAGTAAAGAAGATATTTGCACATGAACATTCAACATCACTAGCTATTAAAGAAATGCAAATTAAAACCAGTGAGATTCCACTACACATCTAGCAGTAGAAAGGTGAACATTTCTTTAAAAACTCAAATATAAGAATCTGCTGGGCTGGGCCATGCATCGTGGCTCACGCCTGTAATCCCAGCACTTTGGGAGGCCAAGGCAGGTGAATCAAATGAGGCCAGGAGTTTGAGACCAGCCTGGCCGACAAGATGAAACCCCATCTCTACTAAAAATATAAAAATTAGCTGGGCATGGTGGTGTGTGGCTATAATCCCAGTTACTCAGGAGGCTGAGGGAGGAGAATCACTTGAACCTGGGAGGCCGAGGTTGCAGTGAGCTGAGATCTTGCTGCTGCACTTCAGCAATGACTCTGTCTCAAAAAAATATCTGCTGGGCTGGACATGGTGGCTCACGCCTGTAACCACAGCACTTTGGGAGGCCAGGGGGTGTGGATCCATTGAGGTCAGGAGTTCAAGACCAGCCTGGCCAACATGGTGAAACCCTATCTCTACTAAAAATATAAAAATTAGCTGGGTGTGGTGGCGGGTGCCTACAGCTACTTGGGAGGCTGAGGCAGGAGAACTGTTTGAACTCAGGAGGTAGAGGTTGCAGTGAGCCGATATGGCACCACTGCACTCTAGCCTGGGGATAGAGCAAGACTGTGTTGCAAAAAAAAAAAAAAAAAAAAAAAAAAAAATGCTGAAGATGTGGAACAACTGTGACTCTCATACAACGCTGGTGGAAATGTAAAATGGCACAGCCACTTTAGGAAACAGTTCAGCAGTTTCTTAAAAAGTTAAATATACACTAAGCATGTGAAGAATCCAACTCCTAGGTATTTACCCAAAGAAATGAAAACATTGGTTCACACAAAGACCTGTATATGAGTGTTTTTAGGAGTTTTATTCATAATTGCAAAAAATTGGAAGCTACCCAAATGTCTATACATTGATGAATGGATAAACAAATTGATACATCCACACAACTGGAATACTACTGAGCAATAAAAAGGAGTGAAGAGTTGTCCCTCGGTGTCTGCAGGGGATTGGCTCCAGGACCCCCTGCAGATACCAAAGTCCACAGATGCTGAAATATTTTATATGGAATGACATAATACTTGATATAATAAATGACATAAGCCTCGGGTATACTTTAAATACCTAGTACAGTGTAAATGGTATGTAAATAATTGTACCGTGTTTTAAATTTTCTACTGTTTTATTGTTGTATTATTTTATATATTTTATTTTTTCCAAATATTCTCCATCCATGGTTAGTTGAATCCATGGATGAGGAACATGTAGATATGGAGGGCCAGCTGTACTGATAGGGGCAACAACATGGATGGTAGCATAATCTCAAAAAAAATTATGCTGAGTGAGGCCGGGCGAGGTGGCTCACACCTAGCACTTTGGGAGGCCGAAGTGGGCAGATCACTTGAGGTCAGGAGTTCGAAACCAGTCTGGCCAGCATGGTGAAACTTCATCTCTACTAAAAATATGAAAATTTTCTGGGCATGGTGGCACACACCTGTAATCCCAGCTACTTAGAAGGCTGAGGCAGGAGAACCACTTGAACCTGGGAGGCGGAGGTCGTAGTGAGCTGAGGTCATGCCTCTGCACTGCAGCCTGAGTGACAGTGAGACTCCGTCTCAAAAAAAATAAAAAACAATACTAAGTGAAAGAAGTCAAACACAAGAGGCTACATGCTACATGATTTCATTTATAAGACATTCTGAAAAAGACAAAACTAGGAACAGAAATCAGATTAGTAGCTAACAGGGGCTGATGGTGGGAGGAAGGGATTGCCTACAAAGGGAAATGAGGGGCCTTTCTGAGGTGACAGAAATGCTTTATATTGGGAATGTGGTGGTGGTTATGTAACTATACATTTGTCAAAACTCATCAAACTATACACTTATAAAGGGTGAATGTTATATGAAAATTAAATCTCAATAAACCTGACTTAAGAAAATAATAAAACAAACCTAAAAAACCAACTAAGTAAAAATAAATCTAAGAAAAAATAACTTACAGTTTTTCCAGTTCAACAGTCATCGTGAGAATGTTCTTAAGTGTTGTAAGTGTGATGTGTGTTGTTCCCATGTCTCTGAAGAAGAAAGCCGAAACATTCATGATATGAACCCATTACAAAATTCTGTACTTCAAAAGATAATTCAAGGACATGTGATTACTTCTATTTTGGCTTCTCTATAAAACAAGCCACTTCAATAGTTTATTTGCCGTAAAATTCCAGAGAGATCTTATTAAAGAAATTTAAGTTGATCTACGTCATCAAATTAATGATATTTAAGAGAACTTACACTTTTTTTTTTACCATTATCTTACTTCTCATTTCATATTGCATTCACCCATCTTGATTTACTCTTTTCTTTCTTTTTAGAATAATGAACACCTATTTCTCTTTGCTTTCTTGGTTAAGTAATATTCCTCCATGTGTCTACATGTTCCAAATCTATACGGCTTCTTCAACACTAATCTCTTCCCCCGCTGGCTGTCTTGACCATTATACATCCTTTCTTAATCCTTTTCTTTGCCAATAACTTTTTTCAATAACTCAGTTAAAATTTAAATTATGACTTTTTAGCCTAAATGCAAAATACTTTATCTTTGATGACAAATTTAAAAAGCATAAATCATCTCATGACTCATGAGAGTACTATAGTACTTACAGATATTTTAATGCCGGCAGTTCAAAGAGATATGGATCTTCGACAGTAGTCAGAGGATTGCGATTGAGAATTCTGAAAAATGCAATGAAATTAAAATTACCTGCATTTTCAATGTGTGAAACTGCATAAAAAGTCTATATTCATTTTTTGGTATGGAACTTTTAGGTAAAAAAAATAATTTTCTGCTTTTACATAATAAATCACCATTAGACTCCATAAAGCACTATTCCTTTGGGAACTACCTAGGTCTCTAGAAGATAAAGTAGAGGAGAGAAAGCAGGGAAGAAATAGAAAAAAAAAACACACAAGAAATGGATAGGAAAGAAAAAATATGCCACAGAACTTTTCAGGTCAAAAACCCTAGAAATGACAATGTTGGTAGGAAGCCCTGACTCTGTAGGAAACACTATTTCTAGTGTCCTCCATAATACAAGTTGTTCATCTATAATTCAAGTTGTTTTTTTTTTTTTTTTTTTTGGAGATGGAGTCTTGCTCTGTCACCCAGGCGGTGGACAGCAATGGCTCCATCTTGGCTCACTGCAACCTCCACCTCCTGGATTCAAGCAATTCTCCTGCCTCAGCCTCCTGAGTAGCTGGGATTACAGTTGCCCACCACCACGCCCAGCTAATTTTTGTATTTTTAGTAGAGACGGAGTTTCATCATGTTGGACAGGCTGGTCTCCAACTCCTAACCTCAGGTGATCCACCCCCCTCGGCCTACCAAAGTGTTAGGATTACAGGCCTGAGACACTGCGCCTGACTGCTTGCCTTTTATCTTTATAAAGTTTTTTAAATTTATGGTTTAATTTGCACAGTTAAGGAAAAAAAATAGGACCAATTCTTTTGCTTTATACCCAAAGAAAAAGGGATAAATCTAAGAGGAGGAACTGGTCAAAACCATACTCCCATCACATACTCCCACTTGTCTTCCTGTATGACATCACAGCCTTCGTTACACTGCATGTAACCACCTGTCTACTTGTCAGTCTCCTGGGCTATCAGCTCCTTGAGGGCAGAGACCACATCTTATTGTCATTGTCATCACTGTGCCTGGTATGATGTCTGAAATTTACTAGGGATTTAATAAATGTTTATTGAATAAACAAATGACATTTTGTTTATCTGTCAATAAAATGAATAAATTCATTTTGATGTGAATTTTTATTCCAAAATGCTGGAATCTATTTTCTTTTTAATTCTTTAAAGTGAACAAGAAAAAGAAAAGAAACAGGAAGAAATAAAAGAAAATCACGCTTTAGGTTAACCCAAGAATCATCACTGTACTTTTGCAGAAAATATAAAAATAATAATTCTTACAGTGAGCATCTATTAGGCTGCTACGTATTTGTGATCAGCATTTCACATTTCATCCTCACAATAACCTTATGTGGTAGATATTATTATTGCCCTATTTTATAAATGAGGAAACTGAGGCACAGAGAGGTTACATAACTTGTCCTAGGTCACCAAGCTATGAAGAAGCAAAGCTGTAATCTGAACTCACGTGCTTACTCTGTATGAAGAAAAAAGGTTTACTTTAACCTTATGGTTTTACAATTTTTTCTTTTCTTTCTTTCTTTCTTTCTCTTTCTTTCCTCATTTCCCTCCCTCCCTCCTTCTTTCCCTTCCCTCCCTTCCCTCCCTCCCCTCCCTCCCTTCCTCCCTTCCTTCCTTCCTTCTTTTGAGTTAAAGTTTCCATTTATTGGCTGGGCCTGGTGGCTTAGGCCTATAATCCCAGCACTTTGGGAAGCCAGGCGGGTGGATCATCTGAGGTCAGGAGTTCCAGACCAGCCTGACCAACGTAGTAAAACCCCATCTCTGTTGGAGCCTTGCTCTGTCGCCCAGGCTTGAGTGCAATGGCATGACCTTGGCTCACTGCAACCTCCGCCTCCTGGGTTCAAGTGATTCTCCTGCCTCAGCCTCCTGAGTAGCTAGGATTACATGTGCCCGCCACCACACCCAGCTAATTTTTGTATTTTTAGTACAGACGGGGTTTCACCATGTTGGTCAGGCTTGTCTCGAACTCCTGACTTCAGGTGATCCACCCACCTCAGCCTTCAGAAGTGCTGGAATTACAGGCATGAGCCACCGCTCCTGGCCACCAGATTCTGATGTGGGACTCCCACTGTTATAAAGTGCTTAGTAAAGGTGGTGAGTTTAAGACATTTGTATTGATGCTACCCAAACCTCTTGGTGGAGGGACCTAATGAGCCTGTTCTCTGGTGTGAGGGCAAAAGAAAAACAGACCCTCAGTGTGTCTTCCCTAAGTTAAGCATCAGCAAATTAATGAAGACAGAGAGGAGCATCTGCAGAAACTGCTGCTCTAATCCAGACACATCCTGAACACCTCCCTCTACCTCAAAATGAACTGTGTGAAACTAGATTTCTGAACCACAAGAAAGGTGGAAAGTATTTTCTAAAGTCAGATGTAGAGGAGAATCTTCACCTTGAGTCTAAAGTCCCCTTCAGGCCATTGAATATACCCACTCTGATTTGCTGGGTATGTTATACAGAGAAATCATAGAATTTTTGCACTTACGGTAGAAGAGTAGTCAGGAAAGTATATGGAATTAAAGTAGAGCGATGTATTTTCTTTACAAAATTTTTTTTTGCACAATAGCTTAACATAAACACCATTTTGGCCAGGCATGGTGGCTCACGCCTGTAACCCCAGCACTTTGGGAGGCTAAGGTGGGCAGATCACCTGAGGTCACAGGAGTTCGAGACCAGCCTGGAGGGGAGGTTGGAGTGCAGTGGCACAATCTCGGCTCACTGCAACTTCCACCTCTGGAGTTCAAGCCATTCTCGACCCTCAGCCTCCCGATAGCTGGGATCACAGGCGCCTGCCACCACGACCTGCTAATTTTTGTATCGTTAGTAGAGACGGGGTTTCGCCATGTTGGCCAGGCTGGTCTCAAACTCCTGACCTCAAGTGATCCTCCCAAGGTGCTGGGATTATAGGCATGAGCCACTACGCCCAGCCCTACACTTTGGATTTAACTTTGATTCCTGCTCATATGCAGAGTTTCAAACTGCTTAAATGTCTGCAACATTTAGCTGCAAGGAAGAAAGCTTAACACAAAGTCCTCCAGGGAGCAAAAAACTGCATCACTACGCCCAGCTAATTTTTTTGTATTTTCAGTAGGGATGGGGATTCACTATGTTGGCCAAGCTGGTGTTGAACTCCTGACCTCAGGTGATCCGCCCCCCTCAGCTCCTAAAGTTCTGGGATTACAGGCCTGAGCCACCTGCCCAGCAACAAGGCTAATTTGAGGGTCACTTGTTTGATGCCTTTTCTTGCCCATGCCATAGGTCAGAACTAGGACAAGCAGAGCAGGTCATATATAAACTGTGTAAGTCTCTTGGCTGCTTTGTACCTTAGTTTCCCCATTTGAGAAAAACGAATGGATCTTAAGACACACTTTTCAGAGTTCATAATGGGCTTATACCCAGCTAACCAATAATTGTATGAGTTTTTATACAAAATAGTCGTTTACACGTATTCATCTTCTATTTCACTTACAAGTTGTGTAAAAACTGCATTCCGTGCCAGGCCTGAAATGTTCCAAGGCTCAGTTTTGTAATTAAATTGCAGCCCAGATTTCTACAAAAAAAGACATAAGCCAAAGGAAAAAAAAATTATTTCAGAACATTTATCATTTGCTGTGAGTCTAATTTACATAGGATGGAACATCACCTCAATCTTTTCTCTGTGCACTAAGGCAATCTCACTGTGGAAGATACTGGCTTATGGTTTATACTTTAACATTGCACATGTGGTGCATTAGCTACAAAACAGTGAACGCTCAGTAAATACCTGTGTTAAGTGATCTTCATTTCTCTAGAACAGGATTTCACAACTTCAGTACCATCGACATTTTGGACTATATAACTCTTTGCCGTGGGGGTTTGTCTTATACTCTGCAGGATGTTTAGCAGCATCTCTGGCCTCTGCCCACCAGATGCCAGGAGCACAACCACAGTTTTGTCAAGCAAAAGTGTCTCTGGACATTACCAAATGTCACCTGAGTACAAAATCACACCAGTTGAGAACCACTGCTCTCTGATGATTCACTATGATCTGTGTAATAATTCTCACACTAATCTTTGCTAGAGACAAGAAGGACTTGCTATATAATTTTAGTACCTTTCTACTGGTCAAATTTTAATCATATTTCAAAATGAATAGCAAAGAGGTTTATAATTAAGTTTTATAAAAATTCCAAATGTAATAAAGTTATATTTGTAACTTACATATACTGCAAAAATGGTAGTGATTCAAATGTTTGTCTTTCAATATATCGTATTTTATTGCAGGATAAATCTCTAGGAAAAATAAAAGGAAAATATTGCCTTGATAAGTTATCAGTGTTGACTGGTATGAATAATAGCAAGAGTTTAGAATAATATTGAATACACATTTTTCATCTCGACTCTAAACATTTGGACCTGTATTTGAACTTTCCAGAGCTCCTAACCCTGCCTGTACCTCTCCTAGAGTCTCGCCTTCATACTTTTAATAAACAAAATATACAACTTAATAGACTTTGGAATTAATTTTTCCTGAGAGCAGTAGACTTGATTAGATGCCCTTTTGTAGTCTCATCAAATCCTAGATTATGAGCTCAAAGCTTTTATCTCTATATATAGTTTCTAATATTAAAACGAATAGCCTCACATTTATACACCTTCCTAGTTTAGCTTTGTTTTCCTAAGCCAGTTCAGTATCAGAAGAAATAAAAGACATCCTTTCAACAGCATTTGAAAGGAAGTTACCCCTTTACTTAATACATAACTTTGAACTAATATTCAAATCATATTAATACAATTAATTTCTATCATATTAATAGAAATTCATTTTTGGTTTTATATTGCTTTAATATTTCATGAAAGCAGTTTCTTCAGTTATACAGAGATGGGGCTTTTCCCTCCCTCTTTACCTGGATGGTGTAACGTTGTCTGGCTGATGTCTCCATCTCTAGTCTCTCCCTTCCTAAACTATCCTCCACACAGTCATCATATAAACTCTCCAGAAGTGGCTTGCAAAGACCAGCACCTCCTGGGAAATTATTGAGGATGCAAATTCTTGGTCCCACTCTAGACCAACTGAATCAATAACTATGAGGGCGGAGTCCAGAACTGAGTTCTAACGTGCCCTCTCAATGACTGTGATGCAGATCCATCTTACAGCACTGCTGTGATAACATGGTTCCCCATGATGGCTCCTCAGCTTGGCATTCAAAGCCCTGGAAGATCTGGCTCCAATTTCCTACTCTCCCTCCTTGTAATCTACAGGTACTCATGGCATTCCTCGAATACTTTCCTGTGTTTTGCCCTTCTCCCATTTCCCTTTTGCAAGTTTAGAATATTGTCCCCAAGATGTCTGTCCGATGCTACACAATGGCCCTTCAAAGTCCTATTCAAATGGGATTGTTCTAGTAACAGCTTCCTGGGTCCAAACTGAAGTCATTTTCCCCTCTTCTATGCTTCAGAAACAATTTATCCCTCCTAGTGCCCACATCCATTTCTTCTTCTTAATGTAGTTATTGTTCATCCCATTTTTTCTGAGCATAAACTCCTTGAAAGCATGGACTAGGTCTTGATCATCTGCATTGCCCACCATGTTTAAAACTGACACATGGAAATAAAGTAAATTAAAATATTTGTAAAACAAATGAATAGCTGGCCGGGCGCAGTGGCTCATGCCTGTAATCCCAGCACTTTGGGAGGCTGAGGCGGGTGGATTACAAGGTCAGGATATTGAGATCCTGGCTAACAAGGTGAAACCCCGTCTCTACTAAAAATACAATAAATTAGCTGGGCATGGCGGCGTGTGCCTGTAGTTGCAGCTACTCGGGAGGTTGAGGCAGGAGAATGGAGTGAACCAGGGAGGCAGAGCTTGTGGTGAGCCGAGATCGCACCACAGCACTCCAGCCTGGGTGACAGAGCAAGATTCCGTCTCAAAAAAAAATAATAAATAAAAATAAATAAATAAATAAATGAATAGCTGGGGGAGTGAGTAGTAGGAAAATGATTATTTTAAAGCAAATGTAGTTTTATTACTTCATGGCCTCTGTAGCACTTTGGCATCCACTTGAGGGTCTTTACACCCACTTTCCTTAAGCCTTTCACATTTGAAAGAATCTGTCTGCAAAAGAGCATCACTAATAAGGATTAATGACATACACACCTCTGCGGACAGAGGATAAGAATCAAGCTTTCATAGCAATTGAACATAGTATCTTCTTGTCTCTAAACAGACAGAAATACTATGCAGGTATCCCTTTCTTGGTAACAGGGCTGGGGAGATAGTTACTGTGTAATTAGTGAAGAGTTAGGGGCATTTCTGATATGCTTCTTACTGTAAACATTTCTAGCTCTACCACTTAACCATCATTTTAAACATCTGTTTTAATATAACAATTCCTGAAATGAAATCCTTAATACTAGTCTATTCTCTTGGTAGCTTAATATTCTTGATAATATTATTTCTATAATTCAGCTGATTTCAAATATTTAAATGTTAATTTAATGCGATTAAATTACCAAAAAATTCTGGATTAATGATGTTCAAATGAATGTAGGTGGTCTATATTTTCTTCTCCTTTAGGCAACAATCTGAAGTTAACTTTAATTCCTTTCATCCTACTAAACCAACTTTTTCAAATCGTTTTTTGTGAAGGTCAGACAGTAAATATTTTAAGGCTCTGTGGGCCACATATGATCTCTCTCGCATATTTCTCTTTCTTTTTTCTTTCACAGTCCTTTAGAAATGCAAAAACCATTCTTAATAGGCTATTAAAAAATAGACCTTAGGTTAGATTTGATCTACTGGCTGTAGACTGAATAGAAGAAGATGGTATGTAAACCCTTATAAAACAAGGTTCATATGGGTGTCAGTCACTGCTCAGATCTTCTTACCATGTGAAATTTTTTCTGTCTGTATTTTGTCTATACAATTTAAAAACTGAAAATGCATAGGATGTAGCTAATGCTAGAGATGGGCTGAGACCCTATACAAACTTACAGAATTGCAGAATTTTATTGCTGGAAGAAATCTTAGAGATTATCTAATTTGAACCTCTTATTCATTTTAAAGATAATATGACTAAAAACTCAAAAATATGATTAACTAACTTACAAATACTGGAGGTATAGCAGGCCTTCAAATGAATCCTTAGGTAATTCAGTCAAATAATTTTCACTGAGAATTCTGGAAAATGAAAAAGTTATTTCTAGGTTAAAATGCAAACTACAACTATTTGCTACACAGGACTATCTCCTGCATGTGGAGGAAAGCTGGGTCATGGTCATTTCAAGATGGTGGGATCTGCTCTGCTTTCGTTCAAACCTTTTCTTCCATTTTCCTTTTTGTGTTCATCCCTCTCCACCACCACCACCACACACACACAGGCAAGCGCACACACACATTTGCAGGCACACACACACACACAAGCACACACACAGGCAAGCACACACACACAAGCACACCCACACACAAGCACACACACAGGCAAGCACACACACACACAGGCAAGCACACACACACAGGCAAGCACGCACACACACTTGCAAGCACACACACACATGCAAGCACACACACACAAGCACACACACAAGCACACACACACAAGCAAGCACACACGTGCAAGCACACACACACAAGCACACTGCTCCACTCTTCCCACCAAATTGTATCTTTAATGACTCCTCTCTAGATCATAATATACCTTTCAGAATCCATCTCTGGGTGGCACCAAGATCTGCAGAACCTCCATTTCCTCCTCTCTTCTCCCAAACCTTATTACAAAAGCCCCACATGGGACCATGTCAGGGCTGCAAGTGAAGCCATTCAACATTTTTCCCCCATCAAAAAAATTTGAGAACTACAATGTGCGTAAAGTGCACATAACATAAATGTTGTTTATATTTAATTTAATTTAATTTAATTTAATTTCTGAGACAGGGTCCATTCTGTTACCCACACTGGTCTCAGACTCCTGGCTCAAGTGATCCTCCTGTCTCTGCCTCCCAAAGTGTTGGGATTGCAGACATGAGCCACCTCACCTGGCCAAATATTCAGTTTAATAATTATAAAGCAGATACCCATGTAAACATTGTTACAAAAGATTATTGCTAGCATCCCAGAAGCCCCAGTGTGCCCCTTTCCAATCATATTCCTCTCTCTAACCCTAATAGGTAACCACTACCCTGACTTTTGTAATGATTTTCTTGCTTTTAAAATGTAGTCCTGGCCTGGCCTGGTGGCTCATGCCTGTAATCCCAGCATTCTGGAAAGCCAAGGCACATGAATCACCTGAGATCATGAGTTCGAGACCAGCCCGTCCAACATGGTGAAACTCTGTCTCTACTCAAAATAGAAAAATTAGCTGGGCATGGTGGCGGGCACCTGTAATTCCAGCTACCCAGGAGGCTGAGGCAGGAGAATCCCTTGAACCCGGGAGGTGGAACTTGCAGTGAGCCAAGATCGCACCAGTGAACTCCAGCCTGGGCAACAAGAACAAAATTCCATCTCGAAAAATAAATAAAGCAATTCTCCTGCCTCAGCTTCCCAAGTAGATGGGATTATAGGCACCCACCACCATGCCTGGCTAATTTCTGTATTTTCAGTAGAGATGGGGTTTCACCATATTGGCCAGGCTGGTCTCAAACTCCCGACTTCAGGTGATCCACCTGCCTCGAACTCCCGAGGTGCTGGGGTTACAGGCGTGAGCCACTGCACATGGCATGTGTTTGATTTTTAATTTAGAACTCATGTATGTCTTGTCTATATAAGTCAAACTAATGATGTGACACAAACTGTTGTGAAAAATGTTACTTTGAATGTAAGCATTTTTTCCAAAATCATTTATGTGTCTCAACTAATTCCTTCTATAAATCAGGAAGAAAACGATAAAACAATTCAACAGGAAAATGAACAAAGGACAGAAAACTCAGAGAAGAAACACAAATGTTCAATAAACATATAAAGATATTTAATTAAATTCATGAGTGATCAGAAAAATTCAAATTTGGATGGAATCCCTTTTATTCATCCATAACTTCAACAAAAAGCTGGCAAATTCCCAACAGTGAAAAGGTGTGGGGAAATGAATGCTGTCATATTCTGCTGACAATATAGTCAGTTGGCACAACATTTTTGAGGACAATTAAAATTTTATATCTACATAGTCTTCACCCCAACTCTTCCATTTCTAGATATCTATGCTACAGGAATACTTGCCCACTAAGCATAAGCTCAACATTCATCAATGGGGAAATTATTAAATAAACTATGATGCATCCATACTATGGATTATGCAGGAGTTTAAATGAATGGGGTGACCCTCTAAGTCCTAGGAAGGAAAGAAATTATGAAGTGAAAGAATATCATATAAGTGATACCATGAAGTGAAAGAATCAAGTTGCAAGATGTTACCCTTTATGAAAAGAAAAAAGATTTTAAAAACCACACAACAAATCTATTTTGCTTTATGTAAATATGTATGTAGGTAAATGGGGAAAAGTCTGGAAGCATGTATACTAAACACACAGTAGCATTACCTCAGGGATGAGGGAGTAGGGCACAAGGAGGGTTTTTGTTATACCTGTTATTGCATTTTTATACATTAAAAATAGAATCATGGGCTGGGGGTGGTGGCTCATGCCTATAATATGAGCACTTTAGGAGGCCAAGGTGGGAGGATCACTTGAGCCCAGGAGCTCAAGACCAGCCTAAGCAGCATAGGAAGAGCCCGTCTCTACAAAAAATACAAAATTAGGTGGGCGCGGTGGCATGCACCTGTGGTCCCAGCTGCTTGGGAGGCTGAGATGGGAGGATCACTTGTGCCTGGGAGGTGAAGGCTGCAGTGAGATGTGATTATGCCACTGCACTCCAGCCCAGGGGACAAAGTAAGACCTTGTCTCTGAAAAAAAAAAAAAAAAAAAAAACGAGGAAAAAAAAGAATATAACCATGTATTATTTGTATGATAAAAAATAAATTTAAATTGCTTCTTATTTTAGAGAGAGCCTACCAAATTTAATTTTAAAATAACCATAGGATTGCAATCCACAGAGGCTGATTTGGGGTATGGAGGGGAAATATCTTTTCTCAGAGGTATGGACCTCAAAATTCTGGACCAAGAAGGATCTTACAATGCAGTTAGTTTTTTGTCATATTTGGAGAGAATATACTCACAGTTTCTCGGTCCAACTGTATGCTTTCCATACATTTCCATCAAGGTATGAAATATAGTTTCCTTGGAAATTTCTGCAAAGAAAGACAGTTTATATCCTTGAATAGGCACGCAAAGAATGAACAGGATAAATAAAAGAATCATGGCAACCTTGTCGGGGATATTCGGAAACAGAAAATAACACCTGCTTTCTCATTTCCAGAGCTATCAGCTTCCCAGTTTGCACACTTCATCAAGAAATAATGCGGGGCCACTGGCACAAATGATGAGGCATCTCCCGGAAGCTTAACTTCCTATCCATCCCATCTCTTGGACAGACGATGCCAGTTAATTACTTTGAATGTAAGTATTTTATCCAAAAGCACTTATGTGTCTAAACAAACTCCTACAAATCAACACAAAAATGGTAAATAATTCAACAGAAAAATGGGCATAAGCTTATCTTTATCGATAAATAAGTAGAAAGAAACCCCATGCCAGGCAACACCAAAGCTTTGCCCTCTCTTGAAACATCCTAGGCTTTTTCTTTCCACTCTTATTACAACTGATCTGATTTAGCCCCTTCACACTTTACTCCTACATTTTGCTAGACCTTTCTATTTTGTCTCCCTGAAATAAGCTTTTCCTTTTGGGCACTCTACATATGGATTCTAAAATAATCCTTTGCATGTCTATACTTGAACATAAAGCAAAAAAAACAAAATAAAATAAAATAATCTTCCTGTTTTAATCATTTAATCTCTCTTGCTTGGAAACTTTCAATGGCTTTCCATACCTCATTGTGTACTCTTTAAGACCCAAGTAAACTTTTAGCTTATCCATGTAGCTTTCCCTGATCTCCACACCTCAAGGACCACAGATTCTGGTAAATTCTAGCACCGATGGTATGCATTATCTTTCAGGAATTAATTATATACACCGCCCTTTTTATGCGTATTCTCTCTCTTCCCTCCTATCATTTTAATGTTCTGCGGACAATAGCATACTTGGTCCTGGGTTTGACACAAAATGAGTGCTACATATAAAAAGCCAGGGACAAAGAGGAGTTCTGGACATAACTAAAGGACAGAGTAATCATGTTAACAGCCAACACTCCTACATATGCTAGGCACTGATGAAGTGTTCCATGTATTCACTCACCTAAATTTCACAACAATCCTATGAAATGGTAACTAGCATAATCCCCAGTTTAAAAGGAGGAAATTGAGTCACAGAGCAGAATAACTTGCTCTGGATCACCAAGCTAATAAACAGACCTGGGTTCAAACCCAGGCAGCCTGGCTCCAGAATCAACTCTTAACCACTTAGAGCATCATCACTGAGATTGGGAGAGTGACAGGCTGCTGTAAAGAGGGTGAAGCGGGCCAGGCGCGGTGGCTCACGCCTGTAATCCCAGCACTTTGGGAGGCTAAAGTGGGTGGATCGCCTGAGGTCAGGAGTTCAAGACCAGCCTGACCAACATGGAGAAACCCCGTCTCTACTAAAAACACAAAAAATTAGCCAGGTGTGGTGGCGCATGCCTGTAATCTCAGCAACTCAGGAGGCTGAGGCAGGAGAATCACTTGAACCCGGGAGACGGAGGTTGCGGTGAGCCAAGACCATGCCATTGCACTCCAGCCTGTGCAACAAGAGCAAAACTCTGTCTCAAAAAAAAAAAAAAAAAAGAGGGTGAAGCGAAAATAGGAGCAGAGCAGCGGTTAAGCAATGATGTGATGGGGTAAATAAGAACGGATAAGAAAACGAGTAAGAGTAAAAGACTGGAGAAAAAGTAAAAGACTGGAGAATGGGTCTAACATTAAAGGAGAATGAGGAGAAGGGAGAATTGACAGGCAAAGGTGAAAGCAGAAAGTCACTTGTCAGTATGGCTTGGGGAGATAAAGAAGGCCCAGGAAGGCCTCCAGGAAAAGGCTGCCATGTCAGGCAAGACACAGAGGATGATTGAGGAAAGGTGATTCTTACAAGGTGGTGAAGATGCCATTGTAGGTGTCGGGCTCTGGCACAGGCACTTGGCGGAGCCTCTGCTTTGGGCTGAGACCAACACATGACAGAGTCTCATCTCCGCAGGTGCAGAGCTCACATATGTTGGTGCTTGTGGAGGCCTTCTGTTCCTCTGGTGCAGTTTCAGACTGCACCAATGAATCCTGCGAAGATTCTAACTTTGTAGGTGGACCTGTGACTTCAGTCAGGCTTCGATGCAGAGTCTGAACCTGGTCTGGATGAGGAGCTCTAGTCTTCTCCAGGGCTGTGGAATGTCCAATCTCTGTAGTGGGTTCTGGAGTTATGGCAAGCCCCGGGTCTGGAGGCTGAGCTGAGGTTTCCTCCGTGGTTGGAGACGGTTTAACCTCTGTAGTAGGCTCTGTAGTTATGCTAAGCTCCAGGTCCAGAGGTTGAACTGTGGCTTCAGTCAGGTGTGAATGCTGAGCCTGACCCTTGTCTGAAGGTGGAAGTGTCACCTCAGGGTGTTCTGGAGGAGGATCTGTAGTCCTCAGGGCTGTAGAAGAAGGTTCCGCCTCCTCGGGAGGCTGAATTGGGGCCTCCTGCTGGGCTTGGGTAGATTCTGTCTCATTTTTAGGCTCTGAAGTCATGGTAACCTCCACATCTGCAGGTTTGACTGTAAACTTGGGCAAATTATAATGAGCTTGATCCTCACCTGGAGGTTGAACTGTCACTTCATGATTCAGTGGAGTTTGAGCTAGACTCTCCATAGAGGACTCTGGAGGCAGAGCTGGGGCCTCCTGCTGGGTTGAAGGTTCTACCTCCTGAGGGAGCTGTAGAAGCTGCGCTGGGGCTTCTTCCTGGAGTGAAGAGGACTGGATGTCTTCAAGGGTCTCTGGATTTTGACTTTTGGGCTCTAGATGGAATTGAGAAAGTCCAACTTGCTCAGGAGGCCCTGGAGGCTCATCTGCGTTCACCCGGAGTTCTGGAGGTAGGCTGCCGGGATACAGTGTGTCCATACTCAAATAATCATCTGGCAAAGTCTGTTTCTGACGCTGAGGTTTGGATAATTGGTGTGGAATCCCAACAATCTCAGGAAGGCTCCAACGTTCAGCTAGATCTTTCTTCAGGTTCTTGGGCGAAACAACAAATTTGGTTGGTCTTGAAACCTTACTGTCTAGTGGAACAAGTATTTCATCTGCCTGATGACCTGCAGCCCGATCTAGATCTGTAGTTTGAACCCACTTGAGGCGAGGAAGCTGAACTAGGGCCTGGTTCTGATCCCGGTTGAGAAGCGGAACCACCTCTGGGAGCCTTTCTTCTGGAGTCCGCTTGTCATTTAAGTCCTGATGTGCAGCCAAGAACGGCTCTGGCCCCAGGGGCAGCTCTCCAGCTGAATCCAATTCCTTCAGGAATGGAGCCAAATTTTCAGTTGGTTCCTGAGGCAGGGCTGACATCTGCGAAGAAGCAGAGGGCCCCAGGTAATCAAAGTCCCCC
Source organism: Homo sapiens (assembly GCF_000001405.40). Taxonomy (NCBI): domain Eukaryota; kingdom Metazoa; phylum Chordata; class Mammalia; order Primates; family Hominidae; genus Homo; species Homo sapiens. The sequence continues at coordinate 32,021,352 of NC_000017.11, read as the reverse complement.
GGGGCTGCTGGGGGAGCAGGTGCATGGGGAGATTCCCATGGGAGATGGGAGGAGCGGGAAGACCAGGGCTCAGGTGGCCCCAGGGGGTTAGAGGTCAGCTGGAGCGGGTCCTTGACCCACACCAGAGGCTGAGCCTCCTTGACTAGTAAAGACAATAGTTGCCACGTAAGGAGGGGCCATGGGCCCCAGAAACGCAGCCAAGACATGACACACGCTGGTGCTATGCACTCAGCAAAAGCCATTCTGGCAGCCCTGAGATGCTCATGCCCCTTATAAGCGTGTGCCATGCCCTGTCTTTATGACACCTTTATTTATGTCACCTTTATTAGGCTTGGGTCCAGATCTGTTCCATGTTACCAGGGCAACCTTATGTCACAATCCCGCCCAAGCGCCCCTTCCCACCCCGCCAGGCCGGAACACCCCTCCCCTCCCCTTAGTGAGGAAGGATTTGGGCCGCAGACCGGGGTGGTCCCAGGACTCCAGCGGCCTGCTGTGGTGGGGTGGGGTGGGGTGGGGGCACGGCAGAGCTTCCCAAGGAAGTCACGGGACCTGGCCTTGGGATCTTCAGAAGTGCTAGTCCAGTTCTGGCAGCCTGAATTCTTCCTCCTCTGAGGTGAAATCCGAGAATACTCTTCCTTCAGGGGAGAGCAACTGACCTGCAAAATGGGCGCCAGTTAGGGTGGCAGGCAGGACGCGCGTTACAGTCATTTATTCCAAAATGTTGCCGTTTTCGCTAAACTGTCGCATGTTTGATAATTAATTCACCACCCTATTAGGTAGGGGCTGCCAGGGAATAAGCGAGGACTCCAGATTTTCTGTAGGAGGGGTGTTGGGGGTGGGCAATTCAGTCTGGGAGAGAAGGCTTCAATCCGAGGGAACAGCCCTTTGCACCAGCCTGGGAGGAGGCTGAACTGTCATCCTGCCTTAACTCAACACAGCCATTACCCTCGAAGTTACAGCGCCACCCTTCAGAGATCTACCCTGTGTGCACACATGGAGAAGAGGCTTAGGTTGTTAAAGTCAGCATGTTAAATCATTTCCTGAAATGCGACTATAACTAGAACCCAGCTGACTTCCCCCACAGCCCTTACCTATTTTATTACTGTCTGGCACAATTATCAGCATGTAAACCCCAAGAAGGAGCTTCATCTTCTTCCAGTGCCTAGCACAGGCACGGGGTGCATAGTGATGGTTTTAAAATTGAAGGGGGGCTGTGCACAGTGGCTCACACCCATAATCCCAGAACTCTGGGAGGCCGAGGTGGGTGGATCACTGAGGTCAGAAGTTCCAGACCAGCCTGATCAACATGCTGAAACTCCGTCTCTACTAAAAATACAAAATTAGCCAGGCGTGGTGGTGCATGCCTGTAATCCCAGCTACTCAGGAGGCAGGAGAATCCCTTGAATCTGGGAGGCAGAGGTTGCAGTGAGCCGAGATCGCAACATTGCCCTCCAGCCTGGGCAACAAGAGAGAAACTCCGTCTCAAAAAAATAAAATAAAATTGAAGGGATTCCAAGATTCGCCTCATTTAGGGATGGATCTATTGTTATAATCAGATTTCTGAAATCAGTGCTAACTTCCTCTCACATTTCACAGGAAGCTAGACTTCTTAAAGCTGGAAGTTTCCTTGGTGGGTTTGATTTAAATTGAATTAAAATAATTATTTTACAGGGAAAAACTTCAAAACACTTTGCAACTTTGGAGTGAAAGTTAAATAAAACACTCTAGCCCCAAATTAAGTTCCCATTGAAATGAAACTTTTGCTCCCTTTTTAAAAAAAAATCCATAAATAGTAAATAATTACTGTTTTCTTTTGAGATTAATTTAGAAATTTAATCCCTATTTAAGAGCTTTCATATGCAGTCATGCATTGCTTGCCATGTGAAGAGCTTGAGAAATGTGTCAGGTGATTTCACCATTGTGCTAACATCATAGTGTATACTTACACAAACATAGGTGGTGTAGCCTACAGCATACCTAGGCTATGCGGTATAGCCTAGGCTACAAACCTGTACTGTATGTTACTGTACTGAATATTAAAGGCAACTGTAACACAATGGCAGGTATTTGTGTATATAAACATGGAAAAGGTGTAGTTAAAATACTGTATAAATGATAACAATGGGGCCCAGGCGCAGCGGCTCGCACCTGTAATCCCAGCACTTTGGGATGCAGAGGTGGGTGGATCACCTGAGGTCAGGAGTTCGAGACCAGTCTGGCCAACATGGCGAAAAACAGTCTCTCCTAAAAATACAAAAATCAGCTGAGTATGGTGGTGCGTGCCTATAATCCCAGCTACTCAGGAGGCTGAGGTAGGAGAATCACTTGAACCCAGGAGGTAGAGGTTGCAGTGAGCTGAGATCGTGCCATCGCACTCCAGCCTGGGCCACAGAGTGAGACTCCATAACAACAACAACAACAAAGATAAAAATGGTATGCCTGTGTAGGGAGAGCTCCTTTATACTCCTATGGAACCACCATCATGTATGTGGTCTATTGTTGACCGAAACCTCATTTTGCAGCACGTGATTGTAAATGATTGACAGAAAGATCTTCAGCAAAATAGTCCACCCAAGGTATACGGGAGATAATGAGATCCAAGCAGTAAGCCACATTTGAAAGGCATTATAGTTTTTGAAAGCTGTAGCACAATCAGTCTTAAGGCCAGTTACATTCCCCCCACATCTCTGGTATCTTGTTTGAAGGGAGTTCTAAAAAGGCCTGTGTTCAAGCAGCCCAGCATCCCTTACTCCTGGGGCCGGGGGAGACTAACCCCTCTCCTGTGTCCACAACTGTAGTAATACAGTCCTCAGTTTTGCTCTCCAAACTTCAAATAAGGGGTCAGAACCAAGGGTCAAGACTTTAGGAAAAGCCCCAGAAATACCCTGCACTCAAAAAGCAGTTTCAGAGTTTCACATTTTCCTGAGAATGAAACAAATTATCCTCCAAATTCTGCTGCTTGTTTTGAATTATGGTTACACTGGCTATGTTATCTGACCCTTGAGTTTTGTTTTGTTTGTTTTTTGAGATGGAGTTTCGCTCTTGTCGCCCAGGCTGGAGTGCAATGACATGATCTTGGCTCACCACAACCTCCACCTCCTTGGTTCAAGCGATTCTCCTGCCTCAGCCTCCAGAGTAGCTGGGATGCATGCACCACCGTTTCCCCCATGTTGGTCAGGCTGGTCTTGAACTCCCAACCTTAGGTGATCCACCCGCCTTGGCCTCCCAAAGCACTGGCATTACAGGTGTGAGCCACTGCGCCCAGCCATGTTACCTTTGAGTTTTTATCTCCACATACTTGAATTAAACTGTGTAGTTCTTCCCATCTGACATCTACAATCTCTTCACTGGGTCTGCACTCCACAGCTATTTTACCACTTTCTGAAATAAAGTAAGCAAGTATCAATTCAGAATCTTTTTCATTCTAAAACTTCCTGAATATAATGGTAGCACCCCACAATGAGACATTCTTTTGGTTTCTAAAAGCAGAAAATAAGAGCATTTTCCTGGAAGTTTCCTCATCATATGCTTCGTTTTTTTGTTTGTTTTCTGTTTTTTTTGGAGACTGGGTCTCACTCTGTCACCCAGGCTGAAGTGCAGTGGCACTATCATAGCTCACTGCAGCCTGGAATTCCTGGGCTCAAGTGATCTTCTTGCCTCAGCCTCCAGAGTAGCAGGGACTACTCCCCTCTGCCCGGCTAATTCTCTTTTTTAGAGACATGGTCCTGCTTTGTTGCCCAGGCTGGTCTCGAACTCCTAGCTTGAAGTGATCCTTCTGTCTTGGCCTCCCCAATTGCTGAGATTTCAGGCGTGGGTCACCATGTCCGGTCTCACAGCTCAGTTTTTAACGTATGTATGAAATATCAACTGTGTTTGGTTCAAAGGACTTTATGATCTTACAGATAAGAACTAAGGAATAATAACATAAGAAATGAAAAATGTGGACACAAAAATGTTCAATCACAATATGATTAAATGGTAAGGCATCAGGTGGGGGGTCGAAGTAAGTTCAAATCCAAAATAGAGACCATGGGCTGGTAGACACTTCACATTAGAAGCATGGCTAGGTATCATCTACTCCCTGAGAACCAAAATTCCACCAGACACAGTGAACAAAGCTTCGGAGAGAGAGAACATTTGAACATTTTATTGGCAGAAAATGGCCCACATGCTCTACAGACAATACAACTTCCTTCAAGGCAAACTAGAGCTATAATGCTTTTGGTCTATGAAGTTTTCAGTGTGTGCAAGGGATACCTTTGCATAAGAGGGAGAGGTAAACAGCCCACACATTTAGCTTGGTTATTAAAGGTCCTCCTTCCCTATAACCTGATAGGTTATTTCCCCTAAGATCCAGATGAGTACACATTAGATGAAATTCCAGAAGTTATCTTCAAATTTTGCTACTCATTGAATGTCATGAAGATCCTGGAAACAAAAGAAAAAAACAAGAAACAACCTTGCTACTCAACAAGGGATTGATACTATCACATTTGAGAGAAATTCAGAATCACAGGCCTAAACCCAGGCCTACTAAATTAGGATCTGCAGTTTCTCACAATCTTCAGGTGATTTCTATGGTCATGAAAGTTTGAAAAGCTGCCTTGAAACAGTCCTTCCTAAAACTGAAGTGGAGGTGCAGCAAAAATCATCTGGTAAATTGTTAAAAGTCATCTCAAATGCAACCCAAATTTACAGAATCCCAGGTGAAGCTCAGTAGTCTGTATTTTTATCCTTCTCCCCAAATAATTCTGATGTGCAGGCAAGTTTGAAAACCACTGCGTTCAAGAAAATGGATACTCCCCTTACCAAGTGGAAAGTAGGATTTTGGAAACTCATGCAAGGGAAGCAAAAAGATGCCTCAGGAGGCACGATTACAACAGGATTGATGCAAACGGAAGCCAAAGCTTAACCACGGACATTAATATACGCCTACAAAAGAAAATGCTAAGGAAGTCAAGTGGTCTGCATGAATTCTGAAGAAAAACGGAGAACCAAAGACCAAAATTTGTCAATGAATTTCCAGCACAGCCCCAGGTTAAGGGAGTGAATTTCTTGACTGAATGACACAGACTCTGGACCACCTGATCGGTTATTACCTTAATGGAGGAATTATATTACAATGTATAGGTACTTTAATTAGAATGACCTGGCAGTTACTGAGGCAAAATTTTCTGTTCCTTTGTATTCTGTAACACAAGAAGGATCTACATGGATGTTCTCTTCTCTGAACTGTTTGGATGAACTAGTCAACGGCACTCATCATGCCTTGGGTTTTAAATCTGCATTGTGGTCATAATCTGTTATTTAATTAATTTCTCATATTTTTAATAAAAAGTTTGCCTATATATTTTAGACAGAAATTATCTTACTTTGCTGAAATTCTGAGAAATCCTAGACGGTTTTCAAGGCCGGGCTCAAATGTCACCTCTACTACCCTTTGCTGTGCCTCCTGGCGCTGTGCTTCTGACACTTTGTACGGTCCTCCATGACAGCGTGAGCACGATTATATTACAGGCAATTACTCATGCCCCCCTGGCTCATTTGTTGACTCCTTTAGAGCACAGATCATGTTTCAGTTATGGTAGTAACTAAAACAATATTTGTTCAACCAATGACACCCATAAACAAAAGTACCCGCCGAGGGCAGAGGTGCAGAGGTAAAGTCATGCCAAGATTAAATCCCAGAAACCATTGTAGATTTTTCCGAGTTGACCCATACATTTATTGTATTAATTCTTTAAAAAAAATTACAGTGTTTTCAGACTTCTAGACTTCAAAAGACAACTCTCTGTATAATGTATGTTTCTAGAAGGAAAAAGTGTAACATTGTCCCCTTGTTTCTAATTGGTATCTGAGAAAAGAGGCCTCACTCAATATTGGTATAGGGAAGGGGGAAGTTCATTTCCAGCAGAAGTTAATACTCCAGAACTAATAAAATCTAATTATTTAATCTGCTATTACACATCTATAAACCATGAATGGCATATCAAGAAGGAATAATCTGTGATGCATTGAAATCTTTTAAAAATTATGAAACTTACTTGTCAAATGTTACAAGGATTCACCTTTTGATGTGGAATAGTGTCCCAATCTGGTATTAACATTATTACTGAACAAGGCTGTGCTCTTTGAGTACATTCCATTTGCCCCCAATCCCTATCTTCTGTGTCAGTAATAATATAAAAATCACCAGCTAGCTTTTACAGGTGCTTTCTTTTTTTTGAGACAGAGTCGCTCTGTCGCCCAGGCTGGAGTGCAGTGGTGCAATCTTGGCTCACTGCAACCTCCACCTCCTAGGTTCAAGCCACTTGCCTGCCTCACTCCCAAGTAGCTGGGATTACAGGAGTCCACCACCACACCTGGCTAATTTTTATATTTTTTGTAGAGATGGGGTCTCACCATGTTGGCCAGGCTGGTCTCAAATTCCTGACCTCAAGTGATCCACCCACCTAGGCCTCCCAAAGTGCTGGGATTACAGGTGTGAGCCACCATGCCTGGCCTATAGAGTGCTATTTGCCAGACATTGTGCTGAGCACTTTAAAGTGCATTATCTTATTTTATCCTCAGATCAGCTCCATAAAATAGCTACCATTATTACCTCTACATGTATATAGATATATGTATCTATCTATCTATCTATCTATCTATATCTACATACATTGGAAGTCTCACCAGGGTTCTAACTTGTGCTTTCAACCACCATACATATTTTAAAGAGCGTAAGAGGAGAAACAACCATTTGTGTTTTAAAATTTTCCCAGATACCATTTCTGCTGCTCTTTCTTTATCTCTGAAGTTCTAGTATTACCACTGGTATAATTTTCCTTTGGCCTAAAGACCTGCTTATACATTTATTTTAGAGCAGAACTTCTGACAACACATTCTCTTAGATTTTCTTCATCTGAAATGTCTTTTTTTTCTTTTTGCCTTAATTGTTGAAGGGTATTTTTGCTGGATATAGAATTCTGGATTGACATTTCTCTCAGTACTTTAAAGATGTTCTGCAGTTACTTGAATCGCTGAAAGGCTTAAAGCTGGGGACCGGCTCTATCACACACATGTTTTACAGAAAGGTTCATTACTTTTATATCTTCATTGTGGGCCATAGCCTTTATCATCACTAGATCTTTGTTTCATTTAGGAGTTTTTAAATTTTGCTTTGAACCTAACTTTTGTAACTCCTTTCTTTTTATTTCCTACAATGTGGAGTTTATCGGGGACAACATAGGCAGTTGAAATACATAACTGGAGTTTAGAAGAGAGGTCTAGGTAGGAAAATGGATCTAGAAGTCATTGATATTTTGGTGGTAATTGAGTCAACTGATAATTAGGGGAAAGTTGAGGAAACTAAATGCTGAGGACTATCACATGTAAGAGGGATGTTTGAAGGAGGAATAACTGGTCAAGGAAATTGGGTCATGAGTGGCAACAGGAAATTTAAGAAGGATGTAGTGGCCAAAGGTATCATACATGCATTGTATATGTATATAGATATATATCTTTCAATGTATGTGGATATATGTCTACATACATATACAATGTATGCATGTAGATATACATTGAAAGTATAGATACATATCTATATACCTACATACATTGAAAGTGTATATAGATACACACACACACACACACACACACATATACAATTATAAGGGAGGGGGACTAGAATAAAGAAACCTATATGGTTGCAATACTTTGACGTTGTATTTAGAGGTAAAAGGCTAACTCTAAGTAGGTAGGTTAGGTGTATATTTTGTAATTCCTACAGCAAAAACATAGCCCAGATATGACCAAAAGCCATTTAATAAAACAAAACACTAAAAAATATTCAATTAATCCAAAAGTAGGCAGAAAAAAGAAACAGAAGAAACCCCCCAAAAAAGAGATAATCAGAAAACAAATAATAAAATAGGAAACCTAAATCCAGTCATTATCAATCGTATTAAATGTAAATGGTCCAACACACATTAATTAAAAGATGCTGTCAGATTACATTTAAAAGAAAAATAAAAAAAACAAGAAACCATTTGAAAATATAATGATGTGGCCAGGCATGGTGGCTCACACCTATAATCCCAGCATTTTGGGAGGCTGAGGTGGGCAGATGCCTTGAGCCCAGGAATTCAAGACCAGCCTGGGCAACATGGCAAAACCCCATCTCTATTTTTATAAATTGAAAGTAAACGAATATCATGATATATAGATTAAAAGCAAAAGGGTAGGGAAAGATATGTCATTCTAACACTAGTCAAAAACAGTATTATGTTACTAATATAAAACACTAATTTTATATTAGTATTAAATAATGGTTTTTTGTTTGTCTGTCTGTTTTCAAGACGGGGTCTTGCCCTGTTACCCAGGCTAGAGTGCAGTGGCACGATCTCGGCTCACTACAACCTCTGCCTCCCGGCTTCAAGCAATTCTCCTGCCTCAGCCTCCCAAGTAGTTGGGATTACAGGTGCCTGCCACCGCGCCTGGCTCATTTTTGTATTTTTAGTAGGGACGGGGTTTCACCATCTTAGCCAGGTTGGTCTCGAACTCCTGACCTCAGGTGATTCACCCTCCTCGGCCTCCCAAAGTGCTGGGATTACAGGCGTGAGGCACCGCACCTGGCCTGTATGTATGTATTTATTTGAGATGGAGTCTTGCTCTGCTTCCCAGGCTGGGATGCAGTGGTGTGATCTCAGCTCACTGCAATATCCACCACCTGGATTCCAGTGATTCTCTTGCCTCAACCTTCTAAGTAGCTGGGACTACAGACGTGTGCCACCACACCAGGCTGTTTTTCTATTTTTAGTAGAGACGGGGTTTCGCCATGTTGGCCGGTCTGGTCTTGAACTCCTGACCTCAGGTGATCCACCCGCCTTGGCCTCCCAAAGTGCTGGGATTACAGGCGTGAGCCACCATGCCTGGCCAAATAATGGTTTTTAGTATAATGATTATTACCAGAAATAAAGGTTATTTCAGAATGATAAAGGGGTCAAATAATCATCAAGAGGACAAAACTGTAAATGTTTCTGCATCTAACAACAGGGCCTCAAAATACAGGACGCATAAACAGACAGAATTTCAAGGAGAAAGAGAACAAACCCATAACAATCGTTGTAGACTTCAACACTCCTTTCTCAGTAATCACTAGAACAAGCAGACAGGAAATCAGCAAGGATAGAGCAGACCTTAACACGATCAACCAACTTGACCTAATTATTACTTATGAAACACTTTACCTAACGGCAGCAGGACACATCTTTCCTATTACAAACTGAACACTCACCTAAAAAATGTTTCAGGCCATATACAAACCTCTAAATTTTTTTTTTTAATTCATCATACCAAGTATGGTCTCTAACCATAATGGAATCAAATTAGAAACCAACAACAAAGATATCTGGGAAATCCCTAAATGTTTGAAAATTAAACAATACGTTTTAAAACAAATCATGGGTCAAAGAGTAAGTCATAATAGAAATTTTACTATATTGTGAACCAAATGAAAATGAAAATAAAACATATATCACAAATTCTAAGATATGTTTTTAAAAGTGCACAAAGGGGCTGGGCGCGGTGGCTCATGCCTGTAATCCCAGCACTTTGGGAGGCCGAGGCAGGTGAAACACCTGAGGTCAGGAGTTTGAGACCAGCCTGGCCAACATGGTGAAACCCCATCTCTACTAAAAATCCAAAATTAGCTGGGCGTGGTGGTGGGTGCCTGTAATCCCAGCTACTCGGGAGGCTGAGGCACGAGAATCATTTCAACCCAGGAGGTGGAGGCTGCAGTGAGCCAAGATCGTGCCACTGCACTCCATTCTGGGCAACGGAGCTAGATTCTGTCTTAAAAAAAGAAAAATGCATAAAGGAGCACAATGGTTTAGCCTGGAATCCCAGCACTTTGGGAGGCCAAGGCAGGAAGATTGCTTGAGCCCTAAAGTTCAAGACCAGCCTGGGCAATATAGTGAGACCTCATCTCTATTTGAAAAGAAAGAAAGAAAAATCAAAGAAAATGAGGTATATATGCACGATAGGATATTATTCAGCCATTAAAAAAGTGAAATCCGGGCCGGGCATGGTGGCTCACACCTGTAATCCCAGCACTTTGGGAGGCTGAGGCAGGCGGATCACGAGGTCAGGGGTTCGAGAACTGACTGGCTAACATAGTGAAACCCCGTCTCTTCTAAAAATACAAAAATCAGCGGGGCGTGGTGGCGGGTGCCTGTAGTCCCAGCTACTTGGGAGGCTGAGGCAGGAGAATCGCTTGAACCCAGGAGGTGGAGGTTGCAGTGAGCCGAGATTGTGCCACTGCACTCCAGCCTAGGTGACAGAGCAAGACTCCATCTCAAAAAAAAAAAAAAAGTGAAATCCTTCATCTATAAAGCTAGAGGTTTGGAAAATAAAACCTATTTGCAGCAACATGGATAGAACTGGAGGACATTATGTTAAGTGAAATAGGCCAAGGACAGAAAGACAAGTATCGCATATTCTCATTCATATGTGAGAGATTAAGAAGTTGATTTCATGGAGATAGGCAGTAGAATGATGGTTACTGGGGGCTGGGAAGCAGGTAGGGATGAAGACAAGTTGATTGATGGGCATAAAAGCACAGTCAGATAGAAGGAATAAGTTTTAGTTTTTGTTTGCACAGTAGGGTAACTAGAGTCAACAATAACTTAGTGTATATTTTAAAATAGCTAGAACATTTGTTATCTTCCCAATACAAAAAAAAGGATAAACATCTGAGATGATGGATACCCTAATTAACCTGATTTGATCATTACACATTGTATGAATCTATCAAAATATTACATGTACCCTTATAAATATGTACACTCTACCTTAAGGAAACAGTGAAAAAAGAAGGTGTGGAACAACAACGACCACAACAAAATCAAAGAGGAAAATCTTTGTGAACTTGGGTTGGTCAGGCCAGGAATCAGCAAACCATGGCCAATCCACTACCCGTTTTTGTAATAATCAAAAGAATAACAATATAATTGATAATTTGTAAATTATGTGAAATTCAAACTGCAGTGTTCATAAAGTTTTATCGGAACAGCTATTCTCATTCTATAGACATTACATATTGTCTACGACTGCTTTCATTGCTACAATGGCAGAGCTGCAACAGGGACAGCAAGGCTGAATATTTACTATCTGACCTTTTACAGAAAAAGTCTGGCAAGATCTGGGTTAGGCAGAGTTGTTAGATGAACAACAAATCTGTAAAAGAAAAAATGTGGTAAAGCAGACTTCATCCAAATTTAAAACTTATGCTCTGGGAAAAAGACACTGCTAAGACAATGAAACACAAGGCACAGATGGGGAGAAAATATATGAGCATCACAGAACCTAACAAAGCACTTATATCCAAAATATATAAAGAACTCTTACTACCCAATAAGAAGAAATTGGCCAGGCATGGTGGCTCATGTCTCTAATCCCAGCACTTTGGGAGGCCAAGGCAGGCAGATTGCCTGAGCTCAGGAGTTCAAGACCAGCCTGGGCAACACAGCGAAACCCCATCTCTATTAAAAATACAAAAATTAGCCACACATGGTGGTGGCATGCACCTGTGGTCCCAACTACTTGGGAGGCTGAGGTGGGAGGATCACCTTGAGCCCAGGGTCGAGGGGAATGACAGACTGCAGTGAGCCAAGATCATGCCACTGCACTCCAGCGTGGGTGAAAGAGCGAGACTCTGTCTTAAAAAAATAAAATAAAAGAAGAATAACAATAAAGAAAGCAACCCAATTAAACATCTTAAATAAAGATTTTGGTATCTTGGCCAGGCATGGCGGCTCATGCCTGTCATCTCAGCACTTTGGGAGGCCGAGGCAGCAGATCGCTTGAGCCCAGGATTCAAAATCAGTCTGGGCAACATATCAAAACCCCATCTCTATTTAAAACAAACAAACCAACAAAAAACTAGCCAGGTATGGTGGTGCACACTTGCAATCCCAGCTACTTGGGAGACTGGGAGGTGGGAGGATGGCTTGAGCCCAGAAGGTGGAGGCTGCAGTGAGTGGTGACTGTGCCACTGCTCTCCAGCCTGGGCAACAGAGCAAGACTCTACCTCAAAAAAAAAAAAGATTTTAGTATTTTTCCAGAAACAATGATATACAGATGGCAAATAAAAAGATGCACATAAAAAGAGGCTCAGAACCATTAGTCATTAGGGACAAGCAAATTAAAACCACAAGGAGCTACCACCATATACTTACTAAGGTGGCTAAAAAAAAAACCAACAAAAACTGACAATATCAAGTGCTAGGGAGGATACAGGGCAACCGGAACTCTTCATACATTTGCAGGTAAGAATGAAAAATGGTACAGCTACTTTGGAAAACAGTTTTGGCAGTTTCTTATAAATATACAACCCGGAAATCATACTCCTAGGTATTTACTCAAGAGAAACAAGTCTGCGTTCATACAAAAAACATGATGGAAATGTTTGGGGCAGCTTTATTCATAGCTGCCAAAAACTAGAAATAACCAAAACAATTTTGAATCGGATGAATTACCAAATTTGGTTGGATCTTGTTTGGCTTTCTGCTTTGCTTTTTAATCAGCCATTTACCAGCAACTGTTGCACTAGCCCGTCAGCACTCGAAGAATAAAAACAAACACACAGGACCAGGTAAAGTTCCCCTACTAACCAAAATGATCCGTTTCCTTAACACAATTTAAAAACCACAGCTAGGGGTGTGAACACAGGCATGTTTTTCTGTGTGTCTGTGTGCCACAATCTGTACAAATCCTTAATTCCCTTTTAAGGAACAGATATATAATGAAAATCCGAAAGGAAACACATTAGAAATGCAAAGAGGTTTGCAAAACAAGAGGCTTCTTTCATTCCAGAAAACCACACCAAAACAAGGGGAGAAAAATGAATGCAATGGATATGTGTTTGCCAAAGTTTCAATCCTGCCCGGTGGAGACACTGCACTGGCACAAATTTTGAGGAGAAAAAAAGGGAGTTGGGGGGACGGGGAGCAAGCGAGTGCGGCCTGCAACAATGCAATCTCCATTTTGAACAATGTGCTTCTTTCCTCTTATAAATCTAGTTTTTTGCCACTTGATGTGCCCTCCCATTTCCCCTCTAAAGTTTAGGGGTCGGCGGGGTTGGCGGGAGATCGGAGCGGGATGCACAGCACATAAGTGAGCAAGGGGGGAGGGGAGAGGAGGTGGGGAATGAGTCTGCAGCAACTGCGCTGGGTGGGTACCTGGAGTGCTGCTGAAGCTGCTTTCCGTGGAGTAACTGGCGTCCTCGTCGTCATCTTCCAGCTCCTCCGGATAATCGGAGTCATCGTCGTCCTCCTCCATGTCATCCTCCTAGTTGTCCTCAGACTCCTGGGTCTCCTCGGCATCGCCGCCCCCCTCCTCTTACTCCTCCTCCTCGCTCTCGTAGTCATCATACACCACTCTGTTGACAGCCCTCCGGGCTGCGGTGGTCCGGGCTAGGTGGCTGCCCCCGCGCCCCCGCCGGGCCCGTGCGCTGGTGCCGGCGCGGGGCGGGCCGGCGGCGGTGGCTTCCTCCGGCTACTGCTGCCCACCCTGGGCGAGCTCAGCCGCGTCTTGGGCGCCACCTCAGCCTGGCGGCTGCCCACCTGCCCCGGCTACTACCGCGTATCGGCGAGGGGAGCCCCCGATGGGTCCGGACGTGGGCGGCGGCGGCGGCGGGGCCGGGGCGCAGCGCTCCGCAGCGGGAGCCGCGGGCTGCTTGGTCGGCCTGCCCCGCCGGCCCCTCTTGTTGGAGCCCAGGCGGCGGGAGAAGGGAAAGCTGACGGGGAGGGCCGGGCGCAGTGGCGGCGGTGGGGAGCGCCGGGGCCGGGTTGGGAGGCCCGAGGGGCTGGGCGGGAGGGGCCCGGCCGGCGGAAGCGAGTGGAGGGAGAAGGCTCAACCGAATTGCTGGGGCCCCACTCAAGATCGCCTTCAACCGCCACCTTGTTTCTTCCCTCTACAGGAGCGCGGTCACGTGAGGTGCGCCGCCGCCCAGCCTGGGAAGGGGGCGAGGTGGCGCGGCGGCCGCTAGGGGGAGCGCGGGAGCATTGAGTCGGGGGCGGAGAGCTCGGGGCGCCTGGACTTGGCGCAGCACGGCGCTCCGGGTGCGGGTGGCGCGGCTGAAAGAGGCCCGCAGCTCCTGACAAGCCCCGCGTCTAAGGCCTTCGGAGACCACAGTCTCCGCGGACCCCTGGCTGGAGCCCAAAGCCTGCCGGGTCTCCTTCCCGCGACTCCCCTTCCGCGGCTCGGAGAGGAAGGCAGGAGAGCCCCCAAATATCGTTCCCCTCCCGCCCTCTAGGGAAACTGAGGCTGAAAGAGGCAGCGAGAGAAAGAAAAAAAAAGTCGCGGAGGGGGGCGGCCCGAGCGACCTAAGGGACGGGGCAGCGCCAGCGACCGAGGAAAATTAGTCGGGGTGGGGTACAGGGAGACAAGCCCCCAGAATTTAGGAAACTCCGAAGCTTGGAAGTGGAGTCCTGAATTGACTCCGATGACAACTGCTCCGGATCTGTGCCAGGAGCCACACCCCGGGCTGCCACGCCTGGAGGGAGGGGGGTCCCTAAGACCTGTTGCATGGGATCCCCACTCGGAAAGCCTCAGTAAACTCCAGAATGCAACTACTGCATGTTCCAATCTCCCGCCACCTTCCCAGTGTCCCAGCTAGGAGCCTGACCACCTTAGCAAGAACTTACCTCTCCTTTGCAGTGGAAAAGAGGGAATCCTGCCTAAAACCTACTTCACGGTGTTACAGGTCTGTATTATCGGGAAATAACCTTAATTTATTTACCTGACAAATCACTAGGTTTGAGCTCAGCCCAGGGGACGAATCATGGTGACAGTTCAGGCACCCTCAAACCTTATCACAGGGACTCAACCCTGAGTGGTTGAGGTCAGTTCTTCAGATAAGAGAAAGGTTTGCCGGGCACAGTGGCTGACGCCTGTAATCCCAGCACTTTGGGAGGCCGAGGCGGGCGGATCACAAGGTCAGGAGTTCGAGACCATCCTGGCTAGCACAGTGAAACCCCATCTCTACTAAAAATACAAAAAAAATTAGCCGGGCGTAGGTGGTGCACGCCTGTAGTCCCAGCTACTCGGGAGGCTGAGGCAGGAGAATGGCGTAAAATCCGGGAGGCGGAGGTTGCAGTGAACCGAGATCGCGCCACTGCACTCCAGCCTGGGAGACAGAGCGAGACTCCGTCTCAAAAAAAAAAAAAAAAAAAAAAAAAAAAAAAGAAAAAGAAAGGTTTCGTAAACATATGTTAATATTTATTGAGATAAGTGACAACCAAAAAGTAATTTAAACAAAAATACTTGGCCGGGCGCGATAGCTCATGCCTGCAATCCCAGCCCTTTGAGAAGCCAAAGCCGGACGATTGCTTGAGGTCAAGAGTTTGAGACTAGCCTGGGCAACATAGCAGGACCTCGTCTCTAGAAAAAAATTGAAAAATTAGCCGGGCATGGTGGTGCGCACCTGTGGTCCCAGCTACGCCAGAGGGTGAGGGGGCAGGATCGCTTGAGCCTGGGAGGTGGATGTTGCACTGAGCCATGATTGCACCTCTGCACTCCAGCCTGAGTGACAGAGCAAGACCCTGTCTCAAAATTTTTAAAAAAGAAAGAAAAATACCTAATAGGAGATGGCTTATTTCAATCTAGTTAGGAAAATGGAACACATATGTGAAATGAAAATTAAAATACAAGCACTAATTGCCAAATACATGCATTCAATACAGTTTGGTTGAGCTCTAAGGGTGGCAAATGTGTGTTATGTCTTCAGGGACTAGGTAAGTAATGTAAGTCAATAAAGTAGACAAGGTGAAGACCTAGGCCAATGGAAATGCTCATATTTTGTTTGAAGAGGGTGGCCAGGTGTGGTGGCTCAGACCTGTAATCCCAGCACTTTAGGAAGCCAGGTGGGTGGATCACTTGAGCCCAGAAGTTCGAGGTTAGCCTGGCCAACATAGTGAAACCCCATCTCTACTTAAAACACAAAAATTAGCCGGGCATGGTGGCATGTGCCCATAGTCCTAGCTACTCAGGAGGCTGAGGCAGGAGAATCGCTTGAACCTGGAAGGCGGAGGTTGTGGTGAGCGGAGACCATGCCACTGCACTCCAGCCTGGGCAACAGAGCGAGACTCCTTCACCACCCCCTCCCCCCCACCAAAAAAAAGAGAAAAGTTAAACAAAATAGACCAAAAAAACCCAACTCTTCTTTGAATGGATTAGCAGGTATTTGCTGTTTTGCTCCTTTATGCTTTAATGAATTTATCTTTCTGTGGCTTCAAGAAGAAAAATGTTAAGTCAGTGAATACTGTATAGGTTGAGCATCCTTACCTAAAATGCTTTGGATCAGAAGTGTTTTGGGCATTTTTGGAATATTTGCATTCTACTTACCAGTTGATCATTTCTAATCTGAAAATCTGAAATGCTCTAATGAGCATTTCCTTTGAACAGCATGTTGACACTCAAAAACTTTTGGACCTTGGAGCATTTTGGATTTCAGATTTTCAGAATAAGGGTACTCCACCAGTATCCTTTTATCTATGATTTAATATAGCCCTTCTTTCTTCAGAATTACTGAGTGACTCATTCCTGTAATGCTGCTGAATTTTTATTCATTTACTACCTTAACAATAATATTTAACATTTATTGATCACTAATGTGCCCAGGCACTATGGTAGATGCCTCATCATTATACTTTTAAGTCTTATAGTGGCACACAGGCAGGTTTTATTATATCCTCATTTTACAAGTGAGATAAATAAAATGTCTTAGAGACTCAGAGAGGTTGTGTTTTGTCCATGTCCACATATCTTCTAAGCACATTAGCCTATTTAAAGCCAGATCTCTCCAAAAGCCCAGTTTTTTCAGTTCCCTCAGTTTGCCATTGAGGAAACAGGAAAATCAGACTCACTGTCATCAATTGCCTCACACATACTCTTGAATTGCTTTTGAGTGGGAACAGAAATACCATTATGTGTGTTCCTCTACATCTAGTCCTAGACATTAATTTGCCTTGTTTCTTTTAAGTTAGTGACCATCTCTGTTGAAGTCTTTAAATCCATTAAAAGTGAATGGAACCTTAGGAGAGTTTTAGGCTGGAGAGGAAGCTCTTCTCTTCATTTTGGGCTTCGATTGTCCCGAAGAAAAGGGATGAGATATTATTTGAGATAACTCCTTCAAGAACCAGAACTTAGCAAAGCGTTTACACCAGTTTGATGGAAATATTTCTAAACTATATTATAAAATTAGCCAGGTATGGTGGCACATGTCTGTAGTCCTAGCTACTTGGGAGGCTGAGGCAGGAGAATTGCTTGAACCTAGGAGTCTGAGTACGCAGTGAGCCATGATGGTGCCACTGCACTCTAGCCTGGGTGACAAAGTGAGACCCTGTCTCTAAAATACATTTATTTTATTCTAAAATAATTCTAGGCTGGGTGCAGTGGCTCATGCCTATAATCCCAGCACTTTAGGAGGCCGAGGTGGGCAGATCACAAGGTCAGGAGATCAAGAACATGTTGGCCAAATCCATCTCTACTAAAAATACAAAAATTAGCTGGGCATGGTGGCACATGCCTGTAGTCCCAGCTACTCTGGAGGCTGAGGCAGGAGAATCGCTTGAACCCGGGAGGCCAGGGGTTGCAGTGAGCCGAGATCGCGCCACTGCACTCCAGCCTGAGTGACAAGAGCAAAACTCCATCTCAATAAATAATTAAAATAAAATAATTCTAAATACATTCGGCTCATCATATTGTTACATTGATGATCTTAAAGTTGATTGAGATGTAGCTGAAACTGGCTTCCACAAAGTACTCTCATATGGTTCTGAATTTTGAGGTCATCTTTCTCTGTATCAAGTTTTTTAGATGTCCTTTCTCAGAGTAAATCAAGTTTGAGTAAGACCTGCAGGGATCTCTTGTGAGCACATATATTGAGTTTTAGTGCATAAGCTTTAACTTTTCACTGGGTAGATGAAACTGTCAGAAAAGTGGCATTATGTCTAACATATAAAGTATTTCCCCATTTTTAAACAGAGAAGATACAGAAAATGAAAATGAAAATAAAATTTGGTACTACAGCACAAAGGTCCAGCTTGCAGAATTAATTGACTGTCTAGACAAAGATTATTGGGAAGCAGAACTCTGCAAAATTCTGGAAGAAATGCATGAAGAAATCCGACACATGGACATAACTGAAGACCTGACCGATAAGGCTCAGGGCAGTAACAAATCCTTTCTGGTGACAGCTAATGGTGAGAGGGTCATTTTCTCATTTTATTTTTGTTAAGTCTGAGCTAAACTGTTGGTATGAAATCACTGCAAAATTTGAAAATAGATTAAAAAAAATTTTTTTTTTTTTTTTGAGATGGAGTCTCGCTCTGTCGCCCAGGCTGGAGCGCAGTGGCACAATCTTGGCTCACTGCAACCTCCGCCTCCCAGGTTCACGCCATTCTCCTGCCTCAGCCTCCTGAGAAGCTGGGACTACAGGCGCCCACTGCCACCATGCCCGGCTAAATTTTTGTATTTTTAGTAGAGATGAGGTTTCACCGTGTTAGCCAGGATGGTCTCGATCTCCTGACCTCGTGATCCAACTGCCTTGGCCTCCCAAAGTGCTGGGATTACAGGCTTGAGCCACCGTGTCCGGCCAAAAATAGATTAAAATTTTCAAGTACAGTCATGCATTGCTTAATGATGGGGATACATTCTGAAAAATGTGTCATTTGGCGATGTCCCGATTGTGTGAACATCATAGAGTACACTTACACAAACCTAGATGGTAGGGTTTCCAACACACCTAGGTTATACGGCATAGCCTATTGCTGCTAGGCTGCAAACCTGCACATCATGTGACTGTACTGAATCCCGTGATCAGCTGTAGCACAACGGTAGGTATTTGTGTATCTAACCATATCTAAACATTTAAAAAGGTACTACATAAAATCTTATGGGATCACCGTCATGTATGTGGTTCCTTGTGGACTGAAACATTGTGCAGTGCATGACTGTGTGTATATTTTACTTTAGTTCTCCGTATTTCATTTTCCCAAGAGAACCTTGTTCATTCCCACATAAATTAGGGATGCTATATATTTTAGTGTTTTATTTCTGCCTTGGGTCATTACTAATATTCCCCAAAATGTTAGTTTAATTCAAGTATCTTATTAAACTTTTTTGGCATTCCAGCTTTTAAGAAATATTCTTTTTGAACTTTTTGCTTTTAAAAAATAAAACTTTAAAATTTTAGGATAGCTTTAGATTTATATAAAAGTTGCAAAGATAGTAGAGGGTTTCCGTATATCCTGTACTTGGTTATCCGTTATTAACGTCTTAGATTAGTGTGGGATATTTGTTACAACTAATGGGCCAGTGTTGACACACTGTTATTAACTCAAGTCCATACTTTACTCAGATTTCCTTAGTTTTTACCTGACGTCCTTTTTCTGCCTCATGATCCTATACCACATGATATTTAGTCATCATGTTTTCCTCTAGACTGTCGGTTTCTCAGACTTTCCTTGTTTTTGATGGCCTTGACAGTTTGGAGGAGTACTGGTTAGGTATGTTGTAGAAAGCCCTCCTTATGGGTTTTTCTTATGGTTAGCCTAGGTTTTTGCATTTTGGGGAGGAAGACCACAGAGGTGATGTGCAGTTCTCGTCTTATCAAGAGTGCATGCCGTCGTCGTGACTTATCACTGATGATGTTAACCTTGGTCCTCTGGGTGAGGCAGTGTTTGTCAGGTTTCCCTACATCCTCCCCCATCTCCTCAAACCTCCAATACTGTAAGTCACTGTAAACAGCCACACTTACTGGGTGGGGAGTTATGTTCTACCTTCTTGAAGGGGCAATATCTACATAAATTATTTGGAAGTTTTCTGCACAGATTTGTTTATTCATTTATTTTTTCAGACATTTATTTCTGAGTATAGATTTGTGGATATTTTATACTCATTGGGTTATAACTGGTTATTTATTAGGTTATAATTCAATGTCACCTTATTTGTCACTCAACTCTGCTTTTCATTTTTTTTTAGGTTTTAAAAACATATATACCTTAAAAGTTTAAATAGTATAAAAAGGTATGCTGTGAAAAATGAATCTCTCTCCTTCATTACTCTGAACTATAAATTTTTAAATATTTATGTAATACCATAAATGACATATTAGTTGTAACTGCTGAAAGCAGGATTTCACATTAAGATTTTCCTAATTTCTTATTAGCTCTGACTCATTTGAGGCTGAAATCTTACTATGCTATCTAAATCAAAATTTTAATGTACATGTTAACAATGCATAATAACAAAAAAACCCCAAAACAGAATACAGCTTTTATATTATTGAACTTTATGTACAAAATCATTTGATTTCAAATAAACATTTAATGTAAAAACAAATGTTCTTTTAAACTGAATTTTTTTTACATCTACTGTACCATTCAAATGCTTTATCATCTTACAGGATTTCTTCAAAATCTGTTATCAAGGGTACATATAGAAAAGCACTTTTTTTATAAATAGAAACAAAGGGATTTTTTCAGCTTTTACGATGACATAAAAAGTTTACTCAACAGAAGTAATTTTATTACTATTTGGGGTGGGAATCACCAACTTTTTGTGCAAACAATGCTAGCCTTCTTTTAAGCATTAAGAGCATAACTGCTTAAGAAATGACATAAGCAATAATTCTACACCTACATCTCCCCTAAAATAATCTTTTTTTTTTTTTTTTTACATATGTGCACAGCTTTAGCAAATTAAAGCCCGAGATAAACGCTCGAGATCTACTATCCAGAGGCAAAAATCAGAGTTTACTAGAACTCATCATTTGGAGAGCTTACCAATCAAGGAATCTGTAATGAAAGCTGCAGTTTCCCTCTTTCCTATTTTTTTTTAAACACAAAAATCAATGACTAAGAACTTAATACTGGATGACAAATCACATCCACACTATTCGTTAAATAGCCTCACAGTTAAACACATCTTAAAGACCAGTCAAATCAGTATTTACATTTTATAAATTTCTGAAGACACCATTAGAAAGCTTATATATCCCTTCATTAAACAAAATAGGGAACTGCATCTGATGGTGGTGGAATGAAATTTTAAAATTAAAAATACCTGTATTTACAGCAGCATTGATCCTTTATAAATAAAGAATATGAAAATGCAATATCTTTAAGGATAATAAAAAATTGAGGTGATGTTACTCAACCACAGTGCTCGGAGTTGGAATAAAAACCTATTGGTGCTTGTTAATGTGCCAGTAGTGAATCCACTTTCTGTTGGAGAAAATCCAACTGCAAATATGTGCGTGAAACACATATAACACAGGGCAAAATTGCTCAAAATGATTCAAGTCAGCTTATCTCTATTGGATATTCTATTCATGAAACACATTACAAAGACATCCTTGCAAACAAATAAAAGGCATAACAGTTTTCTGGTTGACTTTTTAAGAACACTTCTCCCCTTATAAGTGACATCTTAAAATCTCAAATGCGTTCTTTCCTTGGTTTGCAATCCTAATTTAAAGATATGAACAGCTTAATTTTCCGTGTGATTATCTAATTAAAAAAGAAAAACAAAACAAGCAAAATGTTCAAGTTAAAAAAAAAAAACATACCGGGTGAGCAATGCACTAAAATTATCCACATGAAAACAAATGGTCTGTAATCTTATAAACCAACATAGCATTTCACTGTCAACAATGTGAAAATTTAATATCTTCTCAAACAGGCATAAGATGAAGAAGTGCTATTTTTTAATTGTAAAAGGAACTTATGTAATGTAAAATTACATTATAATTTTTCATTCCGAATTGACAAATGATTTCAAAAACAAGGATCAAAGTTTGACTGCAAATAGTAATGCAATATAATTTCATAAAAATCCTTCAATTTCTATTTTTTTCCTTTTCTGTAGTTGACATATGAAGACCACTTCAATTTCTAAAAAAGGGAACCATTCCAATTTTCCCTCCCCAAGAAAATGTCTCACAATTACAAAGTAGAAAAACAGCCGTTCATAAATGCAAAAAAATTCTGATTTATATATGAAATAATTTCTAGATCAATTCAACATATTTGATGACATTTGTTGAGTTTAAAAATACTTTGAAATATTGCTTTTCATGCTTAAAGTACAGAATGTTTTAATGACATCAATAAAAGTGATATACATGTAATGCTGCATAATGAAGTGAAGTAGAACCCTGATACAAATATCCTTGTTGAAATCATTTACTTCATCTAACAGTGCCTGTTTGGAACATATGATTAAAAACAAAAACATAATTCTTAGAGGATGAATTCCCTAAAATGTAATTTCAGTGTTTGTCCATAACATGGGGTTAGAGCTTTTCAGAGTTTTTGTTTTTTGCTCTGTTTTGAAACCCCTGAGACACTATCTGTTTCCAAAGCTTTCTCTTTTGAGTTAATTTCACTAAATCCATTTGCTGTCCCATTTTGTTCTTCAGTTATTTCTTCGTTTGCAGGGGAAGCAGATTCCCCCTTTTCTAATTTTTGCTGCATTTCACGGAGCTTGGTAACAGCTTTATCTATTGACATTATGCTAATAAGATTAAAGTCATGCATGCTGACTAGATGAAGCATGAAGTTTCGACATAAATTCTTCTTAATTATTTTCTGTCCATAATTTTCTACAAACAGCATACAGGCATGATTCATTTGATTGTCAGCAATAAACCTATTTAATAAAAACAGAATATGAATAGCAATACAAAGCATTTTTGTCAAATGCAACAGTGATAACCATTATAATAAGACTATATCCAATTCCAGTAAAATAAAAGATGATTAAAGAAGCAGTAAAACTATAGAGAAACTGAAATTCAATCATCTGAATGAGCTTACCATTTTAAAAATTTCAAGAGATTTAATCTAACTTAAGCTTAAACAGGTACCATTAGAACAGCAGATATAATTTCTGTTCTTCAATTACATAAGCAGTCTTAAAAGCATAAAATATTTGGGCCAGGTAATTACGCCTGTAATTCTAGCACTTTGGGAGGCCGAGGTGGGTGGATCGCAAGATCAGGAGATCAAGACCATCCTGGCTAACACTGTGAAACCCCGTCTCTACTAAAAATGCAAAAAATCAGCTGGGTGTGGTGGCGGGTGCCTGTGGTCCCAGCGGCTCCGGAGGCTGAGGCAGGAGAATGGTGTGAACCTGGGAGGTGGAGCTTGCAGTGAGTCGAGATCACACCACTGCACTCCAGCCTGGACGAGAGAGAGAGACTCCGTCTCAAAAAAAAAAAAAAAAAAATTTAGTAGAGACAAGGTTTCACTGTGTTGCCCAGGTTGGTCTTGAATTCCTCAACTCAAGTGATCCTCCTGCCTTGGCATCCTAAAGTGCCAGCATTGTAAGTGTGAGCCACCACACCAAGCCGGGAACATACTTTTAGCCACAAAGGAATAAGAAACAAAAATTGTTCTCCTTTCACCTCTATGAAATGGTAAACAAATCCAAAAAGCCACGTTTTATTCTGAAAAATTAACCAATGGTTAAAAATTGTGGTAATAACTGTGGTAATTTTCAGGATTTCCAGACATGAAACACGTGGCACTAAAAGGCATGAAAATTGGGTCATTAAATGAACCTACAGCTCTGTCTTGCCTTCTGCTGCTCCCTGGTCGTGGGTCCCACCAAGGTGGCCTTTTTTTTTTTTTTTTTTTTTGGAGATAGGGTCTCACTCTGTTGCCCAGGCTGGAGTGCAGTGGTGCAATCTTGGCTCACTGCAATTTCCATTTCCCGGGTTCTTCAAGTGATTATAGTGCCTCAGCCTCCCGAGTAACTGGGATTACAGGTGTGTGACACTGCACCCGGCTAAGTTTTGTACGTTTAGTGGAGACAGGGTTTCACCATGTTGGCCAGGCTGCTCTCTAACTTCTGACCTCAAGTGATCCACCCACCTTGGCCTCCCAAAGTACTGGGATTACAGGCATGAGCCACTGTACCCAGCTCTATAAAATGTTTTGAGTGTGAACGAGTCAACCCTGATAGAGTTTGCAAGCATGGGAGAAACACTACTACGAGAGTTAGGATGGGCACCAGTGATTTCTGAGGAGGTTCTATGATGATGACACCCTTTCCTACGGACACCAGGGTTGCAGCAGCCTGTTTCCTCTTGAAAGCTGACAGAATCAACAACCCTGATAAATAATGCTGCGATGACTCACATCTGTGCAACAAGTTCTAAAGGCAAGGCCCGGTTTTTGCCTTGATTTTATTAATACTAATGAATATAATATTAATTCATTGTTATAAATAATACCAAAAGGAACGTCTTTGTACCTAAAAAAAACCTGCCAAACCAAAAAACATTGGAATAGAATAAAATTTGGGACAAATATACATTAATGGAATTTTAAATAAGATTCTAACACACGTAAGATTTCTAGAATGTGAAACAGCAAAAGACCATAAAGAATAATAAAATATTTAAATTAATTTAGAAATACCCTACCCATGCTTCATGACATGGAGATTCCAGAGTTTCATCACTTCTTTCTCTCCTTCATTAACATCAGAAAACTCTTCAATTTGCTGGGAAAAAGAAAGAAAAACACCTATTAAACACATATTTTAAGAAAAACTTGTGAGAATGTCAAAAACAGAATGTTTTGGAACTAAAAATACAACATATTTATACAGCAAAGTGGCAACATTTCTTAAAATTAACTTCTATTTAAGTAGTCATTTAATTTAATTTATTTATTTAGTTAGAGACAGAGTCTTGCTCTATCGCCCAGGCTGAAGTACAGTGGCACGATCTCAGTTCACTGAAACCTTGACCTCCCGGGTTCAAGCAATTCTCCTGTCTCAGCCTCCCGAGTAGCTGGGATCACAAGCACGCTCTACCATGCCCAGCTAACTCTTGTATTTTCTTTTAGTAGAGATGGGGTTTTGCCATGTTGGCCAGGCTGGTCTCAAACTCCTGACCTCAGGTGATCAGCCCAACTCGCCCTACCAAAGTGTTGGGATTACAGGTGTGAGCCAGCACACCTGCCGTCATTTAAAAAGGGAAAGCCTAAATTACGATTACCTATAAATATAGAAATGAAAACACACAATACAAATTTACTTGAAGAAAATCCATATTCCCTTTAACTTGGTAACTTTTTTGTTTGTTTTGATACAGGGTCTCCCTCTGTCACCCAGGCTGGAGTGCAGTGGTGCAATCTTGGCTCACTGCAACCTCCATCTCCTGGGGTTAAGCGACTCTCCTGCCTCAGCCAACTGAATAGCTGGGACTACAAGTGCATGCCACCATGCCTGGCTAATTTTTTGTATTTTTAGTAGAGACCGGGTTTCACCATGCTGTCCAGACTGGTCTTGAACTCCTGAACTCAGGCAATGCGCCTGCCTCGCAAAGTGCTAGGATTACAGGTGTGAGCGACCGCCACCAGCCTAACTTGGTTAACTTTTAAAGTGACATAATTTTAAAACCTGTACATTTCCGGATTCCTTTTTTTTTTTTTAAAAAAAGTTCCTTTACAATAAAAGTCTAGTTCATAGTAAGCAATTTTCAAAACAAAATAATATTCCAAGATAATTGCCAATAAAGATAATAATAATTACTGTAATGGTTTTTTCTCTTAGCCATTCAGGATCCTTTTCATCTTCACTATCTACTTCCATTTCTTGTGGACGGAGAGGTAAGCAGGTATCACTATGGAAATACAGACGATTGTGGCCACTACTATATGTTCTTTGCTGTTCTACTTCCCCATCTTCAGATTCAAGAAATTCAGACATGCTTGCTTTTGTTCGTTTTGGCCTAATGAAAAGAAATAAATGTTGATTTATGGCCTCTACATGTATACCATCTAACCTCACGACTAGGAGTTGAGATCTGTGATAATCTGCAACATCACCCTTTTATAAAACTAACCATAAAACAATAGTATTAGAGGCACACCCCCACTAGTTATTTTCTTTTGGTACATAATGTAAATCAAACCTATTACATATTAATTCAAACACAAACTGTCTTTCTGGGTGTGAAAAGTTACAGTTAAAAAGGAGGAAAAAGAAATGAAGTGCTAGTTAGGGCACATTCAGATAGGAATATGCATATAAAATCCTACATGTCAAAACTGTGTATTCTAACTCATGTATATTCACAAAGCAGAAAAGCCGTTAACACTGGTTACATATGCATACACCTGCCTTAAAAATTTTTTCAGTTTTACTAAGATTAAAAATTCCCTCTTTGTAATTTTTTTATTACTATTATTATTATTTGAGACGAAGTTTTGCTCTTGTTGCCCAGGCCGGAGTGCAATGGCACAACCTCGGCTCACTGCAACCTCGACCTCCCAGGTTCAACCAATTATCCAGAAACTTCTGACAGAATTCTTTAATCCCAAACCACTGCAGCAGTAGTGACATTAACATCATTAAAACTTAAGTATAAAGTTCAAAGGAAAAGTGAGAAAACTTCTCTGTAGAAATAGGAGCTATCAAGTGTTATAAAGTAGTTAACAACCCCATAGACACCTAATACTGAAAAATAATAATTTCCACCTAACGAACTAGTAGCTTCATCTGGCTCCTTTGTTCCTCCAACATCAGTAAAAATCAGAGCTTAAACTTTTCTTATATGCCCTTTTTACCTACCTGCACACAAGAATATGTGTGATAGGTGTTCTCTTAACTGGTCCGTTGCGACTAAAAGCAAATCCAGGTTGGCGATGAATATCCTGAGGATTTCCTGCATAGGAGCCATCATAACACTCATTGATAGAAACATCTATCCTAGCACCTTTTGGATGATACTGCAACAAAAATGTAAAAAAAAAAATATATTAAGTATCCTATCCTAAATATCCCTCCAATTTAATTAAAGAATTTGTGGGCTCTTAATATTTAGAAAACTAAAATAGGCCAGGCACACCAGCATGGTAAACAGGCAGTCAGAAGACCTGGGGTCAACAAAATGTGTTAAAATCTTAACTATGTCATTTATTGCTTGGTGACTTTGTACAAATTATTTCTTGGTTGAGCAAGAATAAGAAAATTATCATTTAATTCAAAGAGTTGGTTGAGGATTTTGTGAGTCAATTAGAGACACTACACAAACATTAATTATAATTCCAAATATATGTCAACTCTGAATCATTCACTGTAATCCATATATACGGCAATCTATCAAATACAGAAATTTGTTTTTTATACAAAGTACAATTTTTGAAAGTCATGCTATCTTGTACTTAATGCATATTTTTTCCCTTTTTTAATTTAAAAAATTTTTGTGGGTACATAGATGTATATATTTATGGGGTACAAGAGATTTCTTAACACAAATTGAGAAAATATGAAAAATTACTCACAACATAGTTGAAGATAAATCTGCTATGGCAGAGTTTAAGATGCTTGAGTAAACTATAAAGTTTGCGGCAGTTCAGAGTACACCAAGGGCAATGCAGGTCATCTCTTGCTTCAGTTTGTTGCCTTGTATTGTTGTTATAGAGAAACTAAAAACAATTAAAAAAAAAAAGCAAATCTCCAATTTACGCATAACAAGATATTTTGTTTAAATATCACTTCTAAAAATAGTTTAAAAAATTTAAGCGGAAAATCAAATTAGAGATATTCTCTTTAATTAAATATGCCCAGTGACGCGAGGTCACTCACGCCTGTTAATCCCAGCATTTTGGGAGGCCAAGGCAGACACTGTCAAATGTATCGCTTGGAGCTCAAGACAAGCCTGGGCAACATGGTAAAACCTCGTCTCCACAAAAACTACAAAAATTAGCCAGGAGTGGTGGCATGTGCTTGTAATTAGTTACTCGTGAGGCTGAGGCGTGAGAATCAGGTTGAACCCAGGAGGCAGAGGTTGCAGTGAGCCAAGACTGCACCACTGCACTCCAGCCTGGGCAAAAAAGTGAGATCCTGTCTCAAATAAATAAATAAATAAAATAAAAATGAACAAAAAATTTTCATGTTTGACATACAAAAAACAAATACATTTCATAATTACTTTAAGAAGGGTCAGCTATGTTTACCTGATAAAATATTCTTAATTTTTGTCGGTTTTCATTTGGAGTATCCTTTTCTTTTCTTGTTTGTAGATCTGTAGTCAATGATTCTTTAACAGCTGAAAACATACACTTTTATATTCAATAAAAACATTGCTTTTGAAAAGCAAAATAACATACCTCACAAAAACTATTAAATATTAAAGGTTTCACAGAATTCTACTTGTGGTATTTAAATATATTTCTGTTATCTCCCTCAACTGATGATCGCAGGAAAAATACCCATAATTCAGCATCCCTAATCTGATGTTAAGGTCTATTGGCAGGACTTATTTTTTTCCTTAAAAAGCACCTCTGGCCGGGCGCGGTGGCTCACGCCTGTAATCCCAGCACATTGGGAGGCCAAGGCAGGAGGATTACGATGTCAGGAGTTAGAGACCAGCCTGCCCAACGTGGCAAAACCCCATCTCTAATTAAAAATATAAAAAATTAGCAGGGCGTGGTGGCGGGCACCTGCAATCCCAGCTACTCAGGAGGCGGAAGCAGAATTGCTTGAACCCGGGAGGCGGAGGTTGCAGTGAGCCAAGACCACACCACTGCACTTCCGCCTGGATGACAAGAGCAAAACTCCGTCTCAAAAAACAAAAACAGGGCCGGGCGCGGTGGCTCACACCTGTAATCCCAGTGCTTTGGGAGGCCGAGGCGGGTGGATCACGAGGTCAGGAGATCAAGACCATCCTGGCTAACACAGTGAAACCCCATCTCTACTAAAAATACAAAAAAATTAGCTGGGCATGGTGGTGGGCACCTGTAGTCCCAGCTACTCGGGAGGCTGAGGCAGGAGAATGGCGTGAATCTGGGAGGCAGAGCTTGCAGTGAGCTGAGATCGCACCACTACACTCCAGCC
Source organism: Homo sapiens (assembly GCF_000001405.40). Classification (NCBI taxonomy): domain Eukaryota; kingdom Metazoa; phylum Chordata; class Mammalia; order Primates; family Hominidae; genus Homo; species Homo sapiens. Next base: position 31,992,453 of record NC_000017.11, on the reverse strand, counting down.
TGGGCGACTGAGGAAGACTCTGTCAAAAAAAGGAAAACAGAAACAAAAACAAAAAACCACCTCCTATGTCCTAAACAATTATAAAAGTAACTCCAAGTAATTATATGTCATTACCATGCTGTTTTAAGCACTCTGAGGTCAGAATGTGTTTTTTTGTTGTTGTTGAGACAGATTCACTTTGGTGACTAGGCTGGCGTGCAGTGGCACAATCTCAGCTCACTGCAACCTCCACCTCCTGGGTTCAAGCAATTCTCGTGCCTCAGCCTCCTGAGTAGCTGGGATTACAGGCGCCCGCCACCACACCCGGCTGATTTTTTGTATTTTAGTAGAGACAGGGTTTCACCATATTGCCCAGGCTGGTCTTGAACTCCTGAGTTCAGGCAATCTGCTCATCTCGGCCTCCAAAATTGCTAGGATTACAGATATGAGTCACCGTGCCCAGCCCAGAGTGTGGTTTTAATTGGTGTTTGTATTCTCAGATCCCAGGTGTGAGCAGGCACTAAGTGTTGGTTTATCAGAAAGTAAGTTATACTTATTATATTAAAATTATTTCAGGCTGGGCACGGTGGCTCATGTCTGTAATCCCAGCACTTTGGGAGGCCGAGGTGGGCAGACTGCCTGAGGTCAGAAGTTTGAGACCAGCCTGCCTAACATGGTGAAACCCCATCTCTATGAAAAAAAACTAGCCAGGCATGGTGGCACACACCTGTAGTCCCAGCTACTTGGGAAGCTGAGGCAGGAGAATTGCTTGAACCCGGGAGGCAGAGGGTGCAGTGAGCTGAGGTTTCGCCACTGCACTCCAGCCTGGGTGACGGAGCAAGACTCCGTCTCCAAAAAAAATAATTATTTCAAATCTAAAAAGATAGTGACAAATGATTCTGGTATATTTCCTTTCAGATATAAGAAAAAAAGGTATTTATATTTCCTTACATAATTAACAATTAGGTATAATTTGTATAGAACTTTTTCTTAGTTTTGATGCAACCTTTTACCTATTTCACTGGTTTCTGAGTATTCTGAGAAGTGCCCATACTACAGTTTACTTGCAAAACCTTTCCCCTGACACAAGCCATTTCTTATTTTATTTATATTTTTTATTTTTTATAAGCGACAGGGTGTCACTATGTTGCCCAGGCTGGTCTTGAACTCCTGGGCTTCAAGCAATCCACCCACCCTGGTCTCCCAAAGTGCTGGAATTACAGATGTCAGCCACTGCGCCCGGCCCCATTTCTTATATCTCTTTAATCTGACCATTACTGTCACCTGCACACAATGAGTGTACATGAGTGGTCAAGGAGGACAACTTACGCCTTCTGCCTTCTTTAAACAGGCAGATAAAGACACATGAGTGCTCTCTCAGGTCAAGGACAATGTACCTACTGGACAGACACAAAAATGACAGAACTTGGCCAGGCGCAATGGCTCAAGCCTGTAGTCCCAGTACTTTGGGATGCTAAGGTAGGTAGATTGCTTGAGCTCAGGAGTTTGAGACCAGCATGGGTGATGGCAAAATCCCATCTCTACCGAAAAATACAAAAATTAACAGGGCGTGGTGGCACGAGCCTGTAGTCCCATCTATATGGAGGGCTAAGGTGGGAGGATCGCTTGAGCCTGGGAGGCGGTGGTTTCAGTGAGCTGAGATGGCACCACTGCACTCCAGCCAGGGTGAGAGAGAGAAACCCTGTCTCAAAAAAAAAAGTAAAATAAAAATGATAGAACACTGCAACTTGGGCCTTAAACTCAGCAGAAAGTTAACTCTATTTGTAAATGTTTTTTCCTCTTAAAAACTGGCTGGGCGCGATGGCTCATGCCTGTAATCCCAGTACTTTGGGAGGCCGAGATGGGTGGATCTCCTGACATCAGTAGTTTGAGACAAGCCTGGCCAACATGATGAAACCCTGTCTCTACTAAAAATACAAAAATTAGCCAGGCCTAGTGGTTGTGTGCCTGTAATGTCAGCTACTCGGGAGGCTGAGGCAGGAGAATTGCTTCAAACCGGGAGGCGGAGGTTGTGCTGAGCCGAGATCACGTCACCGCACTGCAGCCTGGGCGCGGTGGCTCACACCTGTAATTCTCAGCACTTTGGGAGGCCCAGGTGAGCAGAGCACGACGTCAGGAGGTCCAGACCATCCTGGCTAACACGGTGAAACCCCATCTCTACTAAAAATACAAAAAAAGTTAGTCTGGGCCTGGTGGGTCACGCCTGTAATCTCAGCACTTTGGGAGGCCGAGGCAGGCAGACCATGAGGTCAGGAGATTGAGACTATCCTGGCTAACACGGTGAAACCCCATCTCTACTAAAAATCCAAAAAAAAAAAAAAAAAAAAAAAAATTAGCCGGGCATGGTGGCCGGCGCCTGTAGTCCCAGCTACTCGGGAGGCTGAGGCAGGAAATTGGCATGAACCCAGGAGGTGGAGCTTGCAGTGAGCTGAGATCGCACCACTGCACTCCAGCCTGGGCGAGACTCCATCTCAAAAAAGAAAACAACAAACAAAACAAACAAACAGAAAAACTTATATGTGAGTTATAAAAAACATAGTTCCTGGGCTGGGCACAGTGGCTCGTGCCTGTAATCCCAGCACTTTGGGAGGCCAAGGCGGGCGGATCACAAGGTCAGGAGATCGAGACCATCCTGGCTAACAAGGTGAAACCCCGTCTCTACTAAAAATACAAAAAAAAAAAAAAAAATTAGCTGGTCGTGGTGGCAGGCGCCTGTAATGCCAGCTACTCAGGAGGCTGAGGCAGGAGAATGGCATGAACCAGGGAGGCAGAGCGTGCAGTGAGCCGAGATTAAGCCACTGCACTCCAGTCTGGGCAACAGAGTGAGACTTCGTCTCAAAAAACAAAAAAACAAAAAAAACAAAAAAAAACAACTTAGTTCCAAAGCTCTTTGTAGTTGTGATTCCAAAATCTTAAAAGCTAATCTGAAAACCAATAGTTTTCTTGTAAGTTTCTGGCAAATTTGTTTAGTGGAAAAACTTGCTCTAACTTACCATGAGGACCCCACTTCAAGATGTTATATATGATATCTATACTATGTACCATATCACGCTTCAATTTTTTTTTTCAATTCAAATTTCTAGGCACACTTGGCACAAAGGTTCTGGATAAAGAATTTTTACTACTACTTCAACACAAGACTTTACACTTAATATAGGAGAACCTTAATTTACCATGATTCATAACCTACCCAATAAGCCAGATAATATTCTGAAAGGCTAATCACATAGAGGCCAGCAGAGGTGGCTCTCACCTGTAATCCCAGCACTTTGAGAGACTGAGGCGGGCAGATCATGAGGTCAGAAGATGGAGACCATCCTGGCTAACATGGTGAAACCTCGTCTCTACTTTTTTAATTTATTGACTTACTTTTATTTATTTTTTTTGAGATGGAGTATTGCTCTGTCTCCCAGGCTGGAGTGCAGTGGTGCAATCTCGGCTGCAACCTCCACCTTCTGGGTTCACGCCATTCTCATGCCTCAGCCTCCCAAGTAGCTGGGACTACAGGTGCCCGCCACCACACCTGGCTAAATTTTTTTGTATTTTTAGTAGGGACGGTGTTTCACCGTGTTAGCCAGGATGATCTCCATCTCCTGACCTTGTGATCCGCCCGCCTCGGTCTCCCAAATGCTGAGATTACAGGTGTTGAGCCACTGCGCTCGGCCAACCCTGTCTCTACTAAAACTACAAAAAATTAGCCAGGTGTGGTGGCATGCGCCTGTAGTCACAGCTACTCGGGAGGCTGAGTCAGGAGAATCATCTGAACCCACAAGGCAGAGGTTGCAGTGAGCCGAAATCACGCTACTGCACTCCTGCCTGGGCAACAGAGCAAGACTCCATCTCAAAAAAAAAAAAAGAAGAATCACATAAAGCAAAACACAAATGAATTAATCTAAAGCACAAGACCTAACTCTGCAAACCATTATTTTATTATTTTGATTGCAATGTTTTCTTACCAATAGTTTGAGTAGGTTTAACTGAACCAGGCTTGTTTTCCTGATGGAGACTCTCTGAATTTCTAGTGGCAAGAGGTTTGGCAATAGGAGCCGTAGATTTATCATTGGTCTCTCCTGTCCAACGAAGAGTGAACTGCAACGTAGGTCCCTGAGAAAATGTTTCGAATGGAGGCAGCCTCTAAAAAATAAAAAACATGCAAAGACTGGAGACTCAGATAATGAATTCAAATAAATTGTAGAAATTAAAAAAAATTCATTATAAGTCAATGTGGATTTGCCTTAATAGATTTGTCTTGAAAATCCAAATGCTGACTGAGACGGCTAGGCAAACAAAGTAAAAGTATGGACCAGACACTGTAGAACTTGAACTGGAGAGCACAGGCTGTCTAAAAGAGGCGACCACTGATCAGCAACAGGTGAATTGTTGCCATGTGAAAACACTCGTCCAACACAGACAGATTTTCAGATTTTTCCAAATAGGTCAGAAATCAAAGTTATCATGGGAAAATTTCCCATTTAGGTTGTTGCTAACCAGTTCAAATGTCTTTTTTTTTTTTTGAGATGGAGTTTCACTCTTGTCGCCCAGGCTAGTGTGCAACTGGCATGGTCTCAGCTCACTGCAACCTCCCCCTCCCAGGTTCAAGCAATTCTCCTGTCTCAGCCTCCCAAGTAGCTGGGATTACAGGCACCTGCCGTCACGCCCAGCTAATTTTTTGTGTGTGTGTTTTTAGTAGAGACGGGGTTTCATCATCTTGGCCAGGCTGGTCTTGAACTCCTGACCTCAGGTGATTTGCCTGCCTCGGCCTCCCAAAGTGCTGGGGTTACAGGCATGAGCCACCACGCCTGGCCTTGAAATGTCTTAAAAATAAAATTGTGGTACCCAAAGCCCACCAGCATGCAACCTTTGCTCTTAGGTGACCAATTACTTTTTTTTTTGTAAATTGAACAGCTTTTCAATTAGTAATTTTCTTTGACTTCTCTCAGTTTCACTGACAATGACTGCCAGTGCTTCCCTTCTTTGATTTTACAACACTGAGCTATTGAAAATAGCTAACTTTTAGCCATCTGACCGAATCACTCAACCATCCTCAAGAATTTACCTATTAAGCTGATGATCCCAAATTGGTTCTGCATTCTTATCCTTACACTTGAACTGTAAACTCGTATCTCCAATTGCCTCTTGGACACTGCCAGTTGATCTCAATGTCACCTTGAACTAAAACATGTTTAGAAGTGTATCCAGTATCTTTTCTTCTAAAACACTTTCCTTCTCACGTTATTTTTGTTCTTGTCATTATCATTCTACTAGTGACCCTAAGCTAAAAATTTTGGAATTATATTTGACTCCTATCCTTTCGTTTCTCATGCAATTACCAAGTCCTTTTTAAAATGTTTATCATTTCTTCCTTGTCCTTCAAGGATCACAAAAAAACAAAAAAACAAAAAAACCTTTGTTATAGATCAGTATTGCCTTACTACTAGAGTATCTCAGTTGTTCTACTTGCTTCTGATTTTTACTTTCCTATTCAAATATAGGAGAGATCAAGTAGTCTTCAATGAGCTTCAATTTATTTTACTGCCACAGAGGCCTAAACTCCTTCTATATCATTATTACAAAGTAATCCTCTTAAAACTATTTAGATTAGAGGACCGGGCGCAATGGCACACGCCTGTAATCCCAGCACTTTGGGAGGCCGAGGAGGGCAGATCGTGAGGTCAGGAGTTCGAGACCATCCTGGACAACATGGTGAAACCCCGTCTCTACTAAAATACAAAAAATTAGCTGGGCATGGTGGCTGGCGCCTGTAATCCCAGCTACTTGGGAGGCTGAGGCAGGAGAATCGCTTGAACTCGAAAGGCAGAGGTTGCAGTGAGCCGAAATTGCACCATTGCACTCCAGCCTGGAGACAGAGCAAGACTCCATCTCAAAAAACAAAACAAAACAAAACAAAAAACTACTTAGACTAGAATGTAGTAAAAGTGTGTTCAGAGACTAGTTTGGACACAGCAGTCCACAGGAATTTATCTTATAAAATACTTGATACAGGTTCAAGTATAATCACTATTAACATTTTTGACAAGATTAAAAAAAATCAAATAACCCAATTATCTATTAGACCAGCACTGGTTTAGTCAATTAAGGAACCCAAACAAAACAAAACAAAACAAAAAATCTCAGAACTTTTAAAAAGAAGTAAATCTATATGCTCTGACTTAAAAGGATGCCCATTTTACAGGGTTAAGAGCTTCCAGATAGGCCGGGCACAGTAGCTCACACCTGTAATCCCAGCACTTTGGGATGCCGAAGTGGGTGGAAAACCTTAGGTCAGGAGTTTGAGACCAGCCAAGACAACATGGTGAAACCCCCAGGCCTGGTGGCGCATGCCAGTAATCTCAACTATTCAGGAGGCTGAGGCAAGAGAATTGCTTGAACCCAGGAGGCAGAGGTTGCAGTGAACTGAGACCGCGCCATTGCACTCCACCTCTGGGTGACAGAGCGAGACTCCATCTCAACAGAAACAAACAAAAAAAGGCCAGGCCGGGCACGGTCGCTCATGCCTGTAATCCCAGTACTTTGGGAGGCCGAGGCGGGTGGATCACAAGGTCAGGAGTTCGAGACCAGCCTGGCCAACATGGTGAAACTCCATCTCTACTAAAAATATGAAAATCAGCTGGGCATGGTGGTGCACACCTGTGATCGCAGCTACTCAGGAGGCTGAGGCTGGAGAATCGCTTGAACCCGGGAGGCGGAGGTTGCAGTGAGCCAAGATCATGCCACTGTACTCCAGCCTGGGTGACAGAGTGAAACTCCATCTCAAAAACAAAACAAACAAAAAAAAAACAAAAACAAAACCAACAACAACAAAAACTCTTCATATATATAATCCTTATAGTCTCATGAATAAAAACATACTTTAAAACAAGAAATTTAAAATGAAAAAGATCATAAAGATAAATCCATGCAGAAAACCCAAACAGTATAGATAAAAATTATTTGAAATCTCATCACCTGGAGTTAACCACTATTATAAATTTTAGAAACAGGGAAAATATATATATATATATGTATACAGTTATGTAAAAATTTAATATGGAAATCTTGTAAACTATCATCCTTTTTAATAGCTTTTTAGATTTAACATGTTTCTAATGTTTCATTATTTAAAAAATGCTGAGAAAACCTGTTACCTACATCTTTTGTTAACAAGTTACTACACTGTGACAAAAATATAAAATTTGAATTGTTAAAGACTATATATACAATTTTAACTTTATATATATTGCCAGTCTGCCCTATAGTAAGACTGTATCAACCTTTTTTTTTTTTTTTTTTTTTTTGAGACAGAGTCTTGCTCTGTTTCCCCGGATAAAGTGAAGTGGCAAAATCTCAGCTCACTGAAACCTCTGCCTCCCAGGTTCAAGTAATACTCCTAAACCTCCCAAGTACCCAAGTAGCTGGGACTACAAGCACCTGCCACCATGCCTGGCTAATTTTTGTGTTTTTGGTAGAGATGTGGTTTGACATGTTGGCCAGGCTGGTGTCAAATTCATAACCTCAGGTGATCCACCCGCCTTGGCTTCCCAAAGTGCTGGGATTACAGGCATGAGCCACTGAGCCCGGCCCCAACTTACTGTTACATCAAAATATTATTTGAGAGTATATGTGTCCTCACGTCCCTAAAACACTAGAAACTGTCAAACTTTTAATCTTTGTCGAACTCTCAAAAGTATCTCTGCATTTGCATGCCTTTGAGTACTAATAAGGTTGAGTACTGCTTTAAAAGTCTGCTGGCCATCTATATTTGTTTTTTTAAGAACTGCGTGAGAGTCCTTGACACATATTTCTTATTAGACTGCGTATCTTTTTCTTGTTTTATAATTCACAATATTATGTATTCATATTAGCATTTTGTGTTACAGATACTTCCCCCATTCCATAATTTGTTTGTAACTTTAGATATTTTGCAGTATAAAAATGACTAATTTTAACCCGACAATTTTTACTTTATGCTTTCTTACTTTTCAATCATCCTTAGAAAGGTCTTCCTCACTGCAGTATATTAACATTCACCTATTTTTTTTCCATGCTTATGAATGTTCATTTTTACATGTTTATGAGCCTTGCAGAATGTATTAGGTCTAAGATTATTTCCAGATGACTGGAGAAGAGTTGTCACAATTAATGAACAGTTTCTCTTTCTCACATAGCTATACCACCACCTTTATCATGAACTAAATTTCAAATATACATCAAACTATTTCAGGACTATGCCTGAATGATATGCTTGAATGATATGCTTGTCTATTCCTATGCTTATACCATAGGGTTTAAGTTCTCTTAACTTTATGGTATGTACTACTGTATATCGTATATCATACTAAAACTGGTAAGTAAAAATTCTCAAAATATTTTTCTAAAATTTCCCTTAGTATTACTAAATACTTATCCTTCTAGATTGACTTGGAACTAATTTTAAGGCTTAAAAAAATCCTTATGAGATTTTGCATTGGATGGTAACACTGATCTAACATATTTAGAAATAAAAGACATCGTTACAGTTTTGAATCTACCTATTTAAGAAATGCATGGATTCCTCTTTATCTCTTAAAAGAGTTATCTTAAGTACGCTTAATCTAAATTCTGCAGATTTCTTGATAAATGTATTACTAGTCATCCCTTATTACCTGCCATTACAATGAATAGAATTTAAAATAGCCGTTAACATTTATTGAGCACTTATTGTATGCCAGGCACTGTACTAAATATTTTATTATTTCATCTAATCCATCAATTCTATGTCTCATGTTACAGGAGAAGAAACTGAGACATGGATAAGTAACTTGCCAAACGCCACATAGCTAGGAGCAGACATTTGAATCAGGCAGTCTGGCTCTCAAAGTATGATGCCTTCCGTGTGGCCGGGTGCAGTGGCTCATGCCTGTAATCCCAGCGCTTTGGGAGGCCAAGGTGGGCAGATCACAAGGTCAGGAGTTCCAGACTAGCCTGGCCAACATGGTCAAACCCCGTCTCTACTGAAAATAAAAAAAAATTAGCCAGGCGTGGTGGCACGCAGAATCACAGAATCACAGCTACTTGGGAGGCTGAGACAGGAGAATCGCTTGAACCCGGGAGGTGGAGGTTGCAGTGAGCCGAGACCATGCCACTGCACTCCAGCCTGGGCAACAGAGCAAGACTCCCCCTCAAAAAAAAAAAAAAAAAAAGAATGATACCTTCCGTTAAATGCTCTGACTAGATCATTTACTTGTGTTTTTTAAAGTATAAAAAACAAAGGACTCTACTTCCAACATGAATTAGCATTTGGGGAAGAAAACATCAGTCAAAAATGGGAGTTCATAACTATAACGTGCTCAACCTTCTAAGTAGTCCATACCTTCCCATCAAGAATAGTCTCCCATGTTGCTCTTTTCTTGCTTATTGGACATTCTTCCATTTCCTGCATGGCTACTTCATATTCCCCATCTAAAAGCTGTAAGCGCCTGTTAGACAAACACATATACTTTAAAGTAACCTGTGTTATTACTATAAGTACACAAATTCTACATCTTTAGATTTATACTAAAACCATTTATTAAATTTATAAACTAGCTTACATACCCAACAAGATTTTAAAAATACAGCTACACTCCAGTCCTGATGAAAGCAATTTTAATGATGTACACTAAAAACTGTATTACTAGGAATTCATTACTGTAGCTACTCAGATATAACTCTAAACATGTAAAGTATAATATGCCTGAGGTCTCAAAACCTGGTACGTTGTCAACATTAAATATAAAGCGTAAGTACAGGCTTTATTTATTTATTTATTTATTTGAGATGGAGTCTTGCTCTGTTGCAACCCAGGCTGGAGGGCAGTGGTGCAATCTCCGCTCACCACAATCTCTGCTGCCCAGGTTCAAGCGATTCTCCTGCCTCAGCCTCCCGAGTAGCTGGGATTACAGGCGCGTGCCACTATGCCCAGCTAATTTTTGTATTTTTAGTAGAGATGGGTTTCAGCATCTTGGCCAGGCTGGTCTTAAACTCCTGCCCTCGTGATCCACCCATCTTGGCCTCCTAAAGTGCTGGGATTACAGGCGTGAACCACCGCGCCCAGCCCAGGCTTTATATTTTTAAAAATAGGATAATAGTGTTACAAACAATGCTTGTCTTAGGGAAACACTAAGAATTCTGTTACCTTTAACTACTGTAATTGTTTGAACTAGAATCCTTTACTTTTATACTTGACCAGTAAACTGATTATTATAATGACGAATCTGGTAACTACGGAATTCTGGGGGCACCTGGCACATATAGGTGCTCAATAAACACTTCATGGAATACTAATTGAATCAAATAATTCAAATATATTCACACAATATAGTTTTAAGGTGTGTGTACATATGTGTCTATGTATAACTTATTTTTTCCATACTTTAAACACTAGTAACCACTACTACTCTAAACACCATTCTTCAACCATGCTCAGTAATTAACTGTATATATCAAGAAACTGGCTTCTCTTCATCACTCTTAGAGAAATTCTATTAGGTAAAAACAGCTGACATTTATTGAGTGTTCACTATGTGCCAGGCACTATTATAAAGATTTTACATGGTTCATTTAATCTTCCCAACAATGCTATGAACTATGTACAATTACTCCACTGCCAGAAGAGAAAACTGAGGCAAGAAAAGGTTAAATAACTTGCCTTAAAATCAAACCGTAAATAGCCAGATCCAGCAAATGAATCCAGGTGTCTGTCTCTAAAGTCTCTTAAAACCAAATGATTGACACTTAAGAATTTTTGTCTTTTCTCTATGCTGTACTACTTAAATTTAGTCAACTTCAATAGTACATCAGCAAAGCCATTCAACTATTTTAAAAACTAATTTATTTACTCAAAGAGGTAATAAATTCATATATTTCTAAATCAAAAAGGAGCTTCCTTATGCTTTTACATAGATACGTACTATTCCATTTTGTGGGTGTACATTTGATACCTACAATCCAATGCACCCTCCTATCTGTAATGTATGTGGAGACTTTTCCCCCACAGCCTGATCAAGTGCTTTATCAAGTTTTTTGGTCTCTGTCAATCTGATAAGTGAAAAAACGCATCTCAGTGTACTTTTAATTCAGATGTTTTGTCGTTTTAATTGTTTAAGAACCATATGTATCTATTTTGGTAAACTTCTTATTGTTTCTTTTGCCCATTCTTCTATTGGGCAGTGGTCTTTTAAAATTAGTATGACCTGTTTACATTCAAGAATGACAGACATCTACCTGAAAGACAAGTTGAAAATAATTTCTCCCCATCTTGTCATTTTTGACTTTGGTTATGGTGGCTTTTTTGTTTTCTGAAGAAGTTTTTGATTTTTATTTTGTTCAACTTTGCATTCTTTTCCTATAAGGCTTTTGAATATTGGTTATTATTTCAAGGAATTAACTGGATTTTTTGGTTTTTTTTTTTGACAGTCGCTGTGTCACCCAGGCTAGAGTGCAGTGACACAATCATAGCTCACTACAGCCTCAGACTCCTGGGCTCAAGAGATCCTCTCACCTTGGTCTTCCAAAGTACTAAGATTACAAGTGTGAGCCACTGCACTCAGCCCTCTGTGAGATTTTAAAAACAATTTTTACACATCTAACATGCAGATTTTGGCTTAAAAATACTATTCTTCTATAAGGAATCAGGACTCCTTGAAGAAATCACAACTTCAGAGCAGAGGTAAGAAAAGAAGAAGGTAGGCCGGGGCGCAGTGGCTCATGCCCGTAATCCCAACAGTTTGGGAGGCTGAGGTGGGAGGATCACCTGAGGTCGGGAGTTCAAGACCAGCCTGACCAACAGGGAGAAACCTTGTCTCTACTAGAAATACAAAATTAGCCAGGCATGGTGGCGCATGCCTTAATCCCAGCTACTCGGGAGGCTGAGGCAGGAGAATCGCTTGAACCCGGGAGGCAGAGGTAGCGGTGAGCTGAGATGGTGCCTTTGCGCTCCAGCCTGGGCAACAGGAGCAAAACTCCGTCTCAAAAAAAAAAAAAAAAAAAAAAAAAAAAAAAAAAAAAGGAGAAGGTGATTCTGGTATATCTTACTATTCTAGAAAATCAGGAAAAAATAGCAGCAACAAAACAGGACACAGAAGCCTACTTAGAAGGGCTCCTCCTGACAAAATATGAGACAATTTGAGCATTAAAATAACAGTATCAATAGATTAAAACTAATTGAATAAATAGAATTTGTTAATCCATACTGATTTTAAAATATCAAAGCTAGGGAAAGGAATGCTCTTCTTTTTAAATTTACATGTAACTTTAAAAAAATTTTTTTTTTCTTTTTAGGAACGAGGTCTTGCTATGTTGCCCAAACTGGTCTCAAACTCCTGGGCTCAAATAGTCTTCCCGCCTTGGACTCCCAAAGTGTTAGGGTTACAGGTATCAGTCACCATGCCTGCCTGTTTCTCTCTCTCTCTCTCTCTCTCTCTCTATACATATATATATATTTTTTAGGGTTAGTCAAGTGAAGCAGTGGGAGCAGAGAACGAATGCTCTTCTTTATATAAAAATGCAAATAAATGTGGAAGAAATGTTAGAAAATTACCATTTTCCAACTGCCAAAGGAATAATTTATTCAAGCAAAAATAATCAATCAATGCTAAAACTATTGGGTGAAAGGCTATGGGAAGAAAATGGATATTTACTCAGCTTCATGTATTAGCATAAGAATTATATGCTGATTTATATAAAAGGGAAAAAAGTACTGTTACAATGGAGAAATATTGTGAACAGCATCTTAACTGAGTGATCAAACCTAATATTACCTTTTGTCTGTGATGTAGTACGTAAAGAACACATCACTCATTAGAATCCCTGCCAAAAATATTTAACCTGAAGCTAATCAAGAGGAAATCACCACAGAAGTCCTAATTGAGATACATTCTGCAAAACTACAGGCCTATACTGGGGGAAAAATGTCACAGAAGGTAGGGAGAAAGGCTAGGGGGACTATTCCAAATTGAAGGAGACTGAAGAACTATGACATCTAGCTATGGAATCGGGGTGGGGACAGGACAAATTATAAAGGACATTATTGAGGTCAACTGGGGAGATAGTATTGTATTTGTATTTTAATTTTCCTCATAAGGGTACGGTGGTTATATCAGAAAATGTCTTCGTTCTTAGGAGATACATGCAAGAGAGTTTATAAATGAGGAATAAAGCAAACTTTCAAATTATTCAGCACAAAAATAAAATATAGCCTCATAAATAAATCAAATGTGGCAAAATGTTAACAACAGATACAATCTAGATGAAGGGTATGTGGATATTAAATGACTTTAGTATTCTTTCAACTTTCCTATCGTTTTGAATTCTTTTTTTTTTTTTTTTTTTTTTGGAGACACAGTCTCGCTGTCACCAGGCTGGAGTGCAGCGGCGCGATCTCAACTCACTGTAACCTCCGCCTCCTGGGTTCAAGCGATTCTCCTGCCTCAGCCTCCCGAGTAGCTGGGACTACAGGCACGCACCACCAGGCCCAGCTAATTTTTGTATTTTTAGTAGAGATGGGGTTTCACCATGTTGGCCAGGACGGTCTCGATCTCTTGACCTCGTGATCCGCCCGCCTCAGCCTCCCAAAGTGCTGGGATTACAGGCGTGAGCCACCATGCCCGGGTGAATATTTTCAAAATAAGCTGCTGTGGGGAAATTCTCCCAGTTTCTTCTTGGCACTTTTTCTTTAAAATAAAAGCATTATCTTTTTCTTACAAGAAATGTGTAAACATATGTGTCAGGTACAGTGATTAAAAAAGAAAATAGAACATACCCCATGCTGCCTAAAATAGAACAATTAACAGCATCGATGAAGTCCAATGCGCCTCATTCTAATTGTTTCCCCCACAGACATGACCACTATTTTCTAGTACATTTATGGTTCTATTGTTTTCCATTTAAATCTTCGATCCACAATAAAATTTCTGACTTTAAAAAGACACTGGCCGGGCACGGTGGCTCACCTGTAATCCCAGCACTTTGGGAGGCTGAGGCAGGTGGATGATGTGAGGTCAGGAGCTCCAGACCAGCCTGGCCAACATGGTGAAACCTCATCTCTACTAAAAATACAAAAATTAGCTGGGCATGGTAGCAGGTGCCTGTAATCCCAGCTATTCAGGAGGCTGAGGCAGGTGAATCGCTTGAACCCAGGAGGCAGAGGTTGCAGTGAGCTGAGATCATGCCACTGAACTCCAGCCTGGGTGACACAGCGAGAGTCCGTCTCAAAAATAAACAAATAAATAAATAAAAAATAAACAATAGGAGGAATGGCCTAGTTACTTTCCCTGGTTCTTTGTCCTATACCTGACAATAAACTGTTAACTACCAGCACGCAGCCTGGTACAAGAAATGACGGCATAGGTTTCTTTCTCCAATCCCAAAAAGAAAAAATGCTGGATTTGCTTCCCAGACATTCTTTCACTGGTGATATTTTCACTAAAATATTTCGTTTCCAAACAGAAATTGCAGAAATATTTAATAAGTCTGTGTTTCTTGCCATCCTGTACCAAATGCACAGAGGTACACAATCATTATACATGATTTTCTTTTCTTTTCTTTTTAAGACAAGAGTCTTGCTCTGTCACCCAGGATGGAGTGCAGTGGTGTGATCTCGGCTCACTGCAACCTCTGCCTCCCAGGTTCAAGCGATTCCCCTGCCTCGGCCTCCTGAGTAGCTGGGATTACAGGCACACGCCACCGTGCCTGGCTAATTTTTGTATTTTTAGTAGAGACAGGGTTTCGCCATCTTGGCCAGGCTGGTCTCGAACTCCTGACCTCGTGATCCACCCACTGCAGCCTCCCAAAGAGCTGGGATTACAGGCGTGAGCCACTGCGCCCGGCCTTCTTTCTTTTTTTAAAAAAGATGGGGTCTCGCCTAGGCATGGTGGCTCACGCCTGTAATCCCAGCACTTTGGGAGGCCAAGGCAGGCGGATCACGAGATGAGGAGACCGACACCATTCTGGCTAACACGGTGAAACCCGTCTCTACTGAAAATACAAAAAATTAGCTGGGCGTGGTGGCACGCACCTGTAGTCCCAGCTACTCCAGAGGCTGAAGCAGGAGACTTGCTCAAACCCAGGTGGCAGAGGGGTTGCAGTGAGCAGAGATTGCGCCACTGCACTCCTGCCTGGGTGATAGAGTGAGACACTATTCTAAAAAAAAAAAAAAAAAAAAAAGATGGGATCTCACTTTGTCACTCAGGCCAGAGTACAGTGGCATGATCATAGCTCATTGCTGCCTTGAACTCCTGGGCTCAAACAATCCTCCCACCTTAGCCTCCTATGTAGCTGGAACTACAGGTACATACCACCATGACCAGCTCCTCTTCCTTAATTTTTAATAAACACATAACCCCAAGATTTACGTAGGGCCCAGTCCATTTAAGTCTCTTCTCAAATACTACCTCCTCCCAGAGGATATCTCTCTAAAACAGTAACCATTTATTCTCTATTTTTCTTCACAACACTCATCACTAAGTGACATTAGTTGATTTTTTGGGTGGTGGTCTGTTTCCTCCACTAAAAGTTAAGCTCCATGGTGAAGGCAGGGATTTTGTTGCCTTCTTAATGTCTAGAACAGTGTCTGGCAAAGAGTAGACACTCAGAAAATATTCGCCAAATAAGTAAGTTTAACTGAGCTATCTATCCGAATAGTTCCTTAATTATTGTTTTCTATAAAACAGACAAAAATTCAGTGTTTGCAAATTTGTTTTTTCATCCGTAAGAATAAAAAGAAACAAAGGCAATGAAATAATCAATATAAATAATTATATTCTGCTTCAGAATGAAAACATTTCCAGAACATTGTGGGAGCCTCACTTGTTCATCAACATTACCTGTTTTTATCAAATACTGTCATTTGTGCAACAAATGTCTTTTCCCCATCCTCACGATTTCGTTTTCTTCTGGCTGGAAGCTCTTCATTGACATCTAAATTTAACAAACATTTCTCATAAATCAAATATTAGAACAAAAATGTGTTATGATATATGGTCCCTTAACATAAAACATGCTACATTTATCCCAAATGAGGTACGAATTACACTAAAGTTGCAATAATATACAGACCACATGTTTCCAATTTTGCATTTTTACTATATGTTCTTTTTAACAATCACAACATTAACCCCACATCTTTGCAAATGCTAATGTTTCTGTTTAGAATTATCTTTGCTAGGCAAACTCCTTCTCACTCGTGGTAACTCCCAAAAACTTCAAACAATACTTCGAGTCAAAGATTATTTTTTCCAACGTGTTTCTCTGCTGAACTTCACATATACCTGTATTATGGCACTCATCATTTTGCTGCAATGATATATTTCATGTCTATTTCCCTACACTAGGTTGTGAGACTTTGGAGGATAGGACTGAATGTTTTAATCATCTTCGATTAAATTAAATCATCCCCAGCACCTATGTGTTTGTTGAATGAATACCTCAAAGATGAATTCACAATTGTTGGAAGAAAAGAGGGATGGGCAGGGGGATAAATACACAACAAGTATAATAAAATGTTCATTGTTGAATCTAAGAGGTAAGTAGATAGGTGTTCACTATAAAATACTTCTCATTGTCCTTTATGTTTGAAAATTTGCACAACAAAATGTTGAGGTGGAGGTGAATTCACTGTTTGCTTTAAGACTCAGCACCATGACTATCATGAAGGAACACTGGTACAATCATTTTCAATGACCATCTTAGTCTCCAGTGATAAAATCTAGTAAAAAAAAAAATTACCAATATTTTCATTGGTTTCTCCATTAATCATTCCATTAAACTCTCTTCTTCCTGGACGAGTCACTCTAAATAGCAACGAGTAAGACTTCACCATATGGCTGTTACTAGGTTCAAATTCATTACTGGAAACTGCAAGGGACGGGAAATTTCCGGGTTTTGTTTGATTGAGGTCAGGATTCAAAGGCACCTGCTTTTTACCTGTGGGAACTTGCCTTATTGGACAACTTACATCCTGCAAAGGTAAACATTATTAATTTATATTTATTTGTATATAAGCAATAAGAATTATAATAAAACTTCTAATCACAGCTATAGGAAACACGGGAGATAGGCCATGATCACCAAATGGAATGTTAAAATTCTAACCATAGTTCTGCAAACTGTGAAGCAAAAATAAACATTTGAAATACCTATATTCCAAATATTAAAGCAATTGAGGTTTTCTCCAACATAATGAAATTATGATACAGTATACCTAATATTTAGCTAACAGTGATCTGAAACAGTTGTATATTAGAAATTTAGAACTAAAAGCATGCTAAATCTCTCTGGTAAGGCTTTTTAGCAACAACAAAAAAACCATGCTAAAATGTTAAACTCATGTACTTTTATCAAATCTCTTAAATGTTCTATTTTAACATGACAGTGACTAATAGGACCATTAGAAATAAAAAAAAATGACTAATAATCCCATGGTCAACAACTACATTATGAAACAGTAAATCCATATAGTTAAAATATGTTGTTTAACAGAAAGAATCATCATCCTTAAAAAAACAAAAACAAAACTGGTTTTATCTACCAATGATCATATTCTGAGTAATATTCTGTTATTGTATGATTAGTTACACTGAAAATGCATACTAGAAAAACTGGAAGGATCAGAAGACTTTTATGACAGTATCTTACAGCAGCTACTTCTTTTAAATAAATAGAATACATACAGTCTAAAAAAATTTCTATTTTATAAGACTATAAAGTGAAAACTATGAATTCTCACCCACCCCCCCAGGTCTTACGCTCCGGAGATGACTAATACTAGCAGTTGGCTGTGTATATTCTTCCAGGAAAATGATTACCCCGATACATTTTTTTGAACATAAGAATGACTATATTTATATTCATATCTTATTCTAAGTAATGTATCTTGGATTTTCATATCATCACTTGTTGTAATGTGTATGGAGGTTAGGTAGGAGTAAGAAGTGATAAAGGCTGGAGTGCAGTTGTGCGATCTCGGCTCGCTGCAAGCTCCGCCTCCCGGGTTCATACCATTCTCCTGCCTCAGCCTCCTGAGTAGCTGGCACTACAGGTGCCCATCACCACGCCTGGCTAATTTTTTATATTTTTAGCAGAGACGAGATTTCACCGTGTTAGCCACTCGATCTCCTGACCTCGTGATCTGCCCACCTTGGCCTCTCAAAGTGCTGGGATTACAGGCGTGAGCCACCAGCACCTGGCAAGGAGTGATATTTCCTAACTTTACATACATTTTTTTTTTTTCTTGAGACAGTTTCACTCTGTCGCACAGGCTGGAGCTCAGTGGTGCAATCATGGCTCACTGCAGCCTCGACTTACTGGGCTCAAGCAATCCTCCCGAGTAGCTGGGACTACAGGCACAGGCCATCATGCCTAGCTCATTTTTGTATTTTTGGTAGAGACAGGGTTTCACCATGTTGCCCAGGATGCTTAACTCCTGGGTTCAAGCAATCTGCCCACTTCTGCCTCCCAAAGTGCTGGGATTATAGGTGTGAGCTACGGCAACCGGCCTTTACATAAACTTTCAAAAATAAAGTTCCACTGCTGCCTCCATGGTGCCTTAGTCTACTCCCTCCCAGTGATTGAGGCCCTTATGGCCTATGGTCTTGGAAGAATATCAGCACTGGGACCCTGGACCCAGACCAGCTCCTACTCCTCTTGAAACACTCGAGGACTTGAGGCAACTAAAGGTACATATGTTGGCTTTGATCGGTTGACCAGGAAACATCTTAACACTTGTTTCTATGGTGAAATAACTTCACCTTATAAAAATTTGAAGCAATGTACTAATAAGTGAATGGCTAATAACGCTGACAACAAAATTTCTTTGCCTGAGAGCAGTGTTACAAAGGATAATCTTGTGGAAAAAACTCTCTCTTAGCCCTTACCTAAAATGTCAATGGGTACAAACAGCTAAGAAATACGCTAACAGATTGAAATGGTAGAACAGCAACTGAATTTATGCCAGATGCTAAAACATAGCTTCTCCATTTCCAGACTCCTATGAGAAAGTTTTGTACAGACACTTATTAAAAGACTAGAAAAACTACACAGATATGCGAGTTGGCAAAAGAGGTTATCAGTTTTATAATTAGGCCATCAACACATTTCTTAAGCTTTCAAAATTTAAAACTAAGCTTTAAAATACAATATATATGCATAAAGATGTCCAATTAAGCAAATTATTCCATTTAATCTACCAATATCATTTTGTTGACATTACCTTTCTTTTTTTGTGGCAAACTTTCACAAGCAGGACTTCCAGGGTAACAGAATTTTGTTCATTTTCTGAGTTTGGTGATGGCTTATCTAAATAGAAAATCAGTATTTTAAAATATATTTAAAAAATATATGAACAAGGTATTCATTTTGCTAACAAGTCAGGGAACTTCAAACAGAGATTTCCCACAGTAAGACTTCTCAAAAGTTCACTCATTCTTTTTTCCTCAAATCAGTTCCAAACTTACAGCAAACTCTTTAAAAGCCTTTATATATAGTGTAAATAAACCACTCACAAAACAAATATAATTACCGTCCTATATGCTGTAATTTTTTTTTCCATTAGATATAGGTTTTGCTCTGTTGCCCAAGGTACAGTGCAGTGGCACAATCACAGCTCACTGCAATCACAAGCTCCTGGGATCAAGTGATCCTCACACATCAGCACGGCAGCCTCCTGAGTACCTGGGATTACAGGCGTGAGCCACCATGCCCAGGTTGTAAGTATAAAAAATATTCACTGGCCAGGCATAGTGGCTCATGCCTGTAATCCCAACACTTTGGGAGGCCAAGGCAAGAATATCACTTAAGGCCAAGAGTTCAAGACCAGCCTGCGCAACACAGAAACCTCGTCTCTACAAAATGTGAAAAAATTAGCTGGGTGTGGTGGGTGTCATGTGCCTGTAGTCCTAGCTACCTCAGAGGCTAGGTGGAAGGATCTCTTGAGCCAAGGAGTTCAAGGCTGCAGTGAGCTATGATCCTGTCACTGCCCTCTAGTCTGGGCGAAGGAGTGAGATCCTGTCTCTAAAACACATCTACACATTTCTATTTATATATATATATATATATATACACACACAAACACACATACATACACATATATATATATACACATATATATACACATACATACATATATATACACATATATATATTTCCTAATTCCTTTTCGAGACAGAGACTCGTTCTGTCAACCAGGTTGGAGTGCAGTAGGGCGATCTTGGTTCACTGCAACTTCTGCCTCCCGGGTTAAAGTGATCCTCCCACCTCAGCTTCCCAAGTATCTGGGACTACAGGTGCGCACCAGGACACCCAGCTGATTTTTTTAATTTTAAGTAGAGATGGGGTTTCACCATGTTGGCTAGGCTGGTCTTGAACTCCTGACCTCAAGTGATCCACCTGCCTTGGCCTCCCAAAATGCTGGGATTACAGGTGTGAGCCACCACACCCGGCCATATTTACTGAATATTTCTAATTTGAAGATTTAATATTTTTGTTTGTTTTTCAGACAAGGGTCTGGCTATGTTGCCCAGGCTGGTCTCAAACTTCTGGGCTCAAGTGATTCTCCCATTTTAAGCCTCCTAAGTAGCTGAGACTACAGGCACATGCAACTGGGCCGGCTTGAAGATTTAACATTTATGATAATACACTGCTAGTCAAAAGTAATTTTGACAAATACAGTTAAAGCTTCTTGGCAGAAAGCATAAATGAAAACAGTTGCAGGAGGGCCAGGTGTGGTGGCTCACGCCTATAATCGCAGCACTTAGGGAGGCCGAGGCAGGTGGATCACCTGAGGCCGGGAGTTTGAGACCAGCCTGACCAACACGGAGAAACCCCGTCTCTACTAAAAATACAACATCAGCCAGGCATGGTGGTGCATGCCTGTAATCTCAGCTACTTGGGAGGCTGAGGCAGAACTGCTTGAACCAGGGGTTGGGGAGCAGAGGTTGCAGTAAGCTGAGATCACACCATTGCACTCCAGCCTGGGCAACAAGAGCGAAACTCCATCTCCAAAAAAAAAAAAAAAAAAAAAAGTTGCAGGAGACAACCACATTCAAAATAAGCATCTTCAATTTTTTTCTTCTCCTAAAATCTACTAGAAAAAGTATTAAGATAACATTTGAATTAAATCAGTTACCATTATACATGTTTCATTATGAATGCACAGAGACAACTAAACTAAAAAGTTCTTGATCTGACCAAGACTTGTGGCCAAAAGGATAAAAAATGGATTTCAAAAAACATTAAACATTATAAAACGTAGAGACAGAGCTATCAGAGCTATTTTTAGATGCTTTCCCCAGAATTTCTCTACAGTTTAAATGGGATAACAAAAATCAAGATATTATTTACTATCTAGAATATCTTGGCTTACAAAAAATTTAGGGGTGTTAATTTTGAATACCATAGTCTATATTCTCTATGTAAATTAACACAGGCTTTACAAATTAAGGTTCTAGAGTAGTCCTCCATAACTTGTTTTTAAAGTCCCAAAGGTATTAACAGTTCATAACTGAATATTTAATCACTAATTCATCAAATAGCTTCAATAACATCCAGAACTATTATAATAGATGAATCCATGAACACACAAAAAAAATTTTTTGTTCTAAGGCACTGGGCAACACATTTTTTCTTTATTTTTTTTTTTTGAGAGAGAGAGTCTTGCTCTGTTGCCCAGGCTAGAGTGCAATGGAATGTTCTTGACTCACTGCAACCTCCGCCTCCTGGGTTAAAGCAGTTCTCCCTGCCTCAGCCTCCCGAGTAGCTGGGACTACAGACTACAGGCACAAGCCACCAAGCCTGGGTAATTTTTTTTTTTCTTTTCTTGAGTCAGCCTCACTCGGTTGTCCAGGCTGGAATGCAGTGGCACAATCTCGGCTCCCTGCAGCCTGCACCTCCCAGGTTCAAGCAATTCTCATGATTCAATCTCCAGAGTAGCTGGGATTATGGGGATGAAACACCATTCCCAGCTAATTTGGTTATTTTCAGTAGAGACGGGGCTTCACCATGTTGGCCAGGCTGGTCTCAAACTCCCTACCTCAGGTGATCTACCTGCCTCGGCCTCCCAAAGTGCTGGGATTACAGGCGTGAGCCATTGCGCCTGGCCGGCAACACTTTTTTTCTACTTAAAAACATTCTTATTGGGGGTGTGTGTGTAAAACACATTTGATCAGTTTCTTCGGAAGTTGCATCCAGGATAAAAACACCTTAATACAGCAAAAAATAGTCCAATGTCTAAATGCAGTAACAAAAATATTTGCCGAACAATACTCATCATGAAAATAGTACCCAAATAATCTTTGTGTATTCATTCTAAGAAGCAGTTTCAAGTAGTAATTGCCAAACAAAAGTTTTCATTTAAAAACAAGAGGCCGGATGCAGTGGCTCATGCCTGTAATCCTAGCCCTTTGGGAGGCTGAGGTGAGAGGATCGCTTGAGCCCGGGAGGCTGCAATGAAGCAAGACTGCTCACTGCACTCCAGCATGAGTGACAGAGCAAGACTCTGTCTAAAAAATAATTAATAGTAAGAAAATAAGAAGAAAAAATCACATTTTAAGAATTAAAAATTTTTTTTTCCTTGTTTTGAGAGAGGGTCCCACTATGTTGCCCAGACTCTATTCAAACTCCTGGGCTCAAGCAAACCTCCCAGCTCAGCCTCCTCAGTAGATGGAAATACAGGCAAGCATCACTGCTCCTGGTACATTTTAGAGAACTTGATGTTGGTTTTCTATCCTGGTTTCTTAAAAATATTATTGAAAACAAAAAAGGTACAAATAAACCTTGGATGGAAAAGAAACACAATATATCTACTTCCAACTTCTACTAGTTTCAAAGTTAAAATAGAATAGTTATTTTCAACATAGGCGTGGTGGCTCACGCCTATAATCCTAGCACTTTGGGAGGCCGAGGTGGGTGAATCACTTGAGGCCAGGAGTTTGAGTCCAGACTGGCAAACATGGTGAAATGAAATCCTGTCTCCATTAAAAATATAAAAATTAGGGGCTGGGCTCGGTGGCTCATGCCTACTGAAATCCCAGCACTTTGGGAGGCCGAGGTGGGCAAATCACCTGAGATCGGGAGTTCAAGAGACCAACCTGACCAACGTGGAGAAACCCCATCTCTACTAAAAATACAAAAAATTAGCGGGGCATGGTGGTGCATGCCTGTAATACCAGCTACTCTGGGAGGCTGAGGCAACAGAATTGCTTGAACCCGGGAGGTAGAGGTTGTGGTGAGCCGAGATTGCGCCATTGCACTCCAGCCTGGGCAACCAGAGTGAAACTCCATCTCAGAAAAAGAAGAAAAAAAATTAGCTTGTGTGGTGGCACCCGCCTGTAATCCCAGATACTTGGGAGGTGGAGGCATGAGAATCACTTGAACCTGGAGGCAGAGGCTGCAGTGATCTGAGATCAAACTACTACACTCCAGCCTAGGTGACAGAGGAATTATTTTCTGGAAACAGAGATATCAACAGAGTTCACTATCTCTTTTACTTCAATATCAAGAAAAATAAAAACAAAGTAAATCTGAGCAATTGTTGAACTTTATATATTTTGTCATGAAGATAGGAAAAAAGCTTAATATGACTACTTTCCAAAAATTTCAGTGATGGATAAACTATGTGTTCTACACAGGTCCCTGAGAACAAAGGGCTAATGAATGTATAAAATTCAAATTATAAGTTTCTGAAGAATTAAAGTCTAGACACGTCAGAAGTACCACAGAAAACAAAATACGATGACTAGAAATAAGGACTCTAAGCAGACCATTACAAATAATTTAAGGAAAACAAAAACCGTAATGCTACCCAGGTTACTTCTATATAAAAAATAGACCAGATCTAAGGTAAAAACTAGAAGTTACATTAGCTGCTAATACAAATACGAGATTTCAAATTTCTTACATAAAAACCCTAACTAGGGCCAGTCTCAGTGGCTCACACCTGTAATCCCCGCACTTTGGGAGACTGAGGTGAGAGGATCACTTGAGACCAGGAGTTTGAGACCAGCCTGGGAAATGTAGTGAGATTCCATCTTAACAAAAAAAATTTTTTTTAATTAGCCAGGCATGGTGGGAACGCCTGTAGTTCCAGCTACTCAGGAGGCTGAGGCAGGAGGATCACTTGAGCCCAGGAGTTGATCACACCACTGCACTCCAGCCTGGGTGACACGAGCAAGACCCTGTCTAAACAAACAAACAACCCCCAAAGAGTCATTAAAAAATGGTTATATTAGAGCATTTTGACAATTGGCCAATTGGCAAGGTTGTCTTTTTGTCTTTTTTAGACAGTGTCTCACTCTGTCACTCAGGCTGGAGTACAGTGGTGTGATCTTGGCTCACTGCAGCCTCAACCTCCAAGACTCAAGCAATCCTCCCACCTCAGCCTCCTGAGTAGCTGAGACTACAGAATAGCTGGGACTACAGGCATGTGCCACTGTGCCCAGTTAATCTTTTTTTACTTCTTACAGACAGGTTCTCCCTATGTTGCCCAGGCAAGCCTCAAGCTATTCTTCCATCTCAGCCTCCCAAGGTGTTGACGTTATAGCTGTGAGCCACCACGCCCAGTCTAATATTTGGGATTTTTTGGAGACAAGGTCTCACTCTGTTGCCCAGCCTGGAGTAGAGTTGTGCAATCATAGCTCACTGTAACCTTGAATTCCTGAGCTTACGCCATCCTGCCATCTTGGACTTCCAAGTACCTAGAACTACAGGACATACCACCATACCTGGCTAATTTTTGTAGAGATGGGGTCTGTGTTGCCCAGGCTGGTCTTGAAGTCCTGGCCTCAAGTCATCTTCCCACCTCAGCCTCCCAAAATGCTGAGATTACAGACATGAGCCACCAGGCCAGGACTCATTTTCTTTTTCTTTTTTTTTAGACAGAGTCTCGCTCTGTCACCAGGCTGGAGTGCCACTGGTGACACTACAGGTGTGCACCACGACACCCAGCTAGTTTTTTTGTATTTTAGTAGAGACGGGGTTTCACCATGTTAGCCAGGATAGTCTCGATCTCCTGACCTTGTGATCCACCCGCCTCAGCCTCCCAAAGTGCTGGGATTACAGGCGTGAGCCACCGTGCCCGGCCCACCAGGACTCATTTTCAATCTTTGTTTCTTACTAAACGATACCAAGACAACCAACCTGGCATGTTTCTAATAATGGTTTTATTCCATTGCATAATAAAAAGATATGCCATATACACAGACTTATGATGGATAAGCTGATAAGTGATTTTCCCTTTTTTTTTTTTTTTGAGATGGAGTCTCGCTCTGTCGCCCAGGCTGGAGTGCAGTAACGCAATCTCAGCTCATTGCAACCTCCGACTCTCAGGTTCAAGTGATTCTTCTGCCTAAGTCTCCCAAGTAACTGGGACTACAGGCACCCACCACCACGCCTGGCTAATGTTTATATTTTTAGTAGAGATGGGGTTTCATCATATTGGCCAGCTGAACTCCTGAACTCCTGAACATCCTGAACTCCTGACCTCATGATACACCCGCCTCAGCCTCCCAAAATGTTGGGATTACAGGCGTGAGCCACTGCGCCTGGCCGTATTTTTCCATTTTTAAAACAACTCTAATTCTTTCCAGCATGCTTTGAGCTTTTACTGGAGTAATATACCATATAATTTCCTTTGAATAATATCTAAAATATTAATATATGCCATTGGTAATAGTGGTTATTTCAGTTGTTTTACTGTGTTTTTTTAAAACATGATACAGTATCATTAATTCAAAATGTTTATGCATAAAAGGTTCTACTGAGGAGATTCTTTACCTATTGAAGTTCTAAGACAATTTGTTAAAATCTTCATCATTAGCCAGGCGTGGTGGCTCACGCCCCCTTGGGAGGCCAAGGCGGGTGGATCACGAGGTCAGGAGTTCAAGACCAGCCTGGCCAGCATGGTGAGACCCTGTCTCTACTAAAAATACAAAAAATTAGCCAGGCATGGGGCACGTGCCTGTAATCCCAGCTACTCAGGAGGCTGAGGCAGGAGAATCGCTTGAACCCGGGAGGTGGAGGCTGCAGTCAGCCAAGATCATAACATTGCACTCCAGCCTTCACTCTGCACCCCCATCCACCAAAAACAAATTTCATCATTAGCCTTCATACCTTAAAGTTCAAAAACATCAGAACCAACATATTTTCCATTAAACTTAATTTTATAAATTTACACTCAGAAGCCCCACTTTTTTTACATTCACAAAGGTATCTTGCTATTAAAATGCCACTTTATTTACTTTTAAATACATACCATTTTTGTGGAAGAAACCAGTAAACGTAAGCTGCAAATGAGCTGACAAGCTAAAAAAAAAAAAAAGGAAATATTTTATCATTGTAATGCTCTGTAGTAAAATAACCTAGACTTTAAAATATAACATTGAAATCAAAGTTACTTCAACCAATTTATAAATATTTGTACTCAACTGTTATTCAGGCCCATGACTCTATGCTTTCCCTGTTAAATATGACATCCAAAAGTGTGTCTATACACCTAACAAAAAATAAACAACAAAAAACCCCTCACAACTCACAAAAAGTAAGAACAAAACCACAAAAACACCAGACCAAGGCAGAAAAAAATCAGACTACCAAGTTGGAGGCCAGGTAATTTACTGTGTTTTAGTGTTCTACCTATAAAATGACAGCAGGTATGCCTTCCTATCTTTAAAAAGGAATTTTGGAGGGTTTTTGGAATTCTTTTTTTGTTTTGTTTTAATGACGCTTTAGTCAATGACTTCATCAAAAGGAAATTTTGAAAAGCGTAGCTAAATCCATGCAAAAAAATTTGAATATTTTGAAGCTATGGAAATTCAACCTTCCCAATAAATGATACAGAACCATTACTTTATACTTCAAATAGCAATGAAATACACAATTACAAATCTGGTATAGATCTATAATTTACTGTTTCAATATATCATTTTCACTGTTAGTTTTAGAAGCTATGGAAAAGCAAAAGCAAGCATGAACTAGAACTAGTGCTCCTTCTATTTTCACAAACATCTATTAACAATAGAAAAAAACAATAAGCATGGGATAAAATAAACAGAAGCATCAATAAGCTTTTGAAGTACCTTTAAACTGCAAAACACAATACAGTTGTTGATCAGGAGACATTCATAACTCTCCTGAGCATAGTTTCCATAGTGTGACATGTACAGACACCAGATTATGGAGGGCTATACAGAACAGATGGTGGGGAAAGGAAAGCAGTACTGATCCCTTACATAAGGCATTTACTAATGAAATAGTTGCTGGGCACTAAGGACTAGTAAAGGGCATATATATATATTTTTTTTTTAAATGATGGTGACAATCTAGGCATTTTTATAGTCAGATGGGAACAGTTACAGAAAGACATTGTGGCAAGAGAGTACTAAGGAACAAGTAATGACTGGAAATAAGGACATATTATGAAGAGGTTGCCCTGTAAATTTGACCAGGACTCCTCTTTTTCTTTTTTTTGAGATGAAGTTTCGCTCTTCTCGCCCAGGTTGGAGTGCAATGGCGCAATCTTGGCTCACTACAACCTCCGCCTCCCGAGTTCAAGCGATTCTCCTGCCTCAGCCTCCCAAGTAGCTGGGATTATAGGTGTGAGCCACCGAGCCCGACTGGATTCCTCTTTTTCTAAGATAGAGAAATAAGAGGCAAGTAAGAAAGACATTTCCATGGAAGATGGGGGGATATCTCCATCTACTTAGTGAAGTAGGCCATGAAACTGTCTGCTAAAAAAACTACAGTGTGGGCCGGGTGCAGTGCTTCACGTCTGTAATCCTGGCACTTTGGGAGGCCGAGGCAGGGGATCACCAGGTCAGGAGTTCGAGACCAGCCTGGCCAATATGGTGAAACCCAGTCTCTACTAAAAATACAAAAATTAGCTGGGTATGGTGGCACATGGCTGTAGTCTCAGCTACTCAGGAGGCCGAGGCAGGAGAATCGCTTGAACCTAGGAGGCAGAGGTTACAGTGAGCCGAGATTGCGCCATTGCACTCCAGCCTGGGTGACAGGGGGAGACTCAGTCTCAAAAAAAAAAACCTACAGAGTTGGGATTTTGACAGGCATTTCTAGAACAGTAGTACAGAAAGTATGTTCTAGAAAAGTATGTTCTAGAAAGTATGCTAGGGGCTGGGTGCGGTGGCTCACAACTGTAATCCCAGCATTTTGGGAGGCCAAGACAGGAGGATCAAGAGATCAGAAGATGAAGACTATCCTGGCTAACACGGTGAAACCCAATCTCTACTAAAAATACAAATATTAGCCAGGCATGGTGTCGTGTGCCTGTAGTCCCAGCTACTCGGGAGGCAGAGGCAGGAGAATCACTTGAGCCCAGGAGGCAGAGGTTGCAGTCAGCCGAGATTGCACCACTGCACTCCAGCCTGGGCAACAGAGCAAGACTCCGCCTCAAAAAAACAAAAAACAAACAACAAAAAAGTATGCTATCAGTAGAGGACAAAATTATTATGGAAGAGTAGAACTATAAGGGTCCAAGCAGAGTTAGAAAGCAGAGGGCCGGTGCCTATGGCCATACCACCCCGAACGCGCCAAATCTCAAAAGCTAAGCAGGGTTGGGCCTGGTTGGTACTTGGATGGGAGAAAGCAAAAATATAAAGTTAAAAACTAAGAATGGCCGGGCACGGTGGCTCACGCCTGTAATCCCAGCACTTTGGGAGGCCAAGGCGGGTGGATCATGAGATCAGGAGTTCAAGACCAGCCTGGCCAAGATGGTGAAACCCCGTCTCTACTAAAAATACAAAAAAAAATGCCAGGCGTGGTGGCAGGCGCCTGTAATCCCAGCTACTCGGGAGGCTGAGGCAGGAGAATTGCTTGAACTCAAAGGTCAGAGGAATCACTTGAACTCGGAGGGCGGAGGTGGCAGTGACCAAGATCGCACCACTGCACTCCAGCATGGGCGACAGAGTGAGACTCTGTCTCAAAAAACAAAACAAAACAAAAAAAATACCTAAGAACCACCACCACAACTTAAGTATCAGCTGGGCGTGGTGGCTCATGCCTGTAATCCTAGCACTTTGGGAGATGAGGCGGGATGGGAGATGAGGCGGGTGGATCACGAGGTCAGGAGATCAAGAACCATCCTTGCTAACACGGTGAAACCCAATCTCTACTAAAAATACAAAATTAGCCAGGCGTTGTGGCATGCGCCTGTAGTCCCAGCTACTCAGGAGGCTGAGGCAGGAGAATCACTTGAACCCAGGAGGTGGAGGCTGCAGTGAGCCAAGATTGTGCCACTGCACTCCAGCCTGGGCGACAGAGCAAGACTGTCTCAAAAAATAATAATAATAAATAATCGTATACAACAGGAGTCTTAAAAACCTATTCTGTATAAGCAATTCATATATTATAAACATTTTTACATGAATCAGATTTCTACGTGCTATTTTACTAAAAAGACAGCATTATTCTAGAAGAAGTTCCATAAATACTACCTTACATAGCAGAATTAGCTAAAACCCAAAACATAAGTGAAAGAGGAATATTCTACAATTCTCACATTAGAAGATAATCCACCAGTCACAACAAATCTATCCTACTCTTTGTTGCTTCAATTAAAACTACATACTAAGACCAGATTAACTTTCATAAGAATCTACTTTTTATCTATCATTCCTTTCTCCACATCTACTGAGACCCCACCTACCAAATCTTTTGTCTAACTGCTGAAATGGTTCTCATTTCCTGTTCTACGAAAGCCTTACATATGAAATAGAATTGAATTTATAGAGTCAGAAAATCCAAGTTTGAATTCTGGTGCCACTTACTCGCTGCGGTCTGTTATCTATAAAATGAGGATATTTTCTCTCACAGAGAGTGTGAGGCTTAAGATTTTGTTTTTTGCTTTCAGACAGGGTCTCGTTGTGTCACCCAGACTGGTATACAGTGGCACAATCTAGGCTCACTGCAACCTCCAATTTCCAGGCTCAAACGATTCTCCCACCTCAGCCTCCAAGAGTAGCTGAGACTATAGGCATGCACCATCATGCCTGGCTAATTTTTACATGTTTGTGGAGTCAGGATTTTGCCATGTTACCCAGGCTGGTCTCAAACTCCTGAGATCAAGAGATCCACCTGCCTCAGCCTCCCAAAGTGCTGGGATTACAGGTGTGAGCCACTGCGCCTGGCCTGTTTAAGGTTTTAATTCAATTATTTTTTTTTTCTTTTAGAGACAGGGTCTCGCTATGTTGCCCAGGCTGGTAATGAACTCCTGGGTGCAAGTGATCATCCCACCTCAGCCTCCCCAAGTGCTGCGATTATAGGCATGAGCCACTGTGCCTGGTCAGGCTTGCAGAAAATAATAAAGTATCCAGCAAAATACTCTCTCCCTCTTCTACAAAGACCCTAAACCCAATCAATCAAGAGCTAAATGACCACTTTATCCCTTTACAAGCACTCTTATTTACCACTTTTTAGTCACTATTTTTCCATATACATCTTTTTATTAGTGTCCCTAGCACCTAGCAGTGTCTTACAGAAAGTGACCCAACAAATTTTTTTCATAAGATAATGTCCTCCTAGAGTAATACAAATTTAAAGGTCAGGAATGATGGCCCATTACACTGCAGTACTATTAGTATTATTTACATTACTTTTCTGAGAAGTGTGAGGGTAAGCTCCAACTCTGAAATGCCAGAAAGATCTTACATTTATTTACCCCAGAGAATATTTTAAATCAGTGTTACTTAAAATGTTGTCTACAAACTGAGGTCATTAAGAAAAATGTTACCATTCTACAACTCAAGAAATTGAGACTACTACTAACAACACACTGAAAATTAACAAATAAACAAAATGATCTTTCACCACAGGTGATTTGAGACAGTTTTAAATGGTACATTATACCTTACATAGGATAGCCTGTATAACCAGCTTTTTTTGTTTTGTTTTGTTTTTGAGACGGAGTCTTACTGTAGCCCAGGCTGGAGTGCAGTGGTGCGATCTCAGCTCACCACAACCTCCCACCTGGGTTCAAGTGATTCTCCTGCCTCAGTCTCTGAGTAGCTGGGATTACAGGTGTCCGCCACCATGCCAGGTTAATTTTCCTGTTTTTAGTAGAGATGAGGTTTCACCACGTTGGCCAGGCTGGTCTAGAACTCCTGACCTCAGGTGATCCACCCACCTCGGCCTCCCAGTGCTGAGATTACAGGTGTGAGTACTATGCCCAGCCAACCAGCCATTATCATACTAGTGTTTCTTTGTGAGAAAGAATTTTTTTTTTTTTTGAGACGGAGTCTCGCTCTGTCACCCAGGCTGGAGTTCAATGGCGTGATCTCGGCTCACTGTAACTTCTGCCTCCCAGGGTTCAAGCCATTCTCCTGCCTCAGCCTCCTGAATAGCTGGGAGTCAGGCACATGCTGCCATGCCCAGTTTATTTTTTGTATTTTTTAGTGGAGAGAGGTTTCGTCATATTGCCCAGGCTGGTCTCAAACTCCTGAGCTCAGGCAATCCACCTGCCTCAGCCTCCCAACGTGCTAGGATTACAGGTGTGAGCCACCATGCCCGGACTTTGAGAAAGAATTCTAAATTTCAATTAACCAATTTTAAAAGACAACATTGGGGCCAGGCACGGTGACTCACACCTATAACCCCAGCACTTTGGGAAGGAGGCAGGGGGAATCACTTGAGGTCAGGAGTTGGAGACCAGCCTGGCCAACATGGTGAAACCTTGTCTCTACTAAAAATACAAAAAATTAGCCAGGCGTGGTGACACCCGCGTGTAATCCCAGTTACTCGGGAGGCTGAAGCAGAAGAACAGCTTGAACCTGGGAGGCGGACGTTGCAGTGAGCCAAGATCACACCACTGCACTCCAGCCTAGGTGACAGAGCAAGTCTCAAAAATAAATAAATAAATAATAAATAAAGGTGACATTGGGAATGTGACTTGCTATGCATGATTTCCCCTTCCTCACCTAAAAGTAAACACTCTGGCTGGGCGCAGTGGCTCACGCCTGTAATCCCAGCACTTTGGGAGGCCGAGGCGGGCAGATCACAAGGTCAGGAGTTCGAGACCAGCCTGACCAACGTGGTGAAACCTCATCTCTACTAAAAACACATAAATTAGCTGGCCGTGGTGGCAGGCACCTGTAATCCCAGCTACTCAGGAGGCTGAGGCAGGAGAATCGCTTAAACCTGGGAGGCGGAGGTTGCAGTGAGCCGAGATTGCATCACTGCACTCCAACCTGGGCAACAGAGCGAGACCCCGTCTCAAAAAAAAAAAGTAAACACTCTGATATGTACTAGAATAAAGTGTACCAATGATCCCTTCCATAGGTGGTTTGTTCCAAGGAAAAGGGCAAAGTTTTCTCTCCCTTCCCTCTGCCCTCTCTTGCAGCTACTTTGTCCACATCTTAATTGGTTAGGCTGGACCAGATGAACGGGAGGAAAAGAAACACGTAAGGTTGGTCAGGACTATTTGGTTTTAGGCCACAAAAAAATCTAGTTTACATGACCAGAATAAGATATAAGAAACTTAGTTCATCTATGTCATGTGCTCCCTGCATCTTCTCAGGAAGTAAGACACATGATAACAAGAAATCAGGTAAAGAATTTGAAATTTTGAGATGCAAATTTCAGCATTCCAAGCACAAACATCTGACAGTTCTGATACAGTCTACAGAAAATGATGCTAAGCTAATTCATAAGAGACTAACACTTTGAAATCTAATTCAAGGAAGAGCCTCCCATTTTAAGAACAGCCAGATCCCACAGAGGAAGTAATTTTTATGACAAGAGGAGACCAAGATTAGTGCCTCTAATTTATATACATGAATCTGCTAGCAGCAGGAATAAGGCTTCATTTTAAGGGCATGGCAGTATTACCTCAAAACAGGACAAGTCTGATAATCTACTTGGTTTCTATAGTTAGATGTTAGCTATTCAACTTTTGTTATATACATTTCATCCTATGATATGTAAAGCTGAGAAACTCGTGTCTACATCAAGTCCAATATTCTGAAATCCAGGATCTCAAAATATAGGGGTTAGACGCACTTTCTAATGAGAAGATAAAGCTCAATGGTGGATGATGTGTGTGTGTCTATTAATTACAAATGGATCACTCTGCAGAAGTACTGTGAAGCAAACAAAGGAATTACTACAAAACCAAAAATTATACAAGGAATATTTTTACAATTTGTTCTTGAATATTCAAATTTTTAAGAATCAGATATGCTTAAGTGGCAACTGATGAGGCACCTTCAAGAGTAAGTATGCAAAAAGAAATGTATAGCCAGGTTCTGAAAAAAGAACAAAAACTCAAGACTGAAAAGATGACAATTTGAAAACAACTTCAAAGCTTATAGTCAAGGCAAAGTGTATTAAAAAAAAGAAAGGGAAAACATCAGATCTTATTAATGGTGGGAAAGACACATAACCAACCTAAGAGGTAGTCTACAGATTTTATTTATTTATTTATTTTGAGACGGAGTCTCCCTCTGTCACCCAGGCTGGAGTGCAGTGGTGCGATATCTGCTCACTGCAACCTCCACCTCCTGGGTTCAAGCAATTCTCCTGCCTCAGCCTCCCGAGTAGATGAAATTACAGGTGCACGCCACCATGCCCAGCTAATGTTTTATTTATTTATTTATTTTTGAGACAGAGTTTCACTCTGTAGCCAGGATGGAGTGCAGCGGTGTAATCTCGGCTCACTGCAACCTCTGCCTCCCAGGTTTAAGCAATTCTCCTGCCTCAGCCTCCCGAGTAGCTAGAAATACAGGCACATGCCACCACGCCCAGCTAATTTTTGTATTTTTACTAGAGATGGGGTTTCACCATGTTGGCCAGGATAGTCTCAATCTCTTGACCTCATGATCCGCCTGCCTTGACCTCCCAAAGTGCTGGGATTACAGGCGTGAGCCACCGCACCTGGCCTAATTTTTTGGATTTTTAGTAGAGATGGGGTTTTTACCATGTTGGTCAAGCTGCTCTTGAACTCTTCACCTCAAGTGAACCACCTGCCTTGACCTCCCAAAGTGCTGGGATACAGGCGTGAGTCACCATGCCTGGGCCAGCCTAAAGATTTTAAACTGCAGCTAAATGTACAAAATAGAAAAGTAGGGAAAAATCATTAATACAATAGTTCTCTTAAAAATAATTTAATAGGTCGGATGCAGTGGCTCACGCCTGTAATCCTAACACTTTAGGAGGACAAAGTGGGCAGATCACTTGAACTCAGTAGTTCGAGGTCACACTGGGCAAAACGGTGAAACCTCATCTCTACAAAAAGTACAAAAGGGGCTGGGCGCGGTGGCTCACGCCTGCAATCCCGGCACTTTGGGAGGCTGAGGTGGGCGGATCATGAGGTCAGGAGATTGAGACATCCTGGCTAACACGGTGAAACCCCATCTCTACTAAAAATACAAAAAAATTAGCCGGGCGTGATGGCAGGCGCCTGTAGTCCCAGCTACTCGGGAGGCTGAGGCAGGAGAATGGCATGAACCCGGGAGGCAGAACTTGCAGTGAGCGGAGATTGCGCCACTGAACTCCAGCCTGGGCGACAGAGCAAGACTCTGTCTCAAAAAAAAAAAAAAAAAAAAAAAAAGGACAAAAGGTGAGCCAGGGCCAGGTGCAGTGGCTCACACCTGTAATCCAGGGCCAGGTGCAGTGGCTCACACCTGTAATCCAGCACTTTGGGAGGCTGAGGCTGGTGGATAACTTGAGGTCAAGAATTCGAGGCCAGCCTGGCCAACATGGTGAAACTCCATCTCTGCTAAAAATACAAAAACTGGCTGGGGGCAGTGGCTTACGGCTACAATCCCAGCACTTTGGGAGGCTGAGGCGAGCAGATCACCTGAAGTCAGGAATTCGAGACCAGTCTGCTCTACCTGTTGAAACCCTGTCTCTAAAAATGCAAAAAAATTAGCTAGGCGTGGTGGCAGGCACCTGTAATCCCGGCTACTCGGGAGGCTGAGGCAGAAGAATCGCTTGAGCCTGGGAGGTGGAAGTTGCAGTGAGCCAAGATCACGCCACTGTACTCCAGCCTGGGCAAGAAGAAAGAAACTCCGTACCAAAAAAAAAAAGAATACAAAAATTATCCGGGTATGGTGGTGCATGTCTGTAATCCCAGCTACTCAGGAAGCTGAGACAGGAGAATTACATGAACTCAGGAGGTGGAGGTTGTAGTGAGCAGAGATCACACCACTGCACTACAGCCTGGGCAACAAAGCAAGACTCCATCTGGAAGAGAAAAAAAAAAAACAAAAAATGTAGCCAGGTAGTCCCAGCTAATCAAGAGGCTGAGGAGAGAGGATCTCTTCATCCCAGGAGGTTGAGACTGCAGTGAGCCAGTGATCGTGCCACTGCACTCCAGCCCGGGCAATGGAGCAAGACTCTATCTCAAAAATAATAATAGTAATAAAATAAGGCCAGGCACGCTGGCACAGGCCTGTAATCCAGCACTTTGGGAGGCCGAGGTGGGTGGATCACTTGAGGTCAGGAATTCAAGACCAGATTGGCTAACACAGTGAAAACTAGTCTCTACTAAAAATACAAACATTAGCTGGGCGTGGTGGCACATGCCTATAATCCCAGCTACCTGGGAGGCTGAGGCATGAGAATCCCCTGAACCTGGGAGGCAGAGGTTGCAGTGATCCTAGATGGCGACATTGCTGAGCCATAGAATGAGACTGTCTCAAAAAACCAAAAAATATATATATATACATATATACATATATATACACACACACACGTATATATAGAGAGAAAATAAAATAAATAATTTAAGAATTTAATGACTTTTTTACATACCACAATACTAGGCGAGAAGTGCAATAATAGCAGAGGTGGGTAGGGAGGGTTTTCGGTGATATCTCGAGGTTCTGAAGTGACCGAAGAGCAGCATCCTGCTCCTGGAACTCAGATTACAATCCTAACCATCATATGTACTACTGGTCTAATGTTAGAAGAAACAGAACAATGCAGAAACAATAACTATATATATTTAAAAACTGACTGGGTGCGGCGGCTTATGCCTGTAATCCCAGCAGTTTGGGAGGTTGAGGTGGGCCGATCACGAGGTCAGATCAAGACCATCCTGGCCAACACGGTGAAACCCCATCTCTACTAAAACACAAAACATTAGCCAGGCATGGTGGCACACGCCTGTAGTCCCAGCTACTCCAGAGGCTGAGGCAAGAAAATTGCTTGAACCCAGGAGGCGGAGGTTGCAGTGAGTCGAGACTGCTGGCGACAGAGTGAGACTCCCTCTCAAAAAAATAGTAATACTGGCTGGGCGTGGTGGCTCACGCCTGTAATCCCAGCACTTTGGGAGGCCGAGGCGGACAGATCACGGGGTCAGGAGATTGAGAACATCCTGGCTAACACGGTGAAACCCCATCTCTACTAAAAAATACAAAAAATTAGCCGGGCGTGGTGGCAGGCGCCTATAGTCCTAGCTACTCAGGAGGCTGAGGCAGAAGAATGGCGTGAACCCGGGAAGGCAGAGCTTGCAGTGGGCCGAGATCGCACCACTGCACTCCAGCCTGGGCGACAGAGCGAGACTCCATCTCAAAAACAAAAAATAATAATAATAATAATATACAACTTTAAAAACAACAGGCTGGGTGTAATGGTTCACACTTGTAATCTCAATGCTTTGAGAGGCTGAGACAGGAGGACTGTTAGAGGCCAGAAGTTTGAGACCATCTTGGGCAACATGACAAGACAATGGATCTCTACTGTAAGTTTTTTTGAGATGTAGTCTCACTCTGTCGCCCATGCTGGAGTGCAATGGCGCGATCTCTCCTCCCTGCAACCTCCATCTCCCAGGTTTAAGCGATTCTCCTGCCTCAGCCTCCTGAATAGCTGGGATTACAGGTGCACGACACTCTGCCCAGCTAATTTTTATATTTTTAGTAGAGATGGGGTTTTTACCATGTTGGTCAGGCTGTTCTCAATCTCCTGACCTCGTGATCCGCCCGCCTCGGCCTCCAAAAGTGCTGGGACTACAGGCATGAGTCACCGTGCCCCGGCTACAAAATTTTACAAAATCATCCAGGCATGGTATCTTGCGCCTGTGGTCCTAGGCTATTCGGTAGGCTGAGGCAGGAGGATCATTTGAGGCCAGGAGGTCAAGGGTAAAGTGAGTCATGATCGCACAATTGCAATCCAGCCTGGCTGATGAAGTGAGACCCTGTCTCCTAAAAAAACCTTTTTTTAATAAAATAAAATAAGTGGGACATGGTAGCATGTGCCTGTAGTCCCAGCTACTCAGGAGGCTAAGGCAGGAGGGTTACTTGAGCCCAGGAGTTCATGGCTGTAGTTGAGCCATGATCACACCACTGTACTGCCACCTCAGCGACAGGGCAAATCCTCATCTCTAAAAAGTAAAATAAAAAATAAAGTAAGACAACAGAGCCTGGAAGTTCGAGGATGCAGTAAGCTATGAACCTATCACTGCACTCCCGTGTGGGTGACAGAACAAGACCCCACCTCTTAGAGAACAACAACAACAAAAAGAACGAACAAACGACTTTCTTAAGACCAACATCCTTAAATTACCTTGAAGACAATGCACTGTCTGGCCCTGGCCATCTGCTCCAGCTTCTTCTCATACCACTCTCAAGGAGACTTGCTCTTTCTACACAGCTACTCTGGCATCAAATGCTTTATATGTAATATTCCCTTTAACTAGAACCACCTATTTGTTCATCCTCCCACCCCATTTTACTTCTGTACACTTCTTTCAAATCTCAGCTTATTTCTTCAGAGATGCCTTCCCTGATCGTCATTATTCCCAAATCTAACACCTCAAATGAAAGCTGGTTCTCCTGTTTTATACACTCACAGTTTTCTTATGCTTTTCTTTCCCAGCACTTATTTCATATTTATTAAATGATTATGTCTTTCTCCCCTAACACTAAGCTCCATAAAGGCAGGGCCTTCATCCATTTTGTTCACCCTTATATACCCGAGGGCTTAGTATAGTGCCTAGGACATTGCACACTACATAAATGAAACGCGCCCCCAAGAATATAGATGCAGGCCTTCTTATTGTAAAAATAAATGCTTAAAAAGGGGGAGGTTTAGAAAAGGAAGGTTACTAATTCAAAAGCTTAGGTTGCATCAAAAACAAAGTTGGCTGGGCGCAGAGGCTCACGCCTGCAATCCCAGCGCTTTGGGAGGCCGAGGTGGGCAGAACACGAGGTCAGGAGTTCGAAACCAGCCTGACCAATATGGTGAAACCCCGTCTCTACCAAAAATACAAAAGTTAACCGGGCGTGGTGGTGTGTGCCTGTAATCCCAACTACTCAGGAGGCTGAGGCAGGAGAATAGCTTGAACCCAGGAGGCGGAGGTTGCAGTGAGCCGAGATGGCACCACTGCACTCTTGCCTGGGCAACAAAGCAAGACTCTGTCTCAAAAATAAATAAATAAATAAATAGTCAAAAAAGGCACACTGACTTATCAACCTACTAAAAATAAAAATGAGCCGGGCTCGGTGGCTCACACCTGTAATCCCAGCACTTTGGGAGGCTGAGGCAGGTGGATCACAAGGTCAGGAGATCAAGACCATCCTGGCCAACATGGTGAAACCCCTTCTCTACTAAAAATACAAAAATTAGCTGGGAGTGGCACCGCGTGCCTATAATCCCAGCTACTCGGGAGGCCAAGGCAGGAGAACTGCTTGAACCAAGGAGTTAGAGGTTGCAGTGAGCCGAGATCGCGCCACTGCACTCCAGCCTGGCAACAGGGCGAGACTCAGTCTCCAAAAAAAAAAAAAAAAAAAATTGAGGCTGGGCATGCGGGCTCATTCCTGTAATCTCAGCACTTCAGGATGTCGAGGTGGGAGGATCACTTGAGGATAGGAGTTCAAAACTGGCCTGGGCAAGATGATGAGACCCTGACTCTACAAAAATTCAAAAAATTAGTGAGGTGTGACAGTACATGCCTGTAGTCCCAGCTACTCAGGAGGCTGAGGCAGGAGGATCCCTTTAGTCCACAAGTTCAATCCATCAGTGACCTATCATTGTGCCACTACACTCCAGCCTCGGTGACAAAGCGAGACCTTGTCTCAAAAAATAAAAATAAAGCCAGGCATGGTGGCTCACACCTGTAATCCCAGCAATTTGGGAGGTCGAGGCGGATGGACCACCTGAGGTCAGGAGTTTGAGACCAGCCTGGCCAATAGGTGAAACCCTGTCTCTACTGGAAAACAAAAAACAAAAATTAGCCAGGTGTGGTGGCAGATGCCTGTAATCTCAGCTACTGGGGAAGCTGAGGCTCGAGAATTGCTTGAACCTGGGAGGCGGAGGTTGCAGTGAGCCAAGATCATGCCACTATATTCCTGCCTGGGTGACAGAGCAAGACTTTGTCTCAAAAAATAAAAATATATGCTTGAAAATAACCCTAATAAAAGTTCTAATTCAGGTATCCTTTGAGGGGATTTTTCTCCAGCTACTAACAGAAGACCAGGAATAGAAGAGGAATAAGGGCAAGAGAGAAGTGACATTTTGCTTCGTTTGGCCCTGGTAAACACTTGGAAGCAACTCAGATTTAAAAATCTTTTCATGATGCATTTTAGTCCATGGAGATGCACTCAGCACTCAAGAGTTGTTACCAGAGAATTCCAACATTGGGGACAGGCACGGTGCCACACGCCTGTAATCCCAGCACTTTGGAAGGCCACGGAAGGCGGATCACTTGAGGTCAGGAGTTCAAGACCAGCCTGACCAACATGGTAAAACCCTGTCTCTACTAAAAATGCAAAAAGTAGCTGGGCGTGGTGGCAGATGCCTGTAATCCCAGCTACTCAGGAGGCTGAGGCATGAGAACTGCCTGAACCCAGGAAGAGGAGGTTGCAGTAAGCCGAGATCGCGCTACTGCACTCCAGCCTGAGCGACAAAGCCACATTCCATCTCAAAAAAACAGCAACAAAAAAAAGATAATTCCAAAATTGGTAGGACAGCATAAGAATCCCTAGAATCCTGCTAGCATATACCACTACACAAAGGCAAGAGATTTATTCTAATCAGCCATAGTGCCTGGTCAAAATCCATGAAAAATTCAAAACTGGAGTACCAGAAACAAGAGCTGGAAAGGATGTAAGGCATTATATCAGACCTTCTGTAAAGAAAATAAAGGCCAGGCGTGGTGGCTCACACCTGTAATCCCGGAACTTTGGGAAGCCAATCTGAAAGGATCACTTGAGGCCAGGAGTTTGAGACCAGCCTGGGCAACATAGCAAGATCCTGCCTCTACAAAAATTTAAAAATTAGCCAGGCATGGTGGCATGCACCTGTAGTCCTAGCTATTCAGGAGGCTAAGATGGGAGGATGGTTTGAGGCCAGGAGTTAGAGGCTGCAGTGAGCAGCCACTTGTGCTCCAGCCTGGGCAACAGAGCAAGACCCTGTCTCTTAGAAAAAGAAGGCTGGGCGCAGTGGCTCAGCCTGTAATTGCAACACTTTGAGAGGCCAAGGTGGAAGGATCACTTGAGGTCAGGAGTTTGACACCAGCCTGGCCAACATGGTGAAACCCTGTCTCTACTAAAAATACAAAAATTAGTTGGACGTGGTAGGGCATGCATATAATCCCAGCTACTAGGGAGGCTGCGGCAGGAGAATCTCTTGAACCTGGGGGACAGAGGTTGCAGTGAGCCAAGATCGCACCACTACACTCCAGCCTGGGCGACAATGTGAGACTCTGTCTCAAAAAAAAAAAAAAAAAGGCTGGGCGCGGTGGCTCACACCTGTAATCCCAGCACTTTGGGAGGCCAAGGCGGGTGGATCACGAGGTCAGGAGATCGAGACCATCCTGGCTAACATGGTGAAACCCCGTCTCTACTAAAAATACAAAAAATTAGCCAGGCGTGGTGGCACGCACCTGACCCAGCTACTCAGAAGGCTGAGGCAGAATGGCGTGAACCCGGGAGGCGGAACTTGCAGTGAGCTGAGATGGCGCCACTGCACTCCAGCCTGGGTGACAGAGCGAGACTCCGTCTCAAAAAAAAAAAAAAAAAAGAACTAACCACCATTTAATAGCTCATGTTTTTCTATCACCTCCTTCCACCAACAAGTTTCTGCAAGTGACTTAAGACAACTGTAGGTCTAAAATATAAAAGACCGTGAAACACCAACTTCTTTTGAACAGATAATGCTCATATCTTGGTTTAGTTT
Source organism: Homo sapiens (assembly GCF_000001405.40). NCBI lineage: Eukaryota > Metazoa > Chordata > Mammalia > Primates > Hominidae > Homo > Homo sapiens. The sequence continues at coordinate 31,951,326 of NC_000017.11, read as the reverse complement.
ATAAATTACTACAAATGTCATAATAAACTCAGGCATTTATTTGACTGAACTAACTTTTGGGCTATACTACTATGGTATTTTTATCTTGATACCCCTTGAACTTTGAGGAATGAAATATATTGGGCTCAGGAGCAGACATACTATAACTTTGGCAGTGCTAAAGGAATATGAATTCTAGTGGAAGACTCCCAGACTAGACCTGTACAGATCTGGGACCCAGTCAAACTGAAATAGTACAAAGAATATATGCCGGGCGCGGTGGCTCACGCCTGTAATCCCAGCACTTTGGGAGGCTGAGATGGGCGGATCACGAGGTCAGGAGATCGAGACCATCCTGGCTAACACGGTGAAACCCCGTCTCTACTAAAAATACAAAAAATTAGCTGGGCAAGGTGGCGGGCGCCTGTAGTCCCAGCTACTCGGGAGGCTGAGGCAGGAGAATGGCGTGAACCCCGGCGGGCAGAGCCTGCAGTGAGCTGAGATCGCGTCACTGCACTCCAGCCTCGGTGACAGAGCGAGACTCCGTCTCAAAAAAAAAAAAGAACATAAATGGAGGAGAGATACTTTTGTGTACGATTTAAGATATTAACTTCTACTAACTAATGTTATGGAACAACAAAGATTTATCATCTTTTTTCTTTTTTTGAGACAGAGTCACACTCTTGCCCAGGCTGGAGTGCAGTAGCACAATCTTAGTTCACTGCAACCTCTGCCTCCCGGGTTCAAGGGATTCTCCTGCCTCAGTCACCCAAGTAGCTGGAATTACAGGTGTACACCACCTCGCCTGGCTGATTTTTGTGTTTTTTGTAGAGAAAGGGTTTTCCCCTGTTGGCCAGGGCAGTCTCAAATTCCTAGCCTCAAGTGATCCACCCACCTCAGCCACCAAAATGCTGGGATTATAGGTGTGAGCCACTATGCCCGGCCTGTGTTATCTTTTAAGAATTTGACAATAGATTTTAGAAGCAAATATTTATATTGCTGGCATCATATACTGGTGTTTAGGGTCCTTCCTACAACCCTGTGTGATAGGTTTAGGAGAAAAATAAGATTACCTTAATTTGAAATAAGAAATAGATTAAAGGAGGCTGGGCGCAGTGGCTCATGCCTATAATTCCAGCACTTTGGGAGGGCTGAGGTGGGCAGATCACCTGAGGTCAGGAGTTCAAGAAAAAATTAGTTCGGTGTGATGCCGGGCACCTGTAATCCCTGCTACTTGGGAGGCTGAGGCAGGAGAACACGGGAGGCAGAGGTTGCAGTGAGCGGAGATCACGCCATTGCATTCCAGCCTGCACAACAAGAGCAAACCTCCGTTTCAAAATAAATAAATAAATAAACACAAAAATTGGCCAGGCTTGGTGGCTCCCACCTGTAATCCCAGCACTTCAGGAGGCCAAGGCAGGCAGATCACTTGAGCTCAGGAGTTCAAGACCAGCCTGGCCAACATGGTGAAACTCTGTTTCTACTAAAAATACAAAATCAGCTGGGTGTGGTGGTGCACGTCTGTATTCCCAGCTATTCAGGAGGCTGAGACAGGTGAATTGCTTGAGCCCGGGAGGTGGAGGCTGTAGAGCCAAGATCGCGCCACTGCACTCCAGCCTCAGCAAGAGGGAGACTTGGTCTCAAAAAAAAAAAAAAAAAAAAAAAAAAAAAGGGGGGGGGGGGGGGGCTGGGTGTGGTGGCAGGTGCCTGTAATCCTAGATAATTGGGAGGCTGAGGCAGGATAATTGCTTGAATCCAGGAGGTGGCAGTTGCAGTGAGCTGAGATAGCACCACTGCATGACTCCATCTCAAAAAAAAAGAAATAGATTAAAGAAAGTTAATAATGTAGGGTCTTAGCAGTAAATTTAAAATGACACACTTTCTTAATTCATCTTAGTGCCTCTGGGAGCAATACTGAGACATTCATAAGAATCTTGAGAGGCTTAAATGGCCAACTCACTGGTCCTAGCTAGACCCTAAAGACTCAAAAAATTCTCTTCCAAAACTACCAGCAGGAATTTATGTAACCCTCTGATTTTAATGTTTGAGTTGCTATTGAACCCACCAGGTCAAAAGGAACAAAATTACTGGGGAAACAATTGTTCAGAGAGAATTGAACAGTATGTATCTCCCACACACTCTTACTTAGGGAAGCTCTGTAATTTCAAACCCAATGTCACAATGAGATAGTAATAGGGTTTAGTAGTGAAGGTAAACCTTGATGAGGAAGATGAAGAGAAGGGTCCAGTGTTCCTGTTGTTGGTTCATGCTTCCTTCTCACTTGAACCCTGAAATGACTATAGGGCAAACTTTTAATGTGGTCAGGAGAAAAGAAGCAGGGAGGTCAGACCAGGATCTTACTACAGTCTGTATTTTAAGTAAAAAAGGCCCTGAGGATCCCAAGAGCTCTGTCTAGGGTGGGTGACCAGACAAGAATCTGGAATATAAATTCTAGTAAAGAAAAATGTGCGTGCACTGCGAATATTCTCAGTTCTATCTTATAGGGTCTCCCTGGGCATTAACAGATATAACAGGTAACAATTCAGGATCTCAGCTTCTAGAATGGACTATCACAGTTTATTTACAAGTCAGGATTGCCTAGACATGGAAATATAAATTATACTTCAACCCCACAAGATTGCAGGATATAAAATAAAAAATATCATTTTATAATCCAAGTAAAAAAATCACTTAATTCCAAAGCCAAACTTAAAATAGAAGGAAGCCAAACTGAAAAAAAGGAAGTCTTTTACCAGTCAACAGAACAATGGGAAAACAATGAGATGCATAAATGATGCATCATTAAGTGTATATCCTATCTAAATTCGTAAGCTGTGATTTAAAACTAGGAGGAAAAGAAAAATGCATTGTGACAAATTTTCCAACTCTATTTTTTCAAGAATCTAATATTTTTAGTTCTGCACTCTCTAAAGGAGTTAATGAATGAACAAACACCACCCAAGCTGCTGTTTCTCCTTAGAATATTCAATTTTCTATCAAAAATATCAAAAAATAAAGTTTACGTGTCAAAAAATAAATAGAAGCATACTATCTAGAGTAGACAGATATCAGACTAGTCAGAACATTTAGGGATTCGTTCTAGGTATATATTTGATAATGTACAACAAGTAGATTCTGTCCAAATGTTCAAGTTTCTGAAACTATGTGAGAAACATATTTCAAATATGAAATAAAAGTTATGAATATGTTGCCTGATAGATTTAAATGAGAAGAAAAAGATGGAAAAAAAAGAGAACCCCTCTCATATTTGAGAATAACTTACAAGATACGTGATATTGTGAAGTCCCTGCCACAGTACCTAGCACATATACTATAAATGTGAGTATCCCTCTTTAAATGAGGTGGTAGAGTTAAGACCAACGGCAGAAGTCAGAGGTTTCACTCAAAATGGAAGAAACTGGTAATAAAGATAAACAATAATAAATACAACTACACTGGAGGTATTCAAGCCACAGCTTAAGTATTCTCTGCCAGGAATGCTACAGAAATTAATTTCTGACTTGTGTGTGAGTTTGGACCAAACTGACCTCTAAGATTCCTTCTAACTCCTTATATCAAGGTGATCACTAGGAAAATGATCACTGTAATTTTTCCTCTTTCCTAAAGTATATCACTTAATGTAAACTGATAGATTATCTTACCTATGAGATTCTTGCTCTCCTTTCATTTTCTCTACTTTTGATAACATATCATCAACTTTAAATGTTTTCCTGGAAGAAACAGATAAACAAAATAATCACTTCTCAACTGGGAAAAAGAAACAAATTATACTTTATTGTCACTCTAATAGGCAAGATGGAAACCAGATTTTGATTATTTTTAGTAAGATAAATTATGGATGATTAGCCATAACAATGAATACTATGGAGACGGTGTATAATACAGCACACGAGCCTTCAAGCCCCATCTAAAACGCTAACTTGTTTTCATTAAACCTTTTACCCAATTATTCCCAAACCAGTGATTTCTCCTTACCCATGGTACTTGGTTTATATTTATTTTGACACTTACTTTTCATTCAGTTTCCTACACGTAAAACTCATGTAAATATTTTATTTCTCCTACTAGATTATATATTCCTGAAGGGCAGTAATTGCTCTTCTTCAAGGAAAGCTATGCAGTGCTGGCATAGTGCCTTATACTTGGTAGGTATTCAAGTATCTGTTGAATTAAGCCAAACAAATATAAATTATGTGTATTCTGAAACACTTAACACGTCTACTAAGCAACACAACAAATATGTACTAGCACCATCACATAAAAAAAGAAATATTCTATAAAATATATTTGAAGTTCACAAGGTATCCTCAAAGATTATCAGCAAAGCCTAAAGCTCAATGATATGTCATATTAAAGAGACAGTTGTTGACATCATGAAAAAATTTTGAAGTTAGGGAATGATCCATCAAATCGTAATAAAACTACTACCTTTTAACTTGACAAGTTTAAGAGAAAAAAGCTATTTCCCAAAAAATAGAAACTTAAGTATAACTTCTCAAAGCAATTAAAGAATGAATGGATTGTAAAAACAAGCCTCATCTTAGTTCTTAAGGTGGTCTATGACATGTTCTAGAGATAAGAGTCTAAAAATCTATACCCATATATAATTTAATTAGAAAAAATGTTTCTCTTTATACTCATATAGTCCCTTCCTCTTTAGGACTTGAAAAGCCAAATGTACTCCACATCAATTTATTACTTTATAATGCTTGAATGCAGACACCAAAAATTACGAATAATCTCATTCCTCAAAGAGAGTTTTGTGTTTGTTTGTTTTTGTTTGTTTTGTTTTTGAGATGGGAGTGTCACTCTTGTTGCCCAGGCTGGAGTACAATGACGTGATCTCGGCTCACTGCAACCTCCACCTCCCGGGTTCAGGCAATTCTCCTGCCTCAGCCTCCCGAGTAGCTGGGACTACAGGTGTGCACCACCACGCCTGGCTAATTTTTGCATTTTGTAGAGACAGGGTTTCACCATGTTGGTCAGGCTGGTCTTGAACTCCTCACCTCAGGTGATCTATCCACCCCTGTCTCCCAAAGTGCTAGGATTAAAGGTGTGAGCCACCATGCCTGGCCAAAAAAGAGCTATTTATTGTATTCAACTACTGTAAAAATTATCAGTAGAGAAATGTTAATGTAAATATAGTAAACTACTGATATTAGAGCAGAATTGATACAATCTATATTTCAAGTGAATGAGAAGAGCCTCCATAGTAAAGATCTTAAGGGAAAAAAAGCTTCTCTCTTTACCTTTAGAGTTACTGAAAACTTCAATATTAAAGTTTCATCCAATAGAGTATAGTAAGAAGCGCTTTCTGAAGGATGGCAATATATTTTCAATCTCCACAGATAAGAGAGAAAAAAGAACAAAAATAAAGGACTCTTTTAGGCTAGTTGCAAAGAGCTATTCAGTATAAATACTGAAAGTTACTATTGAGGAGGGCCATGAAACTACTGAAAACTTTTCCGAATAATGTTTATGTAATGATTAAGAAATTCTGTCTGCAGAAAAAGACTGTACGTTCTAAGGTTCATCTCTTCTACCTTTATGAAGCTGTATACAGGAGAAGTGAATAGAATTGATTAACCATTTGAAATAGATAAGATCACAAAAGCAACCCAGCCTTCCTTAGGAAAAAAACAAAACCAACCTCATAAGCAACTATATAAAAGCTGCTCCTCCCCCAACACCAAGGATTTCTGTTCTTTAGAAAGGTAATGTTACTGTAGGTCAGATTTAAAGAAGGAAATAATTATCAAAAGGTCATCGAAAAGGAGCATATTTAAAAATTCAAGAAATTTCAGAAAATTTTCTTGGGAGACTTCAGAAACAGCTCACACGAAATCTAGCAAAATGGATTCAATAAAAGATGCCCTTCTCGTGACCTATATTTTTACTTTGTTGGGGCAGTGTTAGCCTATAGAAGTTGAATACTTCTAGAAAGAGTAAAGCACAAGCTGACTTTAATAAATATACCAGAATTAATATCACGACTGAGAGTATGACTTTAAAGGGAGTGATATGCTTATTCCAACAATGGATATTATGTTGTTGTAATAGTAAAAAACGAGTTCTGAAAACATTTTGAGAAACGACAATCACTGGGCTAAATCTGCCACCTTCCAAAGTCACCAACTACGCTGAAGACAACAGCAAATGAGTTGTGCTTTAATTTCTTAATAATTAGTCCTAATAAGTAATAAGATCAGGCATCTAACAAGATGATTAAATGATTCCCATACTTTTTTTTTTTTTTTTTTTTTTTGAGACACCATCTCCCTCTACTGCCCAGGCTAGAGTGCACCGGCACATTCATAGCAACCTTCGAACTTCTGGGCTCAGGTGATCCTCCTGCCTCAGCCTCCTGAGTATTTGGGACTATAGTCATGAGCCACCACGCCCAGCTAATTTTTTAAAATTTTTGTAGATATAGGGTCTCACTATGTTGCCAGGGCTGACCTATAACTCTCGCCTTTAAATGTAAACTTGTTCACTTGATACGCTCAAATAAATATAATCTTGCACCCAGGACAAAAAACTTGCATTCATAATTACGTAAGGTTAAGTACTAAATGTTACACAAGCAATCCTCCTAACTCAGTCTCCCGAAATGCTGAAATTACAGGTCTGAAACACCATGCCTAGCCTATTCCTACCCATTTCTGTAGGAACTAAACTAGGTGGGACTTAAATTTGCTTCTTGGCTGGCAGATTGCTTAAAAATTCCCCAGACTTTTTTTTTTTAACCTAAAGGGCAATAATTAAGAAAATCAGTTCTTACTTAACCAAGCTTTTAAAATTATCTCTACCCATGCGGACAACAGAAACATATCCTGCAATGGGACAAATTAATAAACATGACGGGAAAATGGAACTTAGATTTTAAATGTGTACTTTTTAGCAGGACGTGGTGTTTCACACCTGTAATCCCAGCACTTTGGGAGTCCGAGGTGGGCAGATCACCTGAGGTCGGGAGTTCGAGACCAGCCTGACCAACATGGAGAAACCCCATCTCTCCTAAAAATACAAAATGAGCCAGGCATGGTGGCGCATGCCTGTAATCCCAGCTACTCGGGAGGCTGAGGCAGGAGAATCACTTGAACCCAGGAGGTGGAAGTGGCAGTGAGCCAAGATTGCACCATTGCACTCCAGCCTGGGCAACAAGAGCGAAACTCCATCTCAAAAAAAAATAATAATAATAAAATAAATGTGTACTTTTTAATCTATGAATGCAAACTTATTTTATAATAATTTAATTACTTTGTAAATTAAGATCAGGTTGCATCCTAGGCAGCAACTCAACTGACCTTCTATATTAAAAATGCTTTGATGGCCAGGCACGGTGGCTCACGACTGTAATCCCAGCACTTTGGGAGGCCAAGGCAGGCGGATCATGAGGTCAGGAGTTTGAGACCAGCCTGACCAACATGGTGAAACCCTGTCTCTACTAAAAATACAAAAATTAGCTGGGTGTAGTGCCACACGCCTGTAATCCCAGCTACTCAGGAGGCTGAGGCAGAATTGCTTGAACTTGGGAGGCGAAGACTGCAGTGAGCCGAAATTGCGCCACGGCACTCCAGCCTAGACGACAGAGCAAGACTCTGTCTCAAAAAAAAAAAAGCTTTGATGAAACAAAACAGTTAGTCGAATTCTACTAGTTTTATAGAATAAATCAAGGGTGGGGAAACTATGGACCATGGTCAAATCTGGCCTATCGCCTGTTTTTGTACAGCCCGGAAGGTAAGAACGGTTTTTACAGATAAACATTAGCAATCGATTTGATTACAGAAAACACTAACTCTGAACCCCAATTCAGCTAAATGTTATCTCCCCTACCCTCACAAAAATAAAATTCTCATTTCTCATTTGTAGGCCTGTATTACAAAATGTTCTATCTTATATTGTTGTATTTTAATCAACAAAAAATTTACAGATTGACATTTCGGACTGAAATTTTAAAAAACTGTAAATTTTTTCTTTCTTTTAAAATTAAGTACCTACATAATATCCTCAATTTTGCACCCTGGCCGCAAAGCCTAAAATAATTACTATTTACTGGTCCTTTACAGAAAAAGCATGCTGAATGCTGGCAAAAATCAAATAATGGAGTAGACAGGTAAAGGGTGGACAAAACTAATTCTGTAACCTAATTCATCACCTCCTTTTTAGTTACTTAGGTGCTCAGCAATTTTCACCTATTAACTGCAATGCAAACTTGCTCATGCACGCTCTCTATTCAGAAAGATTGCCAAAAGACAAATAATTTTCACAATTCAATCCTTCAAAATACAAGATTTACACAACTCAACTATGTCTTGCTATAGAAATGTGATACCTACTTAATAAACAGTAGCAGTCCACCAAAGAGCTTAGTTTCAAACTCTATCGAGATAACTTGATGGTTTTACTAAAACTATAATGACAATACCAAATGCTTAACACAATTCTCGCCTTTAAATGTAAACTTGTTCACCTGATACTCTCAAATAAATATAATCTTGCACCTAGGACAAAAAACTTGCATTGATAATTATGTATGGTTAAGTACTAAATGTTACACAGCAAAAATAAGCTGTCTTCCACCTCCAGACCCCACTTTAAAATCTAATGATTTAAGACTTCATTGTTTTTAAAAAACCTTCATCCTATTGATTTCAAAAGTGTTTCCCCTTCAATAAGACCACCACCAAGGCCGGGCGCTGTGGCTCAGGTCTGTAATCCCAGCACTTCAGGAGGCCACGGTGAGTGGATCACCTGAGGTCAGGAGTTCAAGACCAGCCAGGCCAAAATGGTAAAACCCCAACTTCATGAAAAATACAAAAAATTAGCCAGGCGTGGTGGTGGGCACCTGTAATCTCAGCTACCTGGGAAGCTGAGACAGGATAATCCCTTGAACCCGCGAGGTGGAGGTTGCAGTGAGCCAAGATTGCGCCATTGCACTCCAGCCTGGGCAACAAGAGTGAAACTCTGTCTCAAAAAAAAATAAAAACAAAACAAAAAAAAAACCAAAGATATAAAATGAGACTTTCTGAACCCACCATTACAGGACCTAATTCAAATTACACATAATAATCAAAAATTAACTTAAATTTTACGTAACAAATATAGTTACCCTGAGCCCTTTAGTAAATATTTAAATCCTCAACTTCTATCAAACTTGAAAATAACCAGCGGAGGCCGGGCGCAGTGGCTCACGCCTGTCATCTCAGCACTTTGGGAGGCCAAGGCGGGAAGATCTTGAAGTCAGGAGTTTGAGACCAGCTTGGCCAACATAGTGAAACCCCATCTCTACTAAAAATACAAAAAATCAGCTGGGTGTGGTGGCGGGAGCCTGTAATTCCAGCTACTCGGGAGGCTGAGGCAGGAGAATTGCCTGAACCCGGGAAGCGGAGGTTGCAGTGAGCCGATATCGCACCACTGCACTCCAGCCTGGGAGACAAGAGCGAAACTCCATCTCAAAAAAAGAAAAAGAAGGTCAGGCTGGGCATGGTGGCTCACTCCTGTAATGCCAGCACTTTGGGAGGCCGAGGCAGGCGGATCCTGACGTCAGGAGATCGAGACCATCCTGGCTAACACAGAGAAACCCCATCTCTACCAAAAATACAAAAAATTAGCCGAGCATGGTGGCACGCGCCTATAGTCCAAGCTACTAAGGAGGCTGAAGGAGGAGAATCTCTTGAATCTGGGAGGCAGAGGTTGCAGTGAGCCGAGGTTGCGCCACTGCACTCCAGCCTGGGAGACAGAGCGAGACTCCGTTTCAAAAAAAAAAAGGCCAGGCACGGTGGCTCATGCCTGTAATCCTAGCACTTTAGGAGGCCGAGGCGGGTGGATCACCTGAGGTCAGGAGTTCGAGACCAGCCTGGCCAACATGGGGAAACCTTGTCTCTACTAAAAATACAAAACTTAGCCAGCTGTGGTGGCAGGCGCCTGTAACCCCAGCTACTTGGGAAGCTGAGGCAGGAGAATCGTTTAAACCCAGGAGGCAGAGATCGCAGTGAGCCGAGATTGCACCATTACACTCCAGCGTGGGGGACAAGAGTGAGACTTCTCTCAAAAAAAACACCAAAAACAAAACAACAACAACAATAAAAAAAAAAATAAGGAGGCTGAGGCAGGAGAATGGCATGAACCCAGGAGGCGGAGCTTGCAGTGAGCTGAGATCACGCCACTGCACTCCAACCTGGACAGACACTCTGTCTCAAAAAAAAACAAACAAACAAAAAAAGAGAAATAACCCATGGCACAGAGTAAAAATATAATCAGTAAAATCACTTTATTCACTTCACTACTAAAATCAGTTTTGTTTTTTTTTTCTTTGAGGTAGAGTCTCGCTCTGTTGCCCAGGCTGGAGTGCAACGGCGCAATCTCGGCTCACTGCAACCTCCACCTCCCGGGCTCAAGCAATTCTCCTGCCTCAGCCTCGCAAGTAACTGGGATTACAGGCACACACCACCACGCCCAGCTAATTTTTGTTTTAGTAGATACAGGGTTTTCCCATGTTGGCCAAACTGGTCTCGAACTCCTGACCTCAAGTGATCCGCCCAACTTGGCCTCCCAAAGTGCTGGGATTATAGGTATGAGCCACCACACCCAGCCTCATTTCTATTAGAGGATAAAAAAAAAAAGCTAATAACAACCTGAGACTTACAAAGATTATACTATAGAAAACCACTGTGCAACCAATTCAACCAGTCACTCTCTCACTTCAGTTTTCATCTTAAATCTTTAGTTAGAAATAGTACTTATTTTTGTTCGTTTTTTTTTTTAATTTTGAGAAATAGTACTTTAAAATAAAACTAACATGGTTTGATCAGCTTGAAATAAGATTCATAAAATGTACCTTTTGATGTTTGTTCTGGAGTTTCGATGAGACATGTAAGTAAGAGTTCTGTGCAAAAATATTGGCTACAAAAAGAGTTTTAAAAATGTTAAAATTGAATACAGATGCAGTTATAAGAGAGAAATAATATTGATGAATTTTGTTGACTACTTACTGCTATGAGATTCCGAGTTCGAAGAAATCTATAGATCTGTGTTGGCTCTAGGTAATAGGAAACAAAATCCAAACATGATCTAAACTTACTTGTCAGAAAAATATCAACCGAGACCATGTTATAATCAATATAAACTTATCATCTGCTATGGAAATCACGCACTATTTATATCGCACTAAATATTTACATCAAGAAAGTATGCACAGTAAGATCAAAAGGTATTCAATCAATGGCATACATTCACAAAGTTCATCTATGCTTTTTATACTGAAGGTTCTCTACAATATTTTTCTTAAGCCTTTCTAAGATAGTTATTGTTACCGAGCAGAACTCAAGAGAAGTAGTTGTACTCATTTAACTTAGCTAATTTAAACTATTTATTACCGATTTTCTTCCAAAAAGCAGCTGTAATAGGCAGCTGGAGTCAACAAAAGAACTATTGATTGATGCCAAACAAGATGAAAATTTCACTTTTTAAATGGTCACTTAAAAAATCTGTAGTCAGCCGGCCAGGCGCAGTGGCTCATGCCTGTATTCCCAGCACTTTGGGAGGCCAAGGTGGGCAGATCACCTAAGGTCGGGAGTTCGAGACCAGCCTGACCAACATGGAGAAACCCTGTCTCCACCAAATATACAAAAACAGCCAGGCATAGGGGCGGCGCATGCCTGTAATCCCAGCTACTTGGGAGGCTGAGGCAGGAGAATCACTTGAACCTGGGAGGCGGAGGCTGCCGTGAGCCGAGATCGCGTCATTGTACTCCAGCCTGGGCAATAAAGAGCGAAACTTCGTCTCAAAAAAAAAAAAAAAATTGTAGTCAGCCAAAACAGAATCCTAATACATCCTAATACAGATATGATGACATCCTAATACAGATCCAGACATTCCTAATACAGGTATGATGAAAGTCAGTCAAGATTTTTTTTTTCTTTTTTTGAAAAGGGGTCTTGATATGTTGCCCAGGCTGGTCTCAAACTCGTGGGCTCAACAGATCCTCCTGCCTCAGCCTCCAGAGTAGCTAGGATTACAGGTGGGATCCACTGCACTCAAAAGTCAGTCAATATTGAAATGAATCTCGGACACAAACTGCAGCAAAAATTCTCAATAAATATTCCTAATTATAATTTAAAGTTGTATCTATTTTGTTCAATATAAATATTACCTCAATACATTTTTTACACAATTGACAGGTTCACAAAACAGTCTTTCTAACGCTTAAAATGAGTTGAATTAAATTTCAAATTAGTTAAAATGTAATTTGTTATACAGGACTTAAGTCGATGAAAAATACATATACTATTATATCAGTTACATTAATGACCTATTAGTGTCACGTTAGGTCATTATACAGCAGTATCAGAATAAACCAAATAGAAATAACTATGTGAATAATTACATTCAAGTATTTAAACTTTCCAGTAAACAACTTCGAGTTGTTTTATGACCAGATCTAGCTCTTAATGACACTTGACTTCCCTGAGGTCGACTCATCAGAACGCAAATAGTTAAAACTTTCTTGGAGGATGTGTCTTAACATTCAGAAAGAACTTTTAAAATTTCCACCTAAATCTTCAATTGGTTTTATTTTAAATTAACTAAAGGGAGATGAGATACTTTAGAAGGGGTACAAACAAGTATCATTATTGTCACCACTGCCCTTCAGTTCTACATCCTATTTCCAATTAAAGCCTCTCTAGATATTTCAAAGTATACTAAGAAATACGTGAATAATGTGAATCTCTCTGAAGCAGGTTCAATATTCGTTTCCATAAAAACTGAAATTCCTTCTATTAAGTTCCAATTAGAATTTCATGAAGCACTAATGAGAGAGAATGAAGGAAGGGTATTAAACAACGTAATACGTCTTTCTAAGCACAGCTGATACCATGCCCTTAACATATGCCACAGTGAAACTGTAAATAAGGACACTGGGCGGTAGAGCCAAGTTTATTCAAGTTTCTGTAAGATTATTTAGCTATTAAAGATCACCCAAATTATAACACACAAAAGCAAAAAAGGGAACCAATCAGGATATAACATTCCTTAAAGAACAATCAGGATTATTCATAGTCACGATGTTTTTAATAAATTCTATTGTTTGTTTCCAGACACCTTGCTCTCCTTTCCAAATAAGTCAGTTTCACCTTCCAGACAGAACTTAGAAACAGAAATTGACGCAAGAAAATGTTCTGTAAGCCAGGTAGAAAAAGCAGAATTCCGGGGTCGTCTCCAGAGAAGATGCTTGACCACTCTCTGGCTCAGTTTACATATCCACAAAATGGGTGGATAGATTTGAAGGGTTTTAAGCATCCAAAGGTGCCATAGGAACCTGCAGCACCAAGTTAGCGCGAAGGCATTTCAGACTAAGGACACTTTCTTCGGTTCCACTGCACTCATCCCTTCACAGGCTTCATTTTGCCCCTCAAAAGCTACAACCGAAACCCCTGTATTTCTAGAGTCCGAAAGGCATGAAAGAAAACAAGAACCAGTCTCGGGATGTGACTGCGGCTCAGTTCAACTGCTACCTCCTCATCTAAAAGCCGCCTGCTCTGAACGTGGGGCCCCAGTCCCGAGCCTCTTGCGTCAATCTTGGGGGAGTCAAGAACCCGCCCGGACCCTCTTTTCCAGCTCTCCCAAGGCCCTGGACTCCGGATCCCCTGGAGACGTAATCTCCGAAAGGGGGACATCCCCTCAATTCCTCCCTCCACTACCACACAAGTGGACTCCCGAGGAGGAAGGGGGCCCAGCAGAGTGTCCCATCCCCGGTGTTGGCAGAGTGGGTCTTCCTGCCCTCAAAGCCTCGCACACACTCACTCTCAAAGGCCTGGAGGAAAAGCTCGTGGTCAGCCTGGACGTGCTCCATTTTCGGCTTCTTCACCGGTAACACCGCAGCCCCCGCCGCTGCCGCCGCGGAGGAGGAGGAGGAGGCCGAGTAACTGCCACCCCCTCCACAGCTCCCGCCGCCGGATTTGCCGCCCGAAGCCGTCGCCGCCGCCACCGCCGCCGAACCCCCGAAGCCGCCTCCCCCGGACCCCGCGCTGGGCCCCGAGCCGCCCCCTCCCCCACCGCCGTGCTTCTGAGGCGCCATCGCGGTTCCTGCCTCCTCCCCCCGCCAGCTACCCGCCGGGCGGCCCCGGAGAGCAAGCGCCTGCAATACCAACCGCTCGCCCCAGCAGGCTCCGGCGGACCGAGGGGGGAAGGAGGAGAGAGGGGAGGAGAGGGGAAGGGAAGGGAGGAGGAGAGGAGGGAAGGAGGGAGGAAAAAAAAAGTGTCTCCTCAGAGCCCCGCTCCGCTTCGGAGGCCGCTCACCCTACCCTGGCCTCGCTCCGCCCACTTCCCCCGCCCGGCGCTCTGATTGGCCGGCGGGAGCGCGCACCGCCGGGCCGCCCAGCCCGTTGGCCCGCGGATTCCCCCGTCAGTCACGCGGAGGCGCTTCTCGCGGAGGCGCGGCTTGGTTGGCCCGTGCGCGCTGCCGATCGCGGGCCCGGCCGCCTCTTTGAACTGAATTCGCGGGAAAATTAGGGGTCGGAGCGGCCTTCCTGCTGGCCCCGGTGCATTGTGGGGAGAGAAGGACCCAGCGAGCGGTTTAGCGAGTCTAGATCCTTAGTTTGTTGCCCCCAAACACCGTAAGAGTGGTCAGAGAGGTAAACTGGTTGAGAAGTACTTACATACACTCTTCTCTTCTTTAGGATCTATACCTTTTCAGCTCAGAAAGCTGAGAAGGAATCCGGTGTTTTGCGAGTCTTGCTTTTTTTTTTTTTTGAGACGGAGCCTCCCTCTGTCGCCCAGGCTGGAGTGCCAGTGGCGCGACTTCGTCTCCCTACAACCTGCGCCTCCCGGGTTGAAGCGATTCTCCTGCCTCAGCCTCCAGAGTAGCTGGGATTACAGGCGCTCGCCACCACGCCTGGCTAATTTTTTGTGTTTTTAGTAGAGACAGGGTTTCACCATTTTGGCCAGGCTGGTCTCGATCTCCTGACCTCGTGATCCACCTGCCTCGGCTTCCCAAAGTGCTGGGATTACAGGCGTGAGCCACCGCGCCTGGCCAGGTCTTGCTTTGAACGATAGACACATAGGCCCATTTCAGTCTTCTGGCACAGATTGGTTTGGAGTTGAGCTAATGATTTGAATTTCAGGTTGGACAAGATGATCTCTAAGGATGTTCTTCCAATTTTTATATTACGTTAAAATTTCAAAAATCCCAACCTATAAACATAGAACCATTTCATACTCTAAACAGCATTTTTTAAATGTCTACTTGGGTTCTCTATAGTTAACTGCAAAACACTGTTTACAAAACAAGTGTCTCTGGAATGGTTATTCAAGTTGTTTACAAAACTAGTTATCTTTGTAATGA